>NC_000003.12:149955574-151205574 GCF_000001405.40 Homo sapiens | reverse complement strand
CTTTCCCCTTCCTCATTAGTTCCAAATGGCTTCCATGCTATGCCGAAAAAGCACATTTTAAAAACGCTAAATATTCAAAGCAAGTATTTCTACTGAAATACCGTTGTTTGGTATTTGTGTTCAATAAAATCAAAAGCACGTTTTGTATGGATAGGAGAGTTGACCACAGAAAATATTTTCTTTCTCAATTCATAACTTGGTGGACAATTTAGCTTTAATTTTTATTTTACACATACAAAATATCCATGAAATATTCATAAGTAATGAATAGATTATTTCTTTAACAAAAAGTACTGCCATGACCAAGGTAAGGGAAAAATAACTTCACCTCACTTCTTCCCGCTTGGGTGTGTATTAGTGATGACATGCAACTTCCCGGAACACTAAGTACAGTCACAAACACTTGTCCTCAGTGAAACAGATAGAAAAAAGTGGCTTATAGAAAATCAAATGAAACTAGTATTAAAAAATGAAAACTACATGTATTTCCACTGTGAATAAACTTCCACACAAAGCCAGGTTGCCTAAGCTCATTCTCAGAAGGAGGAATATGATTCATCTATTAAAAGATTAATTCTCACTATTCTAAAAATTAAATAGAACTCTGAGAACAAGGGCACTTCAGTGCTTTCACATTTGGCAATCCAGACACAGAAACTGTGGTCTGGGTAGATTTTTAAGTACAATTGTTTGTACTTTTCAATTGTGTCTACAACCTTAAAGTGAACCGAGGAAGTAAACATATAAAGAGACCTAACTAAAAAAAGCAAAACAGAAACTGTCAAAAATCTTTCATCCCAGTTTTTCTCCATGCCATGGTAAAATCATTCACCACTGTTTGCAGTCAACTCCACTCATCTCTAAATTCTCTCCCTTTCATCTCCTCTACCCTCCAGTGGATGTAAACCCTGATCACTTCTCACTTACTTGTCTGCAAATATATCTTTTCTACAAGTATGTTCTTCAGTGAGTCCTGTACAATGTTGAAGCATACATATCTTAAAAGAAAGATCCTTTCCTAGCACTATGATGATGAAGTTCACAGTGGTTCTTAACATAAAATGTTTGAGAAACATTTGCTTTTTCCCTCCTAGTTTATAATTTATGGTCTTCACTGGCAAAAATAATAATTATATGAATTTGGGAGAATGTCAGAATACCTGAGACGTGACCAATATCATCATAAGCATCTTTACATTTTTTTCAAAAGTCTCCTTAGACTTTCCCTAAATTCTCCCTAGCTAGATACTTCTCATTTCATCTTTTGAGACATTTTTCTTTTTAAAAACTAATACCAAGAGATTAATTTTAGATCCTGGAAAGGTATCTTCTTTTTTCTTATCCAGAAAACTGACCAAGTATTATTAAAAGAAACCAAAGCACCTACCAAGCCAATGAAGCATTAGAAGAAACCAGACCCTAAATAACCAGGCAATGGCTTTGCATTAACACATCAACTTTGAACCAGAAAATTCAGAACTCTTGAAAATATGTTTGTTAGGTCCCCCAGCATGCTAGGCTTCTTTCAAACATTCAGTTAGTTCTGCCACAGACACAATGAACATTTAACCAAACAACTTAAATACACACTGTAGGGTTCCTTTACACACAATCTATTAATTACTAAATACTATTCCAATTCATCAGGCTGTTTGAGTCAAACAGACAAATACTTATTACAAGTCTAATCTCATAAATTGAATATATAATATATTCTTCAATGAAAAATTATAAACTATAAAATAGTATGAATAACATCTAAGTGGAAATACATAAGCATAGAAAAAATTTAAAACTTATGTACCAAAAATATTAACAGTAATTATCTCTCTGCATAATGATGTTCCTTTTTTATTTCTATTTCCAGATTTTTCTATAATGAACATAAAATAAGATAAATAAAATGTATACATTAGCTGACTCTGTAAAACACATCTTTTTGTTTACTTCTTTTTTTAATAATAGGTGTCTCAGCAGGAATAAAAACTGCAACTATTTTTTAAATTTTAACTTTGAAATGCTGTGTTACTATATATACTGAAAAAATATTTGCTTAAACACCTTATATCTTTAATTATTAATCCCCATCAAGGCATGAAGAGTGATATTCTTTGAAATCATTATGACACAAAACATACCTTGGATACTTTAAAAAAAAAAAAAGGCTAGGTACTAAATGAAGATCTTTTCTCTAAAAAATATGACAAATAAATTGCTTAAGAAAGCATACATGAAATTGTATACATTAAAAAAACTTCTTTAGGAGACTTTCATAAAGTTAAACTACTTGCAAACCACAGTTTCATCTACGTCAATATGCAACATTTTAAAACCACACAAAAAGGAAAGGAAATTTTTAGTAAAGCCAGCAGCCTGCAATGGGGTTGCTACTGCTGCGGCTAACCAAACAGCTCATGCTTCTCTGAAGACTTGCAGCAAGGCTTGCTGAGGCTCACAGAAGATAGCCCCAGGTATGTCTTTTTAAACACTTAATATATTCAAATGCTTTTCCGTGGAAAACAAAATTGTGATTTTTCAGTATTTAAGGCTTATAAGTAGAAAAAGCCAAGCTGTATAAAAAAAAAGCATCAATTTTTAAACTCTAAATAGGTCCTAGCTGTGAATGACACTATAATTTTCTTATATCTGATGAACCCATTCATCTGTCTCCAAAAGACAGGATAATTGACACCAGACTGAATACCTGAGCGAGCATAACTATTCAGTAACTCAATCTTATAACTGGGTGGATAGAGGCCATGTTGTAGATCTTCACAACAGGGAACAACAGGCCTTAAGATGACTTTCCTCTACAAACATTACAATAGGTGATTTCAAGAAGATTCCACTGTGATTCCCATAGAAAATCTAATAAGCTTTTATTTTGTTTTTGTTTTGTTTTGTTTTTGAGGAGTCTCGCTTTTTCACCCAGGCTGGAGTGCAGTGGTGCGATCTCAGCTCACTTCAACCTCCACATCCCGGGTTCAAACAATTCTCCTGCCTCAGCCTCCCGAGTAGCTGGGATTACAGGTGCCCGCCACCGCGTTGGCTAATTTTTGTATTTTTAGTAGAGACAGGATTTCACCATGTTGGCCAGGCTGGTCTCGAACTCTTGACCTCAAGTGATCCACCCGCCTCAGCCTCCCAAAGTGCTGGGATTACAGGCGTGAGCCACTGTGCCCAGCCAGTTTATTTATTTTCTAAGCAATGGGCACTCTATCCAAACTACAGAGACAGTTAAAATCTTGTATTGTTGTTGCTGCACTACTTCTGAGTATCTCACATTTTCACTGGTAAGTAACTGTCTGGTAAAATATTTATTAAGCACTTAGTTCTCAAACTTGTGACACAGAACACAGGATGTTATTATACAATATTTTAACCTCTAATTTACATAAGCAAAAATTTTAAATAAACAGATTTGTTTCTCACTGCAATTTAGACAAAAGTTCACAAACACAAATGTGAGAAATGTGAGATGCTCCATGATTCTTGAGAATTACTGAATGATTATTCATTTCAGATAAATTATTCATGTACGGTATATATCGTCAGTTCTAGCTACAGAGAAAATTAATCAAAATAAATTACTCTAATTCTTCTCTTTACCATATACGTCTCATTGATACAACAGACTTATTTTATAGTTGTGCAAGCAATGGAGCACTTAAAGAAACACATTATGTTACCATTATTATGTAATATTTGAAATAGAAGTGCGTAAGCCAAAATCCTAGGGCCTTAGAAAGTAACAATAAGCAAAGATGTGACACTATATCAATGCACACGAATACTAGTTTTTCACATAAAGAAGAAAAGTATGTTCAAAATTCCAAGGTACAAATGGTAACTATCCAAATTCATGGTCGCCAAGGACATCGGTAAAGCCTGGAGTAGCTTTCAGATGTGAGGAGCTTCCTTAAAGCTCTGGAATAAGCAGGATTCAGGAATAGTAAGGATAAATGCAGAGCGCTTAGAAGATGACCAATAAGAACAGATCTTAGTCCTGCCTGAACATGCTGTGAAAGCTTGAGGAACACACCAGTGCCAGCCCTCAATCTCCTCAACTGACTTGGGGATTAGACTACAGGCTATCGATAAAGTTTCCATCCATCCTTAAAATCCTATGACTCCAAAATTTCTATCACATGCAAAAGTATAAAGGCAGGAAGGAACTGTACACAGAATAATAGAGACCCCACCAATCCCAATCTTAATCTGGGATGTAAGTAGAGATGGTAGAGAGAAACTAGGTTATGGAAGCTTTGAGAGCAAAGTTGGTTTAAACTTATTGGATGGGCCTAGGTTTTGTTTTTAAATGTGCGTGTGAGAGAGAGAGAGAGAGAGAGAGTGTGTGCACGTGGTTGTATGCATAGAACAGCAAAATATACGAAAAGCCTAAACTTATATTCTTAGTATTTTGGTAAAAAGTTAAAAATAGTTTATTTCAGCTTTATTACATAAAAATTGTTTAGAACATAGTTCCTGCCCACACAGTAAGCCCTTAGTAAAGACTGGCAGATATAATAATAATCATTATCATTTCTATCATCATCTTACTATTGTTACTGAGGCAGTGTTTTGGAGTGGTTTTGAATGTGATTCTGAGATCAGACTGACTGAGCTGGAATCCTGGCTTTATATCTTACCAGCTACACAACCTTGGGTAAGTAACCCCATTATGCCTCAATTTCCTCATCTGTAAAGCAGGGACAATAACAACACCTAGCTTATGGAAATGATAAGAAGTTAAATAAGTACATGTAAAGTATTTGGCATAGTGCCAGATACAAACCAACTGCTTAATTATTTTCATCGAGTTTGGTAAAGAATGACATTATTCATGGACTCTAACGTGCTAACTCAGGTAGGGAAAGAGAAAGGGCATGTAGCCTTTAAGCAGCACTTGAATTTAGAAAGCTTTGTGTACATCTGCCTTATTCATCTGTTTGCATACATTGTTTCATTACAAATGCACACAAAGGATCATTAATTAATTGGGGAAATTAAAATTTAGAAAGATGTCAGAAGTTTTATTCTCTTATTAAAAGGCACTTACAGAGTAGCTGATCTGGCCTTCAATGTTGGTCACTATAACTTATATTTGCTTCTTTTAAAAAGGTTGTATTATAATATAAAATGTTTCCTTGCTAAAATACAAAAATAATCTTCAGGTCTTTAAAACAAAAGAACACTGTTTAATGTGCAAAAGGGGGACCCACACCAACAGGCAGCACCAGAAAGATTACTAATGTACCCTTAGCTCTAAGCATGTGAGTTTGAATAGACCAGGTCAAAGGGAGCCCTATCAGTTTAACTTGAGCTTACAAACCCGCTCAATGTTCCAGATTTGGGAGGGACATGACAAGACTTCATTGTCATTATCAGTGGTGATCACAGTAGTTCTAAGGGTATGTCTTATGCTTCTGGGCTTTTAACTGCTTCAAAACCCACAATGAAAGAAAAAAAAAGCGACTCAAGTGTTGAAGTCAGATGTTTTGATACTAATATAAATAAATCTTTCTCCAAGGATTTTGTAACCAATGAACATACATCCATGTTCTGGTAGTTGTGGGTTTTTTTGTTTGTTTTTTTGGTTTTTTTCTGTTTGTTTTTGAGACAGACTCTTGCGACCAGGCTGGAGATTTTCCATCAACTCCTTACTTCCCCTGTCAGCCTGGGTTCTCCCAGCCTTAGGAGCCACATGAATCTATGGAAAACAAAAAACTAAAACAAGAAAAAAACCAGAAGGCCTCATTGAAAGCTCTTCATGCTCAACCACAACCCTAGTTTCCTCTCTCTACTTCTCAGAATCTCGGTTCACTTATCTCCTCTGCAAACTAACTTCCAACCCAACTGGTAACAAGAACTACCAGAATGGAAAAACCTGAGGTTGAAAATATCCCTACCAAAAGCAAACCTGCATGGGATTTCCTGAAAGTCACAAAATCAGACAATGGAAAACCCAGGCATCTTCACAATCTAGTATGTTCTCACCAGGCCATATGGTCTGGTAAGTTCACCAATAAAATTCTAAGAACTGGAAAGACAACGGTATTGTGAAGACCAATGTCTTTTAAAGAAAATAGTTGCTAATTTTAATTACTAACCTCCCTTTCCTTGTTTCTTTTACAGAGTCTTAGAAATTTTTTCTTTTCAATAAGCAGTCATCCTTACTTTCCCTCAAGATGACAAACAGTTCGTTCTTCTGCCCAGTTTATAAAGATCTGGAGCCATTCACGTATTTTTTTTATTTAGTTTTCCTTGTTGGAATTATTGGAAGTTGTTTTGCAACCTGGGCTTTTATACAGAAGAATACGAATCACAGGTGTGTGAGCATCTACTTAATTAATTTGCTTACAGCCGATTTCCTGCTTACTCTGGCATTACCAGTGAAAATTGTTGTTGACTTGGGTGTGGCACCTTGGAAGCTGAAGATATTCCACTGCCAAGTAACAGCCTGCCTCATCTATATCAATATGTATTTATCAATTATCTTCTTAGCATTTGTCAGCATTGACCGCTGTCTTCAGCTGACACACAGCTGCAAGATCTACCGAATACAAGAACCCGGATTTGCCAAAATGATATCAACCGTTGTGTGGCTAATGGTCCTTCTTATAATGGTGCCAAATATGATGATTCCCATCAAAGACATCAAGGAAAAGTCAAATGTGGGTTGTATGGAGTTTAAAAAGGAATTTGGAAGAAATTGGCATTTGCTGACAAATTTCATATGTGTAGCAATATTTTTAAATTTCTCAGCCATCATTTTAATATCCAATTGCCTTGTAATTCGACAGCTCTACAGAAACAAAGATAATGAAAATTACCCAAATGTGAAAAAGGCTCTCATCAACATACTTTTAGTGACCACGGGCTACATCATATGCTTTGTTCCTTACCACATTGTCCGAATCCCGTATACCCTCAGCCAGACAGAAGTCATAACTGATTGCTCAACCAGGATTTCACTCTTCAAAGCCAAAGAGGCTACACTGCTCCTGGCTGTGTCGAACCTGTGCTTTGATCCTATCCTGTACTATCACCTCTCAAAAGCATTCCGCTCAAAGGTCACTGAGACTTTTGCCTCACCTAAAGAGACCAAGGCTCAGAAAGAAAAATTAAGATGTGAAAATAATGCATAAAAGACAGGATTTTTTGTGCTACCAATTCTGGCCTTACTGGACCATAAAGTTAATTATAGCTTTGAAAGATAAAAAAAAAAAAAACAAAAAAAAACTCAGTATGAAAAAATACAGTTAGCTAGCAAATATGGACAGGTTTACTTAGAAATCCTGTTTCTAAATGCAAGTCAAGCTTTATTGTTAGGCTTGCTGCTACTCATTAACCCAAATATTTGTACAAAAAACTAAAGAGTCTCATTGAACGAATGTAAAATCCTGCAATATCCTTGAAATCCAAAAGAGGTCCATGACATAGACCCAAAGGTATTCATGAGTTATTCATTTAAATGCCTGGAACTGACTTCTTGATAAAAATATAAAAAATAATTTCCATGTAAGTTACCAGAAAGCCCACCAGCAACATAATTTTAAAGCCTTTCAGATTACTTTTAAAAAATGCAGCTTACATATAACAACTTGTGCCTATTTTATTTCTAATCTATCACTTCAAAAGATGGTAATCTTTCAACTCATTATTCCTCCAATTTTTAATGTCGAATTTTTTTCTAACACAATAACCAAAAGCTTTTATTTATAAAAAGGCTTGAAAAATATAGACAATCTTTAATGTATTATTTGTAATTATATTCTACCTGTAGGTTATAATAAAGGCTTCCTGATGTTAGTAATAATACATTTAGTGACTTCTCATTTCTATTTTGAAGTAACATGAAACACAGAGGCCCTGTAACATTTCAGAGGGAGTTGTTAAGTTATACTAACTACTGAAACTAGTGTTTTGGAACTAGAAAATCACATCGATAGCACATCAATGGTAAAACAGCACCAGTCAGATGGTCTTTATAAAACAGATACACTGACTTCGCATAGCAAGGCCGTGTTAGGAATGTAGCACAGGCCGAGCTACTCAGTGCCACCCAGGTCCAGAAAGATGAGCCTGACTCCACGTAGGGCCCCAGTTTAAAGTATAGGTGACTCCAGCCGGGCGTGGTGGCTCACACACTTTGGGAGGCTGAGGTGGGCAGATCTCAGGTCAAGGGTTAGAGATTAGCCTGGCCCACATGATGAAACCCCCTCTGTACTAAAAATACAAAATTTAGCCTGCTGTGATAGTGCACGCCTGTAATCTCAGCGACTTAGGAGGCTGAGGCAGGAGAATCATTTGAACCTGGGAGGCAGAGGTTGCAGTGAGCTGAGACTGCGCCACTGCACTCCGGCCTGGGCAAAAAGAGCGAGACTCTGTCTCAAATAAATAAGTAAATAAATAAATAACAATAAAGTATAAGCTGACTCCAGCTCTCAGAGTCACAACTCTGATCAAATTCTCTCCACTGCTGGTGATGCAGAAAGAATACACAGCATTAAATAAAAGACTTATTAGGAAAAAGAATATTGGAAAAATTTAGATAAGCATACATGATGACTTTGTGTTTTTTATTTCATTAGTAAAATAAGCCCATATAAAAACCGCTGGTAAATCCATTTGCATTAGCTGCAATGATTAAGAAATGGTGTTCCTGAAAGCTAGGAAAACAAGTTTGATTCCAAACTCATTTTTGCATTTCACAAATTATTTTCTAAAGCTTGAAAATCCTATCTACAATTCCATAAAAATATTCTGACTCTGCAGTGAATAATAAATGAGAAAATGCATGAAGTGCCTATTACAAAACATACAACAAGATAATGCTATACAATTCTAGCTAGCTAATGGTAATGACAGAAACTCCAGCAGCCTCACACATCTGACACAGTGTAAATGACTTACCTCAGTTGCAGGCTGTAGAATGCCTATCCACTAGAACCTGTGTTTGCTGGTAGTCTAGGAAACATGGTTCACTAATGGGCAGATCAAGTATTATTCACAGAATAGCATCATGAAACTGTTTTTCTGAATCTTTGGTCAAGCCCCCTTTAGTCCTCTTCTCTTTGGTCTTCATTTAGTAGGGCCCCATATGACAGATGGGGACATGGAAAACACTTTTCTTAACCATATTTTTATAGTCTCCTCACATGCAATGAGAAGCTAGTCAGATTTTCTCTTTTTATTAAGGGAAAAAAAACAGACAGTAGCATTCCTAAAGTCAGTGTTATATTAGCATATCCTTTGGCTTCTTCTGAATTGAACTCATGGTAACAGGGAGTTTAGGGCAACCAGTGGTGGAAGGCTATTAAAAAATGTATCCTACAATATCAATTGTCTAGCAGTTCTTTCATGAATTGTTATAGTTAAATTATCTCATGATTCATTATGACATGTGGTCACTGAAAATCATTTAAGCTCTTTCTTCCAAGGAAGTAGAATGTTAAATGCAGGGAAAGGCTGTAAAACCAAGGTCACAGGAACAACAGAATAAAGAAGCTGAGGCTTAGTGTCCAGCTCTGACACCCAGACACCTGGGAGAGAGACATGCAAAGCTCTGTTTACCCAAGAAAGGAACACATAACCCTCAACCATTCAACCAGTTTCAAACACTTTCAACATTTTGCCATCTTTGCTTAATTTATCACCCCCCTTAATTCTTTCTTTTAAATAAACTTTTTATTAGAGTAATTTCCGATTTACAGAGAAGTTGCAAAATAGTACAGAGAGTTCCATATGCCATTCAGCCAGTTTTCTCTAATGTAAATGACTTAAGAGAACCACAGTACATTTGGTGAAACTAAGAAGTTAACATTGGTATATTACTATTAAATAAACTCCGGACGTTAATATTGTCTCCCTTTTTTACCCAGAATATTTTAAAAACAAATCCCAGACATCATGATAGCTCATCTATAAATTCTTCAGGATACATCTCTAAAATATAAGGCTACTCTTTCTGCTCCCCTAAATAAACTGTGAGATTATTCCATTATATTATAAATGAATAATGTCTATAGGTAACAGTAGAAAAGCATAGATATTATTCAGGCAGTGATAGATAAGAACAAACTTTGGCAAGTTTTGACATATCCCTGGACATAGAAAAATTAACAAAAAATGGATTAATTGTAATAAGGAAAAAAATATGGGTTTGATAATTTGACAAGTTTTGAAATGGCCCTGGACATAGAAAAATTACAAAAAAAGAGACTTTTAACTGTAATAAGAAAAAAATAAATGGGTTTGGTAATTTTGAAAGTCATTTCAGGAGATATTCCAAAATACCAAAATAAATAAATAAATAAATAACTTAACAGAATACTTTGTTTTGCTGATAAAAACTCCTAGAAGATACCCAGAAAGTAACGTAATACATCTACAATTACTTTTTCTATTTTGAGACAGAGTCTCCCTCTGTCGCCCAGGCTGGAGTGCAGTGGTGTGATCTCGGCTCACTGCAAGGTCCACCTCTGGGGTTCACGCCATTCTCCTGCCTCAGCCTCCTGAGAAGCTGCGACTACAGGCGCCCGCCACCAGGCCTGCTAATTTTTTGTATTTTTAGTAGATACGGGGTTTCACCATGTTAGCCAGGATGGTCTCGATCTCCTGACCTCGTGATCCGCCCACCTCGGCCTCCCAAAGTGCTGGGATTACAGGCATGAGCCACCGCGCCCGGCCCAATTATGCTTTTTATATGTAAAAGTAACACCCAATGAAAAAAATGACTCCCTGAAATTGTACTTAAAATAAAAATCCAGAAAAAAAGTTAGTGAAGCCAAGAATAAACTTTTTATTTCAAATTTTGACCCAATTTTTATTTCTAATATTAAGAAACCAATTTTGTTACACTTTAGAATAAAGCACATCACTTTGCTAAGAGTCAAATGGTAAATTTCCTGCCAAGCATTTCCCATTTGCTATACAATTCTTAAATTCAACCAGTCCAAATCTGAGCCTATCTTGTACAAGCCTCTATGAAGTCTTACCCAATTTTTCAACTAAAATACTCTTGTTCTCTCCAATACTCATTCTTTGAGAGTGGAAGGGGCCCAGAAATGTCAACTGGCTCACCTTCCAGTAAGAATTTGTGTTTTTACTCAATTATTGCATGTATTTGAGGGCTTGCCATTTATAGATGTTTGTCTCCTGTCTTTCCTATGCCTCAAAATTCTTGCTGACATTTGTCTCCCGTCTTTCCTATGCCTCAAAACTCTTACTGACTAGAAGTACCTACCATAATACAGTGCACATAAAAGCTACTCAGCAAATTTACTTTCAAATTAGAACACATTTACGCCTGGCACGGTGGCTCACGCCTGTAATCCCAGCACTCTGAGAGGCCTAGGCGGACGGATCACCTGAGGTCAGGAGTTCGAGACCAGCCTGCCCAAAATGGTGAAAACCTGTCTCTACTAAAAAGACAAAAAATTAGCCAGGCGTGGTGGCAGGTGCCTGTAATCCCAGCTACTCGGGAGGCTGAGGCAAAAGAATCACTTGAACCTGGGAGGCAGAGGTTGTGGTGAGTCAAGATCGTGCCACTGTACTCCAGCCTGGGCAACAGGAATGAAACTCCGTCTCAAAAAAAAAAAAAAAAAGAAAAGAAAAAAAACACATTTAGACATCACCTGCAGTGACTCAAATGCTCTTTAATAAAAGGATACTAACATAGAAAATTTCATTTTCTAAATCTAATTAGCCACTAATATCACTACAAATTCGGACAACCTCAGTACATAAGCTTAAGATCAGAATTAGAACAGAAGCAGGAGCAAATGCAAAAAACTCACCTGCTATCATTATTAGTCAAGAATACAGTTGAATAATCTGACGTTCAACAGTTATTGATCTTATAATAAAATAATCAGGGTATAGATTAACTGAAGCAATGACTTACCAGAGGTATAGGAAAATGTGTTGCATACTGTAAGTGGCGAAGGAGGTCATAATTAGATGGAAAAATTAATTCCCTTGGCTTTTCCCTCTTCACCAACTTCTCACAATTAACTGACATTCTTCTGCCCAACGAAGTGTTGGCATTCTCACAGGATTCTCCAGGCATAGGAGAAAAAATCTAAGTCATGTAAAACAAATGTTGGAGATTGTAAATGAAAGCCAGCAAAACCAAACCACAGTGCTACATACCAAAACACACACATAAGACACTTATACACCTTTTCCTACTTAACCACTTAGCAAAAAAATATGAAGAAATTGTGTTAATTTCCACAAAATTCATATTCAGATCAGTACGAATCTGTGAGCATCACCCTCCATTTTGTAGATGAGAAAATGACAACCACACACATAAGAAATGTGTCTACACTACCTGGAAAGCTAAAGATAAAAGCAGAATTATGGGTAAGTGTTTTCCTCGTAGGGCTACATTTCGTACAGAAACATATACATAATAATAAACTAGTAAGACTAATGAATAATAGACATAAAGGTTTTGGTCTGTACTCCAAACAATTTTTTTTTAAAGTTATATATTGTGATTCATGAGAAAGAACACATTATAATTATATTGAAATAAAGTAGAAGAATGCATAATAGGCCCAAAGCCACCAAAGCTATTATATAGAAGCTGAACATATACATAGCAAATCAACATGGACTGTCATCGTGAAGCTACATTCACGCATTAATGAGATGATGATGAGCTCAAAATGAACAAAAAAGTTAGCCAACCAGGAGGACAGGAGTGTTCCAATTTACAGAGTAGGCCATGCAACCAAAACTGAGGATGACCCAATTGTGTCAGATGATAATTGTACCAAAGGAAGAATATGGCAAGATTACATATCACAAATGTGCAAGTCATTCTGAGAACACAGAAGGATCGAGACAGGCTGGGATGGGAACGGGTTAATTCTTAATTGTCAATAAGAATCAAAGATTGAACCTACTGGAAATTCCGAACCAAAGTCAGTTTTAAAGTCACTCTTGTCTACTTCATCAAAAATGTTAGTGGTTCCTGAGTCAATGCCCATATGCGCCATAATACTCTGTTCCTGATAATCGCCAGAGAAAGAAAGTAACATTGTAAGTTTTGGAGTTCATCAAGAAACTGAAGCTAAAACATGACAGTGGGATTTTTAACCATCTCTGTCTTTTGTTCCCCGTATTGTTTTCTTCCCCGCAAATTGAAGGAAGCTTTAAGGCATGCCTTGCTATGAACAGTCACATTCTTTTCCCTCATCATGAGAAAATTTAACTTCCATGATATTTTAAGAGAAGAGCACACAAACATCCGGATTAAAACAAGTGTCCACAATTTCCTTTCTTGGGCTATTTCCCATCACATACTTTAACCAACTCTTCTTATTAAGAAAAATATAAGACTATATCTGAAATATAAGACACTTTAATATCTATAGAATAGAAAAGAAAAAGCAGGAGGATAGAAAACATGTAAACAGGTAAAGGAACTTCAGTTTTTAGCCTTGTAATTGCTACTGTCAATAAATTAAGACAAATGTTTAAATATTTTTAACCCGACACCATTTTGAAAACAAGCCTTAACAGTATGAACTATGAATCCATGTTTGCAATTCTAATACCAGGTTTTTAATTGTAAGTATAGCTACTGTTTTAAAAAATAATAATGGTATATGCCTAAACTGTGAGGTGTTTTTTTTTTTTTTGTTTGTTTTTTTGAGACAGTTTTGCTCTTGTTGCCCAGGCTGGAGTGCAATGGCGCAATCTCGGCTCACTGCAACCTCCACCTCCCGGGTTCAAGCAATTCTCCTGCCTCAGCCTCCTGAGTAGCTGGGACTACAGGCATGTGCCACCACGCCCGGCTAATTTTGTATTTTTGGTACAGACAGGGTTTCTCCATGTTGGTCAGGCTAGTCTCAAACTCCCAACTTCGGGTGGTCTGCCCGCCTCAGTCTCCCAAAGTGCTGGGATTACAGGCATCAGCCACCGTGCCCAGGCTAAACTGTCAGTTTTTAAGCAATTGTCTCAAGTTCTCGTCATTTTCTATAACTTCCTATCACCACCTCCATCTTTTTTGCCTTGAAAATTTCAGTAAGTATCTGGAACAATATCCAAAATACCAGAATTTGGCAGAAAATTATAAAGTCACACTCATAGCATAAAATAATTTGTTGAAAAGGACACTTCTACAACATTTGAGAAACAGAGATTAAACTTTTAATTAACTGAAATGAAAATATGTGTTGTGACTAACAAAGAATTTCCCATTATGAATAAAAGAGTGATATAAGTAATGAATGATACATTAGGGAAAAGACGATTCTTAGAATGAAAACTCAGCTGACACTTAAAGGTCAAAACAAGTCCAGTTTTGAGACACAATGTTAAAGAAAAACTAGAGATTAGAAACATCTAGAACTGAAAGTATATAATTCCAATCCTATGAAAAATGTTATGGCCTGTCAGATTATTTTCATTACAGTTTTATAGTATCCAAAGGGAAATTCTGGAAGACATAAGAAGCTACAGTGTAAATATCTTTCCTGCTCGAGAAGTAGAGATAAACAACCACTGGGGCAAAAGAATACAACAAAAAGCCATCACTCTTCTACCACTACATGACCCATTTGAACATGGTTCCCAGTAGAGTTTAGTTTCTGGGGGAGTGGGGCATCATATCCAGGGCCATACCTCCATTTTCACATCATGGTCCTTTGAATAGTGTTCATCTGCATTTTCCCCTACTGGTGACCGCGGCCGAGTTGAGGCAGTGACTGACAAATCTCCTCGAGATATGAGGGTACACATGTATGCGTCATGGGAGAAGACATCATGGCGGATGAACTCGCAGAAGAGCAGCACCAGGTTCACAAATTCCACCTTTTCACATTCACTGTTTGGGTCCGCTATAGAGAAACAAATTCAATCAAGAATTCCTTGAGCAGGTGGTAGAAAAAAACTAATTACTAAGGCTTAATATTTTCATTACTTTTCACAATCAACTTTTCTGGGGAAAAAAAAGATCTATTGGAAGATTTACTGAGGCACTAGCATTTTGGGCAGAACTGACAGGCAGGTTTTGATTGTCCCACCATAACTGAAAAATATCCAGTATGGTAAACATGATTACAAGTTTAAAGATAGTAGTCCTGGCTGGGTGCAGTGGCTCACACCTGTAATCCCAGCACTTTGGGAGGCTGAGGTGGACAGATCCCCTGAGGTCAGGAGTTCGAGACCAGCCTGGCCAATATGGTGAAACCCCGTCTCTACCAAAAATACAAAAATTAGCTGGGCATGGTGGTGGGTGCCTGTAAGCCCAGCTACTCGGGAGGCTGAGGCAGGAGAATCGCTTGAACCCGGGAGGCGGAGGTTGCAGTGAGCCAAGATCGTGCCACTGTACCCCAGCCTAGGCGACAAGAGCGAAACTCCATCTCAAAAAAAAAAAAAAGATAGTAGTCCTGAATACCCATTCAAGTACTAATGTAAAAAAGCAAAATTTCAGGATCAGAAAAAAAGACAGCAGGACTAGACTGCCGTCCTCTGGTTTTACTAATAAAACAGTTCATGACTGCTTTTTCTAGCTTGAGTGGGTCTGTGCAATTGTGAGAATATGGGTGCACATTTTCAAAGGAGATTTTACAATTGAACCACAATTTAAATGGTGTTTGAAAAAAATGTAAGCAGGATCCACGGAAAAGAAAAAGGAACAACTGAATAAAAAGAACACAAAGATGGAGCTCTGCAGATTATTTTTATTCATAACTAGCCTATTTAACTCACATTATGACTTTCAATATTGTCACTGCACTCTAAAGTTTTGTGACTACACCTTTAAGATAAGATTCAAAATTTGTAAGATGAACCTGCAAAGCTCAATCCTTGGTACCATCACATTCACAAACACCAATAGGAGACACATTTATCCAAGGAACATTAAGCTCAGTTCCCTAAACCTTGAACCTAAATGTTTCCTCTTGCTCACTACCAAACTCGGTGATGAGCAGCCTCTTTCAGGGAACAGATCAGCTTTTTCTGACAGACAGTAAATGAGATGAACTAGCAAAGACACAGGAGTAAGGAGTTTTTCCTAAAGAGAGAACAAGAATGGGGAAGAAACGAGGGAAGCAAAGGGCAAATGTCTGTCTCCCCCAGGGTACAAGGTAAGTTACAACTGCTAACTTCATGCCTGACAATATATTTTCTGCTATCAGGGATCTCTTCAGTCCTTTCACTTTTCTGCTTCCTTTTCCATGAATTACTCCTCCCTATGTTCCAACCACTAGATTAGCTCCAGTGCTTGCTCTCCTTCTAGCCTGGAAGCCACCAAATAACTGAGAGAGCCCTTTGTCTCAAAGAACCTCACCTGCAGGTCTCACTCAGGCCCCTCCTCAGAGGACTCAGAAGAGTACTGTTTGTTGTTGCTTTACCTCTTTCTTCACAAGCATCTTCCTCCTCCCCAACCTTTTTCTCCCTCTTTCTATTGCTTTTGACTTTTTGCCATTTTTCTGTTACCTTAAGATCCTCCCTGTTGCATTTTGTCATATGAAAATCTCAGAATAATTTCAAGCCTACATAGCTCACAAAATATTTCAAAAGTGTTCACCCACAGTCTGAACCCACTGGGTGGCTGTTTATTTCAGAAACCCTCAACTCCTCACTAAAAAGGCAAAAAAAAGAGCTTGAGATGACATAAACATCCCAGAGAGTGTAGAGAAGCAGCTAGGCATCTATAAATTACTTCCTTGTACCATGCCTCTGGCTATAGAGTACTGTTGCTTGATTCCCCCCTACTCCCATGTTTAAGAGCAGGAACTAGAAAATCAGACATACAGAAAACTACTAAAAAAGAGAAAATTCCAAATCACATTCAATATACAGACAAATGTCACAAGACCTTACTTCCTTACATGAAGGAGTGAGGTGACTTTTAACAATTATTTTAAAGTCTTTGAAGCTTGACTGATTTTAAAATTGCCTAAAAGTCTCCATGAAAAAACATGCCACAAAATTTTGCTCAGTAAAACATACATTATATTCAGTGCCAAGAATATTAAATAAGATCTAAATTTTTAAAAAAGGAATCAGAAAAAAAAAATCAATCCCTTATTTAAGATCTAGAGGCAAAGAGTTTTCTCTACTTACACAAAGAGGGGGCCTGTGTATCTAAAAACCTTAACAGCACATTCTGGAAAACAGGCAAACTGGATCCAGCAAGAGAGGATGAAGAAATAGACTCCTTCTCATCTAAGACTTCTGATTCACCACATCTCTACAGATTAAAAATAAATAACAAAGTTAATTACAGAAGTATAGTCATAACAGATCATGAATTTGTTAATTTTTTATTGGCATTTAAGTGCTCAGGTAAAACATGTAAAATTAATTGATATGTCTGTACTTATTTAAGGGACCATGCACCTCAGGTGAATATAATTTCTCCATCCAAGTACTAACCAGGCCCGACCCTGCTTAGCTTCCGAGATCAGACGAGATCGGGCGCGTTCAGGGTGGTATGGCCGTAGACAGGTGAATATAATTTCTAAAAGTTGGAAAAAACTACCCCAGAACAACTCAAAGGATTTCAAAAACACCCCTGAAAAACATTTATTCATGTGAACTATAAACTCTGCACAGTATTACATGAGTGCCCACTAAATATATTATGGTACAACAAACTATTCATTATCCCTATGCAAAATTGCTAAAAATAATTTGAGGTTGTCTTCATTTTTAAATAGTTCATGTTTAACTGTATTCTCCCTGGAAAATATTGGGGCATATATTATTGAACTGTTTTTGTCAGAAGGGTTTATTTGTGTTTTTGGAGAAACATGGTATCAAATGAGAAGGCTAACATAATTCCCCTAACAATATTCTTTCACTTACTCATCACATTCCGCCAATAAGATCTCTCAGAACCTCTGGGAATGTCCACAGTTCATGAAGTACCTCTAGGGAAGTTATTTAACTTCTATTTTCTTAAAGACAGAACTTACACAGGACCAGAACCTTGTTTTCTATTCTTTGTTATATTCCTTTGATCATTCCCATTTTCATTACTCTTTAATATCAAGATACTAATTATGTTAAGAATATCATTATTTTTCCAATCTATTTTCTCTTTGTGAAGGTCAAATTTTAAAGATGGTGATGTTTAACAAAAAATCAATTATTTTAAATATCTCTGAAAGAATACATTTTTAGATATAGATACATTTAGGCTATTAAAATTACAAGGTAATCTATATATGAACCTCTTCTAAAAGTGGAATGTGTATGTTTGTATGTCTGGAATAGAGGCAGGAGAAAAGCAGTGTAAAAAAACACATATGCAATACAGAAGGAGCAATGAAATATTTGGGAAATTTCATTTTAGCTGCTGAAGTTTATGGACTGCAATTCACCACAGAATAGTCCAACTATTCACAATGTATGGAAGAAAAGCAATGAAAGGCTTTTCCTAATTTGCACACTGTTCAATAGGTCATTTAGCTTACACCTTAACATTAATATCTTCAAGCCCCAGTTTCAACAATATGATCTTTCGTTTTTGGTGAATACAACTTTCCTAACAGGAAGAGAAAAATGTCTATAAAATGTTCTTCCTATTTCATTTTTACTAGCTTCACAAGAAGGAGGTGTAATATCAGCAACACAGAGAGCCAGCTAAGGCTCATCCAGTCATGCAACAAATACCTCCTGAGCATCTACTATGCAGTGAGCACTATTCTGTGCCAAGGACACAACACTGAACAAGATGAGTGAGCTTTCTGCTGTCCAGCTCACCTTCTAGAGGGGGAAGGTAGGTATTAAACAATAAGCAGATTAACTAGATAAATGTGCACTGCAACAAGGAAAGTAAAAACAGTGACGTGAGAAAGAGTGCTTGAGGGGTAGAACGCTGTTAACTTTGATCACGTGGTGATGGAAGACCTTCCCCAGGTGCCACATGTTGAGCTAGGAATGCTGGAAAGGAAGGTACACTTCTTGAGATGGGAATGCCAGGAAGAGGCTGGCCATGCAAAGACTGGGGAACAGTCTGCAACCTAGAAGGAACAACAAGAGCAGAGGCCTCAAGGTGACAGTGTGTTTTGTGTATTGAAGGAGTAGAAGTACCAAGGTGAATGGAGCTGTGACCCTGGGGAGAAGGGCACAAGATGAGGTGGAAAAGGCAGGTGAGGTAGCTCAGGAGATGCTGCAAAGGCTACAGTCAGGAGCCACAGAGAGTATCAGTAAGGAGACAATGCGATCTATTTACATTTCGAAAAGATCGGCAGTTGCTGTGTAGAGGAAGCAGAGAGATGAGGTAAGATGCCTCAAAGTTGCCAGGTGAGAGATGACAAGGACCTGGTCAGATGATATACACACATTCCCCATAGCCATCCCTGCTAACAGTCACAGGCAGAAAGGAAGGCCTGCTTAGAAAATTTCCCTCAACAAAAGCTAATGTTGATGAACTTAGTTTTGCTTTTTCCCTTATAATTTACTTCCAAGGCTTTAATTGCTCTCTCTGGGGCCAGAATATAATCTCAAAAGCAATACAAATTGGTATTTATAATATCATAATCATAACTGCCTCAAGAAAGTATATCCAAATCCACTAAAATATGTAGTTGTAAATTTCATAAAAGTTGGTATATCTTATACACATGTGCACATGTATATTGCACATGTGTGTGTATGTTTTGTGTACGCATATTTCAATATAGCAAAGAAATTTCTTTGTTCTAAATCAGATGCTAAAATTGTATTATTTTATCTTTTATTTATTTACTTTTTTAGAGACAGAGTCTCACTCTATCAACCAGGCTAGAGTACAGTGGCACCATCATAAGCTCACTGCAGCCTCAAACTCCTGGGCTCAAGAGATTTTCCTGCCTTCTCCTCCCAAAAAACTAGGATTATAACAGGTGTGAGCCATTGTGCCCAGCCTAAAGTTTTATTTTAAAAGATACCATTTTTAAATTAGTCCAGAATATAAATGGCTGCATCAATTTAGAGAGATTCTACTATAAGAATCTTCCTTATGTGAATTTTTACATCCTCCCTTTTTTCCTCAAGAGCAAAAGAATAACATAATGAGGGTAAGAGAAAATGATCTTCCCCAAAACAGTATTTTTACATTACGGCATTCAACAAGCAGAAAGAAAATGGAACCTACCTCTGCCTCAATTTCTGCTTGCCTCTTCTCCAGGAGTTTTGCCACAGCCATGGCCCTGTGCTTGCCAGACCGTTTGCAGCTCACGGCCCATTCACATAACAGCGTCACCACAGCTTCATCGTTGGGCGCAACCTAATGACCAACAGAGAGGGGTACCAGCCACATCAAATGAAACATTCACCCAGCAAGAGGCAGGAAGCAAGCAAGGGAATATCTAACACTTTAAAGCTTTTTTCCATGTTTTATTATAGTAGCTTTAGAAAGCGCTTCCAAAACATTTTTAATTGAAATACAAAAAATAAACCTATACAAGGAAAGAAATCACTTATGCTGAATCTGTGACAATTCCAAAAGAATTAGAGCTTCCCTGTGGATGCCTTCACTTACACAGGGACATAACCTAGCCCCAGCTACCCTCTAGAACTCAAATTTCAAAACCAAATAGTAAGGGAAAAAAACAACCACTGACTGTCAAGAACAGCTGTCACAAAGTCAAAGTACATCACTCTACTGTTGGCACCCTCAGGCCCCCCACTCACTCAATGCCTCATACAATAAATAATTCTGACAAGCCAGGTTATCCAGTGACCCACTCCAATACAAAATTAGAAGGAACAAACCAGAGGGGAGGCTGGAACGCTGGTAAAACACCCGTCCCAATGGAAATAACAAACACGAAAAATGACAGCCCAGCACCAAAACGAACCAACAATTAAGGGCAGACACAGTCAACCAAGGACAGCAGCCGGGTCTAGGTAGGGCTCAGCATGGTGACCAGAACTGTCAGCCACAGTTGTCATGGCCTAGAAATAGGCACCAGCGACTGAGGATGAGAGGATGTTGGGGACCCAAATGACATGAGTCGCGGATAGGGGTGCAGCGAGTGGTGAGCGGGGAGATGGTACTTCCGTGTGATCTGTCCTTTCCTTTTAGAGGGTCCACGCCAACCAATAGGACATCAACTACAAGTTTTTAATATGTCCCCATGGGGATAAACATGATGCCAGAAAAACTAGATAATCGCAGCATTAGCACTACAGGCTATGAAGGAAGTTAATACTGTAGAATCCATAAACTCAATTAAGATTACGATATGGCTATGAGCACACGCCATGGAAGAACATACATACATACATGCATGAACTTAGCACATTTCGGAATGTCTGTGCAGTCTGAAAAGCCATCCAAGAATCCCAGAATAAGTATCCCTGATCAGCTGTAGATGCTAGCAAACAATTCAGATCATGAAAATCAGTTTATTCCAAGATTTTTATTCATCATACCCTAAATTTTGTCATTTAAACACATGGTTACTCAAACCAAAGAAATGAGTTACCTGAGGCAGATACCTCAAAGGGAGCTCTGTTTTCCTAATTTAAAACAAGAGAAGTAACTCAATTGAAAGAAATGTTTGAACATAACATTTAAAACAGAAAGTAAACTGGGAGGACTTTCTGCCCAGATTCACTCTAACCTATATGAACATAAAAATATAAAAGTCAATCCAGTGAAGGACCACATGCTTATAGGTTTAGAATATTAAAGATAACAAAAAGAGTTACCCTAAAAATACTGCTTTCAGTTTTTATTAATCTAAGCAGTAATATGCTTCATATCCACATTTACACAGATTTTTTTTTCTCCTGCATCTTCAGGATTACACTAAAATGTGCTACAAGAAACAGGTGATTTTAAAATTTAAAAACTTCTTTTCCCACTGAAGATTTTATGTGAGATTTAATATCTATGTGAAATTAGGGAGACATATAGAAGAACTGTATGTGATCAGTAATGTCTCAACACCTACGTGGGAGAACAGATTTCTTCAGATCTACTGAATAAACTACAACAAAAGAGAAGTCAAAACAAATCACATTACCACATCCCTTTTATAAACCAAAACAACAGCTAGTGTGCCCACATCATCTCTGAGAAAACAAACACAAACTCATCACACACGACACTCTGAAGATCAGCAAACCAAGCACGGTGTACACACAGCACACACGATTCTGAAAAGGCAGGAGAAAGACAAATCTCATCTGGGCACCCATAATGTGCATGAGCGTTCAGTGCTGCTAGGGATAGGAAGGCACATTTTCTTGCTTAAGAAGCTTACACTCAAGAGATAAGAAGGAAACAGCAAACACAGAGCAGAATAAGAGGCTCTATACACTGCACATCCACAGGGACAATCCAGGGAAGGTTTTACGAGAGGCATGGTCTTGAACCTTCATATAGTCACACTGTTAACTAGGGTTTTATCCAGAGAGAGGACTACAGGAGATTTTTATTTTCTGCTTTTATCATGCAAAAGAAAAACACTGTTTGTTTTGGGGAAAAAAATGTAAATTGGGCCTTGGAGGAAAAATATCAGATTTCTGATAAATAGAAAAAAAATGTAAAGGACAGAAAAGACCTATCTAAACATAGTGGAAATCATATGCTCTCCTGAAGCCTTGGGGTATAACATCCACTTACACAACTATGTGCTAGGCACTGTGTTCTGCCCTATTTATACATATGATCTCATTTTACCCTTACAGAAACCTGGAAGTAGTTATCCCAACTGTAATGAGAGGCAAGCTAAACCCATGCCTCCAGCCCCAAACTCACCCCTAAGCTACTAAAACCCATCCGCTCCCTGGGCACCTCCACCTGCTGACCACAATCACCTGATCCCAAACTAAGCTCATCTTACCCCTCAAATACATTTCTTGTCCTGTGAACTTTCTCTTAGAAAATGGCATCACCATTCAGGCCAGAAAGCTGAGAGTCCTTCTCTCTCCCCAGCCACATTCTACCTACACTGCAGTTTGAGCCCCTCAGACATGCTAAGCCCACCTCCACCTCGGGCCTCAGTGTTGGCAGCCCCTTCCCTCCAGTGCGTTCCTTACCCCCGAGTTTCACAGAGCAGCCCCTTATCTGCCCTAAAATCTGGAGGATTCAGGCTGACCAGAGGCTCCCTGGCCACCCTTGCAAACGTCATGCTATTTCATTTGCTTAGCAGTGAATGCTGCTATCTGAAAATGTTTTCTTCACTTATTTATAATTTTACTGTCTGCATTCTCTCACTAGTAAACAAGGATTTTAGGTGGGAACATCATGAATAAAGCCACTCAGCAGGCCCACTTACAGAAATCCTATGAATGACAAAAAAAAAAACTCATTCTAATTTAGGGCAAATACTGGGTTTATCTTATGGCATACATCCAACAGCAGTCTGAACGAATTTTAAAAAGTAAAATAAGGAAGCACTGTTATAACATCTAGAGCATTCACAATAATTTTCAATCAGCTTGCTCTAATCTCTAAATAATGCTCCTGGAGATGCAAAGAAAATAAGCAGAGACATTTTTTCTCTCCTAATTCATATAATCTTCACTCCTTTAGGTGTCTTGTCATCTCAAGCAACTTTAACTTACCTCATTAAAAAAAATAATTTAGCTAAATTAAAATGTTCTTTTTACATTTTCATGTCTTTATTCCACTGAGTTATTATTGCAAGGTCACAATGCTACATAAAATGAGCAAAATTATTCCTTTAAGACTGCCAGAAATGGTTATTACAAATGACAGACTGGGCATGGTGGTTCACGCCTATAATCCCACACTTCAGGAGGCAAAGGAGGCAGATCACCTGAGGTTAGGAGTTCAAGACCAGCCTGACCAACATAGTGAAACACCATCTCTACTAAAAATACAAAAATTAGCCAGGTATGGTGGCGCATGCCTGTAGTCCCAGCTACTCAGGAAGCTGAGGCAGGAGAATCATTTGAACCCAGGAAGCCGAGGCTGCAGTGAGCCAAGATGATGCCTCTGCACTCCAGCCTGGGCAGCAGAGTGAGACTCCATCTTAAAAAAAAAAAAAAAAAAAAAAAAAAAGACAATGAGCTAAGTACAGTGGCATGCACCTGTAGCCCCAGCTACTGGGGAAGCTAAGGCAGGAGGATTACTTGAGCTCAGGAGGATTACTTGAGCCCAGAAGTTCGAGGCTAGCCTAGGCAACAGAGCCAGACCCTGTGTCTTAAAAAAAAAAAAATGGAAGGAAAGACATGGCAATGATTTCTACATTTATATAAAAGCACTAATGATGAGCTGAAATTACAACTACCAATTTTTATTTTTAAAAGAATAGATTTCACTTTTACATTTCTAAACATGCTTGAGATAAAATACCCACCAATGTGACTTTCATTTTACTTAAACTTTTGCATATATTCCAAATTTTAAACGAACATATATTATTTTTAATACCAAAGAGATAAAATACATATTTAAAAAATATCTATAACATAATAACCTTAGATGCTGATTCCAAATATGAAATAAGCCTAGGATTTTGACAAATCTCCAAATGGCTTTAAAAAAAGATTGCCAGCAAACTTAACCACCGAGAAAACAGAAGTGTTTTTTTTTTAATCTTTTAAAAGTAAAATCACTTAAGAATTTAAAATCATTTAGGAAAGAATTTTTTTACTAATCATAAAAATGACTTGCAAAGAAAACAATTTACTAGAGAAACTGGTCGATTCTTTGGAAGAAGAATAGGGTAGTTGCTTACATGTTAAACAATGTAGTGAAATAAAGCAAACATTGTATCTATGTGTATACTGTGCACTGAAGGAAATTAAATTTACAAAATGTCCACTGGAATTCCAAGTCTGTGCAGAAGAGTTGGGTCCTTGATAATTTCCTAAAATAGATTCATAAAAATCCAATGAATATGGAAAGGTACACTTGTCTCTCAATGATTTGACTCACCCAATTTAAGTAACTGACACGTCTTCACCTAGAGATGCATAGAAAAGCACACATAAAGAAAAGAGTTCTTTTGAACACATCCAGATGTCACCACTGGGGTTTGGGAGGCAGAATGTGCTAGAAATAGAAAACAGGTTCCAAGAGGAAGTCAATTCACTTCCAAAAGTACCCATTAATGTGCTTTCTTTTTAAGTGCCCATAATACGGTAGGCATGGGGAAACAAAAATTTTAAAGATCTTGTCCCTATCCTCAAAATGCTCACCTTCTAGAGAGAAACGTCTAAAAGACAAGTAATCATAAAGTAACAAGACATTTCTAGAGTGGAGGAATAAGTAAGTCTAGCCTTCCACCCCTTCGGTATCTCCTGGGAGGGGAGCATACATCTGTCCCAACTTACTGACATCTGAGATCTCAACCTGAAGAAATTCCTGTGGACTACCTGCTGCAGTTGTAGTCCCAATTTCTGATTTTTAGAAATTAAGTGAATTAAGAAACCCAGAAATTAAAACCTTGAGGAAAATGCTGCTGAAAAGACTGAGCTTTTAAAAAATAGAAAATTTCAGCACAAAAATTTTCTTGTCCTTTTATCAATTATGCCTATAAAAAGTTATGCATTTCAAAATCTTATATTTAACCAATAAATATTTTCCAATACTAGCTAGATACCAAGAATGCAATGTCCACTATTTCTTAAATATCATAAAACCTGCCAAGTGATGCCATCCTTTCCTTAGGATATTTAGAGTGGTGGGAATAAAGGAATAGACAGCTTCTGCGCCTACTTTAAAAGAAATGATACTATCAAAGAAGTTTTACAATGACTTATACTAACTTCTCAGATTGAATGTCTTCAGCAATGGAACTATGAAAATTTTTGGTTTGTTTTTATTTCCATTTTTTCTGCAGGCTAATGGGCCAGATTTCAATGTCTGATTAAAGACATACAGATAAGGGCAGATGGCAGAGGCTTCCAAAGGAACACAGGAAAAGGAAGGTCAATGGTGCATGACCAGCAGTAAATCCCAAGTCCTATCCAAGAGGGGTCGTTCTCAGCCCTCAGACAGTGTCTCTCACCATGCTTTCCTTCTTCCAGGAGCAGTACCCCTACTGCTCCTTCCCCTTCTTGGGGTAATTACAGTACCCCATCCTCTCAGCTTTATTGTTATAGTCTGCATTTGGAGCTGTGAGAGGCAGTGAAAATTTCAGGCAATTCTTTGGACATAAGAAAAACAAAATTCACTCCATCAGGTACTCATTAGGTGCAATGTCCTGTAAAACATTTCAGATGCCAAAGGTCTAGACCAGCCCTGACCAAATAAAGTATATGTTTCTCTTATGATTAACCCCCCGCCCTTTTTTTTTTCGGTCTGGCTCTGTCACCCAGGCTAGAGTACAGTTGTACAATCTCGGCTCACTGCAAGCTCTGCCTCTTGGGTTCAAGCGATTCTCCTGCCTTAGCCTCCAAAGTAGTTGGTGTTACAGGTGGGTGCCACCTCGCCTGGCTAATTTTTGTACTTTTAGTAGAGATGGGGTTTCACCATGTTGGCCAGACTGGTCTAGATCTCCTGACCTCAGGTGGTCCGCTCACCTCAGCTTTCCAAAGTGCTGGCATTACCAGTATGAGCCACCACGCCCAGCCAAAAACTCATTTTTAGAATAGGTTTTCTACAGTATTTATTGCTTATTCTAGTCATGGACTAAAGTCATAGGACTGATAGCAGACACAATAAAAATAAAAAATTGAAAGTCTTAATGTTACATGTAAATCTTTTCAGTTGCTTCTAATGAAAATTTAATATAAAATAACTTGCAGATTAAGTTATGGGTTTAATCACACTGAAAATCAATAATGATGATAGATTACCAAATTTACAGGTAGTAGTAATAAAGATAATTAACATGTACTGAGTGCCTACCCAATTTACAGTCAGACATTGCAATAAATGTGTTTCAGGAATTCTTTCTCTCAATCTTTACAACCTATAAGCTGGTTATATTATCCCCAGTTTACAAATAAGGAAACTGCAAGGCATAGAGATAGCAAATAACTTGTCCAAGGTCACTCAGCTAAGTAATGGAGCTCTTCCCACAACATAACTCGTGGAAATGAACCAAACAGGTAAAGCAAAACCTGTGTGTCAAAAGAACCTGGGTAGGTAACTCTGTCCTTCCCTCCAGCGTACACAATACACAATGGCCTTTTGTGTGAGCCCCCAGCACCTCTGGCTTCTCCTGACTCCACCCTCCTCAATGCTTACACAGCCTCAGAGTATTCTGCTCCCTTTTGAGCTGGAATATTTACTCCTATGTAACATGCACATTTCACAACACAGCTTTGTGGCTATTAGATTTCCAGCTTTTGGCTTTAAATATACACTAGGAAGGCTCAGGTACCACCCTGGAGGTGCACCACTGAGAATAACCAAAAGGAAGTACTTCATTCCAAACACTACAAAGGAGGGTTCAGGTCTTCATGGGGCAGAAACAGGCAGCTTTTCATATTGGCACTTTCTTTTTTTTTTTTTTTTTTTTTTTTTTTGAGACCAAGTCTCATTCTGTTGCCCAGGCTGGAGTGTAGTGGCACAACCTCAGCTCACTGCAACCTCCACCTTCCAGGTTCAAGCCATTCTTGTGGCACTTTCTAACGAATAGTAAGAAGTTGAACAATGTAAGCATGCCTCCCTAGCTTTAAATAACAGGTGAATGAGATACATAAGAACAAGAGGTAGGCTTGAGGGGAGGGAATAATTGAACCCTGGCATATAAAGTTAAGGTCAAAGAAAAAATAACAAACTATAGGCCCAGCCCTGGCATAAATTAAAACACATAATCATGGCAATAATAGTATTAACAGTTTTAAATTTCCAACTACAGGTAGTTAGCAGTAATTAAAAAATATTTATTGGCCAGGTGCAGTGGCTTATGCCTGTAATCCCAACACTTTGGGAAGCCGAGCAGGAACAATGGCTTGAGGCCAGGAGTTCAAGATCAGCCTGGGCAATGTAGTGACACCCCATTTAAAATAAATAATAAAAAAAAAAAAGCCAGGCATGGTAGTGTACATCTGTAGTCCCAGCTACTCAGGAGGCTGAGATGGGAAGAGAGCTTGAGCCTAGAAGTTCAAGTCTACAGTGAGATATGATTGTAGGCGACAGTGAGACCCTGTCTCAAAAACAAAAATTATTGAGCAAGTACTGGAAATTTTACACACATCATCTCTAATCTTAATAAACTTGAAAGCAGGTATTGCTATTCCCATTTCAAAGATAAGAAAACTGAGGTTCAAAGAAGTTAAGATGGTCATGGGCACAGAACTAGAAAACAGCACTAGGCTGTCCTAATTCCAAAGCCCCCATACATTCTGCTATACCATGCTGCTGCTCACATCACGGGTAAATCAAGATTACTTATAAAAGGAGGATCACCGTTACATGTAAGTCTCCTGAGTGGCTCACAAGGCCCAGGATCCCTGCTGCCCAGCACCACTCCGGCCAGCCATTGCCACCCTCTGTTCCAGCCCTGACTTCTGCCTCTCTAGGGACAAGCTGGACTTCTAATCTAATTGATACACAGAAAATAAAACCACAGGAGTGAATTACCAAAGACTTTATTCTGTTTCCAGATGCTCATATGATATCACCTAGAGCACAATCCCCTTTATTCTGCCTCTAACACATGCTAGACTTACTGTCATTTTCACGGTTTTATTTTCAGCACCTTCCACGGTGCCTGGTGTAGAGTAGGTTCGACTGTTTTTAAATCAAAGAGTAAAAGTAATACACTGTGTTACATTAAACCAAAGGAATAAACAAGGTAGATGGGGAGAAAGTTTACAGATGCACTTAATTAATATAAGTAACTGACTTAATTCCGCAGTTGACCAAGTGTGACACACTAGAAGCATTCCCATTCCTCATTTAATAAGTTCAGGCTGCTGGCCTCAACACTATCACTTAGCATCATTTTGAAAGTGTTAACCAATGAGAAGAGACAGGAATAAATATCTGAAAGGATATGGCAATGTGTCACTACAGTTTGCATAAAAGGATTATGCCCCACCCCCACCCACCCAGATAATTAACTGGAAAACTTTATTAGAAGTAATAAAAGAGTGGAGCACCATGACCAGAAAAAAATAAACAAGAAAAAAATGATGAACAATATTAAGCAGTAAAAGAAAAAAAATCCTGTAGAATATTATGCATAGAGCAATTTCATTTATGTCCTCCAACCTTTATAGTTAAGTGTTCATATATGTTTATGAAAGTTTCCATACTTATATTTCCAAAAGATATTTGAAACGTATTTTTTCCCTAGGCAAGTAATGGACCTCTTGCCACAACATAACTCTTGAAAGTGAACCAAATATGGACCAAAATTAACAGTGATTACTGCTGGTATATATGTTTGTTATACAGTATGCCCTGTTCTCATGTTTTAATGACAATCCTATCATTTTACAGTTGAGCAAACTAAAGTCTAAAGGTTAAATAACTGTCAAATGTCTCAAAGCTACTAGGTCAAATCTGAGTCCAACTCAAGCTATCAGCCTCCACAGAGAGGGCTCTTACGCCAATACCTCCTGTCTGGGCAGGGGAGTGGGACAGGGGTCCACACTGTGGGCTGAACGAAACTTAATATCAAGAATGTACTCCTGTATTATATATATAACAATCACAAGAAGAAACTTCTACAATGACAGCAAACAAGAGAAAATGAATGGACACAAAATTCAAAAATCAATAAGGTCCTTCAAATAACAGCATTGTTTATCTGGTCTCATGAACTTGGGGCATATCTACAGTGGCAAAATAGTAAAAGAATTAATTATGTAGCAAATAATCATAATTAATGATGTTATCTTCATCTATAATAAAGGTATCTCAAATGTGAAGAAAGGTTTTCAACATCGGGGGATTTGCCACATTCTTCTTTCTCAGGGAAGAGCAGGCACAAATCTGAAAGATTAGGCCTAATTCCGTAATTCAGTAATTCAATGTATTCAGCAATTCAATAACCTAATAGTTGTAGAAGCTAACCACAGGTCTTCTATCCCTCAACAAATAAAGAAGGTAAAATAACTGACAACTACATCTGAGAGGCAGGCTTCCTTTAGAAATTAGGAGGTACATGGTGAGATCTTTTGCCAGTTTCAAATAAGAAATTTGTTAATATATTACCTAGGTTATATAACACCATAAAAAGGAGTGGGGGAAAAAAATCAATGACTTATTACTATCAGCAACAGCTAACTAAAAAGAGTTGAAACGTTTTTTAAAATTAAAAATAAAAGGACGTAAGATACTGAATAAAGCTCTTAACAGCTCTTTAATCTTAGACTAAAAGGACATGTTTATAAATGAAATCAATCACTTAGTCAAGGTCAAACAAAATGGTCAAATTTGGAGAAGATATTATTCATATTACAGCACCAATAAATAATATGGAATAATATGTAGTGTAGTTATATTAGCAAGTCATATAGGTTGCAAGCTGAGGCATACTGTGAGGAGCTGGATGAACTGCAAGTCACAGAAGTAAAAAAGTTAGTCTTAACTGCTAATAGAACATAACCTTGCTGTACCTGGTCACAGTCACCAATATAAGATAATAGGCCTAACACTGTTAACCATAAATTCACAAGATCTATTACATAAGCATAAATGGTATTCATTTTTTATAATCTTTATACATATAAACATTTCCAAGCCTGGCATGGTGGCCCAGACATGGTCACCTGTAATCCCAGCAACTCAGGAGGATCACTTGAGCCCAGGAGTTCAAGACCACCAGCCTGAGGAATATAGTGAGACCTTATCTTTAATTAGCCGGGTGTGTGGCGTGTGCCTGCAGTCCCAGCTACTCGGCTGGGGATCACATGAGCCCAGGAGTTCAAGGCTGCAATCAGCTGTGATCGCACCACCGCACTCCAGCCTGGGCAACAGAGCAAGACCCTGTCTCTTACAAGAAAAATTAAAATAAAAAAAATTAAAAAAATATTTTGCATATATACATTTCCAAAAGATATTTGAGGTGGCTGATTTCTGACTGAGAAAGGGACAAGTTTTCCTAACTTCACATCCTTAAAATCAATGTTGATAGTCTTTAGGTCTTGTGACATCAGATAAACCAAACATATACCATGGAAGCAAAAGCAACTTCCTTTTTGTAAAGCAGTAGTTAAAAACAGAAGAGATCTAATTCTGCGAGGAAACAAGACAGATAAGACAATCCTCTCTGAGTATTTAAATCAACTAATTTTTTACTTAGGTTTGTCATTTATTTGCACTTTAACAAAAAATGATTCTTCTAATCTTCAGTCAACGTTTAAGTAATACAAATGAAAAAAATAGAGGAGTTGTGAGAAATACATAATTGCATAACAGAAAGTCATACAGGGGCTGATCCATAATTTCAAAGTAAAATCTCTCCAAAAGTCCTTAACAAGTACATGTCTCTCATATTTAAAATACAGACTGAGCATCCCTATCTGAAAATCCAAAATCTGAAATGCTCCAAAATCCAAAATGTTCTGAAGACCAACCTGATGCGCAAAGGAAATGCTCACTGGAGTATTTCACACTTCAGATTTTCAAACTGGGGTGCTCAACTGGTAAGTATATAATGCAAATATTCCAAAATCTGAAAAAAGTCTAAACTCCTAAACACTTCTACTCTCAAATATTTCACGTAAGGGATATTCAAGCTATAATTAAAATATTATGCGTAATTTCCAAAATTCATCACTGTACAAAAAACTTTACTGCTTGCCTTTTATGAAGATCAAAGTAACATACAGATAAGAAGGAATTACAAATTTCTAGAAGATGGTGCTTTGTTCTACTCACTTGACAACCAAAAGCTGTCCAGTCAAGAACATAACAACTGGCATTTACTAAGTGCTTATCATGTACTACTACACGAAGTGGATTCTATTAGTAAGGCCATTGTACAGACAAACAGACTGACACTAAGGGAGATCTGAAGCCACTCAAATACTTGGGAGCAAAATGAAGACTGAAAATCAGGTCTGAACTGGCCTAAAGTCTATGGTATCCTACCAAGGCCAGCGTGCTCAACTTGAGGATTTGAATTTTCTAATTAAAATATTGTTTACTATGTTAAAATTGTCAAGCAAGCTTTTAAAAATTAATAGATTATTCCATCACATAAATGTACCAATATTCATATTTGGAAATTGTTGGTGAAAATTGTTCATGGCAATTACAAAGGTGTCTTCCTCTTTTTTCCAAAATTACATCTGAAACTTGTTACTTCAGCTATATTGTTCACTGAAATAAAATCATTTTTTAAATAAACAGTAGAAGAAATAGAACGTACTAGTTAAGAGTACCATTTGGATTGTACTGTTAATTGGAACTACTTAGGATTCCAATTCCTTTCTTCCACCAATGAGTTGGGTATCAGCCTCAACAATTTCTCATCCTCTCTAGCATTGGTTGCCTTGTCAAAAAAGTAAAAGATTTTTTAAAAAGAGAAAGTAAGAAAAAGAATAACGTGCATCTCACAGGCCAGGGAAAAACTAAATAAGATGACATAACACTAAAACAGGGCTCGTTGTCTAAAAAGAACACACACAAAAAAGTTAAAAAAAAAAAAAAGTCGCATAATACTCAAAAACAAATCAAGAGGCCCACTCCAATCTAAACAATGTGTGACAGGCCCTTCTCAGTGACAGCAAGTCTAAATAACTGGACACACAATTTTGTTTTCCCAACTATGTTACTAGAAACCAAACTTTTACTAACACATTATTTCAAAAAATAAGAAAATACTAGTTGTAAAAGACTAGCAACGCTTCCTTTGGGTGTCCAGTAGGAAATGTGTTAGCTTCTGAAGCACAATACACTTCTGGCTGGGCTGTGATCAGCATCAACAACATAAATTCAGCACACCTGGATCTCAACAGAAAGCCATCCATGCACATTTTCCTTGCTTGCTTGACTTTTGCCTTATTTGACTTTCTGCAGTCTTGGTTTTAGAAACTGACTTTTTTCCTTAAACAACAACAAAACCTAAGCATTTAAATGAACATGATTTCCTTTACAACATGGTCCTGCAGCTACCCCATCCTGAGTGGATCAATGCCATCCAACTGCCTCCCTACAGAGAGTAAAGACTTCATGAAAACCAGCAAATGTAAAAAGCCCAAAAGATCCTGGCTGTGCCTTATGATTAGTAGACTGCGTGATGGGTATCTGTGTGTGCCCACAGTAGCCCCAAGGGGCCCACTATGAGTCTCTGATCATATTCCTTCCAATTCTGCAGTTTTTAACTAACTCTATATACATCAGTCAGTAATAATAGCAGCTAGTGTTTATTAAGTACCCATTTACATGCTGGGAACTATAAATATTTGAATGGTTTATCAATCAAATATTTCATGTCATTTTCACATCGTCAGGAAATAGCATGCCCATTTTACAAAATGAGGAAACTGAGACTCATCAAAAATACGTGAATTGTCCAATGTCCCTAAAGAAATACACTAAACTGCTGATTTCACAGCAGAGAGCTCCCCTGTCAGCCACACCCCTACCTCTACCTGCACGTACTCTCTCCCACATCTGAATCTAAGCATTCGTCTAAGACTGATATATACAGATTCCATGACTGTATTCATCTCTACCTTTCCAAGCCAAATCTTATAGGGGTGCTTCCCCTTCCAGTTCACTGCCCGAGTAGCTTTTTAATGAGGTCTAAAAAATGAATTCAATAAATGCGACTGAGCATCTCCTGGGCCCCATGCATGGTACTTGGGGCTGATAATGTGCATAAGGTGAGGAGAAGAAGAAACATAGACCCCAGGGAAACGCTTGCAGGAAGACAAATGTGGAACAAGCCCAGCACTGACAGAAAGCGAGCTTTTGTCCTCTGGATCGTGGTGGTGAAGCAGAGTTCGCCAGCTGCACTGATACAAACCTGGCTGGGCCTGGGACACTCTGTGCCACAGGTGAGGAAAGCACATTTTCTAAACTTAGGGCCTTTGCCATTCAAAACATCACTATGAACTCATCACAACCTTTCAAAGAATTCTGCACGAATAGTCTAAGCATAAAACAAATCCAAACAATAAATATGTAAGTTTCCCCGTCTGGGGTGTGTGGTTTTAGCAGCAGGGAAGGAGGAAACACACATGCTGCTGCAGGAACACTCTGTCCAGTGCAGCCGGTTCCATCTTTTCATTACTCAGGATAAAGCTGGCTTCCTGGGACCCCCAAAGAGAGAAGTGAAAAGGCAGCTCTTCCTGCCACCTTTAGCCTGTCCCTTCTATCCATGTCCTTGAGGCACCCTAAAGATGCAGCTGCCTCCGTGCTCACACTCATCCCAAACAGAGAGATGCCAAGAGGAAGGAAGTGGTCTGAGGCCTCTGAAAAGCAAAGAGAGCAACTCCTCCTCCAGCTGCTCAGAGGTGAGGTCACAAGTGACAGGCTCAGTGAGCATGTGGAAACCAGGGGTCCCACTGTCCACATAACGACTCCTTTGTGTGGATGTCAGGATTTGCCACCTCCATCACCCAGACTAGAAATGGCTCTGAAACACTAAACAAGCAAATAAGTGAGTACATGTTGTAGAAGACATGTACCAGGAATTGAAAAGTGACAAGCATCTGAGTGAATATGGCCAGCAGACACACTGCCTGGCTGCACAGTATTTTAAAATCAGGAAAGTTTACATGCAGATCTTGACATCCAGCTTCTCTTGAAATGTTGGATGATCAGGGAACAGTGGATCCCAAGCAGAATCTAAGAATTTGAGAGGCTTCCCTCTTCAGACAGGGTCTGCCCACTTCCCAGACACCTCAACCCCCACCACCTCCAGGCTGCCTTATACATAGCATCCCCCGACTCATTCCCACTACCTGCCTGGCCACTGTGGGACATGAGCCCTGACCTCAGTATTACCATCTTTATATCTCACACTACTCTGAATGGAAAACTAAGCAGCACAGATCTAGAATAAGGAAACACTCAGGTTTTTGAGATTTTTATTTTCACCTCCCTTGCCATTATACCCAAAAGCCCAGACACAGAAACAGTGGCCAAGGAAATGGGGCGGTAAAGGGCAACAGGGAGGGAGAGTAAAGAATTAGCACATTCCAGGCCAGGTGCAGTGGCTCACGCCTGTAATTCTAGCACTTTGGGAGGCTGAGGTGGGTGGATCACGAGGTCAAGAGTTCAAGAACAGCCTGGCCAACATGGTGAAACCCCATCTCTACTAAAAATAGAAAAATTAGCCGGGCATGGTGGCAGGCGCCTATTAATCCCAGCTACTCGGGAGGCTGAGGCAGAGAATGGCTTGAACTCAGGAGGCAGAGGTTACAGTGAGCCAAGATCACGCCACTGCACTCCAGCCTAGGTGACAGAGCAAGACTCCATCTCAAAAAAAAAAAAAAAAGAAAAAGAAAAAAAGAAATAGTGCATTCCATGTGGAATCAGTGAAGGCACACCACATAGCCTGGCACACCCCAATGTGGGCACAGAATCAGCTCCTACTCCCACTCTCATGACCACAGTCCAACCACAAGGCAGGGCCCAGGCCTCGGATGCCTTCATCCCATGCACTGCAGTTTTCAACAGGCTTTCACCAATACTGAAACTGATTACACACACAAACTTCTCCCATTTAGACAGAAGTTCTCCCCTCCCTACAAGGAAGTAGAGAGGACTGCATTTCCCTGTCGCAGTTCCAGAGAAAAGGGAATTAAGGAATCAAGGAGGGTGAAATTCAGGTTTTCCCAACAGATGTGAAGAAGCAGGCTATGCAACCTGGGGCCTAGGCCTACCTAGACACGACTTCTAGTAACAGCAAACCTCCAACCTATTGCAACTACAGAAGTTGATCATGTTTTATCTATCGTGCTATCTAAATCCTGAATGAATTATGAAAACAAAAAAGGGGAAGTATATTTTAAAGAAGTGAGACCAATTTCTGAATCCTAACCACACGTAACTCCTTATCAGAGAACAGCATCATCACATTAGTTCTTCCAGTATAATACTAATAATTGCTATATTATTATTGTTAACAATTTTTAAAACATATTTGTATAGTGCCTTATAATTCTCAAAGTGTTCATGTTTCCTTAGAGAAAAAAAGGGCAAGTACTCTATGCCTACTTAACCAGGAAGGGCACTATTGCACAAAGCCTTGAGTAACTTACTCAAGATCACCAGCTGATCAGTTAACATGATGCTGCAGCACATGCATGAATTCCAGAAATACGCAAAGTGACTCTGCAGTCAAGAAAACAGGGCTGGGCACGGTGGCTCATGCCTGTAATCCCAGCACTTTAGGAGGCCAAGGCGGGTGGATCACTTGAGGCCAAGAATTAGAGACCAGCCTGGCCAACATGGTGAAACCCAATCTATACTAAAAATATAAAAATATTAACCGGGCGTGACGGCAGGGCACCTGTAATTCCAGCTACTTGGAAGGCTGAGGCAGGAGAATTGCTTGAACCCAGGAAGTGGAGGTTGCAGTGAGCCAAGATCACGCCACTGCACTCCAGCCTGGGAGACAGACAGAGACTCCGTCTCAAAAAAAAAAAAACAAAAAAAAAAAAAAACAAAGAAAAAGAAAACAGTAACCCCTGTTAAGGAGTAAATAGAGAGATAAAACTTGATTACATATACATATATACCTTGATGCATATACCATACATACAGATACCAACGACATATTTTAAAAATTAATTTAGTCCAGGCACACTGGCTCACACCTCCCAGCACTTTGAGAGTCCAAGGCAGATGGATCACTTGAGGCAAGGAGTTTGAGACCAGCCTGACTACAAATAGAAAAATTAGCTGGACACAGTAGTATGTACCTATAATCCCAGCTACTGGGGAGGCTGAGGCATGAAAATTGTTTGAACCTGAGAGGCAGAGGTTGCAGGGAGCCAAGACAGTACCACTGCACTCTAGCCTGGGCAACAGACTGAGACTGTCTTGGAAAAATACTAATAATAATTTAATGTTAAGTATTACAGAAGGATCCATCTATTTTGTTATCCTTTTTGCCAGACTATTAAGAAAAGGTGACCAATCTGAATTATGGGTTGAAAACGTAGTTTTCATCAAGTCTTTCTGAAGTTGAGTCAACATTCAAAATAATTACTGCTAAATGGGGCAACACTGATGGCCCTTCCAGAAATGTGCGTGCCTAGAGCCTCCAGGACTCTCAGTCCTGAGCACATGTCGCCCTCTGGTGGCACGCACCTCTCTGAATCCTGGAGAAGTCACTCAGGTAGGGGAAGCTTCCGGCAGTGATTTCCAAACATTTCCCACACACCCTCTCAGCTCAAAGAGTTTTTTTAGTAAAAACTTTCAACACACACTTATTTATAACTTCTATACCTATACGATCATAATAATTACATTCATTTCCAGAGACAAAAGAAGCTTTTGAAAATTATAATCTGAACAGAAGTTCTAATAACCTTCTTGCACCCTAATGGCTCATTGCAAGCACCCACTCCGGAGATATCTGTGATTTACAAAGAACCTCACAGTGTGATTTCATTCAGAAAGATTGCAACATAATTTCTGCCCTTGAATTTTTTTGAAAAAACACCCCTATTTTTTTCTTGAGAGTGCTGTAACTTAAGTGTCTGCAGGTGAATGGGGCAATAATCCTGAAGTTAGCCAGTGCATACACTCTGAAGGTATATAGTCAGGCTAACCACAAAACTAAGGTGGTTATGATAATCTTGGTAAAACCCTCACCAGGAAACAATGTAGCTTTTACTCAATACTTAGTGCAAGAAGCTAAACAATCCAAGATCCCCCTGAATTTTGGGTATCCCTACTTTCCTTCCAGATAACTCACCTATATGTATTAAAAATCTTAGTATTCATGAAGTCTTTTATCTAAGAAAGTCTTTACTAAAAACACACTTTAAGGTTTCCACCCAAAAAGAGCACGTAGCACTCTAACTTGCCTCAGTAAGCAGAGGATTATATCAGCATGCTCCACTGAAGTAGGGAGGCATTGCTACTGAACTCGCGATGAATTTAAAAAGCACACTCAATCAGTCCCTTGCTCTCAACGTTCTGAATGATCCTAGCTGGCACCATTAGTCTTGAACCATATCTTTGAGAAGCAGGGTGATCAATCAAAAATTATTCCAAAAAGAATAATAATCTGGAATATGTATCAGGCTCACATAAAGGTAAGAGAAGGAAAGGTTTTTGATGGTGGTTGTTGTTGCTGTTTCATCTTTTCTTTCCACATATGCATTCCCAAAAGCCAGTTGAAATATCAAAGATGCTTGCCATCAGCTAACTAAGGTATTGAAGGTGTCTTAAAACTTAACTCTGCAGTCCTAGTGCCTAGCACAGGCTGGATATTATCATCGGCAGTTTTCATTGTGAAAAGAAGACAAACTTTTTATTTCTCCCCAAATAAGGCTGAGGAAAAAAACAACTGAATATCCTAGTTTTGGGGCAATTCATTCATGAAACAATCTATTGCTAGATATGTGTGAGATAAAAATTATCTGTGATTATCAATTTTAGATATTAACTTGGCTAAGCTATTGTATCCAGTTGTTTGGTCAAACACCAGTCTAGTTGTTGCTAAAAAGATTTTTTTAAGATGTGATTAAGATTTAAATCAACAGACTTTGAGTAAAGCAGATTATGTTCTATAATGTGTGTGAGCCTAATCTAGCCCATAGAAAGTCTTAAAAGACTAAGGTCCCGGCCGGGTGCGGTGGCTCAGGCCTGTAATCCCAGCACTTTGGGAGGCTGAGGCAGGCGAATCAGGAGATCAGGATTCAAGATCAGCATGGCCAACATGGTGAAACCCCATCTCTACTAAAAATACAAAAAATTAGCTGAGCATAGTGGTGGGTGCCTGTAATCCCAGCTACTCGGGAGGCTGAGGCAGGAAAATCACTTGAACCCAGGAGGCAGAGGTTGCAGTGAGCCGAGATTGCACCACTGCACTCCAGCCCAGGTGACAGTGTGAGACTCTGTCTTTAAAAAAAAAAAAAAGACTGAGGTCCCCAGAGGAAGAAAGAATTCTGCCTCCAGACTGCCTATGGACTCAAGACCGCCACATCAGTTCTTCCTTGAGTCTCCAGCCTGCCCTGAATATCTCAAATTTGCCAGCCCCATAATCATGTGAGCCAATTCCTTAAAATAAATACCCCTCTCTTTTCTCCCCCCCTTTCTCTCTCTAGGTAGATATAAACATATATGTACGCATACACATATATATACATACACTTAACACACACTTTTTTTCTATTGGTTCTATTTCTCTGTAGAACCCTAACACATTGTCTAAGGATTTTTGAAAGATCATGACCACGGGTATTCATGCACTGCCCTCTGCTGTGCTAAATGTTAACATACATTCCCCCAAGTTAAAGCCAACCCACCATATTAAGTCCAATCACTAAATGAAGGATATTCTTCTAAAACTAAAATTGGAAAGTGATGGTAAAAGGGCCAAGAAAAATCTTGCCCGTCAATATATCAATATTCCTAGGTAGATAAGCCCCACTGACATTTCATTTTAATAATGGTAGGTAATCTTAGTCCAACAATAGAATGATTTCAAGTGTGTATGTCTTCATAAGATACTACACTTCATAGAAAAGGTTTCGCCAGAGTTTCCTGAATGAGAAAGAAGAAAAAAACACTATGAAAATAAAAGGTGAAAAGAATTAAAAAAAAATTAACTACCTCTTGGTTATCTTTGTTTTGGTTTGCCCAGAAAATCTTATGATAAAGTGTCTCCATGGAATTGCTGGAATCAGTTCGGTCAAAACAGTGACGATCCAAAACTTCCAACGTGTGCAAAACCCGACTAATAGTCACCCCTATAGGCAGAAATTAAACAAGTGGTTAATGAGGCCAAAAATAACACAGTTATAACACAGTACAAAATCACCATTCTATGTGAGGCAAAAGAATTTTTTTTTAATTATCATTCTTGGCATATGTTATCAAACAATCATCAACAAAACCAAACTTGACATTCTAGACAGCCAGGATCTAAAAGGCATAAACTGAAGATTGTCCTCAAAATTCACCAAGTGGCTCTGTCAAAAAGCTGCCTTATTCATGTGGAATGGTTTATAAGAAGCAAAAACACAGCATAAAGTCCAACATTCAAAAGCACTCGTTCCTCTGTGGCATTCTGTACCTGCTGTGGATTCTTGGCACTTGTCAAATGACCACCGAACTTCCACTGCACGGCCTCTTTGTTTTATCTGTTGTTCTACTTCATAAATCCTTGCCCGAACCTGAAAGATAATCGCTTCTAATTAACTTGTGCTTGGAATGCCACAGCGCATGTCTAAATCATGTCAGGTTTTTCCACGTGAGTAAAGTATCCTATAGTGAACTACAATCTTGACTGCATTGTAAGAAATGCAGCCTGTGGCCCAATAAGTGAATTTTTAAAATTTACAAAGGGCAATTCAATGTCAGTTTTCAATAATAAATGTTCACAAAAATAAATGCTTGCAAAATTTGTTTTACGAGTGAAATTTCTTTTTTAGGACACCACGTGGAAAGGTGAATGTTCTAAAATAATCTCTTTGAGCCATTCTTCCATGTGTGAAAGCAATTTGCAACGTTCTATTAAGAAAACTGCTTGGGAAAAGACAGGGATCTTATTCTTTTTTTTTAATGGATGAATATGATTTTATTTTATTTTTATTATACTTTAAGTTTTAGGGTACATGTGCACAATGTGCAGGTTTGTTACATATGTATACATGCGCCATGTTGGTGTGCTGCACCCATTAACTCATCGTTTAACATTAGGTATATCTCCTAATGCCATCCCTACCCCCTACCCCCACCCCACAACAGGCCCCGGTGTGTGATGTTCCCCTTCCTGTGTCCATGTGTTCTCACTGTTCCATTCCCACCTATGAGTGAGAACATGCGGTGTTTGGTTTTTTTTTGTCCTTGCAATAGTTTGCTGAGAATGATGGTTTCCAGCTTCATCCATGTCCCTACAAAGGACATGAACTCATCATTTTTTATGGTTGCACAGTATTCCATGGTGTATATGTGCCACATTTTCTTAATCCAGTCAATCATTGTTGGACATTTGGGTTGGTTCCAAGTCTTTGCTATTGCGAATAGTGCTGCAATAAACATACGTGTGCATGTGTCTTTATAGAAGCATGATTTATAATCCTTTGGGTATATACCCAGTAATGGGATGGCTGGGTCAAATGGTATTTCTAGTTCTAGATCCCAAGACAGGGATCTTATTCTAAATATTAATCACAATCCTATGGTTCAAGTCACATAAGGCTTTGAAACAAATAACCCAGTACCAATAAGAACATATAATAATTACCAAATATCAAAACTACTACAGGAGTCATGGTCATGTATTAGAACCACCACCATAATTACAGTCTGGGTGGCAGAACTCTCAGCAAGAACTGTTCAGCAAGACAGTGAAAAGAAAGGGAGCAACTTCGAGAATTTCAGTGGTTCTGAAGAGGCTAAACAATTCTCTAAGGTCACCCAGAGTGTTAGCAGGCAAAACTGGGATAGCACCCAAGCATCTAGATACTAAAACCTGTGCTTGACCCACTGTGCCCTGATGCCTGTCAAGAATGAAAACAGCCATCAAATCACTGAAACATAAAGTCTACCTGCTGATTGAAAGCCGTGTTCCCACCCGGCATGGGGAGGCTGGACGGGGCCACCTGCAGCAGATCCAGGGGTGAGCCTGGGTTTGCGCTCTTATTTTCATTTGTGGAATAATTCCACACCAAGGCACTTGGGCAACAGAGAGTGACAGTCTGGAAATGAAACAGATAAAGTTGGATGTTCAGAGGAAGGAGAAAAGCATAACAATAGCTAAACAGTAAAAACGACACCCTGTCATCACTGTATTATTGTCTCCTACTAGTAAGTTTAAAATACGAGAGTGTCTTACCCCATTCTCAACTTCGCAATTGAGAAGACAAAACTAAAAATTATTAAGTTGAAAGGGAGGAAGTACAGCTGTTGAGAAATTAAGGAATAATTCATAAGCTAATACTCCAACAGGAACCTGAAGGAACTTAATAAAAATGCAGTAATCATCACTTAAAAATCGTCACTTAAACCAATTTTTCATGCAATTAAAAACATGAGATGAACTTATAATATGTAATTTCTAAGGCTGTAAAAGCTAAAAAAAAAGAAGTATTTAAAAACAAAAACAAAATCAAATAATCATGTAATAGTAGCTTCATAAATGGTGGGCAGGCAGTAACCCTGGACAAGGGGTTGTCAAACTTTTTCTATAAGAAGCCTGATAGTAAATGTTTTAAGCTTTGCAGGCTACCTACAGTTTTTGTCACACATTCTTCATTTTTGTTTTAATAATGCATTAAAAACATAAAACCTATTTTTACCTTGTGGGCCGAATTTGATCCACAGCCTGTAGATCTCCCTCGCCCTAGACACTTGCAGACACTCTTCACTCAACCAGAAGTACTTTATATGACCATCTTGCTTATGTGTCACAATAACCCCATGATCTAGGTAGTGTTATCCCCCACCTTTACCAAAGAGGACTATGAGCCGCGTAGATTAGTAACCAACCCAAGTTTGATTTTATTAATAGCACACATGCTCAGAACCACTATGTTATCCTGCCTCCTAAACATAGATTAAACATTATAGCTCACATTTAATTAAGCTAATTACACTTAGTCTACGCTGAACACTATCTTGGAAGCTTTCCGTCATCATAACCTTAACCCTATGAGGCAATGAAGTAAGAACTATCATTACTCCCCAACCAGACACGGGGAAACAGAGGCTCAAGGTCACCGTTACTAAGTGGCAGAGTGAGGTTTAAAATCAGGTCTGTAACAGCTTTAAAGTGTATATCTAAGCCATTATGCTCTTGTGCCATTCAACAGCAAATTTTTTTTCAAAAATATGAAATTAAGTACAAAAAGCTGGCCAGGCACAGTGGCTTGCACATATAATCCCAGCGCTCTGGGAAGCCAAGGCAGAAGGATCACTTGAGCCCAGGAGCTTGAAACCAGCCTAGGCAACACAGTGAAACCCCATCTCTAAGAAAAATTTAAAAATTAGCTGGGTGTGGTGATGCACATCTGTAGTCCTAGCTACTAAGGAGGCTGAGGGGGGAGGATCACTTACTTGAGGCAGGAGGATCACTTGAGCCCAGGAGCTCCAGGCCGCAGTGACTGAAGATTAGGCCACACTGCCCTCCAGCATGGGCAACAGAGCAAAACCCTGTCTCAATCAATTCATCAATCAATTTAAAAAAAATAAAAATAAAAAAAATAAACTCTGAGGTCTAGGAGACATCTTTGTGGAAACCAGATAGCAGATACAAAGAATGTCAAGTCCCTGAAACCTACCAATCCATCTCTTTCCACTGGGCTACATCCCTACTGCCTTCCTCATGACTGTAACAATGTGGAGTTCTCAACTCCTCCTGACAGAGCCCTTCCTTGTGTCCTTGATTCCAAAGCCCTCTAATACCCAGGGCACTGATCTATCAAACACTGCTCCTTCTCCTATTTGCTCTTAGCCCAAAAATACATTCAAATCTGCCCATCAAAATATATATATATTTTTAACTCTCCACTCAGCTGCCATCTTTATCCATTATCCATTCTCTTCTCTTCTCTTCATAAACACGTTTCTCAAAACAACAATTAGTGCTATTTCTCCTTATTCTCCATCACTCCTCGACATTCCTTAATTTGGCTCCTTATCCACCATTCAATTAAATAGCTCTTTAAAAGATCACCAATGAACACTATATTGTTAAAGACTACTTCAGCCATCTTCTTGCCAGATGTCTCCAATACTCTACACATTGCCCACTACTAATTCCTTTTTGAAACTTTCTGCAGACCCCAGTTTAGCATAGTGGTTGAGTGTGGACTCTGGATCCTGATTGCTTTGGTTTGGATTCCAGCTTTGCCACTTTCTTGCTCTGTAATCTATGCATTATTGATGTTATAAGAATAATAATGGTTCCCATCTCAAAGGCTAGTTCCAAGAACTAAATGACTTAATAACATACGTTGCAACTTAGAACGATGCCTAGACCATAATAAATGCTATCCATACGCTAATATAATTATGACAATATTACTGTTATTCTCATCATCTTTGGGCAACAATACTCTCCCCCTGTTCTCTCTCCAGTCTGGCCAACCTTCCCGGTCTCCTCCATGGACTTCCCCTCTGCCCGACTCTTAAGCACTCCTGTCCTTCAGGTTCACGGATTCTCTCTCACTACAAAATTCTTCAGGCAACCTCACTCCCTCTTGGGTTTTTGAACAGCCAAAGTTCTTGAAGGATTCGAATCCACACAAGTAGCCAACTGTCTGCCCAAATCTGCAGAATTGGACATGTAACAACTCTTGAACATATCCATTTGGAGGTTCTAAATAAAGGACAAACAGTCCAAAATAGTCCAAAGCTGAACTCCCTGAAATGCTTCCAAACTGATTTCTTTGCCTTGCAAGCCTCCTTTCCTACCTCCCCACTCCCACCAATCTTCCCTCTACTGTGGCCAATCAATCTAACGACAATTACACAACTACCTGTGTCACTTTGCTGCATAAAACCCTCTGATGACACCTCAATCATAAGGCCCACAGGGCATCTTCTATGCCCTGACCCCCAACAGAGTTTATAATGTATGTCCCACTAACACCCACCTACACAAAAGATAACTGACCAGCCTCTGGGCCTCTTCCCATAGTGTTTCCCCTGCCAGGAAACTTTTACTACTTCTTTTTACTTGATCTTTCTCAACTCATTCGAAGAACTAAAAAATTTCTTTCACAAAGCCTCCGTGAGTTTTAGGCTGGACTAGAGGTTCCCCTTTTCAACTGCCTTGGCCCCCTGTGTATCTCCCCAACAGCCCTTGTCATATTATTTGGAAACTGTCCATTTATGACCCAGTTTTCCTGAAAAGACAGTAAACTCTGAGAGTGGAGACCATGTCTTGAGGGTCAACTGTTTCAAAGCTCCTTAGTATACAGCAGAACACATTAAGAGCTCAAGAAATACAAACTGAACACTAAGCTGTGAGCTCCTCTAGGGCAGGACTGTACCTCATTCCTGATATTCCTGGTAGTATCAGCCCAGCAACCAGCATGTTACTGGATGTTCAAGGACTACACAAGCAACAATGCTTGGAAGACGAACGGAACCCGATACGATTTGGACTTTAAACACAGACAGGCAACCAACCCAAGATGTGAACTTAGAAAGATTAAAAATGCTAGCTGGAGAAGCTGTCTTTCCAGAAGAACAATAATACAACTGACTTATTCTGTGGGTTCCCTGAAGGATTTTTAATTGAACTGCTTAATGACCCTAATAAAGGACAACTGCAATAACACTCTCCTAGACGAATGTGACAAATCTTCTCTCAGCTTGATCCATCACAGGGAAATAAAAACATAAAATTTCAATCAATAAATTACTTGGGTGAGGAAAAAACTAGAGTTGTAAAAAGTCAACTAGAGAATTGAAAATGCCATTCCCAACTCAATCACTTCCCACATTGAATTTTAACATAAAATAACAAGGGCCAAGGACTTACCTGCAACATACAACTAAGTCCATAAACCAGGGGACCATGCTGTGCACAGGAAAGAAAATCTGAGAAGGCCAGCTGCACGGGGCTCATGCCAGGGCCGGGGGGGCCAGGGCTGGGGGCCCCGATACTCGAGTTGTTTGGTCCTATCATCATGTGGGGTGAGTGGGCAGCAAGGAGGTTGGGGCTATCGCTCAGCAGCAAGGAAAGACGCCGGGCACAAAAGTAGGCAAGACGACGAGACAGGTAGGCCGACTGAACAAACTCATCTGAATACTGAGAAGTAGAAGGACACCAGACTTCAGTCATGTCTTATGCGTCTTGGTTAAATAACTATTTTAACACAGACTTTTTTTCATTTAAAAAAGATAAAAAAACTTCAAAGGTATAAAGCAAGTGCTGTCCAATAGAAATAGAATGTGAGCCACACGTATAATTTTAAAGTTTCTAGGAGCCATGAAAAAAATAAGAAACAGGCAAAAATTAGAATAATGTATTTTATTTAGCCCAATATATTCAAATGTTATCATTTCAACAGGTAATCAACATAAAAAGTATTACTATTATACACTTTTCCATACTAAGTCTGAAATCTGGTGTGCATTTTACACTTAGAGCACACATCAATTTGGACTGGTCACATTTCAAGAGCTCAGTAGCCACATCTGGCTAGTGGCTATTGTAATGGACAGTGCAGGTACAGACTATCTCAGGGGAGAGACACAGGAACCTATGGTATAGTCTGTGGGGAGGGTATGAGAGTGAAAGGGAGAAGTGCTGTTCACTGGATATTCTTCCATCTTCCTTGAATTATCAAATACATGTATCACGTAAGAATTTTTTTAAATAAATCTCATCTAGATACATCAAATTTAAGCACATCTTAGACCAATCATCAAAATAAAAAGTTTCCTATCCCAAGAGTCTCAAAGACTTGTCAAAAGAATGTAGAAGATCCCCTATCTTCAAAAGGGATGATTTGTTTTGTTTTCACAGAGATTTGTGTTATTATATGGAGACAGTATTTTAAAAGTTGGTTGCTTTGCTCAGTGATAGGAGAAATCAATGTGGGTAAAATTACTTAAAAATTAGGACACATGGATAAAAACTACCAACATGGTTAACACAAATGATGGCTAAAACTTATTAGAAGCCTTTATCACTTCATGTGTTATAGCATCAAAGACATTTTTTCCTTCCATTTCAACAGGATATTTTTTCCTTTTCCTCTTCCACTTACCTAATCATTCTTATCAGGCTCATTTCTTGCCCATAAAACCAACTGCCTCAAGGGGACATGTACTATACCTGCAGCATTAGTGGTAGCAAGAGTTTAAGAAGATCATCATCCATTGGTCTGATCTTTTCTAAAACATCCAGGATCCATGTCAAATATTCGTGTTTTTCTAACATTCCTTCCTTAAATGAACAAAGAAAAATTACATTAATAATGTTAAAGAAAAAAAACAAAAAAGGCACTGTCATTCTTATGCTTAAGTCTAACTGTACTACTGTTTTTGTTGTTGTTAAACATAGTCTCATTGCTCACAGTCCAAATTCTAAACAAAACAAATAACTAATATGTTTTGTATAGTTTTTTTTGTTTTTTAGAAATCTGCTCCAAATTGAGAAAAATTCATTCCAACAATGAAAAAAAAAAATTTCAGAAGCTTTCACACCCCCAGTGTGTGTCAGGGTCCTGGCTAGATTTCGGGGGAGTATGAACTCATGCTCATAGAAGGAAACTTGGGTAACAGTGATAATTATAAAGAAGATAAGCACTGCTCATGCCATCATCTTAACAAAAGTGTGAAAATCCCATCAGACCCAATGCCCCCTTAATAGCTTCTTCCACTATCCCAAAATTAGTTTCAGATACTATCACCTATCTATAAAATACAACCTTAAAAATCAATGACCTAATATACAGAAATGAAAGGAATTTATGATAAAATAATGTATAAACATTTCAACACAACTACAATAAAAAACAGTAATACCCCCTACAATTTCCAAAAATGCCCCACGGGGGTGACACAGACCCTATAGAGACCACTAATCTTGATATAAGCACTACAAACATCTTTTGTCTCTTGCCTTCATATGCATATACACATAGATAAACACATTATTTTATGACATTCTATGCACATATAGATTTAATATCCTATTATAGTTTTGTATTATGATTCACAGAATGAAAGAAAGAAACAAAAAACTGTTTTCTGGGAAAGACATATACTTTTATGGTCATTCTGGTAACAAACTTAGTAGTTCATATGAAATCTTACTTTGTTCCTAGCAACTGTTATGTATTACCAGTGTTCCACTGCAATGGTTATCAAGGATTCATGTGAAAATATTACACTGATAAATTACAGTTGTAGTATTTCAAAGTTTACAGTGAGGCCACATTGACATGACATCTTGCTAATTTCTAATTTTTAAAATGTTTACAGTCAAAAATAGTTAAAAAGTCACATAAAAAGTGCAATTTAAAATTTTAAGACCAATAAAGTGAGTTCTAAATAAATATATATACAGTTTTCATTTGTCAATTTAAAAATTAATTAAAATTTTTTTAAAAAAGAGACAAAATGGAATTTTCCATTAAGGTATAAGAGATGGTAAATTCAAGATTCAAAAAAACAAAGAGAATCTTCATAAATAACAGTCCATCCTGTAGATGCTTTGTTTATATACCCATGCCCTTGTTTCTGCATATACATGTCTTCACGTGTATGAATTAGGGTGTGTTTCACATTTCAGAATACGGCAAATTAAAATATAATGAACATTTAAATTTTAACATTACTATTTCGATTATATTCATTCCTTTAGGACCTAACTGCTTTCTTAAAAAAAAAAAAATTCTAATTTCAATACTCCTAATACGTAATTCTTCCAGAACCATTAAACATGCTGAGAGATACTTTTTCCAAGATGCAGACTAAATTCTGAGCCCAGTAAAAGTCATAAAAGCTCAGGGCAGCACTAAAGTAGTCCCTCTTCTAAATGGAACTAGAATTTATTTTTACTGACTTAAAAACTAACAATATTACTTCTCAAAAAGACCTTATTTTTTCCTATGTTGACCTCTTAGAAGAGGAGCATGAAAATTATAATAAAGGTTCTAAAGGGAAAATTTAGAAACCACATGTCCCCTCCCTCTTTAATCAAGATAACAGGCACTAAAATCTCTGCTAATAATAAGACTTGAACTGAAGTCATCTCTCTTACCTTACCATGAATAAGGTAATTAAGAGCCCAAACGCCCTCTTCTGGTCAACATTATTTACATCAGCTTGTCTGGGTGAGAGTTCAGTCATTCCTAAACGCCCTTACCCCTCCCCTCAGCTCTGTTTGTATTTTCAGCTGCAGCTGAATTAAGATGACCTTTCTCTGGAACAACTTAGGTCTAAAGGAGGTCTGCTACCACAGAAGGCATCAGCACAAAGGTGTTTTTAAATAAATATATCCAATTTTGCAAAATAAAAGGTTTAGAAGGATTACATTTAATAGTGCAATTACGAACTAATTAATAGCACTAAAAGAGCTAACATGATTGAAAGCTGGAGATCAATATGTATAATAAGCTGTCATCCCAGGGCAGATGTGTCACCCTGAATACAATTCGATGTGAGAAATGTCAGACTGCTTTCTTTGAATGTATTGGTTCATGTAAAATAGGATTTAACCCCAGAACACCAAACTATAAGGAATTTGCTGTCTTCTTAAAAGCATTGCACACAACTCTGCATGTCTTCAAAAGGTTACCTGGAACATGTGAAATGCTAGCTTTTCGTTGTATTCCCATTGCTTCATGGCTTGCTCCACCTCTGGTGGCACAGGGACAGGGCCATCGCCCGTGCTGGAGGCCATGTGGTAAAAGTCAGAAATCTTGGCCAACTGCTCTCGAAGATATCTGGTAGATATCTGTGTCCACTCTGCATTTTAAAAAAAGAAAAATATGAGTTTCTAGACACAATGGGTACAAGAATTACATGTTTTCTTCCCCATTCTGATTATCTCGAGGGTGTACTGATAAAACAAACATCTGCTCCCTAAAAATGATCTGTGCCTGTACAAGCAGTGCTCAGAAAAGGATACCCACCCAAAGCCCTTAGAGAACGCATGCTAGTGTGAGGTGGCCTGCCCTGTGGCAGCAGCCAGCTCTCGGAGAAACAGGCAGCTCTACCCTTGTGCTTCTGTGACTCTTAACCTAGGAGAAGAGATGTTCACTCTCGAATTGGGTCCATCTGGTGATCCTCCTTGTTAAACATCAGTTAGTATATCAAAAAAACAAAGGCAAAGCAGGACAGAATCGTGAAGGGGAGATCTCAAGGAATCTCAAATTCCACAGCAAAAGAATTCAAAATCCCCCAAAAGCAGCTCTCTTAGGATCCATTTTTCAGGCTCCACATGGAATTTCAAATATGCCTAATTAAGATTTGTTTGTTTTTGTCAGTCTTTAAGAGGACAGACATTCATTCACTGCGGGCTGGACCATGAAAGCATTCCAACCCGCACTGCCCCAGGATGTGTCAGGGACACCCGCATGGCTTCCCTCAGGACAATCATCTGGATCTTCAATTATTCTACTCTCCTCAACCAACACCAAGTGTCTCAAAACTCAGGGAGGGTGAAATCAGAGAGGTTGGGGAGCAACAAACAGTGGGATACTGGAAAGGAAACAACCAAAGTAGCAACAGGAAAAAAATCACTGAAATTGTTCAAAAATGTCTGCCACAGGGGCACAAATTAAATCAGTGTGTTGCCTCTGGCAACCATGAGGGATGTGATGCCAACTTTAGCCCATTCTGTGGATAAAAATGTAATAATTGCATGCTCACAGCCAAATTTCCCCAAGGATTAGCAAAACAGCATTTCAGAAGAAAACACCCTACTGAAACATTACCACACAATGCTGTTTTCCCATTATTCAGCAATAGGTTCTCCCACCTTCTATTTTGACAAAAGAAAGAGTAGAAACTAAACATCTGCTAGTCACTGAGTGCTTTGTTTTTACTTTTTAAATACCCTTAAAATTATTTAACAGAACCCAGAGATAACTACTGTTAAGTTTTCATCTAAACCACTTATTTTAATTGTGTCTTATTTAAAATTCAAATTCAAATGCACGCTGGAGTTGTTAAACTTCGGTAACAAGCCAATGCGAAAAGACGAACAAATACTAGGTCGACATTCTGTTCCTAGTTTAATAGTTTTTCTGAAAGCACCGATAACAGATATTAAAGTTAGTCCATTGGCATTAAAAACAGTAAACTATCTATGTCATCATGTTCTTCTGTCCTGTTATGGACTAACAGTCTCATGACACTCACTTGTTCAACAAAACGAAATACCAACCATCAGATGAGACAAGTTTAGCTTAGCTATAATAAGCAAAAACAAAAATAACAAGGATCCAAATCCTAACTTTTGTATGCCAACCCTTGCTATTAACTCACTGTCAGTATGGTACTATTCTCAATATCCCCACTGAATATTTTAGCCTCAGGAGCTAAAAATATTAATAACACACACATTCATACACCCCTATTTTGTCTAGGGTATATCTCCTTTTTAAGATTTTTTAAAATATAGGAGAAATACGCGTTCATTATAGAAAATTTATACTGCAGACATGAAAAGAAAAACCATCTGTAAGGCCATCACCTATAATCACAAAATATTTTCATATATATCTTTCCATCTTTTCTACTCTAAGTATGCATGAATGTTTCTATAAACATATGCATATCTTTTTTAAAAACGTTGCTGAATATACTATTCCACAATCTGAACTCCTTTTGGGAGTCCATAAATAAAGCCCTCTTAACCCTGTGCTTTAAGTGTATTTAACTGACTTAAAGTTATGTCAATCAGATAGCTACAGGGCTCTGGGACATAAGACAGTCGAGTGGATGCGGATTAGTAAAACTGCAATTAAAAATTAAAAATAGAAAATAACACATAGTGACTAGTACTGTACTCCTTAATAATTATTAATAATGTTTATAATTATTCACGACTAGAGAATGGTAATGAAACCGGACCAATGAGCGGACAGTGGCCAGACGGGCCTATTTTCAACTCAGCTCTCAGCCCTGAGTGCACAGCAGAATGGTGACGGGAACTTTTAACAAATACCACTGCCTTAGGCCCCAACCCATCAGTTTCTAATTTAATTGGTCTGGAGTGAGGCCCCAGTTTCAGGTGACAAAAAGAAAACAGAAGGCCGGGTGAGGTAGCTCACACCTGTAATCCTAGCACTTTGGGAGGCAGAGGCAGGCCAATCACCTGAGGTCAGGAGTTCAAGACCAGCCTGGCCAACATGGCGAAACCCCGTCTCTACTAAAAATACAAAAATTAGTCAGACATGGTAGTGGGTGCCTTTAATCCCAGCTACTCAGGAGGCTGAGGCAGGAGAATCACTTGAAGCTGGGAGGCAGAGGTTGCAGTGAGCCGAGATCACACCACTTCACTCCAGCATGGGCAACAGAGCAAGAGTCTGTCTCAAAAAAAAAAAAAAAAAAAAAAGAAAGAAAACAGAAACGGATACATACAGATTATACTGAAGATGAAGGGGCGGGGAATGTTCAGGGGTAGAAAATACAAAGAAAGTGACTATGCAAGCTACTCTGAAAGTAGAGCAGTTCTAAATTCAGGCAATGCAGATGATATGAATACATGTGTAGTTGTTGATGTTAAATAGAACTTAATGTCCATGAAGCCAGATTATTAGAAAGTTTATGATCATGAATGTTACTGAGAGTGGTGTGAGGGGTCAGGATTGAAAAGAATGACAGCTTTTTTGGACCATACTCTACCTAGCATCCAGAATTCTGGAACCACTATTCCTTCCTTGTTAATGCCTAACCCTAGGAACAGAAGGCTGACCTGGAAGGGGTTTCAGGGGTCATGCAGTCCACCCTACCATTTTAGAGTTATTAGCACTGTGATCTTGGTCACCGATGCATAGCTAAAACAGTAGTACACTGAGTGCTTTGTTTTAGTAGTACAAAAATTGTGCCTTGCTCTAGTATATGAAAACACGTAAATTATAAACACATAATGGGTGACAGCAGAGATGTGTCACATTACATACAAGCAGCTCCTCCCAGGCCTGGGATACCTGCAGTATTAAAGAGAGAAATGGAAGCTCAGCAGAGGAGGAACACCCGCCATGGAGGCAAATACAGAGCACACCAAATGAAGTGAGGCTCACAAAGGTCACTGGCGGTGTTACACCACCAGAGAGGTAGTGTAGGGCAGCATTTAGTGCTATTAGCAGAATGGACTTTGGAACAGGATGGCCTGGGGTCCAAATCTCAGATCTGCCACATATTAGTTGTGCAACCTGGAGCAAGGCATTTACCTCTGCTAAATCTCAATCTCATTTTAAAGAGAGGCATTAATAATATACATATGCCTCAGAGTCACTGTAAGGATGAGTCACTTAGCATGAAGCATGCAACACGGAAATCAATAAGTGGTAGCTATTATCACCATCAGGATGAAAGTCAGTAGAAAGGAAACTGATAGACCTTGAGTATCAATAGACAGCACCTGCTGTCACCAATGTCAGACCCTGCCTCTGCCTCAGCTGAGTTAACACCCCATGATTAATATAATCCAGGCAATGCTCTGGATAAGTATTTACGGAATCAATCAATGTCAGTTTCACTGTTCAGTACCTTCGATGGGCCAGGCGGTGGCTCACACCTGTAATCCCAACACTTTGGGAGGCTGAGGCAGGACGATTGCTTGAGACTAGGAGTTTGAGGCCAGCCTGGGCAACACTGTGAGACATCATTGTTACAAAAAAATCAACAAAATTAGCCAGGCATGGTGGCACACACCTATAGTCCCAGCTGCTCAGCAGGCTTAAGTCAGAAGGCCGCTTGAGCCCAGGAGATAAAACCTGCAGTGAGCCCAGATTGCTCTACTGCACTCCAGCCTGGGCAACCGAGTGAGACCCTGTCTCCAAAAAAAAAAAAAAAAAAAAAAAAAAAAAAACCACCTTCAACTGATCCACAATTCTTAATGAATTAAGGACAAACTCCTTAGCTAGGAATTAAAATCATTTCAAACACTATCTACCATTTCTCACCACCATGCTAGCTCCAGTTGCTTTCTCTCCCATGTTTACAGTGCTTTATCCATCTAAAATACAGGCATACTTCATTTTATTGCACTTTGCCTTACTGGGCTTTGTAAATACTGCATTTTTTAAGAAACTGAAGGTTTGTGGCATCATTTTCCCAACAGCATATGTTCACATCATGACTCTGTGTTACATTTTGGTAATTCCCTCAACGTTTCAAACTTTTCAGTTATTATTATGTCTGTTATGGTGATCTGTAATCAGTCATCTTTGAGTGACTATTGTAAATGTCTTGAGGTGCCACGAACCATTCCCATATAAGACAGCCAACTTAATGGATAAATGTTGCGTGTGTTCTGGCTGTTGCATCAACCTGTCTCTGTCCCATATCTCTCTTCCCACCCCCCACCCAACTTCAGGCCTCCCTATTTCCTGAGACACAATATTAAAATTAGGCCAATGAATGAACCTACAATAACCTTTAAGTGTTCAAGTGAAGAGTCGCACATCTCACTGTAAATCAAAAGCTAGAAATGATTAAGCTCAGCGAGGAAGGCATGTTAAAAGCCAAGACAGGCCAGAAGCAAGGTCTCTTATGCCAAACAGCCAACCTGTGGACGCAAAGGAAAGGATCTCAAAGGAAATTAAAAATGCTACTTCAGGCTGGGTGCGGTGGCTCACGCCTGTAATCCCAGCACTTTGGGAGGCAGAGGCATGCGGATCACGTGGTCAGGAGATGGAGACCATCCTGGCTAACACGGTGAAACACCGTCTCTACTAAAAATACAAAAAATTAGCTGGGTGTGGTGGCGGGCGCCTGTAGTCCCAGCTATTCAAGAGGCTGAGGCAGGAGAATGGCGTGAACCCCGGGACGTGGAGCTTGCAGTGAGCCCAGATGGCGCCACTGCACTCCAGCCTGGGCAACACAATGAGACTCTATCTCAAAAAAAAAAAAAAAAAAAAAAAGCTACTTCAGCAGTCATACAAATGATAAGAAAGCAAAACAACTTTATTGCTGATAGGGAGCAAGTTTCAGCAGTCTGGATAGAAGATCAAACCAGCCACAACATGCCCTTTAGGCAAAAGCCTAATCCAGGGCAAGGCCTCAACTCTCTTCAATTCTATGAAGGCTAAGAGAGGAAGCTACAGAAGAAAAGTCGGAATCTAGCAGGAGCTAGTACGTGAAGTTTAAGGAAAGAAGCCATTGTCACAACATGGAAGTATAAGGTGAAGCAGCAATGCTGACGTAGAAGCTGCCACAAGTGATCCAGAAGATCTAGCTGGGATCATTGATGAAGGTGACTACAGTGAACAACAGATTTTCAAGTTAGACAAAACAGCCTTCTGTTGGAAGAAGATGCCATCCAGGACTTTCATAGCTAGAAAAGAGAAGTCAAGGCCTGTCCTTAAAAGACAGGCTGACTTTCCTGTTAGGGACTGATATGGCTGATGACTAACCTAAAACCAATGCTAATTCACCATTTGGAAAAGCCTATAGCCTTTAAGAATTATGTTAAATCTAGTCCGTCTGTTCTCTGTAAATAAAACAACAAAGCCTGGAGGACAGGACATTTGTTTACAGCACGGCTTACAGAATATTTTTAAGCCCACTCTTGAGATCTACTGCTCAGAAAAAAGAGAGATACCTTTCAAAACATGACTGTTCACTGACAAAGCACCTGGTCACCCAAGAGCTCTGATGGAGATGTACAAGGAGATTAATGTTGTTTTCATGCCTGTTAACACAACATCCATTCTGTAGCCCATGATCAAGTAATTTTGACTTTCAAATATTATTATTTAAGACATATATTTCATTAGGCCATAGCTGCCACAGATAGTGATTCCTCTGAAGGATCTGGGCACAGTAAACTGAAAAGCTTCTGGAAAGGATTTACCATTCTAGATACCATTAAGAACACTTGTGATTCATGTGTCAGGGGGTCAAATATTGACTTCCATAGGAGTTTGTAAGAAGTTGATTCCAACCTTTATGGACGAGTTTGAGAGGTTCAAGACTTCAGTGGAGGAGACAGCAACAGATGTGGAAACAGCAAGAGAACTAGAATTAGAAGGGGAGCCTGAAGATGGGACTGAATTGCTGCAACCTCCCAGTAAAATTAAGCATGAAGAGTTGCCTCTCATAAATGAGCAAACAAAGTGGTTTCTTCAGATGGAATCTACTCCTGGTGAAGATGTTGTGAACACTGCTGAAATGACAACAAAGGATTTGGAATATTCCATAAACTTCGTTGATGAAACAGTAGCAGAGTTTGAGAGGACTGACTCCAATTTTGTAAAATGTTACCAAACAGCATCACATGCTACATAGAATTCTTTCATAAAATGAAGAGTCAATGAATGTGGCAAACTTCATTACTGTCTTACTTTAAGACTTAAATTGCTACATCCACCCCCAACCTCCAGCAGCCACCACCTAGATCAGTCAGCAGCCATCAACCCTGAGGCAAGACCTTCTGCTAGCCAAAAGGTTACAACTCAGTGAAGGCTCAGATGACTGTCAGCATTTTTAGGGATGAAGTATTCCTTAATTAAGATGTTACTTTTTTTGACATATGCTATTGCACACTTAATGGACTACAATACAGTGTAAACATAACTTTTATATGCACTACGAAACCAAAATATTCATGTGATTCACTTTATTGTAGCAGTCTGGAACCCATAATATCTCTGAAGAATGTCTGTACCTTCTCTACTTGCCTGTATTCTAACATTTAGTTCCCTCTAGTCTCTGAACACCACTTCATCACCTAGCAGGGCTTTGTCTCCCGTCTCTGACATATTACAATTTCCTCCATCCTCCATCCCCGTAAAACTACACCTTACACGTAGACAACACCTAAGTATTGATTTCAATCAATACACCATAAGGTCCTCCCAAAATAACTACCAAATCAAGTTCCCTCCCAATGATTCTCTCATTTCTTGAAACAAACTTATTTCTTTTGTAGTTTAAACTCACCACTGCACACCTAAAAGGTTTCAAACATGACAACAGGGAAAAGGCCAAATTCCTTCTCTAATACACTGTCTCTAATATAGCTAAATAGAAGCACCTGTTAATCAATGGCTATAAATGGGCCGGGCAAATATTGGACTTTCCATTCTTTTTCAATAAATTTCCTTGTAAATGTATGTGTATGTATAGGTTTTTATATAACCATATATGAAAAAACTAACTTTGTAAAGATTCATTTTCCTAGCTACTTCCTTTTCCATCATCAAAGCCAGTGGGAACTCACTATGTGAAATGAAATGCAACAGAGATTGTTTTTTTTAAAACTCCAACCAAGTCCAGAGACTAAGGAGCAAATCTTTAAGGTGATCCACCTGACACAGCACTTTAAGTCAGAGGTGATGGACTCCTCAATGGAGAAATTCATTTCCTTGGAAATCCTTCTTTAGGCTATATGACTACAATAATACCCCCTTCTGAGTGTGAACAGCCTGCTTCTCAAAGCTGCAGGACATAGAGGGTTTAACCAGCCTGACGTTGGTGCAGACTGAATGAGAGAAAAAATGCAAAATCAAAAATTTCAGTACATGTCAGCTATTATATATACCATTACTCAACCCTCAGTAAGAATGGCTGAAAGATTTTCCACCATTTTTCTCACATTTTCTGTTGTTAAAATACTTTTTTGATCAAAGACACAATTAACAGGGTGAAAAGATAACACACCAATTGGGAGAGAATATTTCAAATCATATATAAAGGAGTTGGATCTAGAATACATGATGAACTATTAAACTCAATAATAAAAAGACAACCCAGTTAAAAAATAGGCAAAGGATCTGAACAGACATTTCTCCAAAAATAATAAACAAATGGCCAATAAGCACATTTAAGATGGTCAACACCATTAGCCGATAGAGAAATGCAAATCAAAACCATAATGAAATACCGCTAGGACAGCTATAATAAAAAGACTGATAATAACAAGTATTGACAAGAATGTAGAGAAACTGAAATCCTCAGGTGTTCCCCACGGGAATATAAAATGATAAATGTAATATGTGGAAAACAGTAGGATAGTTCCACAAAAGGTTAAATATAATGTCATCACATAATCCAGTAAGTTATACATACCCAGGAGAACTAGCCTGTATATCTAAGAGAAATGACACATGTCCACACAAAGACCTGTAAACAAATGTTCATAGCAGGATGTTCATTATAACCAAAAAGTGAAAACAATCCAATATCCGTCAGCTGATACCCAGATAAATAAAATGTGGCATATGCATACAATGGAACACCATTCGGCCCTAAGAGAGAATGAAGTACTGAAACCTGCTACCACATGGATGTACCAGGAAAACATACACTAACTGAAACAAGCCAGTTTCAAAGGACCACATGTTGTATAATTCCATTTATATAAAATGTCCACAAAAGGCAAATCTACAGAGAAAGTAGGTTAGTGGTTGCCTGCGGCTACTGAAGGCAAATGGGGAGTGACTGCTCATGGGCATGGGGTTTTTCAGGGGTAGCGAAAATGTTCTAAAATGTGGTTAATAGCTTCACAGCTCTGTGAACATGCTAAAAAACACTGACCGTAGACTTTAAATGGATGAATTATATAGTATTTCAATTATATCAATAAAGCTGGTTTTTTAATATTCAAATATTTAAAATGTCTTCTTGAAGTACTTAACTACCAATAAAATGAAGTAAAAGATTATTTCTTCATGAAGTAAAAGAAAAGATTACTCCATACTGATAAAAAGTAAAACACTAGGAAATGATATAATTTCACAGGTGGGGGGAGACAGAGAGGATAAGGGGTAGAAACAAGAGTGACTGTGAGTCAATGGTTAAAGCTGGGTGAAGAGTAAATGGGTGTTATTATATACTTCTATATTTGTACATGTTTGATGTCCCATAATAAAAGGGTTTAAAAGTTAATCAGTTGTACCCTATAAAATGAGCCACAGAAAATCCAAAATCCCATACTCAGCCACTGTTCACATGGGGAATGAAAAGTAGTCAGTGCACTGATTGGCTGCCTGGATAAATAGCCCAAATGAAAACTGCTGCCTCAGTGCCACAAGACCAGCAGAGTCAGACCACTGGCCAGACTGCTGGGTTCTGCTGAATGATCAGATAGTTAAATCAGGTTCTCTGGCTGGAGAGCAGGAAAAGAGAGAAAAGGAGGAGGGGTGGGGATGGGCTGTTGGTACACAGTGGAAATGACACAGCGTGATACATTACTGAAATACATTTTTGCTTTTAAAAAGTTTTCCTCTAACAGAATTACCTGTAGAACACTGGGGACAAATACAGAGTGCCTGTTTTTGTCTGGATGACTCATTTTACTATGTTATTTTAAACCAGCCATTTCCCTCTGGTTTTAATTATTGTGCAATGACACCGTGCAAAGTACTATTACTTAGGGATCAAGTAGGCAGCTCAAGATCAAATAAAATAAAACCCATCAATATGTAGCAGCAAACACTAAATGCCTACCACGACCCTCTACTGGGATATGAGGCTACAAAGAGAAGAAAGTGGCCCTGCCTGAGGTGCACATGACACAAAAGTAGACAGCAACAAGGTAAGTGCTCCATTGTACCCTGAGACCCAGGAAAGGAAGCAAAGAGGCGTTTCATCCACATATTGGGGAAGGTACAAAGGAGTTCCACACACAGAAATGGCAGCGTGTGACATTTCAGGCAATGCAGATGGCAGGAAGGCAGAGGGAGTCACCAGTGAGGCGCAGGAAGGTCCCCAGAGGCCAGAGTTCCTCAAACGCTAGTGCACAAAATGGTCACCAGAGGGTGCTGGTTCAACGCACACGTTTATTTCCAACTCCAGGGATTTCAACTCCAGAGGTCTGGAGTCGGGTGGAGAAATCTGCTTTTTTAATCAGCAGCCTGGAGGACTCTGACCCAGGCAGTGGCAAGCTATGGAGTTTGGTTTTTTATCACAAATGGGTAACTGAAACATTTTAAACACAGCAACGGCAAGATCAGATACGTAAATTAACGCTATTTCTCAGGAAGTTGTAGGGGAAACCCTGGAAAGGAGGCTGCCAACTCCATCAGGGAGGTGACTGCAGCAGGGAACAAAGAGGCAGGTGCGACACCTTTGTGAGGCAGAAGAGGAAACACCCTAAAGTGGAGATGAAGGAAAGAGAAAGGGCAGCTAACACATTTCCGAATGGGTGGTCCTGGTGCCATCAACGGAGATGTGGAATTACAGAGAACAGCTGGGGAGGGGTGGCAGGGCTGGGTTCAGTTTGTTATTTCCTTAACTTGTTTTAATGAAACTTCTTATTTTGAGATAACTGTAGATTCACATCCAAGTGTAAGAAAGAGATCCCATGGACACTTTACTTAGTTTTGCCAAATGTTAACTTCCTTCAAATCTATAGTACAATATCGCAACCAGCATACTGACACTGAGGCAACTCACCAATCTTACCCAGGTTTCCCAGTTTTCAGTTTAGTTTTGAATACGCCAGATTTAAAATGCTGGAGATATTCATGGGAAAATATGTTAAGGAGCAGGTGGATATGCAAGTCTGATACTCAGAAGGGTCAGGGGAAAGATGCAAATGTAGCGAACATTACCATATGTGGGATGCAATGCCTTAAAGAATGTGTTCATGACTACAGAAGTACCTAGCAGACACAATCCTGGGGACAGACCAGTTTATCATGCAGAGTAACAATATTGGTAGTGCACTCGCTGTGCACTGGCCCTCTTCTAAGCCCCTGACATGCATTAACTAGCTTAAGAGTGGTGAAGGGCACAGGTTCTAGAGTTAGCTGGCCTGGTTCCTGCCCTGGCTCCAATCACTTACCAGCTTTGGAGTTTTAGAGCAAGTCAGCCCCTGGGTGCTTCAGTTACTTGCCTGTAAAACAGGGCTAGTAAGTGTTCTTAGCCTATACAGAATTATTTTGAGGATTAAATGAGATGCAACATGCTAAAACAGTGACTGGCACAGAGCGAGGGCCCAGAAGAAAGCAAACTTACATGGTTTACAAGGCTGGGTAGGGAGGAGGCTACAAAAAAGGAGGAAGTAACCTTAGGTGAAAGTAGCATCTCTCCAACCAAGACTGGAGGAAGACGGGTAAGGACAACCGCTGCAGGTAGGTTTACATGATGCAGGTATGTCGGGGGCGGCAGTGAATAGGTCACTGAGGGAAACTGACAGGACTGTTCCTCTGGGATGTTCCTGGGACAGGTGGTGGGGAAGGGAAGGAAGACTGAAGAGAGAGGTGAAGAGGTGAAGATATGACCAGCCACAGTGAGTGAAGGGCCCTCTGCCTAAGGAGTGAATAACACAGCTGAGGAAGGGGGGCAGTACCCCAGGAAAGACAAGGCCATTATAAGGCAATATCTAAATACTTGCCCAGTTGTGTGTCAGGTAGTCAATGCTTAAGATTTCAGAAGAAAAGAGACCAGCGTGGCCAAGTCAGAAAACAGGGGGCCGAGGCCTCTGACAAGGATACAAAAATAGGGGAGAGGGGTCGACAAGGGAGGGTCTGACAAGAGCACAAAAGTCTTGTACTGCAAGGTTGCATGGAAACTCCCGACTGCATCTTTCTTCCTGTGAGGTTGCTGGGCTGTATCTGATAGCTGAGGAGAACCACACTGGACACCTTTCTTGGATTCTCCCTTTCACTCACAGGTCTCCAATTCTCATTTTCATTTTAACGTAAACATGCTAACTGTCGCATTTAGGGATTTTTTTTTCCCCCAGTTGTCCTTTTTCCCTATCAACCCTGTACATGCATCTCAAGCTAAGGCATGCGGCAACCACAGAATCCAATTTTAGCCCTTAGAACAAGAATTTCTTATTTGACACATCAGTCACACCACCAGCTTCCCCCACAGCTACAGTTTCGGGGGCTTCCTTCTAACAGAGGGACACACTGAACATGTGCCACCAACAGGCTCAGCTCCTTCTCCAGGGCATGAGATAGCAGTCTGAAATTAATGTTGGAATTATCATATGGTAAATTTCTGTCATCTTTTCAGATTTCTATATATACCTGAGTGAGCAACAGCCTTGGCTTTGGTGAAATATTCGTATCATAGGGAATAACAGGGACAGCATTTTTACAAATATTAAATTGGTGCACTTAATTAACCACTTAGGACATATCCCCACAGCCTTCTACATGTGACACCAAGTCATGAGTTTTACTGCCCCAGGACAGGAGGACTGTAGGAAGATGTAAGACTTGTCTTCTAGCAAGACACACAGGCCACCACTTTGCTTCTGTGTAGAGAACACACCTCTGTGCACTCCTCTGGCCAGGTCTTGGGGGACAATGCTGTAGAAGGGAGAAGAGGAGACATGGGGAAGAAAGGGAAGGCACCCACCCTCCTGAAGATTCAGGGGAATGGGAGCAAAAGAAAAACGGAGGACAAGCACTGGTGAAAGATACTTGCTGCTAGCCCCACTCTGAAGACACAGAAGTTATTTAAATTATTACATCAGACATTTCACGACCCTCACCTCCTCTCCCAGCTTCTGCTGCAGAGGCAGTGGGAGGAAGCGCCCAATCATCTGAGGAGCAAAAATAAACAAACTACATTTTCTTTTTTCACTTTGCATTGGAATTTAATCCCATGATCAGCTGTAGTTAGAGTAACGTTTCAATAGTTAAAGTGGCATTGTGCTTACTATTTAGGTCCTAAATGCAGTTACTGTAAAGTTTCTATTTCTGAACAAGCTTTAGACAGCTAAGAGTCTTTCATTAGAACACAAATACGACAGACATCATATTGCCAGATGACCGTGTAAAATAACCCTAGAGCAAAAAGCTCTAAAACACAGCAAAAATGCTTACACAGTACACAGACCAGCCAGATCCACCCCGGCTTCCCTCTCATTCCCTGCTCCGGAACTCACTCCTGTGTGATTTTTCTGGAGACTAAAGAATGATGCATGTTATGTTCATTTAATTAAAGCTATTTGCTTTAGCTGTGTTAGATTCACAAAGACATTCCAACTATAATTTATTGACCCTTAACTGTTTTCTACCCGGCATACCCTATGAATTCCTTGACTACAAAATAACAGATTTGAATCAGGCTTTAGAGCCATGTTATTCCAGGGATTTCACTTGGAAGTTTATACACATTTGGAAAATGACTTTGAAACCTAATGTACTTCTTTTTAATTAAAAAAAAAAAAAGCTTTCTATTTATCATGGAATTAACATTCCAGTGCAAATTGCAAAAATAAAGAACCTAGCTTTTATAAATAAGTCATTAAAAGGTTAGCTTAGAGCCATTTAAAAAACAAGGCCACTGTATGCACAGTATGGAGCAAGCACCAATTTTTTAAAGGACTGTTAAAAAATACACAAAATCTACACTTAAAAATACATGAAATATATCTCAGAGGATATGCATGAAACTGGTAAGAATTATTGCTTCTAAACTATGTAAGGAGGGGTCTGGGATAGAGGTAGGGGGTCTGAAGACAGTATGTTAGAAAGGAGACTTCACTATCCCTTTCTGAACATTTTGTGTTTTGGACCACATTTTGTAATATTACCTATTAGAAATTTTAGCTCATACAAGAAGCTATCTTTTCTTAAAATTCTCTTGTTTATGCTTTAAGCAACAGATCTGCAAGATGCCCAACAAATTAAAACTCATTAAACATTGAGCTTTTGGAAGCATTCTTCATACCTTAAGCAAACACCATTCCCCCACTCAGCTTCACACAGTTGATCTTCATTTGATGTGAGCAGCATGCAAATTCTGTAAATCAAACAGGACCCAGAAACAGAAGTCTAGGATGGAATTTCCCATTCTTCCACTTTCCACGAACTTTGTCCCCTCATTTGTGAAATGGAGGCACTCAACTACCTCAGAGAATTTTCAAGAAAACTAGCCCAAATGAGAAGCTACGAAACCAGCCTGTAAACTGCCAAGACTTTGAACAAGCTTATTTTGTAGTATACTATCTTCCAAGTATGCACGTATATACCAATAGCCATAAAGAGGGTAGGGAACCATGATTTACCAATTAAATCAAGGTTCTTATTAACATTTTATCATAGAAGATGACTGATTAATTCAAGTGGGAGTGAACATTTACTAGGACTGACTAGAAAAAACTGTTGAGTAGCAATGGATTCTTAACAGAAAATGTGGGACTAGACCATTCACCCAAAGTGACAAGACCAGAAGAAATGACAGTAGTAAAGACTGCAGCGAATATACTATCTGGAACAGAACTATAAACTTAATTCATTTGCTCATAAGTTGCCAAAGAGGAAGATGGAAGATAACTGAAGAACCAAGAACTACTTAAGATCCAAAAAACAGAGTAAAAAATCCCAATTCTTACTTAAAGGCTAGATTTCTTTAAGGCATAGCTCATATTTTACTACTACAGAAAACTTTCCCTAATTTTTCCAGTCGATCCATTATTTCCTATATGATTACAGGTAATTAGATACTAATGTATTATGCTCCGTTTTAGGTGTGTATCTTGTAACCACAAAAAGATGGTATCCCCTTACAGACAAACAGCACAGCCCCCATTTGGTTAAAAATCTTCACAGCATCTACCCCAATGCACAGACTCTTGATAAACCTTTTTTAAACTAAATCACTCCTTATTCAAGTGAAATACAGTAATTTCTTTCAATGCATTTCTCTAAGAAATTCAAAAACTGGCCAGGCCCAGTGGCTCATGCCTGTAATCCCAGCACTTTTGGAGGTCAAAGCAGGTGGATCACGAGGTCAGGATTTCGAGACCAGCCTGGCCAACACAGTGAAACCCCGTCTCTACTAACAAAAAAAAAAAAACAAAAAAAACAAAAAAAAAAACGCCAGGCACGGTGGCTCACGCCTGTAATCCCAGCACTGTGGGAGGCCAAGGCAGGTGGATCACAAGGTCAGGAGATCGAGACCATCATGGCTAACATGGTGAAACCCCATCTCTACTAAAAATACAAAAACTTAGCTGGGCGTCGTGGCGGGTGCCTGTAGTCCCAGCTACTCGGGAGGCTGAGGCAGGAGAATGGCGTGAACCTGGGATGCGGAGTTTGCAGTGAGCCGAGATCGTGCCACTGCACTCCAGCCTGGGCAACAGAGCGAGACTCCCTCTCAAAAAACAAACAAACAAACAAACAAACAAACAAACAAAATTATCTGCGTGTGGAGGCACGTGCCTGTAATCGCAGCTACTCGGGAGGCTGAGGCAGGAGAATGACTTGAACCCGGGAGGCAGAGGTTGCAATGAGCCAAGACCAGGCCATTGCACTCCAGCCTGGGCGACAGAACAAGACTCTGTCTCAAAAAATAAATAATAAATAAATAAATTCAAAAACTATCATGGGCATACATTTTCTTTGATTTCACCAAAAAATTAATTAAACATAAATATACAACCACCACAACCACACACCAGCATTCTAACTTGGAAGAGGGTATAATATTTTTACTTTGGAAAAGCTGAAATATGTTTCCACAGGGCAACAATCGGGCACATAGAGTTACAGTGCAGCATATTAAACTTGATTAGAACTTTTTAAAGTTTCTGTAAATCAGCAAAGTATGATGGCAGTAGCCAGAGGCTGGTGGAGGGGGAGAAAGGGGAGTTGTTCAATGGGCAGTTTCAGTTTTGCAAGAGAAAAAAGTTCTACAAATCAGTTGTACAACAATGTGCATTGAGTTAATACTGCTGTACCATACACTTATTGTTGGTTACAATGGTAAATTTTATGTTATTTTACGTTAATAAAGGGTCTGTAAATAGGGAAAATTTGCATATTCAATTAACTAAAAAGCTACATACCTGGAAAAATATTAGAGGTCTTCCAATTTTTACAAAGAACATCTACTTCATTTAAGTTAAGGTCCCAAAAAGCAAGTAGTTAGCTTAGAGAAAAGTAAGCTCTTGCAATTTATCTAAGAATAACTAAATTGTAATGCTACTGGGTAAGATGGCATTCCTTAAACTTCCTCCAAATCTTTTTCATAAAACATTCTTACAGCAAGATATCTTCCAGGAAAAGTACCAATGACAACAAAAAATAGGCAGTAATAATTTGGGACTGCGATTAGGCTTAGCTAACTTTTGTTTATATGAAAGCTCCTCTTGTGCATGTCTTAAAGAGTCCAATAGTTCTATATGATTTATTGTGAACACAACAGCCTATTGTCCATAAACTCCTCAATTATTCTCCAAAAGCAAATTATTTTCAACTCTTTCATCTGTTGTATTTACCTCTACCTCTAAATAACATGCTTACAGTCCTACTTCCTGATTGTAAGCATTACCCACTGGCTTCCTACATGGAAGATGATGAACATTCAGCTCTCTTTCACCTCCCATCAAGACCTTGCTTACATATTTCTCCTATGCCTGTCCCGCCAATATTCTCCTCTCACAACTTGAGTAGGTCTAGTCCATGTTAATACTATGAAGGAAAACTTGGCAGAATCTAACAAAATGGAAAAATGCACTTACCAGGCATCAATAAGAATTCATGTTTAGCTCAAGAGATAACACAATCACATATAAAAATATTTATAAATATATGTACATACATGAGTTAGTCCACACACATGCATCTCCTTAATCTGTCAACTGAGAGGGCCTAGAAGCAGTGACACCCCAAGTAGCAATAAGCACTCTTTGTGCTCAACTCTTGGTTTCTAATACCACTCTCCTTTAAAGACAACCAGGGCTCCTTGGAGAAATGGCTCATTATAGGATTGGAACAGAAAATATACACAATGAACATGGAATGCACCTTCTAGTGCCAGAAAAGAAGAAAGTACTTAGAAAGACAAAAACAAAAGCAAACTAAGATGGGTATGTCAAATGGACACAGGACACAGCTGAAAGAGCTCTCAATGGACAAAGGTGGAACAAAATAGAGTATTATAAACCAAAAGATGAAGTAAACATCTATGAATCAATACTGATAGAAATGCTTGAATACATACATACATTAATGAATGAAAGAATAGTAGGTAGGTAGGCAGGTAGGTAGGTAGGTAGGTAGATAAGAGACAAATCACCCATGCAGAAGAATTTTAAATAAGTAGATACTCTGCCCTCAAGGAGGGGGATGGTTAACTCCCCACTTCTTAAGTGTGGACTGTCCATATTACTTCCTTCCAAAGAGTAAAGTGTGGAAAGGGATGGGAGGGAAATAACTTTACACTGTAAAACCTGGTAAGTGCTACCTCAGCCAGGTGATCAAGGTTAACATCAATAGTCATAAGTCATGGTGATAGCATGTACCCTTGATGTAACATGATGAGAATGACATTTGACTTCTGTAACCCTGGTCTAACCATAAGAAAAATATCAGACAAATTCCAACAGAAGATAACCCTACAATATACCTGACTAGTACTCCTCAAAACTGTCAAACATCACTGAAACTGAGAAAATGTCACAGCCAAGAGAAGCCTAGGGAGATATGAGAACTAAATGTAATATAATATCCTGAATAAGATCCTGAAATGGAAAAGGGTCATTAGGTTAAAACTAAGGAAATCCAAAGTATGGACTGACTTTTATAATAATCAATATTGGTTCATTAATTATAATAAATGTATCATATTAATGCAAAATGTTAATAATGGGAGAAACTGTTTGCAAGGGTGAGAGAATGCATGGGAACTCTGTACTATCTTCTCAATTTCTCTGTAAATCTAAAAAGTTTTTTTAACATTTTTGAAATAAAAACAAGGGACTGGCCAAACTGTGGTACATCCACACAATGAAGGACTAAGAGGCCACAAAAAGGAACAGAGAACATCAAGTAATCACTAGGATATTGTTAAGTTAAAAAAAAAGGCAAGGTATCCAACAGTATATATAGTATGCTAATTACTATGTAAGGAGAAAGAAGAAATAAGAAGATATAAGTATTTGCATATTTTTTGCAAAAATAAAAACTGGAAGATTAAAAACTAGTAAGAAATGGTTACATCTGAAGATGGGGTAAAGGGAATTGTGTGAAAAGATGGAGATAGAAGCAAAACTTCTGCACATCTTTATATAGTTTTGACTCTTGAATATGTCAAGGTATTACATATTCAAAATATAAAATTAGTTCATAAGGGAAAAAAATCAAACCCTAAAATGGAAAACAAACTGAAACAGTGTACCTTACTGCAGAGAGAATCATTTTAAGTGAAACACAGTGTAAAGCTTAAAAAAAAAAAATTTCACATACTTTTAATGTATCAGATTATAATTCTCAAGCCAATATGTTTGTAGCAAGATGAAGCAGGTAAGTAACCATGTTCATTTACTAGAAATCATTTGATTGTTCATGTAATAGAAATGAAATAAACATAAAATTGAAGAAATTACTAAAAACTCTTTCTTGTTAAATAGGAAATGCTAAAGATAAGCTGGAAATAGGAAAACCCCCACATACATGCACACACATGCAGATATGTGTGTCTCCATCCATTTACCCACTGATGGGGCCTAGACACAACATCCCAGTAGCAATGAGCACCTTTAGCACCCAGATCTTGCTTTCTAAATACCATTCCCCACTAGAAAGAAGCAGAGTTCCTTAGACAAAAGGCTCTTTGGAGATCTGAGGCAGGAAAATTACAAGCGCCTGGGACATCTTTCTGTGCCAGAAAGCAAGGAGATGTCCCATGACAAATGGTGTCATGTCAAAAGTTTACAAGGAGCTAGAAGGGTCTCTGGCCAATTTTGGGGCAATTTTAACACGAAATTTAACAGAAGTGTACTTGGTTGTAAAATACAGAATAAATAAAACTTCATGAGCCCATAACAATGATCAAAAATAAACTTTTTTTCGTTCTTTTTTTTTTTTTTCTTTTTTTTTTTGAGACGGAGTCTACCTCTGTTACCAGGCTGGAGTGCAGTGGTGCGATCTCAGCTCACTACAACCTCCGCCTCCCAGGTTCAAGCGATTCTCCTGCCTCAGCCTCCTGAGTAGCTGGGATTACAGGCACATGCCGCCATGCCCAGTTAATTTTTGTATTTTTAGTAGAGATGGGGTTTCACCATGTTGGCCAGGATGGTCTTGATCTCCTGACCTCGTGATCCACCCACCTTAGCCTCCCAAAGTGCTGGAATTACAGGTGTGAGCCACCGCACACAGCCTAAACTTTTTTAATAAATAAAAAAATAGAGAAACATTTTTCACCACTGTGGAGATGCAACAATTTCTACTCCCAAAATTGAAATCAAAGGAAAAGAATTTAGCATTTATTCTGCCTTTTTTAGAAAGAACTGTAATTTATCACATGAGAGAAAGCCCTCATTTACTGAAGAATGCCTACATCTTGCCATTCCCAAAGAAATAACTATTCCAGGCTCAGTTCATCAACAGATGTTAAAACTTTTAGGTAAAAGATTATTGAGGAATGGAATAGCTGCAGGTACCAAAGTCTCACCCCCAATAGCCCCATTCCTTCTATTGGAGAATGGTTTTTACCAGATAGCCAGAGTTACCTCACCGGTTAAAACCTATTTTTCATGCCTAAGCAAAGTGTGAATTTAAACTAAGCTTATACAAGCACTTCTGTCCAATCTTCAGGATTACTTTCAGCATAAACAAGGCAGATATCGCCTTTATGACAAATGAGATAGAAGGAACACTGTGAAAATGTGGAGGCAATCTTGACAAAACTAAACGCTTGTCCCTGGAATCAAAAAAGTTAGTATGCAATGTCTTCACAGACCCAAACTGCAAGTAAGCTGGTAGGCTTAGATAAGAAACCAGACTGTCAATTATGAGTTTAGCAGGACTTATTTTTGCAGTCCAAATGGCTCAGTGAATATGTCACAAATTAATTACCCACTGTGAAAGAAGGGTGGCTGTTTATTCTTTGTATTTTGGGAGCGATAAGGATAGTGGTTACAAGAGTATAGTCAACCAAGAAAAGTCTCTCATCTGACTCAAATCCCCACAAAACCTCAGGTGGCACAGAGGAAATGACTAGGGGTAAACAGAGCAGTGCCCCAGGCAGTTTAACCACGAAGCATTTTAAGCTTCTTTGAATCTATCTGTTCCCCCAAAAAAGACCTCATGCGCATGATATGTCTTGTCACTTTTCACCATATTGAATACCCAAAAATTCCTAGGCAGAATTAAGGCTGCTCATCTTGCAAGCAGTTTCATATTTCTTTCTCTAGTTGCCATGGCACCCTGGACTTTGCTTTGCTCCTCCTGTTCCCCATAGCACCCATGAGAACAAGAGTTCTGACTCCTCAGATGCTGCTCAGAGCCACCAGTCCCGCAGCCTGCTTCCTGCCAGCATCTTTCCACCTAGAGATGCTTGTTGCCTCCAGTGGCCCAGACCCACACCACACACAGGCCACCAGCAGCTATCACCTCACAGCGAGGAGTGAGGAGCAGGCACTCTAGTGGCAGGTGCCTGGGCAGGGATCCAACTCCATCTAGGCCAGCAAGTTACTTAACTTCTCTGAGACTCAGGTCCCTCATACACAAAATGGAATAATGAAACCTACATTGCAAGGTTACAGATAAAGTCTGCAAAGTTCCCAACGGAGTAACACAGGATAATCAATAAATACTGGCTGGTAACAGCAGTTCTAAGTAGCAGTTGTCGCATATTATCAATGGTCTACATTTACTGTATGCCAGTCACTGTTCTAAACACTTTAAAGGTATCGATTCATTTCATTCTTAAAAAGTACTATCAGGCCAGGTGTGGTAGCTCACGCCTGTAATCCCAGCCCTTTGGGAGGCCAAGGTGGGCAGATCACCTGAGGTCAGGAGTTCAAGACCAACCTGGCCAACATGGTGAAACCTCGTCTCTACAAAAATTAGAGGAGCACGATGGCAGGTGCCTGTAATCCCAGCTACTTGGGAGGCTGAGGTGGGAGAATTGCTTGAACCTGAGAGCGGAGGTTGGCGTGAGCCGAGATCACACCAATGCACTCCAGCCTGAGCAACAGAGGAGACTCCATCTCAAATAAAAATAAATAAATAAATAAGTACTGTCAATTATCCTTATTTTTTTACAGACAAGAAACTGAGGGAAAGAGTCATAACAATAATAGTAATAATAAACCCTTCCATGGCTTTTCATCATGCACCAGAGGGAACTCACATATCTCACTCTGGCAAACAAACCTTCACACAGGCTTTCAGCACCTCCCCACTGGTAACTGATGCTCAAGCTGAAGTTAAATCCTGGAGGTGCAACAAGTCAAACTATTTGATAACGTATTTCTCTGCAGACTTCATCCTTCTGTCAGAAATGCCCTTCCCTGAACAACAGCCCACTCCAGCTGTGTCCTCCTAGGAAGCGTCTCTTCTTGCAAAAGTATACACCTAAGTCACTTCCTCTGTGAATCTCCTGGATGTCCCAAGTTCCCTCAGTGGCTTATTCCTTAAGACTTCCTCTGTATTTTCTTCCTGTCACTATGAAGTCTTCCTTCTCTAATATTTGATTGTTTGGATGCATGTCCCCTACTCATACTGCAAATACCTAGAGGGCAGTGATTACACTGTCACACTCTTGTCCTCACTGACCAGTGGTGTCCAGCACAGGCTCTGGAGCCAAGTTTGGACACTTACGCTGAGGGGTTCTGTGCACCACCTGCACATCACCATCCTCATCCACGAAATGAGAATAACGTATCTCTTTCACAGGCTATCTGAATAATAAGTCATAAAACGGACAAAATATACATAGAACCCAGCAAACATTTACTAATGAAATGGGGAACACTGTATCACTGCACAACAGAAGAACCGTGGCAGAGAGCCAATAGACCTGGTGAGGGACTGACCATTTTCAAACAGGCCAAAAAAAAAAAAAAAACAACCCCACAACAGCAAGGGATGGGGCATTCCCATGGCTGACAAGCTTCTCCAAACAACCTAGATCATTACCCAGCACACATCGGGAGCTGATTCAACCTTGAAATGCAGTTAGCACCGTATCCCTGCTTATCACAATACCGGGGATTCCATAAGTGCTCAAGAAATGCTGTTAACAGTGACAGCAATAACAGCAATAAATGCTGTAGTTATTATTAGTTGATTCAGCAACAATAAGACTCCTCATGGGGAAAATTCCTATAAATAAATGTACAAAATTCCGTTATTTACTATAAAGTCATATTTCCTAATCTGTTCAAAGACTTCAATTGCATAACTCAATGTGAGTTTTACTTTTTCATTTTTAAGTATTAGCTAGCCTGTTTTAAATAATTTTCTCTGGTGAGCTCAAAATATTTAAGGCAGCTGAACAATCTTGTTCTCTTAAAAATGAAACTTAATTCAACTCTAAAAATATCTGAAACCGAACATGCATTATTTCTGGCGTACTCTCCCTCAAGTAGCAACATCAACTATTTCATGACATTTTCTAAACATCGTGTCCACCTAAACCTTTTTTTTTTTTCAGGTCTCACAAGGACTAAGAATTACAAACTCTTCTTTCAGGCTTCCCTAATTCCCCTCTATTTAAAATCTCTGTCCTGATACTCAGATTTGTCCAAGTCAAATATTTCATTACCCACTTTGAAGTTACACATGAGACCTCACTCAGAAACCCAAGGCGCTTCTCACTCCTCTCACTTTTGTGTATACAGTGTACTGGGTACATCTTTGCTGACTGCAAGCTCCCCAGGGCAGCAACCCATTTAATCTACATTTGAGATCTGTAACTCTCTGCATAACGACAGTAAGGATCTCTGTGTTGCTCCTTGTTGCTGTGAGCCCACTTAACTTTGGGAAAAGTTCCCTTCAATAAAATCAAACAGCAGTGCTTTATAGCTCTGCTCCAATGCTGAAAGTAGGAACTGAAAATAAAACACGTTTCTATTACAAAGGAATAAAAGTCATTTCTACCGAAAACACTTTACAAATCCTAATAACAATCATCAAGACAACGGAAGTCATAAAACCAATGCCAGAAAAGGATGACACTTGATAGTCAATCTTTTCCCAAACGTGCTGAATGATTCTTTTTGCTATCAATGCCAGAACACAGAACCTATTACTAGAAGTTAATCTTCTGAAGTGTATGTGATTTAATCCAATTCAACACATATATATGTGTGTACTCCCTTGGCTGTATCCCTTGCTAGGAGTGTGAAACTTGCTACATTACATTATGGCTATGTCTACACAGCCAAATGCTTTCAAATATACTGTATAATTTGCTTTTAAAAGTTGAAAAAGCTGCTGACGACAAAGGCGAATGTCAGAGGTATCAGGTGTAACAAAGTGATAGTAAAACAAGATTAGATATTTGGAAAACATGCTCTTTTCATATAGTATAAACAGAATCCTTCATTTTCAATTAAAATACATATAAGAATATAGAGAAAGGAACTGTATATTTACACAGGTAAATTACTAATTACAAAGGGTAGAATAGTAACTTTGAAGGAGAAAAATCCGATAGACACCACCTTACCCAAATCATCAAAGTTACCACCATCAGTATTGGGATATGATACACTGATACATTCACAGCATCACCTCCAGGCTATTCCAAGCAAAGGTATGTAACTTAAATCTATTAATGAGAAACTGGAGAAAGGAAAAATCAATGGACAGTCTACAAAATAACTGGTGTGCCTCCTTCAAAAATATCAAGGTCAAAAGAAAATGGCTAATGAACTGTTCTAGATTAAAGACAACTAAAAAAACATGACAAAGGCAACACAGACACTGGATTGAATCAAGGTTGAAAAGACTGATGTCTGGAGAAGCTAAGGACTTTGCATTAAATCACCTTGTCTCTTAGTGGCAGCACTGATAAAAGTAAAGCCCAAAGCTCCCTCTGAGATGGTAGACCTGGGAACTTAGGGGTAAACTCCTGAAATTCATACATTTTAAAAATATTTCTCTTTTTAGCCTTTGGCCTGTCTTAGTTCAAAGCCTGGATACTCTAACATAAGAAATATTATTATAGGCACTTGATCTTCATGGAGTTAATATTCACAATTTTAAATATACATTAATAATCATAAAAACCCATGAACTGCAATATACTGTAAATCAACTGGATCAAAAAACAGAATCGTATGTTATCTGGCTTACAGAGGAAGAAAAAATACAGCTAGTGACTAAACCTAATAATCCATCCATTATGGGTATGCAAAAAATAAAAGTTTTAACTTTTTGGTGGGGAGAAAAATAACCCTCCAAAGTCCAACCAGCCATAGTGATAAGGAAATTAATGGTAAAACTAATGAATCCAACAAGTCCATAACGTTCTTAAGTAGAAACTGGAGCTATACTTCCCTCCATTTCTCCATTTAGTAGGGGAAATCATGTGGTCCTGGTGAAACACTCATATCTGGGATTTCCCAGAAATTACATAACCTTTCCAAATTATCAAGATCTATCAAACTGTTTTTTGTTTTTGTTTGTTTGTTTGTTTTTTGAGGGAGAGGGTCTCTCTCTGTTGCCCAGGCTGGAGTGCAGTGGCTCAATCCCAGCTCACTGCAGCCTCAACTTCCTAGACTCAAGCTATCCCCTCACCTCAGCCTCCTGAGTAGCTGGGAATACAGGTGTGCACCACCACACCTTACTAATTTTTTTGGTGGGGAGGGTTGGAGAGACAAAGTCTCACTATGTTGCCTAGATTGGTCTTAAACTTCTGGGCTCAAGCGATCTTCCTGCCCTGTTCTCCCAAAGTGGTGGGATTATAGGCATGAGCCACCATGCCTGGCTTGAACTCTTATTTGCTCTAAAATCGTTTTAAGTTTCAGTTGTAAAAATCATTCCTGCACTTCCTTTTTGCATTTTTGTAGCAGTCGAAGTCAGATTAAATTGAACATCAGGAAAAACACTGACAAGAACATGTTACCAAAAAAATATATATTAAGAGAACATAAGGAATGGAGTAGTCTCTCCGATATAGCTGGTGATAATGAAAGTTTCAAGGATTATCAATTGGGAGAAATTTTTTTAAATACATACATACACAGATGCAGAAATATGTAATCACATCACACACACACACAAACATAAATGTTTCAGGCCTAATTATTCATTTATTTATTTTAAAGATTACTGACCACCTTGTGTATGCCAAGTACTGTCTTCAGAGACTCAGCACTGAACAAATCTAGCGAAGTCCTTCATGGAGCCTGTGTTGTACTTGGGAGTGGATGTAGACAGATGATCAAAAATTAATAAAAAATATAACATCAGATGGTGTTAAGAACAATGAAGAAAAATAAAGCAGAATAAGAAGACAGTAACAGGGAGATATTTTGGCAGCAGTGGTTGGAGAAGGCTTTTCTTAGGAAGCGCGTCTGGGCAGAGACCACAGTGGAGCAAGGGAGCAGGCCCATGTGCACCCACAGGTGAAGGAAGAGCCGCGCCCACAGGTCAGCAGAGCTCTGAGTTTGGAATGTGCAGGCAGGTCGCTGGCGTCGCTGAGTTACACAATCTGAGTGGGACAAGGGGCCATGCAAGAATTCTGGGCATAAGGGTGGCGTAATTTCTGCCCTAACAGGATCATTCTGGCTACAAAGTGGAAAGCTGACATTAGAGGAAGAAAAACAAAAACAAGAAGATTGGCTAAAACCCTGCCATAGACAGGCAAAGGTGGTGGTGGTTTGGCCAGAGTAACAGCAGGGACACAGAAGACCAAGTTTTCAGATTCTGGTTTTATTTTGAAAGTAAAGATGACAAGATTGTTGACGGACTGAATGTAGGATTTTGAGAGAAAGATAAATACCAGGAATGACAATTTGGCTCTTACCCTTACCCATCCAATAACTACACATAACATTTACTAAGAAGAAATGTCAGGAAGAAACAGTTAAGGGATGACAAGAAATCAAGACCTTGATTTGATATACATTATGGTTCAGATGCCGATTCAGACACTTCAGATGTCATCAAAGTGAAGGTGGCTAGTAAGCAATTGGATATCCAGGTCCTGGGGAGAAGTATTAATAAATCCAATGGAGACTGGTTGGGCAGTGGCTCACCCTGTAATCCCAGTACTCTGGGTGGTGCAGGTGAGAGGATCACTTGAGCCCAGGCATTCCAAAAAAGCCTGGGCAACACAGTGAGACCCTGTCTCTACAAAACATTAAAGAATTAGCCAGGCATGGTGACACACGCCTATAGTCCCAACAACTTGAGAGGCTGAGGCAGGAAGATCACTTCAGCCCAGGAGTTTGAGGAAGCAGTGAGTTATGATCATGCCACTGCACTCCAACATGGGTGACTGAGACCCCCCACCTCTAAAAATAAATAAATAAATAAGTTAATCCAGTGGAGATACACACACACACACACACACACACACACACACACAAATGTAGATATATGAAGAAATATGTGTGTGTGAAGGCTGAACTTTGCTGAATGAATGAAACTTCAAAAAGGATAACAGAGGAGAAGGGAGAAGAGAAACCTGAACATCATGTTGTATCTACTTCAGCACTATTTGAAAATTTTGTAATGAAAATGTATTACTTTAGTAATAAAAAGGGGCACTTCTTTTGTATTCCCTCAAATAAAATAAAATGCTGATGGGGGGAATAAACTCAGAGAAATATAAAGATAATAGAAGACCACCGTGAAAACAACACTAAGAGGCCATCACTGTTAACTTGTGGATTACTACCTTCTAGTATTTTTTCCTGGGCATTTCTTCTCTAAAATACAGTTTCTTTTTGCTTATTTCTTTTAACACGTATAGGATGATGCTGAACTCAAAGATGGCAGCCACAGAATTCAGACCATGTTTTTGTTTTTAATTTTAAGTGTTCATGCTTTTTAGAGTGTGCTCCAATCACACCACTCCCCACCACTTTATACCCCAACTCATTTATCCAGGGCACCACCTGGCATCTGAAGACGTCTGTACTTTCTGTCCCTCCTCCTCAGAGATTTGTGATTGGACTCTCCCTTACAAAACCATAAGCTGTTTTCATTTCATAAGGAATTATTTATAAACCCAATCTCTAAATGGTCATATTTATATATAACTCTTTATGTACATTTCTGGTTTAGCATCACATCTTCTACAAAGCATGCTTTAGCACCACCTCAAGAAGTCACAGTCTAGAAACCAACATAGTGGGGACTCTGACTCAAAATACTGACCATGGCCAGCATAACTCTGGACACTGGGGACTTGGTGAGAATAAGACCAACATTCCTGCCCTTATGGGCCTTACATTTTAGTGTATGTGAGGTGGGGCACAGAGTGACAGATACAAATATTTTAAACATAATTTCAGATATTGAGATGGACATTGAATAAAATAATAACGTGAGAACATAACCAGAAGTAGAGGGAGAAGAGAGAAAGAGAGGGAATGCAATTTAGGTAGGTGGCCAGAGAAAGCCTCCTGCAGAAATGACATTTGAGCCAAAGCTGCAATGAAGAGACAGAAGCATGCAAATATTCCAGAGAAGACCAACCAAGTACAACAAACAAGAAACACAGAAGCCCTGAAAAGGGAAGGAGCTCTGCTCAGCATATTAGGGAGATAGAAGGAAGGCACTGTGGCTGGAACATCACAGGAAGGGGGGGAGCCGGGGGTGGGGGCAGATCAGCGATGACTTCACTGGCCACAGTAAAGAATCTGGATCTGTATTCCCACTGTAATAAAAAATTGCTGCAAATTTATAAATAGAAACACAATATACCATTTAGGTTTGGAGATTAGTATAGTAGTTATGCAGAGAATACAATGTAAGGAGCAAAAGTAACAGCAGAGAAAGCTGCTAGAAGGCTGTGACTCCAACCAGTTAAGAGATGTCGGTGGCTTGAACCAGCATTTCAACAGCTGTGGTGGTGAAAAGTGTTCAGATTCAGGATATATTTTGGCAGTAAGATCAACAGCCCTTGCTAATGGAGTCAGGATTCTGAGACTGAGTGAACTAGGAACAGCTGCCCTATCCATACCCGAGCAAATCAGTCTCACCACGGACCTTCTCAACACTCACCATGCTGGGCTGTATCCAGAGGGTACAGGCAACAATTACTTGCAAAATCAATAATGAAATGTAAGGTGTATTGTATTCTCTCACTTACCCAAATTCGGATCAGGAGCCTGACGTTTCTTAATTTTAGCTTCAGATATAGCAGAATAATAGGCACAAGTCATCTTGATCAGCCACGTTGCTCGAACCATTGGCACAGAATATTTAGCTAAATATGCAAAAACATCCTCTTTTTTACTAAGGATAGGAACCTAAAAAGAAACAACATAGTATATTTATAATAATCACGTACTGTGTTCATCACTAGATAAACCTAAATAAAGGGGAAGCAAAAGAAAGAGTCTGTAAGTTACCTGCTGGCCCTAAGAAAGTATATCCTTGATGGATTTTCAAATAGTGCATGTAGTTTTTGTTTTTTTAAAGGAACATTTTAAGCCAATTTTCATTAAGAAAAAAATAATCAAAACTAGGTGTAGCACAATATAAAACTTTCACTAGTTGTGCTTTCCATTTTTTTTAAATAAATGATTTTCAAATTCTCAGATGCTGAGAGCTACTCATCTTATCAACAGAGCAAGGAAAAATAATTTCATGACAGTCCTCCAAAGAATTTATCTCAAAATTGGAAGGGACAGACCAAGTGAAAATTGTCCCTACTCTATATTTTATCCAGGACCTTTTTTTGTGTGTGTACAAAGCTTTCTGATTAAAATTTCATAAGAGTAACAATTTCCAGAAAGCTTCTAAAAGTGACATTAGTACAAAATTTAAAAGAGAGACTACAATGATGGATCAGTGAATCTGCCTAATAAACACTGAGCCAGAAATAGCTAGGTAATTAATTTACTGGTTGAAATTAGGCACTTGAGGCAGTTAATTATGTCTTCCAGACCACAAAGGTACTATTTAGCAAATTAGTATCCCAATGTACACTGAATGGTTTGAAAGAGTTAATTCATTCTTCTAGTATCCCTCATAAATATCCTAAGAATAGCCCATTCATCTATATCATCTATTCAAGTTTATGAATATAAAGGAAGAAAAACAGTGAACAAAGACTATATTAGCCACGATGCAGCAGGATGAGAGCAATGAGACTGAGGGCCAAGGACATGCCCCACGCCAGCCATGACCCCCTCTGTACTCCACTCCTGAATGAAACCTGTTTGGCTAAGCCCTTCATTCCTGGGATCCTCATTTATGAGCTGTGTTATTAACATCAACCCTGTCCACCTCACAGGGTAGTTATAAGGATAAAGCAAAACAATTACATGAATCAAAATTACAATGATTATTTTGTTGTCAGTTCCAAGGATTTCTCCATGCCAACCAAAGTGCTTTCAGGCCATGGATGTGACCCTTTCTTAGAGGATCCTGAACATCACTACTATAAATACCAAGAGCCCTGGTCTCTCTGTCCCAAACTCTTACTTGATTTTGTGAAAATCAAGGCTTCAAACCAGCTAACTGATTGATATAGCATGGCATTTTTCTCTTAACCAAATCCTCACTCATACAGTGGATATCTGTGCACTGACATGTCACAAATTTGACCATTCACACACTTGGTACAAAGTGTGATCCTAGAATAATTCTTTTTAAGAGCTCATTCTTTTAGTATGTGGCCCTTAAAAACAAGCAAACTATTTCACCTGGTCTTGCCAAAGAACCATAAAGCTTTTCAATGCTGAAGGAAAAGCTGCCTGGGTTGCACAGTAAGATGCAGCATATAGGCCCTGCACGGCAGCTCAGGACTATTAATACCAGCACTTTGGGAAGCAGAAGCAGGTGGATCACTTGAGCCTAGGAGTTTGAGACCAGCCTGGGCAGCATGGCAAAACCTTACTAAAAATATAAAAATCAGGTGAGTGTGGTGGCACACACCTGTGGCCCTAGCTACTCAGGAGGCTGAGGTGGGAGAATTGCTTGAGCCTGGGAGGTGGAGGTTGCAGTGAGCCAAGATCATGCCACTGCACTCCAGTCTGGGCAATACAGCAAGATCATGTCTCAAAAAAAAAAAAAAAAAAGAGGATGCAGTATATCCACATACATATTTTATGGGCAATTGAAGAGACTTTAGGTCATGTACAGTTCCTGCCTTGGGTGCTGACTTCAGAACACAGACCCCATGACAGAGGCGATTACACTGCACACAACACAACTAAACAGGAGATAAAAGTCATATAGGCCAACGCTAGAAGGCTTCCTCTCTGCAGACAGATACTAAATTTTATCTCTTTTAGACAAAAAAGATACAACTTAACAGGAACATTTCCTGAAAATCAGGCTTACAAGGCACATCTCTCATGGAGCACAAGGCTCTCGGTTTACTGGCCATCATTTAAGTCAGGGACAAGAAAAGCACAGAGTTCAATATTCAGTTCAAGACCCGAGTTGCTGCTTTTCACTAGAATGTACAGTGTGGTGTCAGTGAGTTAAATTTTCATTGTCAAGGTGAGACTGTCTCTCATTCAGACATGCCAAAAGGTTATACAGGTCAAGGCCTAAAACATAAACAAGCGCAAGTTAGCATCTCCAACACAGTCACCACTAGTAGTTATCTTTCACAGATGCCTAAAGGATTTCCTTTGAACTACAATTGGCAGAGGGGAAAAAATAAAACATCTGAATTTGTGAAATGTTTAGATGAGACAGCAAACAAAACTCAGCACAGATCTTACATTAACAGCACAATGCAAACCTCTACCTCACTGTCTCCGTACTAGCAGAACCCCATGAGAACTGGCTGATGCAAATCAAGACTTCGGAATTAAGAAGAACATATGTGAAAGAAGTTACTCAATTAAGAAAGCAGACCGACCAGACACATATTAATAATTTTGTCAAATCTACAGTTGGGCCCACTCAAAAAGAAAAATACGTTTATATTGACTAAAGTATTGACTTCCTCACCTTGTTGCATTACATGTTATTCAGTAAAGAATCCATCTGATTTTAAATGATAGCTAAAACTTGGCAATCACAGGGCAGTTGTCTGGTTCTAAATCAAGCTACAGCCGCATCTAAGTACAGAGAAAATTAAGACACCTAGCATGTGCTGGCTTTCAATCCACAAAAGGGTGTCCTATCACCTTTCTCCTTGGATGCACGTTATCACTGCATCCTCTGTTTGCTAAGCAAGGGTAAAGGCAAAAGAAAATTTCACAGACCACAGTAATCAAAGTCACCTGAAGGGAACAGGTGAGAGTTAATGAACTGCTCAAGACCTGGAAGAATATCCCTAGATGCCAGAAGTCTCCTTTTCCAAATCTATCTACAATTGTGATTGAGTTAAAAGGTCCTTTACAAGCCTCTCTGTGGATAAACGCCTTGGCGCGCTGTGAAGCTTCACAGTAGCAGAAAACCAGGTCCTGAAACATGATCCATACAGGAAACTATTATGAACTCAAGGTAAGATTTCAAAGATGACTCAGGATCTTAGCAAGTAAACCCAGGCTTTCAACCTTAAGCCATCGCACAGATGAATACCAAAAATTAAAGAAGTATTTGAACTTTCTATTATGAAGAACATGCAGAGAATGTATTGCTTTACCCCATTCTAAAAGAGATTTCACCATCTCAAGAAGATGATATGCTGAGGAGGGAAGGGGAAGGATTCTTGAAATGCTCAAGAAATGAATAATTCAAGGTATATTTAATCATTTTATAAAGAAACCATCTTCAAGTTTGCAAAGAATTAACATCAGGGCTTACCTGAGGAACACCTGACTTGGCCAGAGGCAGCTCCCAATAAAGAAAGAAGAATAATGGCTAACACACTGCACCATGATTCAACTTCCTCCTACAAGAGGAGAAACCACTACTTCGCTAGAGCAAGGGCATCAACTCCTCAAGAGTAGCAAATCCAAAATATGCACTCTAAAAACTTATGAAAAAAGAAAACCTAAATGGAAAGATGTCAGGCTGGCAACATGGAAAGTATGAACTGTTAGTCAACAGCCATCAAATATTGAAGGATGCCCTATGACTTATATGGCCTTCAGATACAATTCATAGGCCACAGTGGGACCACAAAGTAAATATTCACCACTGGAAAAGAAGTCATACATGGTTCAGCCTGGATTGAGACAGTGGTACTAACTGAATGGTAAGAGGTGGTTATGCTGACTGTTACACTCTTCCAAGATTTCAGTTGCCTTTCACCACTGAAATCTATGCAAGGCAATACAATGTTATGACATTAAGGCAAAATAAAGCCAATGGAAGCTACAGACACTATTTTCAAAGAGTTGCTTTGGAAAATAGGCAAATATACAAAAGAGCTCCCCTATAAACTGGGCCTGTACCAAGCTGGTAAGGAAAACTTAATACTAAGAACAGAAGACAGGCACTCCTAACACTAAAGGGCCTTAGAAGAGATAAGAAAAGACCCCTGGGATTATTTCAAAGTTGTGCAAGAAATCAGAGATCAGGACTATAAGCGAGGTTTCTAGTTTCTTATATAAATTTCAAGAGGTATCTTATACTGTTTGGACCACAAGATTGTTGAATCTATGTATTATTTCCCACTTGAGAAAAATGACCAAAGGCAAAGATTTTAAAAGAACCTCCCACATCCCCTCCCCTATAAAAAAAGCTAGAAGCTATGAATAAACCTGCCCATTTTGTTCTAAAAATTTTTCAAAGAACAAGCACACACAGAATCACAATCTTTATCTTGCTTGGTAGGAAGGAGACAGCTTGAAGCATTTGGATGGATACTTTTAAAGACAAGAAAATAACCTCAAAGCAAGAATCTTTTTAACAAATCTTGGACATCTTGGCCTAAGAAAACTGGAAATGTAATTTTTTTTTAAATGAAGGCTTCTTGCCTGTTCTTGATTTTAAAATCTTGTCTACCTAAAATCCACATAAACAGCTTGATATGCAGAATGTTTAGGGATTTATAGATGTCCTAGGCACTACATGCAATCAAAATAAAGGGGAAAACAGCATGGAGTAACACCCACCTGGGACCACAAACCTGCCAATAGGCTTGCAGTCTCAAAAAGAATTGGGAAAAACAAATATATACTTGAATATTATCCCAAACAGCTGATTATAAGACCATAACTAAAACAATGTAAGAAATATTTGATACCTTTTTTGCCAAAATAGAAAGTGGCTTATTTCCTGCTAAGTCAGAAAACCAACTATGAATTGCACTCTGGGATCGAGCAGTAACCAGCCAATAATTATCTTTAGCATTAACTTGTGGTTTCTTCTTTCCCGTGTCCTGGAAAGTGTTAAGCTTCAGTTTCTCAGCTAATATGCTGCTAAAATAAGCTCCAATCTGTGGAAAGAAGAGAAAAAAAGGGAAAGTTAAGACAATAAGCAAGTAGCTTAGTACTGTACATTAGTATTTTTCTTTATTGTTTCAATTGAAAATCTTCATACATCCCATCAGAAAATAAATTGGGAATTTAAGTCTTTGAAGCCAAGAGATGTGATTTCCTTACACTAACTCTGATACACAGCACCTTTATACCACTACTCACAAGTAGTTTGGCGGAGGGGGTTAAGGAGAGCCTTTGGAAATCTCTGCTAAGATGAAATTAATTACATCCTGAATAAATTTCAGTAGAATGGGTTCTGCTTTAATCCTTCAGCTGCTCTTTCTCCTTTCTAATACTACGCACCCGTCAGGAGAGAATGCTTTCCCTGAGAGGAGAAAGCCTAGTAATCACTCGGTAATCATTCTTTTTCTTGTTTCATCTTAATAGCACTTATTTTTGGAAAGGAAACTCGGTATTTACACTCAATGCTTTTAAACAAAGAGTCTAGAGAAATTTAATTTATTTAAATGGAAAATTACAAAAGGTTCAATTAAATTTGGTATTCAACATTTTTTATTGGGCTGCCAATTTCAAAACTACAATGTTTCAAGAGAAAGCTAGTATTACCTGCTCTGAATGAGGCAAAGTGGCAAAGAAAGCTACTATGAATTACTGTATCATTTTCATATTAACCAAATTAAAGATGGACAAGGAAAAAAGAAAGGAACAGGAAAGAAGTAACAAGAAGGCAAAGAACAAAGTAATATCTAAAAATTTAGTGAATCTCACTGGGTATGGTGGCTCACGCCTGTAATCACGGCACTTTGGGAAGCCAAGGCAGGCGGATCACCTGAGGTCAAGAGTTCGAGACCAGCCTGGCCAACACAGTGAAACCGCATCTCTACTAAAAAAAAAAAATACAAAATTAGCCTGGCATGCGCTTATAATCCCACCTACTCGGGAGGCTGAGGCATGAGAATCACTTGAACCCAGGAGCCAGAGGTTGCAGTGAGCCAAGATCACACCACTGCACTCCAGCCTGGATGACAGAGTGAGACTCCATCTCAAAAATAAAAATAAAAATAAAAAATAAATTCAGTGAATCTATAGAAAATCTGTTGGAATTTTTTCAAGAATCCTATCAAAGCATCACATTTCAGACTCTGGGAGTTCTTTAATACAATGATGCAGTTAATTTCTGATAAATATCCCCAATGAAGTTAGCAGAAAGTGGCAACCATGACTAAAATAAAATACTTACCCTGTTGAAGCAAAATAAGAATCACCACCTTAGTTAATGAGTCAATAAACAATTAGTCTATAGGTTGAAACACAGTTGTAAGCCATTAGCCAAATTCATCTATAGGGTAAAAAGCCTGACATTCTTTGATCTTTGTGATTGATGTAATGCCATGAAGTCTGGTTTTGGTGTGTTAACGTAATACAATAATAAAAATTAGAATAAGTAGAAAAGGAGTCCGTCTTTTTTTTATACAAACAACTTCATTGCAGTTTGTGATTTCTTTCAAAGCAAATATTTGCAGGATGTCCAAACAGTGAATAAATTAAGTGCAAAAATGTAGGAAAACCAGCTGTTTGGAAACAAGCAGCCAGTAGCAGCCAATTGTTTAATTTTAAATTTCTCAATTGATATTTGGTCTTTGCACCAAGAGCACAAAACACCTACAGCTGCAGATTGCTATACATTCAAAAGGTCTCTTATTTGCAATTATCTTTAAGTATTTAATAATAACAAGCAGAGCTCTAAAAATGAAAAAAGTAGTCTGAGCAATCTATTTTATAATTATATTCTCCTATATACTTAATGATAGCAATGGAACACAGTGACTGCATGTTTATGTATTAATTCCTGCTAACAAGCCCTTGTAAACAAATGCATACTGTTAACAAAGTCAAAATTCCCAAGAAAGCAAAAGACTAGAAAATACACATTAGGGCTCCAAAAAAGGTCAAAACATGATTATAACATTTAATTGCAATAGCAATATATATTATTCAGAAATCAATCCATAAATACAATAAAAAGTAAAGAGCCGCCTCATTCCCAAGTCCCAATGTCTACCTCCAAGTAAACAATTTGATTCATTTCTTATGTGTCCTTCCATTGTTTCCTTATGTGGATACAGGTGAGTAAACACACATCTATTATTTTTTTCTTCCTTGTATGTATAGCTCATTATGCACACTTAGTAAATGAGACCCTTCCTTATCTGTATACAGAAAGCTTCTTCATTTTTATAGACACATAACAATGTACTGTGTGGATATACATTTAATCAAGCTACCATTAATGGACATTTACAGCATTTTTTGCAAAATGTTGCTATTACGAATCACACTAAAATAAGTAGCCTTTCACATTTGTTATTTCATACATAGTCAGCTGGAGCTTTAGGCTAGGCTTCCAGAATTCAGACTGTATAATTCTGCAATTTTAATAAGCATTGCCAAATTGCCCTCTAAAAGGTTTATAGAGTTGTGTACTCCCGCAAACAAGGTATAAGAGGTAAGGTGTTTTTTGTTTGTTTTTGGTTTTTCGTTTTGTTTTTTTTTTTGAGACAGTCTCACTCTCTTATCCAGGCTAGAATGCACTGGTGTGATTTCGGCTCACTACAACCTCTGCCTCCTGGGATCAAGCGATTCTCCTGCCTCAGCCTCTCAGAGTAGCTGGGATTATGGGTGCCGACCACCACACCCAGCTAATTTTTTTTTTTTTTTTTTTAGTAGAGACAGGGTTTCACCGTGTTGGCCAGGCTGGTCTCGAACTCCTGACTTCAGATAATCCACCTGCCTCAGCCCCCCAAAGTGCTGGGATTACAGGTGTGAGCCACCACACACGGCCAGAAATAAGGTTAAATTTAACATTTGTTTCCATCCATCCAAAGCTATTTTCAAAAATAATTCATTTGATAAGAATGTGGGGAAAAAATTTAGGAGTTACATTATAATTCATGTATTTCATATTTATAAAATCAAATTCCCCTCAGAAGTCTTGGGTCCTTGAGTAAATCTCACAGAAAGAGTGGTAGCGGAAGTGTAATAGATGTTATTTCCATTTACTTAGTTATTTAAACTGACATAAAACTTTATACAACTGAACAATTTAGCAGTTCATATCAAGAGACATAAAGCATTCATACTCTCTGTTATGAGACTAAATTGCATCCTCAAAATTCATCCTCAAGCCTTAACCCTCAATGTGACTATATTTGGAGATAGGGCCTTAAGGAGGTAATTAATGTTAAATAAGGTGACAGGACTGGGCCCTAATCCAGTAGGACTTTATAAGAGGAGACACCACGGAGGAACACACAAGGAGAAAAGACCATGTGAAGACACAGTGAGAAGGTGGTCATCTGCAAGCCAAGGAGAGACGCATCTGGAGACACCAGACCTGCTGACACCTTATCTTGGACTTCCAGCCTTCAGATAGTGAGAAAATAAATTTCTGTTGTTTAAGACACCCAGTCTGAAGTATTTTGTTATAGCAGCCCTGGTAGATTAATACACCCTTTAACCAAGTAGTAATACAATTCAGGGAATTTATCCTAAAGAACAAAAGCTATACTTTCAAGTATGACTACAGTTTCTTTATACATAACCATGAGAAATTGGCAACAGACTAACTGCTGTATATAGAGGTTTCAGTCAATTACAGCACATACATCATCGAATGTTATCTAGCCATGAATTATTATTCATATGACTACTTTAGCCATAAGGAAAAGTGCATACAAAATAATGTTTCAATTTTTTAAAGTAGACCAATTAAGAAAGATGGTAAGGCTCTGAGGCCGGGCACAGTGGCTCACATCTGTAATCCCAGCACTTTGGGAGGCCAAGGCAGGCAGATTACTTAAGGTGAGGAGTCCGAGACCATCCTGGCCAACATGGTGAAACCCTGTCTCTACAAAAATACAAAAATTAGCCAGGTGTGGAGGCGGGTGCAGCCAGCTACTCGGGAGGCTGAGGCAGAAGAATGGCTTGAACCTGAAAGGCAGAGGTTGCAGTGAGCGAAGATTGCACCACTGCACTCCAGCCTGGGCGACGGAGCAAGACTCCACCTTGTAGATCTGGTTTGGGGGAGAGGAATATAAACCTGGAATACGTCTCAAAAAAAAAAAAAAAAAGTTCTGGAGATGGATAGTGACAATGGTTGATGTTTGCAACAACGATGCAAATGTACTTAATACCCAAGAACTGTACACTTAAAAATGGTTAAATGGTAAATGTTATGTATGTTTTATCATAATTTTAAAAAAGAATCATAAATTACATATACATAATTGCGGTTGTAACGTAAAAAATTGTACCAAGATTGAAAAAAGACAAAACTAAAAACGTGTTTAGTCAATAGGACTATCTGCAGAAAATGTTTCTATGTTCTTTCACACTGCTTAAGTAATATTTCAGTTGATAGTTTAACAAATTGTCAATTATTTATATATTTGTGTGCACATAAAGAGAGATCTGGAATGATACACAAACCATTAACATGTTTCTCTGGAGAAGGGAAAGGAAATAGAAATTCACCTGCATGTCTGATTTCTTTTCATTTGTATGTGTGTTTTTAATTTCACAAAAGTATTTTAACATCCAACTCAAAATATATATATAAAAAAAACCCTAAAAGATTACAAATAGAAACACAAACAATTCTATTTACATTCCTTTTTTTTTTTTTTTTTGAGATGGAGTCTAGCTTTGTCACCCAGGCTGGAGTGCAGCGGCGCAATCTCGGCTCACTGCAACCTCCGCCTCCTGGGTTCAAGCAATTCTCCTGCCTCAGCCTCCCAAGTAGCTGGGATTACAGGCGCCCACCACCACACCCAGCTAATTTTTATATTTTTAGTAGAGACAGGGTTTCACCATGTTGGCCAGGCTGGTCTCGAACTCCTGACCTCAGGTGATCCTCCTGCCTCGGCCTCCCCAAGTGCTGGGATTACAAGTGTGAGCCACCACGCCAGCCTATATTCCTAATTGATAAGATAAACACACAGAAAAAGACATTTAATTTTAAAAAAATTTTTTGAGCACAACATTCTGAGTATACACTTTTAATGAGAGTTAGTCTAAGGGCAAAAAGTATTGTAGAAAAATTCTACATTTATTCAGTGGTTTTGTTGTTGGAGTGGCAATGAAGTATTTTATTCTGGAACTTTTTTATGTGTGTTGTAAGGCGGAATAAATGAATAAATATATTGATATTATTAAGAGCCAGGGTTCTCACTTTGGGAGAAGGGAGACCTAAAAACGGAATACGAAAAAGCAGGGGAAATACCCTGCAGCACTGGGCTAGAAAAGGTAATGATAGGTAGGTAGAAAAAATATGTATCTATGTGTCCCATCTCTGTCCACTGAGAAAGCCTAGAAAGAATGACACTCCAGTAGCACTGAGCATCCAGATCTGGTTTGGGAAAGAACAAGATAAACTTGGAATATGTTTTGGTGCCAAAAGTAAAGAAGTGCTCAAAGGATGACAAGGACATTTAACCAGCAGCCAGGTTAGCGGGGCCCCTACTGGCAGAACATGAAACAATTTGAGCATCAAAAAGAAAAATGAAGGTACGGATTATAACACGACAAATTAAAAGAAAAAAAAAGAATCCAAAGTGACAATAAAAACTTGAGTTTAAAAGAAAGCACTTCTTTTAATAAAAGAATGCCAAGTAAAACATGCGTATGGAATAATTAGAAAACCTGCATTTTGCAATCACCAGCAAAATAAATCATTCAGCAGGAGTCATCAACTGATGCTAAAATAACAGGATGAACTTTTACTGAAGAATAGGATATTTATATCCTCTCAAATTATCACCTTGTAGACCTTACTAAGAGGTAGAGAGGACTACCTTTCCAATGCAGGGAGATGGTAGACACCACCCGGACCAAGCGATCAAACTATAGCCAATAGTAGGGCAAACTGGCATTGTGTGTCTCCTGGTATGATGCAATGTAGTCTTCTTACCAAAAATATCTAACCTGGATCCCGTCATGAGAAAACAATCAGAAAAATCTAGAATATAGCACTAGTATGTCAGACAACTGACCTGGGCTCTTCTAGAATAGCAGTCATAAAAGCCTTTTTAAAAAAAGGCAGGAATGGGGAGGAGGGAGAGGCAGAGAGCTGTACTGTACTAAATTAAAAGATGTGACAAGGAAATGCAATGTATGATCCCTGATTGGATCCTGGGGCAGGACGGTATACATGGTATTTGGGGGAAATCTGAATATGGACTGTGGCTTAAACAACACTAATTTATCAACAGTGATTATTAAGGGTGTCACATATACACACTTTTTCAGGAGTTTGAGGAAACAAACAAATAACATTACCTTTGATGGGTTAATTACAATATTTCTGGCTGAGCCATGTTCATCTCCAGTGAAGGCTGGCTGATTATTGAAGCCTTGCTTTACATTCACAGCAGTAAGTTCATCCTGTTCAAGAGACGGTATTGATTAAGCAGAAGGATGTAAAAGCTTCAACATAATCCCACATATTGCATCCTAAGTAATGGCTAAATTTGTTATACTCTGTAGAGGAGAACTCTTGAAAGGACAACAATCAGAGAAGGCAGAAATTGAAGTTTAAACACCAATACATAAACACATAAATGTGTAGAGGGATGAAGCAAATGTTAACTGTTGACTCTAGGTGCAGAGTATATGGGTATTCCTTATACTATTCTTTTTTTTTTTTTTTTTTTTTTTGGAGATGGAGTCTCGCTCTGTCGCCCAGCCTGGAGTGCAGCGGCGCAATCTCGGCTTACTGCAACCTCCACCTCTCGGGTTCAAGCCATTCTCCTTTTCCTCAGCCTCCCGAGTAGCTGGGATTACATACAGTCGCCTGCCACGATGCCCGGCTAATTTTTGTACTTTTAGTAGAGATGGGGTTTCACCATTTTGGCCAGGCTGATCTCAAACTCCTGACCTCAAGTGATCCTCTGGCCTCAGCCTCCCAAAGTACTGGGATTACAGGTGTAAGCCACCCCACCTGGCCCATTATACTATTCTTTTAACTTTCCTGTAAGTTTAGATTTTTTTTTACTTATAAGTTAGAAAAAGAAAAAAATGAGCAAAAATCTCACCGAAATATAAAATGATAGGATTTTTTTAAGAATTGTTTCCAGGCCGGGCGCGGTGGCTCATGCCTGTAATCCCAGCACTTTGGGAGGCCAAGGCATGTGGATCACCTGAGGTTAGGAGTTCAAGACCAGCCTGGCCAAAATGGGGAGACCCCATCTCTACTAAAAACAAAAATTAGCTGGGCGTGGTGGCAGGTGCCTGTGATCCCAGCTACTCTGCAGGCTGAGGCAGGAAAATCGCTAGAACCTGGGAGGCGGAGGTTGAAGTGAGCCGAGATCACACCACTGCACTCCAGCCTGGGTGACAGAGTGAGACTCCATCTCAAAAAAAAAAAAAAAAAAAAAAAAAAAAAAAAAAAAAAAGAATTGTTTCCAGAGAGCCCACAGTTTGTTTCTCCATTCCTGGCCAACCCCTATGCACACACCTGTTTTATGTTTAAGAAAGCTGGCTCACCAACTTACCCAAGACTAACAGTAAATTAAAGACAGAAACAAAAGGTTCCTAGGCACACGCCTTATGATTACAGCCACACAACATCACAACCTACAACTGAAGGGAAGTTTAGAGCTGCAATGTTTTCTCACGTATTTTGGCTCACTTGATCTTTGCCAACTCCAATTCCAAGGGAGACAGTAGGTATGTATCTTCATGCCCGTTGTACAGATGAGAAAAGTGTGCCTCACTAAGCTAGTGCAGCAATTGGACAAAGCCAGCACGGAAATACTATCTTCTAAATCCTAGACTAGGAAGAGAAATTTCCATGACACCATGCCACCAAAGAACAAATGCCACATGAAAATGTGGTCTAAAAATATGTGCCTACAACTCCTACTCTCCTTAAAAAGATCTCCTACTGGATAGATACAGGAATACTTTTCCAAGGTCACAACACATCAAAAATAACCCAAGGCTTTAAAAAAGAAAAAAAAAAAAAACCTTCTTGCCCTACCCAGATTATCATTGAGTTATGGAACTACATCAGAGTTCCTAAAATACAGACCTGAAAGAATAAGAGGGAGAGATTTGAGTAAATGAAGCTACCTCCTGCTCCCCTCACTCCAAGCCAAGAAATAATCCTAGTAACAGTTGGAGTAATGGTAGCCACGGCACAAGAATAAGATACACTTATTCCTCTATGTAACTGCTGAATGCATAAAATGAAAAACAGCAATTGATCAAAATCACCGCTATGATTAATCAAGAAGCTTAGAACAAAATAGTTTATGACATTTAAGCACCTAACCAAACTCTAAAAAGGTCACCCTAGCTGAGAAAGAGGTCTCCTGGAGACATGCCATGTAACTTTACTTAATTATGTGTGCTCTTACTAATGCCTTGGCGGGCCACTGTTTTGGCGGGTTTTCAAAAGACCCCGCTATAGGAAATTTCACTCTATGGTAATCAAGTCTCCTCCAAGCATAGGTCACTGAAATCGTGATCCGCACAGAATATGAGTTACGTGTACATTATCAGAAGATATCTCCAAACTGCTCCTACATTTTCAAATAAATTATGTGAAAATATAGAGCAAAACTACATAATGCATATTTTAAGTCAGAAAGGTTTCAGTCAACTTAAAGCAAATGTGCTACCAAAATTTCAGTAGTCTCTGAGTCTAAGAAAGTAGGAGTACCAGCAGTGAGCTCAGGGGGAAAGTAGGATGAGAAAACTGAATATTTATCTTTGATTTGCCGTCAGAGTATTATAAGAAACATTGAGTAACAGCATATGTTTTTACTAAAAATACATTCTGGCCTAATCAAGAAGAATGTGTGAGATTTTAAGAACCAGATAGTTTAGTATTGCTTCAGTTTTTACTTTAAACTAACACCAGATCAGATAGCTGCTCATTGTATCCAACTGCTAATCGCTGGGATGAAGAGACACACCCACTCCTGAGTGTGTGCACAAACTCAGAATCCCCAGAAGGAAAAGAACATGGAACAATGGATACATATCTGTCATCTACCTCAGATTTTCCTCAAACTAGGAGCCACACAGATATTATTGGGAGCTTTGAGTTCTGAGAAGTTTAAACTTTGCATTCTAAATTTCACAAAAATACATGTAGAATTTGACCACTTCTCATTACCACCACTGCATCATCTCATGCTTACGCAATGCAATGTCTCCTAACTGGTCTCCTAGCTTCTCCCCTTGCCCCCTGAAGGCCACTTTGACCACAGCAGCCATAGGGAGCTTTTTAAAACTCAAGTGAGACCATGTCACTCCTGCTCCAAATGCTCCATTTTACTCAAAGTACAAGCAAAGGCCCTATGATGTCCTAAAAGTTCCTGTGTGATCTTAACCCCATTACCTTTCTGGTCTCATCCCTAACCACACTTCCCTTCACTAACACTGTCTAGTCTCCTTGCAATTTCTCAAACACACCAGCCCAGCATTCTCTAATCAGGGATTTTGCACTGTCTGTTCCCTCTGCCTAGACTGCTCTTTTTCCTGGTATCCACATGGTCAATGACCTGACCACCTTAACTTTTTGCTCAAATTTCACATTCTCAATGAGAAATGTGATGACCCTATTTAAAACTGGAACTGTCCACCCATTCCCTTTACCTCCCAGCATTCCTAATCCTTCAACAATCCATAGCATTTATCACCTAAAACACACTATAATTTACTTAGAATGTGTATTGGCTGTCTCCTCGACAAGAAGATAAGGTGCATAAAACTGGGGATCTTTATTTTGTTGACAAACGCAGGCCAAGCACAGAGTGCACAGATGCAGTGCCTGGCAAATAGCACACATCGCAGCTGTTCAATAAATATTTGTTCAAAGAATAAATGAAAGACATCCTATTCTGAACAATTAACATGAGCATATTCTGAGTCACTACCTCATGAATTTGGAGTTGTAATTTCATTTGTGTTTCTAACTAGCACTGCTTTGTCACCCAGAGTAGGGGCACTCAACCCATCAAACCCCACACACCATCCTGAAAACAAACATTTTATAACATCGATTTCCCTAGTGTGAAATGAAATTCATAGATAACTTACCTATATCAATATTTTTTAATCAATATAATGCTCTCGTTCTAAAATTTTTAAAAAGGAAAGTAACTTAAAATAGGCACTTCAACAGGAAACGCTCAGGCACACTACAATGGACTCTCACAACTGAAAGTGTGGTCCATGGCCCTGGAGCACTGGCATTACCTGCAAGCCTGTTAGAAAGGCAGAATCTCACTCCTCCCCCAGAGTCACAATCAGCCTCTTAACAAATTCCCACATGATTCATGGACACATTAGACTTTGAAGAAGCAGGGCCCTAGAAGGCAGAGAATTGCTTGAACCCGAGAGGTGGAGGTTGCAGAGAGGAGAGATCGTGCTGCTGCACTCCAGCCTGGGCAACAGAGCGAGACTCCATCTCAAAAAAAAAAAAAAAAGAAAAAGAAATTGTTAAATGTTTGCTCCTATTCCTAGCATTAGCACAACATAGTAACTACAAAATGCAAACTGATACAGGTGTGCTGTATTGCCATTTCAAATGATCAGGAAGAGCATAACATGAATTTTTTGAAACTGTGATACACTCTTGCTACAGTTTCAAACTAACAAAATAGTCTCCCAACATAGTAAGACGCAACAGTTATATTCCTCAGAAACTCAGTGTGTATTAAATGTATATTAAAATCATACAAAAAATACTTTGAGATCATACGTAAAACAGATTCCCATCTGAGATGGGAAAAAAACAGTTGAAGGTTTCAGTGACACATCTGAAAGTGCAGGGGACACAGGACAATTTTTCATGGAACCCACCCATCCGCGCACTGAAGACAGCCCCACCCACTCAATGGTAGCAGCCACAACCAACTAACTCCTCTTCCCCGCCCAGATTTCCACAGCACTTCCAGTGAGAGCCACAGACCCACCAGAGGGATAGCTTTTATCTTTTAGAGCCCTATTCTGAAAAGGAGGTTCACAGGCTCTGGGTTTAAGAAACACTGAGCTCCATACTGAAGTGTCAGTCAAAATCTTGCTCGTGCTGCAACACGACAACAATGGGGATGCTCTAATTCCAACTCACTAGGCCATCCTCTGGCTCGCAGTTGTGGTTCCAGGTGGATACACGCTGGCACCAGCTAAGACTGACTGATGGAGATGCAGACAAGAGTGGGGACAGCACTGTGGGTAAGAGCCCAGGGTCTGCAATCAGACAGCTCGAATTTAAACCCCCTACTCCATTTAAGAGGGACTCTAAGCAAGCTCTGGGACCATTGCTGTGCCTCCGTTTCCTCAATTGTAAAACGGGGATAGTAATAGTTTCTACCATGTTATCTCCATAACCCAGTTCAAAAAAAAATAAAGCCCAGAGAGAAACTAACTTGACCAAGGTCACACAGTAGTGAAGAATTCCAAAAAGTCTATGCTCCCAACCATCAAACCATATAAAAATGGCTGGCAATTAGCATTGCTGCTATTGTTCGTATCATATTTTTGGTTCCAGAAAGTGATAACCTGAAGCTCCAGTCAGAAGAGATACAAAAAACCTTCTTGGGAAAATAAAAAGACCCTTTCCTTAAAGCAGTGGCTCTCTAACTTTTACATCTATCAGAATCCTCTGAAGAACTTGCTAAAGCACAGCTGCTGGTCCCACCCACAGAGTTCCCACTTCAGTAGGTCAGGGGTGGTGCCTGAGAATCTGTATTTCTAACAACTTCCCAGGTGATGCTGATACAGAGACCATGCTAACATGAAGAGTTGAGGTTTCTGCCTCTCTAGAAAACCGGGGTTTCCATGCCCAGTGCCAGTACAGGTCTCACCACCAGGAAGAAAATGGATGTCCCATCTTGGCTCAACAGCAGCAGATCCCAAGAGGAAAAGTCCATTCAGAATTCTCTACCATACCCCCTTCCTTCTCTCACTGTAAGGGCACAAATGCAAAGCTACACACACACACACACAAACATACATACAGATCCAGGAAGGAACCAAGCGTATAAAGTTTTCACTTCACTCCTTTAACTTCCTATAGAACACTAGGGCCACAGAGCCAAAAAAGAAGCTGTCACTTCTGTGAGGTTTATTAGTACAAAACTTTAGGTCAGGGACCTAGAGAAACTAAGTGAAAGGAGGTAAAAATCCAGAGTATCACAACCAAAAAAATGCACCTTGATGGTCTATTTCCTGAAGTTTCTGAGAAGAGTTAACATCAATGACAAAAATCCAAAAGATAAGAATAAGATTCAAGTTCCAGAGTGTTAACTATTGTTGCTTAGACATTATTTCTCAAACTCCAGTAATGCACCAATAGACCCCTTTTAGAGGAAAACCACAGCCTCAGGGAGTCCTTAGACCCCAAGTTTGGGAAACTGGGCTGGACATGGACACTTAATGGTATTAGGCAGCATTAAGAGGTTCCAAACAAGAGGTAATGCGTGTCACCTGAACTCAAATAACAAACTTTTATGACACTGCTCTGAAGGCTTTTGTCAAGTCTAATCAGGCAAAAATAGAAAGAGGAGAGTCCAAATTTTGGAACAGCATGCCTCTAAAACCCCCAAGCCAGAATGTTTAAGGGACACAAATAGCTTCCTCTTGTACTAGCCCCAAACCTCTTCAAAGATGTCTTGAAATAATGGAGGGTAACAGCCACCAAAATTCTTACGACGCCTTTCCTTACAGAGATTTAAGCTTGTTCACTATATCTAGCCAACAGTTCTTATAATAGAACTTCCAGCAACTACTTTGCCCATCTGCAAAGGTGAGGCAACTAAGATCCCAAAAACGTGAGGCACACACAACAGTTAGTCAAGATCCTGTTCCCAGGGTCGTGCTCTGGGAACCAGATCAACAGCACTGAACCTTTTAAAAGGACTCTTACTAAAGGCTGCACATCTTCCTGTTGTACAACATGGAAAGTAAGAGAAAAAATAAAGCACTTTTAATAACTGTTGGGAAGCAGAAGAGACCATGAATCCAGACATACTTTTAAATATGTTTAACATTAACAGCATCTAGGGCAAAATAGTTGTACACACATGTCCAAGACCAAGTATTAACTAAGCCAAGAGACAATGCCAGCTGAGAATGTGAATTCACAGTCCTCACCAAGCGGCCCAGAGTAGCAGTGCACCAAACCATTGTGCACATGGATTTCAACAGATTTACAACAAAGTAATCCAAACATAGAGAAAGGAGAACTCTCACACCTCTTGTCATTGGTTTCGACTAAAATAACAAGCTTTAAAGCAATTCGAGGGAGACAGGCACACAGAGAGAAACAGAAACCAAAGTCCAGAAAATAGTCCATGCTAATATGTAAGGCCTGTGTTCACTCTGTATTTTTGTATTCTACACTGATAACAAAAATCAGACCTTCGGCCCAGTGCGGTGGCTCACGCACTTTGGGAGGCCGAGGCAGGCAGATCCCGAGAGGTCAGGAGATTGAGACCATCCTGGCTAACACGGTGAAACCCCGTCTCTACTTAAAATACAAAAAAATTGCCGGGCGTGGTGGCTGGTGGCTGCGTGTAGTCCCAGCTACTCGGGAGGCAGGAGAATCACTTGAACCCGGGAGGCAGAGGTTGCAGTGAGCCGAGATTGCGCCACTGCACTCCAGCCTGGGCGACAGAGCGAGACTCCATCTCAAAAAAAAAAAAAATTCAGACCTTCGATACTTCGGGTAACCTCCAACTGCATCCATAAATCTCATGCATTTACCTTGAACTTCACAGAATGATCTTATTTTTTGGATCACTTTCAAAGCAATCTTTTAATTTCAATGAAATGTTTCACTGGGAAAGTGAAAACATTTTGATGCTAGTTTGGGAATTTCTTAAGCTCTTTTGCACTCAAGAAAAAAATAAGCTCAGTTTAACACAATTTTCAATGGCCATCTCAAAGTCAGATAATGCACACAAATACATACTACAGACACTCACAACCTCCTGAGCGTCACCCTCTATCGCACAGAACATGCGCAGAAACTCCCAATTTTTTCCGTCCCCTAGTCACATCTAACAAACCAGTTCCATGACGATTCAATGAATTGGACAGAAATGTCCACCAGGGATGAGAAAGCCACAGAAGTAGAAAAATATCCCTCTATGCGCTAGTCAAGAAGGCTGAGTTAGCTCAAGTCTTACTCAGAACAAACAAAACACTTTTCATGGTTTTATAGCTATATTTCCTAGCCTTGTCCACCTCTCCCCCAAAAGAACATTCTCTCAGACCCCCAAGGATGTCTGTAAACCCCAGTTTGGGAAACTGGGCTATGATAATCCCCATCACAGATACATGTAATTGTTACTAGGCAACACCTACAGTTAGCAGATATAAAAGACCTGGAAGATAAGGGAAGAATCTTTTACTCCTCATAACTCATCATTAACCAAACCTATCCATACTTCTCTCAAAACATATCTCCCCTTTATTCCTTCCTTTAAAATACTACAACCCCCCTCCCACCCACCACCTGCCCCTCACCCCACCCCTACCAACTGAGGCAGCTGTTACAGCAGGATTCGGCTACTGCTCCGCACACATTTCACTCCTGTCCAGCATGCCTACTGGCCCTGGATGAATCTTCCTGAAACAGTTTTCTATTCTGCACTCTCCTATCCAAAAGCATCAGAAGGCTTTCTTCTCTTTTTCCCCTGAGAAGCGAAAAAGCAGCATCTAGCATAACTGTCTACAAACCCTCAATAACATCTCTGGTCTTCTCCCCACTTATCTCTGGCCCCAAATCAAAACACAGTCGCCCAGGACTGGCATTCAAAGCCTTAAACAATCAAGCCCAGCATTCCAGCCTTGCTTCCATTCTAAGTGTGCGAGTCACATGGATCTGCGTTTGAATGCATAGGCTTACCTACGATTGAGACTAAGATAACTGATCTCTGTATCTTGGTGGCTTTGTTTGAAAGGAGACAGGAATAACTCACAGGACTGAGGTTACATAAGATTAAATGTGCAGAGTTTAGCACAGTGCCTGGTCCATTATTAAATGCCCTATAAATGGTGGCTATTGTTATTATAGCTGTTTTCTATTTTTGTATTTTAACTTTCATTTAATCTATTTTATTATATGCCATCCCACATACGCTGTCTTTTCAACCTCTAAGCCTTACATCATGCCATTCCCACCCCCTGAAATACATTATTATGAAATATTTTATATTTTTCAAGCCACAACTCAAGGCCTGCTCCCCGTCCTTCATTCGATTAACAAATAATTATGCATACAGACTCTGCTAAGTCCAGGGGATTCCATAGTGAGCGAATTCCAAGTGTTATAAATACCCCAAACTGCCTGCTCAGAAAGCACATAACAGTGGCTTAAACTAGTCTGGGGAGTTAGACAAGAATGCTCTGAAAAGGTGGCCTTTGACCTGAGCTCTGACTGCAAAGTAGGAGTTAACTTCAAGAGGATAGCCTCTTACAGTGGTAAGCTTCTGATATTTTGCATGAAATGATATAATATTAACTCTAAGGAGATCATGAATAGGTAGGGTGTAGACTGTAATTCCTAGAGCAACAACTCCGAAAAACAACACAAATAAGTATAACTAAAATGCAATTGGTAAACAAAAGTTATTTTTAAAATAGTCTAATAATCCAAAAAAAAAAAAAAAGCTGGGGACACAGAAAACAAATAGTAAAATGGTAGACCCAAAGCCAACCATATCAATAAGCACATTAAATGCTAATTAAATATTCGTGGACTAAGACTCCAATTAGAAGACTGGAATTGTCAGAATGAGTAAAAAAGTAGAGCCCAACTACAGGCTATACTTTAAATATAAAGACATACTTTAAATATAGAGACAGATAAGTTGATAGGAAATGGATGAAAAAGACATATACCATGCAAACAATAAACATAAAAGAGTTGAAGTAGCTGTATTAATATCAGATATAGTAGACTTCAAGACAAAAAGTATTATCAGAGATAAAGAGGGACAAGTCATAATGATAAAAAGGTCAATTCATCAGAAAGGCATAACAATCATTGGTGCATGTGTGCCTAACAAAAGAAAAGACAGAGGATGGGCATGGATAAAGTCTGCAATGTTGGGAAAATTAAAGAAAGAATGCTGTCATAGCAGTAGCAGGAAGTGGAATGCAGCTGTAAAAGACAAGAATGAAGCAGTACAGGTTGGGGGAGAGACTATGCAGGGTCTGTGAACCAAGTAAAGAGCTTCTGTCTTTATCATAAGAACAGTAAAGGTTTTAAGCAAGAAGGTGACATCAGGCGGGGCATGGTGGCTCATGCCTGTAATCCTAGTACTTTGGGAGGCTGAGGCAGGAGGACTGCTTGAGACCAGGAATTTCATATTAACCTGCCCAACATGGCGAGACCCTGTAGGAAAGGAAAGGAAAGGGGAGGGGAGGGGAGGGGAGGGGAGGGGAGGGGAGAAGGAAAAGGAAAAGGAAAAGGAAAAGGAAAGGGAAAGGGAAAGGGAAAAGGAAAAGGAAAGGAAAGGAAAGGAAGGAAGGAAGGAAAGAAAGAAAAAAAAACAGAAGGTGACATTATCCGACTTGAATAGAAGTGCAGTGTGGACAACTGACTGGAGTAGGGTCAGACCAACTGGGAGGCTGAGGGTAAGGGGATTGGGACCAGTTACCAGGCTCTCATGAGAGTTGGAAGATCACATAATAGTAGCTTGGACCAAGATGGTGGTGGTGGAAGTAAAGAGAAGGAAGAAATGGAGGGATATTTAGGAGGGAAACCCAACAGGATTTACGTTGATTTCTTGGATGGAATGACAAACAGCAAGGTTGTCAACGATGTCCTAGACTTTTGGGATGGTATATCTCCCCCATGTTGGGGGCTTTTTGCAGAGGAAGGGGAGCAGATCACAAGTTCAGGTATAAACGTCGTAAGTTTGAGGCATCAGACACACAGAGAAAATGTTTCTAGTAGGCACTCAGCTATACAGGTCTAGAGAAGTCTAGGCTGGAGTCTTAAAGTCGTGAGTTGTCTGCATATGGCTAGTGACTGAAGCCTGGAGATGGCTGGGATCACCTAGAGAGAAGGTCAAGTGAGAAAAGACCAGGACCTAAGACAGACCCTGGGAAAAATCCAGTATTGATTTAATAGCCAGTTAGAGGAGGATAAGCCTTCAAAAAAGACTGAGACAGTGTGGCCAGAGGGGAGAGAAGGAAACTAGGAGTGTTTTACCTCAGAAGCTGAGGGAAGAAACTGCTTCCCAAAGGGAGGGAGCAACAGAATCAAGTGCTGCAGGGAACATGGCCATTCCGGGTGACCTGAGAGGGGTGTCTCAGCAGAAAGATGAGGGCAGAACCAGACTCGAAAGAGCAGAGGAAGAAGTGGGAGGTGAGGAAGACAGTGAGTACACTGGATGCTTCTGGAAGTCTGGAGAAAAAGGAGGAGAGATGCAAACATGGGGTCTAAGGTAGGAGATCTAAGATGTGAGAGCTTGGTGCATGTTTTAATCACACAAGGAAGAAGGCGATGAAGGAAGCAATTGAAGCTAACAGGAAGAAAGGGAGATGGCAGATAAGTTCAAGCTCCTGAGAAAACAGGAGGGAATGAGCTGCCAACCCAGGCCCTAGAAGGCAATAGCTAGTACCAGACCAACTCAGGAGGATGTGCAGAGGAGGATCTGGAGACAGCCCCTGGAGCCACACTGTGATGGGTAGAATTCGGTCCCTCAAAGAGATATATCAAAGTCCTAACCCCTGTACCTGTGCATGGGACATTCTTTGGAAATAGGGTTTCTGTGGATAGGACCAAGTTAAGACAGTCATGCTGAATTAGGGTGGGTCCTAATCTGGCATAGCTAATGTCCACATATGGAAGGGATGGACACAGGGGGAAGACAGTAATGTGAAGACAGAGGCAGAGATTGGAGTTAGGCTGCCACAACCAAGGAATACTTGGAGCTAGCAGAAGCTGGAGGAGGCAAAGAAGGGTCCTGCACTAGAGGCTTCAGAGGGAGGATGGCCCTGCATATGTTGATTTCAAGCTTGCAGCCTCTAGAACCATGAGAGAATAAATGTCCATTGCTTTAAGCCACCAAATGTTTGGTACTTCATTACAGCAGCCCTAGGAAATGAAAACATACAGGTAGGGGAGGGCAGGCTCTGCTCTATTCCCCATGGCAAGACTGCCCCCTAAAACCAGGATCCAGGCCATTTAGCAGCAGCATGGAGACCATTACTGCAGAGTCTACAATGGCCAAGAAAAGCAGCTTCACTAAGGCTCTGGATAAGCAGACATCTCGGCCGCTGACTGCACAGCAATAGGGACTGATTTCTACTTGGAGCTCCTCTACTTGACATGATACTTAATAGCTGTTTGAGAAGTTTTTTAAAGGAGGCTGGGGAAGAATTCCCCATTGCAGCCAAAATATTTATAAGAGAAAGCATTAATACCAGCCTCCTGAAGAGGGCCAGAGGTAGGGGCCTGACTTAGGAAAGGCAGGACTTCCCTAAAAGGTCACCTTGTCCTTCTCCTGCCCCAACCCTTCTAACACCAGAGCCACATTTGCATCAAAGCCACATATGAAAGTCAGCTCTTTACATCCACCGTCACCTATACTGCTATTAGCATTCACCCCCATCCAAATCACACCTGCAGGCCATCAATCACGAACTGTGGGGACCAACAAAACCAAAAGGATATGAGCTCAACACAAAACAGCAAATACTATCTTAACATCCGTACCTAGAGCAGGCAAAAAGAAAAAAATCATGGTAATAATACCACTCCCTCACATTTAAACAGCACATTCATGACCATCCTCATAACAGACAAGTGGCTTAGGCAGGATGTGTCCCATTTTATAGGGTGAGAAACTGAGGCTGAGAGGTGAGAAGTAAAATGGATGGTTAGGTGGCCATATGAGAAGCAAGCCCCAAATAGGTCCAATGTATGCTCCAAGACAGTGAAATCTTTGAGGAGAGCACAGTGTGATTCCAACAAACTTAAACTGGAATCCCATCTCCCTTTCTCTTCTGCGAAATGTAGATCACCCCACCTACCTCACATGTCTACTGTAAAGGGTAAGTGGAAATCAGTTGTGATACAATCAACACAGTAACTGGCACGCACACTAAGTACTTTAAAAATGGTATCACCATCATTATAATTATGATCTTTTGTATGACCAGCACATATGGCCCAAAATGAGCACATGACTGACTACTCAGTAAATTCAATTTAGATGGAAATGTCCACCATGAATGAAGTGTTGAACACACAGCTCTCAGAAGTGCCAATTTCCCATGACAACCTCCTTCATCCTACCCAGAAGTGTCCTAGTGAGACAGGCAGTTCCTCCTCCCTCATTTAAAAGTGGGAGAGAGCCTCTGATTCCAATTATATCTAAATATACTTAGCATTTACTCCACTCTTATCTAAATAATTGTATCCCATTAATTAATTCATATTCAAATCACATTCAAATGCATATCACCCTCTGATATCAAACACCTGGATGTGGCTCTCAGAAAAAAAATCTAGGAAACTGCAGGAGAAAAATACTTGAACTTTTAGATTTGCATATTCATAAAGCAGACTTAAGGTATTTGCTAGTTTATTCTGCCCAGAATTATATTTAAGGCAGCCTCAAAAGATAGTTTTCTCTTTAGATCCCTTATTGCTGAGGTATGCCATATAGTTCTTGCATTGCAATCTTACATAACAAATTTTTCCTTTAAATCATTTTTCACAGAGTACTTAACAAGCTAGTGTGCTAGGTGATCTGAGGGCAGAGAACACAAACATAAGCCTTGGTTTCTGTCCTCTGAAGTCCAGTTAATTGACTTACACTTAGCCACTATGTAGCTCCTTTCTTTTATCCTTCTTTCCCACCTCAATTCCATCTCTGACCCCACGCTCAGCACACATCTGCAGGAAGCCATGTTGTGGGAGACAAAAGAATGATTCCCCACCAAATGTATTGCAAATTCATGAAAAATAACAAGGCTGGGTGCAGTGCTTCACGTCTATAACCCCAACACTTTGCGAGGCCCAGGCGACGATCACTTGATTGTCCAGGAATTCAAGACCAGCCTGGGCAACATAGTGAGACCTTGTCTCTACAAAAAACAACATAAATAAAAATTAGCCAGCATGGTCTCAGCTACTTAGGAGGCAAAGATGGAAGGATTGCTTGAGCCCAGAAGGTAGAGGTTGCAGTGAACCATGTTCACTGCAGAACATCCTTCTTCTGGCTTGGAAAAGAGGGGAAAGAGAATGGAAATGTCTCTTTTTTGCTGTTGGTGGTGGCAATTTTGTTCATTACTTTTAGGCCAATTATTCAGAAACGGGCTAAACGTATAATTTTGAGTCAAGGAAACAAATTTCCCCTGGTAAACCTCAGAAAAACTAGTCTAAACAGTTAACCTCTGTTAGCACTTCTCAGCCTCCACCCTTTTTATTTTCAGGGGGCTTGCTCATCCTCCACCAAGCTTAGGAAACCTTCCAAGCAAATCTGGTGATTAACTATCACCCAAGCAGCCCACAAGGAGGTCAATAACAGGCGTTAAAGGGAGATTTAAAGCACAGGACAAGCAGTATAAACCAAAGCTACAAGGGCCCTTTTAATAATAAGACCTTCAAGTAAATCAGTTAATGCCAGTTAGAAGTCACAGGGTGGGTGGGAGTCTGAGTATTCATTCCAATTCAGCACCCAAGGAATTCAAATGCCTGTCCCATCACTGAAGACTGAGTACAAAACTGTGTCACTCTGAGGTCCTCAAGCAACAGGACCTACTATCCTAGCTGAACAGTGTTCCAAGAAATATGAGTGTTGTCTATTCTCCTCTCTTCCTTTCCTTTGACCAATCTGTCACCAACTGCCAATTCTTCTCCAGTCCTATTTAAAGCCCTGATCAGTCGGGCTCTTTTTACTTCACGCTTTGGTTACTAGAGTCGTCTCCCTCCCAGCCTCTCCGACTCCACTGTCTCCCACACTGGATTTATTAGGCATGAGCTAGTGAGATAAATCTAACAGCAAAACCACGTGAGCTCACCACCATCCCCCACCCCCCAACCTGCTGGGGCTCCAGCAGACGCTCCACCAGGCCTGATCTGCAGAAAAACTGCCCCCCTCCTCCTCCCTTCCAGCTTTTTCTTATGAGAGGATACAGCATGTCCCACCCATTCAGGTCCTGCCTTTCTCAAGACCCTACATCAGCCAGTGTATCCTCCATGTATCCAGCCCTCTCTTTTCTGAACTCACGCAGCATTCTTAGACTCACTATATAAATAGAGCAGAATGTTTACAGCATGGGCTCAGAGAGTCCAACTCCATCACTATGCCACTCAATGACCCTGGGCAAGTTAAGTACCTCTCTGTGCCTCAGTTTCTTCATTTCTAAGCAAGAGATAATAATGACCACCTCACAGGTACCGTGAGGCTGGCATAACACCAAACACCTAAAGCACTCAGAACAACAAACACAATAAATAGTGGCTATTATAATGTCATGTGGCACTTTGTACACTCTACGGAATGTTATTCTTCAATTTTCAAATAAATAAATAAAACTAATGAATTAGTCATTTTAAAAATTGTTTTATGTGGGTAGGTAAACCGACATTAACTTCCAGAGCATTGCTACCACCCTGAGTGTGGTCTGATACTGTCACTGGTCCTCAACATAAAATGTGCAAAAACTAAGAGTATTTGAAAACTTTTACAGCAATTTGACATTACCACTACATTCAAGCAGCATTTCATTTTCCTGGTAATTCATTTTTATATTAATCTACAACAGATTGAAAATTAATTTTTCTAAAAACTGATCCTTCGCCACAGTTATTTTGAGAAGCACATTTCTAGAGGAGACAGATAGGAGGCTTCTATTTCTTTTCTACACCCCCATATCACCTAACACAGTGGAAGACACATATCAAGTACTAAGTAAACGAAAATATAATTTCAAAAACATTTCAATTAGTCAATAACTTAAAAGCAGATTCAAGTGAGTAGTAGAAATGTAAATAGTGTCTCCAATTCATAAAGAATCTTTTTCAAGAGGGAGTTTACATTTAGTCTGAAACTGACCAGAGTAAAAACAACTCTGACTCCATACTGTCAAATAACAGCACTGTGTGAAGCTTTATTAAAAAAGAAGATGAAAAAGAACCTAAGCAATGTCAATATTAACCTTCCTCGCAGAACTCAGGAGAATGATAAATTATTTAGCACTGCCTCAGCCACAGTTTTGATAGATCCTCCATACCTTTAAGTAAACGAGCATCTTAGCAAAAAATTCCAACAACACTTCAAACAAAATACATTTTTATTAGTTCTTCACTCCTGCCAATGCCTTAAATAGTCCAAATCTCAACAACCTCATTAGATTATCCATGAATGAAATGGCTGGAAAAGGAAAGCAGCAAATTCTACCAAATTTTAATTGACAACAAGGAGGCAGTTGCACAGCTGATCTGCAGCACATTGGATGTGGGTTGAAGGCTGAGTTATTCTTACTGAGGGAAATCTTGGCACATTCCAACTGACTCTGGAAATGCCTGTAGAAAATTCAAGGTAAGTGGGGAGCCCTGTGTCAATTCCGTCTCCTCTCCTTTCTAAGAAGAAGAGATTTATAACAAGGTCAAAGCTATCACTTCCCTTGGGTCCTCAATCCCCTGCCTCAGGGCCAGTTCAGCCTCGCTCAGACTGATAAAGGAAAACTAAGAGGAGGCAAATGGAGCTGGAATCTCACCGATGTTAACTGTCTCTTTGGGTCACTTAGTATCTGTACCCATAAATCCCTATCAACTGCCCTCAGAGATCCCCTGAGTCCAGGAAGTCTATCCCTAGAAACTTCCATCTCTCCAGGTCATCCAGATCCTCCATCTCTTTGCACACTCTCAACAGGTAATCACACCCATGACTTCAATTATTTATGAATATATCACATTGGAAGCATTCAGAAATGAACTCATTCTCTCCTCCCCTCCCTCACCCACCCCATCCTTGGAAAACAGTTAAATTACTTTGTTCCCTATGGCATGTTAGTTTACGGACCACCATTGATCTACCTACCCAACAGTCTAAACAAGTAGTTTTCCAAGTCCAATACCTCTGGAGCTCTCGAGAACATTTTAACTATTTGTCTGTGAAAGGCCAGATTTTCTGCATGCTCTTCAACCCAAACAATGTCTCAAAACAGATTGAATGCAGAACTAAATACAAAAGTCTAGACATTAAAGAGATATGCAAAAATGTAAAATAATGCCACTCTTTTTTCACTATTTTTTGTTTGGGGAAAAAGTTATTTTCCATTAAAAAAACACAGTTTAACATGAAATTGGTTGACTATGATTTTTTAATGAATATGTATTCAAATTTCTCAGTTTTAATTTCTAACACAGTAATTATTGAGAGATGTAACCTACATAAATAAAAGCTTAATAGATCCTCAATCTTTAAGACTCCCAAGAGCAGAAAGTTTGGAAACCACTGGCTTAAGCTAAAAGTGTTGGTAAATTCTCATGCTCCTTCCTCTTACTTCACATATTCACCTTATTGATTCTGCCATCCAAATAACGTTTCTCATAAATTCACCCCTTGATATGGTTTGGCTGTTTCCCCACCCAAATCTCATCTTGAATTGTAGTTCCCATAATCCCCACCTGTTATGGGAGGGACCTGGTGGGAGATAAATGAATCACGGGTACAGTTTCCCCCATATCTTTCTCTTGGTAGTAATCTCATGAGAGCTGATGGTTTTATAAGGGGTTTTCCCTTTCACTTGGTTCTCATTCTCTCTTGCCTGCCACCATGTAAGACATGGCTTTCACCTTCCACCATGATTGTGAGGCGTCCCCAGCCACATGGAACTGCGAGTGCATTAAACCTCTTTTTCTTTATAAATTACCCAGTCTCAGGTATGTCGTTTTATCAGCAGTGTGAAAACAGGCTAATACACCCCTCCTTTCTTCCTGAGCTTCCCAATCCCACAGACCAAAAAACACTCCCCTAAAAGATATTCACATCAAATCCCACAACCTGTTAATGTGACCTCATTTGGAAAAAGGGTCTTTACAGATGTAATTAAGGATGAGATCATCATAGATTATCTGGGTGGGCCCTAAATCCAATGACAAGTGTCCTTATAAGAGACACCCAGAGGAAGACCATGTAAAGTGGAGAAGACCATGTAAAGATGGAGGCAAAAATTAGTGATGTGTGGACACAAGTCAAAGAAGCCCACAAACACCTGGAGCCACCACAGGCTGAAGGAGGCAAGGAAGAAGTCTCCTCCTAGAGCCTTCAGAGGGAACGTGGCCCTGCCAACACCCAGATTTCAGATTTCTGGCCTCTAGAACTGTGAGGGAATGAGCGAATGTTGGTTTAAGCCACCCAGTTTGTAGTCATTTGTTATGGCAGCCCCAGGAAACCAATCACCCACTTCCAGTTCTGAATGTCAGGGACCACCTAGCTAGGCAATCCTTCTGCCTCAATATGACCCTCAGAGGCACTGTCCCTTGAAACTGCAACCCTCAATCATCTTAAATCTCATTCCCTTATCACCCTTGAATGGTGGCTGGCTTCCTCCACCATAATACCCAAAAGCCTCCACAAAGTAAAGATCCCCATGACTGTGTCCCATCTTTCTTTCCCACACCAACCCAGCTCTCCCCTGGATGCCCCGCACCATGCGGCAGGCCCACAGCCGAAGGCACACCCATATCATTTTGTCCTGCGACCCTTTGCATGTGCTGCTCCTTCGTCCTGGAATTAATCTTCTTCCCTATCCTCAACCCCATCCACTCCTACACACCCTCCAAGTTCCAGATTCAAAAATCTCTTTCTCTATCCACAGCACTTTGTACCTTCCTCTTAAAGAATATCTGAAACATTGTGCTCCTCATTTACAAGTCCATCACTCCCTCTAGACGACAGTTTCTCAACCCCGGAACTACTGATAGCAGGGGCCAGTTAAGTCTTTGGTGTAGGGGGTTGTTTGGTGCATTGGTGAACATTAGCAGCATCCCTGGCTTCTACTCACTATATGCAAGTACCAAGACACACACCCAGTTGTGGCAACCCAAAATGTCTCCAGACACTGCCAACATCCTGAGGAGAGAGAAAGAAAATGCACTCTCGCCCCTCGCCAGTTGAAATCCACTGCTCTAGACTGAAGGCCTGGGGCACTGGGACTATATCTAATGCTCTTAGCATTTGTGGATTCTCATATGCATTCATAAAAGAAAGTTTTGAGTCCTCGGTGCAGGCCAGGCACTGGGTTGGAAGTCAGTGACACAGTAGGAAATACAAGTCTGTGGTCCTGTCCTCATAGTGCCACAGCTGGCAAAGAGCCTACAAGGTGCTCAGTCATTTGCTGAATGACTGAATTTGTTTGGCATGCATATGTTATAGTAAGATTTTGTGCAAAACATGGAAAATAAAATCCAATGGCTAATATTTTTCTCCTCTTCTCAGGGTCACAGCATTGTACAACTAAGAAAGATCCATTTATATAGAATGTCATGTACATATCGCTTCCGGGAACTGGGCAACTGGTACCGCTTGTGTGCGTCTCTCTCAAGAGAGCTGCCCATAAATAAGGGGGTATCTCAACCAAGGAAGTGAAACTAGATAGAAATGACCTCCAGCACACACACAGTCCACAAATGCCAATGCCAGAGCTATCCCCAGAGGCTGCAGATAGGTCTGGGAACCTTCCATCAAAAAACACAATGACAAAAATGCATGAGCTTCTGAAGCATTCTTCCCCCTGCCCAGGAAACACCACACAAGATCTGGCAAGCTCTGAGAGGATCAAGTGGTGAGCTGAAGAGTTACCAGCTCTCAAAGAGGCACCGGGTGCCCTAAATTGCAGAGTGATTCTCATTTCCAGGGCAACGTGAGGGTGTTTACCAGAAGGGGAGGCTGTTTACAGACAGGCCAAGTAAAGTTGCAAGAACAAATCAGGGCACACAAGTGCTTGGCCCAGATCTGCTTTGACAAGCCACTTTAACCTGCCTGGGACTCAATTTCCTTTTGTATTGAATGAGATGGTTAGAACAATCCACCTCAAAGTTCCCTTCTAGCTATAAACATGCATGGCTTCCCCCCCCAAAATAGCAGACCTACAGAATCTCCCTCTCTCAGCAAAACAGAACAGGCTTCTTCCTCCCTTCCCACCAAAATGCTTTCTGCCAGAAACAGATATAAATAAAGGAGGCCGCTGTTCAGCTCCCCCTCCATTTCTGATAGGACCAAGTCAGAATGCACTGCCTAATGGACAAGATGCCACTGCTCTTTGTCTCTTGCCATATATTCCTCATGAAGCCAAAGAGCAGGAGAGTTCCTGGAATGTGTAATCCCTGAGGAAAAAAAAGGGGGTGGGTGTGGGGCGGGGGGAGTGGCCCTCATGATTATTCAAGGATACCAAAATATAAACAGAAAGTACCTTAACAACATTATATGGCTATAAGAAATTGACATATGGTCCAACTGTGGCTTAAACCATGAGGATAGCTATGCACTGTTTACTTAACAAGAAGTCCAAGGAGAAGTGGTCCCAAGGTCAGTTTAGCAGCCTAGCGATTTCATAAAGCCACTCAACTGACTCCTCATGTTGTCTTTTCTCCATAGGCTTGTTGCCACAAGGCCATAAGATGGTTGCCCCAGATCCAGCTATCATGTTCTTTTATTACCTTTCCAAAGATAGAAAACTAAGGAGACTTCAGGTCATCAGGAGATGCCATTCTCCTTCTGTGCCTGTACTTTTATCAGACAGGAAACAAATATTTTCCAGGAGTCCAGATTTTCATTAAATTTCTTGGGCCAGAGTTAAGTTATATGCTTATCTCAACATGCAAGGGAAACTAGGAAAGTGATAATCTGGCTTTCTTTTGAGATCGGCTCTCACTATGTTGCCCAGGCTACTATTGAACTCCTAGGCTCAAGTGATTCTCCCACCTCAGTCCCCAGAGTAGCTGGGATTACAGGCATGCACCACTGAGCCTTGCTAGGATCTGGCTTTAAAAAAAAAGAAAAAAAAGTTTTTAGTGAGAAGCAGGCAAGGGAAAAGCAGGATAATAATCATGTTGAAGTAGCCAACAAAGTGTCTGCCATCTATAACTACACCCGGTGGTAGGCAGGTAAATGTTAACCAGCTTAGACTGAAAGAAAGTCAGCCAGGCACAGTGGCTCACCTGAGGTCAGGAGTTCAAGACCAACTTGGCCAACATGGCGAAAGTCCATCTCGACTAAAAATACAAAAATTAGCTGGGCATGGTGGCATGCGCTTGTAATCCCAGTTACTCGGGGGGCTGAGGCAGGAGAATAGCTTGAAACTGGGAGGCAGAGGTTGCAGTGAGCCAAGATGGTGCCACTGCACTCCAGCCTGGGTGACAGAGCAAGACTATATCTCTAATTTAAAAGAAAAAAAATGAAATTAAGTTCTCATTTGTAGCATTTGCCAATTTCCTTGGTGTAAATACTACTACTATTGAATTGTATGGCCAATTTCAAGCTACCAACATGGTATCAACCATTTCATGAAATTCCTGAAATTTTAACAATCAGCTGGTATAAACCTGCTCCTGCAGGTCACTGAATTTATACCTTACATTTGATTAAAAAGTTAAGTTTACAATGCTACTTCACATTTAAAATGCTCTATATATCAGATATTATTCTCTGCAGCTTATAGGTGAGGAAAATGGCCAAACTGCCCGATATCGCACTGTTCAAGTCGTGGAGCTGGAATGATCACCTAACAGTCCTAACTCCAGCCCTATCCAGCTTTTGGCAGATCGCAGGTACATAAATGCTTCTATCTATACCCTAGGAGATCCCTCTGCCTAGGCACCACCTAAAGGGGCTCTAGGTTGGCTTGAAACTAACAGAAACCCATTTCTCTAAATCAGTCAAAGTTACTTAATAATTATTCTTTAATGTACTTCCTCCAATGACAAAAGTAGTACATATCTATTGTTACAGCTTAGAATACAAATTAGTACAAAGAAGAAAATAAAAATCATCCTTAATCCTATCCCCCAGAGATAACTGGTTGCATGTGAGTGGTAATCCTTCTAGATTGTGTATATATATTTTTAAGTCAAAATTAAGCTACTGTATAACTTAATGACATTGTTCTTTACATATACATACACATTTTCTAAGAGAAAGAGAACAGTATCATGAACTCCCTTGTCACCATCACCCAGCTTTAGAAATTATCTAAAGGTAATTAAAAGTCCAAGTGTTTCCATGCTCCCTTTTTGGGGAGGAATACGTAGGAGGTAAGAGCGTCCCCTCTACATTTCAATTGGATTTCTTCCCTCCACCTGGTTTTTCTCAGATTCTGAAGTTAGCTTTTCTCCAAGCTAAGTCAATCACCCCTTCCTTCACTGCTCAAGAGACTTGACATTTTAACATCTTTCATCATGTTCATTCTTGTGGATCATTCCAACTTCTCAAATTCCTGCCTAGTCTAGAAGCCCTGAGAATGGTGTTCCCAGAACCTCATGGGAGGAGAGCTTCAGAAGAAATACATCACAGTTCTTGTAGTTTGCAAGTTTCACTTACTCTATGCTTCTACTTCTGCTTTTCTTTTTTCTTTAACTCTCTACTACACTAACGAGGAGCACTGTCTTCACACACTGGTGCATATATGCATGTGCAGACACACACGTGCACACACCTGCGGGTGGCACTATTAACTGGTTCAACTAGAATCTTTCAACTCTGTGCATCCTCATCCTCTCCTACCTCGTGCTCACCCAGTGCAGTTTACTCTCCAGATCTCATTGTGTGGTCCTCCAACCTCCTAAAGGATCACATTTCATCTCCTCAGGTACTAGTCCAAGGGAAATATCTGACAGGCTAAAGGACAGTGGTTGTACCCCTAACTGACAGCCTTACGGGGTCCCCAAAGAGCAAAACTGAGAACCCAGGGACACAGTCAAAGAAAATCCCTCAACCCTGACAAGTTCAAAGAATGGCTTCATGGAACAAAGCAAGACCTGCTCGCTTATACCCCAGTTTAGCCAAGTGCATGCAGAAGGGAGATATAGCTATTTCAAAACCAAGGCATAAAACTCTCCTCTGCTATAAACTGTGTACAGCAACAGAAAACAAGCCTATGCTGGGAACCATTGTTATTAGAACTTCAAGGAGGAAAGTAACTAAACTCATTTGCACTGTTTAGTACCAAAAGGTACTATACTTCGAGTAGTATTTATTATCCAAAAGATTCTAATATATCAAATCAAGGGCAGCAGGTAGGAATAAGGGGGAGCCCAGTTCACAATGCTCTCTACAGATAAGGATAGCAAACTAAAGCAAAGGTTTTCAAGCTTGACATGTTTCGGAATCACCTAGAAAGCTTGTTTAAAATGCAAATTTCTGAGCTTCCTTCCCAGAATTCTGACTCAGCATTTCTGGGGTAGAGGTGGGCCACTTTATCTGCATTTTTTAAGAGACAGGGTACCACTCTATAGCCCAAGCTGGAGTGCAATGGCAAGATCACAGCTCACTGCAGCCTTGACCTCCTGGGCTCAAGTGATCCTCCTACCTTGACCTCCCTAGTAGCTGGGACCGCAGGTGTGCACCACCAAACCTGGCTTTCTGAATTTTTTGTAGAGATGGGTGTCTCACTATGTTGCCCAGGCTGGCCTCAAATTTCTACTTTCAAGCAATCCTCCAGCCTTGGTCTCCCAAAGTATATATGTCCATTTTTAACAAGCATCTTTCACATTCGGCTGCAGAGGCTGGCAGACCCTGAAAAATGACAACCAGCTGAGTTCCTCCTCCCTGGCCATAGAGTTTGGGTAGCAAACTGTGAGAAGCTGAAAACAGCAGGACCTCCCAACCAGTGCTTCCTACACTGCTCCTCTCCTAAGAGTCACCTGAGGCATGAGTTAAGCACAAACATCAGTTCCTCCCTGAACACTGGGATTCTGGGAGGTCTGCAGCAGCGCCTGGGGCCAGCCAATTAGTCTCAGGTGAGGAGCTTTCTGAAATGAAGTATCTCCCTTGCCTCCTCTTTTGGTCCCCCAAGTCAACTGGTCAACCTGTCCTTTCTTCCCAGAAAACTTTATCAACATCCTCCCCTTTTGAAGAAACAAACTTTCCACCTCCCTCACTCCACTTCCCCAGCTGCCTCTAAAACAGGCATTCATGCCTTTAAGAGTTTTCGATGCTAACAAGAAAACTAACAGGAGTTACCAAAATAAACCAAGCATTGAGATAGTTAAATGTTATAAATACTCACAATTGCTCATTAATAGTTCTTTCTGCATTTATTAATTTCTTCATGAAGTATTTACTGAGCACCTAGTCTACTCCCAGGCACTAGGCCGTTCACAGATGTGAACACCACAGACAAGCCTCTGCTCTCATGCAGCTTACATTCCAGCTGGAAGGCAGGCCATGGAGAGAATAGCATCCTAATAATTGCATTTCAGTGACAAGCGCTACAAAACATATTAACTCAGGGAAATGAACTGGCAAGGATGAGGGAAGACAGGCTGCAAGGAAGGCCTCCCTGTGGGGGAGTTTCCGAGCTAAGAACCAAATGACAGGAAACAAAACTGCTGCAGGGAGCAAGGGACAGGAACCTATACACAAAGAAGCTAGGCCTGTTGGAAGAAGAGAGAGGCAGCCTGTGGTCCCACCACACAGCAAGTTGGAAGGGGTGACTCAAAGCCCAGATCTTGAAAGGCAGGATCTTGTGGCTGTTATGGTTAAGTACAACAGGAGACCCCCAGCATCCTTTAATAAGGGATCAGCTAATAGTGGCTGACCTGTGTTGAGTGCTGCCTGTGTGACAGGCACGATTCTACACACTTTGCATACATTAGCTCATTTTCTCTTCCCAGCAACTCTATGAAGTTGGAAGAAATACAAACCTCATTCCATGGTTGAGGAAGCTGAGTCAAACAGGCAGTAAACAGAGTAGCCAGAACTCAAAGCCAGGCTGTTTGGCTGCAGGCAATGACTGCAGAGGTGAACAAGGGCCAGACTGGTAGGGCCTTGAAGGCCAAGGTAAAGGGTTTGCATTTTATTTCAAGTGTAATGGAAAAAGCCACTGGAGGGGGACTGAGACTTCCTGGTCCATTCCCTTAGATCTGAACTAAGAGAGGGCACAAATTCTGGGACAAGAACACCAAATCTTGGCTGGGTTGGCTGTTAAACCAAACTACTGCAACTTCAGCCATACATAGAAGTCTAATCCAGCCCTGCTCGTATCAAGCAGAATGCTCTAGCCCCTGCAGAACTGGATGTCTTCCCTTTAGGTGAGGGTTCTCGAAGTGGGGCCCTAGACCAGCACCATCAGATTACCTGGGATCTTGTCACCAGTGCAATTTCTGAGGCCTGACCTCAGACCTACTGAATCTTAGAGACCCAGCAATCTGTTTCAACCAGCCTTCAGGGTAATCTGAATGTCCTCTGAAGTTGAAGAACCACCACTCTGGGATATCCGCATGCAGACACCACCATCACCACCAGCTCTCCTAAGTCATGCTGTGTATATCTTCGGGCAGCCCCTGCACTGCACACCAGGCCATTATTCCCGTAGGTCCCTGCTGGTGGGGCTCTACAGCTCCTGATTCCCGGAAATCTCATTACTGCCCCAACCCATTTTTCTAACAAATTTGATTTTCTGCACATATTTACTCTTCAAATGTTTCGGCCTCTTTTTCTGTTGTTTTTTGTTGTTGTTGTTTTGTTTTGTTTTTGAGATGCAGTCTTGCTCTGTCCCCCAGGCTGGAGTGCAATGGCACAATCTCGGCTCACTGCAACCTCCGCCTCCTGGGTTCAAGAGATTCTCCTGCCTCAGCCTCCCAAGTAGCTGGGATTACAGGCGCCTACCACCATGCCCAGCTAATTTTTGTATTTTTTAGTAGAGACGGGGTTTCACCATGTTGTTAAGGCTGGTCTCGAACTCCTGACCTCAGGTGATCCACCCGCCTCGGCCTCCCAAAGTGATGGGATTACAGGCATGAGCCACCACGCCTGGCCCTGTTTCAGTCTCTTTTGTCCCAGAGTAAACCTCCTCTTCCTTCCTACTTCTGGAGCTTAATTTTACTTTCAGGCTTAACCTAGGCTCCAAAGCAGATAGATGCAAAGGATACTTTCAGCTTTAACCTTGACTTTCCCCAACAGCCCTCAGTCACCGGATTTCCCTTTTTAATTTATTCATCCCAAGTTTATTCATGTTCCAATAAATATTTGTGCCCTCAGCCTTCTAGGAACTAATTGTGCAGGTGCCAGGTACTTCTGCCATACCAAAACAGACCTCATCCATGCCCTCATGAAACTGACCTATTAGGGGGAGATGGCAAGATGCAAATAAGTATATAATTGTAAATGATATATCAGAAAAGCCTGAGACTTGAATGATGAAGGGGCAGGCATGACAGTAGTTCATGACAGCAAACATATAGGGGCTGAATCTATGACAGATTCTGTTCTAAGTGCTTTTTACATATACTATCTAGGTAATCTTCCAACAGCCCTATGAGTTAAGTAGTATTATCACTCTCACTCTATATGGAAGGAAAATGAAGTATAGGGAGAATAAGGGGCACATAAACAGGACAGCCAGGGTCCCAACCCAAGCAGACTGGCACCAGAGCCTACCTTTCTAACCACAGGCTAAGGTGAGAAGAGCTGAGTGGAATGCTAAGTGGGAGGGGGTGGCTAGACAGGTGTCCAGGCAGAAAGACCAGAACAGAATATGCAGGAGCCCTGGGGAAGAGAAGTCACCCTGAAGCCAGAAGGGAGACCAAGCATACTGGTGAAACTGGAGAGCATCTGGTGGATTGGAAATATATTTTGGAACTGAACAGGATGTGCGCATGGATGTAGAGACGCTGATGGATGAATGGGGTATAAGCAAGGAGGAGGTCTCAAGGATGACTGCCAGTTTTCTGATTCCCTGCTTTAAAGGCTTGAGCACAGTCTGTTTGTAGGAAGCAAAGTATTATAACACAATATATAATGAAGTCCTACAGGATGCTGATGCACAGCAAGCTCTCAAAAAAATATAACCAATCCATCAGGCAGGTTAAAGCTTCCATATTCTCCCCCCCGCCCCACCCCCATACTTCTCCACATGGGTCTTCGTTCATGGGTTCCACCCTACCTTCTGGGAGCCCTTTTCTGAAATATATTACCACTGGTTAACAACAACAATAAAAATTACATTTATGGTGACAAGAATAACTTCTACCAGGAGGAGGGCTTTTCTCACACAAATGTTGGTTTGAAATTTTTTCTGAAGTGCACAAACTAATTTACAAATGAGAGGCTATGCAACTTGCCCAAGGCCACACAATTGCAAAAAAAAAAAAAAAGCTAAATCCAGGTTGGCCCAACTTGGAAGCCCACACTTCCTCCATTAAATCAGCATTTTCCACCACAGCTATCTCTAATGGAACACAACTGTTGTTTTCGATACACAGATGAACTTTTAAAGTGTTAATAGTAATGGTCTCATTTTATTATGTATAATCATATACGTGTGTGCATGTAATATCAAATAGATTAAAAATAGTATGTAAACATGATTTGATATAAATTTTATATATACATATATTTCAATAAATCCATGACTCCACGTGTAGTACTGCCCAGGAAACACAAAGTTTCTTAAAAAATTAGTTTAAAGAAAACTTCAGAATAAAAGTACAGGTGGTACAGGGGTAGGGTAGAAATCTTGAGGGAGGTAGGACATAAATAACTAAAGCTTAGGAAACTCTACTCACCAACCACCCAAGAACAGCCAAGCACCTGTTCCATATTGTACCCAAATTTGGCTACAGCCACACATAACTCTGTCTGCTTGGGAGAGTTAAAACATTGGCTGCCTTGGGGGAAAGGGGATAACATCAGAAGATAATTTAGCATAAATCATCCTCAAAGCAGTATTAGTTTTGACATAAATACTGGTTTGGTGGTACAACTCCTCTGCTTATTCACCTATACACCTTGGTTAAACGAGTCAAGCTTTCCCAGGCCTGTTTCACTTAGTCAAAAGGAAGTTATAGAAAGTAGTCCCTAAGGTCGCTTCCAGTTTTAGAACTCCATAAAATGTTGTGAGACCCTGAAATCCAAAATTACTCTTTCCAGAATCAGAGGCCCCAGTCGTGAAATGAGCATTGGCCTGAAGAACAAATGCTAAATAAGCCCACACAGCACCCCAAGCCATCATGCCATCAATTATGCTGCCCTCTGGAAAGACAGAGTAAGACATTAATTACAAGATGATAAAGTTCAACCAACAAAATATCCCTGTCCCTATCAAAACTTTAAGAATTTCCTCCCAATAATTTTTAAGCTATTAACTGTACACTTGATCCTCAGCTTCTCTATTATTTCCAGTCCTTAACCATTAACTTCATTCTAAGTTGGGGTAGCAGGGTGGGGTAACGGGTAGGAAAAAAAATCTGGGAAATCTTCTCAAACCTCTACCATCCTGTAAAGCTGGTGCTGGAAACCACCTGTAAAACCTTCCCAGCTTTCATCTGCGTGACTCCACTGATGCTAGAGCATATTTAGTGTGCTAAACCTCTAAAAGGAGTTGCTGTTCCTTACTTCTCAGACACTTTATAAGCAAGACAGTTTAGCCAGAACAAGCACTTACTCTCCTAATGAAAGATACACTTATCAAAAGGAAAGTCTTAAGGACCCCTCCTTGCCTGGTTTACAAGGCCCTTTCTGTGCTATCAGTGGGCCCACAAACTTTTAATGGAGGGTTTTTAGATTCTCAGAAAGGTAAGTTTTGAAATATGGTCAGTTCGTGTTTAGCTGAACAGAAGATGGGTGGACTGCAGCTGGCAAACTCAGAAAGCACTGCTGGGTAGCAGGTGATCAAAAAAAAAACAAAAAAAAGGCAAGTCCCTGGGCAAATGGTGTAGCCAAAGGTGATCATTATAACTAGAGACTTGTTACATAATTACTTGTTAACTCCTGACAAACAGATACACAGCTACAAAATGCCATGGTTACCCTAGCCATTGAAGCTAATGTAGCTGGTGCAAGAGTCAAGGTGTCTCCAATTAATCTCATTCAAAGAAATAAGCAATCCTGGGAACTATTCCCTCCCAAGGTAACTCGCCTGCTTTTACGTATACAAAACAGCCTCTAGCAATTAAGCCCATTGCCTCTAGAGACGAAAATCAGTGTTTCTCCTTAATTTTAATTTTTAAAGGGCAGAAGGGTTACAGAGGTATATTCAGAGAGCTAAATATTTATCACTTCGATAAAAACGACTTCCATTCCAAACTGGAAAATTTGAAAAGCTTCCCCCTCACCTTCGTCCCTGGCCAGCAAAAGCAAAACGCAAGACCTCAGTGTAGGATGCACTGCATTCCAACATTTTTCAAAAAGTTTACGACGATTTACCGAAGCGGCAAGAAGAAAAATAAAGCAGGCAGAAACGGGTGAGAGCGAGCAAGGTTTCGGCAGGGAAGAAGCCCGAGAAGCGCCCGGCGGCGCCGTGCAAGGCCCGGCAACGGGAAAGCGACCGGCACATGGAAAGCGAGCGCCCCAGTGGAGCGCGGGGACTGACAGCCGCTCGGTCTCCGCCGCCGGGGGGTCGCCCAGCACCCCCAGCCTGGCCCCCGCCTCTAATCCCCCTCCCCGACCTCTTCCACCGCAGCGCCGGCGATGCCCGCTGGGCCAACTTGGCCCCGGGTCAGTGCTGCAGAGCGCGGCCCCGGTTGCCGGGGAGGCCGCCGGCGCCCTTACCTCCTTCTGCTTGGGGTCCTGTGGGTAGACGTCGGGCGGCCCGAGCCGGGGGCGCTTCAGCGGTCTCTGCTCATAGCTGAGAAGCCCGAAGGCGGCCATGATCTCTCATGTTAACCGGCGAAATGAATGAGAGTTGGAGCTGGAGCAGCCGCCTCTGAGCACCAGGGAGCAGCACTTTGCAGACAGACTCCCTCTCTCCCCCTCCTCGCTCGCTCGCTCGCTGTGGCGCTGCAGGCAGGAGGAATAAAGCAGGTTGGATGCTGCCGCTGCCCGGCAGCAGACACGCACTGATGGGGACAGCCTTCGGCGGGTACTCGGCTGCGCTCGAGCCCCGGGACGCACCGCTCCGGTGGCGGCGGCGGAGGGACTAGAGGTCGGCCAGGGTCCTCCGCGGCGCCTGCCTCCTCTGCTCCCCCCTACCTTGTCTCCAGGGGGAGGAGCAGCTGATGGGAACGTGTGACTTTTTTCACCAATGGACCCAAACCCACCCCAGCTGGGCGCAGGATGGGGGTGGGGGTGGGGCACTGGAAAAAAAAAAAAAAAAACTTTTCTTGGCGCCTAGGCTGGTGGCTGAAGTGCTCGCCCAAGGCGAGGGTGGCCCTCCCCTCCCGGGAAGAAGCTGTGGAGCGGACCGCCCCCGCCTCTCTTCCCCGGCAGGGACCCTTCCCCCGCCGCCACGCGCCCCGCAGACCCCGCCACCTGGACACGGACCGGGCCAGTGCAGGCAGAGGCAGGTCTGGAGGGGGCGCGAGACGCAGGGATGCGGCCGGTGGGAAGCGGCCGGTGCCTCCTAGACGCCCGCCAGGTTCCAGTGGCGCATCCGCAGCTACGGTCCCCTCGGCGGCTCCGGGCAGGCGCCGAGGCGCGCTGCTGGCGGTCGCGGCGGCTGGAGGGGGCCGTGCTCACGGTGGCGTGGGGCCGACTTAACCCTTTACAGTCCCTCCAGGGGCTGGGGAAGGGGGTGAGGAGCGATGGCTGTGAGCGCCGACGGGGGCAGCCAGCCCGCAGGCGTCTCGGGCTCCTCCAGCCCGCCGCCTCCCCACGGCCCCAGCTCCTCTTCCCTTCCGCCCCCAACCCCCAACACTTTACCTGTTGGTCCGCGGCTAGCGGGCTGGGGCTGGCGGCGGCGGGGTCACTCCGGCCGCCGCAGCCTCCATCATTCGGGTTGGGATGGGGGACTTGGATTTGATTTTATTTGTGCGGTATCTGCCTCGCCCGGACGAGCTCCGGGAACGCCGCGAAGTTTGCCACTGTCTGGGGGCGGCGAGCGACGCCGGCTCGCCGCCGGCGTTCTCGCCCCCACGGCCCGGGAGCGCGAGCTTCCGAGTTGGCGGACGGCGGCGCGGCGTCCGCACTGAGCATGCCCAGCTCGGCGGCCGGACCGCGGAGGAGTTGGCTGAGAGCGCGGTGAGCGCGCTCCAATCCGCCTCTCCGGGTTTTCGCAGCCGCAGAGCGCGCAGCCCGCGGGCCCCGGCGCCGAGGCTGGCCCTGGGGTGAACCTGGGCGAGGGAGGGAGCGCCCTCTGGAGCCCTGCTCCAAGCCCCCCGCTGCACCCTCCGCCTCGACCTCCCCAGAGGTCGCGGTCCCCGTGGCCTGGGCCGAAAACCTCACCTGCGCCGGGAGCGTGGAAGGGGCGGGGGGGGTGATCCTCCAGGGCAGACCTTGGTCATCCAACCCGCCCTCGCTCCTCGCTTCGGGGCGCGGGCACCAAGATGCTGGGCCACCTGGCGCGAGCTCTGCGAGACCGGAGCCGCGGAGGCGGGCTCGGCCTGTCCTGAGGGACCCCGCGGGAGGCGTGCCCGGGAGAATGCGCCCGCACTTGGCCAAGAATGATGGCTGCCATTTATGGAGCCTTCGCTACGTGCCAGGATCTTGATAGTCAGAATCTCTGGTCCTTACAACCTTCCACGGTCTTACTGTACCCTTTTTATGGATGGAGAAATTGAGCCAGCTCAGAGAGGACCACTCACTTGCCGAAAGCCACGAAACGAGTCGGAATTTGAACCCACGACTGATTCTAAGTTTCTGACCTGTTTTCCCTGACTTGGACTTGGAGGGACTGGGTTCCTAACCTGTCCTTGCCTGATGGACTCACGTTCTCCACGGCTTGAGGCATTCTCGGCCTTCCCTCTCTGTAAGGTGGTAAAGGCAGATTCTAACCGGAAGCCTTTGATACATAGTAGGTGCTCTGGAAATGCTGGTTGAATCTGAACATCAACTTTGATGTTCGTTGACATTTAAGCAAAGGGGGAAGAAGGAGATAAATAAAGTGAAGGTAATGTGGTAGAGGCTAGTTCCTCACTCCTGATCCTGACCTGTGAGCACCTCCAAACCCAGTTTGAGGCTGAGTCAGGTGTTTAGCTTTTGGCTTCCTTAATCTGAACAATTACTTCTAGAGAGCATTTACCTAACTTCACTGGAGGGCATTTCCTGACCACCTTCCCCATCTTGCCCCAGGGTCTTCTCTTCCACTAATATCCTGGGATTAATTTCATGGCTGGACTTGCCCTTGTGATACAGGCATCTATCAAATGTAGCTCCCTTGTTTGAAAGAAAGGACAGTTTTTTGTTGTTGTTGTTTTCTTTGTTTGGTTGGTTGGTTGTTTTTTGAGACAGAGCCTCGCTCTGTCGCCCAGGCTGGAGTGCAGTGGCGAGATCTCGGCTCACTGCAAGCTCCGCCTCCTGGGTTCACGCCATTCTCCTGCCTCAGCCTCCCGCGTAGCTGGGGCTACAGGCGCCCGCCACCACGCCCGGCTAATTTTTTTTGTATTTCTTTTTTTTAGTAGAGACGGGGTTTCACAGTGTTAGCTAGGATGGTCTCGATCTCCTGACCTCGCAATCCGCCCACCTCGGCCTCCCAAAGTGCTGGGATTACAGGCGTGAGCCACCGCGCCCGGCCGAAAGGGTTTTTTTTATTATCTAACTTTATTAGGGAAATTATTAAACATACAAAAAGCTGAAGAAATCATATAAGGAGCCCTCAAATATTCATCTCTCAGCTATAAAAATTAAAGTTACTATTTTTGTTTCATCTTTCTCCCCCATTCCCAACTCACTGACATACACTAGTAAGGACAGTTTTACTCATTGTTGCAACTCAGAAACACTGTATGGGACCTGACACATGGTGAGCATTCAAAAATGTTGGCTTATGGAATGGATGATAGGTAGGCGATGTGTGGATGGACTGATGATTGCATCATTAGTGGTACTTTGGGAATAACAGCCTGCGCTGCTACTGAATCAAACACCCCTAGTTTGGGGGAGAAATGTAATCTCAGTTCTTCCCTTGGGATGCCTAAGCAAGCGCCTCCAACTGAAACACTTTGAAGCACTTAAAATCTTATCTGCCCATAAGAATTTTATCTTAAAATCAAAATGTGTCAGTAGTGTGCCCCTGGTGTTTGGGAAGAAGGGAAAATAATAGCCCTCTCCCTGTTGTTGTCCCTTCTTAACTCCCTCTCCTGAAACAGTCTGGCATGAATTCCTTGACCCTCTCAACACAAAATAAATAAATATTGAAAACTTTAATATGCTTAGAAGCTTCCCCTAGGAATCATTATTTTACTGCATGGATTTCCCATGGGCATTTGGCTCCTTACCCTGGGAAATCTTTGTAATCTACCCCCTACCTAGCAATTCAGCTTTTTCTCCTTAACCTCTTGCCCTAGTTAGCTTCCTTTCCTAATATGGAATTCCCAGGCTCTTCATCTTCAAATACTCACCTCTACAGTCCTCAGAGTACGGATTCCTGTACAAAGCCCCTTCAAATTCCCCTGGCAAAAGGTGATCTTTTGGCTTTTTAGTGCCCTTAGCACTTAATTTTTATTATCTTAACACTTATTTATTGGCATGCATTTGAATGTGTCACACAGAATAGTCTTGTTGCCTCATTCTCACCTTTTCCTCCTGGTCCCCTTCTTCCATTCCAGGTCTTTAAGCAGACTAAGATCAGCTCATCATGATGGGCTTAACCTGTAACCCACTGTGTTCTATACAGTGCTTGAATTTCCCACGTGGTGCTGGTTAATATAGCAGGCAAACATTCTCGTTGAATAATGTGGGTTCTAGCTGATACTGTTCCTAAGGGGTATTTTATCTTTACCTAGCTAATGATTCCCTGGGACCAGGAAAAATTTGCATGGAACAGAAATTAGAGAAGACCAGAGGCTCCCCAAATAGGTCCCAGCCTTGAACCTCAGCCTAGCAAGAAGGGATGAGTTCAGGTTCCTAAGGAAGTTTTGTATAGCTATCCAGGGAAATGGGGTTGAAATGTGGCTGGAGAAAGGTGAATGAATTACAAACCATTTTAAGCATATGGTGCTATATCCTCCAAGTATAAAGCTGAGTCTTCACTGCTGCTTTTGAGGGTTACCAGGTATTTAAAAGTTGACCCTTTTTCTTGGGTCACATTCAAGGGTTTCTCAAAGATTCCCTAACTGCTTATGTTCCCTCTGAAAGCCCTGATTTTCAGCATTCTGCAAGGAGTCCCTCACAGTTGGTATCCATTTGTGCTTTTGGGCAAATCCCTTCAATATAGCTCATGGCTGGCTTTCTCTCCCTACATTTGGTCTGCCAGAAATACACAAATGTCCTTTGCCTGTACATACGCTAGTGCAGGCATTTTCTAACCAGCCTTCTGTCCTTGCCCACCATGAACACACTCTGCAAGCCACAATTCTCCACCTTGAAAGTTCAATAGTCTAAATCGGAGACCAGTTCCTCAGGTTCATCCAAACTGCAGAGGATGAATGTCAAATGCTCAGGTCAGTGACCCTCTCAAAAAGTTTGAAGTGAGGAATAAAATTTCTTTGGTGAAAGGCAGAGACACAATCATTTGCAGAGAAGTTGTTTTTTGTTTTGTTTTGTTTGTTTGTTTTGTTTTGTTTGAGACAGAGTTTTGCTCTGTCACCCAGGCTGGAGTGCAGTGGCGCCATCTCTGCTCACTGCAATCTCCACCTCCCGGATTCAGGCGATTCTCCTGCCTCAGCCTCCTGAGTAGCTGGGATCACAGGTGCATGCCCCCACACCTGGCTAATTTTTGTATTTTTAGTAGAGATGGAGTTTTGCCATGTTGGCCAGGCTAGTCTCAAACTCCTGGCCTCAAGCGATCCACCCATCTTGGCCTCCCAAAGTGCTGGGATTACAGGCATGAGCCACCGCACCTGGCAGCAGAGCAGATTTTTTAAATGAGAGTGAAGAATGGCTAGGAGCAGAGGCAGGATGTTTACCCATCAGAAACTGTGGTCCTGGCTGGGCATGGTGGCTCACACATGTAATCCCAGCACTTTGGGAGGGCCCAGGTGGGTGGATCACTTGAGGCCAGGAGTTCAAGACCAGCCTGGCCAACATAGCAAACAAAAAATTAGCTGGGCGTGGTGGTGCATGCCTGTAGTCCCAGCTGCTTGGGAGGCTGAGGCAGGAGAATCGCTTGAATCTGGGAGGTGAAGGTTGCAGTGAGCGGCGGTCACCCCACTGCACTCCAGCCTGGGTAACAGAGACTCTGTCTCAAAAAAAGAAAAAAGAAAAGAGAAAAGAGAAGGGAAGGGAAGGGAAGGAAAAGGCAGGGGAAGTGGGAGGGGGAGGGGGAAGGGGGAGGGAAGGGGAGGGGAGGGGAGGGGAGGGGAGGGGAGGGGAGGGGAGGGGAGGGAAGGGAAGGGAAGGGAAGGGAAGGGAAGGGAAGGGAAGGGAAGGGAAGGGAAGGGAAGGGAAGGGAAGGGAAGGGAGTGGTCCTACTATTCCTATTCCTATTTTACAGATTAGTAGGTAGGGCTCCAGAGGTGAAGCTGCTGTTCCCAGGCCATTGAGTTAGCGACTAGCAAAGCCAGAATCAAACCTAGAATCTCTCTGACTCCCAAACTTATGCTTATTATTGTTGTCAATGTGTTACATGTATTAATTATCATTTACATAACACATAAAGGTGAGCCTTTGAAGACAGTTCTGGTATAAGAGAAGCAAAACTCCTGACAGCTCACTCTGGCATAGCAGCACAATTCCACTCAAGTGGAAAGAAACAATTCTCAGTGTAGTGCCTGTAGGTAAAGTAATTAAAGTTGCTAGCTTTCCTCATGGGATTGTTGCGTGTCCAGGTGTATATACTGTGTTTTGTTAACAGATTGTCTATAGGCAGTTTGCTTACTTTCCATTTTTCTTACATCCCCATTATATTTCAATGTATTTGTCTCATGCCTACTTCTAAATCAAAACAGAAAAATTTCCCCTTTATTTTAAACTCCCCAAAAAAGGAAAGATGATAATGACTTGGGAAGGTGGGTCAGAAGAGAGAAAAGAGAAATGGAAGAGTAATTTGGGGGTGTTTATTCAAATTGGGTTTTTAATACAGCATTTATGCTTACAGAGATATAAAAAATACAGACATTAAGACTCTCAAGTAGCACTGACCAATAGTTTTATATTGCTTGCCAGATAGGTACTTTTACATTTTCTGGTATTAAAGAAGTAAAAAGAAATAGATGAAATTAATTTTAATGTACATTTGCTTAAGCCAGTATAACCAAATATTACCATTTCAATAGGTGATCAATACCAAAAAAAGTATTAATGAGATACTTTACATTCTTTTTTATCTTCAGTATTCTAAATCTTGTGTGAATTTCATACCTATACCATCATTTCAGACCAGCCACATTTTGCATTTCATGTATGCAATAGTCACATGTGGCTAGTGGCTAACATGTTGGTCAGCTCAGCTCTGAAGGAATGTTTCAGTCCTAATGAACCTGTAACATGTGGGTTTTTAATAATGACACTGAGGAAGCAGGTGGGTTTCCAAATTAAAAGAACAAAAAGTAATGACAGAAGTAAAACAAGAGAGGCTGTGTGTGGTGGCTCATGCCTGTAATCCCAGCACTTTGGGAGGCCAAGGAGGGCGGATCACCTGAGGTTAGGAGTTCAAGTCCAGCCCGGCCAACATGGTGAAACCCCGTCTCTACTGAAAATACAAAACTTAGTCAGGTATGGGGGTGCACACCTGTAATTCCAGCTACTCATTAGGCTGAGGCAGGAGAACTGCTTGAACCCGGGAGGTGGAGGTTGCAATGAGCCGAGATTGCGCCACTGCATTCCCGCCTGGGTGACAGAGCAAGACTCCATTTCAAAAAAAGAAAGAAATAAATAAAACAAGAGAAAGGTAAAGAAGAAAAGTAAAGGCAACTTGGGGAAGACAGTAGATACCCAAACAGTGCTTAGTTGCTAGACAGATGGAAACTTCAGGGGGCAAAGGACACAGAAAGGAAAATCTGGGGATTTAAAATCAGAGGGTAAAATAAGAGAGTTTTAAATTACAAAGCCGAACCAATGACAAGGCTAAAGATTTAACCTCATTCACTAGCAAAATGGTGTCTGCTACATTTACAAAATGAAGGCTGACTGGTTGGTTTCTGGAGAACGAAGGGGGCCACACAAACTTAGGTCACTGTTAATATCATGGTCACATACTCAGCTTTTCAGCACCAGAATCTTATTTTGTCAGCTGACCCAGAGTGGTTCAATCTCTACAAGGCTCAACACACTCAAGAGTTCTGGCTTCTCAATACAAAGAAATACCCCTTTCCAGAGACTGAAAAACATATATCCTCTTATTCAGATCACCTCCTTTCTAAAGTTTGTTGTAAAACAAAGTTAGCAAGCAGAAATTTGGTGACCATGAAATTAGAGCAAAAGGAATTGGATAATCTCCTACGAGCAGTCACACAGACTGTCCCACAGTAGAATTCATCTCCCTTATGACATGAATAGGATAGATGTCACACTGTGGCCCATCGGTCCCATTGGTGGATATACAGACAGGTTATTATTGTTCAATGCCTTTATTATTTACTTCATACCAGAGGTTCTTGGTGGTCCACAAATATTTGTTTGGATTGCTTTGGGCTTGCACAGTCACTTCTGGACTCTCTAGGAAAGTCTGCCTACACTGGGTCCACCTTTTCCAATGACACCAATCTGTTGGAGCTGAGAAGGGTCTGCCCCTTTGAGTGTGCTATGTTGTCACAGCCCCAACTGACCAGCTTCACTCAGAGGGCTGGCTAACCAGTTGAGATCCTACATCTTGAAAGAGTGAGATCCCTACTATACGGAGACCTCTGCTAAGCAGGCCTGGCTTCAGACTTTCCTGTTGGGAAAGGAGAGAGAGAGAGATTACTTTTCAGTTATACAATAATTGATTATGTTACTACTTTTTTATTGTTAACCAGTTAAGGATCCAGTCTTTATCATCAGTTAGTTTCAGATTGTAACTAACCTGTTAGGATGGGTTACATCTGATGAAAATTATAATCTGATAACTATTCATTATGAGATATTTCGGTTCTCAGAGAAATATTTTTCTCCAAGTTCTAGGGACATCCTCTTATACTTTCTTATCTATCTGCTGCAGTCACACAGAGCAAGAAAGCGTGGAAAATATATTAGATGGCAGAATCTGTATAGTAAACAAAATATCTTGATGGATTAAAATGATGAACTAAATGTAACAGGGTCAAATTTTATATAAGAATAAATTCTTTTTTCCCCTCTCTACTGGATATATCTAAGACTGTTTGGTACCTACTGTTTGCTAAATCTAAAGTTTAAATTCTAAGCAGTAAAAAATAAACGCTGCCAACACTTTGCTCTCAGTAGCATTTGGGGAATAGTGCACAAATCAATTACATGGATCCTTTATATAATAGTATTTTTTATTAGTATTGTTAAAACATTGCCCAACATTCTCACCACTATGCCTCTTCCCAGGGCTGTTAACAAATAGGAGAGAAAGGAAAACACCTCTTGGCTACAGTTGTGGTATGCGGAACTGCAGAGTGAATATAAAAATTGTCTCGGAGAGGATGTTGCAAACCAAGATGGAGAAATGTGTCAGATCAGCAAAGGAGCCTGGAGAAGTTAGGGTCTCCTGACCCCTGGAACCTCAGCCACCTGGTCCAGTTTTGCTAACAGGAAGCAGGGGCCAGCTGGGAGTGTGGTGATGAGCAAAATAGACATTAAGTTCAAGTTGGGGCATCTTGAGTACGAAGAGACAAAGGGAGTCCTTTCTGAGCAGTAGTAAATGGAGGCTATAGAGGCTGTGACAGCTAGACTGAAACAGAAGATGAGAGTAGAGACTGGCTGAGTAAGGATGAGAGCAGAGAGGAAGAAGAGCTGAGAACCAAGTTGTCATCAAGACGGATCAAGGCTTGTGTGTAGGAGGCAGGCAATTGGCTTGCCCTGCAGAATGGTTGGCTTTTTGCCCATTGCCAAGGTACATAATGAACGCGAGGACCCCCCATTAGATGACAGCACCAACAGTGGATGGGGGGAGGTAGGGCAGAATAGCTGAATGGCATAAGATCAAAGGAGAATGGTTTTTAACAAGACAGTGAAATATAATGTGGGGGAGTGAAGCAGACACTGTGGCAGACACTGCTTGTTCTCTGCCCGATATCTTTATCTTTATCCCTTTTCTTCCTTAGTAACGAAATCTTGAATTTGTTCTGGGGTACAATATGCCAGCTAAATACACCTACCTTCCTAGATTACCTTACATCTAGGGATGGCCATGTGGCACACTTCTAGCCAATGAGACATAAGCTTAACTTCTCTAGGGATTCTGAGAATGTTTTTCTTTCCTGATGCAGGCAACACCCTTTAGCTCCTTTTCTCTTCTCGCCTGGAATTTAGTCATGAAGTCTAGACTACAATGGCCATATTGTGACCAAGAAGTTAGAAATATGGTATGAGGAAAAGGCAAGACAACCCCAGAGATGAGCCCTGATTTCAAGTGGCCACTGAACCAATACCAACAGCCATCTACAACCAGGTATCTGGTTATGTGAAGAATGAGCCCTACTTAATGAAACCAGTGTTAGTGACTTTTCTATTATTCATAATGTAATATATTCCCCATAGATATTAACCCACCTGGTTGAACTGAAATACAAAGGTAAGAGGGGTGCAGGAAAAGCAGTGCTCCAAGGGAAGAGGCCAGCTTTCCCAAGGTAGGAGGAAGGAGGTGAGAGTGTTAGAAAAGAAACTGTATAGGTATGGCAATTTGCTAGCTATGGGGAAAGGATTCAAGAGGCCAGAGTGGAAGAGAATGAAAAGGAGATAAGGGATGGAAGCCTGGGGCAGAAAGACGTGCAAAGCTTCATGAGGACGATAGCGTGGAAGTGGATCAGTTGACTATGTGGGCATAGGGGTAGAGGCTACACTTTGAACCTAGACCAGCATGAACAGAAGTGAGATCCATGGAAGATTTGGTCTCCAAGTCTCTTTGAGGTCAGAAACCTTGTTATCTTCGCAGAGGGATTACCAGGTTGCACCAGTGGAACCATCATCTTTCCACATCCTTGGTTAGGAAAAAAAGGAGAAATGTCATCCCTTTCAGCTCTCTAGAGAATCCATGTGCAGGTTTAAAGCTGAATAATGAAACCTGGCAATTTATCTGGATTCCCTTTAAATCTCTCTGGGGTCAGAAATAGAAGCAACCTGAAGGAGGCGGGGAGGAACTGAAGGCCACAGGGCCTGCTAGGGCAGGATGAGGGAGGCATTTTGCTCTCTTTTCTGGTAATTGGCCCACAAGGGCTGTTGTCTCCCCAAGGAGGCTAGTGTTCCCCTCCCTAAGTCCTTAGTCCCAAAGCAGAGTGACAGCCGTGAGCCTGCTAGATCATCCATGTTGCCATAGCAACAGGCTTGCCCTTGGAGCAGTGGGTTCATGACAAAATGATCAGCCCTCTCTTAAAGGTTGTTGCTGTGTGTTGGACCAAGAATGCAGGCCAGGTGGGTGGGTATGAAGGCCTGGAGCCAAGAATATTCAGGGTAGGAATTTTTTCCCAAGTGGTGAAAAGCCTGAAGAGTCTGAGAATGAGTACAAGCTAAATCTAACCAGCCAGGGGCCAAAACAGAAGAAGCACTATTCAACCATCAAGCCTGAGGGACATCCCCATGATGAATTTGGTGGGGGAAAGTACGGAGTGGTAGTGAGAGTAAGAGAAGAAGCCAGAGCAAGAGGGGTTGGAGTGTCTGTGATTCTTTTCTTAGGCTGCTGGCTACATGTTGTGTTAGATGAGCTGCATTAATAATATTCAGGGACTCTGGGTGGACACTGGCTGACCCCAACCCTGTTAAGCCATGGATAGCTTGTTTCCAACCCTCATTCTTGCTCTAAGTCAATGAAAACCAATTCTGTTGGTGTTCTAGGACTCCATCTTCACCTCTTCTTCAGTCCTTTCTCTTGGATGAAGTTCTCAGCATCTCTCTGTGGGCCTGTGAAAGTGCGGATACCATCCAGGATACCTGACCAGTTTCTACAACCAGACATATTCCTAGATTCTCCTGTAGTTCTTAACTAGGATCAATCCACAGCTCTCTAGGCTGGGACCTGGTGGAATGTAAGCTCCATCAGGGAAGGGTCTTTTACTGAGCGTTTATCACTGTATTCCTAACACATAGCACAAGCCTGTCACATAGCAGGAGTTTAATAAATATTTATTAAATGAATAATTGAACAAGAGTGCTTGACAACTTTCATAACTTTCACCTACTCCAGGTTATTGGACTCTTCTGTGGGCACTTAACCATAGTCATAGTCCTGCTTCTTCCAGGATGGACCCTCTTAGATCCAAGACCTTCTACCCACTTGTCACTGAAAGCTTCTATGACCAGAGATTCCTCATTATCCACCTGGGTGGGCCCATGGACACCAGTGCCAGCCTTGACTAGGACAAAGATTTCAAATGTCCCTTTAGGCACTGCAGTGATAGCTTTTTTATACCCTTCTTGGTGACAACAGCATTAGTCCCCTGACCCAGAACTTGGGTCTCAGCCTACTTCCTTCTTGTCATCCTTCACAGGCAGCTCTATGAGAGTTGTGGTGATATTGTAGACGCCCTTGAGGGTCTCCCTGCTACAACAGCCTAGGAGTAAAAAGTAGGATTATAATAATGTAATTTCACTCTGATTCACAATTGAAAACATGTAAATCTTCTCTCCTAATATGCTAATATATATATACATGTCTGTTTTTAATTTTCTTATAGCATTTACTGCTATTTGAAATTGCCTATATATTTGTTATCTGGCTTTTTGTCAGTTTCTGTCATAGGAATATAAGCTTTTTGGTGTCAAGAATGTTGTCTGTTTCATTTACTACCTGTCCAGTAACTATTAAATGGATGAATTAATTACTCTGGATTAATCAGGGTCAGGGTAGGCCCTCTGTGTACCTAGGAACCCAGATCTCTGACTGCATTGTGAAATGCTTATTTTCCTCTTCACTTGTTCCATCTTTCCTTGGGCACAGGTCCAGTCATTGCCTCTAACGTCAACACACTGCCAAGACACTTGGTGCTTCCTCTGCTATCAAAGCCCCCAGTGTCATCTTACATCTACCCATACCAGAGAACCCAGTTCTCTGACTGCATTGTGGAAGGCCCATTTTCCTCTTCACTTGCTCCATCTTTCCATAGGCACAGGTGCAGCCACTGCCTCAGGCATTCACCACACTGCCAAGGCCCTGGTGCTTCCTTTGCTATTAAAGCCCTCAGTGTCATCTTCCACCCATATCTGCCCAAACCACACTGCACCAAGGAGCCTGTTGAGCTGGGCCCAAGCCTGCATTTCCAACCCTGATAACATACCAGTGTGGAGATGTCCAGCTCCCCACTGAAGAGGAGGCAATCTCTTTCCCCTACCCTTTGTATTACCCACATCCCAAAACAAGGCTTCCTTGAACGTCCAGATATTTTTTGTAAAAATAACCTTTTGATCTTTGCAGTAAACTCCTTTGCTTAGGAATCTGGCATTAGCCCATCTCAGTAACAAGCACAATGCTATACCCAGGCATCGGTGTTAGATTAAGCTCGCATGCAGTGTTTTTCCCAATCTTTTATCCCCAAGGTCCCTCAATTTCTCTTTAGAGTCCCTAGGAAAGCCTCTGCCACTGCCTGTTCCCATAGCATGACTTGATGTGTCTAAATTCTCCTATGAGCAGCAGCCAGAATGGCCACAACACAAGGAGTTTGGATTTTACCCTGTGGTGACAAGGAACAAATGGAAGCCTTGGATAAGGAGATTTTCTTGGAGAACCAGTGCCTTAGAGATAGATATGTATTGTTGATATGTAGGATGATACATGGGAGAAGACTCTAGGCTGCCTTTGGTCATTGTAATTCACCCTCCCAAAGATCCTGACTGAACAGAATTCCACTTCCTTCCCATATTTCTGTGAGTCAATAGTTCTCTCTGAATATTGCTGGCTTTCTGTTTTCTTGGCACATGGTTGGTATGATTATTAATTTTTTTTTTTTTTTTGAGACAGAGTCTCACTCAGCCACCCAGGCTTGAGTGCAGTGGCTCCATCTTGGCTCACTGCAACCACTGTCTCCCAGGTTCAAGCGATTCTCCCGCCTCAGTCTCCTGAATACCTGGGATCACAGGTGCCCGCCACCACGCCCGGCTAATTTTTGTACTTTTAGTAGAAATGGGGTTTCACCATGTTGGCCAGGCTGATCTTGAACTCCTGACCTCAAGTGATCCTCTGGACTCAGCCTCCCAATGTGCTGGTATTACAGGTGAGAGCCACTGCACCTGGCCCATTATACTATTCTTTTAACTTTTCTGTAAGTTTAGAATTTTTTAACTTATAAGTTAGAAAAAGAAAGGGTTTCCTGTATATTAGATAGTTTTCTGTGGGCAAAGAACTTAGAACAATGCTTGGCTTAAGCATGCAAATAAATGTTACTTGTTCTGATCATTCTAAGTGCTTTACATGTAGTATCATGTTTAACCCTCACAATGGCCTTGTGAAGTTCTGATCGTAGGATGCTGTCAGTCTCTCGCATCCCTTTTACCAGGCAAGTGCACACCTCTCCAAGTTACCATAAAGTATTGGTTGCTAAAGGTTTACAGCTCCCTTTTCTCTGGAGAATTGCCTTCAGTCTAACAGAAACCGCCCCGGAGATTATACCACACACCAACCCTGGGGGACGGTCAGCAACCAATGACTAAGGAACAAAGAGGCATAAAAAGCTAGCCCTAGTGGTGGCCTGTAATCTCAGCACTTTGGAAGGCCGAGGTGGGTGGATCATCTGAGGTCAGGAGTTCAAGACCAGCCTGGCCAACATGGTGAAACCCTGTCTGTACTAAAAATACAAAAATTAGCTGGGCGTGGTGGCACATGCCTGTAATTCCAGCTCCTTGGGAGGCTGAGGCATGAGAAGCACTTGAACCCGGGAGATGGAGGTTGTAGTGAGCTGAGATCACACCACTGCACTCCAGCCTGGCAACAGAGTGAGACTCCTTCTCAAAAAAAAAAAAAAAAAAAAAAAAATTAGCCAGGCGTCCAGGCATCTTGGTGGGTGTCTATAATCCCAGCTACCCAGGAGGCTGAGGCAGGAGAATCACTTGAGCCTGGGAGGCAGAGGTTGCAGTGAGCTGAGATCGCACCACTGCACTCCAGCCTGGGCGACAAAGCAAGTTTCTGTCTAAAAAAAAAAAAAAAGCTAGCCCTGGCCTTAATGCAGGACTCACTTTGTGGTCCAATTCCAGAGCTCCCTGAGGATCAAAGTGAAGCTGGACCCAGTTGAGACCACATCTTTACTTAGCTCTCCACTTTGTCCTATCCCTCTTCCCTTCCTGCCTTTGGACTGTGAGTCAAAAAATAAATCACATGTCCGCTAAACCTTTATCAGGTTCTGCTACAAGGGAACCTGACCAGGAGGAAACAGAGGCAAGGAGGGCTAAGAAACTTTCCCAGGAGCCTCCCCAGACCACACAGTAGTAGATTTGAACCCAGGTAGTCTGAGCTCATGGTCTTTACCACTGCTCTTCATACGTAAAGAACTTGTTATGTGCCAATGAAAGTTATGTCTCAATAAACCTCAGCTCTAGCCTCCTTGCTCAGTTGCTGAGCATTGAAAGTCAATCAGACATGATTCTTGTGCTTCTCATAGCCTGCAAACTCATGGACGAGACAAACATAGTCACCAGTGGCAGCCAGTGGTTACAGGCATAAACACACGCACACACACACACACACACACACACACAAACCCACATACATACACATATATAAGCCTACACACACATACATATACAAACCTATACAAACACATTAACACACACGGAAACCTATACACATATGCACATTCACACATGCATATGCACCCAAGCCATACCCTTACAGTGGAATCCCCTACAGCTGCTAAAAAAGAAAGTCATAGGCTGCATGTTCTAGGAATGTATTTGTTAATGGAATAAAAAAAATAAACAATATTTTGGAAATTTCAATCATATACATATATTACATATATTTCTTTTTAAAAATCAGTGGAATTGTTTTTTGTCTGTTTCCTTCATGTTTCTATATAATAGGATATTTAAAAACACATAAACAGATAAAACCTGAGGCACATCGATATTTGTAGAGGATATTTATGTAGCTCAGTAAATAATAATGGTACATGTGTGAAGCAACCTATAGCCTTATGAAAAGAAAATAATATAAAACTGCAGGTCATTTAGGGAAGTAATAATATGAACATTAAATCTTTAGATATTCATTTGTTCTAAGATTATTAAGCTATGTTTTCTAGTTGCTGAATTCCCACAGAATCTGTGTTCTAAGGCCTTCTCCTCTAATGTCTCAGAGCTGCTATGTTTTGTTTTCTGATTCTGCAACGTCTGTTGATGGTCACAATGTTGGGCCCCTGAGGCCTGAACTGATGTGAAATGAACACTGAACCTGAAGTCCTAGGTTGCAATTACTGCTTTGTAATTTACTGACATCGACTTTGGGCAAGTCACCTCTTTGAGCTTCATTTGTCTCATCTATATATAAATGGAGGAAATAAAATCTACTTCACAAGATTTTTGTGAAAATTAAATGGGGTAACATTTGGATGGCACCTAGCCCAGCACCTAAGAAGATGGAAATAAAGGAATGAATAAATCCATAGCCAATAAACAGCAAAGGGTGTGCACTTACTGCAAGAGTCCCTGATTATTAATGCAACCCAGCAACCACAAGCAGCCATGAAAAGAAATCACAGACAGTCCTTCACCTAGATTGACCAATTAACGTTTTGCCACATTTATTGTATATCTACTGTTGTTATTATTACTAAGGGTGGGGATGGTGGCAGTGGTAGTAGTAATAGAAGTAGTTTTGGTGGAAACATTTGAGAATAAGTTCCAGACATCAATCCTTTATCCATTAGATACACTGGCATGAGTTTCCTAATAGCAAAGACATTCTTTTACATATCCACAGTAAAATAATCAAATTCAAAATTTAACAGTGATCTATAGTTTATATTCAAATTTTCTTTCTTTCTTTCTTTCTTTTTTTTTGAGATGAAGTCTCGCTCTGTCACCCAGGCTGGAGTGCAATGACATGATCTCAGCTCATTGCAACCTCCGCCTCCCAGGTTCAAGTGATTCTCCAGCCTTAGCCTCCCGAGTAGCTGGGATTACAGGCACCTGCCACCGCGCCCAGCTAATTTTTTATACTTTTAGTAGAGACGGGGTTTCACTAAGTTGGTCAGGCTGGTCTTGAACCCCTGGCCTCAGGTGATCCACCCACCTCAACCTCCCAAAGTGCTGAGATTACAGGCGTGAACCACCGCACCCAGCCTATATTCAAATTTTCTAACTGTCCCAATGTTGTCCTTTATAGCTTTTATTTCTTCAATCCAGGATCACATATAGTTGTTGTTTGTATTCTTTTCCTTTTTTGTCCTATATGAGAAGTCTTTGTCTATTCCAATATCACAAAGATTTTATTCTGTTTTCTGTTAGAAGTTTTACAGTCCAAGTGTGGTGGCTCATGCCTGTTATCTCAGAACTATGGGAGGCCAAATTGGGAGAATCGCTTGAGCCCATGCATTCAAGACCAGCCTGGGCAACATAGCGAGACTCTGTCTCTGCAAAAAAATTAAACATTAGCCAGCCATGGTGGCACATGCCTGTGGTCCCAGCTACTTGGGAGGCTGAGGTGAGAAGATGGCTTGAGCCCAGGGTTTGAAGCTGCAGTGAGTAGTGATGGTGCCTCTGCACTCCAGCCTGGGTGACACAATGAGACCTCATCTCAGAAAAGAAAAAAAGTTTTATAATTTTAGCCTGTATTTTTAAGTCTATAAATAGATATTTAACTTAATAGAGTAAAATCTATTAATATCGTTGTTTATTTGATGCTCATATTTTCCCAGTTTTCCCAGTAGAAGCTGCTTCAAGGCAGTTTCCATAGCCTTTTGACAGATTCCCTTAATTTTTTTAGCACTTTCTTATTTTCTGGCACATGATGTTTCAGGCTTATCTTGTACTTTAACTGCTCCAGCCCTGGAATCAGCATTTTCCCAAGGAGCCCTCCCTCCTTTTAGTGTGAGTGATATTTAAAAATCAAGATCTGGATACTAGTTGCTCATTGCTATTGGGTATTACTGCTTCTAGATTCTTTTAGAGGACAGAGCTAGGAAATATCTGTCTATCTGTCTGTCTATGTAGATTATTCCAATTCCAGTGCAACAAATTAGATTCTTTTTTGTCTTCACTTGTTTTATATTTGTATCTGCCTTCTCCCACAGTGAGAACCCTGGCTCCCAACACATCTTGTATGTACCTGTTTGCTTAGTTCTACAATACCCAACATAGTTTTAGAATTGCTATAACTATGGTCTACAAAAAACCTACTAAACAGAGTTTAAGTGTTTTTATTACTTTTTTTGTTTGTTTTTTGACTGAAGATATTTAGCCAAAGTATTGTATTCAAATGTTACTTGAATTATTTTTTTCCATGTAGATGTGCTATTCATTTGAAATATAGTTAATTGGTTTCTGTTTGCATTCAATTTGCATTTTTTTCTCATACTTGTTTTTATTTAACATTATTTTTGAATTTATAGAGCATTAATATGGTTTTAAAATAAAAACTATACAAAATACACACTCACAGAATTATCAATTCCTCTTCTATTCCTTTCATTCTATTCCTATCCACCATCTATGGATAATCAATATATTAATTTCTAGTATATATTTCCTATGGTTTATTTATTTATTTATATTTTTAAATTTATTTATTTATTTATTTATTTTGAGACGGAGTCTCGCTCTGTCACCCAGGCTGGAGTGCAGTGGCATGATCTCTGCTCACTGCAACCTTGCCTCCAGGTTCCAGCGATTCTTCTGCCTCAGCCTCCTGAGTAGCTGGGATTACAGGCGTGCGCCACCACACCTGGCTAATTTTTGTAATTTCAGTAGAGATGGGGTTTCACCATGTTGGTCAGGCTGGTCTCAAACTCCTGACCTCGTGATCCGCCCGCCTCAGCCTCCCAAAGTGCTGGGATTACAGGCATGAGCCACCATGCCCGGCTGGCCATTCCTGTGTTTTTTGGTTTGTTTGTTTTTCTTTAAGAAATAAGCTTTCTTACTCATATGGCATACCACATATACGCTTTTGTATTTTGGTTTTTTTACTTGATCACATACCCTGCAAATCACTCCATATCAGTTCATAGAGATCTCCTAATTCATTTCCCTAGCTGCAGAGCACTCCATTGTGTTGATATCATAGTTTATTAAACCAATCTCCATGCCAGGGATTTTAGGTTGTTTATATACCTTTTCAATTGCAAGTAATGCTGTGTAGGTATTTTTGTATCATCGTTAGAGGTAGTATCAGTCTGGACACAGAGACCATGCAGTAATTAAAATGAGGAGATTTACTATTAAATTATTAAGCTATGATACAATAACATAAAGATGTAAAGAGAACTCTAAAGTCGGGCTGGCAAACTTCTTTATAATGGGACAGACAGTGAATATATTAGGCTTTCTAGGCCATATTTTCTCTGTCATAACCATTCAGTACTTTATAGACAACACATAAATAAATGGACCTGGCTGCATTTCAATAACATTCTATTTACAAAACAGGTAGGGAGCTGGATTTGGCCAGAAAACTGTGGGGTTTGAACACAGTTTGCCAACCCTTGCTCTAAAGAATGCCCTAGGACCGGTCGGGTACAGTGGCTCACACCTGTAATCCCAGCACTTTGGGAGGCTGAGGCAGGAGGATCACCTGAGGTCAGGAGTTTGAGACCAGCCTGGCCAACATGGTGAAACCCTGTCTCTACTAAAAATACAAAAATTCACCAGGCGTGGTGGCGGGTGCCTGTAATCCCAGCTACTCGGGGGGCTGAGGCAGGAGAATCATTTGAACCCGGGAGGCAGAGGTTGCAGTGAGCTGAGATTGTGCCACTGCACTCCAGCCTGGGCAATAGAGCCGGATTCCATCTCAAAAAAAAGAAAAAAGAAGAACGCCCTAGGGCCTAGGGAGAGTGCTCAAGGCAGCACAGACCTGGAAGGGAAACCCCCACCTTCCTAATGAGGTTAAAACCTAGTTGAAGAAGGTGTGGTTGCAGCCTACTGGATAGCCCAACATTTGCTGGGTTCCCTGGGCCAAAGTTTGCCATAGCAGGAAAAAAACCCTCAGGCACACAGGTACATAGAGATGGTCAGGGACCCACCTGGAGCCACTTAGTGTACCCAGCAGGAGGCTCACAGCAAGCTGGTCACTAGGCCTAGGCTGGGAATTGGATTTTGCTGAGGGGCCAAACACTCAGGTACCTCCTGGCTCCACCACTGTCCTTCTACTGCCTCCACTCCCACCCCAGCCATTGCCCCACTGACAGGCTATGCAGTAGAGCAAGTAAAAGCAAAGTGCAGCTTACCAGAACTAGAAATTGCCCCCATTTCTCCTGCAATGTCCCTCCAGTGCCCTCTACTGACAAAGGTTAATTAACGTCGTGCTCTCTGTTGAGGAGAAATGCTTAAAGAGTCCAGTTGATTACCCCAGAGCAGGTACTGAAGGGTAAACTTGAAGCTGAAGTCTCCTGGGGTAAATTCTTAAAAGCTGGATTTGTGAATCAAAGGGTAAAAAAATATTTTGCTAGGTTTTGATGAATTTATTTCAGTGTGTTTGTATCATTCTGCATTGCCACCAACAATGTATGGGAATACTATGTGTTATTTTAAAACGTCATCAACGGCATTGCCAAACTTTTTACTTTTTGTCACTATGATCGTTATGAAATCTTATCTCATTGTAGTTTTTTGTTTTGTTTTCTTTTGTTTTTTTTTAGATGGAGCCTCATTCTGTTGCCAGGCTGGAGTGCAGTGGCGTGATCTCTGCTCACTGCAACCTCCACCTCCCGGGTTCAAGCAATTCTCCTGCCTCAGCCCCCACTGGTAGCTGGGATTACAGGCGTGCACCACCACACCTGGCTAATTTTTGTATTTTTAGTAGAGACGGGGTTTTGCCATGTTGGCTAGGCTGATCTTGAACTCCTGACCTCAGATGATCCACCCGCCTCAGCCTCCCAAAGTGCTGGGATTACAGGTGTGAGCCAACCAGACTGGCCTCATTGTAGTTTTAATTTACATTTCTTTTACTGTTTGTAAAGTTGAACATCTTTTCATATGCTAAGAGTGATAAACTGTTCATATCTTTCATCCACGTCCCTATAGGGTTAGGAAATAAGTTCTTAAACTAGCTTAAAGCAGGAAAAACATCAGGTAAGCTACAACTGCAAATTACCTGTGAAGAAATAGTTTTGTAGAACTCTTGTTGTTTTTCCTAAGTTAGACACCAAAGTTTAATCTAAGTTCAGTTTATTTCAATATTTAGTGAAAACTTCCTGTGGGCCAGGCACCAGAGCTGCAGAGAAAGACATAATCCTTGCTATTAATGAGCTTAGTGGTAAAACAGACATATAAAATCACTTGGGAGATAGTAGAACATAGTGATTAAAATATGAATTAGGGTATGTGTGGACTTGGGTCCAAATTCTGACATTGCCATTTCAACAACTAGCTGTGTAATATTGGATGAGTCATTTCTATCTTTGCGCTTCAGTTTCTTAAGGCAGAGATAATAATATATATCATAGAAATATTATAAGAACTACATGAGTTGTTATATGAAAACAACTGCATGCTGCTTGGTATATAGTAAACATACAACAAATGTTAGCTAATAATAATAATAAATTAAAATGAAATAATGAGTAGTGACAAAATGATAGAGGAATTTACATCACACCATGATTGCATATATAAGCTCATTCCATTTTAGCTGAATTTAAATATATTATAACTAAGCCATCAAAAATGTTTAAACCATATGCAGTTGTTCAGTTTAATAAGAGAATCTATCAGATTTTTTCATATAATTTTCTTAGACATTGATGAAAGTAAATACTTAACAGAAGAATCTCAAATACTGAAACAACTAATCTGACATTCTGAATTGTTAATTATATAAATAAAGTGTTAGTAAAAAATACAAGACCATAGAATTTACATATTATTGTCATCCACTGACAGTTTTAAAGAACTCAAAGACCTACTTCAAGCAGGGAATCACAGTTCAATTGATTGATTCATTTGCTAATTTCCTTTCAGTCTCTATTACCTAATATATACTTAGAAACAAAAGTTGAATTCAAGGGTTACATTTAATGTAAAATATAAAATATCAAAGGTCTAAATATATTTAATAAAAATGCTCAATTCACTATGATACAATGTAGTCTACCTCTTCTACTTCAAAGAGTCAGCAAAAATTTTCCAGGAACCATAATCTTGAATATTCCAAACGTGCAGCTATGTGCACAGCCATAAGAAAAAACAGTTGTTTTATTTTACCTAATTACAAATACTCCAGATATACCTTTGAGGGAAATTAACAAAATACAGAAAAGCAAAAATGAATAAAAGTCACAAATAATTGTATCACTTGGAGATAAACTGTATTTGGGTTGTACCATAGTAAAACAAGTATTTATAGACCTCCTACTCTATGCAGGTGTATTAGTCCGTTTTCACGCTGCTATAAAGATGCTGCCTGAGATTGGGTAATTTATAAAGAAAAGAAATTTAATTGACTTACAGTTCTGCATGGCTGGGGGTGCCTCAGGAAACTTAAAATCGGGCAGAATGGGAAACAGGCACTTCTTACATGGTGGTGGGCGAGAGAGAGAGAGAGAAATAGAGAGAGAGAGGGGAGAAGAGAGAGAGAGAAGAACTGTTAAACACTTATAAAAGGATCAAATCTCACGAGAACTCACTATCACAAAAATAGCATTGGGGAACTACCCTCATGATCCAATCACCTCCCACCAGGTCCCACCCTTGACATGTGGGGATTATGGGAATAACAACTGAGATGAGATTTGGGTGAGGACACTAATGAAACCTTATCAGCAGGTCTAGGTGTTTTTTTTTGTTTTGTTTTGTTTTTTTTGAGATGGAGTCTTGCTCTGTCACCCAGGCTGGAGTGCAATGGCGCAATCTCAGCTCACTGCAACCTCCGCCTCCCGGATTCAAGTGATTCTCCTGTCTCAGCCTCCCAAGTAGCTGGTATTACAGGTGTGCACCACCATCCCTGGCTAATTTCTTGTATTTTTAGTAGAGATGGGGTTTCACCATGTTGGCCAGGCTAGTCTTGAACTCCTGACCTTAGATGATCCACCCGTCCCAGCCTCCCAAAGTGCTGGGATTACGGGTGTGAGCCACCATGCCCTGCCAGCAGGTCTAGTGTTAAACTCTGGAACTGCTTGTGCCAGAGGAATGTGGGAAGCAACTCTGTGCTGCAAGACTGTTCCCTCCTGAATGAGTGATGGCCCCTGCTCTCTGGGCTGGAGACTTGATCTGTAAAATCTGCTCTAGAGTGTCAAGCTACATTCCACATAAAAAAGTTGTGTGTGTGATGATGTTCTGGGGACCCAGATGGCCATGCGCAACACTATGCAGTAACACAGAATCTAAATTCCAAAAACATGCATGCAATGATAACTTTTTCCAGTGGTTTTCATCTTTGATTGGGCAAAGAAAGCTAATGCTCATTGAAATTTTGACAGAACTTAAAGCCCTGCTTGGTTTTAAAGAAACTTGATGTCCAGAACCAAACTCATAAGATACAAATTATCAGGTGATTATTCTTGTGTAAAAAGTGGTCTTCTTTACTAAAGCATTTCCTGCTATCACTCTTTAATTCTACTACATTAACTGAACAGGGGCTACTGTGAGTTATTTTCAGTTGAGTTCCACAAATATACTGAAATTTTCTATTTAATTTACCAGAAATTTATTTAAAGTATAAATTTTCAAGAACATATTAACTGTATACACCTCTAACTATCTCAAAATTTGACTCTTGCTTGGAACTGTGGAGGAATCCAGCTCCATGATTTAGCCATACATTATTTCCATTAACATTAGTTCCATTAAAATGCAACTCAATAGATGGGGCTTCCAAACTTTGCTAAAATTGCATTGGTTTGCAGAATAGCTATAGTTGTGTTAAGATTCGTGACTTCCATAATAGCTTCTAATATTAAACTTTAAAGATCTTAAATTGATTTAGGTATGTTATTGGGTTCTCAGATAGGTCTTTCTTGCCATCTTTTCTCCTGTGGCCCCCTGTCATTATTGGTATCAAAACCATCTCAGGGACTGACTTCTTCAAATATCAGAATAAAAGAAAATACAAATCCAAAATGTGCCTGTCGCCTTGCAGACTCATTCTCTGAGAAATATTTTTTGGTGCATATTTATTTAAATAAAAGGCATAGTGCTCAGAAATTGCCATTTTGACATATTCTATTTAAGGATTGATTGCATTTTCTAGTATTTGTGAATGATATTAATATTCAAAAAAGAATCACAAGGGACCATCTGGAGTTGGACAGAAAGTAAGTGTTCAATAAATGACTCTCAGAAAGACTGCCCAACAGTTTTATATGTTGCTGGTGAGAATGTAAATTGGTAGAACCTTTCTGGAAAGCAACTTTGCAATCTATGATTTGATTTATTAATTCCATCTGGGAATTTATCATAAGGAAATAATAAAAGATGCAAAGATATTTGTGCAGAGATGCTGATCATGTTAATTGGTAAAATGGTGAACTTTAGAAAAAATTTAAAACCCCTCCATATGAAATTGGTTACAGAAATATATTACCTCCATATGATGGTGTGGCTGAGACTGCTTCCTGGTTGCTCAATCTCCATTCTCCTCTTCTTTGTTGTTAACAAGACTCTATATTATTGGAGCCAGCAACGTGCTTATTAATAATACTGTATTTCACAGCTTTCCTTTCAGACAAAGATGACCAATGAGATAAGAGCAGAAGTCCTTGGGTGGGACTTCCAAGTGTCTGGATTACTGCCTGGATCCAGCTGCCTTGATCACTGATATGATGGCTGAAACTCCAGCAGTCATTTGGGGACCATGAGAGAAAAGCCAGGAGAATTGTAGTGACTGCAATTCTGACATTCTTGAACCACTGTAACAAAGCCAACAACTGCCTCCTTCCAGATGTCTCATTATATGAGAAAAAAATAATAAACCATTATATGCTTATGCTAGTCAAACTCTGTTAATAGCAGCCAAACACAATTCCTAACTGACACAGATGAAACATTTTGCAACCATTTAAAATTATCTTTCTAAAAAATAGAATATAATATTAAATCAGAAAGAATATGAAACTCTATATGTGGTATGTCTATTTTGTTCTTAAATTAGACATATACATTATATATGAATGAATACGGCTATGTAATACATTAAAATGTTGATAGTGCCTGTCTCAGGATTATGGTTTTTGTTTGTTTGTTTGTTTTTTGTTTTGTTTTGTTTTTTTTTTTTTGAGACGGAGTCTCGCTCTGTCGCCCAGGCTGGAGTGCAGTGGCGCGATCTCGATTCACTGTAAGCTCCGCCTCCCGGGTTCACGCCATTCTCCTGCCTCAGCCTCCGGAGTAGCTGGGACCACAGCCGCCCACCACCACGCCCGGCTGATTTTTTGTATTTTTAGCAGAGACAGGGTTTCATCGTGTTGGCCAGAATGGTCTCCATCTCCTGACCTTGTGATCCACCCGCCTCCGCCTGCCGAAGTGCTGGAATTACAGGCGTAAGCCACCGCGCCCAGCCAGGATTATGGGTTATTTATTATGATGATGATTTACGCTTTTTTATGTTTTTAAATTTTTCAACATTGAGAATTTTTAAAAAAATGTTTTTGAGGGCCGGGCGCGGTGGCTCACACTTGTAATCCCAGCACTTTGGGAGGCTGAGGCTGGCGGATCACGAGGTCAGGAAATGGAGACCATCCTGGCTAACACGGTGAAACCCCGTCTCTACTAAAAAACACACAAAAAAATTAGCCGGGTGTGGTGCCGGGTGCCTGTAGTCCCAGCTACTCGGGAGGCTGAGGCAGAAGAATGGCGTGAACCCAGGAGGCGGAGCTTGCAGTGAGCCGAGATCACGCCACTGCACTTCAGCCTGGGCAACAGAGTGAGACTCCGTCTCAAACAAACAAAAAAAATGTTTTTGAGATTGCCCAGTATATACACATGACTAGTGGGAAGGTAAATTGGTTATATCTACACATTTTATAGAGCAATTGGTCAACATAGATTAAAAGTTTTTATAGCTTTTATACTCTTTAGCTCTCTATTTTCACCCTGAGGTGTCTATCTTGGTAAAATGAGACCCAAACAAAGAATTATGCACAATGATGTTTACTATAACATTACGTATGATACCAAAAAAATGAAAACAAACTAAATGTCCAACATTAGGAAAGTAGTTAAATAAATTATGATATATCCATCTTATTTTACAAATACACAGAAGTCACAATTAAAGCAAGAGAGATAACATTTTGGAACTAGGTTTAGAGTTATTTACATATTTTCAAATCCCCCCACTCACTGAGGCAACAATGGGCATAAGTGGAATGGAGGGGTACCCCCAATCTAGAAGACATTTCTACCCTCAGCTGGAATTAGATTTCTGTCTGAATCTACAGCAGGAAAATAGCTTTGTTGAGAAAGACAGAATAATTTTCTTTTCTTTTCTTTTTTGAGACAAAGTTTTGCTCTATTGCTCAGTCTGGAGTGCAGTGGCTTGATCTCGGCTCACTGCAACCTCCACCTTCTGGGTTCAAGCAATTCTCCTGCCTCAGCCTCCTGAGTAGCTGGGACTACAGGCGCGCACCACCATGCCCGACGAATTTTTGTATTTTTAGTAGAGACGAGGGTTCACCATGTTGGTCAGGTTGGTTTCGAACTCCTGACCTCAGGTGATTTGCCTACCTTGGCATCCCAAAGTGCTGGAATTACAGGCATGAGCCACCTGGCCCTGCTGATAGAAGAGTTTTCTAAATTATGTTAATATGTTAAGGGCCAATCCTAGCAGAGTCAATTCTTCAAGTTGTTTCTCTCTGCCATGGAAATGAGGCCTCAGGATTGCCTGTCTAGGTAAGAGGAAGATATGATATACTGGGTAGGGAATCTTGGAGTCCACCCCTTCCTGCTCAGAGGAAGCAGCAGCTGCCCTTTGTGCTCCACATCATGTGCTCTTGGCTTGCTTATGGTGCTGTGGAGCCTAAGTAGAGGCTTCCATTCATGATGATAGTCTGAAGCACCTTTCATCTCTCCATTTCTCTGCAGCCACGTTAGGGAGTGGGTTGGATACCTCAACCAATGGGGAAAACAAGACTCGGTGAATAAACCTCCCAGCCTCCCATCCTTTGGAAACACCATTCTACCCAACGTCCCCAGAAGTTCCCCAGTAGGATTGAGCCCCAGTTGCCCAATGGCAACTTGTACAATAACACACTTTGTTTTAGTTTTTCCTTCTTTCCCATTTCTTCCCTGTTCTCACTTCTGCACTTCTGTTTCCTGGAATCACCTTCCATATAAACAACCTGCATCCCAATCCTTACATCAGGCTCGTTTTCAGGGAAAACCGACCAAGACAGATGGAGTGTGGGAAAAAAGAAAAGGCAGAGAGGTATGGACTCTCTTTTGCCCCAGTTTGGAAGCTCAAAAACATTGAGTAATAACTCATTTCACCTGGTATATTTGACCAACATTTTTAAATTCAAAAAATGAATAAAAAAGAATATAGCAGAGTGCATATCATGTAGAAAGGGGAAGTACTATCTCATGAAACTTCTGTTTCAGCAATGTGTATGTGTCAGTTTGTGTGTACGGGATCACAATGTATGATGTATTTCTTCCTGTGGATTGTGGTATAAAAGCTGGAAGGCCTTTTTTGGTATCAAGAAGATACGGGGCTGGGCGCGGTGGCTCACGCCTGTCATCCCAGCACTTTGAGAGGCTGAGGCAGGTGGATCACCTGAGGTCAGGAGTTCGAGACCAGCCTGGCCAACATGGCGAAACCTCGTCTCTACTAAAAATACAAAAATTAGCCAGGTGTGGTGGCAGGCACCTGAACCCGGTAGGTGGAGGTTGCAGTGAGCCCAGATCATGACAATGTACTCCAGCCTGGGGACAGAGTGAGACTCTGTCTCAAAAAAAAAAAGAGGATACTACATGGGTACAAGGAATCCCTGCTGTGCTCCAACAAAATCACCTAAATATTTAAGAGAAAATTTTAATGACATGGAAAACTACTTGTGAACCGTTATCAAGATTGGGACTGGAAGTAATGGGAAATAATTTTAAAATACTGAATACAGTATCACTTCAACTACGTGAGAGAAAAACTGTGAAGTAAAAAACCAGAGTCATTCACTCATTTCCAGTTTTATCCAATAGGTAAATTCCAAAAACACCATATGCAATTTAAAGGTACCTAAGTCAAAACAAGTGTTCTCATATGAAATAAGGCAAAAGCAGGAGACACATTGTTAAAGGTCACAAAGAAGCTAACTATTTTTCTTCTGGCTTTTCAAATTAATATTAGCAATAATTAATGATTCGGCTTGGGGAAGAGGTGAGCTAAAAAAATTGTGTTCATTCATGGAGCAAACAAACAAAAGGAGACTGCTGATACCTAGTGAACCACAGACAACGGCGAGCCTATCAACAGCTGTGTTACTCTGTCTTCCCTAGGAGAAGAATTCTTCCTTTAGAAGGCGGCCATGTGCATTCTCAGCACTAAAATCTTGGTCACCAAGAAAGTATTGTTCTGAGGGCGTTTGCACTGAGCATGCCCTGGTAAGTGCTTTGACTGACAACCTCCCAGTGGACTCCAAGGTTGAGAGGCTTCTATTACTCACAAAGCCAGAGGCCTGCCTGAGCTACTGACATTTTCCAGTCATTGCCGCATTTCACAATCTCCATAACGAGCAGGACTCTGCAGCTCTTGTTCCACAGTGCCTGGAATTGTGTTTTCTACGCAGAAAAAAACATTTGATGGATGACAGAGGGAAAGTGAAGGGAGCACCTGTTCACAAGTCCTAATTTTAGAAACATGCACAGCCACAGGGAGGAAGAGGAGGCTGAGTGATGGTCCTGCTTCACGTGGCTGCAACAGCTGTATACTTTCCAGCATTGGCTGTGGCCTCCCAGGCACTTCAGACATTGCAGTTTCCACAGATTCTGCTGCCATCACCCATTTAGAAGACAATTGTGTATGTCTGCTTTGAAAAAGGTGTTAATGTTTTCACTGTTTTATTGAAAAAGCATGTAAGTTAATTGTTCATATGTTGAGTGGAAGGCATATATAACAAAATATTTATCGTGTTTTCTTCTAGATAATAGGGTTATAGGAGGCAGCAAAATTACTGGGAATTTTAGCTCCTGTTTTGGGCCTAGCCTTGAATCAACTTTCTATATACCAGAACTATATTTTATTCTTGCATTAACCAATGAAACAGGTACTATTATCCTTATGTCACAGAGGAGGAAAATGCATAATATTAATAATAGTTAATAGTTATTGAGCAAAAACTATGAACCAAAAATAATGCTGAAAGCTTTACCTGTATAATCTCACTTCTCACAACAACCCAATGAAAAAAGTACACTTATCTTCCCATTTTAGGTAGAAGTAAGGCTTTAGAGAGGCTACTTGAGAGGAAAGAGTGAACACAGCAGGTCTGGTGGCTTACTCCTTGCTCTCTCCAAAGGAACCATGATTGGCCCTTGGTCACCCTTAGGAATGTGGCCCTGAGAGAGTTCTTCATGTTATGATTGATAATTTTGTTATATACATCTGAATCAATGGACCATGTCTTACTTGCTCATCAAGTGCCTTGCACTAACGTCAAGATTGATGATGTGCACCTGGTTTCACTGTTGGGTCCTGGATTTTGGTTGCCATGGTAGATTGTGTAGCAGGATGTTTCTATGCTAACAGCCTCTGTAGAAAGACCTTGGACCCTGAGACTCAAAGAGTCTTCCCTGGGCAGAAACATTTCACCCATGTCTCTGAATTTTCCTGCCAGAGAGATCACTGTTGTGCAGCCTTGGATGATAAAGAACTGTGGAAGCCTGTGCCTGACCTCTCCAGACTCTAAAGATGCACATCTTTTTCCTGATGCTTTTGCTCTGTATCCCTTCCTACAGAAAATTCTAGTGCAGACTGCTACTGAATCTTGTGAATTCTTCACGGGTTGAAACACTATCCAAGACCATGCAAGTATAAGGTGGTAGAAATAGAATTCAGGGGCAGGCAGCCTAGCTTCTAGCCTGTTCTCCCAATTATCTACTACCATCTAACTATCACACAATAGATACCGTACTCAAAATTAGTGCTTTTAACATTATTATTTCTTCACTTCCTTTACTTTCTAAATCTTTGATGAGCATGCAATATTTGATAATCAAAGGGAGAAAAAATTTGTAAATATCCATGGTTAACAGAGAGAAACAAGAGGATCCAGAAAAGAACAGACTAAAAGAAGGTACATTGGAGTGGTACAATATAATGAAGTGAAGGAGCAAGTTTAAAGATAGGGCAGTTTTATAGGATAAAATCTTCCCAATATTTGGGTGGGCAATGATTTATTAGATAGGACACATTTAGTATGAATCATAAGACGAAAAACTTGTAAATTTAACCTCATCAACATTAAAATTTCTGCTCTGTTAAGACACTGCTAAGAAACTAAAAAGGCAACTCACATATTGACAAATGTGTAATAAATATATCTGATGAAAGACTGATATCCAGTGTACATAAAGAATCTTTACAACTTAAAATATTAGAAAGGAGCAAAATATTTGAACAGATATTTTATAAAAGAAGGTATAGAAATAGAAAATAAACACAAAAAAGATTCTCAATATGATTAATGATTAGGAAAATATGAATTAAAACCACAGTGAGATATGACTACACACCTGACAGATGGCTAAAATTAAAGACTGACAATGTGGAGCAACTGGAACTCTTATACATTTCTGTTAGAAATTCAATCAGCTTGGAAAAACAGTTTGCAGTTTCTTAAACATACCTAAGCTGTATAATGTAGTGTTCCCACTCCTATTTACCCAAGATAAGTGAAAACATATGTCTGCTCAAATATTTATGTATTAATGTTCATGGCTGTGCGTGGTGGCTCATGCCTGTAATTCCAGCACTTTGGGAGGTCGAGGCAGGTGGATCAAGAGTTCCAGACCAGCCGGGGCAACATAGTGAAATCCCATCTCTACAAAAAATACAAAAATTAAGCAGGCATGGTGGCATGTGCTTCTAGTCCCAGCTACTGGGGGGACTGAGGTGGGAGGATCGCCTGAGCCCAGAAAGTTGAGGCTGCGGTGAGGCAAGATCCCACCACTGCACTCCAGCCTGGGGGACAGAGCGAGACCCTGTCTCAGCAACAATAAAGTGTTCATAGCAGCTTTGTTTATAATAGCTGAAACCTGAAAACCACCCAAATATGTGTTAGCAGGTGAATGGATAAGGAAATTATGACTGATTACTTCAATGGAATACTACTCAGCAATAAAAGGGAACAAAGTTGATATGTACAACAACATAGATGAATCTTAAGAACATTATGCTGAGCAAAAGAAGTCAGACACGAAAGAATGTCTATTGTATGATTTTACTTATATGCAATTCCTTCGATTGCCTTGGGCTGGAGGAGGAGAGGATTGACTGCAAAGGGCCATGAGGTGAACTTTTGGAGTGATGGAAATGTTCTATATCTTAATTGTGGTGGTGGTTACATGGGCATATACATTTGTCAAAACTTATCAAAGTATGTGCTTCAAATGAATGAGTTTTTTTTTTTAATGTATCATACCTTAATGTCGTTGATTTTTAAAAAAATAATAAGGGGCTGGGAGGGGTGGCTCATGTCTGTAATCCCAGCACTTTGGGAGGCTGAGGCAGACAGATCACCTGAGGTCAGGAGTTCAAGACCAGCCTGTCCAACATGGTAAAACCCTGTCTCTATTAAAAATACAAAAATTAGCTGGGCGTAGTGGCACATCCCTATAATCCCAGCTACTCAGGAGACAGGCAGGAGAATCACTTGAACCTGGGAGGCGGAGGTTGCAGTGAGCCGGGACTGCGCCACTGCACTCCAGCCTGGGTGACAGAGACACACTCCATCTCAAAAAAAAAAAAAAAAAAAAAAAAAGGCAGTTTTATTGAAAGAGGAATTGTCAATTCTCTCAAATGTTACAGAAAGGCAAGGAGAAGGTAACTGGAAAAAGGCCATTGGATCTATCAGTTGAGGGTGACTAGGAGTTTCAAGATTATAAAACTAATAGACTTGGTATTCAGAAATCAGATGATTGGGATGTAAGAAGGGAATACTTGGCAGGTAGAACAATTTGGGCTGCTTTTGATCCATGGAACACCAGATGCTGGCTCACACAGGCATATGCTAACCATATAGCAATAAATCTCAACCTGTGGAAATCCAAAACCCAGAAATCTAATGAAACAATTAACTGTATTGCTTATTAAAGATATTTTATAACCTCAAGTAGAGGAATATAAAGATTCCCTTCATCACTAGAAGTTTTTCTTTTTAAAGCAAACATTAATTATATTTTTAAGCCTTCTTAAGATTCTTTTACCAATTCTCAGCCGAAGGCCTCTCTTCCTACTAACCTGAGAAGGCTCCCTCTCACATTGGCATAAGATTCCTCATCTAGGTTCTTCATCATCCACAGTTCCCCTTTTCTACACCACGAAGATGGATCCTGCTCTACTTACAGGCTCTCTCCCCTACTGCACCATGAATTCTACCAGCACCAGTGCTGAAAGGCATATTTGTCAGTATCTACAGTTATCCCCTTGCCACTGACTCCTTCCCTTTCTGTTTACCCGGCATTCCAACTTCAAACACTGTTCTCTACCTCTTTTCAATGCCGAAGCCATCAAACTTCTCAAACAAGTCAAACCCTTAGGTCACGATTTCTTGATCATATTTTTCCCACAACCTGGCTTCCTCCCCTGCCCCAAGAACCTCCCTTATGCCAAATCCAGTAGGATTCTGTAGACACACTCTCTCTAAGCTTTCTATAATATTCGACATGGAATGTCCCTTTTTGGCTTCTGAGAAACTTTTCTTCCCATTTCCATGCTAGAGTTCTGCCTTTCCTTTCTTTTCTTCAACTGAATCTTCCAGCCAATCAGTTGGGATATTCCCTTAAACATTTCCTCTACCCACCCTCAGTGCAACACTTCTCCAATGCTAAGGTGCATATGACTTGCCTGGGAATCCTGTTAAAAAGCAGATTTGGATTCAATAGTTCTGGAGTGGGGCCTGAGATCTTGCACTCCTAACAAGCTCCTGCAGGAGATCAATGCTGCCAGTCTAGGGACAAGCTAAGTAGCAAAGTCTCAGAGAACAGAGCCTATATCCAGATTCAAACACTTTCAAGTTCACCAACTCCAAACGTGATGAGTCCAACATGAAATGCTCAGGAGTTAACAGTCTAAGCGCCACAGAGATGAACATTCAGTGAGGATTACCCATAACTTTATTATATAATTTTTTAAGGGAAAAGCAGTTTTCCTCAATATATTAGAGATTGATAGGAAATACAAGCTCCAAACATGGCAGATAATTGGAGGGCTTGTTTTCCTTTAGAAACAGATGCAATGAGAAGGTGAAATTACATGAGGAGGATTCTGCCGAATCCTCAGGCATGTGAAATGGGATAGTTTTTCCTAGAATACTCATTGCTCACTGAATGACAAGAAAAGATTCAGTCACTCTCAATTCCAAATAAACCAAACATATATTGCCTCACATGTGATTGTCCAATTGCATCCACCTTCTTTCTTTGTGCTCTTGAGTTGGCATTTGATTTCAGATTCCTCCTCCCAGACTTATTCAGCTAAGCCAGTAATTCAACCTCCATGGGATGTCAATGATCACCTAGGAAGATAACAGCCTTGGTCCTTCTGTACCATGACTCTTTGAAAGCCCGGTTTCTTTTGTCTCCTTTCTTCCTGTTTATTAGAAAGATTTTCCCCAAAGTTGGAGAATTCCTTCAATAGCATGATTTGGGCCTGGTGATTATGAGATGTCTCAGCTGCACTTTGTTATTTAATAAAAATAATAAACAAAAATAATTTTTAAAAAGAGGTCACTTAGTGTGTTTGGTACTTCAGCAATACACGGACACTGAATTTCAAATCTTCCATGAGTCCACTAAAATCTTGCTCCAGTGAATATCAAGTGGCATTAGAACACAGAATATTTGGAAGCAATTTCTTGATAAAAGGCTTTGCCTATTGAGGATATTATTTCAGGCAACCAGAAAATAAAGACTGAATTATAAAGCAATTTGTGTCAAGATGCAAGTAATAGCTACTGGAATAGCAAATGAATGCTGTATTATCACTGCTACTAAAGTGAATCAAAATTAATTCACAGTGAACCATTTTCCCAAAGATGGAAAGAATTTGTGGGTTTACTATCATGAACAGCCAACAGTAGAAGTTAGCATTTGTCAAATACTAAATGCGAATCTTCAAATAATTAAATAAGGTAAGAAGAGGATAGGAAAAAGAAATTTTCCTTTAGAGTTCATTGAGGAACACCTCACACCTCTTTGAGTTATCTAATGGGGAATAATTAAATGAGGACAGAGATGAAGTCAGACTTGATCGTACAGTAAAAATGGAACACTTTCTTTGTCTCAATATTCCGAGCAATTCATCCTAAAGAGGTTGCAGACTTGGGAGAAACACTGTTTGAAGCACATGGTGAAAGGGGAATGTATCTCTGTTTATCACTGAATCTCTGCTTGAGTCACACAATGACAAATCTGCATTTTCATATTCAAGCATAAGAGCTGTAATGATTCAAATGTTGTCCCATCCATGCTTCCTGTCACCACCAATTGAATCCCCAAGGAGGGAACGTGGCATAGGAGGAGGCTTGGGAAGTGAAATAAAGTACACCAGGTTTCAAGTGTTTGTTAGGCCATTTGCCAACTAAGTGATTCTAAATAATTCCCTTGGTCCCTTACAGATTCAGTTGACACAAATGTCGTTAATATTACCTAATCGTTAGAATGATGAGGGTTTAACAAGTTAACACACATGAAACACCTAGCCCAGTCCATATAGAGTTGCTGTCATTACCAGCACACTTTACCACTTCAGACTTACCCTGTGAAAGTCTATCTTGCGCTCTGTTATCTGTGGAATAAAGTCCAGTGTAGACTGATGGGCAAGAACCTCCAGATTCGTTCCCTTTCCATCCCAAACTAGTTAACTCACTCAGAGTAACCTTTGGGCTTTCTTATTTATTCATTAACTCATTCAATCTTTCATTGATTTATTAAATATTTATTAACTACCAATTAAGAAATAGGTATTGGAATATGTGCTGGGGTTCAAAAGGTAAATAAGACACAAAAGTGCTACCCTCAAAGCAGGTCTATCATGCAATGGGAAAGCCTCTATAAAAGACGTAAAGTGCTGTGAGAACACAAAGGAGGAAGCATTTAATTCAGACTTTGTTCTTCTCTTTGTTCTCAAGATCCTTCCCTATCTCTATTATATAAATCTTATTCAACTTTCAAAACCAGACATTTCCAAGCATTGACTCCTTCAACAGGCATTTATCATGTTCTTACTGAATGCTTAGCCCATTACAAAGTGTGTTTTCGGCCGGGCATGGTGGCTTACGCCTGTAATCCCAGCACTTTGGGAGGCTGAGGTGGGTGGATCACCTGAGGTTGGGAGCTCAAGACCAGCCTGACCAACATGGAGAAATCCCGTCTCTACTAAAAACTACAAAATTAGCTGGGCACGGTGGCCACACCTGTAATCCCAGCTACTCGGGAGGCTGAGGCAGGAGAATTGCTTGAACCCAGGAGGCAGATGTTACAGTCAGCCAAGATCGCACCAGTGAACTCCAGCCTGGGCAACAAGAGCAAAACTCCATCTCAAAACAAAAAAACAAAAAAACAAAGAAAGTGTGTTCTCACAACTCTGAATTGCTGCTCATTTGTTACCTATCAGATGTTCTCTTGCATTCTCAATTATGCCATTATGTGTCTCTGTTTCCCAACTTGATTTTCAGTTCACTGAAATCAAGGATTTGATCTTCTTGGATGAATGCCCACAACTGCTAACAAAGTAGAAGCAAATAGTAGATGATCAATAAATTTTTGTTTCTTGTTTTTAAGTTTCAATGCCAAATTAAGTTTGAGGTTCAAACTAAATACCTCAGAATATTTACATGAATTAATTGATTAAAAATGATGTGTAACATAGGATATTGGCAGTGGATACTTGAACAAAAAAGGAGGAATGGATTCTGGGTAGAAAAATCAACTAACTTTGTCCTGTGTGGTGGCTCACACTTGTAATCCCAGCACTTTGGGATGCCAAGGCGGGTGGATCACTTGAGCTCAGGAGTTCGAGACCAGCCTGGCAACATGAAGAAACACTGTCTCTACTAAAAATACAAAAATTAGCTGGGCGTGGTAGTGGGCGCCTGTAATCCCAGCTACTCAGGAGGCTAACGGAGGAGAATCACTTGAACCTAGGAGGTGGAGGTTGCAGTGAGCCGAGATCATGCAAATGCACTCCAGCCTGGGCGACAAGATCAAGACTCTGTCTCAAAAAAAAAAAAAAAAGGAAAACCAACAAACTCAGCCACCTCTCTGCTATGGTATTTTAAATACAGCAGGATTGTGTTCCAGTATTTGACACTGAGAATGTTTTTTCTCAGTATTTATAAATAAGATATTGTAATTAGAATGACATTCAGATTTTTAAATTTTCATCCTGAAAGGACTTATACATATTTTCCAGGGCAAATGCTATTATCATTTAAATCCTTGATCAATTTTCTCTACACTGCAGTGAAACCATTTCAATGTTTGCTTTGTACTTCCATTTTTATTTTACCAAAATTATTTTCACTGGGATCAGTTCTCCTTTGCGTACAATTTCCAAGAAAGGTTTGATTCATCATTCAAGTTATTGTCCATATGAAACTACTGATTATATTTTTGCCACTTTGAATTTTGTTTTGTCGCCCTCATTTTTAATAATTCCAATTTTATCTGGATCGCATTGGACAGAGACAGATATAAAATACGAAGTAAAAGGTCTCATTTCTGGAAATTTATATTGTGCTGATAACTTCTATGAATCTAATTTTTCATGTCAATTTTTAGTTTTCAATATCACTAAAAAGATGTCATTCGCCAACCAGGTTTGTGCCTTTGCGATATATTTTATGTGTGAACAACATTAGCCAGGATCAGTCGATTATTTCTCAAAAATCTACTGTTTCCCAGTGATCTGGTCAAATTGTCCTTGGAATTAAAACAGCAGAGTCAAATGGCACTGTCAATGGAGAAGAAACATAATGTCCTTCTACTTCAGAAGTCCCACATTAGAGATGCAGTAGTTTTTCTTTTCTACCATTATAATACAAACACCCTCTGGAAGAATAAAATGTTAAAATATCAGTTGGTGAGAGGCAAGTAGTTAAGAGTATGTACTCTGAAGGAATGCCTGGATTGAAATCCCATCTCTATCACTCACTAGCTGTGTGAATTTTGATAGCTTAACTTACTAATCTGTGCCTCGGTGTCCTCGTTTGTAAAATAAAATTGATGTGAGGATTAAATAAGTTGTTAAATCAGTTAATAACTCAGAACAGTGCTTGGCACATACTGATTTTCAATAAAAGTTAGGTTCCATTATTACTACTTGAATAATTGTTTCAATAGCTTCCAAATACACCATATGCTTTCATATCTTTGTTCAGCCATGCTTCAATTTCCTCTTCTAAAAAATGGGGCTATTAATAAATCTCCCTCATACAGTTGTTATAAAATCTGAATGTGTAATACAAGTGCTTGTAACAATGCCTGGCCCAGGTTTAAGTGCTACAGTAAGTGCTGTGTTAGCTGCTATTATTATTTTCACCACAGAGTAAGTGAGTTTACAGTTTCCTTCTAAGGGCCTAAGAGCTAGTTTCCATAACGAATATTACAGAGACAACACAAGGACCCAGGGGTAAAGCGTGCTACTGATGAGTATAAGACTAAGTTAAAAAGCAAAAGGAGCCTATGCAGCCATTTAAAATGATAATACACAAAAAATATATGCTCCATGAAGATAGGAATTTTTGTCCTTTTTGTCCTCTGCTATATACCCAACACCTAGAACAGTGCCTGGGACATCTTAGGCAGTCTATAAATACTTGTAAAATGAATGAATGAATGAATGAGTGAATGAAGATGAAGACTATGTGGCACCATTGAAAGCATTTCTTATATGGCATTAAGTAAACAGAGCAACATATAAAATTATATCACATTATCATCAATATATGCAAGTAGTGAAGATGAAAAAGTAATGTATAGAATTAAAAATAGTTGTGTTATTCTGTCTGTTACATTGTTATGTTATCTTTTTATAAGGTAAAATAAAGAAGGCAAATGTTAAAAGTTCTTAAAGAAAAACTACAGCCATGTCATAACTTGATATAACTTGGGGCACCATACTCATATCCTTTTAAAGTTGATCCTGAGAAATCTATGATCATATAGAAAAAAATTGGACTGAAACCAATTAATTGGAACCCTTAATTAGTGGGATTACTTTTCAAATTTCTGATTTCAAGAGAAAAGTGAAAACAGTACACAGGCATAATATGTGTTTAATGAACACAGACACACACACACACACACACACACACACACACACACACACTTTCCTTCAGATTATATCTTGAGCTGATTATCCATTTAACCCAATCTCCTAGACCCTCTACATCCCCTGTACAGCACAATGAGTATTTATGCTCATAATGATCTTTCTGGGGCACTGCAAGGACTTCGATCATCAAAGATTCAATTATGTTCAACACCCTACACTTCCTAAGGCATGAAAGAGCCTAATGCATTTTAGAAAGATTTTTCTATGGAAAGGTTTGAACAAAGCGTGTTGGGTTAATTTCTAGTTAACTAGAAATTTAATTAACCAAAATGACATGTCCCCTGAACATTCCCATTAAATGAGGTTTGATTGTACTTTGATTTCTGAAATCATTGTAGAGCTTCTTCCTATTAATAGTTCCTGGTGGAAAAGATATAATTCTAGAGTCAAACTGTTTGGGGAAGATTTTATTGTTCTTAGTCTTAAAGACAAAGAGACAACAGGCAGAAAAAAAATCCACTTCTTGAATGGTTCTCTATGTTTGACTTTGACCCTTAGATATGCTGCATGAAAGAAGTAGCCCAGTTAGAGAGAAAACAAGAGTTTGGGTTCTTATACTTTCTATTTAAGATGATACTGATGTTATAGTTCTCATTTGAGAAAGTGTATGTCGGCCATTTAAAATTAATTTTTTTTAATTTGTTTCCCAGATTAACGGTCCTTCTAAAATAGAAAACTGAATGAAGACTCTGTTATTTCATTTGCAAAGCTTATTGAAGCACATATTTATGAAATTAGACATGGAGAAGTGAACCACCACCACCTGCTCAACCACCACGAGAATTTGTATTATTTCGAGATAAAAGAAAATAAATTAATATGCATGTGGTAATTCCTCCACCTTCTTCTTCAACCTTGCTAGTGTCTCTTAGGAAGGAGTCTGGGTCTTTTGTGATGATAATGGCCTAATGGGCGAAGTTAAAAATCCCAAGGAGCCAGGGGCTCCATAAGAGGAGAGGCCTTGTGGACTAGATTTTATGCCTTTTTGAATATTAATTTTTAGTTTATCAAACCTTATGTACAATGAGATTGAAAAGACAATTATTTCTAAAGAGCATATAAGAAACCTGCAGTCCCTCTGACTGCCCCTTTCCATCCAACAGTAGGCTTCCTCACAGGGTGTTGGACTCTGAAAAGGCAAACCCCAATGCACAAGAGCTTATCAAGTCTGCACTTGCATCATGTTTTCTGGAATACTATTGGCTAAATCAAGTCACATGACCCAGCCCACAGTCAATGTGGGAGGGGACTAGATAGGGCAGGAATGCTGAGAAGGGTGGTTCATTGGAGACTGTTAGCAAAATAATCTCCAACACATGTTGAAACCTCATCACTATATCTTTTTTCTCTTTTCTCTTCTTTTTCTTTTCTTTTCTTTTCTTTTTTTTTTTTTTTTGAGGCAGAGTCTTGCTCTGTCTCCCAGGCTGGAGTGCAGAAGCGCGATCTTGGCTCACTGCAACCTCTGCCTCCCAGGTTCAAGTGTTTCTCCTGCCTCAGACTCCCGAGTAGCAGCGGGGATTACAGGCATCCACCACCACACACTGCTAATTTTTGTACTTTTAGTACAGACGGGGTTTCACCATGTTGGTCAGGCCGGTCTCGAACTCCTGTCCTCACATGATCCACCTGCCTTGGCCTCCCAAAGTGCTGGAATTATAAGCATAAGCCACCGCGCCCAGTTCATCACTATATCTTTTTGGTAATAATTTCCATCTTCCTAACTCAAAGATGAAATTCTACAGAGCTGTGTATTTTTATGGTCCCATTTCATCTTCATCAAAGTCTTCTGAGGAATTCCAAGAGGTTCTCCATTGATAATGCACAGCAAAATTTCTTAGTGTCCACTTTCCTTGTCTTTCCCTCTGCATCTGAGTGGCAGTCTCCCTGTATTTGTTTTCTATTGTTGCCATAACAAAGTACCACACATTTGGCGTCTTTTAAAAGACCACCATTGATTATCTGTAGGTCAGAAGTCCAGTGGGTTCAGCTGAGCACTCCACCGGCTACCAGGCTAAAATCAGGGTGTCAGCTAACCTGGATTTTTTAATCTGGAAGCTCTGGGGGAGAATTGGCTTCAGGGCTCATTCAGGTCCTTGGCAGAATTCAGTTCCAGAGCTGGAAGATGGAGGTCCCTGTTTCCATGTGGGCTGTTGACCAGAAGTTATTCTCAGCTTCTAGAGGCTGATCATGTTCTTTGGCTCTTGGCCCCCTTTGTCCTCAAAGCCGACAATGGTGTATTAAATCCTTCTCATGCTTCACATCTCTCTGACCTCTCCTTCTACCTCATCTCTCCTGCCTTGTCCTCTGACACATCTCTCTGCCTTTCTTTTCTATGTTTAAGGGCTCAGATGATTACTTGGGCCTACCCAGATAATCCAGGATAATCTCCCTATTAGTAACCTTAATTCCATTTGCAAAGTTCCCTTGTGGTAATACATAGATTAGTGGTTGCGTGAATAAAGAAGGGAGAAGAATCATGGGAGGACACCATTAGAATTCTGCCTACCATACTTCCCACATCTTTCTCTTTCCTGTCTTAAACTTCCCACAAAAATGTCTCTAAAATCCAGCCCTAGGTGGTGGAATAAAAATATTTCTTCCCTCTTATCTCTAAAAATGCTCCTAAACCACAAGAAGAATAAACCAAAACACAAACTCAATTTTTTTATTAAACTAGAAAAAACCTTTTATATCGCTAGTATATAGATAGAGAAAGCAGATGGAAGAATCGTAAATTATTTAGCAGAGAGGAGGAAATTCAAAGTTGGTGCTGATAAGAAGCCAGATTGCCTCATAGAAGTTTAAGAAAGGCTCAGGATTCAAGGTGCTAAGGGTGAAAAACCCTGCATTACCCATATTTGGTGTTTACCAATGAAAACCCCAGCTCATATCTCTTTTTTTAAACTTTATTTATGGACATTTGGAATTGACATTTAATAATTGTACATATTTACGGGATGCACAGTGATATTTCAATACACATAATGTATAGTTATCAGATCAGAGTAATTAGCATATCCAACATATCCATCATAAAAAAATATTTATTGTCTAGAGGCAGTGGCCCACACCTGTAATCCTAGCACACTGGATGGCTGAGGTGGCAGGATTGTTTGAGCCCAGTAGATCGAGGCTGCAGTGAACCATGACTGTGTCACTGCACCCCAGCCTGGGAAACAGAGCAAGACCCTGTCTCAAAAAAAAATTATAATTTATTTGTTTCAGGAGCATTCAATACACTCCATCTACCTATTTAACCCATGTAATATGTTATTGTTAACTACAGTCATCCTACAGTGGTATAGAACACTAGAGCATATTCTTCCTATCTAATTATAATTTTTTTTTTTTTTTTTTGAGACAGAGTCTTGCTCTGTCACCCAGGCTGGAGTGCAGTGGTGCGATCTTGGCTCACTGCAACCTCCACCTCCCGGGTTCAAGCAGTTCTTGTGCCTCAGCCTTCCAAGTAGCTGGGACTACAGCTGTGTGTGCCACCATGCCCAGCTAATTTTTGTATTTTTTGGTAGAGACGGGGTTTCACCATGTTGGCCAGGCTTGTCTCAAACTCCTAGCTTCAAGTGATCCGCCCTTCTTGGCCTCCCAAGGTGTTGAAATTACAGGCATGAGCCACTGCGTCCGGCCCTAGTTATAATTTTGTATCCTTTACATCTTTCCCTATTCCTCCCTTCCCCTTAATTCTTCCCAGCCTCTAGTATCCTCTGTTCTATTTTTTACTTTTATGAGATCAACTTATTTTAGCTTCTACATATGAGGGAGAACATGTGGTGTTTAACTTTCTGTTCCTAGCTTATTTCACTTAACATAATGTCCTCCAGTTCCATCCATGTTGTAGTGAGTGACAGGATTTCATTCTTTTTTAGGGCTGGATAGTATTCCATTGGGTATATATGCCACACCTGAAAGATTCATCTGTTATTGGACACCTAGGTTGATTCCATGTTTTGGTTATTGTGAATAATGCTGCAATAAACTTGGGAGTGCAGATGTCTCTCTAGTCTAATGATTTCCTTTCCTTCAGATAAATGCCCAATAGTGAGACTGATGAATCATTTGTGGTTCTATTTGTAGTTTTTGAGGGATCGCCATAGTATTCTCTACAGTTGCTGTACTAGTTTACATTCCCACCAACAGTGTATAAGCATTCTCTTTTCTCTGTGTCCTCATCCCAGCTCATCTCTTGACTCATCCATAGGAAGCCCACTAGTAGTCATGCCTTGCTCAAGCACACAAAGGCTCTAGTTAGCTTTATAATATAATACAATATAATAATATAAACAGAGTGCCAAGGATCACCAGACATTTGTAAAGACAAAGACCAAAACCAACCAACCACACATACAAAAAGAATCCAGAGGAAATAGAGACGATTCAGGAGCAGAAGAAAACTCAAAAGAAATTATAATGAATATTCTCAGAGAGATACAAGAAACTCTTGCGTCCATAAAATAAGAAGAGTATATTATAAAAAGTAGTAATTAGGCTGGGCAGAGTGGCTCACACCTGTAATCCCAGCACTTTGAGAGGCCAAGGTGGCTGGATCACCTGAAGTCAGGAGCTCGAGACCAGCCTGGCCAACATGGTGAAATCCCATCTCTACTAAAAATACAAAATTAGCCGGGTGTGGTGGTGGGTGCCTGTAATCCCAGCTACTTGGGAGGCTGAGGCAGGAGAATCACTTGAACCCGGGAGGTGGAGTTTGCAGTGAGCCAAGATTGCACCACTGTACTCCAGTCTGGGCAACAGAGTGAGATTCTACCTCAAAAAACAAAAACAAATAAAAAATAAAATGTAGTAATTAGAAAATAAGAAAGAACCTTTTATAGGTAAAAAATATATTAATAGAAATGACAAAGTTAATATATGGCTTGAAAGATGAAGTTTAGGATATTTCCCTGAAAATGGCTAGAATGGTACAACAGGAAAGAGAAGACAAGATCATTCAAAGATCATTTATAAAATGCCCAATATCTGAATAATAGGAGTTCCAGAAAGAGGGAAAAAAAATAAGGAAAGGGGCAGTATTATTGAAAGAAGAATACACATATTTTAGACTTAAGGACTAGAAGAATTCTACCCATGTGTCCAGCACAATGAATGAAAAAAAGACCCGTACTGATGCACATTATTGTGAAATTTCAGAAAGCCAGGATAAAGAAAAGGTTCAGAAAAAAATAGCCCACATCCGAACAATCAGGAATCAGAACATTATTGGTCCTGGCAGCAGCAGGAGTAGAAGCTCACAAAGAGTACAGCAATGCCTTCAAATTACTGAGGGAAAAATAACTTTCAACCTAGAATTCTGCACCCAGACTATCAATCAACTCTAAGGACAGAATAAAGAAATTATTAGACTTGCAGATTTCAAAAACAAAAATCTCTTGTTCACCCTTTCTCAGAGTGTTATTGGAGTGTGTCTCCACCCCATCCCCCAACCCTGTGCAGTGGGTAGAGAAGTAAATTAGGAAAGAGGAATCCAGGAAACGGGAAATGCAGCAAAGAAGAAATGAAAATTCCCAAAATGCTGGCAAGAGGGGCCCCAGGACTACAGCTGGGCAATGGATCTAAAGAGTGACCAGTCCAACCTAGAGCTGGACAGAGGGCTCTTGAAAGAAATTCTTCATTAAAAACCAAAACCAAAACCAAAGAAAACAAAACAGGGAAATGGTAGATTTTTCTGACAGATTTGACTGTGTAGAAAACAGTACTAAGGGGTATTTTATGGAGTGGTTACAGTGTGCAGGAAGAGATCAACTATTTTTTTTAATAAAGTAATTTTAAAATGAGATGATTTTTTAACCTCAGGGAAAAAGTAGTAAAAGAAAGGAAATGCAATCTTAGTACATGACTTGGCTCAAGAGCCAACAATAAAAATAAAAATGCTGCATGCAGCTTTAATAAAAATGGAGATATAATAATAATAGTTATTATTATTATTTGAGACGGAGTCTCGCTCTGTCGCCCAGGCCAGAGTTCAGTGGCTGATCTCGGCTCACTGCAACCTCCGCCTCCCGGGTTCAAGCGATTCTCCTGCCTCAACCTCCCGAGGAGCTGGGACTACAGGCGCCTGCCACCATTCCCAGATAATTTTTTTGTATTTTTAGTAGAGACAGGGTTTCACCCTGTTGGCCAGGCTGGTCTCGAGCTCCTAGCCTCAAGTGATCCACTCGCCTCGGCCTCCCAAAGTGCTGGTATTACAGGCATGAGCCACCCTCCCCAGCCACAAATGGAGATATAATTATGCTACCAGGGTGGTGGGCAGGCAAGAGAAGGGACAAGCGAACGTGTTAAAAACTAGAGGACAGAGCTGAAAGTAGGGAGCTAGATGGTTGGGTGTAGGGAAGACCTGAGGGACTGCGGGTTTTTTAAAATAAACTTTCTAGAAATAATTCTTTTTATCTATTTGCATGTGAAGTTTGATAAGCTAAAAATTAATATTTAAAAAGCACAAAATCCAGTCCACAGAGAATTTTTTCTCATCAGCCTCCCAGCTCCCTGCCATGGAGAAGAGAACCAACCGTCTCAGCTGAGCCCAAGCCCCAGCGGACCCTCGGGATGAATATATAGCCTCATGAATAGGCCAGGAGAAAAAGAGAAATATCCAGCCAACCCACAGAATCATGAGAAATAATAGATAGTTGATTTAAGAGGCTACATTTTGGAGTCACTTTTTGTTATGCAGCAATAGATAAGTTATACAACATGTAACTAAAGCTAAATAGATTTTTCTTTTTTTGAGATGGACCACACCCAGCCTGGATTTGTTTTCCACTTGTACACATCACTGAGAAGCACACTGCATATTGATTAAATATGTAAACTCTGTATCCAGACATTTACTAGCTATTTTCTACCTGTGAGGCTTTGGGTAAATTACTTACCTCTCATTTTTTTCACCTGTAAAATGGGGAATATGAATAATGAACTCATGGTTGTTATGAGGATTAAATGAGTGATGCACTAAGAAGCATGCTAAAAGTCCATACACACTCCCAGCGGCAGCTATTATTTCATCATTATCCTTTAAGCAGATAAAAATGCTTAAAATGGGTTGGGTGCAGTGGCTCATGCCTGGGATCCGAGCACTCTGGGAGCCCGAGGCGGGCAGATCACCTGAGGTCAGGAGTTTGAGACCAGCCTGGCCAACATGGTGAAACCCCATCTCTACTAAAAATACAAAAACGTAGCCAGGCTTGGTGGCACAAGCCTGTAATCCCAGCTACTCAGGAGGCTGAAGCAGGAGAATCGCTTGAACCTGGGAGGAAGAGGTTGCAGTGAGCCGAGATCACACCACTGCACTGTAGCCTGGGTGACAGAGTGAGACTAAGTCTCAGAAAAAAAAAAATGCTTAAAATGTAACTACTTGAATTATAAATATAAATCTGGGGAGCTGTAAGGTCTAGAGGCAAAGCCCTTAGGAATAAAATTGAGACTCCAGTACTGATTTTCAGACCAAATTACTGGTCAAACAGGCCATTTGTTTGTTTGTTTGTTTAACTTTTTATAATAGAAGATTTTAAAGATACATAAAAAGTATTTGATCAACTTCTTTGTACTCAGCTTCAGTAGTTATCAACTCATGGCCAATCTTGTTTTATCTAAATTCTCCCTTCTTGCCCCACACTGGATTATCCAAAGCAAATACCAGAGATCATATCATTCATCTTTAAATATTTTAATATGTATCTCTAAAAGATGAGATTCTTTTTTTAGTAACCAAATCAAATGTCAGTATTAAACTCCAAAAATTTAATAATTCTTTAATATTATCAAATATTAGAGTCAGAGTCAAAATTGCCCTGATTTTTTCTTTATATTTTTTGTGCAAATCAGGATCTAAGCAAGATCCATACAGTACACTTGATTGATAGATATGCCTGAGGTATCATTTGTATAGCAAAAGCAGGATAAATGCTTGGTTCTTTCCTTTTATTTATCAGTTTTCAGAATGAGATCTGGAATCCCAGATCCTCAAAAGGTGGACAATCTCTTCATCCTCTGTAGTCCTGATGTAAAATCACAGGGTTGGACTAGGTAACATTTGAGCTTCTTCCACCTCTGTGATTCTCATATTTTGTCTCCATCATTCTTTTGAATTGTGCAAGCTTTTATATATAGGTGGTCTTTTCTTGAACCACTTCCTCCCCTTTGAGTATTCTTTCTCCTCTTCTCTGCCCAGCTAACTCCATTCTGTTAAGCCCAGCTAGAATGTCACCTCATGTGCCATGGATTTAAGGGAACAAATGTTAATTTGGTGCTCATCGTGTTCTACTTCCCACCTCCACTCACACCACTCACTCATCTGTTTTTTCTCCTCCCATAGCACTTTGTACTCACTTTTCTTGGAGTCTTTACTATGTTGTATCTTAATTATTGGATCACATATCTGTTTCCTATGATCATATGCTGGTTCCCTGGGTCAATGAGATCAAAAATAAAACGTGAGTCTTATTGGAATGAGCCAATGTTGGCTTCACACTTCAGAGATATAATGATGACTTTTCAGAACTGATCGTGTTGATGAACTCCTAAAGGCCTCTTGACCTTTTGTAATCTCCATTCAACTTCCTATCTATAGGATGCTAAATGTGCTTGGGTGCATTTTTGAATTGCCTGTAGGAGTGATCTTTATTTGAGTCCATGCATCTTGACTATAAATGGTAGCCATAATCTCGCAGCAGTTATCAGTGTCTAAAACAGGTGCAGTATAAAATGTGGCACTTGGATGTAACTGGGAACACAGCATTTTGGAGCATTCAACAGCACTAAACCTAAGGGAAGTGGGACTACTTTTTCTCATTATGTGTGTGCTTCTGCCATTTGCTCTTGGGTCATATGATTTCAGAGCATGGGTTGCCAGTCAAGTAACAAAAGTGAGAATGAATTGATAGTTTGTCTCACAAACAGAATTTGCCAAGAGTAGCAGGGTAGAAACCACCATAGATGGGTTCCAGTGCTCTCCTAACAGAATGAAACTAGTCCTCTTTGACTTCTACCTTGCTCTGTAAAAAAAAAAAAATAACAAAGGCTTCAAAATGATTTTACCAGGATGAGTGTGATGTTTTAAGCAGATTTGTGCTTCTACACCACACACACACACACACACACACACACACACACTGAAAGATGGTCCCAGCGTTCATTTTGAGATGTTCCTTAAAAGTACCTTGGAACATGAACAGACGCTTCTCAAAAGAAGACATTTATGCAGCGAAAAAACACATGAAAAAATGCTCACCATCACTGGCCATCAGAGAAATGCAAATCAAAACCACAATGAGATACCATCTCACACCATTTAGAATGGCAATCACTAAAAAGTCAGGAAACAACAGGTGCTGGAGAGGATGTGGAGAAATAGGAACACTTTTACACTGTTGGTGGGACTGTAAACTAGTTCAACCATTGGGGAAGTCAGGGTGGCGATTCCTTGGGGATCTAGAACCAGAAATACCATTTGACCCAGCCATCCCATTACTGGGTACATACCCAAAGGACTATAAATCATGCTGCTATAAAGACACATGCACATGTATGTTTATCGTGGCACTATTCACAATAGCAAAGACTTGGAACCAACCCAAATGTCCACCAATGATAGACTGGATTAAGAAAATGTGGCACATATACACCATGGAATACTATGCAGCCATAAAGAAGGATGAGTTCATGTCCTTTGTAGGGATGTGGATGAAATTGGAAATCATCATTCTCAGTAAACTATCGCAAGAACAAAAAACCAAACACCGCATATTCTCACTCATAAGTGGGAATTGAACAATGAGAACACATGGACACAGGAAGGGGAACATCACACTCTGGGGACTGTTGTGGGGTGGGGGGAGGTGGGAGGGATAGCATTAGGAGATATACCTGATGCTAAATGACGAGTTAATGGGTGCAGCACACCAGCATGGCACATGTATACATATGTAACTAACCTGCACATTGTGCACATGTACCCTAAAACTTAAAGTATAATAATAATAAAAAAAAGTACCTTGGAAATTCCTTTAACAATAGTTTAAAACAGTAACATTCCTGTGACCCACAGAAAGTTAGCTACTTTAGGGTCCTATAAATATTACAATGTCATGACATTCAGGAAAATAATATTATCAACAGTGCAAAGAGTTATTGATTTATCCAAGTTAGGGCAATTCTTATTCCTCATATTTGTATATATGCCCAAATAGTTCCAAGAGACAAATAACACAGAAATGCCATTGCTGTTGATGGTGTGAGGTTGGTGTCTCCTGCTTTTGGGAGCCACATAAGTATTATGATTCAATGAATATTTTTGCCCAGCATCCTTAAATGTGTTCTAGACCCTCTGGGAAATTATTTCCAACTCTACAGAGTGCTCCTCAGAACCAATGCAGAGTAGGCTGAGGCTGAGGTGGCAGCCACAGAAGTTTCATAGTCTCGATTTAGGAATCAGGGGCTGCTTCAGTCCTCTTCTGCTCTCTAGCCCCTTCTCTGAAAAACAAAACAAACAACAACAACCTCCTCACACCCCTCAAACAACCAAAGCTATACCCAACTTGTCTTTTTTTTTTTTAAGCAATGCTTTAAAAATGCATTAGAGATAACTTAAAATTTATGTAACAGGTTGATATCAATTCAGTCCCATATCCACTCCCACCCATCCCCACACCAGTCAAAAGACATTCCAACCTAGGGTTAAGGATCTGATCGCTCCATTCCCCAACTGGGAACCATGACTCCACACTACTCTAGGAGAGTGCCTGCACACTGCATACACTATCTTGTTTAACCCTTCCAATAACGGTCATTATCATTATTTTTTTCCAGAGGTGGTGAGGCTTTTGGGGTTGGACTCATATTATCTAAATTCTCAAGGGACTCACACAAACACCAGACTGCCAATTTGTTAATTTGACTGAGAATAAAAATACTCAGGAGGCTGAGGGTCAGCACATCCTCTCCCTTCTGAAACAAAGCATGTGGAGAAAGCCAGGGGACCCACAGAAGGCTGCCTGTGGCCACGTCATAGCAAAGGAACTTTATGGAGAGGAGCAGGAAGTCAGAGAGCCAGCTGGTGTGCACACCCCACTGGGCCTGTGGCCAGCCTCCCAGACAGAGGTTGCTCACCCTCAAACATTCTCTCTTTGGATATGGATACTCCTACTCTCAGAACAACTCATTCAACTACAACAATAACTGAGGACAAGAATTCTAGGTTCTGGGAATAGAAACTGACCCACGTTATCCAGCAGCTTCCTGTTTAGTTAGGGAGCCTGAGTACAAACAATCACCATCTGGGCGAATGGGCAAATCCATCCATTGGTTACAGAGTGTTTATCAAAGTGGAATCCATAGGTGCATTCTCTGGGGTAGGATACTTCACTATGAAAACCTTTCCTGTGTTTTTTCATTTCAATAATAATATAAAAATTGAGTATAAGAATATGGTGTTTCCTATGGATGGCCACCTTATAAGGGAGAGTTGCAGAAGAATTGAATTGTACACAAGATAGAAAGGCAGGCCAAATACTGAGAATGCTCTTTAGAAGGCAGTATGATTGTCACATGATGAGAAGAAATTTAGTTTTAGTTACTACATTAAATTAATGCTGTTAACTTGAACATGATCAGGTTTGCAATTTTGTTTGTAATTTATTTGTTTCTTTTTTTTGGTTTGCAATAATATAAGATCTTATGCGTATAAGGCATTTGTTAACAGCTTTATACACATTCAAAAAACATTATTAAAAAGCAATATACATAAACCCTGGGTCTCATCAGAAAGTCTTTATTTTTTAAAGGGGTCCATATGATACTAAGATTTGAGAAACATTGGGTATAGCTGACTTTAATTGCATTTTAAGCATGATTGCCTTGATTAGATCCTTCACCAGCAATACATTTGGGTTACCTGCGCATATAAATAAATTACCCCCTTTGTATTGAGTTTTACTTATTGACGTCTGAGGAAGCTATATCATAAATTCCTGTACATTGACTACGCTACAAAAGTCATGGCCATTTCACACACGGTTGCCTCTCTTTCTTGCTCTCTTCTTTCTTTCAATGCATACAAGCACTGCATTGGGGCCTAAGTGTAATTGATACACATATGGAAGGGGTAGGAATGATCCCTGCCCTCATGGAGCTTATAGGCCAGAGCAGTGTCTTCCAAATAATCCTGATGATAAGCGGTGCATGAGAACTTGTTATAACATATTTCCAGACCCCTCCTTAAACTGAGTAGATTCTCCAGGGAAGGGTCCAAGAAACTGTAAATTTAATAAACACCCCAGGTGGGGGTTGTCACGAGAATTTTTATGAACTTTCCTGGTAGATTCCACTTCTTTAAGTCTGGGGTTGAATCCAGGACCTGACCATGATATTAAGGGAAGGAGAATGGCAGCAAATCATTTTAAGTGGGAATGAGATAATCATATTCACATCTGAGAAAGGGGTCACCCTCCCCCTGTGGATAATAGATTAGCAAGGGGGAAAATGAGAGCCCTGAGAGTAGTTAGGAAGCTATGGGGCTACTGAAGATGGAAATAATAGCAACCTGGACTAGAATAGTGGCAGTGGGACTTGAAATAGGTGAAAGGATTTGAGAAGCATTTAGGAAGAGAATCTACAGGACCTACTGATGGATTGATGTGGCGGCTGAAGGAGAAAGAAGCATCAAGATTGACTCCTCAATTTCTGGGCTCAGCCTTCTAAGCAGATGGAGAGGACTTTTGCTGGGATAGAAAGAGAAGAAGAAGAAAGGCTTTGGAGCATGGATAGGGTAAATCATGAGTTTAGCTTGAGAAAATTTGAGATTAAAGTGCCATAGGTACATCTAAGTGGAGACGGATGTTCAGTATGAAGTTGTATATATGAATCCCTAGCTAAGGAGAGGCACTCGGGATGGATATTTTCATCTGGGAACCATCAGACAAAAGAATCGTTGATAATATGACCGTGGATAAGATTTCCCAGTGAGTGTATATGGAGAGACATGAGAATGCCTGAGGCAAAGAGAACTCTGAGGAACATTTAAAAAGACAAGATGCTAAATGGAGACATAAACAAAGAAGGCATAACTAGAGAGGTAAGAGAAAAACCAGAAAAGTAAGAAGTCACTGAATCCAGAGAAAAACATTGTTTCAAAGGAATGAAATGTCTAGCACTATGGAATGTTGCTGAGGGGTCAAATAAGATGAGTTGAAAAGTGTCCATTGGACTTAACAAATAGGTCACTGAAGACCTTGATGGGAATAGTTTCACTGACACAACCAAGGCAGATATCAGTGGGTAAAGCAGGAAGTGAGAAAGGGGAGGCGGTAAGTAGGGTTGCGGGGGATTTGGGGGGTACTGTTTCAGGAAGTTTATCTGTGGAGGGAAGGAGAGAATAATAAATAGAGGGATTGAGAGACTAAGGATGGGAGAGACTTGAGCATGTTCAATGATATGAGGAGGAAAATGCAGAGAAGGAATATCTGTAGGTACCGAAGAAGGGGCACTGCTAAGAAAATAGTGTCTGGAAGACTGGCAGGGAGAGAAAAGAGCATCTGGGGGAGGAACTAGCCTTAGATGGAAGGTGGTACAGCTCTTCCTTTGAGGTAGGAGGACCTGGGGGAAGGAAAGGTAGGAGGAAGATGCTGTACGTATAAGCCGTGGTGGGATTGGGCATAGAGTCATAGGTTTGAGGAGAATGGAGCACAGGAAAGGTGACTAACAAAACATAGCAGGGCCCTCTGGTGGCACTAAGCCTTGTTCAGGTCACTCCCCATGAAACAATAGGCCTGGTGGTGTGATTCTCCTCAGCAGCTCCAGCTCACTGAGTAGACTCAGAGAAGGTGAATAACTGGATTCGCACAGGGTGGATCATTTTACAGAGGAGTTTGATAGAAGAACAATGTATAAAGAAGTTGACGGTATTGGTAAGAGTGTGGCTGAGGCGATGAGGGAAGGGAGGAAAGACAAGATGTGACTGATGAGTGCAGAGTGAAAGAGAGAGAGACAGATAGAGAGGACTGGAGGCTCAATGAGGTTAAAGAACTGATGTGTGTATGTTTGTGTGTGGGGTATTATGAAGAAAGAACTGGAAAGAGAGGAGTCTGATCAGAAAGGAAGATGCCTGAACTTGTGATTCCACTGCTTTTCACCATGTTCTTAGTGGCCGTGAAGATGGGTGGCGGAAGTGGAGTTAAGAAGGTCATTTGAGAAGAAGCATATTAGTTAAGGCAATGGTTAGCTGCTATAAGAAAAAAAACCTTCCAAAATCTCAATGGCTTGCCACAGCCAAAGTTGATTTTTCACTCCCATAATAGGCTGACGTGGGTATTCTTCATTGGCAGCTCATTTCCAGGTGGTGATTAGATAACCCATGGTCCTTTTGCCTTGTGTCTCTGATGTCTCCTATGAGTAGGTCCTAAGGCCACCCTGAGATTCTCCACTGTAGTCAGCAGAAGGCGGAAGAGGCCTGTGTATTATGTGTGAAAGGTTTTTGTTGCCCAAGCCAGAAGGTGGCCCATATATAGCTTATGCTCATATTCCATTGGCTGGAACTCAGTCACATGGCCACAGGCATGTTCTAGGGAGGCTGAGAAATGAGTGCCCAGGAAGAACATAGAGCAGGTTGGTGATCAAGCAGAAAACTCTGTGACAGAGAGCGGAGTCTTATGCAGTCACCATTTGGATGTGAAGACACCCAGGATGAAAGAAGGCTGAAGGTGGAAATAAAGCCCTATCTGGGTCAAACATACTTCAGTGACAGAGACAGCAAAGAGGTGGCTTTTAGAGACAGCCAAGTGGCAAGAGAGTAATGGCAAGAGGCCCAAAGGCACCAGGTGGTTTCATCTTCCCTGAGGGTGGAGGATGATGGTGTAGAGGTGACAGTATGAACCTCACAAGACAAAGCCCTTCTTCCAGACTCGAGGGACTTAGAGGATTGGCAGCTTCCACGAGCAGGGGAGGTGGGGGTGGCTAAAGCCTGTGGGGCAAGTAGCATCCTTCAGAGGGAGGCTGGTGTCAGGGCCAAGGAATAGAATCACTGGGGAAGCGGCTGAGGATATGGGGGATTTTGTTAACTGTGGATCAGGTTTGCAGAGGGCTGGGCAGAGAGGCAGGAAAGAAGTGTGAGGGAGAAGTCCAGAGCAGGATGGAAAGAAGAGAGATGACCAGAGGAAATCACATCTGAGTAGTGAGCCAGGATTCTTGGGGTGTGTAGCAAGGTGGATTTAGCTGGCCACAGTTGCCAAAAGAATCGATGTCTGCCATTCCTGGTGACCAGAAGCACTCAAGTCTCCTGGGTACAGCCTGGGAAGGTTACTCTTCCAACAGAATTCAAGAATCTGATAGGAGAGAAGATGTCAGTCCCTCTGGAAGAAGTTAGCAAAGTTGTGGCCTTGAATGGGAAGGGACAGAAGAGAGGTTCAGGGTTCGAGGCTGAGGCAACAGGAAACTGCCTGGAATGGAACTTGCCAAGGGGGATGGGAGGTGCAGGCCGGGGGTAGGAAAGTTCTCACGCTCTGCTTAGAGGACTCCCCGTGAATGCCTGGCACAGGGCAGGCACACTGCTTGACTTAATTCCAGTGTAAAATCAGATCATTTGAGAGGAGTAGAAAGCTACCAAGCAATTGCTCTTTGTTGGTGGGTTAAGAGATGAGAAGGCTCTGAGAACACACTTGAGATATGACAACTGCACATTCACGTCTCAAAAGCATAGTAGCAAGCAGATCACACTGGCTTGCTATATGATATGTGACGAGGTAGTTCGATTTGAGGAAAAAACATCTTGCTGTTTGTAGAGCCAAAGAAGTCAAAGCTGTAAAGACCATATGATCTGTGGCAGCAGTTTTTCTTTGAAAACAGGTTTTATAAGTAATCAGAGTAGGAGGCCTCATCGAGTAATGCATGAATCTTTCCAAATGTTGTTAACTGTCATGAAAGGATGCCAACTTTATTCTACGTTAGCTCTTATTCTGTTATCCTAATACAAGTGAAGGAATTATAGTAACAGTTATGATTAGTGGGATACTTCAAAATTCCACACACAAATGAAATATTTCCTTTTCCTACGTTTCACAGTGATATCCCCGATGTATACCAGATATCCAGTGAAATGCATGTGAACCACAAATTGCAGTAATAGGTAGAGAGAAGAGAGTTAGAGAGCAAGAAGAGAGACAATGTATCAAAATTTGTATTTCATAATGTGAATAATATTCCCTCATTTTTTTTTCTGATTTCTGAGCTTTTACCGAGTTTCTGGGGTGAATCATCCTGCCTTTTTCTTTTTTTCTTTTTCTTTTTTTTTTTTTTAAGTTCAGGATTACATGTGCAGATTTGTTACACAGGTAAATTCATATCATGGGGGTTTGTTGGACAGATTATTTTATCACACAGGTATTAAGCCTAGTACCTATTAGTTATTTTTCCTGATCCTCTCCCTCCTTCTGCCCTCCACCCTCCGATGGGCTCCAGTGTGTGTTGTTCCCCTCTGTGTGTCCATGTGTTCTCATCATTTAGCACCCACTTGTAAGTGAGAACATGCGGTATTTGGTTTTCTGTTCCTGTGTTAGTCTGCAGAGGATAATGGCCTCCAGCTCCATCCATGTCCCTGCAAAGGACATGATCTCATTCTTTTTTATGGCTGTATGGTATTCCATGGTGTATATTTACCACATTTTCTTTATCCAGGCTATCACTGATGGGCATTTAGGTTGATTCCATATCTTTCCTATTGTGAATAGTGCTGCAGTGAACATACGTGTGCATGTGTCTTTATAATAGAATGAATTATATTCCTTTGTTTTCCCTCATTTTTTAAATAGTAGTGCTTATTGCATTGAGATGAGCAGAGTATGTTAAGAGATACCAGTAACTTATGGCTCCATTTTCATAATGCTGGTATCATTGATAGAGTTTGATCTGGAAGTAGTTTTATTATTTACCATTTACACACAAACATCAGAAAGAGGTGTGGATTTTATATGTGACTTTGTCTTTACTAATTAAAGGAATAAAAGGAACTTCAGAGTACCTCACTACTTTTGAACTAATTTATATAAATAACTGCCTACACTTTATAGTGAGGGTGGATTCGACCTTTAGGGAAAGATCTTTTCTGTAGGGCAAATGATTTTTGCCATTCCCTGGAGGATTTATTTAAGAAAGGTTTTCCTGTAATCAAGCCTCCCTGGGAAAGACAAAGACATTATTTCTAACAAATGCCAGTTCTTCTATCAACATTGTATGGTCTAAAATCCATGTGTAGGATGTGCTGTGATCCTTTTTTATGGTAGAGAGGCATCATGACTTGAATGGATAATTTCAGATTAGGCTGCACAAAAATTGTATGGAGACATTGTGATCTAAAAGGAGTTTTTCCTGTCATAAATTGTTTTGACAGTTCTATCATCCAGTGTATATCTCTCGATGTTGCAAAATGAAATTTATAAAAGAACGTAGGCCCTTCTTCTTTCTGACTTACCACATGACTAGAGATGTTCTGGGGAAGAGAGACCTTAACAAGGCTTGGAGGAAAGGCATCAACAAAATATTTATTATTCTCTCAACTTCCTTTCTTCAAAGTATTATAATTGAGGTCATTATAAATCTTTGCAAGCAACACTTTTCCCTGTATGCTATACCTGTGTATTAGTCAGGGTTCTCTTAGAGGGACAGAACTAATAGGACATATATCCATATATATATCATATATATGATATATGTGATATATATCCATATATATCATATATATGATATATGTGATATATATCCATATATATATCATATATATGATATATGTGATATATATCCATATAAAATATATATCCATATATATCATATATATCCATATCATATATATAATAAACTCCCCTTTATATATACTATATATCCTATACATCCATATATATGATATATATGATATATGATATATACCCATATATATGGATATATAGGATATATAATATGAATATATGTGTGTATATATGTATAGATATATAGATATATATCTATATATCCTATATAATATATAATATATATATCCTATATATATTATATATATAATATATAATATATATATCCTATATATATTATATATATAATATATAATATATATTATATATAATATATATCCTATATATATCCTATATATCCTATATATATCCTATATAATATATATATATCCTATATATATATCCTATATATATCCTATATATATATCCTATATATATATCCTATATATATCCTATATATATCCTATATATATATCCTATATAATATAGGATATATAATACATATAAAGGGGCGTTTATTAAGTATTAACTTACACAATCACAGGGTTCCACAATAGACTGTCTGCAAGCTGAGGAGCAAGGACAGCCAGTCTGAGTCCCACAACTGAAGAATTGGAGTCTGATGTTTGAGGGCAGGAAGCATCCAGCATGGGAGAAAGATGTAGGCTGGGAAGCTAGGCCTGTCTCTCCTCTTCACGTTTTTCTGCCTGCTTTATATTTGCTGGAAGCTGATTAGATTGTGCGCATCAGATTAAGGGTGGATCTACCTTCCCCAGCCCATTGACTCAAATGTTAATCTCTTTTGGCAACACCCTCACAGACATACCTAGGATCAATACTTTGTATCCCTCAATCCAGTCAAGTTGACACTCAGTACTAACCATCACAACCCACTACCAGAAGACATTATTACAAATAAAACAGCCTCTCACATCTCTTCAGAGAAGTTCCATGAAGCTGGTTCCAAATAAAAATGAATAAATGATGTTTATCTAGGTCCTACAGATAATGCTAAAAAGAAAAAATTGATTAGTCCATCAATTCTGTTATGTACTGACACTAACACCCTCACATTTTTGAGGTTGACTTATTTTAAGAAAAAATGGTTTAGAAGATGCAAGGAAAAACAAAGAAAACCCCATTAATATGTATTGATTTTGTTGTAACATTAATTTGATAACTTTGCTATTGCATTTCGACAGTGGTGAAATAATTGCGTTAGTGTGACTTGGTGAAAACATTATACACATATAAATAAAGTTTATCAATTTCTATTTCAGAGTCAGAGAAGGATCTGGGATTTGAAAATCAACTGCAATGATGTTGACATGCATTAGAAATCAATTCTCAACCATGGCAATCCAAACTACTTATTCATGATAGCCAAAGAATAAATATAAATCCTGATCAAGTTATAAGAATCACCTTTTAAATCCTCCTGCCTTTCAAAGGACAGCATTTCTCTCTATTGAAGATAGATATTTGAAGTAATAAGGTTCAAGTTGTAGTACTTTTTTTAAGTACCTGCTTTAAGGCATCGAATTTAAATTCAGATTATTCCTGAAATTTATTTAAAATGTATATACATTAATGGCCCAGAAAGCTGTCAACTTACATTTCTTCAACTACTGAGTTTTGAGGCAGCAATCTTACTATGTTTATCTTTATATCCCTGGTTCCATGCATAGTGTTGTGCACATAGCAGGTCTTCTATAAATATTTGTTGGAGATAGAGTAAGTGAATAGCTGAATGAGGCTTTAGGGTTAGGAGATCTACACAGTAGGTATTCTATAAAGGTTTGTTGGAGATGGAGTAAGTGAATAGCTGAATGAGTCTTTAGGGTTAGGAGAAAGTTTGTACGGTGTCATTTTCCTTCCATTATGATTCAATCTGAAGCATTCTGCAGCCTCTTTGGTCAGATGCAATTGATTTTCACATTTATATTCTGGTGTGGATGCAGCCCTGGGCTTTTAAATTTCTTCAATGGGAGGGATATTAGCACACATCACATCATATTATGGTTTGTTGGGTGTATTTATCTCTCCTAGAAGATTCTGAACTCCATACCTTTTCCAGTTTTACATTCCTGGTGGCTAACATGGCATGTGACGTATGGTAGATCTTCAACAAATATTCCATGAATTAACTGGAAGCCTTGTGGGATTGCATCCTAGTCTTCTGTAGCTTGACCTTGGGCAAATCACTGCACCCCTACGGGTCACAGTTTCCTCATCCATAAAGTGAACACTTTTAGCATTCTGTGACTCCTGCTTAACAGACTAGAAAGTAATACTTGGCTGCACAGTAGTAAAAACTGGGTAACTTATGGGAAATTTTCTCCTGTGCAAACTTTATTAGGAAGAGGAAGGGGAAAGGAACTAGCATTTATTATATGACTTAAGTGATCAACTGTGCAGTCACTTTTTGAGATAGAATGTTATATTTCCATTGTAATAACATTATTTTATAGGTGAAATATATTATGTATTATTTTATAGATATGAAAAATTGGCTTCAGAGAGGTATACAACTTGCCTAAGATCACATAGTTAGTGAATGGTTGGGCCAGGATTCAAATCCAGTTCTGCTGACTTCAAAGCCAATATATTTTCCTTTATGCATATATGTTCTACCTGCTTAAATTTTGATTTTAAAAAATAAAAAAAGGGAACCAGGCCAGGTGTGGTGGCTCAAGTCTATAATCCCAGCACTCTGGGGGGCTGAAACAAGCAGATCACTTGAGGTTAGGAGCTCAAGACCGGCCTGGCCAACATGGTGAAACCCCATCTCTACTAAAAATACAAAAAGTTAGCCAAATGTGGTGATGGGCGCCTGTAATCCCAGATACTTAGGAGGCTAAGGCAGGAGAATTGCTGGAACCTGGGAGGCAGAGGCTGCAGTAAGGCTGGATTGCACTACTGCATTCCAGTCTGGACAACAGTGCAACAGTGTGAGATGCCATCTCAAAAAAAAAAAAAAAAAAAAAAAGGGAACCAGTTTGCACTGAAGGTGGGATAGATCTTTTCATCTTGTGTTTCTTCCTTTTACAATTTGAGTCAAGCAAAAATATGAGTGATTCTTGCTGAAATTGTATTTCCCAATTTTATTTCATCTGCTTAAGTTCTATGAAAGAAGTAGAAACTGAGGGCATATCAAAATAAGGGAAAGAGGCTGTGGGGCAAATCAGAAGCAAGATGGCTCCATCAAGGGGACAGTAACATGAGAAGGACTGGAGGCAAGACGAGAAAGTGACAGGAAAGGCCTGGTGGGGGCGGAGGGAGGACAAAGGACATTTGCCTGATAAGAGCTAAAGGAACAGGTTATGTGAAAATAAACATATTCAGGATTGATATAGGAAGTAACAAGTTTGTGTGGTTTTATAGGAAAAGTTCCATAAGGATCTCTGTATCCCGTGTTAGATGGCTAGATGTCACAGCATATACCATGATGGGCTCAGGCCACTGCAATAGAATTTATATCTCTGATCTGATACCACAGTTTGTTTGTTTGTTTTTAGTGATAGGATCTCACTCTGTTACCCAGGCTGGAGTGCAGTGGCATGATCATAGCTCACTGTAGCCTCGAACTCCTGGGCTCCAGCAATCCTCCTGCCTTAGCCTCTCAAGTAACTAGGACTACAGGTGTGCACCACACCTGGCTAATTTTCTAAAAAATTATTTTTTTCGTAGAGACAAGGTCCTGCTACATTGCCCAGGCTGATCTCAAACTTTTGGCCTCAAGCAATCCTCTCACCACATCTTCCAAAGGCACTGGGATTACAGGCATGAGCCACCATGCCTGGCCTCTCAAAGTTTTAAGGACTATTCTTTAAACTTTTCACTGCTTGATTTTGCTTTAGTGGGTTTACTTTCAACACAACATTTTTACCTGTTGTAGAATTACCAATGCCAGAGATGTATTTGTTAGTGAGATCAAACTGCTCTCACACAATCATAGGCAAAATGTGGGATGTATTTGTATCTCTATAGGAAATGTGAAGAAAGTTGATAGTATCTTTCCCAGGAAATAGAAATGGCTCTCTGTAATGCCCAATTTTCTTTTCAATGCCTTAGGTTTTCTCAAAAGTTACTCACTAGTTCACTATATTCGGGTTCTAAAAGAGGTTTTATTCCAATAGAAGTTTTAAAAATCTAAATTTGTTGGGAAGAATGGGTGAGAGAAGCTCCTATAAAGTGTGTATGTTCAAGAAGCCAGGTGGCTGAGGGTCAGCTAGCTAACATTGGTAAGTGACGACTGGCTCAGCCTGGGACAAACCAAACTAAGCTAGAGAAATTATTATTATTATTACTACTATTATTATTATTATTAGATGGAGTCTCGCTCTGTCGCCCAGGCTGGAGTGCAGTGGCGCAATCTCGGCTCACTGCAAGCTCTGCCTCCTGGGTTCATGCCATTCTCCTGCCTCAGCCTCCCGAGTAGCTGGGACCACAGGCGCCCGCCACCATGCCCAGCTAATTTTTTGTATTTTTAGTAGAGGCAGGGTTTCACCGTGTTAGCTAGGATGGTCTCGATCTCCTGACCTCATGATCCACCCACCTCGGCCTACCAAAATGCTGGGATTACAGGTGTGAGCCACCGCACCTGGCCAAGAAATTATTATTTTTTTACACTTTACAAAGGAACATTCATTATGAAGATGAAGCTTGTTCAACCAGTGGCCTGTGGGCCACACATGGCCCAGGACAGCAGCTTTGAATGCAGCCCAACACAAATTTGTAAACTTTCTCAAAACATTATGGGAATTTTTTTGCAAATTTTTTTTTAGCTCATCAGTTGTCATTAGTGTTAGCGTATTTTATGTATGGCCCAAGACAATTCTTCTTCTTCCAATGTGGCCCAGGGAAGCCAAAAATTTGGACACCCTGTTGTAGATTGTGGTTTCTAACACCATTCTCCAATAAAAGGAACCAGGGCTCCTTGGAGAAATGGGTGATTCTAGGACTGGGGCAGGAATTTTACAAGTTGAGCCTAAAGCATCTTCTAGTGCCAGGAAGTAAGGAAGTTCTCAAACAAAGAAACCAAACCAGACCATTGTTAAGGTACATCAAAGGGACACTGGAGCCAACTGAAAGGGCTCCCAATGAGCAAATCTGGAATGATTTGAGCACATAAAGAAGGTAGCATTGGATTATAACCTGAATTACAAAATAAATATGCATGAGTTCATACTGATAAAAATAATTAAAAAAACAAAAAGACAAATCTCTTTTACAGAAGAATTTCAAATAATTTATGCTTTACTTGGCCTTCAAGAGGGAAAAACATAATACCCACTCCTTAAGTCTGGGCTTCGCAGAGTGACTTCCTTCCAAAGAGCAAAGTATGGAAAAGGGATGGCAGGAGAAGAGTAACTTTACAGTGGAAAACTTGACAAACACCACCTCAGCGTTGTATCATGTACTACAAAGGGTTGTAGTACATGGCCTTGATATGACTTAAGGAAAATGGGACTCTACCCCTGCAGTTTTTCTCCCCAAAATCCATAGTCAGTACAATCATGAGAAGAACATCAGACAAATCCCAATACAACGCAACCTACAAAATACCTGACCAGTACTCCTCAAAGCTGTCAAGGACATAAAAAACAATAAAAGTCTAAGAAACTGCAACAGTGTAGAGGAGTCCAAGGAGACATGACAACTAAATTAAGTGTGGCATTTTGGATGAAATTGTAGAACAGAAAAAACTTTGATTAAAAACTAAGGAAATCTGACTATGCTATAAACTTTAATTGATTATCATGCAGCTGGCTGGGCATGGTGGCTCATGCCTGTAATCCCAGCACTTTGGGAGGCCGAGACAGGAGGATAGATTAAACCCATGAATTCAAGGCCAGCCTGGGTAACATAGTGAGACCTCTATCTCAAAAAAGATAATGTATCGATACTGGTTAATTAACAAGTGTACCATACTAATATAAGATGTTAATAATAGGGGAAATTAGTAAGTGGGAAAACACAAACCATCGGTGTTTTTTTTCTAAGAGGTTGTGGGATTAACAATGGGATGAGGAGGAAATTAATGCTAAAAGGATCTTTCACATTTTATTTAGCATAATTTCATTCTGTTTGAAATCTCTTATGTTGAAAATCTTTACAATTTACGTGATTAAGAAAGTAAATCAACATATAAATTTTCTAGATTTGTTCAGAAGTATTTGACAGATATCTTCAGAAATAATCTGAAGATATGAGATATTTTCCCAGTCATAAGGAGGCAAGACACATTTGTCATGAACTGCAACCAAATCTGGGGCATTACTAACATGGAATATTTGTGGAATGTCCACGAGGTCTCAGTGCCTTGTATGGGTGTGGTGGCTAGTCCTCAAATATGGTTCCCATCAGTTTCTCCCCTCCCTGAATGTGCATGCTTCTCCTCACATCAAGAGGTGGAACTTATTTGCCCTCCTCTTGAATCTGGACTGCCTTTATCACTGACTTTAACCCACAGAAGACTGTAGAAGTAACATTCTGAAATTCCAAAAAAAAAAAAAAAAAAAAGGCTTTAGAGGGAGCAGCAGATTCTACTTCCCATCTGGTGGGAACAAGCCTTCAAGCTGGAAGAAGCCCAAGCCACATGGGGAGGGCATTTGGAGTAGAAATGATGCTCCTTGGGTGAGCTACCAGGCACCAGCCAGCACCAACAGCCAGCCATGTGAGTGAGCTAGCTTCCTAGTTGATCCTCCAGATGGAATGCACCCCTGGCTGACATCACATGGAGCAGAAGAATCATTCAGCTGAGCCCAGTCAACCCACAATATCATGAGTGATAATAAAATGTTGTCTCAAGCCACTATGTTTTGGTTTAGTTTTACATACAATAATAGAACTGAAACAATGGGCATAATATTTTACTCCATGTAGTAGACTGAATTGTGATCCCCTCAAATTCATGTATTGAAGTCCTAACTCCCAGAGTGTTAGAAGGTGACTATATTTGGAGATAGAGCCTTTAAAGAAGTAATTAAGGTTAAATGAGGTTATAAGGATAGGGCCCTACTTATAAAAAGAGGGAGAGATACCAAGGATATGCATGCATAGAGAAAGGGTCCAGTGAGGACACAGTGGGAAGGCAGCTATCTGCAAGCCAGGGGAAGAGGCCTCAGCAGAAACCAAACCTGACAGCACCTTGATCTTGGACTTTTAGCATCCAGAACTGTGAGACAATAAATTTCTGTTGTTTAAACCATCCAATTTGCAGTATTTTGTTGTGGCAGCCCTAGTAAACTAATATTAGGCTGGTGCAAAAGTAACTGTGGGTTTTGCCATTACTTTTATTGATCTTAATCATTTAATCATTACTTTCAATGATTTTAACATATTCCATAGAGTTCATTTTACATAAGTATATCATTCTTATTAGAGGTCTCACTAGTACTTTGTATATGGTTGGAGCTTGGGTAGATTAAAGGGGAAGAGAAAGTAATGATTACTATCCACCTTTTACAAACAAGGAGCCAGAGTCATGAGCAGAGGCATTCTAGCCCCAAATCCAATGGCTTTTCTTCTACACGACATTGCTAACTACTAAGGATTCTCTGTTGTCTGGGTTGGGTCACTCTTCTGCCTAGAAGAGATGAGGAAGAGTGAGAGTTTAGCAACCCAGCAGGCCTTGCCTGTGGAACCACGTCTGTGGATTTGGGTTGAATATCTTCCTCCATGCTTGGGAGAAATGTACAGTGGCTGAAAAAGATTCTAGTTGTTTCCCACGGACAAAACTTTAGATGATTTAGAAGCTTGAAATGCCCTTCCTTTCTCCTCTTTCTCCTTCCTTCTTTCCTTCCTTCCTTCCTGCCTGCCTTCCTTCCTCCCTTCCTTCTTTCCTTCCTTTTCTTTTTTGGTTTAATAATATTTACCATAAAAAACTTGAGTATTAAAGTGTTTCAAGCAAAAAAAGAAAAATTTTGCCCCTTTTGTCCTTACCATACATCTATTCCAACCCTTTAGAAGTAGTAGTCTGAAGAGTATTTAGGGGTGTGTGTGTGCATACATGTGTGTGTGTGCGTGTGTGTGTACGTGTATGTGTATGTGTACATGTTTGTACGTGTATGCACACACACGCACTTGCTTCCAGGCCTCTAGTAATGTTCCTTTCCTTGGGAATGGCCCAATATACACAGAGAGAGATCTCTGGAGACTCTGAAAAATATTCTGTATATTTCCTACCATTCTTAAACATACTGATTGATCCAGAAATAGACAAATGACCCAAGTCAAGACAATCAGATTCTCTCTCCAATAGAGTATGAGAGGGACTGGGAGTTAGACGCTGAGCCACTTCAATGGTAGTGCTCTGAAGAGAAGATCTGTGTAATGCTGCCACTGAGGCCTAGATGTTGCCCTGGGTCTTTCCCTTTCCTTTCCTTTCCTAAATCTTGATAGTCCAATATTTGCCATTAATTTATGAGCTATCTTAGTACTCATCCAAAAAACAATTGTACTTTTTGCTCAAGCTAATCAAAACTAGTTTTTCTCTCTTGCAATCACAAAGTCTTAATGTATATACACATAAACATTGAATGTTCCTAGAATAGGATCATAGAATTTATGTTCTCAAATTTCTTTTTCCCCATTGTACTATGTATCATAGATATAATTCTACACCAGTGCATAATAGATTTACTCTATTATTTTTAGGAACTGTACAGTCTTTTGTGTATGTATGTACTATAATAACACATTTATCTAGCCTGTTTTCATAGGTTATTTCCAGTTATTGTCATGAAAAACAATGCTGAGTACAGAAAGGGGTTATGGGAAGCTGGAGAAGACATGACTCCTTTCTGCTGTACTACTAACTCCAATCATTCTGCCTGTCCTGAGACAAATAGCTTTATGAGGCTCTAGATACCTAGCCTCTTTATGAGGCTCTGTAGAAGTTCCAGCAAAGAGAATTTTGTACTCTGTGGACTGGGGAAGCCAGCTGGAGAATCCCTACTACCCACAGTCCCCAACCCTGGGAGCTTTGCATAAAGCAAGGAATCCTGTGAAAACCTTCGTCTCGGAGATCAGTGGCCCTCAATCCCACATGAGTGTGCCACATCTCCCTGGCTCCTGGGAGACCTAGAGGAAGTTGGCCCAGTGGGCAGAGTTCTCTCTGACCCCAAGACTGGGAGAGTACAGGATGGGAGTGCAGGTGACCCCAAGGGGCCTGCAGCCTGCTGGCTTCTTCACTGCAGCCTCTTGGGAGAAAGAGCTGCACCATCTTCCAACACCTGTGGGAATGCTGTCTTGAAAACACTGCAGCAGCCAGTCATGAGCCAAGGAAGCAGACAAGAGCAACGAACACAGGCGTAAGATGGTCTGACAAAGAAAGGAAGACCACTCAGGTCAACCAGAACACATGCCCTGTAAAATCAAACTGAGAAGACACATAAAAAATTGATCAAAGAAGGAGTACTCAAGGAGACGTAAGTAATCAGACACACACACACACACACACACGCACACACACACACACTCTCTGTCTCTCTCTCTTTCTCTCTTTCTAGAGCTAAAAACATGATTTTCCATCTAAATAATTCAGTAGATAAATTGAAGGAGATTTACTAATTGTCTGGTAAATAAAATTGGAGAATCATCTCAAAATATAGATAAAAAATTAAAGAGAAGAAAATCCTTAGGGAAGGGGTAAAAGACTTGGAGGGTGCATCAAGGGTATCAAACTAACAAATAATAGAAGTTCCAGAGGAGCTAAAGGAACAGATGGAGGAGAGGCAATAATTAAACAAATTAGAAGAACATTTCCCTGCAATGAAGAAAAATCTGAGTCTGCAAATTGAAAGGGCTCACCAAGCTCCAGGAATGATTGATGAGAAAACATACACATTTAGGCATGCGAAAATTCTTGAATTCTAAAGATAAAGAGAAAATCTTACATGCTTCTAGAACACAGGGAAAAACACTACCTACAAAAGAAAAAGAATAATATTCATATTAGCCATATAGGTGACTAACAGAAAGAGCAGCAGCCCAAGAACCCTATGCTTGCCAAGCTCTCATTCATCCTACTGAGCCGGCAAAGCTGTTTATGGACATGCCAGAATTCAGAGTGCATATATTTCATGTAACCCACAACCCCCAGTATGGCATAAAACAGCATTTCTCAACTTTCATGTGCATTTAATCACCTGAGGATCTTGTTAAAATGCAGATTCCAATTCAGCAGGTCTAGGGCGAAGATCAGAGATCCTGCATTTCTAATAAATTCCCAGGTGCTGTCCTTGCTCCTGGTGGATGGACCACTGGCGTGGACTCTCAGGGTGATCCTTTGGGTTCCAATCTTGGCTCTACCTCTTCCTGGACATGTGAACTTGTTCTTTAAGTTTTCTATGCTTCAGTTTCTTCATCTGTAAAGTGCTTCAGCTTCTTCATTTGCCTCACAGAGTTGTAAAGATTAAATAACACATATAAACTTCAACTGTGCCTGGCACAAAGTAAGGATTCGATAAATATTGGCTTTTAACCTAATGGTAGACTCTCTGGAAATTTGTAAAATAGGTGTTAAACAATAAGGGGTTTTAGAACAGAAGCAGCACGCTGCAAAGGCAATTGTACTATTGTAAATCAAAGTATTAAATGATCTCTGCAAATCTCAGACAATGAGGAGGGGAGAGGGGCTGGGCACCAGTGCTGCCGAGGCCTCATCTGGGAAATACTGAGGGGAGAGGGAGGAAACAAATGTATTCAGAGCTATTTTAGAATTCATCTAGTGGGAATAATTACTGGCTTATTTTCAGAGTAGAGAAAAATGTCTGTGAGCATAGGAGTTGAGAAGGTGTCTGTTGACAGGATGTAAAAGAATACTAGAATTTCCGTATTACCACAAGAAAATAAAACGGACTGAACAGAAAATTTGTCAAACCAGCAAGAAAAGCTAAAGAGTAAAGTCAAATATTAATCTTCAGAATCTTGCAAGAAAATCTAAGAAATTGAAAGTCTACTCTAGGGTCAAAGGAGACCTTCTTGACTAATCTTGATAACACAGACACTGCGCCCACCCCCTAGGCCTATTTGACTACATAAAAATGGCAAATTGGGGAAAATATTCATAAACTTCTATAATAATGAGAGAGATTGGTTTGCTGATCACTAAATATATTTCTTTTCCTCAAGAGACGCACTCCTTTTTCCCCCATCACATTTTTATAGCTTTATTGATGTACAATCAATATACAACAAACAACACATATTTAAATTGTACAATTTGATGAGTGTTGACATATAACACACCTATGAAACCATTACCACAATCAAGATAAAGAACATAACTATCACCCCCCAAAGGTTTCTTGGTGCCCCTGTGTAATCCATTCTTCTCTCTCCACCCCATCCCCATGGGGCTCACATATAGATTACACTTTTTCACCTTCCCATAGGCTATGGTCAAGCATATAGGTGCTGCGTAAAGGAATGTGAGTGGAAGTAAGAGCATTCCTCCAGATCTGGCCCAAGAAACCTTTCTGTATTCCCTTATGTGCTGGCTGCATGATGACAGCCCAAGGTGAACTAAGGAGCCACTGTTGAAGATGGCAGAGCCCCCAACAGCCTGGGTCTTTGAATAACTGGGTAGAACAGAGTATCCCTATCTCATTGTCAATAAACCTCTATTCTGTTAAATCACTGAGATTTTGGGTATTTGTTATGGCAACGTAGTACTACCTTAGCTAATACAATAATAGTCACAGAGCTCTTACAAATGGATAAGAAATGATCAAACAACCCAATGGAAAAAGATTAAGAAGAGTCAACTCATAGAAGAGCAAATCCAAATTATAAATACATGAAGCATATGAAAAATGCTCACATACTAGTAAGTATGAAAATTCAGTAAAGTAACATAGACTAGTATCCATTAAAGAGACTAACAAGACTTATTGGCAGGGGTAAAAGGGAGAGGATACTCAAACATTGATGATGAAAATGTGAGTTGCTACAGACTTTTTGAAAAATCAATCTGGCAATATATAGTAAAATGAAAAATATAAATACTCTGCTTTAGTAATTCTACTCCTGGAAACCTAACCCATGGAAATAAAGGATAAAGGATAAAAAATATCTTTGCAAGAGAATGTTTACTACAGATGTGTGCACAACAAAAACAATTAAAACACAGCTGGAAACAAAAGGAATACATATTAGTAAAGGAATGGTTGAATAAATGGTAAAATATCCTCTTCAAGGAAAGTTATGCTGCAAATTTGAAAAAAATAAATTAGAATTAAATCAGATAACAAGGATTTCCATGAAGTTTTGTTGAATAAGGAAAGGAAAATGCAGAAAAGTACATATAACACAAATGCATTTCCATTTAACAATGACCAAAACCTTCCAGTATATATATGTGTGTATATGCATATGCATATATGTTCATGTATATGTGTTTGTGTGTGTGTGTGTGTGTGTGTGTGTATTTAAGAGTAACAGAAGACATTAAAACATGATTTTACCTAGTATGGTTGGGGGCAGGTAAAGTGGGATGAATTTTGGTTCCTTATAATGTCTACATCCAAATCCGCAGGACCTGTGATATTATATTGCAAAAGGGACTTTGCAGTGTGATTATGTTAAGGATCTCAAATAAGGGGATCACCCTGAATTATCCAGGAGGTCCAGAACTGTAAGAAAATAAATTTCTGTTTTAAGCCACTACATTTGTGGCAGCTTTTTACAGCATCAAAAGGAACACGGGTGATATTGGTAGAGGATGTGTTAGGCAAAAATCCAAGATGACTCTCTAACCTTGTACAATCCTCACCCCTTGAGTGTGGGTGGAACTTGTGAATATGATGAGATATCACGCCTGTGATTATCTTATGTGGCAACAGTACATTTTTGCAGATGTAATTAAAGTTTGACTTTGAGATCATCAAAAGGGAGATTATCCTGAGTGAAGTGATCCGTGAGATCAGATCTGAGAAGTGGCAAAGATTTTTACTCCTGCCGGCATTGAAGAAGCTAGTCACCATGAGTTCTCCAGCCACTAGGGAGTGAATTCTGCCAATGATCACATGAGTTTAGAAGAGGAACCCCGAGACTCGGATGAGCCTGCAGCCTTGTGAGACCCTGAGCAGACGACATAGCTAAGCTATGCCCCGACACCCGACCCAAGGAAACTGTGAGATAATAAATAGATATTGTTTTCAGCTCCTGAGCTAATAAAGAGAGTGAAAAGATAAAACAATGGGAAGATCAGGGGAGGAAAGGAACCACAGCACTAAAAAATAAGATTAATTATAGTTATATAAGACTGTATAGATGTGTATGAAGTAAAAATAAATATTTTAAAAGTGAAAAAGAAATCTAATATACATTTGAAAATCGAAAGAACAATTGTAGACTGAATTTAGAAGACTTTGGAGGAGTTGTGTATGAGAAAGAGAAGGTAAAGGTATTCATGCTGCTGTAATATGCGATATGGGGAAAGACAGAAGGGGAAAGGATTTTCAGAAGTTTAACTGCGGGTCCTAAGTAGAATTCCCTTTGGTGCATATTTTGGAGGTTTCAGTGGAGTTTTCATCGTATTCAATGATTTGGGGATTCACTGGTATTTCTTTTGGATATAAGACAATGCTGTGACTGCCCAGGAAGTAGCTCTTTATTCTACAGATGATACGTGGAGCCATCTTATGAAAGTGTACGATAGGATAGAGTCTCTTTTTTTTTTTTTTTTTTTTTGAGACGGAGTCTCACTCTGTTGCCCAGGCTGGAGTGCAGTGGCGCAATCTGGGCTCACTGCAACCTCCGACTCCCAGGTTCAAGCGATTCTCCTGCCTCAGCATCCCAGTAGCTGGGACTACAGGCGCCCGCCACCGCGCCCCGCTAATTGTTTTTTGTATTTTTAGTAGAGACGGGGTTTCACTGTGTTAGCCAGGATGGTCTCTATCTCCTGACCTCTTGATCCGCCCGCCTCGGCCTCCCAAAGTGTTGGAATTACAGGCGTGAGCCTCTGCGCCCGGCCGGATAGATTCTTACAAGTAGAACTGCTGAGTCCAAGAATATGTGCATGAAATTTTTGATTAAATCTTTATATTTTCAATCTTGGTCTTCATAAAAAGCCTGTACCAATCCATAGTCCCCTTTACATAGGGAATGAGAGAGCCCATTTTCCTATGGCTTGCTGCAGTATTATAAATATTTATAATATTGTTTATTATAAATATTTATAATATTGTTTATTATAAATATTTATAATATTGTTTATTATAAATATTTATAATATTGTTTATTATAAATATTTATAATATTGTTTATTATAAATATTTATAATATTGTTTATTATAAATATTAAAGATTTTTGCCTATAAGCCAAAAAAAATGGTAGGAATACATTTTTCTGATAAGCACTAGCCATTTGTACTATTTCTCTAAATTGCCTGTTCATAGCCTTCCAGCCTGAAATGATTGTTGTCAAACTAAAGGCAAATCATCCACTGTGGGACACAGTAATAGAAAAACCTTCCCCTTCCAGCAGTATCACCGTGGAGCAGTGAAGGACTAAGTATCACATCATCTAAGCTATTCTGTTACTCTCAGAAAACTGCTTTGCGAAAAAATTGTGGTGAGTAAAACAGTAAAAATATTCCTGCCTACTAATGTATGTGATGCAACACAAATGAATCATTAAAATCATTGTAAGAATAGCTCTCATTTAAATATATAAAAGTCAGCAGGGAATTTTTTTCAGGGTTTGCTACAATAATCTACATTGACTTAATGTCTTGTCTCTTGCAAGGTTCTAAAAGCTTTGCCAAATTTATCTTGTTCGCCTGCCTTGCTCTGCTAACTTTAAAAGGAGCTGGATCTACAGTGTCGAAACTTCACAGGGTAATATTTAGTTACCTTTTTCTTAAGAGTCACTGGATAAACCAACGTGGATAGCTCATTCACTCATTCAAAAAATATTTAGCACTGATTATGCACTAGGCATCCTGTAAGATTGAGGACACAGTGTTGGACATAAATGACATACATCCTGCCTTCATGGATTTACAATTTACTGGGAGAAGTCAGTTAGGTAAACAGACCATTATTATATGGTGTAACAGTTGAGGAAGTTCATTAAAACCTGAAAGATAATTGGAGGTGTCTGGTTTGGGGTGGCTACAGGGAAGCATGCTCCAAGCAGAGGAAACCACATGCCTTTTATTAAAGAATTATGACATGATCACATAATATTTCCTAAGCATGCACATCCTGGCATGAAGTCAGTGACAAATTCTTGTGGACATTTTAAGAACCTCAATATAAAAGTCTCAGGATTGTTTTCAAAGTTTCTATTTCACCAGAATCTCTGCCCTGTCAGCCAGAAAAGGGTTTTACTAGGGCAGCTGGAAGTTCTTGCCTGCCCTATAATCATTCATTTGACATTTATAAAGCATCTTCTCCATGCCTGTTTATGTGCTGGACATTGTGAATACCTAGCTGAATCAGACACCATTGCTGCCCTCAAGGGTCAATAGTCTCATTAGCAAGTAGGGAGGAGATAGACAAATAAATAACTATAATTCAACATAAGTACTATAGAAGAGGAGGTATATATATTATGAGGTGAGAATAAAAGGACAGAATGAACTCACTCCTCCAGGGAGTTAGTAAAGAACTCACAGATCTTGATGAGTAGCTCTCTACCGGGACATCAAACTGGGAAAGGGCTTGTGTTTAGTTTTTTGACAGAAGGGACACGAAGGCTGAAAAATGAAAAATGTGCGCAGGAAAAGTTAACAATATGGCTGTGGCTGGAGAATAAGGTGCACGGTAGGCAGTAGAGAGAAACAGAAAGATAAGCAGTAACCTCTTGGTAAGCATCCTGACTGGGTTTGTGATGATGGAGCAATAATGTTCTGTTATCACCAAGAGGGGATGGTTAATGTGTTACCCAGGAAGCGACATGGCAACCAGGCATCTATGCAAAGGGCACTTATTTTCAGAGCCCACTCCAAAGAAAAAGTAATAATTCAAGCCAAAAGATGTTTAATCCACTCTTCCCTCCCCGCTCTTCAATTGTAGCTCCAAATAATGCAGATCCAAGAGGGGTACTGCATACCCCAGAAGTTCCTTAGATTTGCCCAAGACCAATCATTCCTGAGGCTAAATTTCAGAAGCTAAGGATTATTTGCAAAAGTCATAAAACTCAGAGGTAAAAGTGAGCATTGCTGCACAGGAACCTAAGAATCAAATAGTGAGAAATACGCAGAAGAAGGCTGGTAAATTTTACTACCAGTTTCTTAGCAAGGCTCAACTAGAGACAAATATAGCACGCTATTATATATCCCCTTGATGGGTAGCTGGATGTAACCATATATATAATAAACTTTGTAGAGTTCTCAGTTCAAAGTGTGGCTTTAGTCATCATCTTTGCCATCTTCATAAATTCCCTAGCTAGACAACTCCTCTGGATATTGTTTTGTATGTAGATGTCTATTCTGAGCAGACAGCCAAGAGTCTAGTGTTCAGAGTGAAGAAACCCAGGTAACAAGGCCCCCGTCCAGACTGCTGTCTGGATGTGTTGCCTGCCATACCAGTTTGAGGTGCTTGGACTTTATCCTGTAGGCCAGAAATTCCTTATCTCTGCAGTAAATGCTCTACACAGATACTGACCTCTCAGACCTTGGGATAACCAGGTAGAACTTGGGACCGTCATAGCCCCGGAGTGTTATTTTTCAGTCACAAATAATCTCTTTCATTTAGCTCAGTATGTGCCTAAAAATATTACTGTTTCCTGTGTGTTGACAGGTGAAAAGACCAGGAAGCACTCCTGCAATGGGGAGCTGTCATGAACTCTGACAATTCCCTCTATCACCCTGAAACATAGGTACCCCCAAATTTAAAGTTTTGGATGTCCCTTTGGATCAGGGAAATATGCATGTAGAAGAGAAGACCTGGGACCTCCACACTGGGATAATGAAGGCAGATTATCAGGAGGATTGAGAGCAGAGAGGTGAAGTCATCATTAAATTACCCTTTGAGATGCAATTACATGAAAGATACTGAATAGCTGCTATCCATCTCTTCTCAGAAATGAAATGGAACTGTGTTTAAACTGCAGCCTAAGGAATTAATGTTAGATACAAAGATGCAACAGAACCAATTCCATGCTCCCAAGACACATGTGTTTATAGTATGTGAGGCCTACTTCTGTACCTATCATAGTCTGCTTTGATTTGAATTCATTGTGTATTCATTCGCCATGCTTATTCATGCTTGTAGCCACAGTGCCTAACTCAGTGCCTCACACGGAGTAGGCTCTCAATAAATATTTGTTGCATTGCATTAACTTGTTAAGTGATGGTGATCAGGAAAGACAGGCTGGTGTTCTCTGAAAGTCAGTAAATACAGAACAGGTTTTCTCACTTGAAGTGTCTTAGGAATCATGGACCACAGAACCATGATGTATTCTCTTACTCATTTTTATTTCTCACATCTCTGTCTCCCAAGTTCTAAACTAAGAAATTTGTATTTCCTTCCATGGAGATGGTTGACTTGCTGAATTTTCAAGAGCAAAATGGTATCTATTATGTTCCTTTGAGCTTAAATCTATGAGATGTCCTTTAGTATAGATACATTCTATAGGTGAAGATTTCCCATTCTGTTTGCTACATGTTTTGAGTACATTATGCTGTTCCTGATGATTCAGTTGCAAGTTTTTCACATTCTTGTGCTGCGATCTTGCCCCCTTCCTGACTACACACTCTACCTGAGTTGGACAAGGGACCAATTAATGTGTTGTTTTATCTGTTATATGTACTTTCCTTATTTTGAAATAGGAAAAGGAAAAATGGGAAAACATTGTCTTTGCTACTTGTCTGAATTTAAACAATCTTATAACTTTACTAGAACTTAAAAAAAAAACCAAATCATTGGTGATCAATAAAACTGTAATCTGTATTATAATGCCACAAGTCTTAAAACCCGCTATATCAGTCAGGGTCTTAAAACCCGCTATATCAGTCAGGGTCCTGGCAGGGAGCAGATGACACACTCCAGGAATAACTGAGGAGAGTTTAATGAGGGGGTAGTTTCACAAAAATGGGGCAGAGTCACGGGAGCCAACAAGCGACAGTGAAGCACTCAGGAATGAGCCCCACTGGGGAGCTGTACCATCCATAGAATTGGAAGGGCAAAATGAAGGACCTGATGGAAGCTAAGCTCTGAGAGAGGGGCTTCCTGGCAGGAGCTGTGGTCTTAAGTAGAGGAACACAATGGCCAAGCCTGGCAGGAGGTAAATAACCCATTCCTCTCTCCTCGCATCCTCTAATCTTCTGACGGTGGCACCCATTGGCCAAACCCAGTAGGAGGTCTGCAGATACCTGCCTCCTAGGATATAGGAAACAGGGGGAAAGGGTAAAGACTATTTCTAGAGGGTCCAAAAATACACAGCCAATCACTGTATCCGTCATGGTACAGTGACAACCCCTACATGGCAAACCCCTACTTAGAATAATTCAAGAGGTCAACTGCAAAGCATCTATTTACAATACTGTGCATTATATAAGGAAACACAAGGGATAGGGCAGTAAACTGGAGTTAGTAGAAGTGAGGCTGTTACCACTCCAGCCCCAAAGAGACAAGGGGAGAATGCTGTTACCAGAACTTGGAAAGAGAGTATGTAGGGGAAGCTGCCTTGAGAGAAACACCAAGCTTTGTCACCAGCCTAAGGGAGGGGCCAGGTGCGTGGACACCCTCACCTCCTCCTCATGCCTTCTAGGCTCCCACAAGGGATTCCTATTGTTCAAAGCAAACTGGAGGCCAGAAGGCAAGGGGGTCCTTGTGGCCTGTCCATATAAGTCAGCACCCTCCTCCCCTGCCCCAGTGAAGAACAAAGTGGAGAAGAGTGACAAGTGAATCTGGAGGAACCAGAGACATCTGGCATGCCAGCTTACAACTAAGTCACTAACTTGTCCCTTCTTCCCACCCTTTCTTTCCTTTCTTCCAACAAACTTTATTAACTTTTGTGCCAAGCACTGTGCTAGATGCTCTCACATAAATTATTTATTTAACTCTTAAAACCTCCTTCAAAGGCAGGGGATGTTATTTTTCCCTAAACAAGCATCCTCTATTGTGTTGATCTCTCAGTGTTTTTCAACTGTTTTAATATAAGAGCTCTTAAAAAAATAAAACCTCACTGGAAACCTAAAGTATGCAACCGATAAACCAATATTCCTTAGCAGAAATTTTAAAACATAAATTTACATTTCCTTATTATTAGGTTTACCAAGGAGAATAGTAAGAATATTTTTGATAAACACAAGTTTGAAATCTATTTTACTGCCCTAGGTTGGCATCAGCAACCACAAACATTGACAGTCTCCCTGAAACAGACTTTGACAATCACTGATACAAGTGACTGAGAAAACATGAAGCTTTAACTTTTCAAATCTACAACTCCTCAGCAAAGCCTCTTTTTTTTTTTTTTAAATCAAAATCTGATTACTAAAACACATGAGATGCAACTGACAGCTATACTTTTCTGGTCACCTGTTCAGGAAATATCTCATCCCTTTGAAAACTCAGCCTTTACGCCTCAGTTATCGAACACTTTGGAGCAGCTTAGCCCAGGAAATGAAGGCTCTTGTTAAAAACATAGAGATTTAGGAAGCCAGGACGTGATTAACCATGTGGCGTTTTGCCAAATGAGCAGTTAACAACCAGGGCCAGGAAAACAAGTGCTGATTAGTAACCCCTGGGCTTACAAAAGTGGTTTAGACCCAATCCTAACAATCCACTGTGACAGACCAGAAAATTCCTAGCCTATTGTAGCTGGAACTGTGCTGCCTTTAAAAAAGTATTAGTCTAATCAAAATGTATTCATCAGGGCTTCTACATGTTTTTTTAAAAAACTCTATGATTATTTACATTTAAATTTAGCACACTAGAAATCTCATAGGTGTTCTCTAGGAAACATAAAATTAAACTTTGAACCTACTCTATTTTTTATTTTTTATTTTTATAGATTTGAAAGGTAGACGTGCAGGTTCGTTACATGGATATATTGTGTAATTGTGAGGTTTGGGCTTCTAGTGTACCCATCACCCAAACAGTGAACACTGTACCCGATAGGTAATTTTTCAACCCTCACCCTCCTCCCACCTTCTCCACTTTTGGAGTCCCCGGTTTTCCCAGTTTTATCATTTCCCTCTGTATATCCATGTGTATCCATTGTTTGGCTCCTGCTTATAAGTGAGAAAATGCAGTATTTGATTTTCTGTTTCTGAGTTATTTCACTTAGGATAATGGCCTCAACCTCTGTCCATGTTGCTGGAAAGGACATGACTTCATTCCTTTTTATGGCTGCATGGTATTTCATTTTATATATATCACATTTTCTTTATTCAGTCAACTGCTGATGGACATTTAGATTGGTTCCATGACTTTGCTGTTGTGAATAGAATCTACTCACGATGTTTTTAATGGTTAACATTTTTTAATGCTTTGATGTTGAATTTAGTTATTCATTCATTTATTCATTTAACATATATTTGAGTGTCGGCCATGTACTGAGAAGTGTTCTAAATACTGGTAATAAGTCTCAGTGGGCTAAACCAGGAAGAACACTGCCTCTGAAGTTGATCAGAATTGGGATACCAGTTTTGAATACATTTGAGTGCAAGAAACAGAATGCCAAGCTTACACTGGCTCAAATTATCCTTTTTACTTCTATCCAATCAGTAGAAGTCTGGAGGAAAGTCGTTGCTGACTGTGGTTCAGGGGCATGGCCATGAGGTGCCACATCTCAGCAGTGCTCTTAACCTTTCCTTCATATTCATCACTTCATGGTGACCAGATAGCTGTGAAGGAAGCAGGGACACCAGGAACAAGTTGGTGGTGGTGGCAGTGTTGGGAAGAGGAGTTATGCATATTTTAGTTGGGTCATGTTGAGTCAAGAGACTCCATGATGTGATGACACATGGCACATGTGTTCTGTGGACAATGAGAGATACAGAACTGTATTTAAGGACAGAAGTCAGAGTTGATGAGGCAAGGTAATATGATCCCCAGTATTGGAGGTGGGCCTAGTGGGAGGTGTTTGGGTCATGGGGCGGATTCCTCATGAATGGCTTGGGGCCATCCCCATGGTAATGAGTGACTTCTTCCTCTAGGTTCACCCAGAGAGCTGGTCGTTTAAAAGGGTGTTGCACCTCCCCCCTCTCTCGCCATGAGAAGCGCCTGTTATCCCCTCACCTTCTGCCATGATTGTAAGCTTCCTGAGGCCCTCACCAGAAGCCAAATAGATGTTGGCACCATACTTCTTGTACAGCCTGCACGACTGTGAGCCAAAATAAATTTCTTTTCTTTATAAATTACCCAGCCTCAGTCATTCCTTTATAGCAATGCAAAATGGCCAAACACATTCCCTCCTACCTAGTTCCAACAACAGAAGCAGAGGACAGCCATTTACACTTCTGTGGCCTTCCAAAGTCATCTCTGTCCACAGAGTAATGGGAATTTCCTTACACTACTGCAGTACCAAAGGAAGTGGGGTGGTGGGGGAAAACCAGGCAAATTAACAATGACTGAATGATTGTAGATAGAGGTTAGAGTTCAAGGAAAGTAGGTGATTGGAGAACACCAGGAAGATCAAACGTGGTCTTTCACGTGGAAAGAACAGAGCCAAAACATTGCTAAGATGATGAAATCAAATGAAAGCTCTTTGTCTCTCTGTATCTTCACTTGAGAGGAGAACTTTAACCTTTCCCTTAGGGGGGGAAAAAAAAAAACGGAGGCGGTTTCTCTAATCTCACAGAATTCTACGCTCTTAACATTGGAAAGTCACCTACTGGTCACCTAGTCCAGGCTGTCACCCCTTCCAAAACTGCCTTGGCAGCTGGCTGTTTGGCATCTCCCCAAACACTCATGGGGTTGGATGCTCATCACTTGGTGAAGCAGTTCATTACTTTCTGGGCAGTCCTGAATTTTAGACAATTGTCCTTGACATGCAATTGTCACTTGCTTCCCTGTAGCTTTAATTTATTGGTCCCAGTTTTATTTTCAGGTGCTTCATGAGCACATACTTTCCTTTTCTCAAATGAAGGGCCGTCCAATGCTTTAATGCTCTTTTCAGATTTCCACTAAGAATTTCTTTTTATTTGAGATTAAATATCCTAGCTCTTCAACCTTCCCTTCAGTGACATGGCTTTGGAACTCCTCACCATGCTGGTGTCTATCTCTCAGTTGGTCATGCAAGCCTGAGGCCCCCAGAGTGGGAGACAGCATTCTGTCTATAGGCTGAGCAGCATGGGGAACACTGGGACAACTCCCTCTCTGGAGTTGGACGCGGATGCTTCAACCACTATAGCCCAAGACTGCATTTGTCTCTCTAGCATGATGAGGCTATAACCCCATCTTCTGGGATTTTAGTGTACTACCACTTAGCTCTGTTTTCTTCTTGTGGCTTTGCATGGTACACATGAAATTTATCCTGAATTCTCCTTGTTTTATGACCTGGGTTAAATTCCACCCCCATTTCTTATCCCTGGGAAATTTCTCATTACCAAGAACCATGATTTCTGCTTCTACTTCCCTAACTGAAGTATTAGTTCAGTTTAGTTTGGTGATATTTATTGCATCATGTGTCAGGAATTGTATTATATGCTAAGATGGAGTGAGGGGATACGGATGAATTAGAGCACAATTACTACCCTAGGGCAGATTGCTGGCTGGAGGGAGAAGACACCCACATACACACACTGTTACAATGTGACATAGGAAGAGCTGTGCCACATAAGCATAGTGATTATGGGGGCCCAGATGGGGAACTCTTGGCCCAAAGTAAAAATTCAGGGAGGGAGTTCCAGAAATGGAAGTATTTTGAACAGTAAGAATTAAGGGGTATCGAGAAGAATGTGGAAAGACAGAAAAAAAGGAAAGAACAAAGTCAAGGAGGCAGGAAGCACAATGGTATGTGTGAGAAGCTACAGGCTATTTGGCAGTGCCAGAGCATCAAGTACTAGAAAAGGAGGGGCAAAGTCATGAAAACCTTACTTTCAAGATAGGGCTTGACTCTGTAGGCAATGGGAAACCTTGAAATGTTTCAAGAAGATGTAGTGGGGGGAAGCGGGAGTAATCAGATTTGCATTTATCACTCTGGTCTCTGTAGAAAGAATATGTTTTGATGTGGCTAACCTGGAGGTAGGCAAATGGGTTGGAATACTTAGGAGTCTAATGTGTTATTTCAAGTAAGAGATGTTGAGGACCTTAATGAAGACAGTGGTAGTAGTACACACGGTATAACAGATGCAGTTGGAGGCCTTGGAAAGCTGTGAATGGCAGAGAGCAACAATAACAGCCAAAGTCCAGATTAATTCCTAGAGATCTAGATCAAATGGCTAGGAGGATGGTGATAAAACTAGCTGAGAGGGTGGAAGAGATGTTTGGAAATCATGAGCTCAAGTTTAGACATGGGGAACTTGAATTGCTCACTGAACATCCAAGTATAACATCCAGCAAATAATTGGATTTATAAATCTGACTGTCACAGGAGAAACCAGGCTGAGAGATGGGGATCTTCAGTTCCTCAGTGGAAGTTAAGATCATGAGAAGAGATGAGCTGGTACAAGGAGAATACGTAGAGGAATAGCCAAAGGGCCAGTGTGTACCCATTAGGCATACAGTTATTTAAGACAGATTTTACAAATAAGTTCAGCATGCTTTACGTGGTTGACAAAGCCAAATTAGACTTTGTCCCCAACATTTAAAAATCAGGGAATTTTACCTTAAAATGAAGATTTCCAGATTCTCTTAAGACCAGGAGCTCTGGCCCCACTGGGCTTGCATTTTCATGTAGCAACATTCTACCAGAGCTGAGTAGTAGTTTCCTTCTTTGAATGAGATACCTGTTCTCCAGTTCTTTACAGTCTCCACTGTCTTTATAACACCAAGGCCAATGTCAACTTCTATTAATCCTTACATTGGTGCTGCTACTTCTTATAGCTGTTTCATTTTTAAAAAATATTGCTTGCCTGGCCTGATAGGCATTTGAGTTTTTAATTCCTGGCATAAAAGATGAGCAAAGTTAAGAGGATCACATTAGGGAGATGAAGAAGTATGGTCAGAGAAACGGGAAGAAATCAGGAAAGAAATGTTCTAGTTGTCAAGAAATTTCAAGAATGAAAAGTTCAATAGTGTCAAGTACTAGAGAGAGGTTGAACAAGGTAAGAATTGAGGTGCCTGGATTCCTCAAGGATCTAGAACGAGAAATACCATTTGACCCAGCAATCCCATTACTGGGCATATACCCAAAGGATTATAAATCATTCTATGATAAAGACACATGCACACATATGTTTATTGCAGCACTATTCACAATAGCAAAGACTTGGAACCAACCCAAATGTCCATCAATGATAGACTGGATTAAGAAAATGTGGCACATATACACCATGGAATACTGTGCAGCCATAAAAAATGATGAGTTCATGTCCTTTTTAGGGACATGGATGAAGCTGGAAACCATCATTCTAAGCAAACTAACACAGGGACAGAAAACCAAACACTGCATGTTCTCACTCATAAGTGGGAGTTGAACAATTAGAACACATGGACACAGGGAGGGGAACATCACACACCAGGGCCTGTGGGGGGTGGGGGGCTATGGGAGGGATAACATTAGAAGAATTACCTAATGTTGGTGACAGGTTGATGGGTGCAGCAAACCATACGGCATGTGTATACATACATAACAAAACTGTACATTCTGCACATGTAACCCAGAACTTAAAGTACAATTAAAAAAAAAAAAACTGAAGTGCCTGTTGGGTTTATCAATATGAACATCACTGGAGATCTTTAGAGAATCATTTTTAGCACAGGGATGGATGTTGGAAGTGAGATCTCAGGGATGTGAGGAGTGAATGGGAGATGAGCAAATGGAGACAAGTTAATTTTCCTTTCCAGAAATTTTGACTGGAAAGGGAGGAACAGGGCCAGGTGCGGTGGCTCATGCTTGTAATCCCAGCACTTTGGGAGGCCGAAGCGGGCGGATGACGAGGTCAGGAGTTCAAGACCAGCCTGGCTAACACAGTGAAACCCCGTCTCTGCTAAAAATACAAAAATTAGCTGGGCGTGGTGGCGGGCGCCTGTAATCCCAGCTACTCAGGAGGCTGAGGCAGGAGAGTCACTTGAACCTGGGAGGCGGAGGTTGCAGTGAGCCAAGATCATGCCACCACACTCCAGTCTGGGTGACAGAGCTAGATTCCATCTCAAAAAAAAAAAAAAGAAAGAAAGAAAGAAAGAAAGAAAAAAGAAAAAAAGAAAGGGAGGAACAGATCTTGGCAGTAGCCCAAGACGTTGGAAAGTAAACAGGACCAAAAGAGATTGTTATTTTCTAAAAGGAAGGTTTTGAGCATATTTATGGATTGCATGCAAAGAGCCAATAGAAAGGAAAAATGGATGATATACGAGAGAAGTGATAATTTATAAAGGAGGGTGTCAGAGATGGGAGGCAATGAGATCAAGGGTACAGATGAAGGGGCTGGCTTTGACCAAAAGAGAGGAACTCTTTATCCCCATAAATGGTGGTGAAGAGAAAACCATGGGAAGAAGTGAGTTTGTAGGATCAAGTAGTTTATGTTCAGTCACTTTTCTTGATAAAATAGAGGAAGAGTCATCTACTGAATGTGGGAACTGTGGATTGGAGTTAAATATCTCAGGGAGAATGAAGGAGGGTTGGCAGAGTTCCTGGGTGGGAAAGGGAGTGGTGGCTCACGGAGGACTATCACCAGGATTGTTGAATGGCCCCAAAGACCCAGCTGAGGCTGGAGGTTGGGAATTCTCAGTGACACCGATCTGCATGGTTGAGTGATTTTCTCTAGCTCCATATACCTGAGAAACATACACAGGTATGTAGCATATATTACAGCACATGGCAATACTCTCATTATGGGTGGCAAATATTATGGCTAAAAATACATAGTGAAAAAGCAGGCATCAGTGTTCTCCACCCTTTAAGGTTGTGTCTACCATAACCTTAAAGGCGTTAATGTGCTAGAGACCTTAGCTTAACTCTTGGCATCATCTTTTGTACATTCCTCAAGTTTTAGCAGCAGGAGGAAAATGATACTTGGTCAAGTAGCTCTCAGCAGTTTTCTAGGTTTCAACTGACTAAAAGTGCGAATTCTGGTCCAGGGTTAGTTAATCATGCCTCAGGCAGTCCACAGCATAAGGCAGAGGTAGAGTCCAAAGCCTATCCCAGCCTTGAATTGAGAAGGTCCTATCAAGAAAGTCAGAGAAGAGACAGCAGTAAGAATTAAGAGATAAGACTGGGGTGGGGTAGAAGCCAGGGTGAACAAAAAGAAAAAATACTACTATGTAGAAAAGACTAGGAGAAAATAAGAAAAGACAGAAAGAAGAGGGAGGGAGAGATTTGCAAGTACAGAGACAGAAAGAGAAGGAAACACGAAAAAAGAAAAAAAGTGAGGAATAAAGTGAGAAAGAGAAGGAACCGAGAATCCTGGCTGGGAATCAGAGGCCTCCCCTCCATCTGCCTTGAGAGCTGGGTCTGGGGTCCCACCTGTCTATTTCTCTCTGTTGGGGGACATGCATATTCACTCCTTTCCTCCAACCTGCTGCTGAAAGTCCAGGCCTTTTATTTTAAAGAATCTATGCCAATTAAACGAAAAGTGGTGTCCAAGAGAAGTCACAAGAATTCTTATTCCTTCTTCTTCTTCTTTTTTTTTTTTGAGACAGAGTCTCGCTCTGTCACCCAGGCTGGAGTGTAGTGGTGCGATCTCAGCTCACTGCAACCTCTGCCTCCCGGGTTCAAGCGATTCTTCTGCCTCAGCCTCCCGAGTAGCTGGGACTACAGACATGCGCCACCATGCCCGGCCAATTTTTGTGTTTTTAGTAGAGACAGGGTTTCACCATGTTGGCCAGGATGGTCTCAATCTCTTGACCTTGTGATCTGCCCATCTTGGCCTCCCAAAGCTCTGGGATTACAGGCGTGAGCCACTGTGCCTGGCCTTATTCTTTCTTTTTAAAATGATTTAACCTTCATGTGAACATAATAGGGCACCACTAAGCATCAAGACCAGGCCTATTTTGCTGACAAAACAAAAGGGAAAACAAGCTGAGAGGTTTAAAACTTTCTTCAACCAGTGATCATGGGCCCCCCACCTATGCTGTGTTCCTGAAAATTAAGAAAAAAATCTGTAAATAAAGTTTCATTTAATTTGTCATTCTACAAAATAACCTTCTCTGAGTATGAAAGTACCAAGACCTGGCTACACACTCCCCTTCCTCAAGGAGCACACTGACAAGGACACTGAGAACACGTGTGTGGACACAAGGTTTTTGGTTATGCTGACATCAGCATGTTCCTTAGCTGGGGACTGTTAGCGCCCCCTAAATAACCCCCAGGTGTTCCTCCAGGGGTTTTTTGATGTCATTTTGTCTTTTGTCCTTGTTGTTGTTTTTTTTTAAATGGCAGCTTCATTGAGACCTACCCCAGTTTTTGTGTAGTACTCTAAGCCACCCCACCACCATCTGCCAGCTGGATTGCCTCCTTAATTCCTTTGATTGTAGAAATTCTAGAGTCCCAGACTGTGTCATGGGTCCCCAAGACCATCCCAGGTTTGGTGTTCACTAGAAGGACTCACAGGACTCAGCTAATAGTCACACGCCTGTGACTCATTGCAGTGAAATGATACAAAGAAAAGTCAGCAAAGGAAAAAGGCACACAAGGTGAAGTCAGGAGGAAACCAGGCACACGCTTCCAAGAGTCTTTTCCCAGAAGACTCACACAAGACATGTTGAATTCTTCCTGCCATGAATTGTGACAACACATGTGAAAATACTATCTACCACGGAGGCTCATTAACGATTCAGCACCCAAGGTTTTGCTGGTAGCTGGTCACACTGGCACCCTCTGCCCAACACATACTGAATTTCAGACTCCCAGAAGGAAAGCAGGTGTTTGACAGAAACCATACTGTTTGCATAGACAGTTTAGTTACAGTGAACCATTCTTATCGCTTATGGAAAGTTTTGTGTCAGTCTAGGGAACTGTTTACTATTCAAGTTTCCAGATACCAGCCAAGGGTCAACATTGCAAGCAGCCGGTCTAAGCATTGCAGCCTCAGGCCTGCTATTGTTCATTCTTTTCTGCATACCAACATTAATAAGATATTGATTGATTACAACAAATTTACCCTGCATTACTGCCTCAGAGCTCTTATCACTAATTAAAATTATAAGGTATTATATGTATTTAATTACCTACTTGTTTATTTTCTGTCTCTCCTACTAGAATGTAAGCTCATGAGGGCAAGGACTTTGTCGTATTCACAGCTGTATCTTTAGCACTTCAAACAAGGCCTCCTCCATTATGGGCACTCAACAAATACTGATTGAAGGGATGAAAGAACAGATTAACAGTTCAGCCTAGGATAGAGTCAGATGCGAGATATTTTTTGGAATACTCGGCAAATACAAGTCCTTCATGGGTGGCCATGACTATCAGATCAAACAAGGCCTGAGCCATGCTCTTCACAGGCAGTATTGTTACAGAGATTCCTGGTCTGGTGCACTTCTAAAGTCAGAGTCTCTGGAGATCTCACCTGCAGCTGTATGAAGAAGAAAACATAAGAATGTTCTCTATCTGCACATTCCTTTCCCTTTCTCTTATTAAAAATAAACATTGTGCTGGTGAGTTTTTCCTGTGTTCCTCCCCACTCTCAGAAACAGTTCTAATGTCCAGATTAAGTATTTCCTAAGGGGAGAAAAAAACTGTATTCCTTTTGAAGAATGACCATCTGTGTAGCCTTGGAGAAACCCTAGAGGACTCATGAATGGAAAAGGATCTCCGGGCCAAAAATCAGTTCTCACTTAATGTCTTCTCTGGCTATTGCTCTGGCAGTTGAATGGAGTCAGATTTTCATCTTATGTAATATGACAGGACAATTCAACTTCCATTGAGTGTAGCACATATCCCTAGAGCTACATAGGACAGAACTAAGTGGTTACATAAACACATATGGAAACGTAAAAATTTTAAAGACAGGCTAAGCACTCCAAGGGACATGTTACCCCCAGGGGAAATTAACAGTTAGATCAACAAGCAGAGCTCTCCTCTAAGTCACACATGGATTTCATACAGTTTATGGCCATACTACTGGAGGGGAAAATGACTTTATGTACATATTTTTCATGACTTACTCTGAGAAGGAGAAAATAGGCAATACCTTTTATCTCAGGATATCAGGAGACAGAAAAGGGATGACCATGGGGCATACTAGTTGGGGTCAGAACAAACAATGTATTAATCAGGGATTCTGCAGGAAACAGCATACTCAAAACAACTTATTGAAAGGGATTTAATTAAGCCACTAGTTACAAAGGTATGGACAGGTTAAGGGAACAAACAAAGGATGGTGAGGCCTCCAGGGACTGAGGAAGCCTGTTCTACTTTTAGGCCTGAAGAGAGCAAAGGGTGGAGGTTGTGTTATCAAAACCAGCACAATCTATAGTCCTTGGAGAGAATCCACCCAATAGGAGCTACAGCTATGTGCAGACAGAGCCCGAACCATGAGGAAATTGGAGGGAGAGCATATGGAGATGGGGGGAACGAATATAAATAGCCCAAACTCTCTTTCTTCCCACCTACCAGTTTCTTGCTGATGCTTCTCACTGGCCACAGGAAAGCACCAGGGGCAAGGAAGTCTGTGTAAGAAAGAGCACAGGGGTCAGCTTCCTGAGGCACAGCAGGTTACAGAAGGGCCAAGAATGGGCAGACAAGGAGGAGAGGGCATGTGGACAAAAATCAACACAAATAACGCCTACTAGCCCTACTACTACTCGACTGCAGACAAGGGTTGACATTTGTTGGATGTGCTAGGCACAGTCCTATGCCGTTTACATGAATCATCCCACTTAATACTTGTGATGCGATTTACTGTGAAATCAACTAAGCTGAAGCTTCAGGCCCCTCTATTGCACAGATACCTTTCAGGGACCTCAGAGGGACCCTAGCCATAAATTTACATAGTGCTTATGGAAATTTTGCAAATGTAAGATACGTTTACCTTAATTAATTAAGGTTACTGTTTCTTTCCAATCAGACTTCACTGCTGTTACGTTTCCCTTCCCGTCAGGTGGCACTGAGTGTGGGAATTTTTTGGATATGGCTAATGGGATGTTGAGGTGGGATTACACTAAAGTTGGGTTTAGTAAGAGATTTTTAGGTGGTTTTCAATCACGCCAGTGTAGAAACGGCGTCCAGGAATACTCCTTTTATCTACTATGCTGATTCATCATGGAACCAAGCTTCACGGCCAGGGGTTGGGGTACGAAAGTGAGATACAGCACGTAATTCTGGACATACGGCTATGGAGGAGACACGAGATTTGAAAAACTCGAGCCGGAAGCTAGCCTCTGTGGAATTCTTCTAATCATAGCATGTGTAAAATTGTAAGGGGAGGGTGGAATTCTCATTGATAACTAGACAATATGGAAGTTTTTTTCTTGGCAATAATATACTGTAAAATTCAGTGCATACAATTGTAACAGCATTGTACTTTTTTCTCCTTTTTGATGAGAATTGTGTGAAGTAGAAGAGTAGAATTTCTGTGCCTGGAGGGCATATACCAATACCAGCACCACTTATATGCAAATCATCACAAATTCTACATTTTATCATGTATTTTGCAGGCCACCAAAGTAAAATTGAGAAAAAGATATATGTAAGTATATTCTAAAGTAATGTAATAATAGCAAATATTTACTAGCATGTACTATATCTGGCATTGTGCTAAGCATTTTATAGGTATTAACTCATTTAATCTTCACAGCAACCCTTTGAAGTAGGTGCTATTGTTATCCTCCTCCTGTCTTTTCTTTTCTTTTTTTTTGTTTTTTGTTTAGTTTAGTTTTGTTTTTTTTGAGACTGAGTCTCGCTCTATTGCCCAGGACGGAGTGAAGTGGCACGATATTGGCTCACTGCAATCTCCGCCCCCCAGGTTCAAGCAATTCTCCTGCTGCAGCTTCCCAAGTAGTTGGGATTACAGGTGTCCGCCACCACGCCCAGCTAATTTTTGTATTTTTAGTAGAGACGGGGTTTCACCATGTTGGCCAGGCTGGTCTCGAACTCCTGACCTCAAATGATCCACTCACCTTGGCCTCCCAAAGTGCTGGGATTACAGGCGTTAGCTGCCGCACCCGGCCCTGTCTTTTACTTTCAAAAGCCTAAACTCATTGTTGGGATCAGAATTTGAGGTGAGAGAGGAGTCCTTCTGGGGAAGTATGATCAAAGAAGACTTTTCTCAAGATGAAGTCCCAGGGACTGGAACAGACCTCAGTGGCTGGGCCCAAGGGTGGCGCCATGGCATGCCAAGGATGACCAAGGATAAAACATAGTGTGGAAATAGCTGACTTCAGACTTCAAGGAAACACTTGGGCTGAGACAGTGGGGCATTTCAGCAATTAGTAGACAATTTAGCAGGGTGGGGGCCTGAAATTATCATTAAATTGATTTATGAAAATGAAAGAAATTAATTTTGTTTGCAGAGTTTGAGGAATAAGACTTATATTTGCTATTTAAGTTTAACTCTGTGAAAATAGAAACAAAGGAATTATACACCTTGGCTTCATCTCCTTCAAAATCTGAAATACCTAATAAAAAGAATATTGGTTTGGGGACCATAAATAACTGGCTTTGAATTCCAGCTCTGCTATTTATTAGCTAAGTGACCTTGAAAAATGTGTAAAATTTCTGTGAGCCTCAGTTTCATCAGCTGTAAAAATGGGAATAATAGTGTTATTGTAGGAATTATCTTAGTGCATTTAAAACTCCTGACCTGCTACTTCATAACAGGCATTTAAATATTGGTTTTCATTATAAATGAAAATAAAATCTAAACGCATTTTCTGGAAGAAAGTGTTGCAGAAGCACAAATTACATACTACCCTTTCAATGCCACCTAGCTAATATGCTTTATGAAGAAACCCAGCTGTAATTTAAAAAAAATTTTGAACTCACCCAACGTTTTTGCCCTGCTTCTAAAACTAGAAACCAAGGAGGTAACGTGTACCCATCTGTGCACCCACACCCTTTTGAATATGAAGTTTAAATAAAAGTCTTCTCAGTCTGTTTAAACAGTACTCCTCGGCTTTGAGGCAGATAGATCTGCTTCAATTAGAACCTAATCCTGCTCTCCTCATACTTGCAATGCTCTCACTAAAACTCGTGAGAGAGAAACAATAGTCCATTTAATTAAATGATGCTGAAGCCTGAATTCAATCCATCTGTGTATTGAGAAGTAAGATTTTGAATATTGATTATTCTTCCCTGCATGAAAACTTTGCTATCTGCTCTGCATTCTCTCCCCAATAAGGAATGATGTTTTCCCTACTATAGCGGCTTTTATTTTAAAACAAACTAAATAGGCCTAGTTCTAGAACAAAAAACAATGTTATTGTTTCTCTTTTTCCCTTCAGCTCTCCATTTCGGGCTTCTGGAACTTTTCTCTCTGTCCTTACCCCACCCATCTAGTCTCAGGTGGCCACTTTCCTTCGGCTGCCCTCTGTGGCTTTCCATTCCTTGGCAGCACCCTGGGCTACTAGTGTCTCTCTCTTTCCTCTCTGCCAGCCATCTTTTTTCTCCTAACTATCCCTTAGGGAGGGTCTCGCTGTGTCTGGGACCTCACCCTGAGCAACACTAGGGATCTCCTCTTTTTTGCCTGCCCAGAAATTACACAAAAGGTGTGTATGGAAATCTGAGCGAACTGATGTCCTGCTTCTAACCTATTTGGGTTGATTTGGTGACCCATATAGAATCTGAACCCCAATCCAGCTCTCAGTGAAGGTGTTCAGTAAACGGACTCCATTCTACTCTGTGCAAAAGGGTAAGGGCCTACCCCTTGCCGTAGTCAGCTAAGGAAGAAGAGTTGGTCAATAAATTCAATTCATGATTAAGTGATTAAGTCACTTGCAACCCTGACTTTACCATAAAATAATTCAGAAAGCTTTTAATAATATTGAAGCCCTAGCCCCACTCCATCTGATTTAATCGATCTGATGTTGGACTCAGGATGTGTATTTTTTTGTGTGGTAAAAAAATACCACACAGAAAACTTACCATCTTCACCATTTTTAATTGCACAGTTCAGTAGTGCAATTTGGTTTAGTTGTACAGTTCACATGGTTGTGAAACAAATTTCCAGAACTTTTTCATCTTGCAAACCTGAAACTCTATACCCATTAAACCACAATTCCTCATTTCCCCCTCCTTTCAGCCCGTGGTAAGCACCATTCTACTTTCTGTTTCTATGAATTTGACTACTTTAGATATTCGTATAAGTGGAATTGTATAGTATTTGTCTCTTTTGTCACTGGCTTATTTCACTTAGCATAATATCCTCAAGGTTCGTCCATGCTGTAGCATGTGACAGAATTTCCTTCCTTTTAAAAGCTGAGTGATATTCCATTGTATGTATATACCACATTTTGTCTATCCATTTATCTGTCAGTGGACACTTAGGTTGCTTCCATCTCTTGGCTACAGTGAATAGTGGTGCCGCTGTGAACTTGGTATGCACCCTTGTTGGACATCTTTTGCCTAGATATGCAAGGGTTAATTTCTGAGCTCTCTATTCTATTCCATTAGTCTACATGTCTGTTTTTATGCCAATTTCACATTGTTTTGAGTACTGTAACTTTGTGATATGTTTTGAAATAACATATTACAAAGTGTCTGTCCTTTAGAGTGTGATTCCTCTAATTTTGTTTATTTTCAAAATGTGGGGCCTCTGGAGATGCCATATGAATTTTCAGATGAATTTTTCTGTTTCTGCAAAAAATGCTGTGGGAATTTTGATAGGAATTGCATTGAATTTGTAGATAGCTTTGAGTAATATGGACATCTTAACAATATTAAGTCCTCCAGTCTATGAACATGAGATGTCTTTTCATTTATTTGTGTCTTCTTTAATTTTTTCAGCAATGATTTGTTTTTAGTATACAAGTCTTTCATGTCTTTGGTTAGGTTTATTTCTGAGAATTTTTATTCTTTTTGATTCCATTATAAATAGAATTGTTTTCTTAATTTTCTTTTCAGATTATACATTGTTGTTGTACAGAAATGCAGTCAATTTTTGCATGTTGATTTTGTATCCTGCAACTTAGCTGAATTCATTTATTAGTTCTAACAGACTTTTTTGTGTGTGAATGGAATTTTTAGGGTTTTTATATATGAAATCATATCATCTGTGAACAGTTAATTTTACTTCTTTCTTTCCTATTTGGATGACCTTTCTATCTTTTTCTTGTCCAATTGCTCTGGCTTGGACTTCAGTACTATGTTAAATAGAAGGAGTAAGAGCAGCTGTGCTTGCCTTGATCCTGATCCTGATCTTAGAGGAATGAGAATTTTAAAAATTTTCTTATTTCTGATCTTAGAGGAATGAGAATTTTTAAAAAGCTTTTCAAGTGATTCTAATTTGAATCCAGGCTTGAGAATTACTGGGTTAGGTATTCATTTCCCTCATCCCAGAAAAACTGGAGCAGAGAAAATCAGGAAGGCACCTTAGGCCCCAAAGTGAAAGCTATGAAGGTAGGCTTCAATAGAATGCTTTTACTAGACCTGGTCATCGTCTCAAACCACTGGACCTAGAGCATACAAGAAAGTTTCTGATACTGGTGACAAAGTGTTCATTGATTCTCGACAGGGCTGGAGAGGATAAACTTGAGCATCAGGGGTTAACTGTTTTGATAGCCGCAGTTGGTGAGGGGATGGAAACATCAAGGGTGGGTTTTCAGAATCAAAAAGACACAAATACTGGAAGAGGTAGTGGACCAAAAAAAAAAAAAATACTCCCCAGCATTCATTCTACTTCTGATAACCAGCTCTGGTTCCTGTTTGTAGAGCTAATCTTTCCCCATCTGCTGCCCAAGTAGCTCTGATGGAATTGCCTCCAGCCTCTGTATTGAGGGTGGCATGAGACTGAGGAATGGCTCATCAGAGCTTGTGCTTCCCTTGGCCACAGTAATTTCTTCATAGATAGGCACATGGCTCCTTCAGAGCCACTGGGACACAAGGGAGCTTTTTCTTCAGATATCTGAAGCAAAGGCAGACTCTCTTTCTCTGTGCCTCGAACCTGAGGGGATGAAGAGTCTGAAGCTACTGTCACCATCAAGCCATGAAGTTTGAAGTAGAAATGAACACAGTGAAAGGCTGAGAAAAGGTGGAGTAATACTGAACCTGGATGACTTCTTTTGAACCCTGACACCAGCACTACCCCTGATCTTTTCAGTTATATAAGCGCGAACAATTCCCTTCATGCCTAAGTCAGTTTAGGTTGGCGTTTCTGTTACTTGCAACCAAAAATCCTAGCTGACTGAGAAAATATGACAGATATAAAAAGAAAATAAGAGTAAATGGTCAGACAGCCAGAACCCAGGCCAGCAGTCCTGGGCATGAGCTTTCAGCAACCAGAGCATGGCCCCTTGATATTGCAGCAATGTTGCCCTTGAACAGAACCTAATCCCTGGCTGAGGTCAGCCAGCAACTGAAAAAGTTGGCCCACTCTGCTGACCTTGCAAGAATTGCTGCAGTCCCCACACCCTTCACACCTGACAGTCTTGCAGATTACTCTTCCTTCCTTTTCCACCACCCCTCAGGCTCTTAGCACCAATTCTTTTCCTCCCATCAACACTGCTTTGAGGAAAAAAGCTAGTTAATTCATTCACTCTAAGGTTTATATGACTCATATGTTCCTATTTGTTAAAATATCTACATTTCCAAAGGGCGCAAACTATCCTTTAAATTGCCTTCGTTCATTGCACCGTCTTTGAAGTCTAATTCATTGCAAACAAATGAATTTGTCGATGCCTGTATAGCTCTATATGACACAATGATACAGTACTTTATTAATCATTACAGAATACAGGAAGCCTCAGAGTTTACTTTCCTCCTATGCAGAAAAGTGCCCTAAAAAACATCAAGGAAACATCATCACCATCATCAATATTTATTAAACATTTATTATGTGTTTAGTATCGTAGGCATTGTTCTAAGCACTTTACATACATTATCTGATCGAATCCTCACTGCTACTCTATGAAGTAGCCACATCATGAATCTCATGTTGCAGCTGAAGAAATTAAGGTGTAGAGAAGTTAAGCAACTTGTTCAAGGTGACACAGATGCTAAGTTGAAGAAAACGATGGAGCAAAAGAAACTATTAGAGGAACCAAGGTGGAGCTGGCCTCTAGGGCTCTTCATAGGTCTTCTGGAGTTACAGCCAGGTATCTAATGAAATCATTGGCTGAAAATTTATTATATTTAAGTTACATAATTTAAGAGCCAAATGGAATGTCCAGTGTTCAATTAAGATGAGAGAAAAAAGAGAACCAGTCAGAGTATCAGAAATAAAACTAGATCACATATCTGCTACTTTCCAGTCTGAGCTCTTTGCATTCATTTATTCATTCATTCTATCATTCATTTGTCATAAGCATTCATGAACATAGAGAATGTTCTTTTACTACATATGGAAAATGTTGGGGCTGGCTACATTAAAAAAAAGTACAGGCATGCCTCATTTTATTGTGCTTTGCTTTGTTGTGCTTCACTGATATTTTGTTGTTTACAAATTGAAGGCTTGTGGCAACCTTGCCTTGAGAAAGCCTATTGGTGCCATTTTTCCAACAACATGTGCTCACACACAAATGATAAGAAAGTGAAACAGTCTTATTGCTGTTTAGTGGTCTGGATAGAAGATCAAACCAGCCACAATATTCCCTTTAAGCCAAAACCTAATCCAGAGCAAAATCCTAACTCTATTTAATTCTATAAAAGCTGAGAGAGGTGAGGAAGTTGCAGAAGAAAAGCTGAAAGCTAGCAGAGGCTGGTTCATGAGGTTTAAGGAAAGAAGCCATTTCTAGAACATAAAAGTGCAATGTGAAGCAGGAAGTGCTAATGTGGAAGCTACAGCAAGTTATCCAGAAGATCTAACTACAATCATTGATGAAGGTAACTAAACTGAATAACAGACTTTTAGTGAAAATGAAACAGCCTTCTGTTGGAAAAAAAAAATGCCATGTAGGGCTTTCATAGCTAGAGAGGAGAAGTCAAGGCCTGGCTTCAAAGTTTCAAAGGGCAGGCCAGGGGTGGTAGCACATTCCTGTAATCCTAACATTTTGCGAGGCTGAGGCAGGTGGACCACTTGAGGTCAGGAGCTTGAGACAAGCCTGGCCAACATGGTGAAACCCCATCTCTACTAAAAATACAAAAAATTAGCCGGGCATGGTGGCATGCACCTGTAATCCCAGCTACTCAGGGAGGCTGAGGCAGGAGAATCACTTGAACCTGGGAGGCAGAGATTGCAGTGAGATGAGATCACGACACTGCACTCCAGCCTGAGCAAGAGTGAGACTCCATCTAAAAAAAAAAAAAAAAAAAAAAAGCTTCTCTTCAAAGGGCAGGCCGTCTCTTTTATAAAGGGCTAACGTAGCTGGTGACTTTAAGTTGAAGCTTGTGCTCATTTACCATTTTGAAAATCCTAAGGCCCTTAAGAATTATGCAAAATCCAGTCTTCCTGTGCTCTATAAATGGAACAACAAAGCCAGGATGAGAGCACATCTGTTTACTGCATGGTTTACTGAATATTTTAAGCCCACTGTTCAGACCTACTGCTCAGAAAAAAAGCTTTCAAAATACTACTGCTCATTTGTAATGGACCTAGTCATCCAAGAGCTCTGATAGAGATGTAGAGGAGATGAATGTTCTCATGCCTGCTAACACAGTATCCATTCTGCCACCCATAGATCAAGGAGTAATTTTGACTTTCAAGTCATACTATTTAAGAAAAATATTTCATAAGGCGATAGCTGCCACAGTGATTCCTCTGATGGATGTGGGCAAAGAAAATTGAAACCCTTCTGGAAAGGAATTGCCATTCTAGATTCCATTAAAAACATTCATGATTCATGGGAGGGGGTCAAAATATTAATATAGAAGTTTGGAAGAAGTTGATTCCCAACCTCATGGATGACTTTGAGAGGTTCAAGACTTTCATGGAGGAAATAACTGCAGATGTGATGAAAACAGCAAGAAAGCTAGAATTAGAAGTAGAGCCTGAAGATGCAGCTGAATTGCTGCAATCTCCTGATAAAACTTTAAGGATGGGATGAGTAGTTGCTTCTTATGAATGGGCAAGGAAAGTGGTTTCTTGAGGTGGAATCTACTCCTCATGAAGATGCTGCAAACACTGTTGAAATGACAACAAAGGATTTAGAATATTCCGTAACCTTAGTTCATAAAGCAGTGGCAGGATTTGAGAGGACTGATGGCAGTTTTGAAGGGGAGTAAAATGCTGTCAAACAACATTGCACCCTACAGAGAAATCTTTCGTAAAAGGAAGAGTCAATGGATGTGGCAAATTTCATTACTGTCTTATTTTAAGAAATTGCCACAGCCACCCCACCTTCAGCAACACCACCCTGATCAATCAGCAGCCATCAACATTGAAGCAAGCCGCACTACCAGCAAAAAGATTATGACTTGCTGAAGGCTGTAATGATTGTTACCATTTTTTTTTTTTAGCAATAAAGTGTTTTTATTTATGGTTTGAACTTTTTTAAGACATAATGCTATTGCATACTTTATAGACTACAATATAGTATAAACATAACTGTTATATGCACTGGGAAGCCAAAAAATTTGTGTGACCTGCTGTATTGTGATATTTGCTTTATTGTGGTGTTCTGGAATCAAACTTGCAATATCTCCAAGGTATGCCTCTATAAATATATAGGCAAAATAAATAAAGCTCTTTGTTCTCAAAAAACAATAGTGTAGGAAGAAAGGAGTTAAATCATTACCGTAATGCATGATAATGGGCTAATCAGCCATTTAGAAAGGGTGGAACCATCTCTGTCTAGAGGTGTCAGGAAGACTTCAAAGAGAAGAAAGAGCAAAAACTTTCAAAGGAAACCAAAGCAGGGAGGGGTAAATCCGGGAAGAAGAAACCACACAGGTGAGGACACAGGGGTATGAGAAGGTGAAGCTAGGAAGATGGGCAGTTTTGATCATGAGGATTTTTTATGCCAGGCTGAGGAATGATTCTTTCTATGGGTCTTGGGTGTTCTTGGTCAGATTTGCAATTATAAACAAATCAAATTTTTTAAAGTCTGTAGAGAAGAGGTTAGAGCTGGGTAGGAGTGCTAGGTGGGGTATTTTTCTTAATAGACTTTATTTTTTAAGAGTAATTTTAGGTTCACAGCAAAACTCAGAGGGAGGTACAGAGATTCCCCATCTACCCTCCTTCCCAACCACACGTATAGCCTCCCCAATTATCAGTATCTGGGTGGGGGATTTTCAGCATGGCAGTGACCAGGTCAGGTTTGCTCTGGGTCAGAGTAGGAGTTGCAGTGGGGAAGGTGGGGGAGTGAGGGGAGGTGGTGGTGGTAGTGCCTCTCAGAAGCTGAGGGGAGATGGGTGGAGTTGCAGGGAGTCGGTTCAGAGGCTCTTTTTGTTAGTCAGAGGAGTGTTCCTGAGTGCCTGGGCTGAGGCACAGCTGTGAAAACGGGGAACAGGGATGCATTTGAGAGATATTTAGGAAGAAAACCCACAGAGTTCAATTACTGATCAGGCATGAGGAGTGAAGGAAAAAGAAATGGTGTGCCTACTTCCCTGGTTTCTGAGCTGGGAGACCAGGTGGCTGGTAAAGGCTGCTGCCTTTTTTCTGCAATTAATACATTTAGGTTATAAACAGTTCAATAATACAGAAGCAGATGAAATAATAAGCGAAAGTTCCCTTCTGGTTTTTCTCCTTCACATTCAACGCCATTCCCCAAGGCATAGCCACTATTAATATTTTGGCATATTCCTCCAAGTGTCTTTCCATGCCTATACTGAACTCAATTAGTTTCTCAAACTCAAAGAGTAATTCTACTGCAAAGACATCCGGCCAAATCTTTGAAATTCCTAAAGAAGATGTTTGCACTTGACCATGTGTATCACAATGTTGGGCAAAGCCTTGGGCAAGAGGATAGTTTCAGCAATGAGGCTTCTTCCAGGAACCACACCTCTGAGAGTTCATTGTGGGCTACATCATAGATTCAGCCCTGTTCAGTACAGTTATTTGTAGGACCAAAAAAATGCTACATGGTGCCCAAGTGTAACACACCAGTAATTAAATTGATAAATCTTCTTTATTACCAATTCTTCTATAATATAGGTACATTCATGCCCCCAAGATAATCATAAAATATATTTTCTTTGGTATTCAATGCCCTGGAAATGCCAACAGAATTGTGTCTGTATGTACATCAGCTTTTAGTTGGAAAATTAGCTATGGAAAATTTACTCTCTCCTCTGACCTGGAAAATATTACTCCTACAAATTAAAGATAAGGCAAATGTCATAAGGATGTGAGGAGATAACTTTGATGAGATAAGAAACTGCAGTTGAATGAGATCCTACATGCATACTCACAATACATTAAAGCCGCTCAAATTTTCAAAGAAAAAATGTCTGCCTTTTTTCTGGAGCTAAAATTAATCATATTGCATACACTAAATTGTGAGTATTCCTACAGGGAATTCATTGGTTGGAAGTTACTACCAAGGACTAAAATGGAATAAAATAGCCCCACTTAAGAACTATAAATCTTTCTAAAGTTAAGTATTTCAGAGAGAACCTGTGTGAAAAGATATATTAGAATGGTAACTAAGCATACTAGGATATTGAGCAAGAAATTGTCAAAAATTTAAGTCTTATGTTTAATGTTTTAAAATTTGGTATAAAAATAGGAACCAATATGTAGCAAGTGTTAATTCTTGGTCCAGCAGTTTTCTTAAAACATCCTTGATATTTTAACTGTTTCTGGTGAGGCATCTCCCCAGTTCAGAAAGTAATTATAATTTAAATAAAAATTATTATAATAAAGAATAGCTAACATTTATTAAGCATTTATTATATGCTAAGCACTATTTCAAGGTATTTATATTATTCCATTTCATCCTCACAGCACATTATTATCACTCATTTTAAACATATGACTACTCCTGACTTTTAGAATTATTGGAGACTAAAGATCTGCTTATTTAGGGTGTTGTTTGGAGGTGACAAAAGATTCAGTGGTTTCAAAAACTTTTGTGCAAGGAGGGCATTCTGGGAAGATGACAAAGTAGGAAGCAACAGGAATTTGTCTGCCCACCTAGAAACAATTTCACTGGCAAAATCTGTCGGATGTAGCTATTGAGGAACTCTGGAGTCTGTTGAAAATTTGCAATGTCTAGGGAAGGCTTAGTAAATTGTGGTTAACTGTGGTCAATTTCAGCTCTTACTGCAGTAGCAGCTATCCTTCCTTCACCCCCAGCCCCATGGTATGCAGGTATGTACTTGTTCCCGAAGCAGCTTTTACACAGTTTGTGGGAGCCAGGGGACCCTGACCTCCAAATGCTGGGGATTTGTGCATTTGTGCTCTGCTCACTGATTGCAGCTTCTTCTTCTGTTTTTTGTTTGTTTTGTTTTGTTTTGAATAACCTGTGTGTGGATTTTTTTTTTTTTTTTAAACCAGGTCTTGCTCCATCACCCAGGCTGGAGCACAGTTGTGCGATCATAACTCACTGCAGCCTGGAACCTCTGGGCTCAGGAAATTCTCCCACTTCAGCCTCCCAAGTAGCTAGGACTACAAGCATGTACCAACACACCCAGCTAATTTTTAAAATTCTTTTAGAGACAAGGTCTCACTATGTTGCCTAGGCTGGTCTTGAACTACTGGCCCCAACGGATCCTCCCATCTCAGCTTCCCAAAGTACTCAGATTACAGGCATGAGCCACTGTGCCCAGCCATCACTGATTGCAGCTTCTGATCACAGAGGCGCAGACAAACACATAGTTGGCCATTGTTGCTGCATCTCTCCCACTGTGGCAAGCCCCTCCCTGTCCAGCTGAAGTGACTTCCAAAGGAGTAAATGGCTGGCACCACTCTCCACATCCTTAGTTTTCTCTTTTTTCCCTTTTGGGAGGCAGACATTGAAGACTAGGACATTCAAAAGCAACTGCATATACATTAGCAATTAGAACAAATGTTCATGCCCAGAGAAAGACAGGCTCAGAAAAGACCTGAGAAGACCTTAATTTTACACCTCAGGCTTATCCTTGGCGCAGAAACAACCTACCTAAAACAATTTTTAAAAAAATAAAAAAAAATGAAAATAGTATAACCTGGGAAAGGGAAAGAATATGATTTCCAGAGTTACTGCATTATTAGATTTAAATGTCTGGTTTTTGATAAAAAAAATTATAAGGCATACACAAAGAAACAGGAAAATATAGTCCATTCAAAGGAAGAAATAAATAAACAAAACAGCCCCTGAAAAAGATCTGATGGTCTCTGGGCACAGTGCCTCATGCCTGTAATCCCAGCACTTTGGGAGGTCGAGGCAGGCAGATCACTTGAGGCCAGGAGTTCGAGACCAGCCTGGTCAACATGGTGAAACCCCATCTCTACTAAAAATACAAAACTTAGCCAGGTGTGCTGGTGCACACCTCTAGTCCCAGCTACTTGGGAGGCTGAAACACGAGAATCCCTTGAACCCAGGAGGTGGAGGTTGCAGTGAGCTGAGATCATGCCACTGTACTCCAGCCTGGGTGACAGAGTGAGACTCTGTCTCTAAATAAATAAATAAATAAATAAATAAATAAATAATTCTGATGGTAGATCTAGTTGACAAAAACCCTTAAAATTATTGTCTTAAAGATGCCCAAATAATTAAAGGGAGATATGGAGAAAGTCAAGAAGACAATATTTGAACAAAGTGGAAATAGCCATAAAGAAACAGAAAACCTACAAAGAAACCAATAAGAAATTCTGGAGCTGAAATGTACAATAAGTGAAATAAAAATTCACTAGAAGGATTCAAAGGCAGATTTGAGCAGGTTAAAGAAAGAGTCTATGAACCTGAACATAGAACAATGGAAATGATCATGTCTGAGAAACAGAAAGAAAAAAGATTAACAAAAAGTGAGCAGAGCCTAAGGGGCCTGTTGAACACCACCAATATACATACTGTGAGAAAAGGAGAAGAGGGTAGAGGAAACAGTTAAAGAAATAATGGTGGAAACTTTACAAATATGATGAAGAATATAAACATAAATGCCAAGGAGTTCAAATAACTCCAAGTAAAATAAACTCAAAGAGACTCACACAGAGACAGATTATATATAATCAAACTTTCAAAAGACAAAGAGGGACTCATGAAAGCAGAAAGAGAGAAATAATTCATCATATGCAAGAAATCTTCAATAAGATTATCAGCAGATTTCTCATCAGAAGCTTTGGAGGCTAAAAGGCTGATATATCCAAAGTTCGAAAAGAAAAGAAAAAAAACTGTCAACCAAGATTCCTATATCTGGCAAAACTGTCCTTCAAAGTGAAGGAGAAATTAAGATATTCCCAGATAAAACAAAAGATGAGGGAGTTTGTCATCACTAGCCCTGCCCTGTAAGACATGTTCAAGGGAGTAAGGCACGGTAAAATAAAAGGACACTAGACAGTAACTCACAATCTTATAAATAAATAAGAATCTCAATAAAGGTACACACGCATGCAATTATAAAAGTCAATATTATCATAACAACAGTTTGTAATACTACCTTTTGTTTTCTATATGGTTTAAGAGACTAACACATTGAAAAAAACAATTATTAGTTTAAAAGCTAGGATTTTTGTAACTTTGGTTTGTAACTCCACATTCTATTTTCTATGTAATTTAAGAAACTAATGTATTTAAAATGTTACTAGCATATATTTTGGCATATGCAATAGAAAAAGATGTAATTTTGTGACATCAGCAACTAAAAGAGGTAGGGATGAGGCTGTAAAAAAGTAGATTTTTTCTTTATTATTCAAGTTAAGCTGGTATAAGTTCAAATTAGAGTATTATAACTTTACTGTATTAAGTGTAATTCCTATAGTAACTACAAAGAATATAGTTATAGAATATACACAAAAGAAAATGAGAAAATAAGTTAAACATTTAACTACAAAAAAAACCGATGAAACATAACAGAAGACAATAATGCAGGAAATGAGGGACAAAAATCTTACAAGGTATGTTAAAAACAAATAGTCAAATGACACAACTAAGTTCTTTCTTAGCAGTGATTAATATAAATATAAATAGATTAAACTCTCCAATCAAAAGAAAGATTGGCAGACTAGATAAAAAAACACATAATTAAACTATATGCTGTTTATAAGACACTCACTTTAGATCAAATAGATTGAAAAAGACATGGATTGAAAGTGAACAGATGGAAAAAGATATTTCATGCAAATAGTAACCAAAAGAGAGCAGAAGCAGTGATAGTAATATCAGACAGAATAGGTTTTAAATACAAAAACATTACAGGGGTCAAAGAAGGACATAACATTTTAATAAAAGGTTCAATACAGCAAGGAAAGATAACAATTATAAACCTTTATACATATCTAATAATAAACTATCAAAATATATGAAGCAAAAACTAATCCAACTGAATGGAGAAATAGACAGTTGTACAATAATAGTCAGATACTTCAATATCCCACTCTCAGTAATGGATAGAACAACCAGGCAGAAAACAAGTAAGGAAGTAGAGGACTTAAACAACACAATACACCAACTAGATGAAACAGACATATATAGAACACTTTACCCCCAAATACAAGCATACATATTCTTCTCAAGTGCACATGTGACATTTTCCAGGATAGAATATAGAATAGGCCACAAGTTAAGTCTCAAGTCTCAATAGAATTAAACAGGTAGATGTCATGCAAAGTATCTTCATTGACTACAAGGGATAAAGTTAGAAATCAATAATTTAAAAAAGGTGGAAACTTCAAATATTTGTGGAAATTAAACACAATACTCTTAATCAATAGATCAAAGATGAAATCACAAGGGAAATTAGAAAGTACTTAGAGACAAATGAAAATAAAATACAACATATCAAAACTTATGGGACACATTGAAAAGAGGAAAATTTATAGCTAAAAATTAGTCTCCCCTTATTCATGCAGGGTACATCCCAAGGTCCCCAGTGAATGCCTGAAACCTCAGCTAGTATCCTATACATATGATGTTTTTTCCTATACATATATAGCTATGATAGTTTAATTTGTAAATTAGGCATAGTAAGAGATAAACAGTAATAAAATAGAACAATTAAGCAATATATTGCAATAAAAGTTATGCAAATGTGTCTCTCTCTCAAAATATCTTATTGTACTATACTCACCTATTTTTAGACCACAGTTGATTGTGGGTAATTGAAATTAAAGAAAGTAAAACCACAGATGAGAGGGCACTACCATAAATGCTTATATTAAAAACAAAGAACAATCTCCAATCAGCAATCTCACTTTACAAGTTAAGGAACTAGTAAAAGAGGAAGGAACTAAACCCAAAGCCAGCAGAAGGATGGTAATAATAAAGATTAGAGCAGAGATCAATGAAAAAGAATAGAAAACAATAGAGAAAATCAGTAAAACCTATGTTGGTTCTTTGAAGAGATCAACAAAATTGACAAATCTTTAGTCAGATGAACTAAGAAAAAAATGAGGAGACTTAAATTAATAAATCAGAAATGAAAATGGGGACATTACTACCGATTCTACAGAAATAAAAAGGATTATGAATATAGTACTATGAATTAGTGTGCGCCAACAAATTAGATAACCTAGAAGAAAGAAATAGATAAGCTCCTAGAGACACAAAACCTACTGTATTAGTCAAGATTATCTAGAGGGACAGGACTAATAGAATAGATGTATATATAAAGGGGAGTTTATTTTTTATTTTTATTTATTTATTTTTTAAACATATTTGATACATTTTATTTTATTTTTTTATCATAATTTAAATTCTAGGGTACATGTGCACAACTGCAGGTTTGTTACATAGGTATACATGTGCCATGTTGGTTTGCTGCACCCACCAGTTCGTCATTTACATTAGGTATTTCTCCTAACTCTATCCCTCCCCCAGCCCCCTACCCCCCAACAGGCCCAGTGTGTGATGTTGCCCTCCCTGTGTCCATGTGTTCTCATTGTTCAACTCCCACTTATGATTGAGAACATGCAGTGCTTGATTTTCTGTCATAAAGGGGAGTTTATTAAGGAGTATTGACTCACACAATCACAAGGTGAAGTCCCACAATAGGCCACCTGCAAGCTGAGGAGCAAGGAAGCCAGTCTGAGACCTAAAACCTCAAAACCAGGGAAGGTGACAGTGCAGCCTTCAGTTTGTGGCTGAAGGCTTGACAGCTCCTGGCAAACTACTGGTGTAAGTCCAAGAATCTAAAAGCTGAAGAACTTGGAGTCTGATGTTTGAGGGCAGGAAGCATCCAGCATGGGAGAAAGATAAAAGCTGGAAGACTTAGCCAGTCTAGTTCTTCCATGTTCCTCTGCCTGCTTTTATTCCAGTTGTGGTGGCAGCTGATTAGATGGTGCCCATCCACATTGAGAGTGGGTCTGCCTCTCCCAGTCCACTGACTCAAATGTTAATCTCCTTTGGCAACATCCTCACAGACACACTCAGGAATAGTACTTTGCATCCTTCAATCCAATCAAGTTGATACTCAGTATTAACCATCATGCCTACCAAGACTAAATCATAAAAAAATAGAGAAAATTTGAATAGACTTATGACCAGTAAGGAGATTAAATCAGTAATCAAAAATCTCCTGACAAAGAAAAGCCCTGGACCTGATGGTTTCACTGCTAAATTCTACCAAACATTTAGAGAACTAGTATTCTTCTCAAACTTTTTCCAAAAAATGGAGAGGAAGGAACACATCCTAACTCATTCTATGAAGCCAGCAAGTACCCTGTTACAAAAGCCAGGCAAAGACACTGCAAGAAATTACAGACCAATATCCCTTATGAATACTGATGCAAAATTTCTTAACAAATAGTAGAAGACTGAATTCAGCAGCATATTAAAAGGATTATACATCATGACCAAATGAGATTTATTCCTGGAATGCAAGGATGATTCAGTGTATGAAAATCACCAAATGCAATACACCCTATTAACATAATGAAAGAAAAACCTACATGATCATCTCAATTGATGCAGAAAAAGCATTTGACAAAATTCAACATCCTTTCATAAAAAAAAAAAAAACCTCAATAAACTAGGAAGAAAAAGCAACCACTTCAACATAATAAAAGCCATATTTTAAAATCACAGCAAACATCATATTCAATGGTGAAAATTTGGAAGTCTTTCTCTAATGAAGCAGGATGCCAGCTTTCACCACTTACATTTAACATAGTACTGCAAGTTCTAGCAAGAGCAATTAGGCAAGAAAAAGAAATAAAAGGCATCCATATTGGGAAGAAAGAAGAAAAAAATATGTGTAAGGATGCCCTGTCCAAATCAAATATTTGGAACTGTTCCCTGGCTGAGAGTAAATCACCCAGGTTGGGTACTGTATAAAATCGAACTTTAGCATTTGGTTCCACCCCCGACACACAGAGAATCTAAACTCAGAAACATTACCCTGGCACATCTTGGACTGGTCATTTCTAGCATAGGGTGGCAAATGTGGATGCTGCTGAGAATTGCTTCCAGATCTCAAATTAAGGAAAGGGTGTGTATTAATATTTCCTGGGGAGTTGCAGTGAGTGGCTGTGGATGCATGCATGAGCAACAGTACATGTATCTTCAGTGACCTCCTACCCAATAGTTATTAAAAGTTGAATTTGTTGCTGTCAAAACAATCAGACAGACTAAACAACCAAAACAACCATGTGTGTGTATCCATTGGAATCCTCACAAAGACATTTTATTAAGTGAAAAATCCTAGATGCAGAAGGGTTTGCATGGCATATTGCCGTTGGCTTAGAATGCAAGTGGTAGAAGGAGGATGTATTTACATCTATGCTAAGATGATCAGAGAATATAACAGGAAAGTTTCATAAGAAATTATCTTGGCAGAGGAGTGCCTGGGAGACTGAAGTTCAGAGATAAAAGAAGACTTTGTTTTCACCGTTTACACTTTTACAATTTTTGAATTTCTAAAACCATGTGTATGTATTAACTATTTCAGATAGATAGGTGACAGATAGATGGATAAATAGCAATAGCTAGTAGGATTTCTTACATCTTCCCCCTCCATATCTATTTTGTTAACCTTGCTTATGCCTTGAGAGGCTGACCTTTGGTTTCCTGTTGGGTTTGGTCAATGGGAGCACCAGCAGCAGATCAGAGGAGAGGAAAGGAAAGGAAAAGAGTCCGGTCGAGCTGTCTATTCTGTCATCTTCCTCCCTGTGGGGTTATAGTGCACTCCAGAAGTCAACAGAAGGGCATAGTTCTTGTCAGGAGGCCCTCTCCACACAGGCTTCTCTATCTATAAGTTCAAGGACTATGCCCTCCCCAGCCCCCTTCAGTTCTGATAGGGACTCCATCATCCCTTGTAGTTTCCCTAAACCCCTCCCACATCTTTGAAAATTGTCCCTTTATTAAACTGTCCTTTTCAGATTATATTTGAGTGAGCCAAAGGTTCCTATTGGGATCCTAAGAGACAAACAAACAGAGAAATGAGAGAGATGAGGAGTGAGGAAGTGGGAAAGAGGTAACAAAAAGAAAAGAAACTTGAAGGGGATAGTGTAGAAGTGTTGCTTGACCACAGGCACCACATTCCAGAGTCGAGCCCTCAGCATTACAGGTTCATTGACTTGTTTTTGCTAGGGCTCTGAAAATGGGTCTCTTCCTGCTGAGGTCACAAGAGACTGAAGAATTATGATGATGATGATTATTATTATAATTATTATTTTAGAGGCGGGGTCACACTATGTTGCCCAAACCTCAAATTATCCTCCTGCCTCAGCCTCTTATGTTGCTGGGATACCAGGCAAGAGCCATCGCGCCCGACTGAAGAATTAATCAGAATACCAGTTTACCTACTTAAAGCAAAAACTAGAACTTCCAAAGGGAGTATTATTAGAGTGTCTTCTGAATCATCACAAAAATAAAAACTTATGTGTGGCATGAAATTAGTAGTAGGTAGACATTGCCTTATACATGTTATGACCTCGGCAGAATCCCGGAATGCACCAAGTTGCCTCGTGGAGATTATTTAATCTAATAATTTTTCAAACAAGTAGGGGATAACTCCCCCCAAGAATTTCAGACATGTGAAGGCTTTAAAAATATCTCTACATCCCCGAAAGATATTAAAATAATCCCTTAGGAGTTATTTCCTCCCTTGGCTGCTTTCCTTAACCCACTGAAAATCACCGTCTGTGATAAGAACTGTTCCTGATGACAGTGTTCCTTATCTGTACCTGTATAGGCAGAGGAAAGGTCCAGAAGCACAAATCAAGTCAACCTACTCATCTGAAGAGTGAAAAAAATGAAAGCCAAGGAGGAAAGTTAACTTGAATGTGGTCATAGTAAGTTAGCACTAGGAAGTACCTCTATTGAACCCAGGTATCTTGATGATGCTGCTTCTTCCAAAACATATTGAATGTTTACAATAGAACAATTTTTGAAGGAAGCATTTCTTAAATTATAATTCTTTTGCAAACAATGCTCCCTGTATGTAATAGTATATATAACACCTATGTTAAACAAAATATTAAATTAACTTGAATATCCTGTTTTTCTATTCTAAGAGGTTAATTCATATTGAAAGAGATTATTCATTTGCATGAGAAAATAACTAGAGAGTTCTATGCTGAGTGGTGACATTTAAAGATATTCTAATTGTTTTATTTAGATATAAGTCACATATAGTAAAATTCTCCTTTTTTAGTTGTACAGTTCAAGAATTTTTGACCAATGTTTTCAGGTACATAATCCTGCCACAGTCATTGCTGAACAAAATTTCCTCCTGCCCCTTGGTAGGCAATACCCTCCCCCAACTTTCAGCCCTTGCCAAACTTTGATCTAATTTTTGTCCTTGATCTAAGCTTTGCCTTTTTCAGACGTCATATAAATGAAATCACTTATGACCTTCTGAGTCTGGCTTATTCCACTTGGCAAAAACCATTTAAGATTTATTCATTTTGGTGCATGTGTTAGTTTGTTCCTTTTTTCTCCTGAATAGTGTGCCATTGTATAGATGTACCACTGTTTGTTTATCCATTCACCAGTTGATGAACATTTGGGTTGTTTGCATTTTGGGGTATTTATGAATAAAACCACTATAAACATTTATGTACAAATATTTATGTGGACCTTGCTTTCATTTCTCTTGGATAAATATCTGGAGTAGGATTACTAGGTCATATTTAAGTATGTGTTTAACTTTTAAAGAAACTGTTAAACTGTATCCCAAAGTGGCTGTGCCATCTGGCATTCCCACCAATATTCTAAAGGATTCCAGTTGCTCTGCATCCTCGCCAGAATTTGGTGTTGTCAGTTGTTTGTTTGTTTTCTAAATTTTAGTCATTTTAATAAGTAGGCTGTGATATCCCATTGCAGTTCTAACTAATGATACGGAGCATCCTTTCATGGGCTTCTTTGCTACCCATGTCTCTTCTTTGAAGAAGTATCTTTCAAATATTTTGCCCATTTTAAATTGGGGTATTCATTTTCTTATTGCTAAATTTAGAGATTTCTTTATATAATCTGTATACAAGTCCTTTATCATGTATATATTTTTCGCATACTTTTGCCCAGTCTGTGGCTTGTTTTTTTCATTATTTAGTGTTTTTCAAAGAATAGAAAATTTTAATTTATCAACTTGTTTTTAATTTTATGGTTCATACTCTTTTTATCTATGAAATCTGTACCAGAAGCAACAAAGACCTTAGTCTATGTTTTCTTCTAGAAGTTTTATATTTTAGGCTTTACTCTTAGATCTATAATACATATCTAATAAATTTTGCATATGATATGGTTTTCCTTTTAAAATCTTTAAAATAATCTTTTTCATAATGATAAAATATTTCTTGTATAATTAATATGACAATGTCATCAGCTAGCTTAGCTTTCATTCCAGTAGAAGTGAAGGCACAGAGTAAAGCTTAGTTCTCCTCCATAAGGACTTCAGGTTTGTTGAATTTCCATCTATTCTCAGTAGTGCCCATGGCTCGGTGCCCAGGCATTATACATCATTTAAAGACACAATGCCATGTCTGATCTAGCTTGCTGGTGATTTTCAGTACATGACAAGTCCAAGAGTTTTGGCTCCCAACTATGGTAATTGCATAGACAGTTCCCACTCCAGCTTAGGGTTCCCAGTGCTCACCACCTCCTTACCTAGCTATGGCTGCTTATCTTGGAAAGAAACCTTATAGGTAAGGCATTCATAATACCCTCTGGGGTTTCTTTAACTACAATCTGCCTTCACATAATTTTTTCAAATAAGGACTGTGCATATCAAATATACACAGACAAGTAAAAATTAATAATGATCTTATATTCCTTTCAACCTGAATTTCCTGGAAAAGGACTCAACCTAGAAATTTTGTCTTGCTTTATTAGTGCTTAATAAAACTGTCTTGGCCATCGGGTTTAAAATATTTAGTTTTAATACTTCACTGCCCTAGTGACTGGCTTATATTTTACCAAAGGAACAGTATTATTTTTCGAAGGTACACAGATATGCACTTCATTAAGGATTTTCATCTTCTCAGAGATGGGCAAAGTATTTATTCTTGATAATCAAACTAAAGGAGGAGAAAGCATGCGCATCTAGAACAGTTATGGTAGAAGATATTTGAAATATTAATTCATGTGTGTTCTCCCTTCTCTACATGTCTGATTCCTTTATATCTCCCCTGGGGGTTGGAGGCAGAAAGAGTCAGATCTAAGCAGGACACACATTGCTGCCTGCCAATTTGCTAAAGGTCACTGTAGTCTAGGAAAGTAAAAAGGAGGAAGGCACCCAGTAGTCAGAAGGGAGAGTATTGGGAAACTAAGCTGGAGCTAGAGTGGAAGTCAAGTGCCAGATGATTTTACCCAGTTGTGCTGCTATCCAGTCCTTCTCGTGGCCAGCTAGTGAGGCCCGCCACCAGACAGCAGCCTTGACCAACAGCATCCCAGCTTGTCTGTGCTCCAGGACCCAGTTCAGCCCTCCCTACTCCTTCTGCTTCTCTCCATGAAGTCAATCCCAGGAAGTTCAGCAGCCCGGTACTCTTATGGTTCCTCCAGGATAAGAGGGTGGGGCCCTGAACACCTTTAGTGACAGTATAAAAGGGCAATATTCATCCCTGATGAAGGAAGGACCAGACAAGGCCAGCTTGATTGAAAGCTCCCACTAAGCTAGGGCAGTGTTGGCCACAGAGACCTTGTGACTCCGGACGGTTGATACCAATATATATATGTACCTCACATAGGGTCTGAGTAGCTACCACCTGTCCCTTCACTAGGCAGCCATCACAGTTTGTTTCACCTAGTGCCCTGGACCAAGAGCCAGATGGTGGGGAGAGCTGAAAATCAGTGCCTCCCAGAAGCTTTTTTTAGAATGCACACAAAGAGGAAAAAGACAAAACAAGTAAAAGACAAAGAGAACTTTGAAAACAGAGAACTGCACTTGACTGCCGGGAAGGAGAATGGTGACAGCTGGAGAAAAACTGAACAATAAATTTGGGCACTATAGGGCAGTTCAAGGCTTTATTGGTGGGGAAAAAAAATTGCTTCCTTCTCAATTTTTGCAGACTGGCTTCCAGTGATTTGACTTGCGTCTCTTAATATTACTTTTACATTTTCAGGAGACACAATCTGGTTGATTTAGATGTCTAATCCTAATCAAAGTAGGCTAGAGAGGGTGGGTCACATTGTTCAAATGTGGCTGTCACAGAGTTTATATCTGTGGTGCGTGCCTGTAGTCCCAGCTACTTGAGAGGCTGAGGCAGGAGAATCACTTAAGCCCAGGAGTTCAAGACTAGCCTGAAAATATAGTGAGACCCTGTCTTAAAACAAACAAACAAAAAAAAGTTGGTAATCACCAAATCAAACTACCCCAAAATGTACTATTTTAGCACATCTATCCTAAGTTATATCAATGAGGACAATTATTATCTGTTTCCCTGTGCTAGGAATGTGGTTTGCCTATTATCGTTAAAGGATGTGTCTTAAACTATGCCTTCTTTCTTCACCTCTTCAGGTTAGGTAACTTTTTCCTCCTTTCTGTAGGAGCTCAGACATTCTGCTGGGTGAAGCTTAAGTATCAACATAGCCTTAATGTGAGATACCAACAAGAAACCCAGACAAATCCGAAGGTGTCACACTGGATCTTTTTTTTTTTTTTTTGAGACGGAGTCTTGCTCTGTCGCCCAGGCTGGAGTGCAGTGGCGCGATCTCGGCTCACTCTAAGCTCTGCCTCCCGGGTTCACGCCATTCTCCTGCCTCAGCCTCCCGAGTAGCTGGGACTACAGGCGTCCGCCACCACGCCCGGCTAATTTTTTTTGTATTTTTAGTAGAGACGGGGTTTCACCATGTTAGCCAGGATGGTCTCGATCTCCTGACCTCGTGATCCACCCTCCTCGGCCTCCCAAAGTGCTAGGATTACAGGCGTGAGCCACTGCGCCCGGCCACGAGATCTTATTTAACAGACAGCATGGGCAGCAACTTTACTCCACTCCCTGGTTCCTCTCTGTGGCTTTTGTGTCAGAAGCACAATTCTTTCACTTATTCTAAATGTCTCCACAACCATCATCAGCCCCAAAAATCCCTGTACTGAATTCTCTCCTCTCAGTCCAAATCCACTGCGGGTTCATCTGTATTCCAAGAGAACTTTGTTTTCTTTTTCTTCCTTTCCCTCAATCCTTTTAATCCTCTAGTTCAAGCAATTAGCTCTACAAATATTAGCTGCAATCAAGGTCTAGCACATGTGGTAATTTTCTCTCTAATAAATCAATCAATTCTTTCCATGGAGTGTTTTTTTCCTTTACAGTCATTAGAAAATTACAATGCTACTTGAGGATCACCAGCAACTTGAATTAGTCAAGGCACGTCAATCAAATTTGCCAGATTTTGCTTTAAAGATGAGAAAAATGGGGTAGATTTACAAAGGCCTCTTGTCTTAGAATAGGAAGCTTGATAGACCCTTGTTGAATCTCTCTTAGAGAGGCCTTGGAGTATAATGATCCATTTGGAGGAAAATCAAAATCAGTACTACCAGTGACAAATCAGACAAAACATAGAACCTCTCATTAAATAATCTAAAAATTAATAATTGGAATAATCAGCCATGCAGTGTCCCTGGGCAATGCAATATTCCGTAATAGCTAACAGGTTAGCACAGCAAAGAAAAAAGAGACATAATCTAGCAAATGGCCAAACTGTAGTTCTATGGCTTATTAAATTTTTTTTTCTTTAGTTAAATGGGAACTAAAGGAGCCAAACTGTGCTTCTCGAAGCTGTCTTTCACGTTGGGGATAGGACACTGTAGGGAGTAGGGAGCTGGGGAGCCCAGTGACAACTCCTTGATCACCCACCCTCCCAGTATAGCAGCTCGATTTTTGTCTTATTTCACACAAGTTGTGTTGAGGCAATGGTTTTTCTTCTTAAAAATGATTTGAGAATCACCTATGCAGCCCAGACCACTCTTTTCATAAATATGTAAAATTAATGCCAGAGAAGGAATTCTTAATTTAGCCATACAGCTGGAAATAGACCCTGGACAGGATCTTCCCATGCCATGCTATACTGTCTCTTATACTTGGCGAACAAACCAGGTGAGAATTTGCATCCCTTTGTAATGGGGCTGCTTTTTTTCTTTTGTTTTCAAATGGTTATAAGGAAAAACTGATGCAGCCAAGTTAGTGTGAGAAGAGGCACAAATGCTACACTGGAAGTGAAAACAGAGTCTGCAATTGTGCTCCTTTCTCTACAGAATCTCTAGTCACTCTGAAGAATTATATCATTATCCAGCACCTGAAAGGGGTCAGAGGAGGGGGAGGCCTAGTTCCATTTTCTTATGTCACCGAATGTATTCCTATTAAGATTGAGAGAAGTAAAGATTTCAGCAGGATACTTGGTGAAAACTTGCTGACATTAATGACTCAAATTCTCAGAGAGACTGCAAGGAAAATGGTGTCATCACTGTCATTCAAGACATTTAAGATGAAATTTCAAAAGAAGGCTGTCAGGCATAATGACTGCCAGGTTCCATTATATCATTCTCAGAGGGTGGATCACACACACTACTACGCAGCCTGTGGGTGGCTGATGCTGAAGTTTGAAAGGAAGCTGCATGGAGAAGAGGTGAGGGGGGCTGCCTCACATGAACAGGATACAGCACCATTGATATTCATATGGTGATTTGGGGGTAAATCTATGAATCGGGGCCTGGTCTTTTGTTGTGGATATGCTGAAACCTAGTGCTGAAAAAATGTAGGAAAGTTTGAGCTGTAAATGGTAGTGCCTATTTATTAATTTGCTATGAGCATATTCCTCTCTAGCGACCCAGATGCTCATGTCTGTGTGCATTCCAGCACTGAGATGCCTGCAAAGCCTAGTTTGTAATCAGTAGATAGCCATGTGAAAAGGAGATAAGGGCAGTGGCTTCCAACCTTGGCTGCACAATGCAATCACCTGGGGTGATTCGACGCTAAGGCCATACTCTAAAATCAAATAAATCTGAATCTCAGGGATGAGGACACAGACATCAGTACTTTTAAAATCTTCTCAAGTGATTCTAATGAGCAGCAAAACTGAGAACCACCGTGTCAAAGCAAAGGGTGAGGTTTTAGGCCTCAAAGGGTGAGTCTCACCCTTTCCACTCAGGGATCTTTTATGTCATAGAGCAGTGGGTTTGATTTGGTTTTGTTTTAAATCAGGAGTAGACATAGGTTTGCCAGTTTCTAAATTTGTCAAATAAAATCATTAAAAATTCAACTACCATTATCTCATTAAAGAAAGAAAATTTCAACAATAAAAATTAGGAAGGGCCTAACTTCAGGATATAAGAGTAACTCAGTATGTTGTATTTATTTTTCCCATGTCTCTACAGACGAGTGAACATGTCGCTACAGACTGATGCAAACTGATGCAACTGATGTGATCTAATTGCTCTCTACACCCATAATCAAGGCTTTCCTCCTTGGACAGCTTTAGATATACTTGGCTGAGTTTGGGTTAATTAAACCGCTGTCCTATGCTAACTATCCTTCTCTTGCCATATCCTTTAGTAGAGGTTATTAATAGTATTGATTAAGTTGTAGGTGATTTCTTCTCCCAGGCTTTGGAAATGTTCTGTCTCTTCCAATTACAGAATATGTTGATTTAGTAAGCTCAGCTCTGCTTAGACATCTTAAACTAAGTTTTCTAGGGTGACTGTGGCACATATATGCCCAAATAACCACTTATCAGGGGCACTGGCACCCCCTTGTTTTGCTAGTGGACCATGATAGCGATTATTCTAAATCCAGTGGTGAATTCATTGGAGGGCCAAATAAACTGAGATGAGTTGCTTATTCTGTGTTCTAGCAATTATTCTAAATCCAGTGGTGAATTCATTGGAAGGCCAAATAAACTGGGATGAGTTGCTTATTCTGTGTTAAGTTATACAAAATAAAAAAGACTTACTAATATTGTAAACTTTATTTTAAGTGCCTCTTTGGAATCTTCTATATGCCCAGTTCTTCTGTGGCCATGTTTTATATTGCCCCTCTTCTCCCCGAAGGTACATTGGCATTCTAGAATGAGTTCTATACTTAGTTGTCTGTCCTTAACGAGACTGGCTGTTGCGACTCCTAGGAGAGGCGAGCTGTGAGAGAAGTTTACCAGTACTCCGAGTCTATACCTCAAAGTTCCCTTCGAAGTGTGCATAATGTAGAGACTCATTTATGCTGAAAATGGTGTGAAATAAGTCTTCATTTATTAATTTCCTCTAAGCTGTCATGCTTAAAGGTGGATCAAAAGAATAGAAGCTAGCATACACATGTGCTTTTGGCCAACTGAAAAAGTTCTATTTACTGATGTCTGTGTTCTTCAAACACTCAATATGTGTAACTAATAATGGGCTAGTCTGCCCCTGTTACTCCTAGACGAACCCAACCCAAACTGAAATGTTTGCCATCTTTTCAAGGTCAGGGGCTTTGCTTGGAATAGAACATCAACCTCAGAAGTAGAAGACCTGGATTTGAATCCCAGCTCCACTACTCTCTTCAGCAAGTTGCTTAAACTCTCTGAGCCTCAATTCCCTTATATATAAGATACGAATAATTGCTTTTTCTTCTTCTTTCTTCTTTCTTATTCTTCTTCCTTCTTCCTTTCTCCTCCTCCTCCTCCTTCTTCTCCTCCTCCCTCCTCTTCTTCTTCCTCTTCTTCATTACTTTATATGCTAATTATGAGAATTACATATGATAATTTAGGTAGAATACTTCACAAGTTGCCAGACATAAGTTCTTACTAAACATTAACTTTGTAGGTCAGAGCTCAGGACAATAACATGGCATATAATAAACATTCACTAGACACTTCACACACACACACACACACACACACACACACACACACACACACACAGTCCTGTGTCTGTAGAAGGAGGAATCTCATTGGAAATGCAAAGTTAAAAAGCTGTTACTGAATTCTGAACTTTAGTTTCCAGGTCTTGACCGTTTAACCAGACCTACCTGCTGCTTAATCTTTGCTCATAACTGTCTCTAGTCTCCCAAACAGATTACCTTTGCTGAGACCTGTGCATTTTTATGATGAATCCATAGAGTCACCTATCTGACCACCATCCCTCTTTCCATCAATATGCCCTTATCTTTACAGATCCTGGTATTCCTTGGACCCAGAAACACATTCCCTTGCTATTATCCTAAAGCAGCTAAGCCTGTTAAAGGAAAGCATTTAGAAATCTAGATATCTGCTCCTGCATTTTCATATTTCTGTATGCCAAGAAAAATTTGAATCAAATTCTCTATTGATACATTAGGTATAAACCATGGATCTGGGAGAAATTAAGTTGGAAGGACAAGGACCCATGGTTGATCCAGAGCACTTAATATTCGTGTAGGACCAAATTCTGTTTAATATTTTTATCCTGCTGTAATTAAAAATTTTTGACATCAACTATCAATACAGGTACATATGTTCTCCCTACCTCTGCTAAAGCTCCTTCCCCCACCACCAAAAACAATAACAAACAAAAAACAAAAATAAAAACATCGATAAGTGAACTTCTCAAGTTGCTGAAAATGTACCATCAGATTCAAGCCTGTTTCTGAAAGTTTCAACTCACCCAATCAGACAAAAGGCTGAGGAAGGGAAACATTTATCAAGTTACACTGAGGACTCCATCTGTTATCTTCGACCTTTGTTACCAAGTGACACAGAGGAGATACTTGAAGGCAGTTTGAAAGACTTGTTTTACAGATTCTTAGTCCAAAGATTTCCAATTAGGGAGAAGAAGCAGCAGAAAAGGAGAAAAGCCAAGTATGAGTGATGATGAGGCCTTCATCTACTGACATTTAACCTGGCGAGAACCGTCGATGGTGAAGTTGCCTTTTCAGCTGGGAGCTGTCCGTTCAGCTTCCGTAATAAATGCAGTCAAAGAGGCAGTCCCTTCCCATTGCTCACAAAGGTCTTGTTTTTGAACCTCGCCCTCACAGAAGCCGTTTCTCATCATGCCAAGCCAACAGAAGAAAATCATTTTTTGCATGGCCGGAGTGTTCAGTTTTGCATGTGCCCTCGGAGTTGTGACAGCCTTGGGGACACCGTTGTGGATCAAAGCCACTGTCCTCTGCAAAACGGGAGCTCTGCTCGTCAATGCCTCAGGGCAGGAGCTGGACAAGTTTATGGGTGAAATGCAGTACGGGCTTTTCCACGGAGAGGGTGTGAGGCAGTGTGGGTTGGGAGCAAGGCCCTTTCGGTTCTCATGTAAGTAGCAATTGCATTTGAGTTATTTAATGCTTTAGGCAGACTCTTCCCAGTGTTGCGAGGAATTATATTTGAGAATTTTGCCGTGTTTACTGCAGGACTTTTTAAATCGGTGTGAACCATATGAAAAACCTATGACTCTGAGCAATTTCTTCTTCCTAGTTTTTATTATTTTATACTTGCTTTTTATTATAATATAGAGTTAATTCATTGTTACATAATTAAGGTTTTTGGAAATATTGGCAATTAAGATGCTTAAGTATTAATATTTATGTAAAAAATTATGGAGTCTTTTTAAAAAAGTAAACTTGGGGAAATAGGAAAGCTGTAAAGAATGATCTTTATGCTTTTTGTTCTTTATAAAAAGAACCAAGGTCATGGGCTCCGTATTTAACCAGGTTGCCACCTTTCTCATGATTTTGTTTCCTGCTCCCCACTCCCTCCCATTATTCCTGCTAAGACCTTTCCTGCTGCTAAATATTCAGTTTTCATTTTTAACTAATTTGGAATCATTTGGCTATAGAAATTTAAAATGATCTGCTGTGCTAACTGGGAAAGAAATGGATGCCTATTTAGTATAGAACATTTTAAACTGATTGACCTGCAAATCATGTAGAGAATATGAGAGAGATTTTCTTGTTGTGATTTTTGTGAAATGGAAGTGTAATCCACAGTATTTATAACCTGTTTATCTTAAGAAGAGAATTTTTAAAAATTACCATGTGAATAGGCAACTCATTAAATGAAAATTAATAGGAAGTCATTTGTTATATCTCTTACAACACACATTCAGAAGTTATTATTATTTCAGAAGGGCTGGTTTGGAACAACCTTATGAAGACACAGTCAGTAAATTACTGCATAAATCACTCTTCAGGAAAGGAGGTTACCAACTGAAGCATTTAAAATGAATTATTATTTTGCCCAGGTTTTTTTTTTCTTTCTAGTATAGGTAGAAGGCTAAATTAATTGAATTTATTATTAACATATGCAGTGCCTAATTAAATTTCAGTGCTGGTCTATTTATATTTCTGCAACATTCCTTATATCTTCTTAGCAGTCATTGGACACCAACCTTCAGCTCACATAGGTTACTAAGTGATATGAATTTTCATAGGGCTCCAGAAAATTTCCAAGAATTGGTTGTTAGCTTTTTAATTGATGAAGTGGATACCAGTTCTTTTCACTGAATGGCTTTTATTCATTAAGGTAATGGGGCTGTTAGAGTTGCTTAGTTTTCCTGGGGAAGGGGAAGGAAGAAAACAAAGCAGAATGTCATGTGATATGCAACTGTATTAAAAAACCGAAAAGGAAAAAAGTTGAGAGAGATGATTTAACCGTGAGTCACCGGCAGCCAAAGCGTGAGTAAAGCTTCTCACAGATGAATTTAGACAAAAGCGGAGAAGGTACTGGTGAATTTTCTGGAGCCTTTACATTTTCTACAGTGAAATGGAGATAAACTTTACTCATGCCATAGGACATGTTTCAAAACAATAATAAGATGTTTTCTGAACACTTACTACATACTAAGCACTTTATATGCTTTGTCTCATTTAATCCTTACACAGCCACATTCTTCTGGGGTTTAGCGAATGATTTTTGTGGTTGTGTCCTATGCTTGTCCTGTCTAAGGATGAAGTTGTTCTAATTGGGTGCCCCTCCTTTTGCTTTCTGTGAGGACTTGCAGAACTGGTGGGGTTTAAACAGTACCCTCACTTATCTCACAGAATTTCATTAGCTCCCAGATACCCCTGACATTCTCCCCCTAGCCTAGTGAAGAAAATCTTCCATTTACTTGTTCATTCTGCAGTGACAGCTCCATCAATATACAATAGACTATACATATTAAGTGTACTGTATATACTATACATGTTAAAAATCTCATTCATTTTGGTGAGGCCCAGCTAAGAATACTTACAGTAGAGCTTTTTTTTTTTTCCTAAGCATAAAAGTATCTTTTTCAATGCAGCATGAGACAGAGTTGGGAAAACCAAAATAAATAGATCCAATGGACTCCCCAAAGAGGATAATATTCATTTAAATAAACACCCCTCTCAGTGTTAAAACTTTCTAATCAACATGCCTTTGGGACACATTGCACCCTCAAAGTTTACACTCCCATTGCAACGCAGCTTTGTGGTTCACGTTTTTTCCATTCAGAATGTCATTACCCTGTCAATGATGTTTCATCAACGTTTGCTTGGATGAGAATCCTCTGATATTCTTCCTGATAGAAATGTATAAGCCCTGTTCATATAAATGAATAAAAGATCTAACCTTACTTTCTCAGTAGTGGCTTCCTTGGAGCAAAAAGCAGGGACCTCCAGAGAGCTCAGGTGGATGACTCTTTTCTGTTTCTTCCAGAGCTCAACTTACAATTAGTGCACAATTCATTTCCCAGAATGTCTTCTTTCTTATTGTGCCTTTAGAAAGTTATTAAGCAAACATTTGAATTCACAGAATCTTACCAGTGTAAGAGGAATGGAAAAGGTAACTTATCAAGGTAACAATCACTTCGTGGCCAGTTTTTTCGGCTCACTGCAACTACCCCTCCTGGGTTCAAGCGATTCTCCTGCCTCAGCCTCCCAAGTAGCTGGGACTACAGGCGTGCACCACCATGCCCAGCTAATTTTTTTTTTGTATTTTTAGTAAAGACAGGGTTTCACCATGTGGGCCAGGCTGGTCTCATGGCAAGTTTTCTTTGTGTTGTCATGTTATTATCAATTAATAGGAATTTATATTTCAGTTCTGTTAGGTGGATAAACACTATTTTGCATACCTAAATGTTTCATTTATATCAGCACTGGCCAATAAAAATATACTATAAGCAGGCCGGGTGCAGTGGCTCACGCCTGTAATCCCAACTTTTGGGAGGCCAACACTTTGGGAGGACACAGGGTCAGGAGATCGAGACCATCCTGGCTAACCTGGTGAAATCCCGTCTCTACTAAAAATACAAAAAATTAGCCGGGCGTGGCGGGGGCGCCTGTAGTCCCAGCTACTTGGGAGGCTGAGGCAGGAGAATGGCACGAACCCGGGAGGTGGAGCTTGCAGTGAGCCGAGATCTCGCCACTGCACTCCAGCCTTGGTGACAGAGCAAGACTCTGTCTCAAAAAAAAAAAAAAAAAAAAAAAAAAAAAAATATATATATATATATATATATTACAAGCCACAAGCCACATATGTACTTTTAAATGTCCTAGTAGCCATATTAGAAAACAAAAGTAAAAAGGAATAGATGAAATTAATTTTAATGATTTTTTTAAACCCAAGATATCCAAAATATTATCATTTTAACATATAATTAAAAATTTATTGAGATGTTTTACATTGTTTTTTTTTTTCTTGACGCTGTCTTGGAAATCTAGAGTGTATTTTACATTTACATTACATCTAATTCAGTCTAGCCACATTTCACATGCTCATTTTTTTGTGTGTGGTTTTATGGAGCAGAGAGTTTAATAGGCAAGAAAGAAAAGAGAAGGCAGAAGAAAATGGCTCCCCTGTACAGAGACGCGGGGGTGGGGCGCTCCAAAGCCAAAAGAGGAGGTCCCTAAGTATGGTAGACACCAGCCAGGAATATATGCAGTGTCTGGAGGAGGGGATGTCTGATTTGCATAGGGTCACATGCTCATTTTTATGGCTACTGTATTGGTCAGTACAGATTTAGATGGGGATTTGCTCTGAACAAGTTGGTGATTGATGGTGTTCATATTTTAATTGAATTTTTCCTGGGTTCTGCTGTACACTTGTATGTGTGTTAGTTTCATGTGCAATGCTTGTGTCACTTTTAAAACCCAGATATATGGCATAACATGAGAATGAAAAATGGACCAGAAAAATAGTTTGGCAATGTAGTCATGTTTGTTCCTATTAAATGTTCCCTATTGACCACTCTATCTCTTTTAATTATAACAAGAATCTGCCCTGCCAGCATGCCCAGTTACGCTGGGAAAACTTCTGCCTCATTTACTCTGGCTGATTCTCATCCACTTATGGGTCAGTGGTTCATTTTCTAGAGGTCACCAGCATTCATACCTAGCATACAATTTCATTCATTATAATGAAGGAATGTTTTCCCTTCAAAGAGACACAACTAGTGGGCTTAATTTTTCTTGATATGTCACCTGTAAAATTTTAATGATGATGTTTAAACTCTAAATGTAGCCATCAAGACAAAAACTGCAAATTTTGAGCCTCAGTGTGTGTGGGTGGGTTTCTGTTTCGGTAATTTGAAACATTGCAGAATATCATCAAAATATGATACCCAAGAATCATATGGTATCAATCATTCCTAGATATACTGATCTATTCATTGCCAAGATAGTTCAATGAGCTGGCAAAAACATATGGAATTATTTTCTTAAAATGTGAAAAATAAAATTTAACCAATCATGTATCACAGCTTGCAACTTTAGTCATACTTTGAAAAGCATTTTAATTTGGACCTCATGATTGAAAATTTATAAAAAGCTGAACAGAAATTAGTTCACTTCATATTTTAGAAAAGCAGAGTTTCTTTACTAAATGAGGCATTTGACCCAAATTGGAGAGAAAATGTTGAAACTACTTCTGTGAGCAAGCAGGTGGCTTCTCAAACACATGTTGGGATGAAATGGTTGGGCCTCAGGGTCTCAGTGCCTGTCACTGAGAGTTGGCACTCTCTATCTCCATGGTCTCCTCCAAGTGTGACTCTTGTCTCTTGCTGACCTGACCTGCCCCAAGTGACTCACTGGTCATGACCCTGCACACCTTGCGTCTCTCCTATCACCCTGCCGATGGCAGAGCTACAAAGGTCTTTGATGTAGCTCTGTCTGATATCCTGTGTTTCCCCCTATGGTCTGTGTGGAAGCAGGTATGGGGGTGTGTAAAGGGGAAGCCTATGAAGTTCATCTGCAAAGACTACCTGGTTAGGGGAGGAGAGGAAGAAGCTATATGCACCATTTCACCAGCAAGCATGGGCTCTTCTGCCTTTTAGCTTAGGGGTCCTGTTGTCTAGTCTCACTCACCTATTAAAACAGTCCAGCAAATAGAGGTTTTGTTTACCTCCCATTAAAAAAAAAGCAATTAATGGAATAGAAGATAATAATGTATGAGAAGCACTATTGTGAAAGAAAAACCTTCAACTTCTCTCAGCCAAATAATTGCTTCCTCCTCTGTCCTTCCCAGACCTTGATGTTTGCTCTATTATTTCAAAACAACTATATTATAAATATTTGAGAATGTGTATTTCCCTGCAAGGAGATCTTAATCCCCAAGAAGGCAGGAGCTGTGTATTATTCATCCCAGTGCTCCTTCAAACCAGGGCCTCAGACAGTGCATGGCCCAAAGAGGTACTTAATAAACGTTTGGTAAACTGACACTATTGAAATTAAGCAACCTGGATTTGAGGTGGGTCTCTGCCACTCACAAGAGATTACGCTTTGAGAAAATTCCATCACTTCATTGATTTTCAGTTCTTGCATCTGTATATGGGAGACGATACTAGGTGATTTCTGACATCTCTCACCGTTTAAATGCTCTGTGATCTATACAACGAGGGGCTCGCTGTTCTAGACAAGTTCCTTCCAGCTTTACAGTTGCATAACCCTTCTAATCTTAGTCACATGATGACTCCACTGACAGATTTTTGGCCACCATCATTAGACATGCTGAGTTACGTGTGCCTTTGCTCTGATCCTCAAAACTCATGATTTTTAAAGTTTTCTGAAATATCTACCATTTATCAGGATCCAGATGGATTTCATGACCAAAGTGGATGTTTCTTTTCTCTCCCATTACAATCTTTTACTTTTTGTGTGGGAAATTGCATGTTAAAGAAAGGGAAATTGAAGAATGGGATGCTTTGGAATTCTGGCAAGATGGATTAGTGGGTTCCAGAAAGTAGGGGCAGCCACAAATACCGAAATAAATGAGATCGTATTATTGAGAAAGCACAAATGGAAGAAGGTCAAAAGCAAGAAGAAGCTGACATCCTGCTTCCTCCAATTTTTGCTTTCTCTGTTTTTCCAAGAAACTCCTCTTCCAAGCCTTGCTGAAAAACTCCACTTTCCTAAATCTAACTTCTTAAACTGATAATGGCAAGAAGTTAGGAATGACCAATATGTTTAACACTCCAAGAGTATTTGTTTTGTTTTGTTTTGAGACTGGGTCTCACTCTGTCGTCCAGCCTGGAGTGCAGTGGTGTGATCACAGCTCACTGCAGCCTTGACCTCTCCTGCCCAAGGAATCCTCCCACCTCAGCCTCCTGAGTAGAAGGGACCACAGGCATGTGCCACTACACCTGGCTAACTTTTAAAAAATTTTTTTGTAGAGATGGGGTTGCCCAGGCAGGTCTCAAACTGCTGGGCTCAAGCAATCCTCCTGCATTGGCCTCCCAAAGTGCTGGAATTATGGGCATAAGCCACTACGCCTGACCTCTCCAAGGGCATTCTTTACCCAGAAGAGGAACTTGGCAGAACTTATCCTCCAATTGGTGAGGAATATGGAGAAAATGACTTTAAGCAAAGGAACTTCTGGTTCTGCCTACCTAATCCAGAAAAAGAAGTTTTATTTCTCCCTTCCCCTAGTAACTATCTTCCCATATTCACATAAAAAAGTACAGAATCAACATTGTTCAAGAATTATAATTTTACTTGTAAGCACATGTGCACACGCACACCCATATACCTTCCTTCCCTTTAAATCATCCCACACCCTAATAGTAGTAAAATCATTGACCCGAGCATACCTGGGAGAGGAAGAGGAGTCTGACAGGGGCAGGTTCTAAGTGGCACTCCTGGAACTTAACCCTGGTGTATATGAACTTTACCTATTGAAGGATGACTCCTCAACTGTTCTCACAATTTGCTGCTCTGCTTTCTTTTCTAATTTCTGAAGGTGACTCATCTTCCCCAAGGACTTTCAGACTTCTCAGAAGAAAAAAATATTGGGTGGGTCTCTGCCACTGGCAAAAGATTAGACTTTGAGAATCATAAAAGTATATCAGTATATACTCATTAATATTGAATTACTATAATTAATATTATGATATTGATATAATGATAGAATGATATTGATAAAAGCAATATTCAATAATGAATATTATTTCAGCTGCCCACTTATTGGGTGCCTCATAGGTGCCAGGCATTTTGTATGTATTATCTACAACCCTTACATGGGACATATTATGATGCTGTTTCTCTTGAAGAAATATGGAAACTGGAAACAGAGAGGTCACCACAATTTTCCAAAGTCACATAGCTAATAGGTAGCAGACTTGGGATTCAAATTCATATGCATATGGTAAATCATGCTCTTCCTCTGCTACATTTTGCCCCCTTAGAATATGAAAAAGGGATACAAAGAGATGAAGAAAATATGTAAGATTATCCTTCAATTTCACTATCTTTTTTAAAGTTTTTTTTATTATACTTTAAATTCTGAAATACATGTGCAGAACATGCAGGTTTGTTACATAGGTATACACGTGCCATGATGGTTTGTTGCACCCATCAACCTGTCATCTACATTAGGTATTTTTCCTAATGCTATCCCTCCCCTAGTCCCCCACCCACCGACAAGCCCCGGTGTGTGATATTCCCCTCCCTGTGTCCATGTGTTCTCATTGTTCAACTCCCACTTATGAGTGAGAACATGCGGTGTTTGGTTTTCTGTTCCTGCGTCAGTTTGCTGAGAATGATGGTTTCCAGCTTCATTCATGTTCCTGCAAAAGGCATGAACTCATTTTATGGCTGCATACCATTCTATGGTATACATGTGCCACATTTTCTTAATCTAGTCTATCATTGATGGGCATTTGGCTTAGTTCCAAGTCCTTGCTATTGTGAACAGTGCTGCAATAAACATATGTGGGCATATGTCTTTATAGTAGAATGATTTATAATCCTTTGGGTATAGACCCAGTAATGGGATTGCTGGGTCAAATGGCATTTCTGGTTCTAGGTCCTTCAGGAATTGCCACACTGTCTTCCACAATAGCTGAACTAGTTTACACTCCCACCAACAGTGTAAAAGCGTTCCTATTTCTCCACATCCTCTCCAACATCTGTTGCTTCCTGACTTTTTAATGATTGCCATTCTAATTGGAGTGAGATGGTATCTCAGTGTGGTTTTGATTAGCATTTCTTTAATGACAAGTGATGATGAGCTTTTTTTCATGTTTGTTGGCCGTATAAATGTCTTCTTTTGAGAAGTGTCCGTTCATATCCTTTGCCCACTTTTTAACGGGGTTTTTTCTTGTAAATTTGTTTAACTTCCTTGTAGATTCTGGATATTAGTCCTTTGTCAGATGGGTAGATTGCAAAAATTTTCTTCCATTCTGCAGGTTGCCCGTTCACTCTGATAATAGTTTCTTTTGCTGCGCAGAAGTTTTTTTAGTTTAATTAGATCCCATTTGTCAATTTTGGCTTTTGTTGCCATTGCTTTTGGTGTTTAGTCATGAAGTCTTTGCCCACGCCTATGTCCTGAATGGTAATGCCTAGGTTTTCTTCTAGGATTTTTATGGTTTTAGGTCTTATGTTTAAATCTTTAATCCATCTTGAGTTAATTTTTGTATAAGGTATAAGGAAGGGGTCCAGTTTAGTTTTCTGCATATGGCTAGCCAGTTTTCCCAACACCATTTATTAAATAGGGAATCCTTTCCCCGTTGCTTGTTTTTGTCAGGTTTGTCAAAGAGCAGATGGTTGTAGATGTGTGGCATTATTTCTGAGGCCTCTGTTCTGTTTCATTGGTCTCTGTATCTGTTTTGATACAAGTACCATGCTGTTTTGGTTACTGTAGACTTGTAGTATAATTTGAAGTCAGGTAGCGTAATACCTCCAGTTTTGTTCTTTTTGCTTAGGATTGTCTTGACTATTCAGGCTCTTTTTTGGTTCCATATGAAATTTAAAGTAGTTTTTTCTAATTCTGTGAAGAAAGTCAATGGTAGCTTGATGGGAAAAGCATTGAATCTATAAGTTACTTTGGGCAGTATGGCCATTTTCATGATATTAATTCTTCCTATCCGTGAGCATGGAATGTTTTTCCATTTGTTTGTGTCCTTTCTTATTTCCTTGAGCAGTAGTTTGTAGTTCTCCTTGAAGAGGTCCATCACATCCCTTGTAAGTTGTATTCCTAGGTATTTTGTTCTCTTTGTAGCAATTGTGAATGGAAGTTCACTCATAAGTTTGCTCTCTGTTTGTCTGTTATTGGTGTATAGGAATGCTTGTGATTTTTGCACATTGATTTTGTATCCTGAGACTTTGCCGAAGTTGCTTATCAGCTTAAGGAGATTTTGGGCTGAGACGACAGGGTTTTCTAAATATACAATCATCTCATCTGCAAACAGAGACAATTTGACTTCCTCTCTTCCTATTTGAATACGCTTTATTTCTTTCTCTTGCCTGTTTGCCCTGGCCAGAACTTCCAATACTGTGTTGAATAGGAGTGTTCACCACCTATTTTAAGAATAGTATTGAAGCCTCACAAAAGCTGGTTCTCATGTAACCATCTGAGAATATTTGGCCTTATGACTTGAATTCATTCATTGCCTTTTTATTTCACATTTTAGTGATCCTGATGTCTAAATCTTAATCTTTGATCCTTGCAAGGTAAAATAGCCAAGTCAAGCCTGTTTAATAATATTGGTTGAGGAAGTCACATGCTTATGATCAATCTTTGGGTTATGTAATTATATTACCTTAATGTTGGCAGTTTAGGTGTAAGGCAGAGATATCTGATCACATGTGTGGTTAGCTAATTTAAGATCACTGCCAACTAAAATCTTCATGGTATGATCTTCAAAGTTAGCTACTTTGACCACAGCAATGATTTCACCACAGCAATTAACAAAATGGCAGACTCTTTCCTGAGGTGGCATGAACAGTTTTAAAACAAAGTCAAGGACCAAAAGAAAAGCAGGCACATGGCATTTGATTCATTTCAAAAACTAGTATTGTATTAAGAGCCAAGGGGATAGAATTGTAGCATCAATTAAAATCTTGTTTGAAAAAAAATAAAAACAAACGTCCATTTTTATCTCTCAAATATATTAGGGTTTTCATAAAGTTATAGGTGTATTTTTAAAAAAACAAAACTCATATACATTAGACTGAAAAATTTGCCTGTCATCTCATCATGCAGCTAAATGCAATTGTCTATGGCGAGATACACTCTTATTAGAGGTATGATAGCACTAACTAATAGCAAACTTTGTACCTGGTAGTCTAATTTATGCAGGGTTCATATTTCGCTCCCTCTCAGCATGCTGTAACTGTGGCAAAGCCATTCTCAGGAGTTATTACCCCAACATAATCATACCCCTGTGGATTAGGAGCAGTTAAATGGGTCCTGTTATCAGAGACACATATGTGCCACAGCCGCTGTCATCCCTAAGCCACCGTGGGTGATTAAGACTCACTGATGGGACTACCTCTGAATAGGCTTGAGTGAGGTGGATACACTTCAGCTGAGAGAAATTCAGGTAAGGGGCTGAGAAAATCAGATTTTGAATGGTTTTATCATACCATCAGGTCTCCTTTTAAGTGCTGGGGTCATGGATTTCATTCAACCTGACCACATAGCCTTTGGAAGCTTGGCTCAATACCTGAGTGTGAGATTATGGGTGATATTAAAGGAGATGAATGCATTGAGCTGATGTCAGAGAATGTCTTTTACTGGATTTTCATAATGACTGGCTGCAGATGGGCTGAGGGGAAAGTCAGATCAAGAGCATTTCTGTAAGAAGAAAGAAATCTTCCCTCTTATTCTCTTTCAAGAAAATGAATAGCTGAGCACCAAGAGGCCAAATACTTTTTTAAAAAACACATCCTTTTATGTAGAGAAGGACAGGTTGAGACGAAAAACAGGACCTCTGAAACTGTCTTTATAGCTTTAATCTAGGAAGAAATTGCGGCACCATTGCTGACATCATTATCAGAGGCTGCCTTAGTTCTGAGAGCTTCACAGATGGCCTTTTCTGCATTTTACATCTGGCCAGATGAAGGCAAAAAGGTTGATGAAACCAAAACTATTAGATCAGTGGTCCATAACTCTGGCTGCACTTTAGAATCATCTGGGGAGTCCTTAAAACTACTGATCCTGAGGCTCCATCCCAGACCAATTGAATCAGGATCTCTGGGGGTGGGACCTGAGCATTGGAATGCTTTAAAAGTTCCTCAGGGACTCTAATGTGCAGCCAAGGCTGAGAATGACTGAGGTGGATGGTGGCCAAGACAGGTGAGGCCAAGAGTTAGAAGCCCTTACTGTTAGGGAAGGCAGAAGCCACAAGGAGGAGGGGAGGGGGAAGGAGCAGTATTTAGCATTTCTTCCACACAGTTGGGGGGTTTTCTGATCAAAATTAGGCTGGGATCTTTCGCTTCCATTTTCATGAAGGTCTTATGCTTTGTCCACAGCCACCTGGCCTCAGGGCAATGAGCAATCTGATTGATGAATTTTCAGTAAGAAACTGAGCACACTTGGCTCTCAGCCCCAGTGGCTTCCCCTGTTTCCAAATCTGCCCACCAGTTACAGGAGCCTGCTCACCAACTGGTTGGGTTAAAGAAGTCGGCTCTGTCCTTGGCAGGGAGGCCTTCAGCTGTCTGGCCCTGTCTGTGACTGCGTGGGTGAAGCTGCCTAATTTGGGGAACTTGATGGAAGATCTAAGCTATGTTCTCTAACAGTTTTATCAGAAATAAAGTTAACTTTTGACCTCCATCTGCCTGTCTCCTGTGGAAGGGCTCTGCTCCTTCCAAAGAGACTCTCAGGGGTTCTCCTTAGAGGTGTGTTATCAGTCCAAAGATCATTTTAGACCAGCCATTACAGAGGATGTCCAAGAAATTGCACAAGGGAAATAGAAGTAAGAATGAGAGCAATATATCAGATAGTAAGGAAAGTATGTGACTGGTTTCAAATAAGTAATTAACCATAAATCCAAAGTTCCTGCATTAGTTATAGCAATAGTCATCCACCTGGTCAGGAAAAAAAAAGTAAAAGACTGAGCTGCAAGATAGAAAGTTTGCCTGAATTCCACGTACTTCAAGGACTACTATGGAGGATTCCTTGGTCCCAATGCAGAGACATGTACTCTGACCACCCATGGGCCAAATCCCTCTTACCCACCCTCAGTGATTCCTCCTGGGACCTCACTACATTGAGTTCTTACATTCCCCACTCTTTTCGGGGGAAATATAACCCTTCTGCTCTTCTCATGATGTTAAAAATATTTAGACAATTACTTAAAATTTACAACAATCTTCCACATAAATGATCTCACTTATGTTTCTTGTGAGCTCTGTGATTTATTTCTATTATCATCTATGCTGATAGTTAAGGAAACTGAGATATCGAGACCAACATGCATAGTAAATGGCAAAACCAGATGAATTTTAAACTTTCCTAACTCCAAAAGCCACATCCTGCCCAACCCGCCATGCTGCCGCTCAGTTAATGCCTGGCTGTTTGTCTCCCCATTGGCCCCTCTACCCATTGTGCTTTGATGGCACACTGTATTCCAACTGCCTGAGACTCCTGGTTAATGCCATTACGTACAGACTTAGGTTGAATTTACTAGGATTTTTAAGATTTGTAGGATAAGAGATATGACTGTTAGACTGGAATCAGCAATAGATAAAAGGTTAACAAAGTTTCAGAATAAAATATAATAGAAAACCCCAGCAGATAGAAGTAAAATGAATGGTAAGACAACTGAAATGAAAGCCATACATTTAGAAATATCAAATAAAACACAGATTAATGGCAGACAATAAAGGAACATACTTAGCAGTTAGTAAAAACACTTTTTACCTTATTCTTATTACCCTCCAGTAACCTTTTTTTTTTTTTTTTTTGAGACAAAGTCTCGCTGTGTCGTCCAGGCTGGAGGGTAGTGATGTGATCTCGGCTCACTGCAACTTCTGCCTCTTGGGCTGAAGAGATTCTCCTGCCCCAGCCTCCTGAGTAGCTGGGACTATAGGGGCCCATCACTGCACCTGGCTAATTTTTGTATTTTTAGTAGAGACGGGGTTTCACCATGTTGGCCAGGCTGGTCTTGAACTCCTGGCCTCAGGTGATCCACCCGCCTCAGCCTCCCAAAGTGCTGAGATTACAAGCGTGAGCCACCAAGCCCGGCTGTAACCTATTGAAAATAACATTACTTGACATGTGAGACAAATTATTTGTAAGTTAAAGAGTTTATGTGCCTTCAATGCTCCCACCCTTCCCTCCCCTAAAAAGATTATTGAGTGCCCATGATGTGCCTAAGCCTTCTGGTAGACTCTGAGAATGTGAAGAGAGTTAGAGGATACTTGTTCAACAACCCAGAATCTAGCAGAAGTGTTTTGAAATGACCAGCCACTTGGGAGAGCTATGCTAGCATATCATTCAGGATGGGCTGGGTCATGTTTTAATAACAAGTAAGTTTGAACTTTATAGGTTTGAAACAAAAAAGATGTGTTTCTTGCTCACAGTTCATATTTTTTGGAGATTGGCTGGAGCTTCATTCCAGGATACTGCCACCATCTGGAATGTTGACAGTTACCGTAACAGAGAAAGAGTTGTGGAGGCTGTCACACTGGCAATTAAATTCGCTGACCTGGAACTGACACATGCCACCTCCACTTATATTTTATTGGCCAAGGCTTGTTACACAGCCACATCTAACTTCAGAGAGGTCAAGATGAGCAAATCCTACCACGAGCTATAGATGGATGAGTAGCACTCATTATTATCACAATTATTTTATTTGTTATAAAAACTCCAAGAAGGAGAGGTACTCTATGTGAGGAATAGGCATAGGAAAATCAGAGGGAAGTTCTTAAAGATGAGCTAGATTTCACTAGATGGCATTGAAGAAACATTCCAAGTAAATGAACAGCATAAGCAAATGCATGAAGAACTTATTGTGGTCCTAGTACAGACGATGCGTGAGAGTGTGGAGGAGGGAAAAGGTAAGACTGGAGAGGAAGGCAGGAACCAGAACAGGACAGACTGTGTTCACTGTCAGGCAGTTAAGTCTATCTTGTAGGCAACATGAAGCCTTTTAAGGAAGGCAAGCAGCTATGTGACAGGACAGAAGATGGATTGGAAGAAAATCAAAAGAGAAGTGGGGACCAGTCATAAGGCTCCTCCAATATTTGGGGATCCAAACCAAAGCACTGGCAGAGAAATAGAAAGGAAGGGAAATATTTCCAAAATATTCAAAACAGAAACCAAGAGAACTTGATGACAGAAGATGAACCCAGGTTTCTACTGAATGGACAGTTGTTACATTCTCTGAGATAAGGAATACAGAAGGAAAAAGTTGAGAGGGAATATGAAATTATTTTTAATCATGTTTAATTTGATCACTTGTGGAACATCAACCAGAGATGTCCATCAGTTACACCAATTTGTAGGTTTTGAGAGAGGCCTGAGGTAGAGGCAGAGAAGTGGGAATCAGCAGATTAGCGGCAGTAGTTGGAACCATAACTGAAGATGAGATTTCCCAGGGAGGGGAGTTGAACAGGAAGGTAGACAAAGGCTGAGTGCAGTGGCTCATACCTGTAATCCCAGCACTTTGGGAGGCTGCAGTGGGTAGATCACAAACAAGATCAGGAGTTCAAGACCAGCCTGGCCAACATGGTGAAACCCCGTCTCTACTAAAAAAACACAAAAATTAGCCGGGCGTGGTGGCACACACTTGTAATCCCAGCCTCAGGAGGCTGAGGCAGGAGAATTGCTTGAACCCGGGAGGCAGAGGTTGCAGTGAGCCAAGATCGTGCCATTGCACTCCAGCCTGGGCGACAGAGCGAGACTCCGTCCCCACCGACCCCCTAAAAAAGAAAGTAGACAAAGATGTGTCCTAGAAAACACTAATATGAATGGGTAGAGAGGGGAGACTTGTCAAGGAGATCGAGGGGAGAGTCAGTGAGGTGAAACCTTAGAGGATAGACCTTCACCAAGGAAGTAACAGTCAACAGGCCTAAATGCCACAGAGATGTCAAATGAGAGACACTGGAAATGGTTCTTTGAATATTACAGCCAGAACATCACAGGAGACCATTTCCAAAGCAGTCTTGATGAAGTGGTGGGGAAGGGAGGTCCCTGAAGGAGCTAAGGAGGGACTGGGAGATCATGACCCAGAGATAAGTGTTGCAGGTATAAAAGGGAAAGACTGAGATCAGGAAATAGCCACAGGATCCCTAAGGCCAGGCTTCGGGTGGGGTGGTGTGTGTGTGTGTGTGTGTGTGTGTGTGTGTGTATAAAATGGGAAGACCTTGAGTATAATTCTGTACTAAGAAGATAGAGCAGTAGAGAGGAAAAGGCTGAAGACAGATGGGAGGGTAAATAGTGAATTAGAAAGGTCTGTGCAAAGATGAGAAAGGATGAGTCTGAAAGCACAGGGAGAAGGGCCAGCCTTGGACAGGAGAAAACATTTCTTTCACTAAGAATAAAGGGAAGGTTGGGTATACACCACAAAGAAGGTGTAGATGGGTGGCAATGGAGTTCTGTCAAGTTGAGGGCATTCCATGATAGCCTCACCTTTCTCTGTGAAATGAGAGAGTTTAGTTTACAAGATATTTCTGAGCACTTCATAAGCCAGGTTCATAGACTGAAAGAAGTGGAGGTGGAGTGTGATAGGTCCTTAAGAATAGGGGAAGTTTGGAATATCTGACAAGGGACAGAGAGGAAAAAACTAGAAAAGGCTTTGCAGAATGTGGGCCCACAGATCAGAGGCTAAGGGGTCCCCATTTGTGCAGGAGAGTAAGGGCAGGGAGGCAAGGCTCACAGCCCAAAATATAGAGCCCCTCACCAAATGACTGCAGGAGGGCAGCTTTCCTATGAGAGCATCCCTATCACTGTTTTCACTCCGAGTCATTAACTTACGACTTACTCAGCTCTGTTTCGTAATAGCAGACTCGAGTAATGAGGGTATGACAGCCTCTCTCTGCATGCCAAGGTATGCAGCGTGGATTTCCTTTTTCGCTTTCTCTCTCCTGTGGCTTAGGTGCCTTCTGTTCTGCTACCAGGATAGAGAACCCAGTGACTAGTTTCTTCTAGCTCTCTTTTTCTGACTAGGTATCTTGTCAGAAATTTCTGCTTACCAGACTTCATGGAGAGGGAATCAAGCTTTGAATCAGGGTTGAAAAAGTAGAGCTTAATATATATATTACAAAATGCCACTCACGTTCTTGAGGTTACCTTGTATCTATACCACAACTAGCATTCTTTTAGAAAGCACCATTACCGAAGTAATCCCTTTCCTGGGAATTCACCCAAAAAGGTTATTCCCACTTATCCCCCATCTCCAAAATAAAAAAGAAAAATGTGTGTGCTTAGAGATGTTCCTGGAAGCATGAGCTGTAATACTGAACCAATAGAAGACGAACTAACAGATTGCAGGGCATCCGTTTGGCAAAAAACTTATGCAGTTATCTAAATGATAGTTATGAAGACAATATGTATAACACATTATATTCTGAGTGAAAAGAACAGAAGGTGATTTCAAAACTGCATTGGGATAATAGTAATATAGGAAATAGTGAGATGAACAAAGATTTCAAAGGAACAAAAATAAAGAAAAATTTTGCTTTTTATATTGGTAGGCGTATGGGTGAAATTCCAATTTTAATTTTAATTTCATAGTTATAAAATTGTTCATAAAAAAAGGTCCCCCATAGACAGTTGGGCTTTGGGACAAACTAACAGAAACAGAGTAGGAAGAAAATTCATCTTCCTTCAATCCCCTTTCTCTGCTTAAAACAAAACAAAAAAGAGCTTTGTCATGTTCAGGTGTGCAACGAATTCTTTTTCCAAATCTGGAACTTTACATCTGCTATTAAACAGGAGTCAGTTTCCATGTAACATGTTGACAATCCCCCAAGTGTGTTGGAATAATTTTTTTTAATGAGGAGATTTGAAATTCCATTTCAATTGCCAACCTGCCTCTTTCAACTTCTAAAAACAAAGTAAAACAAAACAAAAACACACTGGGTCCTATCACCCCCTCTTGCTACTACTATTTTATCTCCATTGCCCTGAATTCTTTCCAAACTTCTTTCCACCCAGCTTTGATTTGTTTTCAGTCGGGTTTATTGAGGCATAATTTACGTACAGTAAAATTCATCCTTCTTAGATTTAGAGGTCTATGCATTTTGACTAATGCATATTGGCTTATAATGACTACCACAACAAAGATATAGAACACACCCATCACTCCCGGGTTCTCCCTGTCCCTTTTTTGGTCCATCTCCTCTCCTACCCCCAACCCCTTGGCAACCACTGATCTGTTTTCTGTCCTTATCATTTTGCTTTTTCCAGGATGTTGTATATAAGGAATCATGCAGCATGCAGCCTCTCGAGTCTGACTTCTTCCAGTTAGCACAGTTATTTAAGATCTATCCGAGTTATTGTGAGTAGCAGCATCTTTTTTATTGCTGACTAGTATTTCATCACATGGATGGGCCACAACTTGTTTATCTGTTCACCTGTCAATGGATACTAAGTTGTTTCCAGTTTTTGGCAAATATGAATAAAGTAAACATTTGCATACAGATTTTTGTGTGGACACATGTTTTCAATTCTCTTAGGTAAATACTGAGCAATGGGATTGCTGGGTTATATGTTAAGTCTATGTTCAGTTTTCTAAGTTCTGAAACAATTGGATATCTATATGCAAAAATACAAAATTAACCTTGACTCAAACTTGTACCATACACAAAAAATAACCTGAAAGAGATCACAGGTGTAAATGTAAACCTAGAACTAAAAACTTCAAGGAGAGAAACATAGCAGAAAATATTTGTGACCTTGCATTAGGCAAAGACTTCTTAGATTTGACATTTGAAACATGATACATAAAAAATCTTGATAAATTGGAGTTCATAAAAATAAGAACTACTCTTCAAAAGACACTGATAAGAGAATGAAAATACAAGCCACAGACAGAGAAAATATTTGTGAATTTCTTATCTGATAAAGGGTTTGTATCCAGCATGCATAAAGACTTTTCAAAACTCAATAATAAACAATCCAATAAGAAATGCACAAAAGATACAAACACATCATCGAAAATGACCTATGAAAGGCAAATAAGCCCACAAAAAAATTCTCAACATCATTAGACACTTGGGAAATGCAAATTAAAACAACACTGAGATAAACTACATATCTATTAAATGGCTACCACTTTAAAAACCTGTCAAGTGCCAGCCAGAATGTGGAACAAGTAGGACTCTCTTACATTGCTAGTGGGAAGGTGAATGGTACAGCCACTTTGGAAAACACTCCGCAGCTTCTTATAGTTACACATAGGACCTGGGGGTAGAGGATGGATTGACTGTAAAGGGGCAAAACTTCCTGGTAGGGGTGGGGAAAGTTTTTAGAAGGGTGAAATTGTTCTATATCTTGATTATTGTGGTGGTTACACAACTGTCTGCATTTGTCAAAACTCACAGAACTGTACACTAAAAAGGTATATTTTTATGCTCTGCTAATTTTACTTTAATCTTAAAAATAGGAAGGAAAAAATAAAATCAATGCCACTGTGCGACTTTGGGCAAGTTACTTCACTTCTCTGTGCCTTGGTCTTTTGAAATCTATACATTAAGGATAAAATAATACCTTCCTCATACTGTTAGAATTAAATGTGCTAATTTATGTTTTATATATATAAAGTACTTGGCCGGGTGTGGTGACTCACACCTGTAATCCCAGCACTGTGGGAGGCCGAGGTGGGCAGATCACTTGAGGACAGGAGTTCAAGACTAGCCTGGTCAACATGGTGAAACCCTGTCTCTACTAAAAATACAAAAATTAGCTGGGCTTGGTGGTGCGTGCTTGTAATCCCAGCTACTTGAGTGGCTGAGGTGGGAGGATCACTTGAACTCCAGAGGTGGAGGCTGCAGTGGGCTCCACCCACTGCCTGGGTGACAGAGCTAGACTCCATCTCGAAGAAAAAATAAGTACTTGAAACATAGCAAATGTTTTATAATTATTGGCTTTTTTTTCTTATTGTTATTACTTGCATTATTGCTGTTTGAAGAAGTTTGGTGATAATGGAGAGAAAAGGGCAATTAGGGGTCTGGGATGGTTTAAGTATGAGGAGACCGAGACACATTGACTCAGAGTGAAGAAATCAAAGATAAGAGAATGAAAGAAAGGGAGGGTAATTCTGAACGCACAGACAAAGTTATGTTACTAACGTGGCATCGGCTGTGTGTTGTAATAAATAACTCCCTTTCACTTGTCAATAGCTAATCAAATACTTTCTGGAGACCAGAAGTGACTTGCTGGATCAATGACAACTCCTCCACAGATCAAAATGTTCAAATCCTTTTTCTGTGTTGTAATCCTAAATCTAAAAGAACAGAGAGACCAAGCAAATCTACCTCCCAACATCATTAAAGTGACAACTCTCAGTATTTATTTGAATGGTCTGCTCTCAGCTTCAACCAAGGAAAAGTCAAATTAGTGTTGGTCAGAAAACAGAAGGGTGTTACGAGAGTTCTGGCTGGTCATTACAGACTTGGGGATTTTTGATTAAAAGAAGAAGAAGAAGAAGAAACCTGATAAAGTGTAAATATAGCAAGCAGGGATTAGTGTCCTGCTGGGTCATGTTCTCACAACAGTGAGAATTTCAGAGATTTCATAAGAATTAAACTGCTCCACATGACAATTTATTTTACCTTCTGGCTTTTCCAGGAGGCAAATCAGTGCAACTTCTTTCTGCCTTTGTTTCAATTTGGTAACAACCCTCAATTTTAGGACAGGCTAAACCTAGCCACCCTATCAGAGATGATGAAGTAGCCATCTTTTTAACAGGTGGGGAGATGAATGGAATCAGGGTTTGTTTGTTTGTTTGTTTAATAACTGCTAGTAAAAACCAAGTCAATAGCTGACTGAGTGTAAGGGAGGCTCCAGAAGGCAGGTTATTGTAGTATAGATGTGACTCGACTTATGATGATGTTACTTCCCGATAAACCCGTCATAAGTTGAAATATCGTTAAATTGAAAATGCTTTTAATACACCGAATCTACCGAACATCATAGCTTAGCTCAGCCTACGTTAAATGTGCTCAGGACGCACATTGCCTACAGCTGAGCCAAATCACCTGGCAACACAGGACACTGTAGAGTATCGGTTGCTGGCCCTTGTGATGCTGTGACTGACTGGGAGCTGCGCTTAGTGCCTCTACCCAGCATTGAGAGTTTCTTATCGCTTATTACTAGCCTGGGAAAAGACCAAAATTCAAAACTCAAAGTGCGGTTTCTACCGAATGCTTATAACTTTCAGACCATCATGATGTTGAAAAATCGAACCATCGTAGGTTGGGATCCATCCTATAAGACGAGCTACACTGCCGGAAGTGTAAGACTGCTATGCTGCCGGAAGATGGGGCATAGTGGACAACTGCAAGTCCTGACAACAGGAGGTCAGCATCTGCGACCTTTAACATCCACATTGACACTACCACAGTCTTCCAAACAGAGCTGATGATATAGTTTGGATGTCGTCCCTGCCCAAATCTCATGTCGAATCGTAATCCCCAGTGTTGGAGGTGGGGCCTGGTGGGAGGTGATTGGGTCATGGGGGCAGAGTTCTTATGAATGGTTTAGCACGGTCCCCCCTTGGTACTGTATAGTGAGTGAGTTCTCATGCGATCTGGTTGTTTAAAAGTGTGTGGCACCTCCCCTCTCTCTCTTTCTCCTACTCTGGCCATGTGAAGTGTTGGCTCCCGCTTTGCCTTCCACCATGATTGTTAAATTCCCAGAGGTCTCCCTAGAAGCTAATGCTGCCACGTACAGCCTGGAGAACTGTGAGCCAATTAAACCTCATCTCTTTTTAAATTACCCAGTCTCAGGCCGGGCGCGGTGACTGACACCTGTAATCTCAGCACTTTGGGAGGCTCAGGCAGGAAGATGATTTGAGGTCAGGAGTTCGAGACCAGCCTGGCCAACATGGTGAAACCCCATCTCTACTGAAAATATAAAAATTAGCCAGGCATGGTGGCGGGTGCCTGTAATCCCAGCTACTTGGGAGGCTGAGGCAGGAGAATCGCTTGAACCTGGGAGTCAGAGGTTGCAGAGAGCCAAAATGGAGCCACTGTACTCCAGCCTGGGCAATGGAGTGAGACCCTGTCTCAAAAAATATATATATATTACCCAGACTCAGGTATTTCTTTACCTGAGACTATGAGAGAATGGACTAATATAGCTGAAGAATTTTATTTTATTTTTAAAAAACTTTTACGTTTGGGGGTACCTGTAAAAGTCTGTTACATAGGTAAACTCCTGTCATGAGGATTTGTTGTACAGATTCTTTCCTGCTCCTCCCCCTCCTCCCACCCTCCATCCTCAAGAAGATCCCAGTGTCTGTTGTTTCCTTCTTTGTGTTCGTAAGTTCTCATCATGTAGCTCCCACGTATAAGTGAGAACATGCAGTATTTGGTTTTCTGTCCCTGTGTTAGTTTGCTAAGGATGATAGCCTCCAACTCCATCTATCTTCCTGCAAAAGACATGATCTCATTCATTTTTATTGCTGCATAGTATTCCATGGTGTATATGTACCACATTTTCTTTATCCAGTCTGTCATTGATGGGCATTTAGGTTGATTCTGTGTCTTCAGAATTGTGAATAGTGCTGCAACGAACATTCGTGTGCTTGTGTCTTTATAGTAGAATGATTTCTATTCTTCTGGTAGTAATGGGATTGCTGGGTCAAATGGTCGTTCTGCTTTTAGCTCTTTGCAGAATCACCATACTGCTTTCCACAGTGGTTGAACTAATTTACACTCCCACTAACAGTGTATAAGTGTTCCCTTTTCTCTGCAACCTTGCCAGCCTCTGTTATCTTTTGACTTTTTAATAAAAACCATTCTAATTAGTGTGATGGTATTTCATTGTTGTTTTGATTTGCATTTCTCTAATGATCAGTGATGTTGAGCTTTTTTTCATGTTCGTTGGCTGCAGGTACATCTTCTTTTGAAAAGTGTCTGCTCATGTCCTTTGCCCACTTTTTAATGGGGTTGTTTTTCTCTTGTAAATTTAAGTTCCTCATAGATGCTGGGTATTAGACCTTTGTCAGATGTATAGCTTGCAAATATTTTCTCCCATTCTGTAGGTTGTCTGCTTACTCTTTTGATTGTTTCTTTTACCATGCAGAAGCTCCTAAGTTTAATTAGATCCCATTTGTCAATTTTTGCTTTTGTTGCAATTGCTTTTGGTGTCTTTGTCATGAAATCTTTGCCAGGTCCTATGTCCAGAATGATATTGCCTAGGTTGTCTTCTAGGGTTTTTATAGTTTTGGGTTTTACATTTAAATCTTTAATCCATCTTGAGTTGATTTTTGTGTTTGGTGTAAGGAAGGGGTCCAGTTTCAATATTCTGCATATGGCTAGCCAGTTATCCCAGCATTATTTATTGAGTAAGGAGTATCTCCTCCGTTGCTTGTTTTTCCCAGGTTTGTTGAAGATCAGATGGTTGTAGGTGTGTGGCCTTATTTTGGGGCTCTCTATCCTGTTCATTTGGTCTATGTGCCTGTTTTTGTACCAGTACCATTCTGTTTTGGTTACTGTAGCCCTATAGCATATTTCAAAGTTGGGTAACATGATGCCTCCAGCTTTATTCTTTTTGCTTAGAATTACCTTGGCCATTTGGGCTCTTTTTGGTACCATATGAAGTTTAAAATAGTTTTTTTTCTAGTTATGTGAAGAATGTCGTTGGTAATTTGATAGGAATAACATGTAATGATATTGATTCTTCCTATCCATGAGCATGGGATGTTTTTCCATTTGTTTGTGTCTTCTCTGATTTCTTCAAGCAGTGTTTTGTAACTCATATTGTAGAGATTATTCACCTCCTTGCTTAGCTGTATTCCTAGGTATTGTATTCTTTCTGTAGTAATTGTGAATGGGATTGCTTTTCTGATTTGGCCCTCAGCTTGGTATTGTTGGTGTATAGGAATGCTAGTGATTTTTTGTATCCTGAGACTTTGCTGAAGTTATTTATCAGCTGAAGGAGCTTTTGGGCTGAGACTAGGGGGTTTTTTAGATATAGAATCATGTTCTCTGCAAACAGATTTAGTTTGACTTCCTCTCTTCCTACTTGGATGCCCTTTATTTCTTTCTCTTGCCTGATTTCCCTGGCCAGGACTTCCAGTACCATGTTGAATAGGCGTGGTGAGAGAGGGCATTCTTGTCTTGTGCCAGTTTTCAGGGAGAATGCTTCCACCTTTTGCCCATTCAGTACGATGTTTGTGGTGGTTTGTCATATATGGCTATTATTATTTTGAGGTGTGTTCCTTTAATACCTAGTTTATTGACAGTTTTTAACATGAAGCAGTGTTTAATTTTATTAAAAGTCTTTTCTGCCTCTGTTGAGATAGTCATGTGGCTTTTGTCTTTAGTTCTGTTTATGTGATGAATCACATTTGTTGATTTCCTTATGTTGGACCAACCTTGCATCCCAGGGATGAAGCCTACTTGATTGTGGTGGTTTAGCTTTTTGATATACTACTGGATTCAGTTTGCAAGTATTTTGTTGAGGATTTTTGCATTGATGTTCATCACGGATATCGGCCTGAAGTTTCTTTTTTTGTTGTGTCTCTGTCAGGTTTTGGTATCAGAATGATGCTGGCCTCCTAGAATGAGTTGGGGAGGAGTTCCTCCTCCTCAATTTTTTTGGAATAGGTTCTGTAGGAATGGTACCAGCTCTTCTTTATACATCTGGTAGAGTTTGGCTGTGAAGCCATCAGGTCCTGGGATTTTTTAGTTGGTAGGGTATTTATTACTGATTCCCTAAATAGACCGATAATGATTTTAGAAGTGGAGTCGGTTTTTTCCTGGTCCAGTCTTGGGAAGGTGTATGTATCCAGGAATTTATTTAGCTCTTCTAGGTTTTCTAGTTTGTGTGCATATGGGTGTTCATAGTAGTTTCTGATGGTTGTTTTTATTTCCGTGGGATCAGTGGTAACATTCTCTTCATCATTTCTTTTTTTTTTTTTTTTTTTTTTTTTTGAGACGGAGTCTCGCTCTGTCGCCCAGGCTGGAGTGCAGTGGCGCGATCTCGGCTCACTGCAAGCTCCGCCTCCCGGGTTCACGCCATTCTCCTGCCTCAGCCTCCCGAGTAGCTGGGACTACAGGCGCCCGCTACCACGTCCGGCTAATTTTTTGTATTTTTAGTAGAGACGGGGTTTCACCGTGTTAGCCAGGATGGTCTCGATCTCCTGACCTCGTGATCCGCCCGCCTCGGCCTCCCAAAGTGCTGGGATTACAGGCGTGAGCCACCGCGCCCGGCCCATTTCTAATTGTGTTTATTTGAATCCTCTCTCTTCTCTTCTTTATTAGGCTAGCTAGTGGCCTATCTATCTTATTAATTTTTTCAAAAAACCAGCTCCTGGATTTCTTGATCTTTTGAATGGTTTTTCATGTATCAATCCTTCAGTTCAGCTCTGATTTTGGTTATTTCTTGTCTTGTGCTAGCTTTGGGGTTGACTTGTTCTTGCTTCTCTAATTCTTTCAGTTCTGATGTTAGTTTGTTAGTTTGAGATCTAACTTTTTGATGTGGACATTTAGTGCTATAAATTTAACTCTTAACACTGCCTTAGCTGTGTCCCAGAGAGTCTGGTATGTTGTATCTTTGTTCTCATTAGTTTGAAAAAACTTCTTGATTTCTGTCTTAATTTAATTATTTATCCAAAGTCATTCAGGAACATGTTGTTTAATTTCCATGTAATTGCATGGTTTTGAGCGATTTTCTTAGTCTTGACTTCTATTTTTATTGTACCGTGGTCTGAGGGTGTTTGATATGACTTTGGTTCTTTTGCATTTGCTGAGGATTGTTTTATGTCCAATTATGTGGTTGATTTTAGAGTATGTGCCATGTGGTGATGAGAAGAATGTATATTCTGTTGGTTTTGGGTACAGAGTTCTGTAGAGGTCTATTAGATCCATTTGGTCCAATGTTGAGTTCAGATCCTGAATATCTTTGCTAATTTCCTGCCTCCATGATCTAATACTGTCAGTAAAGCACTGAAGTCTCCTACTACTATTGTGTGGGAGTCTATGTCTCTTTATAGGTCTCTAAGAACTTGCTTTATGAATCTGGGTGCTTCTGTGTTGGATGCATATATATTTAGGATAGTTAGATCTTCTTGTTGAATTGAACCCTTTACCATTATGTAACGCCCTTCTTTGTCTTTTTTTTTCTTTGTTGGTTTGAAGTCTTCTTTGTCTGAAATTAGGATTGCAACCCCTGCTTTTTTCTGTTTTCTGTTTGCTTGGTAGATTTTCCTCCATCCCTTTATTTTGGACCTATGGGTGTCCTTACATATTTTATCTTTATCTATCCATCCAGCCATCCAGCCATCCATTCATCCGTATCATTTTTAACCAATAAGGACTTTTAAAAGCGCAACCACAACACCATTAACATAACCAATAAAATCTATAACAATGATAAAATATCATCTAATACTCAGTCCATGTCCAATTTTCCCTCGCTATCTCAAAATCGTCTTCTTAGAAATGGTCTGTTCAAATGAGATCACATGGACAGAGGAAGGCGAACCTCACACTGTGGGGACTGTTGTGGGGTGGGGGGAGGGGGGAGGGATAGCATTGGGAGATATACCTAATGCTAGATGACAAGTTAGTGGGTGCAGCGCACCAGCATGGCACATGTATATGTATGTAACTAACCTGCACAATGTGCACATGTACCCTAAAACTTAAAGTATAATAATAAAAAATAAAAATAAAAAAATAAAAAGTGAAAAAAGAAAAAAAAAAAAAAAAGAAATGGTCTGTTCAAATCACAAACCAGATTCAGAAACAATAGCCATACATTACATTTTATTAATATGTCTCTTAAATTTCTTTTAATCTATTACAGTCTTTGGAATTTTTATGTCTTCGTTTATCCTTCCAATTATTAAAAAAAAAGTATTTTTGTATTCATTGAATAGACAATGCTTGCAGAAAAGTAAAAAAAAAAAAATTTAGTACAAAAAGGTACATAGTGAGCTGTTCCTTAGTCTCCCTTCCCAGAAGCAATGTTACCACTTTTGTACAAATAGTCTCTGCCTAGACACACATGCCAGTCCCTAAGGTGGCTGTAACAAGGTGGTTAAGAGTGAGAACATGAATTCAAATTCCTATTATGCCACTCACTAAGTATAAATCTTGGTCATGGTACATGCCTCTGTGCCTCAGTTTTTAATAATGGTACCTACCTCATAGGGCTGTTGAGAGAATTAAATCAGATAAGTGCTTAAATAACTATTAATATTTATTATTATTCACATTCCCTTTTGGCTTTTTTCCCAAATAGCAGAGTGGTGCACATATGTCTTCATTTATTTGGCTTGTTTTTTCACCTCACATCACATTTTGATGAATAATTCCATACATGTTGTTATAGATTTGCTTCATTCTTTGTAATCATTGACTAATATTCCATTGTATGAATATGCTACTGCTAAACATGTACGTTATTTCCAACCTCTTATTATCAAGAAATGCTGCAATGAATATCCTTGTAATACTTTAGTGGATTCATGTGCAAAAATATTCATAGGATAAAATCCTGAAAGTTAAATTGCTGAGCTAAAGGGTATGTGCATTTTAATGCTTTATAGATTGCCCAGCTGCCTCAAAGGAGGTTATAACAATTTACACTCCCAAGAAAAATGCACAAGGGTCCCCATTTCCCCATACCCTAGCTAACACAGGATATTGCTAAATGCTTTCATCTTTGTAAACATGATGTATTGAAAATGGTATCTCAAAGTTTTAATGTGCATTTTTCTGATTGTGAGAAGATAAAGGAAATGTAGTACAACTAAACATCAGCAGTCAAATGACCTGGCCATGACTCCTGAGTGAGGACACTGGTAAACACCATCAGGATCCAAACACCTCTGTATTTACGAAGAGGATGCTCCCTATTGGATAGCACTAAGCTTATTTCATGTATGTACATATGTAGTTAGTTAATTACATCCAGCGGTGGCAAAGGGCTTGTTCTGACCCAATGAAACTTTCTCTCCTGGCCCCCTTCCAGCATGTGGTCAGGAGTAGAGTGTTGTGGCCATGAGGCATGCATTTGTACAGATGACTACTTACTCCTCCTTGAAACATTTTTTTCCATTTGCTTCCCTGCTGTCTCACTCATGGGTCTGCTCCTAATTCACAAATCACTCTTTTCCCAGTCTTCTTGGTTGGGTTTTCTCCTCTTCTGTGCTTGTAGACATGGGGGAGCCCCAGGGCTTCTCTCTTGAACTACAGCTTCTCCCTGGGTTCATCTCCTTGGGATGTCTGTTCCAATGGGTTTAAATACTAGGGCTAGGACTAGGGAGAGGTCATTGAGGCACTTAGCACATAAAGTTTAAGGAAACATTCTTTATCAGGCCCATGCAAGTGCAGGACTGGCCCTGGAGGGTGACTACCACCTTACCTTTTCCACCCTAGGCACCTTGTTTGCCTTACCCTAGCCCCAGTCCTCTTTAACACCCCAGTCTTCTCCCTGGACCTCCAGAAACATAAATCCTATTTGACATTTCTACTTGGAGGTTTTAAGGTAACTCAAACGTAAAATATCTAAGACAGAACTCTTGCATCACTTCCCATCCTGGGGCCCAAGCCTGTCTCTTCTACTAGTCTATCTCAGTTAACAGCATCACCATTTATTCAGTTGCTCAGGACAAAAAATTTGAAGTAATCCTTGACTCTTCTTTTTTTTTTTTTGAGACGGATTCTCACTCTGTTGCCCAGGCTGGAGTGCAGTGGTGGGACCTTGGCTCACTGCAACCTCTGCCTCCTGGGTTCAAGCAATTCTCCTGCCTCAGTCTTCTGACCTCGTGATCCACTCGCCTCGGCCTCCCAAAGTGCTGGGATTACAGGCGTGAGCCACCGCACCCGGCCTGGATTCTTTTTTTTTTTTTTAAACAAGTCCTATCTTCCATCTCCAAAATGTATCCCAAATCTGACAACCTCTCCCACCGTAGGCCAGCCCCCATCTCTCCCCTCTGAAAATAGCCTCCCTTAGATCTCTGGACATTTGTTCTTCCCCACCCCCTTGTGATCACTATTCAGCATTCAGAATGATCTTTTAATATTATGAAGGAGACTGTGTTCCTCTCCTACTTAAAATTCTCTAGTGGCTTCCTAATAAATTTAGAATAAAAAGCCAACTCCTCGCCATGGTCACCAGGCCAGGATCCAGTGGGTACAACAATCTGTTCCCAGCACAATAATCCCACTTCTGCCTCCCCACCATTCACCAGGCTCCACTGCACTGGCTCATTCCTGCCTCAGTTGTGCTTCTTTTCCCTGGAAAGTTCTTTCTGTAGATCTTTAAAGGGTGATTTCCTTCTCAACATTCAGGTGTCAGCTCGTTTCACTTTCCTGACCATGCCCATCCACTCAGAGATCACTCAAAATCCCATTACCCTATTTTATTTCTCCATCATATGTATCACTATCTGAAACTATCTTGTTGTTGATGCAGGCTATTTTCTTGACCCCTTCATGGGACTCCCAACAGGGGTACCCCATTTACTCAGCCTGCCCTGCTCAACCTCTTGCAGGAGGGAGCACACGAGTGAACGAGTGCAGGAACCAGCTGGCTGCTTTAGTGCTGTGAGGAGTAAACTCCATGCAGGCCCTGCAGCAGCAACCAGGTAGGGGTGCCTGCAACCCCAGGGCCCCAGAGGGTGTGTTACAATGCTCTCGTAGCTCTGCCATCTGTGGACAGCAGTGTGTTGTCAGCTCAGTGGGCCCTTTGCTTCATCATGTAGGGTGGCTGCCCTCTGCCTGTGAGGGCAAAGGGCCAGGGTGACAGTCTTTTTGGGTACCCACAATTTGTGCATCCTGAATTCTTGTTTGGTGCCCAAGAAGAATGGGGTCACACAGATGAACTGAAGGATGGTGAATGCAGAGAATTAGCAATGAAAGTGGCTCTCAGCAGAGAGAGAAGCTGAAAAGGGAATGGGAAGGGCAGGTCACTCTCCCCTGAAGTCAAGTCACATCTCTCCAATGTCCAGCCACCATCTCTGAAGTCAAGTTTCCTCTCTCTGATGTCCAGCCACTTCTCCTCTCTACTGGCTGAGTCTGGGGTATTTATAGGCAGAGGATAGGTGGTGGGGCAGGCCATACATAATTTTGGAAAAGGCAACATTCTATTGGTAAAAAGACATTATTCATAAAGAACCAATTGGGAAAGAGCGGGCACACAGGGATGGAAGTTCTCACTTTGGGCTGCAGGTTTCAGGCTTTTCAGCTCAAAAGTGAGGTTTTTCCAGGGACCTGCCCCGTCTGCCTAAAATTTCTACACTTCTGTCATTGATACCGCTGGATAACAGCTCTCCTATAAAGTTCAGGGGCTTAAAACAAAAATTTACTAATTCACCCGGACAGTTCTTGATAGGGTCTCTCCTAACTGTTGCAGTTACATAGCAACTGGGTTGGAGTCATCTTTTCTGGGCTTGACATCCAGGACAGCTTCTTCCCTTGTGTGTCTGGTGCCTCAGTGCTCCTCCAGGCAGCCTTTCTCTCCAGAAGAGTAGCCTGGACTTCTTGGCAACTCAAGCTTCCAAAAGAAAAAAAAGCAGAGACTGCTGGTTCTCTTATCAAACAGGCCTGGAACTGGCACAATGTACTTCTGCTGCCATATTCAGGAGGTCAAAGCAATCGAAGGCCAATCCAAGTTCAAAGGCATTGGAGAAAAATGAGAAGTGTCACTTAAATGAGAAGTGACACATGCGTAAAAGGGGGAAAAGCATTGATTGTGGCCATTTTTGGAGATAAGCTATCACGTTTATTTGTTTGTTTGCTTTCTAATGGTCTGTCTTCTCCCATTAGGTTATAAGCTCTGTGAGACAACAGGAATCTTGTCCATCTTGTTTTATGGCTCTACTTCCAACACCTAGAATAATGCCTGGCACATAGTAGGTGCTCAGTGAATAACTTAAGCACTTGATACATGTTTGGGGAACTAAAATGAACAGAATTAAACTTCCCCAGATTGGTCCTGCCAGATTTGCTGATGCCAAGCATGCTGATGCCTCACCAGATGAAAGAAGCCCTAAAATGTAGGGTTTCGCTTTCTCTGCAAACAAGAAAAACTTGCCCTGAACACAAAATCTAGAAATAGATTTGGCGTGTTTTCTACATTGAAATATTTCCCGTAGTACCAGAAATTATTTTCCCACAGCTTTGTGCTACATTAAAATATTGAAGTTGACTGAAAATATCTCCATTCTTTAATCTTGGTGTAGACTAGAAACAATTTTTTTGTAACAAAGTAAATATGAAAACTTCCTAATATTTGAACTCCCCAGATATCCCCAGATATCTCCAAACTTAAAATATCATTGCAAGTTAAGATAAATTTTTTTAAATGACTACCGAGAAAGGTCATTAAAGGCTTGGTTATTAAAATGTACAGATTTGGGTTATAAAGCCAGAACTTATTTGTTTAAATCATTACATATGACCAAGCACAGAAAATAAATTACCTCAAATCTCCTCTTTGCTAATTTTTACTGGTAAACTCTATAAAATGATCCTATCTTTAAACCTTTTTGTAAACCCCTTATAAGTTAGTAAGTGAGAATGTATTCATCAGAAGGATTTTAGTGATGTTTGAAATTAAAAAAGAGAGATTTGATTTTTAAAATTATACTTGCAGACTACTGCTAATGAAACTTCTTCTAACCCTAGTTTTGTCTTATCTTCAGTTTTTCCAGATTTGCTCAAAGCAATCCCAGTGAGCATCCACGTCAATGTCATTCTCTTCTCTGCCATCCTTATTGTGTTAACCATGGTGGGGACAGCCTTCTTCATGTACAATGCTTTTGGAAAACCTTTTGAAACTCTGCATGGTCCCCTAGGGCTGTACCTTTTGAGCTTCATTTCAGGTAAGTACAAAATTCTACCTCTGAAGACAAATGTGCTTTTCAATATGTCAAAAAGACCGTCTACCTAAATATAAAGTTATAATCTTAACATATATACATGGATGCACACTGTAGTATTATACATAATAACAAAAAGTGTGGAAATACCACACTTGCTCAACAGTAGGGAATTCAATAAATACTTTATGGACATCTATATGAATAACTGTGATGCTGACATTAAATTATATTTTTGAAGATGTAATCAAGAGGATAAACGCTTGTCTCAAAAAGTTACATGGGAAAAGCAGTATGTAAACTTATATAAACATTGTGAACCTAATTTGATTATATATATAAAATATAGGGAATATACATATAAAATACATATATGTATATATGGGGGCTATATATATATATATATGAAAGAGATAGATAGATAGATAGATAGATAGATAGATAGACAGACAGACAGACAATACAGACTCCAATCTGTTGGTCGTGGTTGTCTCTGACCCATGACACTATGGGGGACTTTTATTTTTGCTCATACTTTTCAATATTTCTTAGTGTTCAATAATGTGCTATTATTTATACATAATAATAAAAATAAATAAATGGCATCAAAAAAGAGTAAAGGGCCAGTGTTCCGCCCACATATGAGCAGCCATATTCAAGCCTGTAGACACTTTGTGTAGCCTAATGCTAGGTGTATCTGGGCAAGGATAAACTCTAAAGCCAGAAATTAGTTCATCAATAAACATGTGCTACTCAATAGCTAGGGCTGATGGAAAAGAATATAAAACCCAGTCTGTGCCAAATGGTGCTTACTATCTGCAAGTGGGAGAAGGAGAAAGACGAGAAAATGAAAAATGTGTGTATAATTTATATGTAGCTGTTCTGTAGGAGATCTCTGACTTCACCCCATTCTAACTTTGCAAAAAGATCCAACACTTTGTCAGATTCCTGGGAGGCAAGTAATTTTATTGATGGTTTCATGGAGGGATACAGAACGATAACAACTCACACAAAGCAAACAATGTAATGAAAATCTCTATTCGACTGTTTCTTTTTCTCCTGAAGTTGCCCTTTGGCTGCCAGCTACCAGGCACCAGGCTCAAGGTACTTTCTTGCTCTTGACACTACTCCCTTCTCTCATACAATTCAACCCCAACCACAAACGTGTATAGATCTCTCTCTCTATAAAACAAAGGCCTGTAGTTAACAGGAGGTCACTTGCAGTGTAGCCTCTGTTCATTGTTACTTGTGCACACTGCTTAGGGTCTCACCCCATCCACATTCTGCTAATCACATTATTCACCCATCCAATGTAGATCTCTCCAGTGGAGATTCTGCTAATATTTTCTTTAGATTTGTCACAAGTATATAATACAGTTTTAAATTGTACAGATGATTATCCTATAACAGAAGAGTCTAAGCCTTTTACATCTTTGTATCTCTAACGAAAGCATTCAGCATGAAGCTCTGTACACAGCAGACAATTCAATATGAATTTGCTGACTTGAAACAGCAAGCCTAGAAAGGAGATGTTAACTTGGTCACTTAGACAGAACAGGTTTCAGCAATCAGAATTCAGATGACATGGAACTGGTAGAACAGGCGCTTTGAAGCAATAGGACATGAGCCAGTGAGGAGAGGGATGGAATATCATAAACAAAGGCCAAGGGCTTTGCAATCAGAGCTGAAGAGCCAAGAGCACAGGCTCAGGGTGTGGGCAGACTGAATGAGAAAGTGATTCAATCACATGTGAAAGTCCAGATGAGAAGAGAGAGTTGGGATTACTTCTGCTCACCAAACATCCAAAACCAAACAGGTGGATCCGGGTGGTGTGCTGTTTTACTGATGACCATTACACAGAATTTTAACAGAAGGAATGTAAAGCAGTGGTTCTCAAACTGGAGTTCCCAGATGAGCAGCGTCTGCATCATCTGGAAACCTGATAAAGCAGCAAATTCTCAGGCCCTACCCCAGACCCACTGAATCAGAAACTTGGGGGTCTGGGGGAAGATGGCCATCTGTATTTTAACAATCTCCCTTCAGGAGATTCTGAGGCTGGCTCAAGTTTGAACTACAGGTAGTTGGTTCAACAGGTGTTGGTGGACTGACAAACAAAAAGAGACTCCGAGGTAACTCCAAGATGGTAATGTCAGAAAGCAGCTACCACCCCTAGGGCTTGGGGGAACCAACAAAAGAGTTTGGCATTGCCAGAACCTAGAATCTTGAGGAGAGGCCCCAGAGCATTGTGTCTCAGACCTTGAGGACTTGGCACTGGGACACCATGAGGGGTTTCTGGGTGTGGGAAAGGGCTGGAAACTCCCCAGTTGCTGCCACCAGGGAGAACTACAAGTGAAGTGGAAGGTGTGGGCCTTTCTCCCTTTTCTTTTCTCGTCTTCTCTCTCCCCCTGGTGCTCATGTTTGACAGAAAACAGCTGAAAAGGCAGAACTAGTTTGGGGAGTCTTGACCTGGCATCATAAAGCAGAGAAAAGCAAAGCTGGAGTGAAGGTGAGACACAACAGCTCATTAGCAGCAACAGCCGTCTAGCGCTCCAGCTTCTGAATGAAATTCTGAAGAACAGCGCACTTGGAAGACAAATTATTTGACAGTTCTGACAGACGACCAAACTAACAGCATTTGAAAAGCAAGATGACTCAGAGAATACAGAATTTAATCCAAATCCCAGATCCTATCTCTGCCTTTGGCCAGGCCTAATGCAAGGAGAACCTGAGCACACAAATATATGCAGGAATGATCAGGACCTGTGCCTGCATTCTATTCTGTCTCACCCACCTTCAAATTTGTTGTAAAAACATGGGCTCAATAAAGGTTTGTGAATCAGGGAAGGAAGAGAAGGGGAGAAAGGAAGGGAAGGAGCCAGCTCCAGATCTGTGTCTTGCAGAGGATAAAGGCCAGTGTTTTTAGATCACCCAGTGTTTTTCTAAGCCCCCAATACTTATTTTGAAATATCAAAATGTTCAATAACTAAAAAAAAAACCGTTACAACAATAAAACATGTTTGAGGGTCAGATGGACTGGCAGTTTGTGACCTCTGGGGATAAACAGGTCACTTTGGAATCACAGACTTCCTCATTCCCCTTAAATCTCATATGGTACCCAGAAGCCCTTGGAACTTTGGAAGGTGTTTATTCACAGTTGTAATGTCCATGCAGACCCTGGCTCTAAGACCCAATTGTGTAAGGGTAGGTTTGTAGCCCTTATCCCAAACATTCTAAGTGTGAGCCAATGCGTCACACACTCAGAGGCCAGAGACTGTATTGGGGTCCTTTATTTCACGTACGAGTCACATTCCATTAAGAGACCCCAGAAGTCAGCTCTCTTCCACTGACTGGTTCTCTTCCCTTGTTTCTCTTGCCAATGTGTGCTGCCCAGGTGGCAGTGCTCACTGTCAGCAGAGAAGAAAAATGCTTTCCTCCTTGGACCTCTTTTCTCTTTTTCTCCTCCCTACTCACATTCAGGTTCCCTAAGCTTCCCCGCTCCTTGTGCTGAAGTCATTCTATGGTCATTTCTTCAACTGTCTACTTCCCTGCTGGATGGGCACCCAAGACTTGGCATCCTGGGGCATGTAGAAAGGGGAAAGGGAAGGGAAGGGAAAAGAAGTCCTCCCAATTGTCTATCTGGACCTTTCCACACTGCCCAGAGTACTGCTATGGGCATCTCCTTATGTCTCCCGATGTGGTGCATGCCAGACCCTGCAGGTAGAAAAGGAAAGAAAGCAACCCATTGGACCAGGCCAGCAAAGGCTTCAGTCACACAGCTGGCTCATACTTATGGCTTCATATTCTGTTGCCTCTTGAACCAGACATTTCTTCCACTCTCATAACCTCCAGTTTAGCTCGTATTCCTCAGCATTCTCCATGTAATATTGTTGCATGAAACCCATGCAAGTCAGCCAATTTGCTCTTTCTCATCTTGTCATTTATAAATTGATGCTGAGAAGTCTTTTTCCCAAGGTTTTTAGTAATACCTTCATCATCCCCCATAGTTCATTTTGGGCAGTGATTCGCTTCTTTGACTGTACATTAGAATCATCTGAAGAACTTTCTAAAACTACTGATCTCAGGTCTCACACAACACTAATTAAATTATAGTCTCTGGTGGGGTAGGGCTTGGGCACTGCTATTTTACCTTAAGCTCTCTGGAGTCATTCTAATTTGTAGCCAGTGCTAAGGGTTGCAATATAAGTGAATATATTTCACGTATTTGTCAAACATTGACTGAGTGCCCATTATGTGCCAGCCATTATAATAGGCACTGGTGATCCCACAGTGAATCAGGCACACAATGCTGTCTTCACGGAGCTTGTTGTCTAGTGGGAGAGTCAAACAAAAGTGTATATCAATAATTAAGTGATTACAGATTGCAATAATTACAATAAGGGTGATAAACAGGTTGCTATAATATACAATAGTATTGCCTTTCACCAGACATTTCTTAAAGAGGTAAATCATCTATCAGACACCTTTTAAAAATCTCATCTAATTTCAAAAGTGTACATAAATAATTAAGTGATTACAGTTTGCAATAATTACAATGAGGGTGATAAACAAGTTGCTATGAAAGAGAAAGATAGCAGAGATCTGGCTTTGAGATGGTGGTCAGGGAAGACTGCTCCAATAGCTGAGTTCTAAAGCTAAGAAGGAACTGAGAACCTTCACAGAACGTCCCAAGTAGAAGAGAAAGCACACTGAAGACTCTAGGGAAAGAGGTCTGCTTGTTGTAGGAACCGAAAGAAGGCCAATGTGGCTAGGTGCTGGGTAGTGAGGGGAAATGGCACAAGGAAAAAATGAGGTTAGAGAGATCAGTTGATACCAGTTAATGTTGGACCCTAAACATTAACCATGGTAAGTCTTTTAGAATTGATTCTAATTGCAATGAAAACCTTTTGAAAGATTTTAAAAAGATATCTGATAGCTGATTTACCTCTCTAAGAAATGTCTGGTGAAAGACAATACCATCACATTGGAGATGGAAAAAGATGAATGGATTCTAAAAACATTCTGAAAGTACATTCAAAATGTTTTTCAGGTAGCTTATGCAACTAATAAATAGTGGTGGCATTCTGGGTAAGACAAGGGAGGAGCAGGCTTGCAGTTTAGGGCAAGAAAGGGGTGGGGAGAAGAGCTCAGCACTAAAATCATGTGTTCCATTTGGGGCACATCGAGTCTGAGTTGCTATGAGACCACCAAGTGGAGATGCCAAGTAAATAGTCAGTTACATGAATCTGGAGTTCAGTGAAGAGGTCTAGAAGAAAGATGTATATTTGGGCATTATTCGGATATAGATATTATGTAAAGCAATAAAATTGGATGAGATCACCTAGGGAGAGAATGCACATAGATAAAAACTGACCTAGGACCACTTCATGTCTAAAACACCAAAAGCAATGTCAACAAAAGCCAAAATTGACAAATGGGATCTAATTAAACTAAAGAGCTTCTGCACAGCAAAAGAATCAGAGTGAACAGGCAACCCACAAAATGGAAGAAAATTTTCACAACCTACTCATCTGACAAAGGGCTAATATCCAGAATCTACAGTGAACTCAAACAAATTTACAAGAAAAAAACAAACAACCCCATCAAAAAGTGGGTGAAGGACATGAACAGACACTTCTCAAAAGAAGACATTTATGCAGCCAAAAAACACATGAAAAAATGCTCACCATCACTGGCCATCAGAGAAATGCAAATCAAAACCACAATGAGATACCATCTCACACCAGTTCAAATGGCAATCATTAAAAAGTCAGGAAACAACAGGTGCTGGAGAGGATCTGGAGAAATAGGAACACTTTTACACTGTTGGTGGGACTATAAACTAGTTCAACCATTGGGGAAGTCATTGTGGCGATTCCTCAGGGATCTAGAACTAGAAATACCATTTGACCCAGCCATCCCATTACTGGGTATATACCCAAAGGACTATAAATCATGCTGCTATAAAGACACATGCACATGTATGTTTATTGCGGCACTATTCACAATAGCAAAGACTTGGAACCAACCTAAATGTCCAACAATGATAGACTGGATTAAGAAAATGTGGCACATATACACCATGGAATACTATGCAGCCATAAAAAATGATGAGTTCATGTCCTTTGTAGGGACATGGATGAAGCTGGAAACCATCATCCTCAGCAAACTATCGCAAGGACAAAAAACCAAACACCGCATGTTCTCACCCATAGGTGGGAATTGAACGATGAGAACACATGGACACGGGAAGGGGAACATCACACACTGGGGACTGTTGTGGGGTGGGAAGAGGGGGGAGGGATAGCATTAGGAGATATACCTAATGCTAAATGACGAGTTATTGGGTGCAGCACACCAGCATGGCACATGTATACATATGTACCTAACCTGCACATTGAGCACACGTACCCTAAAACTTAAAGTATAATAATAATAAAATAAAATAAAATAAAAAAACAAAAATTGATGTAGGACCAATTCCTGAAGAACACTGACAGTTAATTTTTTGGTTTAGGAGGAGGAGAAGCCAGCAAACGACACTGAGTAGCAATATCCAAAGAAAAAGAGGAAAAAGGAAAACTGGGAGATTATGAGTGTCCCAGAGGGAATGTTTCAAGATTACCATCAGCAGTGAGCTTTGTGTAAAGGTGGCCTCCTGTAATAGAGGTGCGGGCAGGAGAAGGCAGAATAGGGAAAAGGGGGTGAAAAAGCTTCCCTCAAGATTTATAATACAGTGGAAGAGAGAGACAGAGAGAGAGAAAGAGAAAGAGAGAGAGAGAACTTAAGGAGGTAGAGGAAGAGAGAGAACCAAAAAAGAGGGAGCTGAGTATAGAAGCAATTAGATTCATAGTTTTTAGTTGCGGCAGTGATATTTGAGTGGGGGCCTTTTATATATTCCATTCTAGGTGTTTCCCAGTTGATGGGAGAGGGTCTTACCTAGATCTGCATGTAAAAGGGAGTAGGCCAGCTGGCAGACTTGACATGGATCAGTGGTAGAACATCCTAGCAGTTCTGTGAATACTCTCTGAGAATGACATGAAAGGTATTGGTTCAGGCCTTTTGGAGGTGATAAAAACCACCAAAATGTGGACTTATTGCAAATTGTATTTGTTACCATTTGCAATGATTATAATTATTCTCTTATATATAGGCTTTCTTACATATAGCTTCTCTTACACATAGCGTCATGAGTTATGCCTTCTCTTACATATAGTGTCTGCTATGAGTTATGCCAAGCAGGGCAAACAAAATTGCTGCCTTTCTTTAAAAAGAGGACGCTCCTAGTATGGGCCTAATTAATTATGATAATTACAGCTATGGCATGGAACATAAGCACATTCATATACACAAAGACAATAAAATAAAGAACAGTTCAAAAACAGAACAGTTACATTATATATCAGTTTCAGTATGAATAATACCCTGGACTCTGAAATATGTCTGGGGCACATTATTCTGTAATTGGTGGTGAAAAAAAATCTGCATCTTATCTCTACGCCAATCCTTATGAAGGAGCTGTTTTTCAGGAGTTCGAGAAAGAGACACAGGGATGTCCAGTCATCAAAGCCGCAGAGCCTGAGGAAGAATAAAGGATTTGTGGCAGGAAAACCCAGTAATGAATGTATTCTGCTAGTTTCTCAGCATAGAACTTAGAAAAGAGGCCACAGAAGGAAAAGAGAAGTAATGTTAGACAGCTGATGTTGGCAATGGGCAAAGAATTTCATTCTCATATGCAGGGCAGTGGCTAAAGGGGCAGTGTTGTGAGGAATCACATTCCAGGTCATTCATGTCCAGGGTGTGGTAGGAGGACTGTGTTTCATTTATTTTGTACATGGCCCAGCTATGACCTTGTGCAAGGAAATGCTTAATCATTTTCTATCACAGTTGCAAAGAGATTCTTATCCTACTCAGAATGTACGTCTTCTCTTCTGTTTCATTTACAGTCACAACCCAAGTCCTTGCTTTGACCTCCAAAGCACCACTTGATGTATCCACTTCAGAAACACACACAGACAGCTCACCTCTTTCTATCCCTTACCTTCCTCCCCTCTTCACTCAAACCACCTACTTCCTTTGCATTCACTCTTCCTTCAGCCTGAAATAATCTTCCTCCAAATATCTACCTTCTCACTCCCTCACTTCTCTCAAGATACACTTAAATGTTATATTCCCTATGAGGCCTCCCCTGGCCATCCCTCCCCAGCCTTCCTATCCCCCCTCTCTGCTTTATTTTATTCTCCTTAATATATATCACACTCTGATAAACCATTGAATGTACTTATCAAGTTATTGCCTCTCTCTCCCTTTCCATTGTCTCCATCACTGAGAGCTCTGTGAAGAAAAGGATTTGTACCTGTTTCATTTAGTGCTGTACCCCCAGTTCCCACAACAGCGCAACAGGCACTCAATAAATAGTTGTTGAATAAGTGAATAAAACAGAAGTAGCTGCATATTTTCTGGTAACAAATGATATTCTTCTGAAAATGTCATATTTTCAGACATATTTCCGAAAATAAATTCAAATTAGATAAACATTGTATTTTTAGACCATTTCTTCTTTGCATTAATCATCCTTCTCAATAATATAACATTTGTAAAACTTAGGTTAGATATGGGCTCTTCAACTTTCCATTACAGAAGATAAAGTGAAAAGGCTAGACCCAATGGTGTTATTCCTTCATCTACATCTATCCTTTGGAAACACATGACCAAATTGCTTGCCATCACAATCTCAAAATCTACCCTTTGGTATTAACTCACTTCACTTGTCCCTCTGTCCCTTTTTAGATGGTAGCCATCGGTCTCTGGAGCAGTGTAGAGTCAGAACAACTTCTATTTGGGGAAGAAATCATTGCTGGTGACCTTACTTTCAATTACTAACTTTCTAGTGACATTTACATAATTTTAGAGAAAATTAACACCTACACTTGTAAAGTTGTGGCTTTCCCACACCTATTTATCATCTCTCAATATTCCTTGAAAAGGAAATTATCAATTTATCATTCTATATTGGCAATGAAATGCCCCTAATATCTGTCACCTATAAGACAATTGAAGATGATGTGTTGAAAGCTTTCTGAAAATGCTGATCATTACTTTAAATGGAATTGAAATTCCAGTTTATTATTTCCAAAAATATGATCTTACTGATCATAGGATAACATTTCATAACATTTCAGAGATTTCTTCCCCTTCGAGGAGCCAAACCCATAGGACCTCTGGACTCCCACAGATCCTGGCAGGGAGTTCCCACTCATAAAAGCACAGGTGCCCTCAGAGTCATTCAGGGATGAAGAAGCAACCCTCATTGGCCATGTCCTACGTTCCCCATATAGTAAGGACTGGAGGAGACCAGTGCTCAATTCTGCAGTCTCAGACAGCTGTCAGAGGAGAGTCATGAATGTGCAGTGTCTAGCACATTACAAACGTTTGTTAATTGACTGATCATTCATGGTGTGACAGCCCTATAACTCAGCTATCCTATTCAGTCAGAAATTAACTCAGTAATCAAAGTCATTAAAAGGAAGAAAAAAAAAACCTACAGTACCAGACAGATGGTGGGGAAATCAGACAGATGAAAGGAAAAATGGCTGTAGGTCATTGAGTAAGACACTGGGCAGCAAAACCTGGGCCTTGTGCCTGGTTATACTCCACATTATAGCTCCAGCAAGGTTTGGCAGGATTTCCACAGTCCTGGCTTATTCTAACCTTTCTTGGGAGCAGGAGCAGTGTTGGTCAGATAGACAGACACATAAGGAATCTGTCCAACTGGCACCGTGTGAATTTGGGCTCTTGGTGTACATGGATAACTGGGAAAAAGAGGAGAGAGACATGTAGGACTGATCCTACCGTTTGTGAAGTCTTGGGCAAGAGTATGAATGAAAACCCACTTCTCTTCCCCTGCCTGGCTCCACTGCACACAGTAAAGAGCCTCAAGCATAGGTGTGTGGACATTGCACCATGTATCCAAGCTCTGACCATGCCTCTTGAAACAGCTATTCCTCAGCCACCCTCTGACCATGGGAGGAATGACCCAGGAGAAATGACCACATAGGTCTTGAAAATGGGCTCAGGGCTATTTACGAAGTCAATTCCGGGGTCCCAGGAGTATGGACTAAAATGTGAGTCAGGCATGCCAGATGGGTATGTTCTATTGACTTCAAGGATTCCTCATGCTGTGGGAAGGAACCTCTCCAGAAGAGAGACAGAGCAGAACCCTCTAAATGTGGGGCACAAAGCAGGAGCCCCTCTTGCTGGATTCAAAGGGTCATACTGGAAGAGTGTAGGTTGAGTCTTATTCTCACATCACTCATATCACTTACACACTTCTTTTATAGCCTTAGCAGCCATGCCACAAAGAGAAACTCTTCATGCATATCTTTTGGTCCATAAGTCATAAATAGTTATCCTTGATCCCATGTCTTTTTTAGAGCCATGGACAGAGAGAAGCAAAAATATACCAAGTTCACACTGAGTTGTCTCCCTTCATATCTCTTAGCAGTCACTGAAAGGTTATGAGACTCAGGCTGGGTTTCTATCCTCTGTCCCTGAAACGACAACGTTGACCTCGTGATCAACCCTAGAATCCAGAGCAAGATCTCAGACTGTCCTCTCTACTACCAGACAGCACACTTTGTTTTGGGGGCTGTGTGCTTGAAATATTAGCTATGGCAAAAGGCTTTGAGTCTTATGACACCCCAAGTAACTTTTACTTTAGGAATTTGAAATACAGCCTTGCTGTAATGCTGTCTCCTTAACAAAGCAGTACCTTTGAAATATTTAACAACTTGAAAAGGAAACCGAGCTTGAATTTTCCTTTCAGGTGCTCAGGAAATAATGTTTCACTTCTGTCTGAAATTCACCATCTCCTCAGACAAAGAAGGCTCTTATGGTAAAAGGAATGGCATTTTCTCCACAATTTTCGAATAAAAGATAAAGAGAAAACAGCACTGCAGCCTTTTTGTTAGGATCTAACAATAAAGAAATAATACGGTTTTGCCAGGGGAGAGCTCTGGTTTTAAGCTCAGAATACAAAAATAGGCTGACAAAATTTTACAAAGGAATATTCTCAGCTACCACTCTGAGGATGGTAGAAAGTGAAATTTCAAGAAAATTATATTATTTGATTATTTGATGATGATTAAGCTGATTGGCCAGTCCTATGTGAAATTCTAAAGTAGAAGAAATGTGATGTTGTCTTTTCTGCTCACCTCTCCCCTCATTCCTACCCCCAAATCTCTGCCTCTACCCCAAACCCAGCCTGACCTTTGGGAAAGGAATGGGGGCTGTCACTTGCACCGTAGCTCCTCCTGCCTGCAGTACTCTCCCCCCACAGTCCAGCCTCCCTCTGCTCAGCTAACTTTTCCTATAGCTCCTTCTGGCTACTTCTAAGGAACCTTCCATAATGCTGCCCACCCTCTCAGTAACAGCCCCTCTACTATCCCTTGATTACATGCACTGTAATTGGTTAGTAATTGATTTTATGTCCTCTGCCAAATTATACTCCATGAGAGCAAAAATCATGAGTATTATCTTTAATGTTTAAATCTCCACAACTATCCCCCATATAAGTCTAGAGAATAAATGAATGAGTGAATTAATGAATAGAAACTCAAGCCATTATGTTGCCACTCCTAGGATATTTGGATTAACTTTAACTGAAGAGTAAAAAGCATTTACCTGTCCTAAAGGAGACATAAAATTAGTGGGAGAGTATTTGGAGAAAAAAAAGACACTGTAATACATTCTTTTGTGTTGCCTACCCTGATGTAGTCAGGTGTCCCTGATATGGGGTGGGCTGAGGATTTGAAATAAAATACCTAATTTGACATTGTAAGTGGAGGAATCAGGATTTGAAACCAAATTGGTTTGACCTAAATCAAGCTATTATGATAAGGACTTGCAAGAAAAAAGGAATCCATAAAAACCATATGAATAGCTACCAATTAGTAAGCATTTATATGTGTCAATTACAAAGCCAAATGCAAATCATGCTTTATTTATATTAGCCACCTTTTATAGATGAAGAAATTGAGACCTGAATATTAAAATTGCCTACTTTTACATAGTAAGTAAAGGAATCAGGGTTTGAACCCAAATTGGTTTCACCTAAGGTAGAAAACCATCCCAGCAAGTCTCCTATTAACTGGAACCCTATTGTGGTGGCCTGAGATATAACAGTAGCTGTGGAAGCGCTGTAGAGTCCTGGCCATCCTATGTGCTCCTGATCTGGTCCCTCCTGCCACCTGCTTCTGCTCCCTGTGCCATCCACCCATCTGGAAGTCTCCCAGTGTCCATCTTCGGGGGAGACACTCACCAGAGTTTCCAGCTTCCAGCCAGTATGGAGTGCCCCTGTCCCACAGCAATCTCACCGAAATCACAGCTACATCTGTTAAAATTAGGCTACCAATGAGTGATAGATGAGGGGGAAAAATAATAATAGTGTACTAAACAAAACAAATGTTTATTTTTCTCACACATAAAAATCTAGAGGTTGAAGTCCAGGGCTGGTCCAGAGGCTCCAAGGATCTGGGATTTAGACTCCCTCTTTCTTGTTTTTCCACAGCATATGGCTTCCATTTCTGGGGCCACATTGGTCCAAAATGTATGCTGGGGCTCCAGCCATTGCATCCATATTTCAGCCACAGGAAGGAGGAAGTGGGGAAGAAAGGACAGGCCCCTAATACCTGTATAGTTCAAGAAGACTATCCCGCCCATACTTCCCAACCACCCTTAGTTGAACAATGCTGTCTTAATTCAAGACACTCACATGTCTAGCCAAAAATCTGAATTCTGTTACAAACAAGGAGAATAGAGATGTGCGCCACCTCAATACCTCATCCATAGCTACCTTTTCCTTTGTGCAGCTGTGGCCAAGTGAAAGCTGAAGGAGCTGTGGTAACCCTTCTGAAGGGAGGCTGGGGCCTTTCACAAGAGGCTGCATGATTGACATTTATCCTGCATGGCCTGTGAAGTACAGAGAAATATTTTCTCTTGAAGCCACATCATAGCAGTGGCTGCTTTGTAGCCTGATTCCACCATTATGCCTTTAAAGTGCCTAGCAATTCAGCCTTCACATCATGCAAAGAGGAATATCTCCCAGTCTTTGTAAGATCAGCTTAATTCTAACCACCTCCTTACCTCCCACTGCACTCCTACACGCACACACAAATCTTCTTCACTCAGAGCAGAACCATAACCCAAGCCCTACCACCTAGAGACTGAAGAATCAGGCTCATGATTACAAATATGCAATAATTTTTTGTGTGGATAATGTCAATGGGGATGATGGTAAGAGAATTCCTTGGTTTACACATTGACCCTCTTCCCTGTCCCTTACAATCAGGAAATATTTGTCCCAACACCTTGTTTCTTCTGTTGCAGGCTCCTGTGGCTGTCTTGTCATGATATTGTTTGCCTCTGAAGTGAAAATCCATCACCTCTCAGAAAAAATTGCAAATTATAAAGAAGGGACTTATGTCTACAAAACGCAAAGTGAAAAATATACCACCTCATTCTGGGTCATTTTCTTTTGCTTTTTTGTTCATTTTCTGAATGGGCTCCTAATACGACTTGCTGGATTTCAGTTCCCTTTTGCAAAATCTAAAGACGCAGAAACAACTAATGTAGCTGCAGATCTAATGTACTGAAAGGCAAACCTTTCTATAATTTTACAAGGGAGTAGACTTGCTTTGGTCACTTTTAGATGTGGTTAATTTTGCATATCCTTTTAGTCTGCATATATTAAAGCATCAGGACCCTTCGTGACAATGTTTACAAATTACGTACTAAGGATACAGGCTGGAAAGTAAGGGAAGCAGAAGGAAGGCTTTGAAAAGTTGTTTTATCTGGTGGGAAATTGCTTGACCCAGGTAGTCAAAGGCAGTTGACTAGAATCGACAAATTGTTACTCCATATATATATATGTGTGTGTGTGTGTGTGTGTGTGTGTGTAAGATGTCTTCCTATCAAAAAGATATCAAAGGCACATGGAATATATTTTAATAAAAACAAATAATATCTCTAATATATCCACACATTTGTTGCCAGATTTCAGAAAACTGAGCTGCAATCGCTTTCCTAAAACAGTAGTGTATTAAATGAACATCTATAAAATGTATCAACACACATTTTAAAAAATTTGTTTAAAGTATACTCTTAGGCCAGGCGTGGTGACTCACACCTGTAATTCCAGCACTTCAGGAGGCCAAGGTGGGAAGATCATTTGAGTTCAGGAGTTCGAGTTACAGCCTGGGCAATAAAGTGAGACCCTGTCACTAACAAAATTAAAAAATAAAATAAATATAAAATATAGGCTTTAAAAAAGCATAGTCTTATTAACCATGTCTGTTGGTCAAAATCTGCAAACTCTAAAAGAAGAAAAGAAGAAAAAACCAAGCTTAGGGTATTTTTCCTCCCGTGCCTGAGTCCCAATTACATTCACGACAGTACTTTCAATGAACATAATTGTTAGGACCACTGAGGAATCATGAAAAATGATCTCTGCTTAGTACATTTGATGCAAAATGACTTATTAGGGGCTGTTTTTCTAGCTATAGTGTCTCGAGTACTAATATGCAATTATGAAAATTATATTAAATCTGGGATTATGACGGTATCACTGTATCATCTTGGTCTTGTTCTGGCTGTCACCAAGCATGACCCAGGTCAACTTTTTTTTTCCCCTGAATTACCCATCAAATTGATCTGCAGCTGACTAAAGGCCACAGCTGAGCCTGGAACTGACCCTTCCTTCATCCTCAACCTGCTGTCCTCCAGAAAGCACCAAGGAAAAAGCAGAGAATGACAGCAAACAGATCACTAGGCCTCTGACCACAGGTGCTGAGTACTCAGCAGCCCTCATATAATAGGTTTGAAAGTACTCCTTAAAATAAAACACTGTTTCCCTTTGGAACTATTTACAAGGATGAAACAACCGTATACCTGAGAAATAACTTGCTCTGGTGTCAATTCGCTATTCGCCAGCAGACATCAGAACACACCGAGTTTCCAGATGCTGGTTTTTCCCCTTAAATCAGGAAATACACCTGGACAATTTCTAGAAGACTACAATTCAGTCTAGCCACAAAGGGGATTTTTTTTTTTTGGTAACAGGCTAGAGCCCGGTTCTGTAAGTCTTTAGCTGAAATGGTCCAGTACAAAAGCACTGGAAATGAGTGGGCTAGGAGGACAAGGACCGTCTCCTGCGTGAGGAGTTGGTTGGAGGTCCCCAAGGCCAGGTACCCCCTGCACTCTTATTGGATTCCTCTCTGTCTTCTTGGAGTTTTGAAAAACTCCTTCGAACACCAGGCTTTTTTCTTTAGAAAACAAGTCTCCAATCGTTCTCTGTTCCGTAGAAAGAGAAAGAAAACCTGGAGCAGCTGCTGAAAAATCTAATGAGGAACTAAGAGGCAAACCCACCATGTTCCCTGGCTGGAAAGGAGAAGCAGGGCTGTGACAGACACTCAAAAGGTCCCTGCAGAGCACACCGCACACAAAATAAAGCAGGAAACAACCCGGCACCAGCAGCACCGGTCTCCCTCTCTTCTCGCAGATGAAACGCATAGTCCCCAGGCCTATGGGGAGCCCTTAGAAGAAGGGTCTGGCCAGGACGCTCATAGGCGGCTCCCACTCGGTGGGAATCAAAGGCCCCGGGAATGACATTCGTTTTGCTGGGACCCGCCCTCCTTCCCCAGGTGGCAGCTAGCCTTCTCACAAGGTCGCGGGGCCCCCTGCTGGCCCTGGGGAGGCGAACACCATGCCAGGTGGGGAGCCTGTTTAATTGTCTCAGACACCTTCATGTCATCAGTGAGAACATCAGTGCTGATGATGCTGCCAGAAAGAATGGCAAGAAGAATGTATGAACATCACCCTAGGTTTGTCCAGGTGGACCCAGCCAAGGCAAGACGTGTTCACCGGAAGAGGAGCAAGCTTCAGAATGAAGCGAAAACAGATGCAGATGGTGCATTAGAATGAAGAGGAGGGGCACTCCTTACATCCGGGCGTCTTACAGTTGGCAGAGGTCTTTTGCTCTTGCGGTCGCATCTGTTCCTCCAGGGAAGCTGCTTCCGTGTCACATTCCAGGTATTCAGGGCCCCTCAATGAGGCCAGAGTATCATACGTGTACACAATCAAGGCAAGGGACAGTGCTATTATTCTCCTCTCCCTCTTGCCCCTTTACCTGGCAAGAGGCTAGGAGAGGGAGACCACCACCCCTTCTTAACCCTGGTGGAGACAGAGGGTGCACTCTGGCAGCGGTAGGGTGCACCAGCTCCAAGGTAAGCGTGGCTTGCTGCTAGAATGGATATTTGTCCCAATCATTTACCTAGAGAAACCTGAATGAGAACAGAGGCGTAGACTCCAGAGGGTGGAAAGTGGGGCGGGGGTGGGGGGAGGATTAACTTCCCTCTCGATTTTCCTCACCCTCTCCCCTTCCAATAAGATCCAGTGTAGTTAAAACAGTGCATCTGTTATAATAGAAATGCTGCTTCAAGACCAGGCCAAAGCCCGGCCGTGTTTCTCTAACGGCCTTGCTGCCCCTCATCCCTTCTATTTACATATCCTGGGGCCTGTACTAGTTCAGTGCTCAGTGTCTGCTCTAGAGACATGCCCATTTTCAAGCCCCATCAACGTGGCAGTTGGTCCCGGCTCAGGGCTGATGGGCCACCACCATCAGTGACAAGGGACACAGCAATGCTGGTCAATTTAAAGGGCAGACAGAAAGACTGGGCGGGACTGGGGTTTCTGCTTGTGGGCCAAAATCCCCCCTTGGAAAAAGCCCTCTTGCTCCTGTAAATACTGATGTAAACCAAATTAAATTATATTTTGATTTACAGACTTAGTGATAAATTCCCACCAAGGCAACCAGACACATCCATGGGTGTCACAGCTCAGAGCTGGGATTTACTAGCTTATGTGGAAAGTCCAAAGACCCAAGTCAGAAATCTCCAGACTCTCCCCTGCCAGTCCTACCGGACAGTATCAGGCAATAGTTATAGAGACCCCAGGGTGGAAGTGAGGTGAGGGTGAGCTATGGTGCAGTTAAAAGGCAAGTGTCTTAAGAGATTGTTTCTTTGCTTGAATCTTGGTCTGAGGGATTTTGACCCACTCTGAAAGCAGTAGACAGAATGAGTTACAAGTTTGTGCACCCCTCATTCAGCAAAAGTCCACTCTTCCCTCTGTGAGCCACGAACCCGACTGAAGAGAAGAGTGAGAGACTTGGGAATTCCTGCTAGCGGTGTTCTCTCTCTCCCTCCTCTGGTATAGTTTGTCAGTGGGTTCGCAGAGGAGGAGGCTTGGGCCCCTCAAGTAATCTAAGCCAGTGCCCTACCAGAAACGTGCAATTTCAGGGCACGACATCTGCCACCCTGTTGTTGCACTCTCCTCAGGTTCCAATTTATCATGAACTTTGCAAAAAAGGGTAGCATAGCTAATCCAGAGGTGTGGATTCCGGGATGCCATGGCTGTCTGATTTGCACTTAAATTTGCCATCTTTCTATTTAGCCAAGTGTAATGAATAGTGTGCCTTAATATAGGGAAGGACGGTGTCTGCTGCACATCCCAGGCCAGAAGCTCCAAGAGAATCAGCTGTATAGACTTTCATTTGCTGCCATATAGCTGCCCCCTTTGCCCTACTCCTCTGCAGTCACCCTTTCACCCATGGAAATTCGATGTGCTCTTCACCAGTTTCCTCTTCTCTGGAGCACAGTTAAACAGCTAAAGTACATTTCCCAGTCTCCTTTGGAGTTGGGGCCATGTGAGTGTGGCTGTACCAATGACATGTTGGTTGAAGTGACCTGTGCCATTTTCAGGCCTGGCCCTGAAAAACATCCCATGCAATCCTCCAGCTCTCTCTTCTTCTGGTGCTGCATGCAGCCTTGGAATCTGTGAGATCCAGACGGAAGGCTGCAAAACTGGGGCGGGCCTCCTGCCCTGCACTAGAGTACAAGAGTAGTAAATAAACTTTCTCTGTAAAGCCACTGATTTTTGGTGATTGTGACTGTAGCTTAGTCTAATTTAGCCTAGCCTAGCAAACAGGAACCCATTCTCCAAGAAAGCTCTTCTGCTGCCTGCCAGGGAGATGCTTCTCTAGGGCTCCCAAGGCACAGTCTATGCCAGTGCACCTTGCACCGTCTCCACTTGCTCCTCTCTGTGCCTCTGTCCTTTGTGGCCCTCTGGTCACATTACCCATCACCCACTGAAATGAAGACCGGAGAGTGAATTGTCTACATCAATAACTAAAGAGTAAATAAACACTTTTGCTTATGCTGCTGTCCTTCAAGATTCTTTCCAAATATGGGTTAATAAACCCTTTTTCATTATTCAAAAAGGATCTATCTTGCATCTCCTACAGATGTAGCTGTGTGTAAGGCACCAAATATTGGGATGGCTAATGTAAAAAGGGTAAGAATACATTTTTTTCTTGATTTTTGGCTGAGAGCAGAGAATAATATCCTCTAAAACTTTCTATCTTTAGTTTCTGTTTAAAACTTCAGTATAGTATTAAGAAAAGGCTTTTTAAGTTTACCCATAATAGGAAAATCTGATGAAATTTTGTAACAAAGGAAATCATTTAAAAAAAAAATTATCCTAGAGTTTCAGTTTTCACAAAATGCTATAAGAACTCTGTTACTTAATTAAATAATACTGAAAAAAAACTTAAAAAGAATGTATCAAGAAGAGCGACTGGGAGATAGGAGGGAGGCTTCCATCACCATCCAGATCTGGGAGGGTTCCCTCTAGGAGGCGTGGCTGCTCCCTCCTCCCTAAGGGGCGGGGCATTCAGATGAGGAATTTTCCGCAGTCCTGCGTCAGACTACATGTTGAGGTCCAGAGAAATGCTTTTCCTGCTGGTTGGTGGCGAAGAGACCTGCTCCATGCTATCAACTTGGTCGTCTCCTGGGCAGAAATGAGAAGGCATTGGGCGCTGACTCAGTTTCCCCAACGTCCTCTAGTGCTGGAAAACGATGGTACTTGTTCTAGCAGAGATTCTAGATTTATTCTAGGAGTACCTCCTCTTAAATTTCTGCCCATCTCCAGCCCTTGGTATTTTCTAGCTTATCCTGCAAGAATGTCACTATTTTAAACCTAAACTAGTGACTATTGAACTTAAAAATCACTTTTGTTCCCTGGATCCAGAGTCACCCACTTCTCCCCAAAGCTGATGAGCAGTTACCTGGACTAAGCAGAGGTTTCTGGAGTATAAGGGAAGCAAAACAAGCACAGGGGAGCACGAGAGCATATCCAAAAGAACCAGTGAAATATCCTTTCACCGCACACAGTAACTCTCAACTGGAAACTCCTTCTGATTTTTTCTAAGCATTTAACAAACTTCACAGATGCCCTCCACCCCACACAATATGCTTATGTCCTTTGAAAAATACGTAAATATAAAAAAATACAAAATGCATGCATGTCCTGTCAATTACCTCTCTGTCCTTTACCACAAAGGAAAGGCTTCCTATTTTACTTAATGTTTCGGTCAGGAAGCATTTAACATGAGAAAAAAAAATCTACCTAAACCATCCTAAACAAAGAGAGAGAGAATGAGAATTAGAGATCCAGTGCAAAGATACAGCAGCATCTCCCGTGGCACTAGGATACTAGGGCAGTAAGCACATTCAGACCTCACGAAGGGGTGGATCCGGGAGTTGGAAAGTCAGTAGAAACAAACTTCCCTTCCCTCCCATTCCTCGCTTCACCATTGTGTTGGCATGGCATGCATGCGGGTGTGAATGTATGAGTGTGTGTGTGTGTCTGTGTGTGTGTGTGTGTCTGGCTGGCATGCATGCGGGTGTGAATGTATGAATGTGTGTGTGTGTGTGTGTCTGTGTGTGTGTGTGTGTCTAAGACCACATAGTTCTGGCCCCTGTTTTACTTTGTGCCTCTGAACAATTCACTTCTCTCTCTGCCTACCAGATTTCTGTGCGTTTTCAAAGCATGAGGGGAAAAAAACTCTCTTCAGCTTGAGGCCTACATTAATGCCCTAGATTCAGCACCAGCTTCCAATCCTTCAATCTCTGTTGCCCATTTCCAAATTCCAGGTAGGGAAGGAGAATCAGAATGGTCCTGCCCAGTTCTGAATCAGTTCTCCTTGATCAGGTGCCCACCCTTGCTCCACACAACTGAAGTGAGGGAGGGATGAGTCATGGCTGCAGGGCCTGGGTGCACAGTACGTGTGTGCGTGCACATGCAGGGGTGTGTGTGTGTGTGTGCACGTGTGTGCCTGTGTGCACGTGTGTGTGTTAGGGGGGTCTCCCAGAAGAGGATGTGAGCTTGGCAGATACCCCAAAACTGTCCATCATGATTGGTAAAATAAAAATGTGATTCTGCATCCTATACATTAACATTTATAGGAGTCTTTACATACAGTTTTATGCCTTATAATGACTGACCAAATTGTCTTCCCAATTTCTAACCCATTTTATTGTTTTATAAAATCAGAGAAAGACATTGAGATTTTTCCATAGGGTTTAAATTTTTTCTGTGTATCTCATTCTTCAATATATCAGTTGAGTGACTGATACTTCCTTAATTTAAAACAAAAACACTCTAGATGGTTTCTAGTGAGTAGACAAAGCAGTTTTATTAATATTTCTAGATGTCTCTTCTATTCTAACATGGGTTTTCATTCTTTCCCTGGTCTTCCCTCACCCACATTATAGCAGACCTATGGCCAAACCCACACATATATAAGGAACAGGGCAAACCAACTGGGCTGAGCTGAGATTATTCTGATCAAATTTACAAACTCACATTTCTCTGTAAGACACAGACATCAAGCCACCTTCTCCCCTCTTGCCTTACCCCCAGCTGTTCTGTGAATCACAATACATTCTTTTGCTCAGGAGACATGTGCAATGTCTTTGCCACACAAATGTAGAGACTCACTTATATCATGGCATACTTGTCCCTCATTATTTTCTGGAGACTCAATATCAATTCAGAAAGATTCAATTGCTGAACTCAAAGTGACACCTCTTCCAGCCTCATGAGTGGCATTTTGCTCATGATGTAGTCCTGCAGCACCGCCACAGAGTATCCTGATTCTGAAGGATTCTTAGAAACATTTCCTTCCGGTCTCAGTATCAGGATTGGCTGTTCTGCCAAAGAAGGGTTTTGTTTTTGTTGTTACATGTTTGTCCTAATGGATCATATCATCACTCACTGTGGATTAGTCACTGCAAAGCCTGAGGTGACTTCTGTGGCTCACCCATGGCAGTATCTAGAATTTCATGGGTGTCTTTTGTGTATTGGGAACTAGATTTATTCCTGGCTCAGGTGGGTTCTGATGCTTTTTATTCCATTTTTTTCTTACTCATCTATCTTTTCAACTCCTAATTTATAATCTTTCCAAGAATCACATACACCTTTGTAAGCTGCTTTAAGTTTTTTAGAGCAAGGGATACAAATTTTACAAATCCAGATCTTCCCATCATACAATACTAAAGTTACATGAGAATAAGAAAAAATGTAAGTAAATTATAACCCAATTCTCAAAATGCTTTTACGTCACATAAATTGTTTTGTCCACTGCTAAATCTTCTTCCCTAGAACAATGCCTAACATGTGCTGAGCACTTACTAAGTTGAATGACTATGGGCCAATTTCAATCCTCCTTTCTGTTGCAGAGATCTGTTTCCAACCTCAGCTGAGGTTCCCCTACACAATCAGCTTCCTGCCATTGCCATTTTCCTTAATTTCCATCTAACTCTAAATCTGATGAAGCTTTCACGCCTTCATTTTGAAGGAGGTGACTATTTTGATTCATAAGATCTACTGTCCTGCAATATCTTCCTGATCCTTTGCCAGTAACTGCCCAGAGCACTCGAGAGAAGATGCTGATGCTTGTTCTAATGAATGAATCAAATGACTCATAAGATATTGATTAAGCTTCAACCATGTGTCCTGCATGAAAGAAAAATACAGGGCATAGCCCCTGCTCTTAGAACTCAAATCACTTTCCAAAAATCACAGAAACTATACTGCTACTAAAGTACAGACTGTTTTCTCAGTAAGTAAATTCAAGTTAAACCAGCTTGATGAAATGGAAAGGGCACCAGGTTTAAGCCCAAACTCTTCCTCTCACCAGTTCTGTGAGTCTGGGGTGTCACCTAACTTTTCCTGAACTTTGTTTACCTATGAGAAACTAATCTAAATGTCTCCAAACTGCCCCCATATATGCACACAAATAACCATCACACTAGCCTTAATTTCCAATTTTGGTGGCTCTTACAAGCTCCTCCAAGTAGAGAACCAAGGCATTGCTCCCCAGCCCTGCCCACTCCCCATGTGCCTCCCCTTCCATTCTGGGAGTTTCTAAATCCTCCTGTGTACCCAGGAACAAGTCTGTCATCCCAGTTTCCACACCAAGGCAGCTCACAGCTGACCTGCTCCTGAGGCTTTTGTGAGAAGACTGCTTGGCTGAAGCAAAGGATTTGTTCACTGAGGGATGCTCTGCAACCCAGGGTTCTAGAATGCACTGCGGCCTGGGGTAGAGTGGGGTCAGGGTAGAGAACAGCTCCTCCCACTGCTGTGGCACTCCCAGTCTTCTGTGCCCCTAACCGCCTTGCTTCTGCCTGAGATGCCACATGTCTGCTTGCATTCTCTCTTGTCACAGGTCCCTCTTTTCTCCTCTCCAGGTACCTAGCTACATTTCCTTCTATAACCAAAAAGGAGAAGCCTCATGCCCATCAGCTCTCATTAATGTCTTATCAATGCATCCAGAAGGGTCCCCAGCCCACATTGTGTGGAGTCAGGATTCAATACACAGTTGGATTATCCACTACGTGAAAGAGGATCCACCTAAAGGATCTCTACAGGGCCAACGATTCCAAGGAATCCTGTACTTCCTTGGGAGCACTGAACCACCAGATGGTGCAGCGCATCGTAGGAGCATTTATTTCCGCTGTGCTGTGGTGAGCAGAGGGGTCCAGGGCCCACCATAACCAGTTGGGCATTTGCAACTCCATTTTGTACATTGTTCCACCATGCAGACCAAGGAGACAAGAAGATGAGCAGTCAGTATTTTAAGCCTCACTACGCCCTACTCATTGTCAAGCTTTCTTTCTCCCTTTTCTCTTCTTTTATATTAGCATTACTTCCCTTTTTTTCTTTAAGCAGTAAAAGGTTTATATCATATTTTTAAAGTGGCTTGCTTGAGAAATTGGAAGTTTCTCTGTAGGGCACCTTGAGGGCTTTCCAAATCTGCTCCCTGCTCAGAAGTTCAAAGCTATATCTTCAGTACCTCATGAGTTGCAAATACTCTGGATTCTAAGTCAAATTAATTACTGTCTTCAGCTGAAGTATCATCCTGACACCTAGGGAGGACTGTGTTGATTTAGCAAGCTGATAGAGCAGAGGAAGGCACAGGCAATGCTGATTTAAATCTATCCAACCGTGGAGAGGTGCTCGGTGTTCTGACGGAGGCTAACTCTGCAGCAGCAGCACAGAGGATGCAAGCACAGATCCTGGTAAGGGGGGCCTTCTGCATGTTGGAGTTTATCCAGCAGCTCACGAAGGGAAATGACATAGTCCGATTTGCATTACAGAACAACATGCTGGGGCCTGTCGACGAGGGACAGGAACAGAACCTAGTCAACCAATGAGAACATTTTACAGAAAGTCACCCAAAAGATTATGAGAGTCAGACTCAGACAGTAGATGGATGCAGAAATGTGTATCATGCAAACGTGTAGTCGAGATTTGATGATGGACCAAACGTAAAGAGTGAGGAAGAGACTCTCTATTTGAAGTCGAGCTCTGTTCTGAATTGAAGTCTCTCCTACTGCAGTAGCTCAAATATTAAGTTGATGAAAAAGTAATTGTGTTTTTTGCCATTACATTTAATGCCAAAATCCGCAATTACTTTTGCAGCAACCTAATAAAATCTGTCTTGCTGTTTTTAATGAGTGTTCAATGAAAAAAAAATTTCTATTATGCACAGACAAGCCACCCAAATGTTACAAGTGGATGAGGGGTGAGAATACCGAAGGTAGAAGTGAAGCCTCAAAAGTGGGACCCAAAGTTCAGTGAGGCAATCGGAGATTTCATGCAAGAGTTCAAAATGCTTGGGTGGTGCCTCAAAGGGCTAGAAGCAATAGCCAGTTGAATGAGGTAGAGTAGGGTCAAGGAGCCAGGTCTTCTGCCTTCAAACCCAGTGTAAGCTAAGCTTGCTTGATACTGCATTGTGATGTGGCTACTTACATTTGTGAGGATGCCCCTATGTGGACAAGCACACAAGCAAACTAAGTAGCCCCCTGCATCACACGATGTTAAGCAGAGGTGTGAGGGGTTGAAAGCTCTTCACTTTCTTCAGAAAATCCACTTCCTCCTCTCTTTCCCAATGTATACAATTTCTTTATCAGGGAAAAATATATTTTATTATGTAATGGAATTAAGGCTACACAGTCACTCTAGGAGAGGTAGAGATCTACAAATTCTCATTTTTTTTTTACAGTGTCAATGACTGCTGTTGGAATCTTTTTGAATGACTAATTTTGATTGGAGAAAGAGAATGGAAATGAGGAAGAAACCACAATTTACCTTTCACCCTGAGGGGGTGAAAAGGGCACAGATTTATAAGACTAAAGCACCAAATATTAAACTTTGTCAATTTTGCCAATAATAAAATTGCTTACTTAAGGCTCTTGTAAGAAAGAGAAATTACTCTTAACAAATTTAAGCAAAGAAATGAATGTACTGAAGGAATAAGGTATTTCTCAGAGTAGGAGGACTTTTGACCTCCAGGTGTCAGGAAGGAAGACTCTAGTACCCCAGGTATGTCGGTGGTCTCTCTACAGACCTCAGCCACTAGTAGGACTCTGTCATCGTTATATGACCCTTGAGTCAAAATGCTATATCCCCAAAAGAAATAATCAAGCTTGTTAGGGATAAGATTCCATGCCTGAACCAATGAGCTGTGGTCAAGGTTGGGGTCCTGTGCAGATTCCTGGGGCTCCCTCTGTGAGAAAGGAGCTGGTCAGATTGGGGAAAAGTACACAGCACGCTGGAGCACTCTCCCTGCCCTATTTCTCAGCCATGTGGCTCTTCACCCTTTGAAACCCCAAGTCTCCATGACTCTCTTTGAATCCTCACAATGATCACATAAGGTAGGCTAAGCAGGGACTCTGCTTTGATGCAATGATGCCTTCTTTAGAGGGAGGAAGATGAGGCTTACAAAGGTTAGTCAACTTACCCAAGGTCACAGGTAGACTAAATAAGGGAGGCAGGACTTATCCACATCTCCTGGGCTGCAAAACCAGTTATGTGAATGTGGATATGGGGGACAAGTGACTGAACCAGTAGAAATACATGAGCAATAGGTGAGGGGGCATCCATATCAGAACCACCAGGACTGAATGAATATGCTTACTTGGGCCCCCCAACCAAGCTGTTGACAAGAAGGCAGGGAGAAGGGGAGGAAGGACAAGAATACAGATGGAAGAAAGGGAAAGGCAAGAAATAGGCTCAGATCAAGAGGAAGGTTTCTCGAGTGCGCACGTAAGCACATCTGTCAGGCATCCAAGGCAGAGGCTATTCATGGCCCCCCACCAGTTATCTTCCCTTTCCTATGCAGTAATAGTATTCTCAGTAGAATGGATGGCTGTCCAACCTAAGGCTACATTTCCAACCTCCCTTGCAACCAGAAGCCACATGATTCTGGCCTAAGGGATATGAGCAAAAGTAACATGTACGAATTCGGTGTCACGCCCTTATAGGTCACGTCTTTTCTCCCTTTCCCCTTTCTACATTCTGGAATGCAGAGTTAATGGCAGGAAACAAAGCAGCCACATTGGACCATGAGATGCAAGCCAAGTATGAGGATGGCAGGGCCACAGAATGTAAGGAGCCTGGATGCCTCATAATTGAGAAACCATCACACCAATCCTGTCAACCCAGACTTACTTTCAAGTCTAAGAAATAATTTCATAGCAGTCATAGTAAAGAAATAACAAAATGCCATATATCATGCATGGTGTCATAGTAAACACCCCATAATTGCTAAATGCTTTCATGATTAATATACTGGCTAAAAATACAAAATAAAAAGTAGGTATAATTGGCCGAGCGTGCTGGCTCACACCTGTAATCCCAGCACTTTGGGAGGCCAAGGCGGGCGAATCACGAGGTCAAGAGATAGAGACCATCCTGGCCAACACGGTGAAACCCCGTCTCTACTAAAAATACAAACATTAGCCGGGCATGGTGGCATGCACCCGTAGTCCCAGCTACTCAGGAGGCTGAGGCAGGAGAATCACTTAAACCCAGGAGGTGGACGTTGCAGTGAGCCAAGATCGCACCACTGCACTCCAGCCTGGGCGACAGAGTGAGACTCCATCTCAAAAAAAAAAAAAGTAGATATAATTGATTAGGGAATAAGAATTTATCTGCTCTTTATTTATATATGTAAAAATTATAAATGACTATATACCGATAATAAAATTAATAATGTGTATTCAGTCAATTAAAATTTTTAAATGCTTGAAACTTTTGACACAACTGTTCCTCTTCAGGAAATTTTTTCTTATAGGGAAACTTGTTCCCAGGTATTTTATAAACCCAGCTATGATGACTGTAATGATACATTTTTGGCACTCGCGTGAGCTTTTTCATGGACTAAATTTCTTTAAAGTATAAATTTTTAATCACCGGTTATGAACATTAAATATTTTAAACTTTTTGTTATGGAAAATTTCAAATATATACACGATTATTGAAAGTAGTATAATGAATCTTAGGTACCCATTACATGTATTCAACTACCAACTCCTGGACAATTTTTCCAACCCTCCCCACCTGGATTATCATGAGGCAAATCTCAGACATCATATCATTTCATCCATAAAATCGCAGTATGTCTCCCAGGACTGTCTTTTGAAAACAAGATCACAAAACCATTACCACACCTAAAAAATAAATAAATAATTCTTTATTATCAAAATGTAGTGTTTAAGCTTCCCCAATTATCTCATAATTTTTTTGGCAGGATCCAAATAAATTCCATACATTGCAATCAATTGATATGTCTTTTTTGGTGTATAAGTTACCAGGACTTTTGTTGGAAAGATAAATATGCTTCTAGCTTGTTTAGGTCACTGTTCTTGAGATCTCTGTATCACAACAGCAACATCCTAAGCCCACAACCACTGCAGCCCCCAGCTCTCAGGGCAAGCTCATGGCTCATCACTCTGGTTCCCAGGCCTGGGTTGACCCAGAGCAAGAGCAGGAGGGCTGGGGTTCAACATTCCAATCCTGTCTCTGGCCAACACACTTCCCAGTCCTTTTCAAGACTTGGCAGAGGTACCAGATTCCCTCTAGGAGCAGCCCAGGACTGGTTCACCTACAGCCTGGAATTTCTCAGGTTGAGAAGGAGCTGTGCTGAGAATTAGTCAATTTTTAAAATAAAGTTACAGGGACCTAAGAGACGATCTAACTCAGGGATCAGCAAACTTTCTGTAAAGGACCAGAGAGTAAATATTTCAGGCCTGGCAGGCCATACAGTCTCTGCCCCAGCTATTCAACTCTGCCGTTGAGTGTGAAAGTAATCATAGAAAACATATAAACAAATGAATGTGGCTGTGTTTTCACAAATCTTTGTTTATGGACACAAATTTGAATTTTATATAAGTTTCATGAAATATATTACATAATTATATGATATACTATGAAATAGAATATTTTATGTTATGGATTCTTTTGATTTTTTCCTACTATTTAAAAATATAAAATCCACTCTTAACTTGCAGGCTATACATAAATGGACACTAGAATGAATTTGGCCTATGGGCCACAATTTGCCTTGATCTAACCCAACCTTCTCATCTGTTGCTGAGAATTAAACTGAAGACCAGAGAGGTGAATTAATTCACAGAAAGTCACACAGCAAGTTGATGAGAAAGGCCAAAGTTAGAACCCAAGTCTTCATCCCTTAAAATTTACAAAGGAATACTTTAATAGCAAGAACAGTATACTCATGAACCATTTGAAAGGCCAAAGACAGAGAACCTGAGCTAAAACCCCAAGCCATATGGATATATCACGACAATAGAAAGCCTGACTGCAGTGCTCGTTTCCTAGTAACCACAGCCTCTCTGATGAAAGATTGCTCTGACTTGTTATTTATAACTTATTTCCCAATAGGGAGGGTGAGTGATTTGATTATATTTAGTTACAAGAGCCAGGGAAATCCTAATCTACCATCTTAGCATACTCGCGAACCTTAGAGCCACAGCTGCCAGGAGATGGGAGAAAGCAAAGAAAGCTGCAATGTACAGTGTTGTCCCTGTTACTAACAACAAGGGTCACATATAGCAATTACTGACTGCCTGACACAAATAACAGATGGTGTGAGGGGAGACAGGGAAGAAAGGCATGCATTCCTATTTATACTCTATGGAGGCAGTCATTATGAGAAACATTTCTGCACCTTGTTCATTACTCTACTTGGAGCATCTGTTAATTTAGCCTCCTTTTTTGACTTTGTCAGTACGACTACGCTTCTGGCTCCTAGAGTTATGTTCTTGAGAATGAACTCTGCTGCCTCTTAAGGGGCTTTCTTGGTTCCAGAGAAAATTGGATGATTTGAAGTTCAGAGAGGGAACACAAAGCATTAGAAAACCACAAACAGCCTATAAATAGAAGAGGTCTCATTGGCCTCTTCTAAGAGTCAAGAGATTCCGGGTGGAGTTAGGTAGAATTGACAAATTAAGCCAATGTCAGAGACAGTAAGCCGTGAAGGGGTTACCCAGAGATTATCTAGTGTTGTCCAACCCCATATTTTACCTCCTAGGGCCCAGAGAGGATAAGTGACTTACAAAAGATCACACAGCAGATTTGATGAACCCAGATCTTGTTACTCACTGACTCATAACATTTCTGATACCTAAGCAGCTTCTAAAACAAGGCAGAAAATATCTCAAAGCAGGCAAATGGACAGAAGTGAAACGCCAACATGATGAATCAAAGCAGAATCTTCGTTTCCTTCTGTCCACAAATTTAAATAGATAATTATGTGTCATTGCACAATTATATGAAAATAGGAGAAGAGGTGGCATTTGTTAAAAGAATAAGGAACAAAAAGAGATCGGGGTGGGGGGTCACAAATTGATGGAGGCATCCAATGGCTGCCTCGGACACATTACTTGTAGAATGTAGTTCTTAGGTTTAGTGGCTCAGCTGGGGCTCTGGAAGTGCACATGGGATGTCTGTTCTTTGGAAGAAAGAAATAAGAAATCATTCAGGAATGTTGTATAGTTTGTCTGAAGCAATGGTTGTCTTTTCCCCCATCCTGATTAATGACGTAATAAGATTTGGGGTGTATTTTTTATTATGCGAATACATACAGATACGTGTTTTAAGTGAACAGCTACATATTGATTATAAAATAATCTGTTATTATTTTAGGAGCAAATCAAACACTGACCTTTCAATTTTCCACCAAGTGTTTTTCCCCATAATGCCCCATGCACACTTTAGACATGCAAGATGGATAATGAGGGCCAAGGCAACAGGACTAGAAGAGAGGCTTCAGGAATGCTGAGCAAGCAAATGAACAGACCTGAGATGCTGGATAGCTTTTATACAGAAGAAAGAGGAAGAGGAAAATAAAGCAGCTGACAGTATTCCAGGGGTGCCTGGCTGACCATCTGTTGGGGACATGGGAGGGGGAGGTTGACTAGATGGCTTGTGTGATCCCTGCAGCAGTCACAGTCTGATTCAACAGGAGAAGACCACATGTATTTTCAGAAATAGCTCTTACATTATGTTTATGCTTTATTGGCAGGGAGTTCTAGTCTTGTTGTTCATACTTTGTAAGAGTGCAGTGAGCCTTTTTTAAAAAATATATATACAAGCAAACATCCACTACCCGGTCTGGTAACAGCTTTTCCATTTTCTGTTGGAGAGCTATTCTTCCTCACCCTCAGTCAGGGGATCTAATGTTATCCTCCAGCTCTAAGAGTGAGCACATAAGCCAGACCTGGCCAATTAGTGCTTCCCATCGCCCTGGTCACAGAGATTGGGCAAAAGACTCAATGAGAATCAATCCTGGGATTTTGCTAAATTTTCCGATAGGAAATAGGGGTATTCTTGCTGGAGTGGCTTATCTGATACAAGTAAGCCTGGAGCTGTCGTCTTTCCTATCATGGGAGAGCCTTCCTAAAAATAAAGCCCACATAGAAGCAAGCCAGCCCAGAGGTGGAGAGAGACTAGATTCCAACAGTGTCATTTGAGCATGTGTGTTCAGTCATATCTAAACTGAGTTTTTCCTTTGAAATCAAATGAGACACTAAATTCCCTTTTTACTTCACAGTTTAAACTCAGTTTGGTCCTCACAGACAAGAGTCCTGGTTAAACAAGAAAGACAAAATAAAATGAAAAACAGACCCTAAAACAATAATCCATCTTGTTTGCATAGTCCTTTTCAGTTAGCAGAAACCTTCCAGGCCCCTGGAAGGTTTATAGCAACCCCAAGAGGCCAACCAAGCAGGAATTGTCCCTATTTTGAAGATAAACACCAAAAAGTAATTGCACTCTTGCTATGTGCCACTGTTCTAAATGCTTTTCAGGTATTAATTAATGATTCCTCAAAGTGACCTAGTGAAAGAGCTGATATTGTTATCCCCATTTTATAAGAGTAGAAACTGAGGCAAAGAGGTGAAATTGTTGGCCCAAGATCGCTGCCAGTAAATAGATGTGGTGGACACACGCTAGGGTGACCCCACCCCAATACCAACCAGTGATGCTTCTGAGGAATCCTCTCCCCCGAGCGTGGGCAGGACCTATGCTTGTTTTTTGCCAGTGGAATATGGCAAAGGTGATGAGATGTCACTCCCATGATCACATATGGCAAAGGTGAAGGGATTCTGCAGATGTAACTAAGATCCTTAATCAGTTTGACTTTGAGTTAATCAAAAGGGAGATTATCCTGGGTGGGTCTGACCTCATCAAGTGAGTTCTTTATAAGAGCAGAGATGTTTCCCCAGGATCAGAGACTTCAAGCAGCAGAGATTCCCTCTTTCCTGCTGGTCTTGAAGAAACAAGTTCTACAGTCACAAGGAGATGAATTCCACCAAGAACCATGCGAGCTTAGGAAAGGATCCCAAGTCTAGACGGGACTGCAGACCTGGACAGCACTTTCACTGCTGCCTTGTGAGACCCTGAGCCAAGGACCCGGCTAAGCCATGCCCAGACTCCTGGCCCCTGAAAGCTGTGAGATAACATACGGGTGGTGTTAAGCCGCCAAGTCTGTGGTAATTTGTTACACAGAATGGACAACTATCACAGAAGAGGAGCAGAGATTCCCACCCAGTGTGACTCCAGGAACTGTGTGACAAGTGCTGGTTACCAGGTTCTTTTGGACACCAAAGGAGAGAGGTATTTTACCACACCAACCAGTTTCCAATCCCCCAACACTAAGTAGGTGTCCTGCAATTCAATTCAATCTGACACTACCCAGAGTTAGTGTCACACTCCCCAGGTGTGAGGGCTCAGTCCCACCGACTGCCTTCACTTCAGATGCCAGTTGCAAGGATCATGTCACCCGTACCTCTGACAGACTGGCTGTGAATCAGGGGTTCCCATGACCCCCTGATAATTTGTTAATTTGCTAGACTTGCTCACAGAACTCAGGAAGCCACTTTATTTACACTTACTAGTTTATTATAAAGGATGCAAATAAACAGCCAAATGAAGATGTATGCAAGGCCAGGTCTGGGGGAGTCCTGAGTGTAGGAGCCTCTGTCTCTGGTGGAGTTGGGATGCAACACCCTCCTAGCATGTGGATGTTTTTGCCAACTTGGAACTTCCCTAAACCCTGTTGTTTACGGACTTTCATGGAGGCTTCATTACATAGCCATTATTGATTAAGCCATCGGGCATTAGTGATTAAATCATCTCCACCCCTTCTTTCTTCCCCGCAGGCTGGGGTGTGAGCTAAAAGTTCCAAACATCTAATCAAGGCTTGGTCTTTCTGGGGACAACACCCTGTTCTGAAGCTGCTTAGGAGCCCACTAAGAGTAGCTCATTAGAATAAAAGATGCTTCTATCGCCTTCATCACTCAGGAAATTCCAAGTGTTTTAGGAACCAGGGAGAAAGACCAAATATAGATTTCCTATTATACCACACTGGTCTTTACGGCCTTTGAAGATGATGACTGGGGCCCATACCAATGACTAGGGGACCAGCCAAAGGCCAATGACTGAGTTGGGACCAATGCCTGTGTTTCCTCACTTCAGGACTTTTGACTTCTAACCGTGTCCCTGACTCATTCTGCCACCGCTAAAGTACACAAAGGCATAAAAGATAAAATGGGTTTTTTTTCTCCAGAAAAAATAAAATGTTTAAAGGAGAAGTTTAACATATAAGAGCCAAGAAAATGTTGATTAAAGGTTAGGAGTTTTTATATGTCATATACATCATGACTCTATAAGTCAAAGAAGTGTGGAAAGTGAAGCTCAGAGACCCTAAGTGACTTCTCCAAGGCTATTCAGTCATGGAGGAGGAGCTGGGATTTCACCCTGGGTCTGACCTCCACCTTCTTCCTCCTCCCTATAGCACCAAAGAACAAAGGGAGAATATTTCAGCCATCTTCTAGTATCCAGTGGATTGGCAGAATTCTTTTAGGAAGGGATATAATCAGGAAATTTCCATCTCCACAGAAAGTATTACTAAAGAAAATGCATGGTAATTAAAGCATAAAGGATTTCACTTAATCCTAAGGAAGAGCTTTCCAGGGATAAGGTTAATTAAACGCTAACGAGATTTTGTTTTAAAAAAATCAAAAGCCTCGAAAATTCTGCTTTCAGATTTCTGTTTATGAAACATCACAGGAAAACAGCAAGAAGAAAGGTTGGGAATGATTTTGCAAGCTAGTCAAAACGCTTGCAAGCCCAAGGTTTTCAACTTTGACTATAAGGCTGAACTGAGTAAATAAATTGTAAAGATCAGTCAGAGCTTTCTGGGAGACTATAGCAAATGTTAATGGCATTAAATTTTACGTATTAATTTCCAGGTTTGAAATACATACTAGCTTTTCTCATGATACCGTTCATATTTTTAAAAATTATCCACAAAGAAAGCAAATGGACTCAGCTGCAGATTTCTGCACTCACACAGTGCATTTCTTTTATAGGTGGATGATTTCAGACCCTCCACTATCTATCCCCCATTGCGGGGCCACAGAAACTCTCCATCCCCACCACGGCCCCTGCTTTGTACTTGTGCTTTCTTTTTGCTGCTGCAGACCCCTTACTGCCTGATACCCCACATTTAGTCCCAGTCCTTTGCTGCATCAGGAGCAGTCTTGGGATAAGAGCTTTAGATGACTTCATATGCTGTAAGGAGGGAGCAAGGACATAAAAATGGAAGAGGGAAATCTCAGATTCCACATATTTCTGTACCCTCCCTTGCCCCCTCTCTCCAGACCTGGTCCAGGATCCTCCAACCCCACATCTGCTTCCCAACCTTTTTCTTACAGCCAGGCTTCCTGCTCTAAGTCTTTTAATAAAATGCCCCAAAGAATGGTGCTTTTCTCTGGATGTGGCTGAATTGCATTCTTAAACCTTGGTGTATTCCAGAGACCAGCCCTTTCCATATGGAGGACCTAACTGAAAGAGGAGAGAAAGGTGGGGGAAGGAAAGACAGCACTTTCTTTATTGAAAAGTGAGATCATGAATTCCACCCTGGGATAAAAGTAATAAGAGGGCTGGGCAAGAGATGATCACAAACAGTGTTGAACCCTGGTAATTTGTGTCAAATGTCTTTAAATGACCACATTATCTGATTCAGTCATTTCACTCCTGGGGATTAAGTCTAAATAAACAATGGGAAGACAAATAAGATCTAAACAAATAGTGATATACAATGTTCATAGAAGTCTCAATATGGTAAAGATATGAAATCATCCCCATTTCATAGATGAATAAACTGAGGCATAGAGAGATTACATAAACTGTCTAAGGTGATATAGCAAGTAAGAGGTGAAACCATGATTCAGAACTAAGCAGTTTGGGCCCAGAGCCCATGCTCTTAACCACCCTGCTGTCTTGCCCATCCCCTGTGCTCCCGCTGTTCCACTGCATTTTCCTCGCTGCGTGTCTATTTCTTGCACTAGGAAGAGCAGGAACCACATCTGGTTCACCTTGGAACCTCCAAGTCCCTGGTGTGTAGGGAAGAGTCAAAATACATTTACTGAACTCAACAGGATGGTTTATTGGTAAGTTATCTAATCATTGGGATTTATGCTTCTACCTTTACAGAATTCTCTGTAAATTAGGGCACAGATGTAGCCAAAAATACACAGATTTAATAATGAGTCTTTAAAAAATAGTTTCCTTAGCTGCTCCCCTCTTCTGGTTTTGGGTTGTTAAATAATTTAAATGGCGGATCCAGAATTTATTTTTTAATATGATTTTTTAAATAGGAAATTCCGGAACATTTCTCATCATATTATTTGAGAACAAGAATTATGTCATTTCTTATTTTTTTCTACACTGTGGGTGCCCAATAAATATTAATACTGATGCCACTATTAAAATTATAAAACTATAAACAGGAAAACAGTAGTGAAGTGTCTTTTTTTTAAAAAAAAAAAAGGTTTTATGGTTAGTGAAGGGAAATAAAAAATGATTTATTTCGGCCTCTTATGTTTATAACAAAAATAGTAAATCTGATGAACATTTCTGAGACCTGTGGAAATCAGGTAGTTAAACCACCACCAAAAATTAGTTGAAGAAACTGGTGGTGGAGCACTCCTAAGCAAGACTGTGGACACCTAAACCCACCTCTGGTTTCTTTGGTGCCTGGCTACGTTTCAAGGTCTTTGCAACATTATAAATAACCAGTCCTCTCAACCCTGACCACTCTAGTCACAATAAATCCACATAGCCTCTTTGTCTTGACCTCTTAGCATTCCCAGGATTTTATATAACTCATGATTAGAAATGTTTATAGAGAAAATGACCTCCTATTGAAGAGGTTCAAGATTTATATTCAACCAAGTCAGAAGGAGCAAGAGAAAACTTTTACTGGTAACCAGTATTGTTTTTGATAAACAACATTATATTAGGGTTCTCCAGAGACATGGAGCCAATAGGCAACATATAGACACACACATACATATAGACAATTGTGAGGGCAGTCATGCAGTTGTGAGGGCTGGCAAGTCAAAAAATTTAAATTGCAGGGCAGACCAGCAGTCTGCAGTCCCAGGGAAGAGCTGATGTTTCAGTCTTGAGTCCAAAGCCTGTCTGAAGCATTCCTTCTTCCTTGGGGGACCATTTTAAGGCCTTCAACTGATGAGATAAGGTCCATCCACATTGCAAAGGGTAATTGGCTTTATTCAAAGTCAACGGATATAAATGTTAATCATATCTTTTAAAAAAGACCTTCATAGCAACATCTAGATTGGTGTTTACATGAGTACCATGTAGGCAACTCAGCCTAGCCAAGTTGACACATAAAATTAATCATCAAAACCATCAATATTCTTTATTATATCAGTGACTGCAGCTATAATTCACTAAGCCAACAAGAAGAGATATAATGATATAACTTTTGGATTTCTCCCTGAAACAAATCAGACCAGTTCTTCAACTGTGCAAGATTTCTGTGTACTAAACTCTACAGCAAATGCCAGTTGGCCAGTGTCTTTTTTGGCCTATATATTATCCAACGGTAGTTGATAAAGTTTTCTGATGTCAGCAGGATGGTTTTTACTCACTTTTGGCTATGTATTTCTGCTCCACAAACACTTCCAAGAAGGCATTACAGCATAAAAAACTATCACATTCCACCACCAGCATAGTATCTCTCACCAATTAAATTATCCCAATTGCTTTGATACAGATAATTGCAATCCCTTTGTTTATAAATCTATGTCTTAAATTAAACATTCATGGTCCCTATATAGTGAACAAAAATACACAGACTATTTTACCTCTAATGAAAGTTTAATCATGATCTGATAGCAGGGGCTTACAGTGCGCTCAGAGCAGCAATTGTGTGGAGTGATCTCTTTGCTGGTCAAAGTAGGGGTGGCACACTTCCTCTAGCCATCTGTTTCAGCCACCTCACTTGCTTCTCCACAGCCCGACCTCTCTCTCCCATCATAAGAACTTCCCGTTTTCAGTTCCTCCCATTATCCAAATGGATATGGAGGTCTTGGGCCAGGAACAAAGCTCCGAACAGCTGGATTTAGAGGAGATCTCAAGGAAAATTTCATTCCTTGACAAATGGAGGGAAATCTTTAGTTATCACAGGTAAGGTGTTCTCATTCTCTCATTTCTTTAGAAACAAAGGAATTTTCCGTGTTTAAGTAATCAACTTATAAGCTTGCAACATGAGAAATTTCCTTTATAGATTTACCTTTAAAATGCTTCAGGCATAACTATTCGTGGACAGAGACTTCCCTAGCAAGGTTGGGGTTTGGGAGGTTTGTGGATGTGAGGTTTGAAGAGAGTGAGTAATTTACTTGATGTTTTCTCTTTCATTTAAAGGTTGGGAACCAATAATTCAACTCCTCAGGTAATTACTTTTCCCAAAGCCAGTGTGTTCTCCTTTAGTTGCTTCTTCAAACAATCACATTAACAGCATAATCTGCATTTATTCTTTGCACATAATGTCACTCAGGCACTGGCATTTAACGCGTGAAAACATAAAACTAGAAAGCCTGTCGAAGATTTTTTTCTTGTGCTTTTTTATGGATTTCTCTTTCTACTTCTAAGAGCTATGTTTGTATCATTAAGAGCATCATATGGTTATTATTTTAGGAAAAAAGGTAATATTAAAATCGAAAGTTCCCACATTTGTGAAATAACACTGGATTCTGACAACCAAGTGCTTCTGTGTCCCTGAAGAAAAGCAGTTTTGAAAATAGTTATCGTCTTTATTCAGCTTGTGAAAAATCATTTTCCTTTACCATTTTAAAATAAGAGAAAGATGACTGAATTCTGGTGCTAAAAAGGTATTTTAAAATCTGATATACAATATAAGATGAAAGATGTTTGTACCTCATGTAAACTGAAAAGGTTAGAAGGTAATGGACTTTGTATTTCAGGTATTACTTCAATCACTGAGCAAACACAGCATAAAATATTAAGGTGGTTTTCATGGTACTAGTATATATGATCAAGCAATTGAATCATTAATATTTTAACTATAATGCTAAAGCTTCTCGCCCCAAGTAGCCTATGATCAAAAGTCTTATTTATGCTAAAACTCTCTTAACCACAGTCTAAATTAGAATCAGAGCAATAATGCTTCTATTTTAGTCTTGGAAGTATTAAATGGAGATATCTATCATTTGGGGGGATAGAACATTCAAAAGATAAAACAATCTTTAAAAGAAAAAAAAGTCAAGTTATGCTTTACACACGGTGGGAAAAACCCATTGGCACAAATGTAAAGATTTTCCATTTGATTTACAAAATGCATCTTAGCTGATCAGTAGTCCGTGATTTGAATGCTGTGCTTCTGAGATAAGAAAGAATCTTTGCCTCTAGGAATACAGAAAAACTAAGAAGGTGGTTTCCCTCATGTTTCAGCCACCAATAGGACAGATTTGTTGCACAACATTAGTATATAAGCTAAGTAAATTTGAAGAAGAGCTGATGCTAACTTACAGTGACATGTCATGAGAATCAGTCAAGAAAAGCGAAAAGAAATTTTTTTAAAGGTAGACGGTGGATTTTTTTTAAGGAAAAAGAACGATTATACTCACTTGTTGGGGAGTAGGAATCTGAAAGAATTAAAAAGAGATAATCTGACTTCATTTATTGGCCAGTTAACAATGTAATGAGAAACACTTTGTGTAAACTGGAAAGATTCGTTCAAAGTTTATAAAATGTTGTCTTCTCAAAACAAGAGACAGTGACATTTACATTCTTCTCTAAACATAATTTCAAGTCAAGGTCTTGATGGCATTAATTATGTTTCCATAGTTACATTTAACCTCTCCAAGTCATATAAACCCTTATGAGAAACCCCTTTGACACAGACACTGGGATTTTTCTGCCTCTTTTATTGCTATTTATCACAATTTTCAGACGTCTTTAAAAGTGAGACAACATTTTCTGAACACTGGTATTTCAGAGAGAAAAAGAGAAAATTTAAAACAAGGTCATCACCAGCTCTGTTTGCTTTGTCTTTTGTGGGGGTGATATTTGCACAGAATCATGAAGGCAACCATACATCTGCTGATGAAAATGAAGATGGAACAGGACTATCTCAGCCCAAAGGACAAGGACATTTGCCATCAAGTGGCCTTTGTTCTATTCCCAACCCCTCTATCATCTCTTCAAAATTGGGTGGCTTTCCTATCTCCCTAGCAATGGCCACGGTAAGTATAGCTTGTCAATTAAACATGAAATGAAACGTAATCTTCCCAAAACAACAAGGCTGGGGAATCTTATCTCCTGCCATGTGAGAGTATATTGAAGATAAGACTACAGATGGTTGTTATTGGTAAAAGGAGAATATAATTAAAATGACTTATTTATGGTATTCTTCAAGGACACTTGTGGCAGTACAGCCCTTTCCTCCCAAACTCTGAGTCTCTCTTTATTCACTTCTTCAATTTGACAGTGAAATTTGAGGGAGTGAGTTACATTCAAATAACTCACTATAGAAGGTAGGATAGGACAGACTCTCTAAGTGGCAGACTGTGGAGCGCTGCAAATGCGTAAGACAATGTAGATGTGTAAGAAAGTACCCCACCTGTATGCATGCAGGAGGGAGAGAGCTGGGGAAACTTGTCAGGCCATGTCCTGGGCAGGTAGCTAATCTCAAGAAAGAAACAGTTTTCTGGGGCTACCAATTAATATGCAGATTTGAAAAGAACATGACATTTCAGGATCCAAATCACCAGGATCTGTAAGCTATTGGTCCCGGGGACCATTTGCTCAATTCAAGACTTCACCAGGGTGGGGGCAAGGGGCTGAGGCAGAGATCCAGCCAGGAGGCAAAACTAAAGGCATCTCATTGGGTCAAATAGGCCAAAGCTGGAGGTAGTGCCTTGGCAAATGTCCAAAGGACCAGCTGTCATGGTCAAAAAGATGCCATTGGAAACTTGGGAAGCAGAGGCAAGGGTCAAGCCAAGGTAAAAGTACCAGAGAGGCTGAGATGCCCCTCCCATTGGATTGCCCTCCAGTGTAGCCCTTGAAATCATAATGAAACTCGGGACTTCTCAAGACAATTTCCCCATCATCACCCTATCTTCTAAACCTCCACATTACATCCTAGAAGCTCAGGCAGGGACCTCTACTCAGGGCCTTAAGAATGAGAGTTGGAAGAGGGACCTTCTTCCTGAGGACATGCTGTCACACATGGATGTTTGTAGAAACAACCCAGGACCAGCCTAGGCATCTGGGCAAAGACCAGCAACACTGGCCCTGCAGTCAGGCCTGCCATGTACATCGAGTTGCACAGTTTGTGCACTGCACACAAGATCCCAGCTGAGAGGATGAGTGGGGACTAAAACTTCTTCCGGGGAAACCACATGAAGCCTAACACAGAGTTTCCGTCTGCTTTTTGAGAATGAAGGCTGGTGACCCTGACTGCGGTATTTCCAGCTTCGATATAACCTTTCCTTAAGCTCCCCGAGACAGGACACAATCAGATGCAGGGACCACACAGCCCCTGGATTCGTTTTTATCATACAAAACCTCCCAGGCTTCACCAAATAACTTTCTCCACCATCACACTTGCAGTACAGATGCACTGGGAGGCCTCACTTGCTCTTTCTCGTTGTCGAAAATCTATCTGCCTTGGCCGGGCATGGTGGCTCACATCTGGAATCCCAGCACTTTGGGAGGCTGAGGCAGGGGGATTGCTTCAGGCCAGGAGTTCAAGACCAGCCTGGCCAACATGGCAAAACCCCATCTCTACTAAAAGTACAAAAATTAGCCAGGCATGGTGGCACATCCTGTAGTCCCAGCTACTCAGGAAGCTGAGGCAGGAGAATCGCTTGAACCCAGGACGCAGAGGTTGCAGTTAGCCATGATCCCGCAACTGTACTCCAGCCTGGGCAACAGAGTGAGACTCTGTCAAAAAAAAAAAAAAAAAAAGAAAAGAAAAGAAAAGAAAGAAAATCTATCTGCCTCAATCCACCTTGCTTTCCTCTTTTTGCTCAGATGCCTGAAGCCACAGGAAGATGGGCAGGTATGCAGAGCTCCCGGAACACTGCACTCAGCTCACTGGCCTTCAAGCCTCTGGATGGAGCCTTAACTTGTATCTTATATAGATACTTAATCGCTGTCCTTTCAAGCAACGAAGATAGATAATATGTAATCCTTGCCAGGGCCCCCAGCCCTCAGTGATTCTGCTGCCTACACTGTGGTATAGACCAGAAGTTAGAGCAACTATCTGCATTTTACTTGACAAGGAAATGTTTTTAATGAAAAACTTTAATAAAAATGTATTCTTGGCTTCTGCAATGAATTTCTTTAGAGAATGTCATTTTAAAATTTACACGTATCTGAAAAATAGGCTACCTTTTATGTGAAAATGAGAGACAATTATGATTCTATATTGATACTTGCCTGTAAAAGAAGTAATTCCAGAAGGCTTCCTAAAACACAACAGTGGGTACAAGGGAGACGTGGATGGCAGGGAGTCTTCACCACATACCTTTTTGTCTCTCTGGATTTTGAACCACATGAATATACTATTTTTTAAACACACACACAAATTTTAAAAATAGAAAAAGCATTCACAGACATTTGCAAAATCTTCTAGTCTTTCTCTGTACTGGGGAGGCGAGAAACTCTGAGTCTGAATATTCCCACTTATCTACAAACACAAACATGAAGCAACTGGGGACCGCCCCATGACTATGCCAAGGTAATGTTCTCCCTTTGGAAAAAGCTAGGAGACAAAAGATTTAGAAATGAAGTTGATAGGGTGTTAAGAAAGTCCCAGAAATAGAGATAATTGATTTTTCTTTAAAAAAAAATAAATTTGGATTTATTCCCATTATATGGGCCAGATGATCATGAGTCCTTTAAATAGCAGTAGCATTAATTAAACACATCCTGGGAATTCAGGATGACAAGCTTGGGATTCTAAATATGCTTGTTCTAGGGAGGCAGTTTGGAAGCTTGACCAATTCTAATCGATGTTTCAGCAGTGCAGCCACCTGGCAAATTGTCAGAGCTATTGAATCCTAATACCACTCCAGAAATCCTTTTGTTGTCATTCTGCTATTCTTTTCTCTTCTCTGTTTGGATTACGGATGCATGGCATTTCCTGACATTGGCACACACTGTCTCTTTGCTGGGAATCTTCTCTGAAAGTGGAGGTTGGGTAAAGCACCCTACGCACCTTTGCTTTCCTTAGCTCTCCTGTTTCTCACCTTTTGCTGTCCTCTTTCCAATACTACAGCTTTCTTCCTTCCTCCAGCCTGACATCTTTGAACATATGTGTTGGAACAAACTCTGGCCAAGGCTGCTGGCTCAGGTGAAATCGTGGGAAAGGTGAGCATCGCCTCCAGGCTATTCCACCAGCCCCACCTAATGACCTTCCTTCTCTCCAGTGGCAGTTTCCCACCTTCTCCCACTCCCAGGCCCTTTTCTGGACTCAGCCTTGAACACATTTCTGTAGCTGCAATATCATCCAGAAGAATCATAGTAAAAATGTAATACCAAGAGACCAAAATATTCTGGAGAGACTCAAATGAATGAAGCTCTGAAATGGGATAATAGGCAGGGTGTGCTTTTTGGAAGGAAGCACAGCCGGGTGTCCCCCCATAAGGTCTAGCTCATAGATGGGTCTCGACAGGTGTGAGTTAATGAATTCAGTGCCTCTGGATAATCCTCTAGCGCACCTCAGACTAGAGTAGGGGTGTCCTTTGTGTGCCCCTCCAGATGCATGGTCCACTCTTCTCCGACCTACCCTCTGCCCAGTAGAGAGGCTGACCTGTAGCAAGACTGACCTCCATCAGCAGGGTGCCCCCCTCCTCTGGCTTCCTGTTGAGTTTGAGCAATGGGGAGCCCTGAAAGGAAACTGAAGGGAGGGAAGGGAAGTGAAGTCAGGTTGCTCGTGGCTAGCTGAGTCCCTCTCCTCTCATGGCAGTCCTCTCCCCAGGACTCTCTCCTTTCTGGTTCAAGTCACCATTCCTTTGTGTGCTCCTTCAGGTCTAGGGGTCATAATGACTTCCCACTGTTGCTGGGACACTGCATTAGCCATTGTGGTGTCCCCACACCGAGCCCACATCTTTATAAATAGTCTCTGTCTTAAATGTTCCTCAAATTAATTATCTGACTTGAGAATGCCATCTGTTTCCTGCTGGGACGCTGGCTGGTACAAGTTGAAAGGCTTGCATTTGGGTCCTGGCACTGCCATTTACTATATACATGACCTTACATGTGCCATTTAGCTGACCTAGGCCTCTAGTCCTTTCACTGTAAAATGAAAGAGCCAAATTAGAACTTTAAAACTTCAACAGATACCTATTTTGAGCCTACTACATACCAGGCACTATGCCAGATGCTAAGAAATTGATGGCAAACATGATAGAACCAAGAGTCTACTACTCTGTTAGTTGGTCTAGGATAGAAATGTCTTCTTAGAACATCTTGGAATCTCTGATTCCATGATGGTCTAGTAATTCATAAGGCAAGAAGAGATTTAGGGAAGGAGCTTTAAAGAGGATTAGTCTACCTCAAGTTAGGGGTGGGCAGGTGGTCACAGGGAAGCTCTAAACCCGGGACAAAGTACAAGGCAGTCAGGGTAAGAACATTAACCCTGTTGGAAAGAATGATTCAGGGCCTCTATCTTTGAATGTGTGTATAAAATGTGTGTGTCTAAATGATGATCACCATCACTGTCATCATAGCAATCAAATGGAACAAAGTGCCAGGAAAGAAAGGAATTCTTCACAAATATAGAATACTAGCAAAGCACAAAGAGAAAAACTATAAACCATGCTTGATTATGTTAATAATAATCATGGCAGCCACTTATGAGGACCATTTACCATCTGTTTCTAGTTACTAGACAGCACAACAGCACATGTAATTATGTGTCAGGTTAATCTCATTATAAATAATATCTGATATTGGAAAGTAAATGTTACACAAGTAAGTTGGGTCATCTTTGTCACACTGGCCAACGGGGCCTGGCCAGAGAGAACTGCAGCCCCTCTGTTTTTAGACCTCCTCAGAGGGACAGCTGGAGAGAGAAGCTTCTAAGTTGGAGGTGGGAACTGGCAACAGAAATAAGAGTGTGGTTTGGCTTGCAGAACTTTTAAAATTGAATTTAAATTCTAAGCCTTCTTAGTCTCAACGGTCTTAATCTTCCACATTTATACACAGCTTTTCCTCTCTTATTGCTGCCAGTCTCTGGTCTTTTTCCATCTGTGTTGGGACTTTCTTCCATACGGCACAAGATGTTCCTGCATAGACAGGCTGTGTTTTCACAAAGGTAATAACACCCTACATTTACTTAGCACTTATGGTTCCCAAAGCCCTTTGCCATGCTTCTCTTTCAACAATAGCCAGGATGTGGACCAAGCAGGGGTTACCCCATTTCTGGATAAGTAAATTAAGTCTTAGAGAGGTTCAGTAATTTGTCCAAGTTCACATGGTTGGTAAGGAGCAGAACTGGGGCTTCTTTGCCCTTGAGTTGGGAGCAGTCTTTCTGTGCTGTGCAATCTCAATGTCAGGGAAACATTTTCCATTAGTTTTCAATGCCTGTCCTGGGGATGTTCTGGGTCTAGGGCTCTCTTTGACCATAGCACACACCAAGTCTGTGTCTTCCAGAGCAGCCTCTGTGCCTGTTCGCTGCCTCTCCTTGAAGTGCTATTGCATTGAGACAGAGAACACATAGTTTTTCTTCAAGTGGGTCCTTGCTCACCCTGAAGTGCACCTGCCCCCTTTTCTCAGTAGAGACAACCTTTTCTTTTGAGGGTGGAAGTAGAGATGGCCGGGAAATAAATTCTAACCTTAAACCGGCCCCTGGGCCAACATAGGAAGAACATTACAGATGCATGCTTCTCCCACGTCTTTCCTTTTTAGAAACCAGTAGAGCCTACTCTCAGGGCCTGCTCCATGCACAGCTGGGAAGAGGCACCTCAGCTCTGGGCCCATTGAGCTCCACGCTCCGTTTGTCCACACTCTTTGACTGGCTGCAAGTGCCTGAATATGATATTCAAAGTTATCCAGGATCAGGCCCAGGGTACTTTGCAATCTGAGCTTCTACTCTTCTTCCTACCCCTTGGCCTACACACACACACACACACACACACACACACACACACACACACACACAGTTCCAGTCACATTGAACACTTACTCCTCATCTAGGGACACCCCAGGTACTGATGTGTGCATGTTTGTAGATCTTTCTCTCTGTCTAGTCTCCCCTCTGTTACAGGTAACAGGCTGGTGTGTGGCATGTTCCAGAGTGTGAGATGTGTGTCTGTGCTGGAGCAAGGGGTGCTTCTAGGGATATGGCATTAAGTAACGTGTTACATATCCTTGAGTTACCTAGTGAGAAAGTGATCCCCTTGTCCACTCTGACAGGTCAGAGAAAAGGACAGTACAGTAAAGGGCAGTACACATTCACACCTCTTTAATACTTCTTACCTCCCTTTTAAGGCCCAGTCAGAGCTTTCACAGGCAGCAGTTTCTAGCTGTAATTTGTAGCATTGTTTCATTTTCATTATATTTTTATCATGTGTGGCAAATGATTTTGATTTCCATTGAAGGAAGTTATGTAAAGTGTCCTTCTTAAATAAATAGATTCCAAGTTACAAAATGTGTCCCAAGCTGGTGAAAAGTATTAATTAGATAGATTTCACCCCCCTGCCACCTCCACCAGAACAGGTGCTGGTATCCATGGCTGAGACACTCACAGACGGTTCACATCACAGGACTTTTGTGCAGGCAACCCTCAGTACTGGCCAGGAGCCTGGTAGGCTTGCTAGGTGGCTAGATCCAGAAGAGAGATAACAATCACTGCAGCTCTCAGGAAGCCACATCCATAGGAAAAGGGGAGAGTACTATATCAAGGGAACGCCCCGTGGGACAAAAGAATCTGAACAACAGCCTTCAGCCCTAGACTTTCCTTCTGACAGAGCCTACCCAAATGAGAAAGAACAAGAAAACCAACTCTGGTAATATGGCAAAACAAGGTTTTTTAATGCCCCCCTTCCCCCACCAGAAAGTTACACTAGCTCACCAGCAATGGACCCAAACTGAGAATAAATCCCTGATTTACCTGAAAAAGGATTCAGGACGTTGGTTATTAAGCTAATCAGGGAGGCACCAGGGAAAGGTGAAGCCCAATGTAAGGAAATCCAAAAAAGGATATAAGAAGTGAAGGGAGAAATATTCAAGGAAAAAGATAACATAAATAAAAAACAATCAAAACTTCAAGAAACAGTGGACACACTTCTAGAAATGCAAAATGCTCTGGAAAGTCTCAGCAACAGAATTGAACAAGTAGAAGAAGGAAATTTGGAGCTCGAAGACAAGGTCTTCAAATTAACCCAATTCAACAAAGACAAAGAAAAAAGAATCCGAAAATATGAACAAAGCCTCCAAGAAGTCTGGGATTATGTTAAATGACCAAGCCTAAGAATAATCAGCATTCTTCTATTATTCTAAGAATAATCAGAAAGAAGAGGAATCTAAAAGTTTGGAAAACATATTTGGGGGAATAATAGAGGAAAACTTCCCCAGCCTTGCAAGAGACCTAGACATCAAAATACAAGAAGCACAAACACCTGGGAAATTCATTGCAAAAAAATCATCACCTAGGAACACTGTCATCAGGTTATCTAAAGTTAAGATGAAGGAAAGAATCTTAAGAGCTGTGAGACAAGGCCAGGTGTGGTGGCTCATGCCTGTAATCCCAGCACTTTGGGAGGCCAAGACCGGCAGATCACCTGAGGTCAGTAGTTCAAGAACAGGCTGGCCAACAGGGTGAAACCCTGTCTCTACTAAAAACACAAAAATGAGCCAGGTGTTGTGGCACACACCTATAATCCCAGCTACTCAGGAGACTGAGGCAGGAGAATCACTTGAACCCAGAGGCTGAGGTTGCAGTGAGCCAAGATCGTGACAGCGTACTCCAGCCTGGGCAGCAGAGCGAGACTCTGTCTCAAAACAAAACAAAACAAAAAAAAGAGCTGTGAGACCAAAGCACCAAGTAACCTATGAAGGAAAACCTATCATATTAACAGCAGATTTCTCAGCAGAAATCCTACAAGCTAGAACAGATTGGGGCCCTATCTTCAGCCTCCTGAAGTATTAATTAGATAATGGTTGGTATACAAAAATGATAGAAATCATAAGGATGATACTTACATGATTAAAGTAGGGCAGGTGTTAAGAGAATGGGTAAAAACCCAGCTGTGTCTACTAACTGGGTGAACAAAGGCAAATACTCTAACTTATTTGGGTCTCGGTTCCCTCATCTGGATAAAAGCTGGATAATAGCACCAACTGCATAAAATTAAATGAAGGGAATAAATGGGAAGCACTTATCCCAGAGCCTGGTTCATAGAAAATGCTCAGTAAATGCTAGATGCCATTGACCAGCCTCATTCAAATGCCAGTTCTTCCATGAAGCCTTCCTGAGTACTTCAGTCAGAAGTTCTCTCTCCTCCCTCTGTTTTCTCATAGTACTTTTTACTTATCTTATGGAAAGTCACATGTTCTGTCTTGTACATAGCTGTGGGGTGTTAGACTTTTTACATAACTATATCCCACACAAGATCGAGTACATGCTAAATGATCAATCAGTCTTTGATTTTGAATAGATTCCCTTTTTTTCATACATTTGGTTTATAAAAAGTCTTGTTCCCATTTTTCTGGGAAGCTGTAAAACATCCTCTTGAATCTCAACGTGCTGCAGAGTATAGGAAAACCTCAAAGACCCTGGGACAGAGAGAATGCTTGTTTAAATCGCTACTGTACCAGGCTGGAAACATGAGATCCTGACTGTTCCTTTTTTCTGGAGTGAGAGACAAAAGCTCAAAGATGGGAGAGGCAGGGGTTACAAGTCATGGGTATGGGGCAAGAGCTGTAGACACAGAGCAGCCACGGTGAACTGCAAAGTAGATGCCTGGCAAAGGAAGGAGAGACACGAGGGACAAACGTTGTCTAGACATCTTCTGCTCAGGAGTTCAGACAATTAAAATCAGGGACTAGAGTAATATGTAAACCTGAATGTAGAAGGGAACGAGGCCCACCTCCTTGAGGTGGCCATGAGGCCACCATGAGGAATATGTCTAGGAAGAATTCTCTTTTGTTGAATCATTTCTTTCCCCTCTTTTCAGAAGCTGCGGCAGATCCTGTTTGGAAACACAGTCCATGTCTTTAGCTATAACTGGAAAAAGGCCTATTTCAGGTTCCATGATCCTTCTTCTGAACTAGCTTTCACTCTGGAAGTGGGAAAGGTAATAGCCAGTTTATAATTTTTAAAAAACCTTATTCCCATGTTCCTTATCCATATATCCTTCCTGTCCACATCCATGTAAATGCATGTCTTCATTATAATCATGTGTAGAAATATATTTATAATGTAAAGTTTAACCTTAAATGATAACAGACTATTTAAAATTACTTTGTAACAAATCTAAAAATCTGATATGGGCTGGGTGCAGTGGCTCACACCTGTAATCCCAGCTGTTTGGGAGGCTGAGGCAGGTGGATCACCTGAAGTCAGGAGTTCAAGATCAGCCTGGCCAACATGGTGAAACCCTGTCTCCTCTAAAAATACAAAAATTAGCTGGGTATGGTGGTGCACACCTGTAATCCTAGCTACTCGGGAGGCTAAGGTAGGAGAATTGCTTGAACCCAGGGGGTGGAAGTTGCAGTGAGATGAGGGCAGGCCACTGCACTCCAGCCTGGGAGACAGAGCAAGACTGCACCCCACCCCCCCCCCCAAAAAAAAACTACTATGAAGCAGGGACATGGTGAAGGCAAGATGGAGGAAGCCATACATCCCCAGTCACCAGTCCACAGGTCTCCACAAAGATGCTAGGCATTGCAGAATCCAGCCCAGCCACAGCACCAGCCACGGCTGCAGGGAGGAGTGGCACAAATATAGCATGGTGTCCCTTCACAAAGCTCTGGGGGATACCAGGAGGGAAAAGCCTGCAGAGAAGAATAGATAACATTAATTTCCAAGAGTTCTTCACCTCGTCATTCATTCTCCTCATTTCAGGGAGGGGCCCGAAGCATTCAGATGGCTGTGCAAGGATCCATCATCAAATACTTGTTGTTTACCAGGAAAGGAAAAGACTGTAACCTTGGCAAGTAAGAGGACTGTGAGAAGTACTTGAATTACCCATTTCACTAGAATCTTGATATGCTAAATAATCATAACTGAAAAATTCAGGTTGTCTCAGAAAGGAAATCTACCTCCTAAGACAGAAATGGCCCTGTCTGTCCCAGAGAGGCTGGATTCTGCCACTGGGAAGGGCTCTGCTGGAGTCATTCTGAATGTTCATTTGCAGGGATAATGTTGACAGGTTTTATGCTCTACTGCAGACCACTCTGTCAGGTAGAATTAAGCAGCAGGTCTCAGGTGGGCCTACTTGTCCATATTTGATGGAAAGCTCTAACCTAATAATTAGGGAGGAACAAAGGGGTGATATAAAAACCCCATAAATGATCAATCCTCCATTTTTTTTTTTTTTGCAACAAAGTCTCACTCTTGTCCCCAAGGCTGGAGTGCAATGGCATGATCTCGGCTCACTGCAACCTCCGCCTCCCAGGTTCAAGTGATTCTCCTGCCTCGGCCTCCTGAGTAGCTGGGATTACACCCGGCTAATTTTTTGTATTTTTTTTTTTTTTTAGTAGAGCTAGGGTTTCACCATGTTGGCCAGGCTGGTCTCGAACTCCTGACCTCAGGTGATTTGCCTACCTCGGCCTCCCAAAGTGCTGAGATTATAGGCGTGAGCCACTGCACCCGGCCAATCCTCCTATTTAACCAGGCTGATAAGGTATGATGTTTGGTTTTTGCCTATTTTTAAAGATCAGCTCAAGTTTATTCAAATTACTTTATTCCTAGAAGTTAACAAACCCCTATCATGTGCAAAGCCCTGTGCTAAATATTAGAGGAAATATAAATACTTCTGCCCTCAGGCAGGTAAAGTTATTACCCCCAAAGAGGAACTAAATATATAATATATTCTAAGATTGTGAACTGCCAGTTTCCCTAGAAGCAGAGCCCATGATGTGGATTCTTGACGCAAGTGATTTATTAAGGGAGTGCCCTCAGGAGAAAACCATAAGGGAGTGAGGGAAGCAGGACAGGGAAGGAGAAGCTGAGGAAGACTGTGGCTTCCAGCAATGTCAGTCTGATGCCATGGGAGCTCGGGTGCATGGATTGCACTGCGGAGCCTGCCCCATCTTCAGATGAGGGAGCAGGGCTTCTGTACCTCTTGCTCCAATGAGGCACTGGCTGTGGGCCATCCTTAGGGAGGAGGCATAACTCCCAGTGACTTCTGGGCAAGGTGGCTTCAATCCTTCAGAGAAAGTAGAAAAATGGGAGCCACGGTATCCAAAGTAGCTGGAGGATGAGTCCATCTCCTAAGTAAAATGGATCACAGGGAATTCAAATGGAACACATATATTTGCCACATAAAGGTAAGGCACTTAGCACAGCACTGTACTTGGCCTATGGCAAATATTAAATAAATGTGAACAAGTAACTACGTCTGTAGACACACTGCACGAAGCCTTCCTGAGCCCCCCAGTCACAAGGTGTCTCTATTTCCCGTGTTTTCTCATAGCACTCTGTTATTCTCATTCTATCTTGCCATATGGTTTTGGAGTATTAGGCTCCTTGACTTTTTTTTTTTTTTTTTTTTTTTGAGATGGAGTCTCACTCTGTCACCCAGGCTGGAGTACAATGGCATGATCTCGGCTCACTGCAACCTCTGACTCCCGGGTTCAAACCATTCTCCTGCCTCAGCCTCCCAAGTAGCTGGGACTACAGGCGCCTGCCACCATGCCCAGCTAATTTTTATATTTTAAGTATAGAAGGGGTTTCGCCATGTTGGCCAAGCTGGTCTTGAACTCCTGACCTCAAGTTATCCACCTGCCTCAGCCTCCTAAAGTACTGGGATTACAGGCATGAGCCACGGTGCCTGACCTTTTGTTACTCATTTCTGTATCACCACAGAGCTAGACGGATTGTATAAATCATTGCTGAGTTAATTAATAAATCTTTATCGCGTGTTTCTTTATAAAGACTATAGTTCTCAATGTTAAATGTTTGGGAAATAAGCAGAGTAAAGGTCTCCCACTGTGTAAAGACTGGCTCCCACTTCTTGGGAAGGCTAGACAGACCCTGAGTGTATTCAATGCAGTATAAAAGTCAAGGGCAGGAACTTTGGAGCCAGGTGAGCTGGGTGTAAATCGCTGCTCTCTGACTTTGAAGGTCAATGACCAGGAGCAAATTACTTCCCATCTCTGTGGCTAGGTGATGTTCATTCCAATGGTTTCCTACTCCTGCCTTCTGCATTATAGCTTATGTGAAATAAGCAAGAAGGAGCAGGAGCAAGCCTTGGCCGCGGCGCTTGCTGGCATCCTGTGGGCTGCAGGAGCAGCTCAGAAGGCCACCATCTGTCTTGTCACTGAGGACATTTACGTTGCGTCGACTCCGGACTACTCTGTGGACAATTTCACTGAGCGAGTAAGTGCAGTTCTCCCTGTCCTGGCAGATGAAAGGCCAGTGAAGCCTGAGCATGTAATAGACTTACCATGTGTATGCAGGTGGGGCCCCATCCATGCTCCTGATGTGACCGGAGGTGCCTTCCAAAGAGGCAGGTACCAAGGGCTGTAAGTGATCCAAGCAGACACAACAAAGAGTCCTGTTTTAAATTCCTGCTATGGAATTCACCAGGACCAAGAATATCTCCCATCTGAAATAATCATAAATGATATTTCCATATCCACTGTCCGAAAGACAGCTAAATTTCACCTATTAGGAAAAAATCTCTTTCTAGTTTTACTGCTCAAGATATTACATGATTTTAAACTGAGGAATGTAGAAGTGATGCTGGTAGCTACCCAGTTGCACTGTTTATGTTTTGCATGGCCTTGCATAAGATAGTATGTCAGTTTTTAGTAATGTGATTATGCAATGAAACAAAAAACCCACTTGTGGTAATAACAGTGAGTTGACATCTCTTAGATGTAACTTTCATCTTCCTTTTCATTTTTATCTTCTGTTCCTGATTTATAGCTCCAGCTGTTTGAATTTTTAGAGAAAGAAGCCGCTGAGAAATTCATCTACGATCACTTACTATGTGTAAGTGTTTAAGTGTTGAGATAATTCCTTTATGTTGACTGATCTTACAGGGATCTTCTTCCTTTTACAAAGTCTATTTCTAATGATGCCTGTTAAGAAAACCAGGTCATTTTGAGGGCTAAGAAAGGGCAGAATGAGAGAACAAAAAAGATCTGCCTCTTCCTCCTCACAACCTAGAAAGAGGCCAGATCACACACAGACCCACTCACGAATGCATCTTTTTCTTTGGTTAATCAAGACCAGAGAATAATCCATTAGAGAGTATATACCAGTATTTCTTTTGTGGCAAGCAATCCTGTCTCATCTAATGAATAAAAAACAAAATGGTGAAAAAATAAAATAAAATAAGGTTCTTGTCTAAGCTGCCAAAATGACCATTCACATTGACTCCAAGTAATTGGCTTCTTGAAAAGGTCCTGTTTCACCTGTCTATCAGCACCTTCCACACAATGCCCTCCACTGCAGTGATTCTTCCCTACCCCCAGGGTGGAAAGGGGACAAAGAAGGGTGCAGTGATGGTAGAAAATGGAAGACATTTTTAAGACTCTTCTGTGTAGAAAGAAATAAAAGCTGATTTTCCGAAAAATCAGAAACCTACAATGTGAAAGCAGAGGGAAATTAGCAGGATAACCATGAAGTGATACAACTGTTCATTGCATGGAGCAGGGAAATGTGATCTCATGTCTGTTGAATGAGTTAAACAAGGTCTGTTGTTAACTTGTGTGATAGGCAGAGGACTAGTCCCCCTAAAGAAGTCCAAACTCTATACCCGGAACTTGTAAATATATTACACTATATGGCAAAGGGATATTAAGGTTGTTAGTCAGCTGACTTTAAAATAGGGGAAGGATCCTGGATGACCCAGGTGGGCCCGGTGGAATCACAAGGGTCATTAATATGGAAGAGGAAGCAAAAGAGGAAGTCAGAGAGAAGTGATAGGAGAAGAGTGCCCCCTGCCCTTGCGGGCTTGGATCCGCTTCGATGATGGAAGAGAAGAGCCATGAACCAAGGAATGTGGGCAGGGCCTTTAGAAACTGGTAAGGACTAGGAAACAGATTCTTCTCTCGCGTTGCTAGAAGGGAAGCTGCCCTGCTGACATCTTGATTTTAGCTCATTAAAACCCACTTCAGACTTCTGACTTCTAGAACTGTAAGATCATAAATCTGTAGTGTTTAAGCTATTAAATTTATGGTAATTTGTTACAGCAGCAATATGAGCCTAGTAAAACCTGTATGATAGATTTTAAGTACCTGACGTGAAATGTTGAGCTAGAAGCCTGCTTAGGGATTCTTTGTTGTGGGCAAGAGACATTGAATGGGATTACACAGATATAGAGGATCCATTTAAGAAATGACCCTTTCAGCAAAAACAGGCAAACCCCTCCCCTCCCTGTCTTCCATCTCAACTCAAATCTGGGAGAGTCTTATGCCATAGGAAGAACCCCCTCCACCCACCCATATCTGCAAGAAATTCTTAAACGTAGCCACGGTTGAGATCAGAGGATCAGAGCTGAAGCTATACACAGGCTTCCCCAGTCAAAGACTAAGGGTTGAGCTGGAATAATCAAGGCCCTACACAGAAGTGGACTCTGCAACACAGGTGGGCTTGGCATGAGAGCTAAACATTACCTTAGCCACACTAGGGAAGGGCTGGTGCCATTTCCTGAGTGAGGGGAGCTTGATGGTGTATATATATTCCTCTCAAGGACCTCACTGAGACGGGGTTGCACATTGTGATCAGCACCCCATCCAGAACTTTACCAATCCCCCATCAACTATCAAAATGCATCAATCCTGTGTCTCATTCCATTTGGCAGAGATCTCAAGATGGAGGTCTGAGGGCTCCATGTGAGCAGCAGATCTTTTGTTATGGGTTGAACTGTGTCCCTCCAAAATGATATGTTGAAGTTCTGACCCCCTCCCCTGGTACCTGTGAATATGGATCTTATTGAAAATAAAGTCTTTTAGATGTAATCAAGTTGAGATGAGGCCAGACTCAGTTAGGTTGGGCCCTAATCCAGTGGCTGGTATCTTTTACAAGAGAAGGAAAAATTTGAACACATGGAAGAACACCATGTGATAATGGAAGCTGGGACCAGAGTGATGCTTCTCCAAGCCAAGGAATGGCGGCAACCACCAGAAACCAGGAATATGCAAGGAAGGATTCTCCCCGAGGGCCTTCAGAGAGAGCATGGCCCTACTCTTTTGTTTTTTGAGACGGAATCTTGCTCCGGCTCCCGGGCTGGAGTACAGTGGTGCGATCTCGGCTCACTGCAACCTCCGCCTCCCGGGTTCATGCCATTCTCCTGCCTCAGCCTCCGAGTAGCTGGGACTACAGGCGCCCGCCACCACGCCTGGCTAATTTTTTGTATTTTTAGTAGAGACGGGGTTTCACCATGTCAGCCAGGATGGTCTCGATCTCCTGACCTCGTGATCCGCCCGCCTCAACCTCCCAAAGTGCTGGGATTACAGGCGTGAGCCACCGCGCCTGGCAATGGCCCTACTCTTACACCTTGATTTCAGACTTCTAGCTTCCCAAACTGTGAGAGAATACATTCCTATTGTTTTAACCTTTCGATTTTCTGTAATCTTTTATGGCAACCCCAGGAAACAAACACACCTGTCATATGAGATCTGCAGCATTAGCCTACAGTGTTGCTTTTTACAAATTTGAATCAGTGAATGTCAGAAGTATTCAGGAAATTCCACATAAAAACCTAGATTTTTGGCTTTTATCAAAAAATCAGAAAATCTGGCTACACAGGGCCTATATTCTTGAATGTCCTCAATTAGCTGACATAAGAGGCAGCTACCCTCATTAGACAAGTTTTGATAGACTGAATGATGTCCACATCCTAATCCCAGAAACATATTAATACAGTAGTCCCTCTTTATTCTTGGTTTTGCTTTCTGCTGGTTCCATTACCCTGGTCAACTATGGTCCAAAAATATTAAATAGAAAATTCCAGAAATAAGCAATTCATACATTTTAAATTGCATGCTATTCTGAGCAGTGTGATGGAATATCTCACCATCTCACTCCATCCCACCAGGGATGTGAATAATCCCTTTGTCCAGTGGATCCACACTGTAGACGCTCCATACCCATTAGTCACTCAGTAGCCTTCTCTGTTATCAGACAGTCAGGTTGTGGTACTGCAATGCCTGTGTTTCGTAACCCTTATTTTACTTAATAATGACACCCAAACACAAGAATAGTGCTCCTGGTATAGTGCTATAAATGTTCTACACTATTATTATTGTTGTTAATCTATTACTGTGCCTAATGTAAAACTTTTTCATAGGTATGTATATATAGGAAGAAACATCATATATACAGGATTTGGTACTATCTGTAGTTTCAGGCATCCACTGGATAATGGAACTTATCACCCATGGATAAGGGAGACTACTGTTATGTTACCTAACTGATTGAAGGGATTTGCAGATGATCAAGTTAAAGATCTTGAGAGTGGGTGGGGGACATTATCCTGGATTATCCAGATGGGCTCAATTAATCAAAAGGGTCTTTATAAGGGAAAGCGGGAGGCAGGAGAGTCAGAGAAATGTGACCAGGGAAGCAGAGGGAGGAGGGTTATGTGATGTGGGGCCACTAGCCAAGGAATGAGGGTGACTTCTAGAAGCTGGAAAAGGAAAGGAAACAGAATTACCCCAAAAGCTTCCAGAAGGAATACTGGTTTGTGAGCACTTTGACTTTAGCACAGTGAGACCCATATTGGACTTTTAACCTCCAGAACGGTGAGATAATAAATTCGTGTTGTTTTAAGCCACCAAGCCTGTGGCACTTTGTTACAGCAGCAATAGGAAACCTATATATAAAAGCATCTGTTTGCATCAGGCCTCACCCCTCCCCATTTCTCTCACTCATTTCAGTAACTATCTGGCTCCTATGGCACTGGAATTTATTCTGCTACCTGAGGGCCCTGGCCCCTGTCAGGTCACACATAGCAAAACGGATACATTAATCCATAAAGGGAAAAGCATATGCATTTTAGCAAAAGTCTCCGTAAAGAAGACTTTGAAGATGTTTTAACTCTGCACCTAGAAAGCCAGCCAGGGAAGCTATTCTACTTGTCAGCAAGTAGAGTGTTGTCATCAAGCTAAATAAAGCCAACTGATGAGAAGCCCTGAATGTTTATTAGGTAGTTTAGATTTGATCCTAGAGATTGCAAGGCACCTTCAGAAAATTCTAAGCAGAAAAGAAACCTGTCCAAGAAAAGACAGGGGAGAAGTGCATTAGAGAGGGACACATATTAATTTTGCTGTGGATCTAGCATATTCCAAGAACCAAGGAAGGTTCAAATAATTAATTACTTCATTTAACTTTTGCAATAAACCTGGAGAAAAGTTCTTTTTATCCTTGATTGTGGATTGGATTGAAACTCAAAGAAGTTAGTAAGTAGGAGTTAGAAAGCAGTAGAACCGAGGTGTATAACTCCAAAGCGAGTTCTACAAAGCCTCTCTGATCTCCCTCAGTTTAACGGGGCAATGAGGAAGGACATGAGGAGAGAAGAGGCTGGATAAGGAGAGGGCAGCCAAGGGCAGCAAAGAGCAGCAGTGAAGTGGGCTAGAAAGGACATACTACACCTTGGCCAAGGTTTGAAGAGAATCACATGGTAGAAGTGCAGGACAAAAAGATAAGGTGAGGGCCAAGAGAATGACAGCACCATTGACAGGCATGAAGCAGGGAAAGAGAACAAATTTTAGAGTAGGAAGACTTATGGAGGCAGAGGAGCTCATTCCTTTCAGCAGCCAGGGGGAAAAAATTCTCTCAGCCTGTAAATCCTTGAATTCATACCCACAGATACACGTGTCTGTGTTGCTTTTAGACCAACATGCTTTTCTTTTCTTTTCCGAACAGTTCAGAGGGGAAGGAAGCCATGGTGTCATCCTGTTTCTGTACAGCCTGATCTTCTCTAGAACATTTGAAAGGTAAATTCTACAGATGTTTACACAGGTATTTTCTATAGGATTGGGATCACATAAACAATGTACTCTTGTATTGAAAAATCTCCATATTGGAAACATGAATGCAATGTTTTTTTCTAGTAGATTCTCTTTTGTTGACACGTCCTTTCCTACAGTTGGTTTGGCCATCTTAATGGGCAAGTGGATGTCGTCAGTCAAGTTTGAATCTGTTCTTACAATACCCTAGTAGGTTCCTCCTTCTTGTGGCTGTAAATATTGGTGGACAACACCAAAGCTTGTTTGTACAAGTTTCATAAATAAATACATTTTATTATTTAGATCCATGATAAGGTATATCCTCAAATATGTATTTTGTCTCTATGATATGCAAAACTCTGTTCTTGGCACAGTGGAAAGTACAAAGAAGAGAAGATATGGCCCTGTCCTCCTGCAGAGTCCAGGCTGGGAAAGACAAGGGGTGTACACAGAGATGCTGGGCAAGTCCCAGGAGGTATCTGATGTGCCAAATGAGATGTAAAGAGAATGAGTCTCAGTGGGCTCCAGAGGAGGAAGGGGCCTCTGCTGACAGGGTGGTCAGGGAAGGCTTCAGGAAAGAAATGGACTTTCTTCTGAACCTTGAAAGAAAGGTAAACTTTGGAGAGTCAGAAATAGAGGTCTCTCAGGAGGGAAGGATTACAACCCTGCGGCAGTGGTCCTGAAGCTTGTCTTTTATATACCGCCATCACATTTTATGCTGTATGTTATCATTCACTTAACATTAAAAATAAAATCAATACACATTTAAATATCAAGCTCTTCCTAAACGTTAATGTCCTTTAAGTCATGTACCACGCTAAAGATAAACGTATTAAAATAAATACAACATTATTAAAATTCTAAAATGTTCAAGTCTATCATACCACCCTTTGAGAAGCATTATCCTGAGTTGTATCTGATGCCACGACGGTACTCACCATGCTTGACCCAAGTCTTTAAGTCTCATTCACAGAAGGACATAAGCTCCAGTTCCATGAATAGATTTGTTCAAGAACACATACAGTTCACATACTAGTATGCGGCAATTCCCCCTAAGTGACAGCAGGAGCCACATTCCACCTTGACCTTATATTGTCAAGGGTGAGACCATGGCCCCTGACATAACAGTGGAAGCTGCCCTTCTGCAGCCAAGAAACGGGCTCAGCCAAGAAATGGCCACAACCGTGTTTTCCATTTGGACAATCTGTTGAGATCTGCCTTGAACCAGCACTCTGCAGTGTGGTCATGTGTCACCACCCTGAGCCAAGTGCATTCCTTGTCACATAGAACAAAGAGCTTCTCTACTGAGTCCAGCATCCACCCAGAGCACACACACAGGGATTCGAACATTTGAGACATCTGTACCTTCTCCCCTACCACTTATTACTCACTTTCCCCAATTGCATCCACCTCTGCAACCCCAGATCTAGAGGCTTTCCCTGTGAGAGATGGAAAAGTGCAAGTGAGAAACAGTGACTAGGAGAGCCCGTGTTACTGCTGCTTTGTGTTTTGGGGGAAAAGAAGCTGCAGGCTCCCGGTGCACTGTCTCTGACTGGATGCTGATGGCTTCTCCCACTCTGCAGGCTTCAAATGGACCTAGATGTCACCACCACTCAGCTGCTACAACCAAATGCTGGAGGCTTTCTGTGCAGGCAGGTGAGCTGGAAGACTCTGCCTTTCTATTGTAGAATCTGAATTAGTTGAATGCCACATGCAGAGTTTGAAAAAGAAAAAAAGAAAAGCAATCTGAATTTTGGATTGTTTTCTAATTAAATATATTCTCTCCTTAAGTAAAGAGCAATCCGGTTATCTTTGAAAGAGTATGAAGACACTACCCTGGGTTGCATCAAAATCTACCGTCTAATTTTCATAACAGTCCTCCTTAGTTTACCTCCGAGAGCCTTTCATCTCTGAGATCCTAGCAACAGTAGAAAATATCTTGACAAGACCCACCAGGAATCCCTAATAACTGAAAAAAAGTGCTAAAAAACATCTTAGCTTCATGCTTCTTAAATCACAACCATGGAAAACAACGTTTAAAAGAACTGTAAAAGGAGGACGGGCAGTAAGATCAGAGTGGGGTACAGAGGGAGTTATGGGGTAAGGTTTAAGAAAAAAAGCTAATAAATGATTGTTTTAAATCTACCAAATATTTAGGACATATTTTTCCTGAAATATGTATCATGTGATTTCATTCTTTTCACTAAAAATAATTTTTAATGATTTTTAAGAGAAAAAATTAAGTTATTGTTTCATTGCTATCTAAAATATAAGTATCTGTAAAATATGCTCTCTAGGCAGTTCTGAACATGATTTTAACTGGAAGAGCAAGTCCCAATGTCTTCAATGGCTGTGAGGAAGGAAAGTCTCAGGAAACACTACATGGAGTCCTGACCCGCAGTGATGTTGGCTATTTGCAGTGGGGTAAGGATGCCTCGGAAGATGACAGACTCTCACAGGTGAGTGTGTTCCAGTCCTCAACCACACAACCAGAATGTCAATATTTTAACAGTTTAAAAGTCTGTCTATTTAGGCAATTCAAACCCGAGCCTACTTTCTCCCTTACTGTCTGCCTGTGTACCTCCCTCCTGCCACACACAGACATTCAGGGAAATTTCCACAGATGGAAATATCCCAGTCTACTTGCTTCATATTTTATTTTACATATTTTTATGTATATAAAATAGGTAATAAAAGTAATACATACATTTTTAAAGCAATATTTGAAATATACAGATATCCCTGTTTAATGAGGTTGACAAATATATATATATATATATATATATATATACACACATACACATACACAAAGGAAAAGTCCTCTGTCATCCCCATGCGGCTACATACCCCTTCACAGAAATACTGTTAGCAGTTGATGGGTGTCCTCCCAATCCTTCATTTATGCAAATGAATGCACACAGCCTACATATTGCTCAAAGCTTAAAAAAAACCACTGGAAAAAAAAGGGGGCCCCTACGTTTGAAACTCCTGTCAAAAAGCTTTCCAGCTCAGGGGTTTTATAACTTCTGACAACCAGAAAGTAAAATGTCCTGTTGAAAAGCACAACCAGGGAATTAAGTAAGATGTGATTCTGCGAAAACAAACAGAAGAAGAGTGACAAAGCAAATATACCCATCCCAAACCACAAATCAAAGCTGCTTCTGTGATATTTCACAAAAATTTCATCCTAAAACCCAGGGAAGATGAGGCAGACTCTGTAACAACACTTTTCTGGAATGGCCTTGAAACCAGTTCAGATGTCATTCAATTTGATGGAGGATGTAAACCCCCACAAGCCTCCCAACCACCTCTCCCAAATGCCAACAGCAAACAAGGCCTCGCTGCTCAGCATCTGTCCTGTCCTCCAGCCCTCCTGGTTCCCACTCAAAACGCCTTTCATGTATATAGGGCTTCATCTGTCCCTCTACTATTGTCTCCAGCTACTATGTTATCATGAAACCAGCATCTTGCAACACATACATATGTCTGATGCCATCAAAAAAATAGTGTCTGACTATAGCAGAATTGGCATATTTTGTGTACAAGTGTGCTTTACAAGTTTGCATGTTATTCCTTGAGTTTGTATTCTTTGTTCATCATAGAAAAATGTGAAGTGATAGACAAGGTAAAAGTAAAAAAGTAAAACAAATTTCATTACCCAGGGGTCAATCTTTTCAGGAACATTTTTCAGAAATACTCTTTCTTTCTCATATCAATGTGTCTTTTTTTTTTTTTTTTTTTAAACAGAGACAGGGGTCTCACTGTGTTGCCCAGGCTGGTCTTGAACTCCTGGGTTCAAGCAATTCTCCTGCCTCAGCCTCCCAAAGTGGTGGGATTACAGGTGTGTGAGGCACTGTGCCCAGCCATATCAATATGTCTTATTCTACTCTTCCGAAACCTGCTTTTCTCGTTTAACACAAATATCTCATTTAATATCAAATATGAGTATATAACCCTCTATTTATTTATTTTTGAGACAGAGTTCGCTGTGTCACCCAGGCTGGAGTGCAGTGGTGCCATCTCAGCTCACTGCAACCTCCGCCTCCTGGGTTCAAGCGATTCTCCTGCCTCAGCCTCACGAGTAGCTGGGATTACAGATGTACACCACCATGGCTAGCTAATTTTTGTATTTTTAGTAGAGATAGGATTTTCGCCATTTTGGCCAGGCTGGTCTCAAACTCCTGATCTCAATTTATCCACCCACCTCAGCCTCCCAAAGTGCTGGGATTACAGGCGTGAGCCACTGCCTGGCCTCTCATTATATTTAGAGGCTGCAAAGAGTTCTATTGTGTGGATGTGAAAGACTATACTTTGAATACAGCCTGGACAGAGAATTGTTTATCGTTATAAAGCTCCTAATCACTTTTTCCAGATAATTTGGGAATTCATCTTAAAATTGACTCATATAATGAAGAGTAAAACTAAGCCAGAAATAGAGGATTTATAGATTTCATTTTACATATTTTTCTTTTCTTTCAACCACGTGTGGTCACTTGGTGTCCGTGGTCTAACATTCTATAGCTATAAGAACCCAGTAATATGCCAAGACTTGGTTTGAAAATGGGGTGATATACTGGAAACAAGTTCTAGTGGTGACGACACAAAAATGCAATAATGATTTTAGTATTTTGTCTGTTATTACAAAAGCTCTTTCATAAGATTATTTCACTGGATCCTCGCTATAAACTAGAAAGACTTAAAACAGCGTTTCTCATATTTCAGTCATCTGAGTAGGTAATTCAGAAGCTTTTTCATGTCTCTGTGCTACCACTACTATTATTTGCTTAATGTTTTTCTTTCAAACAACTCACTTAAAATGTGGTTCTAACCTTTTCTGCAGCAGAAATAGATGCCATGGGCTTGATGTGCTGATTTTTTTTCCTAATACATATTTAATTAAACATTTGTTTTTTGTGCCATCCACTTCTTCTCCTACACAAGTCTGCTTGTGTAGAAGTCTCCTTGTACCATCCACTTTCATGCCACATGCCACCAATGGGCGCGTGTGCGCATCCACACACACACACACACACACACACACACACACACAGATGGGAACCTGGCATAAAGGTGAGGAAGTTCCTGTAGCATGTGCAAAATAACCCTGGCCTGGAAATCGGCAGGCTTGGCTGGAGGCCTTACCATGCCACTCACAGGTGTGTGACTTGTACCAGTTTTACCCTCTCTGAGCCTGTTTCCTCACTTACAACACAGGTGCATTCATTCCACATGTGCCTGCCCTGCAACCTGATCAGATTAAGGATTGACGTGAAGAGCAGAGGAAATCATGGATGTTGAAGCTCATTGGAAGGCCAGAATATTCTATAGACATATAAGACTTTATAATAGAAGATAACAAGGCATAATGTTATAGTGCTTTATTCAGCTATGTTCATTCAGCACAGCTAAATGCTAACTGAATACTAATTGGGAGGCTCTGTGTCCAGATCCAAAGATGGGCCATACTTGACCATACATACACTGATTTCTACAGGAAGGATACAGGCAATAAATGCTAGAGAGCAGTGATGTCAACCCTGACTGCACATTGAAGTCACCTGGAGATCTTTTACAACTATCAATGCCCAGGTCATCCCCCAGAACAGAGTTAGCTTTATAAGCATGTGTAGTCAAACAGGACCCCACACTTGGAAGGCCCTATACTTTGTTTAATGCTCTAGTGTCTGGTATCACTGTCTTGAAATTGTTAATGTTTGAACGAGGGCCCCCACATTTTCATTTTGCACTGGGCCCCACAAATTACGTAGCCAACACTACCCAAAGACTGCTTCATTTGGTCTGGGAAGCATCTGGGCAACTGAAGTTTTTAAAGCCCATAGATGATTCTAAAGTGCAACCAGGATTAGAAACCTCTGTTCCAGAGCAGGACTTCTCAACCTCTGCAGCACTGAAATTTTGAAGTGGTTAATTGTTTGCTGTGGAGGGCTGTCCTGTCCACTGCAGGCTATTGAGCAGCATTCCTGGCCTCTGCTCACTAGATGCCAGCAGCACTGGCCCCAGTGTGGCAATAAAAATGTCTCCAGACATTTAAAAATGCTCCCCTGGGGAGCAAAATTGACCCTAGTTGAGAACCTCTGCTTTAGAGGAAGGAGAAAAAAAATCTCTTTAGGCTTAGCTGATTAAATCCATGGTGTGCAGAATTGGCCAACTAGCTATTTCAACTGAACTTACAAGAAAGAGTATATCTTCTTTCAATCAGTATTAGAAAGGTTGACAGCTTTCGGTTCGTTTTTAACAGTTGCAAGGCTTTGGAAACAAGTTGCAGGCTTTATCTTAAGTTAAAATTAAACAGCTGTTTGTGAAATAGCTACTAAGTTGTTGTGAGAAAAGGGACTATATCAAAGAATATGCCACCACAGAAACAGAGTCAAGAATTCACAGGGATCCAGCACTGCTGTTTTTTCTGGATCACATTTCTTTCTACACAAGTCTGCTCAGACCAATAGAACTGCTAAATCATGCTCTAAAGAAAATTACCTGCAAAGCCTAAAATATCCACCAATGATAAAGTGGATTTTTACTGGGACCTTAAAGTCAGTCAAGAGGCCACAGCACAAGGTAAAAAAATAAGAGCTTTCCTGCTGGGAAGAGGGCAAAACATACCAGACCACAGGACCATCACCCAAATGCCTGCTCACAAACTGGAAGTGGGGCAAAGGATGGAAACTGCCCAGGCTAGCTTTAAAATCTACATAGAAATTAGATCTATAATGCTTCCATCTTTTTGAAAAGTGACTAATGTGGCTTTTCATTCTTCTTTCTTGGACTCAGTGTTCTCTCCCCAGAGAGATACCTATGAATTCTGCCCTCAGTGAAAATTGCCTGAAATTGTACACTAATGGCTTGAAACCCTGAGGATGTTTATTATGTTGTCTCTGTCATGCATTTGAAGTTTGGTTTTAAAAAAAGGTATTAAAGAGCAAATACAGGCTGGCAGTTAGTTTTCTTACTTGAACCCCTGGCATGTATGAATATGTTAGAAACATACGTATCAAGGTGATTTTACCTGAAGGTGCTTTTTCATATCAGCTCATTATACAGGAAATATGTATGAAGCATATTTATAGTCAAGTTTATTTATACTTATATGCTTAAGTATATTTATATTCAAGTATATATGAAATTTATTTATTCATTGTGCTAATAACCTTGTGCATATAGCACCTATTGTGTGCCTGGCCCTTTCTGGGTCATTTCATTTATTTATTGAATCCCCACGTCCACTCCAAGTTGTAATCAGTATTACTTTAAGCCCAAGGTCTATTGCTTGGTCATTCATTTTAGAGATAAGAAAGGTATGGGGACTTACCCAAAGCTAGCAGCTAGGCAAGTGTCAGAGCCAGGGATATGAACCGAGTTCTATCTACATTCAATGATCACATTCTGTCCACTGGACCATGCTGCCTGCCATTATCATCTTTGATTATTTTCTGAGAAGGTGATAAATATAGAAATGCCAGTTCTTAGAATTATACTCTATCATCAGTACTTTTATCATCTATTATATCTATATATAGATATATGGTCTATAATATCTGTTATAGGTATACTCGTGTTGGTAACATTTAAATGGTAGCAAATCACAGCATGACAGTTGTGCTCAACAAGCTGAAACTCTATCCACTGACTTCTAGGTTAGAGTGGTGTGAGCTTGTGTTGATGGTGAACTGCCTCCACTTTACCTCCTGGTTTGGCAAATCACACTTGTCGGGTGTATGGAAATCCTTAGCCCTAGGAGACCAAGCTCAGTGGTGCTTAGAGACATGCTAACCAGAAGACCATTTGACTGTATTATCCCCAGAAGTCTAATATTTCACAACATCCTGCATAGAACTGAAACACAGTGCAGAACAGAAGTTTACTCAAGAAAGAACATGATGTGCTTCTGGGACAGTGCTCTAAGTATGACCGGATTGGAGACCCCTGCAGCCACTACCTTTCCTTTCTGATTCTGTATGAGACCCGTGAAAATGCCAACTAGGTATACAAGTGCTTTGTGGATATTTAGTAGCTCCTGCCTATGGTAGGTGCAACAAATCTGAAGGTTATTTTTATGTACTGATGATAAAAACCTAATATAAGAAAGATTTCTTAGTTCAGAAGAAAACCAACGTGCTGCCTGACAGGTAGATTCTGCTGTCAAGGTGAAACCCATCCTGTAATGCTGCCTCCGTCTTCTCTAAGTAAATCTCTTATTACTCTGCGATAAAATTGCAGAGATTGCAAAAACATGTGCCTTTCAGTCCCAATGTCACAGCCCAGTGGGTGAGACTTTAAAAAAAAAAGATGGTATTCTCATTAGATGACATGACAAGCCCCCCAGAGCCCACCAGACTGATGGTTCCTGCAGAACGCAGCCAGCTACCCATAAGATGAGGCACTATTTTGAAGCCTCCCTGTCACTTTTCTATTTGAAGGTACAGATTTGAGTGTGAGGTTCCAATACCTAAGTGAGAACATAAAGCAGTTTGAGTCTAACACCATCTGGAAAGCCTTGGGAGGTTCACATTATCTTCACACCTGCCACTGAGAAGAAAAATCCACTCTGATTTTTCAGGGACTGAAGCCATTTAGGTCTTGCCAGAATTACTCCTACGGCAGCCCTGGCAGCACACATCACTATCCCAGTCATACCTTCTTCCCCCTTTACGTTTTCCCTTTAGAGAGTCTGATAGGAAGAAATCCAACCATAGAAGTACCCAGTGAAGCAGTACCCACTGCACCCTGCCACTAAGTCACTGAGGTAGCGCCCTGCAAACATGAACTAATTTGTCTTTACAACATACCTGCAAACTCAGTGAGAAAAGTTACATCAAGTATGTATTCCAGATGGCAGAGATGAGAGCCAGGCCATTAACAGTTATGCACAGGAATTGTCACCAGGAATCAGTGAAGAAAGCACAACGTTTCAAACACCTTTCTCCTGTTCAGATTACCAGCCTGGGGCCTTGGGACTTGCAATATCATGCTTATTATACAAAGGCATGTTCTAAGCGCCATTGTTCTAGACAGCATAAAAAAAAAGAATTACATGGACTCAATTCTTGCACTCTGATGTGTAGAATTTGTCCATCTTCCTTGCTGTCCTTGTAATTTTACATTGGCTTAAATGATATGTGTTATGAAAAGCCTGATTGCTGCATGTGATGCTGAAAATACTGGGCTGATTACACAATGAGTGAACTTAAGGAGAAAGGTATTTTATTTATAGCACCACTGTATCACAATTTAATTTCCTTTTTACCATGGCAACATGAAGCAACATGCACAAATTCAGCATTGATGGAATCTCACCAATAAAACATATTTAGAATCCTGCTTTTGGGGAGTAGCTGGTAAACTGTTTTTATCCAAAAGCAATACAAATGCTTAAAACAAAAAATGCCAGTCAAACTGCTTATATGGTGTGCCAAGAAGAAAGGGGGATGTAATCTCTGGCTGGATTCAGTTGGAAGGTGCTTTGTTTTGTTTTTTGCAGGACTCACTTTAAACCAGATGTGTTCTCAACTGTAATCTTAAGGCTCGCCTCTTAATACTCAAAGTGCAGCAACAGTCATGCATGACATTTCCCGTTTCATCAGAATCTCTCAGGGCAAGCAAGGTTCTGCTTGCTCACTATGAGAGCTCTGTAAGGCCACTTTTGGAGGGTTGAAGGTGGTTGCATTTTGACTACTTCATTTTCTTCCTACTAGAACAAAATCTTGAGTAGCTTTGAGCTCAGGAAAGAAAACTGTTGTATTGCTGCATAAAGCAACAATAGTGTGTCAGTCAGCACCTGGCAGAGTATGTTTATCTGAGTGCCAAGTGAATTTCACCTACATTACAAATATTCTGTGAAACAATATCATATATGTGTATATTCTATTACACCTACCCAGACTAATTTACAGGGAATATCACTAGATTAAAACTGACCAGAATGTCCATTTGAAGTTCCAATGGAATTACCTTTTACTACAAACAGCTCTCAATCTCCTAGTTTTATTCAAGTTTTTCAACCTTGATAATTCCATGACTTCCTGTATAACATATTTTGATTACATATCATCTTAATACAGAAGGGTGCCATAGCAAGAAGGCCTAAGAAAGAAAGTGCTTATTTTATAACTAATGAATAGTTACAAAGTTACTTGGAAATTGGTGGTGGATATCTGGAACTAAAACATATGCTACTGCTTCAATGGTACATCTTCACTGTTTTATTTCTGATGTAACCAGTGGGCAGACTGGCCCTGTGTTTGATATGTGAAATGCTCACAATATATTCAGCCCAGAGGAGATAACTCCAACAAATCCTGTACCTACTATGCAGATGAGTAAATCCTGCCCCCATTATGAACATGTCCTGATTGGGGTGCTAGGTTTCCACTTTTTGTAAACTACCAGCTGAGGTCATTTCTTTTCAGCATAGCAATATAATTTTTCTGTGGTAGCTAAAAGTGAAACACTTACAGACAAAAGCATCTCTGATTCACCCACTCACCCACAGCTGAAGAATTTAAACTCAAGGAAACAAAAAGATTTGAATAGAGTTATTGAGAAATCAAAATGTCAAGTTATTAGCCTTTAATACTTGGGTTGATAAAGCACGTGATAATTTTTCAAAGCTGGATTTCCACAAAATAGAATTTGTTCCTGAACAAACAGTACAACTCTGAGGACTGAGAAGAAAAGAAATAGAATGGCAACATTGGTCTCTTCAGTTACAGGAAGAAAGGCCAAGCTAAGGGGCCCAGGAATTCTCCTTGGCGTCACATGGAAATCATGGGTTTGTCCATGTAGATATATATGTTTATCTCTTTAAGTTGAAATAAATTTAACAAATTTTTAAAAACAGTTTCAATAAATTTTGATGGAAAGCCTTTAAAAATATGTGCTTCCCTGCCTGTGTAAACAAACTGATGGCTATCACTGATAGAAACGCACTAGAAGTTTGCAGGACCACTGCCCTTTTACTACATCCCCTTCCCTGCTCTTACCCCCAGTGCTGGTTTTTGCAAATCTCATTCACTAGCTATAAGAATTCAAGGCCAGGCCAGGTACAGTAATTCCAATAGTTGGGAGGCCAAGGCAGGTAGATTGCTTGTGTTCAGGAGTTTGAGACCAGCCTGGGCCACATGGCAAGACGCTGTCTCTACAAAAAACACAAAAATTAGTCGGGCATGATGGTGTCCACCTGTAGTCCCAGCTAATCCAGGGGCTGAGGCGGGAGGATCACTTGAGCCCAGGGAGTCAAGGCTGCAGTGAGCCGAGATCACACCACTGCATTATAGCCTGGATGACAGAGCAAGATCCTGTCTTTAAAAAAAAAAAAAAAAAAAAAAAAAAATCAAGGCTAAATTGATTGACAAGTACTTAGAAAAAAACCGATAACAAGCTGCTGTCTAGGAACATCTTCACAAATGATCATGTTAACCTGTAGATATATGTGTATATGTGTGATGTGTGTATGTGTTTCCCTCATTTTCCAGAAGCTATTTTATATATCTTAAATATCATTTTTTCTATATTCTAAATAGTTGATGTTGCCAGAAGTCTTACCACCACCTGCTGAATGAATTATTGCCTTATCTTGGGAATGGGAGCAGATATGCTAGTCAGTGACAAACACAGAATTAGAGTTCTCTTATTCCACCACTACATTCCTATTTTAGTTTATATATTTATTCTTCACTTCGCCTCAAAGCCAAACTGAAGTTGTTTTGCCTCCTCTGTGAGGCCACCAAAAAAATTTTAATATAATCCATTAAGATAAAAATGGCAGCACCACTATACCAGATCATTCATAAATGCAAATTTATTCATGACGAAGCCTTGATTTCAAATCTTGCTCTATGTACAGTGCCCTGCACGCGACAAGTGCAACAAGAAACCTCAGAGCTGCTTTTTGGTCGCGATCATGTATCGGCATGTGTCACAATGTGGCAAAATCTATATATTTATCTGCATTCCCCTTCCCCTTTCCAGGTGGGCAGCATGCTGAAGACTCCCAAATTACCTATTTGGCTGTGCAACATCAATGGAAATTACAGCATCCTTTTTTGCACAAACAGGCAGCTCTTATCAGACTGGAAAATGGAACGTCTCTTTGATCTGTACTTTTACAGTGGCCAACCCTCACAGAAAAAGCTTGTGCGTCTTACAATAGGTGAGCATTTCAGACTCCAGGTGTTGTGGATTTTAATGTGCTCAAAGAGATGCGGTTGCCAATGTTTAACAACTGTGTGGATATTCATGCTAGCTCCACAGGAAAATGCTTAGGCTCAGTTTCTGAAATGAAACCCACACATGAATCCCATGGCCCTAAACCCAAGTATTGCAATGTGGGAATTTGAAATCTGCTTTACCTAGGAGCAGGGGGGTTAGAAATAGCAGAGAAGAACCAATAACTTTCAGGTAAGAGAAAAACAAAAGTTATGGAGCCAAATTTCCAAAAACCATTCTCCGGGGCCTTTGATTTTGGAGCATGAGGTAGCTAATACCTGAGGAAATAATTGGGAAAACCCAGGGAAGAATTGGCTGATGCTATCTCACAACCAAACATCAGATGATCATCCAGTGACATAAGTAACCAAACTGATAGTAAATTTCTGTTCAAATGAGCACAAAACGCATTTTTGAGGGCCTACTCTGTGCCAGGCATGGGGCTAGACACTGGGAAAACTGGTGAATGCGGCACAGGTCTGCCTGGTGGCTCCTCTGTAGTCACACAGACTGGTTTCTTTTATTCCAAAAAGTTCCACAAACATGGTTCAAATCCAACAGGAGAAGCAGACAACCGAACAGATCATTTCGGTCATAAACTCCTGAGGGAAAAAGACCAACCTTAAAATGTCTTTAAACATTGACCCCCGGACGAGGTATTAACACTGGACAAACTGGGAGTTTGTATCCATAGCCTTAGCTGTATTTATGGAGCATTACTGTGTCTGACTTTGCACCACAAGCCTGGCATTAAGTAATCTTCCATTATTACATGTGGAAAAGCATCTAGTGACTATTTTATTTGTGCAGCTCCTAATTCTTTTTCTTTAATTATGAGAAATACATCTTAACCCACTTAATTTAGTATAACATTGACAATATGTTCCTTAAAATATATTGTTGTTTCTACCTCAACTTCCTTCTTTGCATAAAGCAACATTTTTCATTAGCTCACAAGAATCATTTGCTTTCTGTTCTGGGCATTGTGTTGAAAGCCTCACAGGCATTAACCCGTAACATTCCCAATAGTCACATGAGGTAAGTACTAGGATTTCTGTTTTTATGAAGTGGAAACTATGGTGTCCAACAAGTAGTTACTAATTGAATAAATGAAGTTTAGCAATAGATGCTAAGTACCTTCTTAAGTGTCACCTGGCTAATATGAGATAAACTCAAGCCCCAAACCCAGTTCTTGCTTACCCCACTAGAAAGCCTTGCCCTCCATCCAAAAATGCAAATGTATTCTGAGAAGCATGGAGAAGTGGGGTCGGTTGGTTGGTTGGTTGGAGATGGAGTCTCACTCTGTCGCCCAGGCTGGAGTGCAGTGGCGTGATCCTGGCTTACTGCAAATTCCACCTCCCAGGTTCAAGTGATTCTTGTGCTTCAGCCTCCTGCTGGGATTACAGGCGCGCGCCACCACACACAGCTAATTTTCTGTATTTTTAGTAGAGACAGGGTTTCACCATGCTGGCCAGGCTGGTCTCGAACTCCCGACCTCAGATGATCCACCTGCCTCAGCCCCCCAAAGTACTGGGACCATAGGCGTGAGCCACCATGCCTGGCCTCTTTTTTTTTTTTTCCTGACAATATTTAGTAACCTATACCTGGTTCTAGGTGTCACATCATGGTACGGGAAGGTGTATTACATAGCTTATCAACAGTTATGCACAACAACCCAGGTTACCACTGACTCATTCTGTATGGGGCGTTTCAACACACATACTACGTCCTAATATGCACAACAACCCAGGCTACCACTGACTCATTCTGTATGGGGCATTTCAACACACTACCTGCTTGAATCCCCATCTGCTTAACCAGTTGTAGGAGCACAATTTTCCAAGCCTGACTCCTGCCCACCCACCCTTCTGTCCTTCTTTAGTGGTTTCCTCTGGAATGGTGTTCATAGGCTTGGGTCTAAATGCTGGCTATTCCTTCTTCAGATACTCACTCCCATCACTGGGAAAGAGACCAACAGGAAGAGAAACATGGACCAAGACGACGGTTTTCACCAGTGGAGATGGCAATCAGAACCAAGTGGAGCGAGGCCACCATCAACTGGAATGGGACCGTTCCCTTCTTCTAAAGGGAAACTAGGCTGTGCAATGAAGTCTGAAGTGTCAGAACTGCTGGGATGCAAAAGCCTAATGTGGGGGAGACCAATCGTTTCCATATTTCTCATTCACAAGCCCCACCAAAAAATATATATATATACCATTAGCAGTTTTTTCATTTTTTAAGTCTCTGGTAAATCCCTAGCTGTCAGCATTGTAGGAGAAACACAGGCCCCCACACCAGGGCCTGCATGGTGCCTCCTCCGTAGTCACATAGACTGGTTTCTTTCTTTTATTCAAAAGAGAAAATGAAGCCTCTCTCTTGCATGTTTTTCCAAAGTTGTCTTTTCTTGGTATAACTCTCCATGAGGATTACGGAAGCAGGCTGCTAGCTTTCATTTGGGGATGAAGTCATTGGTAATGCATCATCGGATTTTTAGTTATGGCAAGAACTCAAGCCTTCTCAAGGACTTCCTGGTATGGACGGCATTCCTTTCCAAGGATACAGTTCATATGCCCACATTAGCAAGTTCTTGTCATTAAAATAGTAAATGGGCTTCTTGGGGTTTGAAGCAGGGGTTATTCCTGGTAGGCTGACAGCTATAGCAGTTGACATGTGGGTTTCAGTAGCCACAAGGAGACATTCTTTTTATTAGCAGTATGTTTGTTTCTTTTCTTCAATGCTGGATATAAATACACAAACAGACAAACTGAGAAAAATTCTGATTTCTACATAAAATTATATATAAAAATAAAATCTCTTGTGTCATTATTCAAAGGGGAAAACAATTCTTTTTAGAATATACTCTTTCCCTGTCCTGTTAAATGCCTATGTTCTTTCTGAAGAGATACACAGAGTAAACACATATTCCTTCTAAAAGAAGTACACGAGAATAATGTAGACACCGCCAGCCACCCCGCTAATCTGCCACCTCACAGACTTAGGGCACTGTATTCACAATCCCAAGGTTAGTTTCCAAAGAACAATCTTTCTGCATTCATTCAAATTCATTTATTAAATGCATTTGCATTTGGCTCAAAGAATAATGTTTTAACTTAAGGACCATGTAGGAAATGAAACTTCAAGGTGAATAATAAATTATGTCAGAAGAGAAAGGCAATTAGGCTTGAATTGCGGATTATAGTATCTTTATCATTGGTGTTTTCACTGGGGATTTTAAATACACTGGACAAATAAGTGGATCCCTACAGACTTTGGGCTTATGTGGTCTTAATCTTACTTACATTGTGCTTTTCCTGAGGTGCGGGCCTGTTTTTTGTTTTATGGACACTACATTGTTTCTTACTGAATGTCTCTTTTGGAGTTGACTGCTTAGAGCTGAATTAAAAAACACACCAGTGCATTAGTAAGGAACTGCTCAGCTGCAAGTAAGAGATCTCACGAAAAGTCGCAAACAATAAAGATATTCCTTTTAACAAGAGCTGTCTAGCTAGGGGATCCATGACTCAGATCATCATGGTTCATCCTCTGAGTCTGAGAACAGGGCACTTGATATTAGAACAAAATCAGGGTTTTGTAGAAGGAAGAAAAGCAGGATGACTGTCGGGTAGTGTATCGGTCCTTACAAAAGCCAACTTTTAAATTGACCTCATTCTTGTATCCATTTTATGTTCCTTCCCTTATTCCTCCTTTGAATTTTTAATTTGTTTATAATTTATGTTAGTTTGCCATATTTTATATGGTATTGTAATTTGGGTTAAATTATTCCTGGAACAAGTCTATAAATAAGTAAAATAATGGAGGAAAGATTAAGTACCTACGTTTTAGATGTAAAAGTATAATTTTGATATATAAAACTATTAATTACTTTGTATATCAATGTTCAGTGAAAATAAGTTATTTTATCTTATAAACAGGGTACCCGGTAATACTTGATTTTTTTCTTCAGAGTGGAGACATGTTATTTAAAAATAACTGGAAGTGGCTGGGCGCGGTGGCTCACGCCTGTAATCCCAGCACTTTGGAAGGCCGAGGTGGGCGGATCACGAGGTCAGGAGATCGAGACCATCCTGGCTAACACGGTGAAACCCCATCTCTACTAAAAATACAAAAAATTAGCCAGGCGAGGTGGCGGGCACCTGTAGTCCCAGTTACTCAAAAGGCTGAGGCAGGAGAATGGCGTGAACCCAGGAGGCGGAGCCTGCAGTGAGCCGAGATCACGCCACTGCACTCCAACCTGGGCGACAGCGAGACTCCGTCTCAAAAAAAATAAAATAAAATAAAATAAAAAAATAAAAATAACTGGAAGTTTCTCAGAGCCATTAGTTCACTTTTAAACTTTGTTTTGAGAAAAATGACTTTTTTTTCAGCTTCTCAAATACAAAGCAGAAGAAAGCTGTTTGCTTGAAGACGGGGATATTAATTTTTCTGACTAGTCATCTAAACTGACTGTGTCTTTAGTGGGAATGAACCCTTGAGGCGATGGCAACTATTTTCCTCTTTCAAATATCAACTTAGACTGGAACATTCCCCCGAATTATTGTTTGCTCTTAGACAAGATGTGTGAATCATTTTTCCAAGAACATTCTCACCAATGTCACAAGACCCGTAGGAGCAGGCCAGGTTGGGGGAGGCCTAAGATTCCCTTCACTTCACACTGTGGAAATAACCCTGAATAGCAACTGGCTGAGACTGGACCTGAGCTGTCCAGGCTGTGGGCACTCTTCAGCCACACCTGGGCCTGCATTTTCTGTTAATGGTTGTAATTCCCTTGTCAGGGCCTTAGAGACATAATCATTCATTCATTCATTCATTCAATGTTTTTTATTTTATTTTTATTTTTATTTTTGAGATGGAGTCTCACTCTGTCGCCCAGGCTGGAGTGCACTGGTGTGACCTTGGCTCACTGTAACCTCCACCTCCCGGGTTCAAGCGATTCTTGTGCCTCAGCCTCCCAAGTAGCTGGGACTACAGGTGCACACAACCACTCTGGCTAATTTGTTTGTATTTTTTGGTAGAAATTGGGTTTCACCATGTTGGCCAGGCTGGTCTTTAACTCATGACCTCAAGTGATCTGCCCGCTTGGCCTCCCGAAGTGCTGGGATTCAGGCATGAGCTACCATGCCTGGCCATTCAATGTTTTTTAACATGCCCTATGTGCCAGGCACTATGCTTGATGCTGGGGAAAATCAGCACAGCGAGCAAAATCAGATGTGGCACACCCTCTTTTCTTATGAAACTTAGGCTCTTCTGAGGAGATGGCAATTAATCAAAAAGCACTTTAATAAAGATAAACTTGAAAACTAAGGGAAGAGATTTTGGGTGCGTCAATCTTATAATAAAGAACTGAAAGAAAAGGAAAAGGCATGTCTGAGGAAGAGATGGTTAGCTGAAGTAAGAAGGCTGCATAGAGATAACAGGGTAAGGGGAAGAAGGGCAAGCAGATGTGAAGCCCTGTGGTGAATGCGCCTGAGGAACAGAAAAGCCTGTGGGGCTAAAGAGTGGTTGTGAAGCAGCTGGAGCAAAAGGTGGGGCCACCGCAAGGCAGTGTAGACTATAAGGTGTGAGAAACCTTGGAAAGGTTTTAAGTGGCCTGGTAAGATTTGCATTTTGAACACATGCCTCAGAGTAGAACATGGATTGGAGAGAGCCCCAAGTGCATGCAGAGACCAGTTAGGCATGCGGAGACTAGTTAGTTAGGCAGTGGTGTGGACAAGAGATGGTCAGAACAGAATGGAGGCAATTAAAGTAGACTGAAGTGGGCCTCTCAGGAGACACCTCTTGGTAGGTAAAATGGAGAAGGCTGAAATAGGTTGCATGGGGAGGGAGATGAGGAAGAAAGAAAGAAGGATCAAGGATGACTTCTAGGTTTCTGATTTGATAACTGGATGGAAGGTTGTACCTTCACAGAACTTGGAAACACTCAAAACATACCAGATTTTGAGGGCAAGAAATCACACATCTAGTCTTAGACATGAAACATTCAAGTGGAAAGGTAGATTAATGGATCAGAAATAAGGATCTGGAAATCAATGGAGAGGTTTGGACCAGAGAAATAAATACACCTGGGAGTCACTAAGGGTAAGTAACATGGTGGCCTGGGGTAAGACTGCCCAAGGAGAGTATGAAGCAAGAAGATAGCTGGGCCTAATGCTGAGCCCTTAGGAATTCTCGTGTCAGCAGTCAGGCAGTGTGCGAAGAGCCTGGAAAGCAGGCGCAGAAGAAATAGCCAGAGACAGAGGAGAAAAATGAGAATTGAACTGTGTCTAGAAACCATGCCCTGTAGGTAAGGGCAGGCATTTCTTCCATCAATCATCGTGGGAACAGGAAGGAGGACGCCTAAGGAGAGGGAAGAAAGGCTCTCCCCACCCTAATGCTGCTGCCAGAGCTGGGAGCCTTGCACAGGGCCTGGACCAACATTTAGGGAACACAGCCAAGTGACAGAGAACGGCAAGTTGTCAGAAGTCCAAGGGGCTTCTTAAAGCAGAGACACGATCAGGAGAAGTAACATTTTAGGTTTTCCTGCATTGTAATTCCTTTGTGTTTAAATTAAGATGTTAAACATTCTAGCCTGATATTCCCTGTGCTTTGTTTGGGAAATTAAGAGAGGGATCTGCTTCACATGTAGAGACACTTTCTAACACCTGGAGAAGCCAGTCTTGTGAAGGAAAGAGGTCTCCTGAGAAGCCCAGAGCAATAGAACAGGATAGAATGATGAGCTAAGGTGTGAGGAAAATGACGCCAGCAAAAAAGCGCAACAGAGAAAACCAAATCAGATTCAAGATGGCGGCAAGAAAAGCCCAGTCTCAAAAAAAAAAAAAAAAGGGAAAAAGAAGGGCTGGGCGCAGTGGCTCACACCTGTAATCCCAGCACTTTGGGAGGCTGAGGCGGGTGGATCATGAGGTCAGGAGTTCCAGACCAGCCTGGCCAAGATGGTGAAACCCCGTATCTGCTAAAAATACAAAAATTAGCCAGGCGTGGTGGTGGGCACCTGTAATCCCAGCTACTCGGGAGGCTGAGGCAGAGAATTGCTTGAACCCGGGAGGCGGAGGTTGCAGTGAGCCCAGAACGCACCACTGCACTCCAGCCTGGGCGACAGAGTGAGACTCCGTCTCGGAAAAAAAAAAAAAAAGAAAAAAGAAAAGCCCAGTCTCAGAGGATGCAATTCTAGGTGAGTTCGGAACTTAAGTGAGGAATTAAGATAAATCCATTTCCATCAGGCTTGATATTTATACAAAAATGCTTCCCGTAATCTGATGAAGATAAGTGGTAAATGCACTGAAAAAAACATATTTCGGCAAAAAAACAAAAAGTATTATTATGGGTTGTCAGGGGCTATCTGAATAAATGATACTTTTAGTCAATGACTATGTTAAAATCAACCAGAGAGGATCTAGTCTGAATGAATTTAACCTGTTATTTTCAGAATAGCCAGTTTAACTTTAACTCTTCCGAATGTATTCCTATCCCCTCTCCTTCCAAGAAGGACTTGGGGTGGCTGATAACTGGTAAACTTTCTGGAGAACTTGTATTGTGTTTTCTCCTAGTGATTGAATCCAACAATGCGTGCGCGCGTGCGCGCGCGCGCACACACACACACACACACACACACACACACACACTTTTTATTACTGTCCACAAGGTGGTGCTATGAGAGTGACTTTTTAAATTTCATAACCACATAACTAAAAGTAAACGTGGGCAATTTAATCACATGCATATATATAGGCACACACGCCTACAAACCTAAAATATTTATACAGATTGATGTAATGGGTATTTAGTTTTGGTGATACTTAGGATTGGTGTCACTAAGCATAGTGTATAGGATTGCTCTGACCTAGGAGTCATCCCCTCTTCCACTCCAATGCAGCAGCAAAACCTGTAAGTGGTATTAATAGCTCTGAAATAGCTCCATTTGCACTGCTGTCTCCATGATACAGGTACCACTATCTCTCACCTGGACTATTACAATAGCCGTCCGACTGCTCTCCTCACCTTCTCTCTTGTCCCCTTCCAATCCCTTTTCCACACAGCACCACACAGCAATCAATTATCTTTTAAAAAAAAAATTGAATCTTGATTATCTTTAAAAAATTCAAGCCTGATGAATTATGTTAGAGTAATCCATATTATGATCATTTCTATGCACTTAGGACAAAAATGCCAAAATCTTCACATGATTTACAAGAGCCTGCAAGGTTTAGCCCCTGCTTCATATCCTGCCAGACTCCTCTCATGCCACTCTCCTCTCACCACCATGCTCCACCCAAACCAAGCTTGTTCCCACTTCGGGGGCTTTTTCCTGCTGTTCCCACTGCCCACAACAATCTTTACCCCCATCTCCTGCTTCAGAACAGCTTAAAAACCACTTCTTTAGTAGCACCATCTCTGACACCATCCCCCATCTAAATTAGGTCTCCTGGTTCATCTCTCTTAGCACCTTGTTCTTTTCCTTTATATCACTCATTGAGTGTTATGGTTTGGCTGTGTCCCCACCCAAATCTCATCATGAATTATAGCTCCCATAATCCCCACATGTTGTGGGAGGGACCCGGCGGGAGGTAATTGAATCATGGGGGTGGGTTTTCCCATGCTGTTCTCGTGATAGTGAATAAGTCTCACAAAATCTGATGGTTTTTTTGGTTTATTTTTTGAGATGGAGTTTCACTCTTGTTTCCCAGGCTGGAGTGCAAAGGCATGATCTTGGCTCACGGCAACCTCTGCCTCCCGGGTTCAAGCGATTCTCCTGCCTCAGCCTCCTGAGTAGCTGGGATTACAGGCATGTGCCACCACACCCGGCTAAGTTTGTATTTTTAGTTGAGTTGGGGTTTCTCCATGTTGGTCAGGCTGGTCTCGAACTCCTGACCTCAAGTGATCTGCCTGCCTCGGTCTCCCAAAGTGCTGGGATTACAGGCATGAGCCAATGCACCCAGCCAATCTGATGGTTTTACAAAGGGCACTTCTGCACACGCTGTCTTGCCTGCTACCACCACATAAGATGTGTCATTTCCCCTCCTTTGCCTTATGCCATGATTGTGAGACCTCCTCAGACACGTGTAACTGAATCCATTATACCTCTTTTTCTTTATAAATTACTCAGACTCAGGTATTTCTTCATAGTAGTATGAAAATGGACTAATACACCCAGGTTTACAATTACATCCTTATTTGTATGCTTATGTGTTAAATACCTAACTATCCACTAGTCTAGTGGTTCTTAAACTTTTTTATCTCAGGACCCCTTTATGCACCTAAAAATTAAGGACGTCAAAGTACTTTGGTTTATCTGGGTCACACCTGTTAATATTTATCCTATTAGAAATTAAAACTGAAAAATTGTTAAGTATTTATCTATTTATTTAAAATAACAACAAAACCTATTATATATTTACCTGAAATAGTATTTTATGGAAAACAATTATATTTTCCAAGAAAAAAATAGTAAAAAGAGTGGCATTATTTTACATTTCTGTACATTTGTTTAATGGCCAGCTTAATATGAGACAGCTGTATTCTCATATCTGCCTCTGCAGTCAATCTGCTGTGATACATTGTTTAGGCTGAAATATATGAAGAAAAGTTGACTTCACATATATATTTAGTTGAAAAAGGGAGGAAGAATTTTAATAGCTTTGTGGCTATTCTTCTTTGATACTACACCAAAACTCTACAAGGGGTAATGTATTAAGGGTTAGTCGCAAAGTAGAACCTGAAACTGTATCAGTGAACTTTTCAAATCTGTTTCATTAAAATCCATTGGTGTATCTTACACTTTGAATGGATCTTCCCCATGCATTAGTCATTTGAAGTATATTGATTCAATGTATTATGAAAATTAAATCATCATATTTTATAATATCAAAAAACTCACAGTAGTTACTATCACCACCAATCACATCAGAAAAGCCTTTAAGTATTGGGAAGCTATCATTAAAATATGTTACACAACAGGTAAATAAAAATAAACTTCTTTCTGGGAAAAAAATCACATTCTGGTGTTTCTTCTTCTTGTTCCTCAGTTATCTCACCCAGTGGGTTTGCAGATTTTTTACCAGCAAAATCTAGTTTTCACATGAAATTTCATGTGGAATCCCAACATGTACAACAGATACACACAAAGCTGATGTGGATAAAGCAGAGTCGGGGCCCATGGTTCTGCCCACTTTATCTCCTTTCTCACTCATGGTGCTGCCTCAGATGCCTTCCTTGAATCTGTGCCTCCCTACAGAAACTATTTTTGAAAACCCCTGATAGTCCTGCCTGTGGAATTAGACTTATTTGGTAGCAGAAACCCGATTTGAATTGGCTTAAACAAAAAGAACATTAGTTGACTCACATAATTGACAAGTTTGGAGGTAGTCCTGCCTTTCCACACAGATGGACTGAGGAGTTCCAACATTGTCATTGGGGCCTGGTCTCTCTTCTGTCTCTGTTCTGCAGTTTGTCTTTTTCTAAGGCGAGTATCCATTCCTACCAGCAAGATGGCCATGTCTACTAGCCAAATCCTACACTTTCATTCTCTCTTCTCAGACTTCCCTGCAGAAAAAGCAATTCTCCCCCAACTATATTACCAAGGCTCTGAGTCACATGGCCATGTCTGCATCCATTTCTGTGGCCAGGGAAACATAATGTTCTGTTTGGCCAGTCTGTAGTCACCTCAGCATCCTGGAACTGGGGATGGATTTAGCTTTATCCAAATCATATTAACTGAGAGAGCAGAAGCAACATTTCCTTAAGGATAATCAGTGTGTTGTTACAAGAAAAGTGACCGGATATTGGGCTGACAAGAATGTTCACTTCAGCTACCTGGACCTCTGTGCCCTGATTAAGCTCTCCTCCTGCCCTCCCACCCCATGAAATATTTGACCACACCTCAATGTGAACACTCCTAGTCCTGCTTTGATTTTCCATGCCCAGTACTTTGGAGTTACACATAGATGATGATGATGCCTGCAAGGCAGAGCTAAGGCTGAGGCAGAGCCTGGAGCAGGCAGCAGGCAAGTGAGAGTCTAGTTGCAAGAGCCAAGACCCGAATCCCAAACCAGAAGCAGGCTGTAAGAGGCACAGGAGCGCATGCAAACAGAGGGCTAGGAAGCCAGCCAGGTGGAAACCATAGAGATGTCTGAAGCCACACATAGAAGTTCCTGGATTTGTGGTGCTGCCCCAGCTGGCTTGCAGACCCACTTGCTTTAAGATTGCTTGCTCCTACTATAGAAAATACCACAGCCTCAGGATTAAAATCAGACTCTGATTTTCTTAGAAATGTATCACAGAGCAGGAAAAAAAAAAAAGGGGGGGGGAATGCTCACCAGGCAGTGGCTAGGTGTCCACACAACCCCAGTTCCCTAACCCATTAACATCTCTCACATGGATACAATTTTAGACCTGAATAGAACTTAACACTCTGATATTTGTCTTGAAATTCTTGATACGTATGGGGGTAGGAAGGGTTGCACAATCTAGTGAAAGTGAATAGAGAAGAAATATTGTGGTCATAAATTAGCACATGTTGAAAGGCTATTTGTACCTATTTAAACTACCTGAAAGTGTGTGAGGGTTTTCCATTGTTCCACATTATTGCCTGCATCTTCGCTATTCTGGTGGGTATATTGTATTACATTGTGATACAATACATTGTGGCTTCAATTTGCATTTCTCTGGTGACTAATAAATTTGAGCACCTTTTCATATGTTTTTGGTCATTTTGCTCTCTTCTTTGTGAAAGTGTTTGTTCAGGTCGTGTGCTTGTTTTTCTATTGGACTTTTTTTTTTCCCTGCAGTTTCAAGATTTAATAGAATGAAAACAGAGCTCCCATACAAAGGGAGGGGACCCAAAGAGGGTAGCCATTGCCAGCTCGAATGCCTGGGTTTATATCCTGATCATTGTCCCTCCTGCTGTGCTCTCAGGCAATAGATGATTGGCTATTTCTTTACCTCCTGTTTTTGCCTAATTAGCATTTTAGTGCGCTCCCTTTACTACCTGATTGGTCAGGTGTGAGCTAAGTTGCAAGCCCTGTGTTTAAAGGTGGATGCAGTCACCTTCCCAGCTAGGCTTAGGGATTCTTAGTCGACCTAGGAAATCCAGCTAGTCCTGTCTCTCAGTACCCCCTCTCAACAGGAAAACCCAAGTGCTGTTGGGGAGGTTGGCCAATGACCACTCTAACTGCTTCCTGCTGAATTGGGGTATAATAGGGGTTGTGCAGTTGAGATTTCCTTGGGAGGGGTGCCTTCGATGTCATTAACATTGGAGCATGGGCTAGCAAGCCGGTCCAGGGGTCTGCGGTAGATCTTAGTCATGGACTGCATCTGGGGCTCCATTTGAAGAACGATTTGTAGTTTTACAGCTTTGATTCTGGAAGAGTCAAACTTAACAAGGACGTTAAAGATACAGGGATTGAAATGTATGACCTGCAGTGCAGGGGATTATTTCTTTGGCACACTTTACAGGCCCTGACTATCTGCCTGATAGTTTTGAAAAGGCCTGGCCCGGTAAATAATGATTTGGCCATCTGATGGGTGCTATCAATGCCTAAGTAAAAGGTTTGGGGAAGGGTTTTAAGTAATCTCCATTGGTTAGCTGCAGGCAAAAGTATTTTTCCTTCTTTGGTGGCTAGCCATCCTGAGGGGAGGAAACTATGTGCTCCTGAGGTTCCCCATTCTATTTCTTCTTCTGAGTACTGGGGCTTGGTTTTCCAGAGGGGATTACCTCATACTAGGGGTCCTTCTATAAGCATTTTTAATGGAGGGTCCTGTCTTGTGGCTCTTGTTGCTTCAATATCCACTTGGCGGTTCCCTTCTATTTCCCTTTCCTTTTCTTTCTGATGACCCTGGCAGTGTAAGACTGTCACCTCTTTAGATTTCTGTACCACCAATAATAATCTCCTAATGGCTTCCTGATATTTGATAGATGTTCCCTCAGAAGTTAGGAATTCCCTTTCTTTCCATATTGTTGTATGGGCATGTAGGCAAGCATACGTAGAGTCTGTATATATATTTACCCTTTTTCCTTCTCCTAATTCTAGTGCCCAAGTGAGGGCTATTAGTTCTGCCAGCTGAGCACTAGTTCCTGGAGTGAGAGAATTACTTTCAAGTATTCCATTATCACTGACCACTGTATACCCCGCTTTTCGAAGTTCTTTTTCTACAAAGGAACTTCCATCAGTATACAAGTTGAGGTCTGGATCAGTCAAGGGAATCTCTAGAAGGTCCCCTCGAGTGGTGTAGGTTTGAGCAATTACTTGTTGACAGTTATGTTCTATCTTTTCTTCATTGTCTGGAAGAAATGTGGCTGGGTTAAGAGTTGCACAAGTGCACAGTTGCAGCACTGGCCTTTCAAGTAATAGAGCCTGATATTTAAGTAAATGGTTGTCTGACAGCCACAAGTCTCCTTTAGCAGTGAGTATGCCGTTCACATCATGAGATGTCCACACAGTAACATCTCTTCCCTGTATTATTTTAACTGCTTCAGATACTAAGACTGCTACTGCCACCACTACCCATAAACAATGAGGCCAACCTTTTGCCACTACATTGATTTCCTTACTCAGGTATGCCACAGGTTGCAAGCTCATCCCTCAGACCTGTGTAAGGACCCCTAGAGCTATTCCTGTTTTTTTCTGTGACATATAAAGAAAAGTCTTGCCCCATTGGCAAGCTTAACACTGTGGCTTGGGTTAGGACCTTCTTTAGGGCCTAGAAAGCCGATTCTGCTTCAGGTGTCCATCTTACTAAATGAGTATTGGCTTTCTGAGTTTCCTTAATTAGTGTATATAATGGCTTGGCTATTTTGCCATACCTGGGAATCCATATTCAGCAGAAGCCTGTTATGCCAAAGAACCCTCTTAGTCGCGTTAGGGTTTCGGGATGAGGATAAGCCAGTATAGGCTGGATACATTCCTCACTGAGGGCCCTGGTACCTTTGGATAATTTTAGCCCTAAGTATTTAACCTGCTGTGAGCAGAGCTGAGCCTTTGGTTTGGAAACCACAGGTGGCAAGGAAATTTAAGAGCGCTCGGGTGGCTTGATGGCACAAGGTTTCTGAACAGGCGGCTAAAAGTAAATCATCCATGTACTGAAGGACAAGAGTGTCCTGGTATGAGAACTGGCTCAAGTCTTGGGCTAATGCCTGGCCAAATAGATGGGGGCTATCCCTGAACCCTTGGGGTAAAACAGTCCAGGTGAGTTGAGATATTGGGTTCGAAGGATCTTCAAAGGCAAATAAGAATTGAGAGTCAAGATGCACAGGGATGCAGGAAAAGGCATCCTTAAGGTCCAGGACTGTAAACCACTCTGCTTCCTCTGGTATTTGGGAAAGCAGAGTATAAGGGTTAGGTACAGCTGGGTATAGAGGAACAATGGCCTCATTGATAATCCTGAGATCTTGCACTAACCTCCACTGTCCATTGGGTTTCTGTACTCCTAAAATTGGAGTATTGCAGGAGCTATTGCATGGTTTTACCAGGCCTTAGGCTTTTAGTTCCTTAACAATTTTTTGGAGTCCTTGTTGGGCCTCAGGTCTAAGGGGGTACTGCCTTGGTAGAGAAAGGAGGCAGAATCCTTTAGTTTAATTTGAATGGGATGGCCATTCTTTGCTCGTCCATATTTTCCTTCTGTTGCCCAGACTTCAGGATTAATTCCTTCCTCAAGCAGGGGACAACAAACGGGTGTTCCTTCTCCTATGTTCAGGTGTATAATGGCTCCTGCTTTTGCTAGAATGTCTCTCCTTAACAAGGTAGTGGGGCTTTTAGGCATAGTTAGAAAAGCATGTGAAAAGAGTAAAGTTCCCCAGTCACAACTTAGTGGCTGGGAGAAGTATCTAGTGACTGGCTGTCCTAGGACCCCTCAGATAGTGACAGATCTGGAGGACAGTTGTCCGGAACAGGAGAGTAAAACTGAGAAGGCCGCACCAGTGTCCAGGAGACAGTTAACCTCGTGGCCCTCAATGGTCAAGCATACCCGGGGCTCCGTGAGGGCGATGGCATGGGCTGGCGCTTGCCCCGGGCACCCTCAGTCCTGCTGCTGGATCATCTGGTTAGTGGCTTCTGACTCAGAGGACCTTCATTCCCTGGGGCAGTGGGCCTTCCAGTGATTCCCTTGACATAAGGGTCATGGACAAGGGGGTGGCTTATTTCTATTTGGACAATCTTTTTTAAAGTGTCCTTGTAGACTGCACTGGAAGCAAGCCCTATTAGGCATTTGATTTGCCCAGCTTTTCCCTTTTCCAGAGCCTCCAAAGTCTGCTTGCCTGAGGGCCATGACTGAAGTGGTGGCCTTTTTTTTTATCCCGTTTGTCCCATTCCGCCTGCTCCTCCTGATCTCTATTATAAAAAACCGAGGTTGCCAAGTTCAGTAGGGTTTCTAAGTTTTGTTCTGGGCCTAAGGCAAACTTTTGAAGTTTTTTTCTAATGTCTGCAGCTGACTGAGTGATAAACTTATCCTTTAAGATTAGTTGGCCTTCAACAGAGTCAGGTGACAGACAGGTATGCTTTCTCAATGCCTCCCTTAGTCTCTCCAGAAAGGCAGTAGGATTTTCTTCCTTTCCCTGTGTTATAGTGGACATCATTGAGTAATTCATAGGCTTCTTCCTAGTTTTCCTTAGTCCTTCTAGCACGCAAGTTAGCAAATGTCTGCGGCACCAATCTCCATGTTCTGATTTTGTGTCCCAATGAGAGTCTACACTGGGAACTGCCTGCGTGCCTGTGGGGAATCGTTCTCTTTCCTCTGTTGTCATCCTACCATTGACCTGACTGAGATACCAGAGAATGCCAATCTCTCGGGCTGCAGTTACAGCGGCACTTTTCTCATTTGGGTTAGTGTCTGATTTAGCAGTAACATTATATATCTCCATGTCAGATCAAAGGATTGTCCTAACCCTTGTAGAACATCAGTATAGACGTCAGGGTTATCTGAGAATTTACCTAGGTCTCTTTTAATTTGCTTCAAGTCTGAGAGAGAAAAAGTTACATTCATTCTGGCTGGGCTGAATTTTCCTCCTCCCACTGCTTGGAGGGGGCATAATTGGGGAATATTGGTACTCTTTGATTCATTGTTTACCCCTTTGTCTATCTCTTTTTGGACCGTTTGGGTTGAAGTGGGGGGTCCTTATTAGTTGGGGAAGGAGTCGAGGGGATGCTGGGGTAGGGAGGTAGAGTCTGAGGGCTTCCTGTGGGGCATAAATCACACTTTTTACATAATTGCGAGTTGTCTCTTAATGAAAAGAAAGTTTGTACATATGGCACTTCACTCCATTTGCCTTCTTTTCTACAAAGGAGGTCTAGCTGTAAGATGGTGTTATAATTCATACTTCCCTCAGGAGGCCAGGTTTCTCACTCTTGAAGAGGATATCATGGCCAGGCGGTACTGCAGAAGAATATAAGTCATTTCTTTCTTAGCGTCTGAGGGTCAAATTGGACCCAATTCTCCAGAATACATCTTAGGGGCGTTTTTGCCTTGTGGGGAAAAAGAACATAGGGATGCCAGCACCCCTAGTCATTTTCCGATGAGCATTAGTCATAGAGTGTCCTCTATGGTCCTAATGCTTATTCCTTTCCAGGGTGCGTAACCACCCATGGACCTCTGCTTATCGGATTATTTACACTCACTGATGTAGCAGTCCTGCACCCCTTTTCCCACCTTTCTTGACCGCAAAGAAAGGGGTCCAGGCTACTGGATTCTAGTGCTCCTTTAACAGCGTGCCCAACATTGCCTTTGTGCTCAGGGGTGAGTTCTAGAGCTGGGCTGGGTTCCTGAGTATTTCCTAACAAACCAGCTGCCCCATCAAGATGCACTCCCATAAACAACAGTTCTTATGCAAATTCGTTTCAGAGAGGGTGTAGGTAACCTTTTGAGTCAGGATTGAGATAGTCTTTTTGATTTTGTAAGTACTTTAAGGCTTGGCTGAGTGCAAACATTTCGAAAGTTTGAGTAGACCAATTATTAGGCAATTCTCCTAATTCTGCTTGCACAAGAGTCTCCCTATCAATTATTGAATACCCATTGTGGTTTTTTCCTCAATCATCTGGGAGGAACCATCTATCATCCTGTCCTGAAGGGAGCTCTTCCTAGGTCTGGTCAGACCTTTGTATGGTAATTAAGATTTAAATCACCTGTAAGGAAATCTGCTGGGTTAAGGGAATTATCAGTGGTTAGTGTTATATTACCTTTTTCTAACAGACTAACCCTATACTTTAAGATTTTTGAGTTAGTAAGCTACCTTTTTGCTTTTTTTGGCTTAGAATAATTCTGAACTGGTGAGGTGTGCTCACATGAGGTTTCCTCTAAAAGTTACTTTTCTACTTTCTTCTGTTAGCAAAGCAGTTGCCGCTACAGATTGAATGCATTTGGGCCAGGGCCATCTGCGGGTTACTGGGTTAAGGATTTGTCATAGGAAGGCTACGGGTTGTCAGTGGTCTCAGTATTTTCAAGCTATGCCTTTGTTTACACTGACAACAAGGTAGTGTTGGAGTGTTATAGGCTCATGGAGAAGACCTTCAATTATCAATTATAGGTTTTAAATTTACCCTGGCTTTTAAAGGAATAGGGCACACTTTTTTTTTTTTTTTTTTTTTTTTTTACTATTTCTATATTTCTCTCTCTTTGACTCCCTCTTTTTCTCTCTGTCTCTCTTCTCTGTCTCTCTCTCTCCTCTCTGTCTCTCTCTCTTAGCCATTACAAACTTGGGGCAGGTATACAGCCCATGTTGAGAGCTGTATACCTAAATTGGGAGGGACACCAGGGATAAGACTCCCTGGGTTTATAGCCTAGATGCCTAAGGACACAGTGTAGAGCTTCCTTAGATCCCTTTGGAGTTACAACTTGCTAGAGGAAAGGAAAGTCTGAACCATTAGTACCTAGGAGGCAGGGATCAGAGGAAGTAGATTCAGAGGTAAGGAGAATTTTGGGACTACACTTTCAAGAAAGTCATGGTCAGGACCCAGGAGGTATGGGTCAGAAGGAAAGGTAGGAGCGCCCGCATGGGCGACTGTTGAGTAGAGACTTCTGGCTGCGCCATGATCTCAACCAGCTAATGCCGGGAGTTTGGGATGACTGCTTTCTGCCTCTAGTCGGCCCTTGGCTTCCCCAGGAAAACTGAAAGTGGAAGCTGGCTCCAGGCAGACCAATGTTCCCAACTCAGAAGGGTTGGGGATTGTTAGAAAGCCCTTCCCCAGATAGCTTCACACATGAGTCTTAAGTCTGGCGGCCATGCTAATTGTTTTTAACTGGCTGACAGGTCCCTGGTATTTTCCTCCAATTCTAAGGAAGGATAGGACAGAAGAGCAAGTGAAAGTGGTCCAATATTACTCACCACTTTGGAGGTCCCTTTGTGGTTGCCAAAATGTTACTGGGGGGTCCTTGCTCCCAGAGCTCCCAAGATGGTGGTGGGCTGCTTCCAAAATGGCGGTGGGCTGCTTACAAGATGGCAGCAAGCCTCGTGTTCTCTGACCTGGGGTTCTTGGCCTCACGGATTCCAAGGAATGGAATCTTGGGCCATGTGGTGAGCATTATAGCTCTACTAGAAGCCGTGGGTCACGGAAGAGAACCGTAGAACCCAGTGACTAGTGTTCAGCTCAATTAGGACGAACCCGGGCACTTAGCCGTGCAGGAACAATGGCAAGCCTTTAGCCCAATTGGGAGCAGCAATGGGCCCCTCACTGGGTCAGGAGCACAGCGGACACCCTGCCAGATCCAGAGGGATGGAAGTCAGCGGCAGGTCTGTGACAGCAGCAAACAGCAGTAGCAGACGGTGAGCAAAAGCTCAGCTTGAACCATAACAAACATGGACCAGAAGAGAGTTGCAAGATTTAATAGAGTGAAAACAGAGCTCCCATACAAAGGGAGGGGACCCAAAAAGGGTAGCCCCCCCCCTTTTTTTTTGTTTCAATAGAGATAGGGCCTCACTATGTTGCCCAGACTGGATTCAAACTCCTAGGCTGAAGCAATCTCCTCCTGTCTCAGTCTCTGTCTTGTCTTTTTGTTATTGATTTGTAAGAGTTATTTGCTTATTCTGATATAAATACATATATTGCAAATATCTTCCTCCACTCTGTGGACTTTTCACTTTGTTAATGGCATCTTTTGAAAAACAGATGTCCTTATTTCCATGTAAATTTGTGCAACCTCTTTGAAAAACTGCTGAATATATACATTCTGTGACCCAGCAATTCCACTCCTAGGCTGAATCTACCTGGCCGAAATGCATATTTATGCTTACTAAAAGACAGGTTTAAGTATGTATATGGCAACACTACTCTCAAAAGCCAAAAACTGGAAACATCTCAAATGTCCATAAGTAGTAAAACATATAAACAAAAACTAGAATTCCACATAATAGAATACTATACAGCAATGAGAATGCATGAACTGTTGCTACATGCAACAACATGGATGGATCTTACAAACAAAATACAAAGGGTAAGAAGCTAGACAAGAAGTAGCACATGCTATATGGTGCCATTTATATATAATCCAAAAAAATGCAAAACTAATTTCTGGTGATAAGGGTCAGGAGAGTGATTACCTTTGGGGATAATGACTAGGAGAGGTACAAAGCACTTTGTGAGGTGCTAGTAATGTTACATTTCTAAGTCTGGGTGCTGGCTACATAGTTGTGTTCACTTTGCAAAAATTAATCAAAAGGATACATTTAAAATTTGTTATTTCTATATGTATTCTAGTTAGTAAAAAGATTTTCCTGAAATAGGGTGTTTGGATCAATTAGATGGCATTGTGGATCCAGAAATAAGCACTAAAATTTATGGTCAGTTTACTTCAGAGAAATAAGCCAAGACACTTCAATGGGGAAAGAATAGTCTTTTCTTCAAATGGCGGCGGACAACTGGATATTCGCATGCGAAAGAATCAAGTTGGACCCCTACCTCGCACCGTACACAAAATCTAACTCAAAGTGTATCATAGACTTAAAGGTAAAAGCTAAAACTATAAAATCCTTAGAAGAAAATACAGGAATAAATCTTTGTAATTTGAGATTAGGCAATGATTTCTTAGATATAATACCAAAAACATAAGCAATAAAAAAGAAGATTGGTAAGTTAGATTTAATCAAAGTAAATAACTTAGGTTCTTCAAAGGATGCTACCAAAAAAAGAATCAACAGACTCAGAGAAAATATTTGCAAATCATTTATCTGATAAGACTTGTATCCAGAATATATAAAGAACTGATAACTCAATAATAAAAAGACAACCCAATTTAAAAATTTGAAATGGTTTGAATATACCTTTTTCCAAAGAAGATACACGAATGGATAAATAAGCACATGAAAAGATTAACATTAGCTGTGAAACAGGTTTAATAATGATCAGTCCCAAGGGATGATTGCCACTGAATGGAGGACACCAAAGATCATTACTAAGCCAACCATTAGTAATAACAGTCCAAACACTTCTGCCCACTGCATCCTGGGCTGAAGTTTTCCTACTTGTCCAAGTCCAGTAAGACAGAACCCATTCACATGCAACAAGTTATATGAAGCAGATTCATTACTTACAGATAGGCAGCAAAGGATAAAAGCAGCTTGGATTCATTGAGAGCCAGTCTCCCAAGGCTCAGGAAAGCTGCCTGGGGTGGATGAAGCCTTGACTGCATTCCCAGCTTGCACTCCAGCTGAGCTACCTTGAGAAGCAGTCCACCCTGGGCTATATACTTCAGAAGAATATGAATCATGAGGACATCTTGTTTCTAGGGGAGGGAAAAAGAGCCCAAGCTGTCCCAGACAGTTTCTCCCTATCTCAAGATGTTACATTTCCTAGTAAGGATAGGAACAAAGTCCAGGGTATTTCAGGCAGTCCTTCCCTATCTCAGGGTGTTGCATTCACAGAGCATTCACCAGTTATTCTGAGAGCTACAAGCAAGAAGACGGGGAGAGGCTGGGTTGGCCAAGAGACCATCAAGCATCAGCCATTAAAGAACTACAAATCAAAACCACATGAGATACCAATTCATGCCCTCTAAGATGACTATAATCAAAAGGACATGTTTAATTGAATTAAGTTTGTCCTAAACCTGCCTCCATAGGTAGTTTAAGTCTGGACTAAAAGTTTCTCCATGCACAGTGAACTGTAAACTAACTTGATGTGTAAACAGACTGTAACCTACTCTTGTAGCAAGTAGCTGAGTCTCAGCCAATCACAGCAGCCAAGTTTCACCCAATTATGAGTGGCCAACTGTTTAAGCTATTTTTTTTTTTTTTCTTTTTGGAGACGGAGTCTCACTCTGTCACCCAGGCTGGAATGCAGTGGTGTGATCTTGGCTCACTGCAAGCTCTGCATCCCAGGTTCACACCATTCTCCTGCCTCAGCCTCCTGAGTAGCTGGGACCACAGGTGCCCGCCACCACATCTGGCTAATTTTTTTGCATTTTTAGTAGGGACGGGGTTTCAATGCGTTAGCCAGGATGGTGTCGATCTCCTGACCTCGTGATCTGCCCGCCTGGGCCTCCCAAAGTGCTGGGATTACAGGCATGAGCCACCGCGCCCGGCCTTAAGCTATTTTTAAATATGGCACATGCTGAGCCATAACCAATCCAGTTGTTTCCACACCTAATTTTTGTTTTCTGTATATCAGTATTCTTTTTCTGTCCATAAACGTTATCTGACCATGCAGCTGGAGTTGATCTAAACCTATTCTGGTTATGGGGACCGTCTGGTTTGTGAATCATTTCTTGCTCAGTTAAACTCTGTTAAATGTAATTTGCCTAAAGCTTTTCCTTTTAACGGATTGGTGTCAGAAGTGGGATCTGAAGTAGAGCTTTCAGTGACTCCCAGGAACAGCAAGTGACCAAGTGAGGCATCACCAGGCCCAACTGGGGATTGTGGTTAAGTTCTCAGATTCCAAAGCTCCACAGGTTTGTGTTTTGAGCTATCTGAGTTTGTGTGAGCAAATTTTTGACCCAGACTGTTTGGAAGTTGATTCTGGAATCATGAATAAAAGCCAATTCAAATCTTTAAGTTAAATTTGTTGGAATTTTGTCTTTTAACAGTTTGGGCGAACCAGATGAGACCCAACTTCTGAGACCCCTTGTGGAATGCAGGAGAGGCACTGCTGATCTCTTTTGAGGTCCCATGTCTTCTTCATAGAGCCTCAAATGTTGTGAGTTCCTCTCAGGTTGAGCTCTGTTCTTTTCTCATTAAGCACTCAATTCATTTTCGGCTTTTGAATCCAGGGTTTTGTACTATGAGAAGGCATATAACCTTTCAGGATTTGCAGTGACTGACAAGTCACTGGAAAAACTGTGCTAGATCCAGAGTTGGATTAGATTTGATAGTTAACTGAATTGAACTCAAGAGGCCTTGGGTAACTGACTGGGTTAGAGAGAAACTAAATTGAGTTGAGGGTCAAATTGATTGTCACAATTCAAGGAGTCTGAGATGACACCATTTGGGACTCCAGCTAATTTTATGTGTCAAAATTATGAGCCCAAATTGTGTGCGTTTTGGAAGAATGTGTTAACTTCACTAGAAGCAACTCAAAATTAAAGTGGCCATATATTAGTCCATTCTCCTGCTGCTATAAAGAACTGCCTGAGACTCGGTAATTTATAAAGAAAAGAGGTTTAACTGACTCACAGTTCCGCGGGGCTGGGGGAGCCTCAAAAAAACTTACAATCATGGCAGAAGAGGAAGCAAACATGTCCTTCTTTCCATAGCAGCAGCAAGGAGAAGTGCAAAGTGAATGGGGGAAAGCCCCTTGGAAAATCATCAGATCTCATAATAACAAACTCACTATCATGAGAAAAGCATGGGGGAAACACCCCCATGATCTAATCACCTCCCAGAAGGTCCCTCTCCCAACATGTGGGGATTACAATTTGGATTACAAGTCAAGATGAGATTTGGGTGGGGACACAGAGCCAGACCATATTGGGCCACAGTGGGAAAGTTTTAATTTGGATACAGTTGTTTATTTGCAAGAGACATTAGAAAAGAAGGAATCAAAAACTGTGTAAAAACAAGGAGATACATTTTTTAACCAGTATGCAGAGGCATCTAAAAGATTAAATAAATCAACATTTGCTTCCCTAAAAAAATTTGCAAAAGGCATATATACAAAGCTTAAACAACAACTAAGAATGTAACGAAAAAGGACGATACCCTCATTGAACTAACCCTTGCTGCTTTTTCTCTCCATCTATCTTTACTTCAATACTCTGAGTCCATTAACCTTCTTGTTCAATTACCGTTTCATTCTGGGGATAATAGAAAAAGGGGAAGTTAGTAGAGAATAGACTTTTCTTGCAAGTTCCACGTGCTGTGGAAAGCCCATTAAATTTTAGTCAAACTTAACATCTGTCAGTAAGTAGACTAACATCTTATTAAATTCTTTTGTCTTCTTCCAAACCCCACCTAAAACACTGCAGTCTGGGCATGATGGTTCACACCTGTAATCCCAATGTGTTGGGAGGCTAAGGTGGGAGTTCGAGACCAGCCTGAGCAACATAGCAAGATGCTGTCTCTACCAAAAAAAAAAAAATAATTAGCAGGCATGATGGCACATGCCTGTAGTCCAAGCTATTCGGAAGGCTAAGGTGGGAGGATCACTTGAGCCACGGAGTTCAAGACTGCAGTGAGTATGATCATGCCATTGCACTCCAGCCTGGGTGAGTGAGACCCTATCTTAAAAATAAAATAAATAAAACACTGCAACTTACTTAACCTTGAGACTCCACTACTTCTACTGTCTGACAGTGAAGACTATAACTATGTACATGTAATATTAGAATCAGTGGCCCCTCGTGTTGATTTACAAGATACTCCACTGGATAATCCTGAATAAATACTTTCTGTGGATGGGCCTTATTCCAAATACTCAGAAGGAAAATATCAGGCAGGGAATGCTGTTACAACCCAAACTGTATAGCAAGCCTTACCTGTTTAAGGTGTTTATTCTTGGCCATTATGTCTTAACTGGGCCTTTATCTATATCCTCCTTCCTTGATTTGGGCAAATAATGGTATTTAGACCTAAAGTCTCAGCTCTGTGCTTTTGAGATGGAAATTTTCTACCTTATTTACTAAGCCATTCCTTTGGAAATGCAAATTTGGGTTAAAACTTTTTAATAGTTGCCCCAGCACAGTGGCTGATGTCTGGAATCCCAGCACTTTGGGAGGCCAGGGCAGATGGATTGTTTGAACCCAGGAGTTCAAGACCAGCCTGGGCAACATAGCAAGACCTTGTCTCTATTTTTAAAATAATTAATTTAAAAAAATTTTAATAGTTATTAAAAACGGGGTAAGTAAAGCAAATAGTGATGGGGTTAAAACAAAAGGTAAATCTACCAAAGATTAGACAAAACAGAGGAACACCTGCCGGTCTGCCAACATTACAAGATCCCAAATCAATTCACTCTTTTTACCCCAGTTTGGAGAAATTTTTTAAAGTCAGAAGGCAGAAATTACAATGAACAACCTAGCTAACAATTACTTAGGGTAATGATCAAACAGGTCAGTAAAGAAAAGGCCAAAGGTCCCTTGATATAACCCCCTGATGGAATGGGATAAAAGTTGTTTAGGTGAACCTGTCATAGTTTCAAAATTCTTTTTCAGTGAAGTCTTAAAGTCATAATAAATTAAGAGAGATTCATAAAATGTCTGGGTTATTTCTAAGTAGGTTAAAATGCTAAAACTTTAATTTTTAAGCAAAAGTTTAATTTTACAAACTTTGGCATGTTTTTATACAGTCTAGAGAAGCTAATATGTGGGTCTGTTAATAAACAAAAATTGTGTTTTGAGAAAATGTTTCTAAAAATTATTTTAAATGCTGATACAAAACAGTTCAAAATTGCTCACTTCCTAGGTTTTCACTAGAAATTGGGGTTACTAATACTTAAAAAGTCGAATTAATATATGGCAATTAAAATTAGAAATAAGAGAAACAAAAAAAGTAAGACATGTTTTTGTAAGTGAAGCTTAGATGAAAAGTATGTTTTTGTTTTTTTAAAAAAAGTAATTTTTTCCTAAAGTAGAATGATTGATTGTCCCAAAATAAGAAAGAAGAAAACTATAGGACAAATGACTTAAAGGATATAAAATGTAGAAAGTTTATGAATCTTAGGAAATAAATTTTATGTGTGATCAGGGTGGCTAAAATTAGAAGGGAATTATAAGTTTTTTTTTAAAAATGGAGCATTAATATCAAAAGTACACTGATGCAAAAGTAGAATCTGGTCCTCTCCATTGAAACAGGATTTCCTTGGAGTAAGCCTCTTCTTTTAATAGGAAGTTGTAAAAGGTATTTTAGATAATTGGCCTGTGAAACAAAAGTAGGGTGTTTTATTAAAATAATTTCCTGTTCTTCATGTTGTCTTCTATTAGATCTTTGATTACTTAAGAAAATTGAGTCTTCTCAATATTAAAAGAGCTAAGTTTTTTGTCCAAAATGATGTAAACTTCTATATTTGCCTTTAAAATCTTTGATGGCCACTTTGCAGATTTTTAGGTTAAGTCAGCCAGTACTGAAATTGCTGACATCAGCAATTTGAATGAACTTTGTAAGGTTAATCCAATTCAACTTATATATGATAATCTATCTAATAAACAGGGCTATGCACCTGAATTGGAGAAAAAAAATTGACATTTTGAAGAATGTAAATGCAATGTTAAACATGAACTCATGGAGAGCATAGACGGTCACCTATCCTTCCTGAGTCTTTCAAGCTCCCATTAAAAGTTCTGCACACCATGACTTATCATGGAAAAGATAAAATGATTAAAATTATAAAAATGTGGTGTGGTGACTGCTCTAAGGTTGCCAAAATGGCTTATGACCAATGTTTGGTTTGTCAAACTCATATTCCTGGGGAGACAATCAAAACTGAAGGTATGTTTCTGCTACCTAATGGGCTGTTTGACCATTTATAGAGAAATTTCATTCAATTGCCATTTTCAACACGTGTTTTTCTGGTTATATAGAAGCATTCCCATGCAGGAAAGCTGATGTGATAACAGTAGCTTAAAAGTTACTAGAAAGTTTGTTTCCCTCATGGGGCATTCCTGGAGAAATCTCCAACAATAGAGGTACTTGTATAACTGGACAAGTTGTAAAATAGTTAAATAAGGTATTATAGATACAGTAACATTAGGGAAAGCTAACTGAATTGACTGGATTGGCTTGGTCAAAGACATTGCAGATTGATGGCAATAAGATCCACTTCCACTGAAAAAAATAAGTTGACCCCTTATGAAATAGTCACTGGAAGGCCTATACCCCTAATAATAAAACCTCATGTATCTTCTGCTCTTCTAAATTCTGACTAAATGCTGCAAGGCTCTAATGCATTATGCCAAAGTATATTTTCACTCAGTAAGGGAGGCTTTTTGTGATCCACCACTGAAGACAATCAAACCCTACATAACCTAGAACCTGGAGACTGGGTCTTATGGAAACAACTTCAGAGAAAGACTACATTTGAACCTCATTGAAAGGGATCATACAAAGTTCTTCTTACAGTCCACACTGCAGCAAAATTTCAGGACCTTATAATTTGGGTCCCTAATCTCACAACACAGAAGGGTTTCTCCAATTTCTTGGAACTGTAACACCCATTGGAAACCTTAATGTAAAGCTAACCAGGAAAGTTATCCCTTAGAAGCAGTTGACATCCTAGATGTGGACAGCCTTCCCAAGATCCCAGATCAAGACTTCTCTACCACCATGAAACTCTTACTTCTCTTAATTTTTCCTTGCTTATGCCTGCCTCTTTCACTGGCAGGATCATGCTGAAATTTAGATTTCACAGTTAGTTTCTTCTGGGGGTTACTTGATGAAGTGTTATATCTGCCATGCCAAACACAGATCTTTACATGACCTAAGGGATCCTTTAGTTCTCCTAGTGGGTAACTTTAGCAACATTCCTGACATGACTGCTGTTCAAATTGTAATAATGGTAAGATTTCTAGGCCTACTTTTTCTCACTCCCTGTTCTAATTTAACTCAGTAATGGAATACAAAAACAAAACCCATGAGCATATCACAAGACAGGTTTGCATCAAAAGCCCAAATGGAGTTTCTTGTAAACTGACATATGTCCCAGGGTACTATAGCATGCTTTAATCTGTAATAATGCAGATTCAGACCCTTGGGTAGAAACTGCTCATTCCACCATTCCAAATAATGTGTCCATGAACAAGAGAACTGGAAAAGGAACCTTGTGTGCACCCATGGGGTATAGTTTTATTTGTGGAGAATTTCATGGCCAACCTTATGTGTGGACAATCTAGTGCTTTGATGGATGGAAAATGAAGGCCAAAATGGGCTAGGAATTTTAATAGTCCCCTTGTTGCTCCATAATCAGTCAAAAACAGAACATTGGTCCACTATTCAACCTATGTCATAGATTAAAGAGAACATTGCCAGGAAACATTAACCATTCTGAAGGGACATTATTTGTTAGGTTCTTTCCCTCATAATTGGCTCTATAGCAGATTCTACTGCAAAGCTACAGCTACACAACAAACTTCTTTAAATCATCTTGCTAAAATTGTACTAGATAATAGAACTGCTTTAGACTGCCTACTGGCTGAACAGGCAGAAATCTGTGCAGTTGCTGATACTTCTTGTTACACATGGATTAATACATCAGGTATTAGAGAGACTCAGTTGCATAGGATTAACAGACAGGCTGCTTGGTCAAAATGGGTAGACCCCCCATCTGGCTCATTCTTTGATCTACTCGATTTTAGTTAGTTTAGTTCAACTGGCCCCTCCCTCTCCCAGAGGACACTCAAATTCACAATACTCTTTCTCCTTCCTCTCCTTAGTGGTTGACCATCTTGGGCATGAGATGTGCTACAGGAAGCATGCAGGTTACCCCTCAGCAGCAGCCCAAGAAGCCCAGATTATTCAAGAACTAATCAGACTCGGCCAGGCAGAAAGACAGGGAAACCCTGATGGACAAAACAAAGGTGGCAGGTAAGCAATGACTTGACTGCTACTTAAAAGCAAGACAGATTCACTAACTAAGCAATTTAAAACCAAACAGAGAGACAAGAGGTGTGCAAATGAGGTAGATAAGCAAACTCAATTGTCACTGTAAAATATAAGATAGGCCTTCTCATTTGGTTGTTCACAGGATTGTCTCAGAATACAAGCAGTACTGGATCTCTAATGAGGTATGTGCAAACGTGCACACTATGCATCATTTTCAAATTGTGAATCCAGTGCAGAGTAACATCAGTTATGCTATACTCCAGGGCATGAACTTTCAGGGTAATAAAGACAAAAAAAATTGTTGTGTACACATGGCTATAATCTTTGCTTGAAGTTATTTGTAGCAGCCCCGTGTAAAATGTAAAATTAAAAGCCAATTTGTAATTTCTTCCATAGAACAAAATTTTCCATTTTAAAAAGGAAATGGTACACCATGGAAAACACTGTGTTCCTTGAAGTGACCCAGGTCACCTTGCCCTGAATGCTTAAGTGGAGGCTGCTAGCACAAGGGTAAGGATGAAAGAGTTAGCCAAGAATTTAATAGTTCCAAGTATGTAAGGTATGACGAATCTCCTTGTTCTGCCCTCAATGTGATACCCTTTTCCAAGAACAATCAAAGAAATTTTATGAACAGCAGTCATTCTAATCTACTGGCCACGCCCAGGCTGTGTTTATTTTTTGTTGCCCACTCCCCACTGCCCGCACCCCCAGCTCTTTTCTCCATAAATACTCAGAGAGCTTCTTGATAGTTTTGTTTACATGGAGTTTGCCACTACATAAATAACTCTGAAACCTATCCTGTCTCTCCCATTTTTCTGTGCTCCTCCTTTTCATAAACTGCCTTGTGAGCCATCCTTTGTTCTAAGAAGCAAATTTAATCAGTCCTTAGGTGTTGATAGAAAGGTATCTTTTGGTGAGCTAATTGAACAGTTCCCTTTTTTGATGGAAAGAATAGGGAATAGGGAATAGCGGTGGGGTGTGTGTGTGTGTGTGTGTGTGTGTGGTGTGTGTGTGGTGTGTGTGTGTGAGAGAGAGAGAGAGAGAGAGAGAAAGAGACAGAGAGAACCTCCAAAGTATCTCAAAACAGACTGGTAAGGGGCAAGCTGCCCAGAGAGCTGAACTGATAAGACAGGGAAGAATGCAGCCTAGGAAATATACACATTTTATAGAAACCCGTAACAGATACCTGTTCAGTCAGAAAAGTTGACTTCTTGTAATAAGTCTGGCTTATGATTTTGTGTGAGAAGAAAATAACATTTTCTCTCTGCCTTCAGCTTTCTCATTTTTAAATAACTGCAGCTGCAATCTATTTGCAAACAGTGTTAGAACTATAGCAATACTTTTTAAGTACTTTAATGTCCTTCAGACAATAATGAAATAATTATCAAAGAAAGAAAAAATGATCAAATTTTAGTAGAAGTCTAATGGTTAAGAGTTTGGCATGTATTTTTTTTTCAATCAATTTAGAAGTTTATTTTGTCAAGGTTAAGGACATGCCTGGGAGACAGGTCTGTGCCTTTTCTCCAAAGACGATTTTGAGAGCTTCAATATTTAAAGGGGAAAAGCAGACTAGAGGGGAAAGAGGGAGGGTATGGTCATATTACTGAATCCACATGTTGCAAGAGAAATGGAGCAGGTAGGAGAATAGTCAATTATGTATTCATAACATGCTCAGTAATTCCGTACTTTACATAAGATAAGGTGAACATAGAGTGGTTACCTGTGGAGATGGTTATAGGTAAAAGGTTAAAGATCTGCTTAGGAACAAAAGGAAAGACAGTTTCTTGCATGACTCAGCTTTCAGCTTTATTTTTCCTTTTGGCATAGTGAATTGGGTTCCCGAGTTATTTTCTTTTCACATTTCTTCCCACTTTTATTTTTAAAACCTTTCAGAGTAAGCAATTTTGGAAGAAAATGAGTCTCTGGCCTTGGATTTTGTCTGATCTCTCATGGCTAAGAGAGTTTACGCGTAGAAGAATAGGTCCCACGTTGTTAGGAAAGCTCATTTTTAGCAGGTTGTGAAGTCTCATATCCTATGAGGAAAATAGAGGGGGAGGCACAGAGAAAAACAAACAATAAACAAAAACAGGCAACAATCCTGGAAAACTGATATAGGCTATGATACTCTGAAGTCCATACATCAGTAGGCAGGTATGAAAGTGGTTTATGTATAGGTTGTTTTTATTTTCCTCCAAAGTTTAAGTTGTCAAGCTTCAGTTTGCAGGGTTTTAAGAAAAGCACAGCTTAATTTTTAGTAATTTCAAATCAGGAAAAGTGGAGAAAAAAGGAGAAGAAAGAAGGAAAAAAAATGAAAACATTATTTTGGAGACTTGTAACCAGGAAAAGTTTTAAAATTCAGTCCAAATTGTAGAAAATAATAAAAATTTTGGGGGAGGGCAAGATGCCTACTAGACACAGCCAGGAGGAAACAGCTCCCACCAAGGGAAAGAGGACTGGTGTCCTCCTAACAGATCTTCAAAGGGAAGACAGCAAGAGTGGACAGAGGGAAGACACAGAAGCTGGGCTGAAGGGAGAGAAAGTTGAGAACCCTACATGGGGTTACAGTGCACCCAGACTCAATTCTGGCCCCCAGTGACTCTGGGGAAATGGGTGAATTGAACTGGCAAGAAGCAACCTGCTCTCACCAAGGGCCTCTGGAACCCTGGCAAGAGGAGACCCCTTGACCACCATGAACACTCAAGTTGGCAGGGAGAGCTGCTTAGAGAAATGATAGGGTAGCAAGACAGCTGATGTGGAGACTAGAGGGTTGGTGTTGGCGCTTCTGTGGTGGAGCATGGCCAGGGGACGGCCATCGTACTAGGCTTGACTTGCTCCCAGAGGAGACTCCAGCCTAGGGGAACTGTCAGACCTGAACTCTGCAGAGTGGTTTTGCACATCAGACAGGGCTCATTCGACCTGAACATCCCTTGGTCTGCCAGCCTTTTATACCCCAATTACATAAAGTCATCTATCACATACGCCTTTACCATTAGTCTCATCCCCATAACTATATTTATATGCACAGGTCAAGAGGCCATCATCTCAAACTGACACTGAGTAAGGATCAAAACCCTAAAACTCTCACTCAGCTTCAAACTAGACCCAGTGTTACTGGTGGAGGGTCTTGACTACAAGTCATCCAGGTTCTTGGCATTTTGAACAAAGAATTGGACAAAATGCACAAACAAAGTCAGGGAAGAATGAAGCAATGAAAGCAGAGATTTATTGAAATAAAAGTACTCTCCAGAGAGTGGGAGTATGCTTGAGCAAGTGGCTCAAGCGCAGGTTACAAAATTTTCTGGTGTTTAAATACCCTCTAGAGGCTTCCCATTGGTTACTTGGGCTATGCCCTATGTAAATGAAGTAGTGGCCTGCAATGAGTCTGATCGGTTGCAGAAGACAATCAATCAGAGGCTAAAGTTACAAAGTCACACCCCATGCAAACATCTGATAGGTTGTAGGAGGGAACCAATTAGAGACTAAAGTGAAGTTACGAAGTTATACTCCTATGCAAATAAAGACTAGGACTATGACCAATCTGATTGGTTGTGGGACAGGACCAATAAGAGGTACTTTCAACTTTTCATCTGCCACGCAGAAAGTTGGGGGCAGGGGTTCCAAAGGGAGTAGCCTCTGGTCCTTTTGTTACTTGGGTGTGGAAAGTTGGGGTTTTCCTTTTGACTTGGTTCAAGAAAGTCAATGTGAATCAGCCTTAGGTTCCCTGCCTCCAGACCCTATTCTCCTGTCTCACTGGGGCCCCAGCCTTGGCATGCCTTCTTGCAGGGCAGTCTTGGGTGCCCTGGGGGCCTGCACCATAGATTCTGCACTGGCAGGATCATGCCTGACCTGCAGAGAGCTCCAGTGGGGCAGCCCCTGTGCCCACGCACCAGTCCACATTCTCCCTCCCAACACTGCAGTTTCCCCCAGGCCCATGGCAAGTCCCCACATTACTTTGCTGGCAGGTGTCTATGCCAGTGGGTTTTGCTTGCCTTGCCCTGCCAGGTGAGGGAATGTAGCCCACCCCCCTCCCCCCCGTCAACTGCCATTGCAGATGGAGCCTTGGCAGGCACAGAGCCAGCCAGCCTCACCCTTGTGCTAACACTGTGCAGAGAACAGTGAATCCTCCCCAACCCTCAGTGACACCCCTCGTTGCTGGGCACAGAGAAAGCATCCAGACTTGCGCCCTCCAGTGCTCCATCCCCAAGCCAACACCACCTCCAGCATAATCCTGCACTCAATCACCAGCAGGGGTCCCCCACCCCCCTCCCAGCTGCATTGCCTCCACCACTGTGGTGAATGCCAGCAGGGAGGCAGGTACCCTGGCACCCACTGGCATTCTACCACAGCTGCTGCTACCACTGCTGCTGACATGTGTGAACAAGGACAAATCCTATAGTCACTGCACTATTAAATGCTTTAGCTGACACTACTCATCAGATTTTAGTGACCAGCAGTCTGGGAATACCTCAGTGCCACCCCCTGCATCTCACCTCCCACCAGTACAGTGGATTCCTAACCTCGAGGAGCCAGAGAACAAAGTTGGTGCCCAATACAAGTCCCCCAGAGTTAGAGCACACAGTCTAGGAGTTGGGAGCTGAGCACTGACACCCTAAAATCTTCCAGAAATGAAGCCAGCCAGTTGAACCTACCTCATATCACAATCAAACCCTCAAGGTCATCAAATACAAGAAAAGAAAAAAAAATCCAAAGGTCAGCAACCTCAAAGATTGTAGGAAGATAAGCCCACAGAGATGAGAAAGAATCAGTGCAAGAACCCTGACAACTCAAAAAGTCAGAGTGCCTACTTTCCTCCAAATGACTGCATCACCTCTCCAGCAAGGGTTCTGAATCAGGCTGAGGTGGCTCAAATGACAGAAAATCGAATTCAGAATAGGTACAGAAATGAAGATCATTGAGCTACAGAAGTATGTTGAAACCCAATCCAAGGAAGCTAAAAATCATGATAAAACAATGTAGGAAATGACAGACAAAATAGCCAGTATAGAAAAGAAGGAAACTGACCTAAGAGAGCTAAAATACACACTACAAGAATTTCATAATGCACTCACAAGTATTAATAGCAGAATAGAAGGAGCAAAGGAAAGAATCTCAGAACTTGAAGGCTGGCTTTCTGAAACAAGACAGTCAGATAAGAATAGAGAAAAAATAAAAAGGAACAAACAACCTCTGAGAAATATAGGATTATATAGAGACCAAATCTATGACCCATTGGTGTCCCTGAAAGCAATAAGAATGGAACCAACTTGGAAAATGTATTTCATTATATCATCCATCAGAACTTCCCCAACATAGCTAGAAAGGCCAGTATTCAAATTCAGGAAGTGCAGAGAACCCCAGTAAGATATTTTACAAGAAGTTCACCCCCAAGACACATAATCATCAGATTCTACAAGGTCAAAATGAAAGAAAAAATGTTAAAGGCAGCTAGAGAGAAAGGTCAAGTCACCTACAAAGGGAAGCTCATCAGCCTAACAGTAGAACTTTCAGCAGAAACCCTACAAGCCAGAAAGGATTGGGGGGCCAATATTCAACATTCTTAAAGAAAAGAAATTCCAACCTAGAATTTCATATCTGGCCAAACTAAGCTTCATAAGTGAAGGAGAAATATATTTTTCAGACAAGCAAATGCTGAGGAAATTCATTACCACCTACCTTACAAGAGCTCCTGAAGGAAGCACTAAATATAAGGGGAAAATACTATTACCATTACCAGCCACTACAAAAACACACCAAAGTACACAGACCAGTGACACTAAAGCAACCACATAAACAAGTCTGCAAAATAACCAGCTAACATCATGATGACAGAATCAAATCCACACATATCAATACTAACCTTGAATGTAAATGGGCTAAATGCCCCAATTAAGAGGCACAGAATGGCAAGCTGGATAAAGAACAAAGAACAAAGACACATTAGTATGCTGTCTTCAAGAGACCCATCTCACATGCAGTGACACACATAGGCTCAAAATAAAGGGACTGAGAAAAATCTACCAGGCAAATGGAAAACAGAAAAAAGAGGTGGGGTGGTCAATATTAGGTGTCAACTCACTTGCATTGAAGGATGCCTAGATGGCTGGTAAAGTACTGTTTTGGGGTGTGTCTATGAGGGTGTTGCCAAAGATTGACATTTGAGTTAGTGGGCTGGGAGAGAAGACCCACCCTCAATGTGGATGGAGACCATCCAATCAGCTACCAGTGCCACTAGAACAAAGCAGGTGAGAAAAGGTGGAATAACATTGCTTTCTGAGTCTTCTGTCTTCCTTCTTTTTCCCGTATTGGATGTTTCCTTTTGTTCCTCCTGCTCTTGAACATCAGACTGCAAGTTCTTTGGCCGTTGGACTCAGGAATTTGCACCAGTAGTTTGACAGATGCTCTAGGGCCTTCAGCCACAGACTGAAGGCTGCACTGTTGGCTTCACTGGATTTGAGGCTTTCAGACTCAGACTGAGCCACTGCTGGCTTTTCTCTTCCCCAGCTTGCAGATGGCTTATCATAAGCCTTCATCTTGTGTGAGCCACTTCTCCCTACTAAACTGCCTTTCATATATACATATATCCTATTAGTTCTGTCCCTCTGGAGAACACTGACTAATAAAACAGGGGTTGCAATCCTAGTTTCAAACAGACTTTAAACCAACAAAGATCAAAAAAGACAAAGAATGGCATTACATAATGGTAAAGGGTTCAATTCAACAAGAAGATCTAACTATCCTAAATACATATGCAATCACCACAGGAGCTCCCAGATTCACAGAGCAAGTTCTTAGAGACCTTCAAAGAGACTTAGACTCCCACACAATAATAGTGAGAGACTTTAACACCCCACAGACAACATTAGACAGATAATTGAGACAGAAAATTAACAAAGATATTCAGGACCTGAACTCAGCACTGGATCAAATGGGCCTGATAGACATCTACACAGCTCTCCACTCAAAGACAGAATATGCGTTTTTCTCTTTGCCACATGGCACGTACTCTAAAATCGATCACATAATCGGAAGTAAGACACTCCTCAGCAAATACAAAAGAACTGAAATCAAAACAATCTCAGACCACAGCATAATCAAATGGCAAACCAAGACTAAGAAATTCACTCAAAACCACACAATTACATGGAAATTTGAATAACCTGCTCCTGAGTGACTGCTGGATAAACAATGAAATAAAGGCAGAAATCAAGAAGTTCTTTGAAACTGATGAGAACAAAGATACAACATACCAGAATCTCTGAGACACAGTTAAAACAGTGTTAAGAGGGACATTTATAACACTAAATGCCCACATCAAAAAGTTAGAAAGATATCAAGTTAATAAACTAACATCACAACTAAAAGAACTAGAGAACCAAGAATAAACAAACCCCAAAGCTAGCAGAAGACAAGAAATAATCGAAATCAGAGCTGAACTGAAGGATTGAGACACACAAAAAATCATTCAAAATATCCAGAAACTGGTTTTCTGAAAAAATTAATAAAGTAGGCTGCTAGCTAGACTAATAAAAAAAAGATTAGAGAGAAGATTCAAATAAACACAATCAGAAATGTCAAGAGGGATATTACCACTGACCCCACAGAAAAACAAATAGCCATCAGAGAATATTATGAACATTATGTGCATAAACTAGAAAATCTAGAAGAAACTGACAAATCCCTAGACACATACACCATCCCAAGACTGAACCAGGAAGAAATTGAATCCCTGAATAGACCAGTAACAAGCTCTGAAATTGAGTCAATAATAAGTAGCCTACCAAAAAAAGGCCAGGGGCTGGATGCAATGGCTCAAGCCTATAATCCCAGCACTTCGAGAGGCCAAGGCAAGTGGATCATTTGAAATCAGAGGCAAGTGGATCATTTGAAATCAGGAGTTTGAGACCAGCCTGGCCAATATGGTGAAACCCCCCTCTACTAAAAATATAAAAATTAGCTGGATGCGGTGGCACATGCCTGTAATTCCAGCTACTCGCCAGGCTGAGGCATAAGAATCGCTTGAACCCAGGAGGCAGAGGTTGCAGTCAGCCAAGATCACACCACTGCACTCCAGCCTGGGCGACAGAGTGAGGCTCTGTCTCAAAAACAAAAACAAAAACAAAAAACGGAAGACCAGACAGATTCACAGCTGAATTCTACTAGATATACAAAGAAGAGCTGTTACTATTCCTGCTGAATCTATTCCAAAAAATTGAGGAGGAGAGACTCCTCCCTAACTAATTCTATAAGGTCAGCATCATTCAGATACCAAAACCTGGCAAAGACACAACAAAAAAGAAAACTTTGAGCCAATATCCTTGATGAACATTGATGCAAAAATCCTCAACAAATACTGGCCAACCGAATCCAGCAGCACATCAAAACTCTTATCTACCACAATCAAGTTTATCCCTGGGATGCAAGGTTGGTTCAACACATGCAAATCAATAATTGTGATTTATCACATAAAGAGAACTAAAGATAGAAACCATATGATTATCTCAATAGATGCAGAAAAGGCTTTTGATAAAATTTAACACCGCTTCATATTAAAAACTCAGTAAACTAGGTACTGAAGGAACATACCACAAAATAATAAGAGCCATGTATGACAAACACACAGCAAACATCATACTGAATAGGCAAAAGCTGGAAGCCTTCCCCTTGAAACTTGGCAGAAGACAAGAATGCCCTCTCTCTCCACTCCTGTTCAACGTAGTGTTGGATATCCTGGCAAGGGCAATCAGGCAAGAGAAAGAAAAAGAGGGCATTTAAATAGGAAAAGAGGAAGTCAAACTATCCCTGTTTCTAGGTGACATGATCCTAAATCTAGAAAACCCCATAGTTTCAGCCCAAAAGCTCTTTAAGCTGATAAACAACTTCAGCAAAGTCTCAGGATACAAAATCAATATTCAAAAATCACTAGCACTCTAGGCCGGGCACGGTGCTCATGCCTGTAATCCCAGCACTTTGGGAGGCCAAGGCAGGCGGATCACGAGGCCAAGAGACTGAAACCATCCTGGCCAACATGGTGAAACCCTGTCTCTACTAAAAATTCAAAAATTAGTTGGGCATGGTGGCGCATGCCTGTAATCCCAGCTATTCGGGAGGCTGAAGTAGAAGAATCACTTGAAACCGGGATGCAGAGGTTGCAGTGAGCCAAGATTGTGCCATTGCACTCCAGCCTGGGCAGCAAGAGCCAAACTCTGTCTCAAAAAAGGAAAAAAAAAAAAAATCACTAACACTCCTATACACCAGTAACAGTCAAGCCAAGAGCCAAATCAAGAATGCAGTCCTATTCACAATTCACACACACACACACACACACACACACACACACACACACACACACGGAATGCAGCTAACCAGAGAGGTAAAAGATCTCTACAAGGAGAGCTACAAAATGCCACTCAGAGAAATCTGAGATGACAAAAACAAATGCAAAAACATTCCATGCTCATGGATAGGAAGAATCAATATTGTTAAAATGGCTATACTACCTAAAACAATTTATAGATTCAATGCTATTTTTATTAAACTACCATTGACGTTCTTCATGGAACTAGAAAAAACTATTTTAAAATTCACAGGGAACCAAAAAAGAGCCCAAATAGCCAAGGCAATCCTAAGCAAAAAGAACAAAGCTGGCAGCATCACACCACCTGACTTCAAAATATACTACAGGGCTACAGTAAACAAAACAGCATGGTACTGGTACAAAACAGCCCAGAAATAATGCCACACACCTACAACTATCTGATCTTTGACAAACCTGACAAAAAAGAGCAATAAGGAAAGGATTCCCTATTCAATAAATGGTGCTGGGATAACTGGCTAGCCATATGCAGAAGATTGAAAATGGATCCCTTCCTTACACCATATACAAAAATTAACTGAAGATGGATTAAAGACTTAAATGTAAAAACCCCAAATTATAAAAACTCTGGAAGATACATAGACAATACCATTTTGGACATAGGAACAGACAAAGATTTCATGGTGAAGACACCAAAAGCAATTGCTACAAAAGCAAGAATTGACAGATGGGATTTAATTAAACTAAAGAGCTTCTGCACAGCAAAAGAAACTATCAACAGAGTGAACAGACAACCTACAGAATGGGGGAAACTTTTTGCAAACTGTGCATCTGACAAAGGTCTAATATCCAGCATCTATAAGGAATTTATACAAATATACAAGAATAAAACAACTCCATTAAAAAATGGGCAAAGGACATGAACATACGCTTTTCAAAAGAAGACATACATGCAGTCAACAAGCATATGACAAAAAGCTCAACATCACTGATCACTGGAGAAATGCAAATCAAAACCACAATGAGATACCATCTTACACCAGTCAGAATGGCTATTATTAACAAGTCAAAAAATAGCAGATGCTGGAGAGGTTGCAGAGAAAAGGGAACACTTATACACTGTTGGTGAGAGTGTAAGTTAGTTCAACCATTGTAAAAAGCAGTGTGATGATTCCTCAAAGACCTAAAAACAGAAATACCATTCAACCCAGCAATCCCAGTACTGGGTATATACCTAAAGGAATATAAATCATTATTTTATAAAGACACATGCGTATGTATGTTCATTGCAGCACTATTCACAATAGCAATCTAACTAATGCTCATCAATGAAATGAACCTAAATGCTCATCACTGGTAGACTGGATAAAGAAAATGTGGTACATGTGCACCATAGAATACTGCACAGCCATAAAAAAGAATGAGATTATGTCCTTTGCAGGAACATGGTTGGAGCTGGAGGCCGTTATCCTTAGCAAACCAATGCGGGTACAGAAAACCAAATACCACATGTTCTCACTTATAAGTGGGAGCTAAATGATGAAAACACATGGACACATAGAGGGAAGCAACACACACTGGGGCCTCTTGAGGGTGGATGATGGGAGGAAGAGAGCATCAGGAAAAATAACTTATGGGTACTAGGCTTAATACCCAAGTGACAAAATAATCTGTACAACAAACCCCCGTGACAGAAGTTTATCTATGTAGCAAACCTGCACGTGTAGCAAACCTGCACATGTAGCAAACCTGCACTTAGATAAACAAGTTTATCTATGTAGCAAACCTGCATATAAAACAAAGTTAAATAAAACAAAAAGAGGAAAATAATAAAAATTGAAAAACATTATACAAGGCTAGACTCTAATAACAGATGTATTATAGTTTATTTTGAAACATTATTTTTCTCTCTCCAATTCTCCAATTTTATTAAAATTTTATTAAAAATCATAGTAGGACCAATTTGTTTGTAGAATAAGTTTTAGTCCTAGGGCTGGGCACAGTGGTTCACACCTTTAATCCCAGCACTTTGGGAAGCTGAGGTGGCTGGATCACATGAGTGAGTTCCAGGCAAAACCCCATCTCTATTAAAAAAGTAAAAGAAGAGGAAGAAGAGGAAGAGGAAGAGTAAGAAGAAGAAGAAACAATTAAAAAAGAAAAGTTTTAGTTTAATCCTATTATACTTGGCTTGATTATTGCATAAATGCAACAAGAATAATCATTTGCCATATATGCTCTTTAAAAAAAAAATTGGCTTTGCTGGAAACTTTTTCATAAGGAATCCAAGATTAGACCTTCATAAAAGCTTCAAGCCCAGCCAAGGATTTATCTGTGCCTGCAGATACCTGTGTGAACTGGGTGTATTCCTCTTTTCAAGGTCCCAAAAAAAAACTTGGGGTTCCTAGGCCTGTCCATGACGTTCTTTACTTACCACAAGTTAGGATTCTATAAAGGACAAAGTATGGGGCCAGTTTTTCCAAGGGGATTTTATTGGCTCTATAAGTCAGCCTCATTTTCTTAAGACAATTTTGAAAATAATATATTATTCCAGTTAAGGCCTTGGTAAAATAACCAGTGTTTCCAATGATGAGAATATGGCATATATTTTTAAGCATAATATGTCTACACACATGAAAGACATACTATCTAAGTACAGATAGTGTTTCCTAATGTTAGTTTAGGTCCATGCTCTGCCAATTGCTTTATCTTTCCTCCTTATGTTCATCTCTGTAGCAGTAAAGATTTTCTAATTATCAAATTTCAAAAGGTATTATCCTATATATGCAAATACCTTGCCATAAATTTGAAGTTTTTAGAGATTAAATATTTTTAATGTGATCCAACAAGGCTGCCTATAAAATGATAGTAGAATTGTGTTAACAGGCAAATAATCACTGAAAATTAAGTTTACTATTAAGTTACAACGTCATATACCTTGTGTGTGCAGTTTAGAACTGCAGGAAGTGGCTTTTCTTTTAAATTTCACAAAATGGAATTTAATGCAAGATATCAGAGAGGTTCAGCCTTGTAAAAAAAGGCCACTGTCCATACTGACTGAGGCAGTCTTTCTCCCAGTGCTCCTGCACCTGAACACTTCTGTCATCTGCTCATCCCACCTCAACCTGAGCCCCACGACACCCTGGGAGCCTTCATCCCCTCCTTTCAGCAACCAAAAACTGGCAAGCACTCACTGAAACCTTAATATTAAGTAAAATCCCCGGATCCCTCTGCTACGACAGAGGAGGTTAAGACTTAAACATAGAAAGTCTCATACTAGCGTCAGGTACTTTACATGCTTCTTTAATGACTGATTTAAAACCCCACTTGAAAACAGCTTCAGTATCTAATATTGTAATGGAAATTTACATAGCCAAAGAAAGAATCCCAAAGAAATCACATGACAAATTTCCCAACTGACTCACCTCCATCACTATATTTTTTAGCTCATAATCAAAATAACGTTAAATCAATTGCATTTAAATGTGCATTAGATTTGCAACGTGTTTTTCCACGTATCAGCTACTGTAAGCTTTACAGTGATCCTCAAGGTGGATTTAGTAGCCTGTTTTCTAGTAAGGAAAGAGATTCAGAGAAGGTAAACAAGCTGCCTGAAGTCGTATCTACGAAAGTACAAAGCTGGGAGTTCTGGTTCCATCCAGGGCTCCTTCCATCCTTCCCTCTGCTGTCACCTGTATGTTACATTAGTGTGAGTTATACAGCTCACAGGCCTAAAGCAGCAGGGTGAGAGGAAGGGAGGGCTGGGAGAAGCCAGCCCGCCTTTTCTAAGGGTCCTTAGATCATCAGGATGTTGCCAAAGTTCCCAAACCACTCAGTCTGAGTCTTGAGGGATGACAGGAGGGGTAACTTCAAAGGCAAACACTATTCTGCCATCTCTCTGACCCCAAACGGCACCTTTCAAGAGTCTGAGGCAGAATAACAGTTTTAGAGGCTTTCTGAAAGACTCCAGGGCTCTCTGGTTTCCTCAAGGAAAAACTGAATGCTGCAACAGCAGGCCTTTGGCCCTTGCTTGTATCACATTCGTTCATTCATTCATTTATTCATTCATTTGTTCATTCATTGTCCCTCTTCACTAAGATATAAGCTCCTTGAGGGCAGGAATTTTGTCTGTTTTTTTCACTGATAAATCTCAGTGCTAAATACAGTGCCTAGCACTTTGTAAGCACTGAATAAAAATATGTTTAATAATACCTAGATCCTATAAGCTTCCTCAATTTTGACTAAATTATATCTCACCACCACATGTGTTTACATGGCCATGCCAAAATTCTCAGAAGAAAAGGAAATGTGATGGCAAGGAGGTGCCCAGAAGGAGGTTCTCTCTGTGCTAGGGGCCTTACTGAGATATGGGGAAACAGTAGCTTGGTACCAACAATCATCTTTCAAAATAACCACTGAAAAAGGTGGAGGGTTGATTATAGTATAACTTAGTATTTGTTTTTTTTTAAGTCCCTAGTCCATTGAGACAAAACTGTCAATTTTGATATTAAAGCAAATGTGTATCATATTTTATAACTGAAATCCCTAAAGGAAACAAACTACAGATACTGATTACAACAGCTGGTCTAAATGCTTAGTACACAACAAGAAGTTCTCCATTGAAATATTGCACAGCTTTAAACAAATAAAACCCAAGTCTTGGGGATCTGGGAATGGAGTCTGGTGCTGCCTGCACACAGGATTTGGCTCCTCAGTATCTCAATTTTCCCAGCAGCTGCAAAGGAAGGAAGGGAGGGAGGGAAAGAAGGAAGGAAGGACAGAAGGACGGAAGGAAGGAAGCACGGACGGAAGGAAGGATGGAGGGAAGGACGGATAGAAGGAAGGAAGGAAGGACGGATGGGACGGAGGGAGGAAGGAAGGAAGAAAGGAAGGAAGGAAGGAAGGACAGACAGGAGGAAGGAAGGACAGACAGGAGGAAGGAAGGAAGGACGGGAGGAAGGAAGGAAGGAAGGAAAGGAGGACAGAAGGAAGGAAGGAAGCAAGGAGGGGGAAATGGAGGGAGGGAAGGAAGGGCAGAGATGATGGGGTTGGGAAGGAGGTGCTGTAAGTGATGGGCACAGTACTTTTGGTTTTTGTTTACCTAATATTTAAACACAAAAGAATCAATTCAGCTTTCAAAGGTGTTTGATAACTACAAAATCTTGATATCAGAAGCTTTATATTACTAACATTTAGAAAATATACTGTTCAGTATGATCCAGTTTTTAAGTACATAGTGTGGTGTAGTTTATTTACTTACTTAGAAAATGCTTTCAGCATTTCCCTTGTAGGCAAAGACCTAAGGTCCCCTCAGAGCAGACCTCTGTCACATCTGGCCACTTGAGGCAGTGGTGTTCTGGAGCTGGTTCAACTCACAGCGAGGTCACAACATAAAATTACTCTAAGGTCTTGCTCTGGCACAGACAACACTAAGTCCTTGAGGATTTGCGAGGGGCTACAGATGTCCCTGCTGTGCCATGCCTCAGTCATTTCATGTTTTGGGAATCTATGACTGTAAACTCGAAGCCGAAGCATGAAGCACCTCTGTAATACTTCAGAGGGCACCAAAGTCATGCGTTCCATAGCAGAGTGGTCTTCAAGAGCAACACTGAGATGCAACAACAAGCAATGGATAGTAAAGGAACAACCCTAGTTCTGGTGCTGCTCCGGCTTGGCATATAAAAGCAGGACCAAACCACTCTAATTCAAGTAAGCCCCTGGAGTTTTTCAACAAATATAGGAGGTGAGGGGCATCTTGTAGAACATAATTCAAGAGGGAAAGACTGGGGTTATTGCTAACAAGGGAGTTTTGGTTACTCGAGTAATTACATGATACACAGAGAACATTTTATATGTATATATGGAAAAAACTATATTCAAGTATTAAGAATGCTTATCACTGGATGGTGGTATTATGGATGAGTTTCTTATTTATGATTATTTGCTACAGTAATTTTTAAAAAGTAAAGCCTAAGCATATATATAAAATATCAAAAACATTCAAGTTCCTCCCAATGGCAGGAAGGGGGTTGCTCCCAGAGCCAGAGGTTTTCCCCGTTAGGGCGAGTGGACCCTGCCCTTGAATCCAGACCATTCTCTTGCCTGTGTCCAGGGCCTGTTCCACTCAAGGCTCACTAGAGAATGGCAGGTCTGGGGTTCTGCTGTGCACAGACCCCGGGGCTCAGGAAGGTGATAGCTTGAATGTCACCAGGTTCAGTAGAATGGGGAAGAGAAACACAATCACAGACAAGATCCTCAGACAGATGCAGACAGCACATGAAGGTCACCGACCCCAGCTGCTTCCAGCAAGTCCCTGGAACTGCATCAGGTGAGTGTGACTGTAGCTGATCTTTTATCTGTTTCTCAAATTTCTTTAACGTTGTGCTTTTACAATTTAAAACGTAAAAAGCAAAAACAAGATTGGTCAACAGGTATAGAGAACATTTCCCCTGACTATTATTCAAAGTTGGGATTTTTCAGTGAAGGTGACTTTTGTGCTGATTTTTCTTGTTTGGCTTCTGAAGGGGAATTTTTTGTGGGAATGAGGTGGGGGAGGAGGACATTTCTCCTAACATCAAGTTGACTCTAGGGAGCCATGTCTCCAACTCCTGAAAGCCATGAGGAATGTCTGACACCTGTGGCTCCGCCTCTCTGTCCCACTCCCCCATGCCAATGACTAGCTCCTTTGTGACAGAGGCAAGAGCAGGAACTACTGAACTGCAGACTTTAATAATTCTCTCTACATGCTAGCATAGGATCAGTGAAATCTAAATTGAAATCTGTGGTTGAATGGCTTTCTGAAAATGTCCTGTACCTCTAAGTCTCTGCAGAAGTTAAAACCTCCTTCAGAGAAAGGCGGGAAAATGTACTCTTGTGGATGGCTATTGTCCACCTCTCCTTTTTCACAGTAATAACTCAGAGGAGAATGGATTTCTGTTGCTGATGGATAGGAAATGGGATTTGAGGAAACAGGATATGATACAGAAAGTGGAATCTGAGAGGCAAAGACTTATGTATTTCTCCTTTAATAGGGAGAGCAACTCTGTGGAGAAGAAGTGAACAGTGGAGTGAAGTGAGGAAGGAGAGAGAGGCAGTGGCAGGGTACACCTGAAACTGTATCAACTACATGGGTGTCCCACAGAAATTCAGAAATATGCCTCAAGGGGTATGTCTCTCTGTAACCTAATACCCCAGCAGTCAGGGGGAGTGCACCTGACAGCTCCACCTTAGGATACTCCTCTACAGTCATTGTAAATGGCTGTAAGCCATTTACAATCTGCCTCAGGACAATTCATCCAGAAGAGAAGGAACTTCCCCATCAGCTCCTGTCTATAAGACCCACTCTGGGTGTTGCTTGCCCTGTACTTCTGGGCATGTATGTGGGCACTAAGTGGGGCTCCCCAGCTTCCTGTGTCTCAACATCAACAGGGAAGCCCCAGGACAGAAGGCAAGAGGTCTGAGGCACAGGCAGGAAGCTAGGTGCTGTCTGATGGTGAGGTTGGTTCCAGCCCATGCATAGCCAGTCACCACTGCAGCCCCTGCAACCGGAGACAGGAGCTGAAATAGACATAAAAGGTGTCTGCTAGAGAAGTATGAAAAAGTCACAGATGTAAATGGCAAATAAGATTAGTAGAGAAGTGTAAGGATTGGTGGAGAGTGAATTCTTTGTCATTATGAAGAAATATGTCCGATCCATGGTTGGGACCCATTGTGTGAAGCAATGTCCAGGGAGTTGGTGGTTTAATTCCAAGCCACATGAAGGCAGTCAGCACTTTAGGAAGGAGGGTACAAAAATAAGAAATTTGTGGCAAGTCAAATATCCACATCCTGTTTCCATATAGAAATACCAATTTAGGCTCAGATTTGCCTCAATGGTCACTTAATACGTAATGACCATATTAAAAAATCATCCACATTGAAAGGGTTCAAGGTGAGTCTAACCAAGATGTGCTTGTTAGGATTCTGTGATCTTACTGGCTGGATTCATTTTTAAAATTCAGCTTAGAGTTCATGTTTCACCCTCAAAGCAAATCTAAACCACGGCAGGTGTGTGAAATGATCCCACCTCTCAAAAATTTACCAGGCTGGCTCTTTTCCAATCAGATTTATCCACTGGTCATTATAAATTTTGGGCATCATAATGGCAAGAAGAGTCAGAAACCAAGGAAAGAGGAGCTGTGGTTCTTGACCTCAGAAAATTTACAACTATCCAGTTTCTGAGATCAGAAAGTGCACAGAAAATAGTATAGACACATGAAACAAAGTGAAATGACACCAATTATATCAGGAAAGCACACACACACACACACACAAAAATACAGCACGTGTGATTCATCTGGAAAGATTTCTTTAGAAAGTCTTTTGAGCAACATTTATTAAAAAGGAAGAGTATATGGTTTTATAGAGTGAAGATGGGAGAAAACACTCCAGGTGATGTAATATTACACTTAAACTCACCAGACAGGTGTAAGGTACATAGATGTGCTTTAGTCAAGGAATAGGCTGAGGCGGACATCCAGGCCACAGTGACTCAGTGGGAATGGTGTGCAGGCACACACCTCCACTTGTTATATAACCTGTTTAAGTTCATACTTGGCTCTGAGCCACTATTGTCTGTAGAAGGTATAACTGCCCTGCTGAAGCTGTAAGGGCACACTGGTACCCAGAGAAAGATGGAGAGAACCAGAGCTATCCATCTTGCAGACAAACAGAGGGGAGCCAGCGTTCAGCATGGCTCAACATGGCACACCGCTGGTGTCCAGAGAGAGAGAGTAATGCTACTGACCACTAAGGGAGAGCCAGTTGCCTTGAAGGCAGGCAGGGGGAAGCCAGGAACCGGCTTGTGCCCAGAGGGAATGAGTTAAGCTGCTAACACTGTAAGGGAGAGTTGGCCTTGCAGGCCAACCGTGCAGCTGTGCATGGGAGCCAGCTGCTGAGAGGAGCCGCAGAGCTGGAGCAGACAACCAAGATAAAGATAGACAGTGTGGGTAAGCTGCTGATGAAAGAGCTGCTGAATAAAACTACATTTCACCTGCCTACGGCCCCACAAGGCTTCTTTCAGCTATCTGCCCATCCACCCACTTCCCTCAGACCTCAGACCTAGACCCTATGCTGAGTATGACATTTGGTGTAGTCATGGCCCTGGACCTGACAATTGGCATAGTTGGCAGGATGAGGTGAATGGGTCTTCAGCCCGCAAAGGCTCCCGGGTCAGCTTTGTGGCCGCAGCATGGGCTGTGGCACCCAGCGGCAGTGGTGCTGCTTGGATGGGCCCCAGTGGAAACGTAGGAGGAAGTGGACGGGTCTCCCATGAGTGTGGAGAAGGCACTGAAGCACCTGGAAGTGCACAGCACTGAGGAAAAGCATGCCTTTGCTGGCAGAGTCAGATGGGCATTCATGACTGTGCTGTGGGAAGTGCATGTCCAGTCCTTGCGGGACACAGTGCAGGAAGGAGAAAGAACCTTTGCTGCAGGTTTACCCAGTGATCCACCAGAAAACAGAGCATGAACAGCTGTTGGGCCCCAAGGGTGAATGCAGGGACCCCCTATCACAGTGGAACACATTTCCTATGGTGCCTCTGTCCCCTCTAAGTTGCGGGAGTCAAGCAAGTAATGTTGGCAGTCACATACAGACTTAGCGCAAGTCATTCGGGAGAAGGACATTACTGCTCAATCCAGTCCTGCTCGAGTGTTCCAGTTCACAGATTGCCAGCTGCAGTCAGAGAGAAGTGTAAAGCCTTTTCTGTTTGATAAGAGACTGACCAAGATGCCCAGCTTCTAGGGTCACCGGACGACCAGAGCCACATGTGGACTTGGCAATCCACCAGTCCCTGCACCTGGGTAAGTTTTCAGGCAAGGCTGCATAGATAGCTATGAAAGCTGGTCAGTGAAACTAAAACCTGTGTCTCTGTATCTTGGCATCAGTCGTTTGGCTCTCCACTTGTGCATTATGTATGCCTCTCCCATGCTTGAAAACATTCTGAGGGGGGGGGTGGATGTTTTGCACAGTTTGGCAGCTGTATCATCTGTCACGGACTTGCCAGACCACTTGACAACGGAACTGGGACAGTCTACCGAGAGCCAGGAACAGCTTGCCTTCGTGGAAGGGTGGCGATGGACTTTCACAGTATTGCTGCAGAGCTGTATGTAAGGGAGAGCTGGTTATCTTGAAGGCAGGCAGGGGGAAGCCAGGAACTGGCTTGTGCCTAGAGGGAAAGAGTTAAGCTGCTAACACTGTAAGGGAGAGTTGGCCTTGCAGGCCAGCTATGCAGCCATGCATGGGAGCAGGCTGCTGAGAGGAGCCACATAGCCAGAGCAGACAGCCAAGATAAAGATGGACAGTGTGAGTAAGCTGCTGATGAGAGAGCTGCTGAATAAAACTACATCTCACCTGCCTATGGCCCTCTGAATGTTCTTTCAGCTATCTGCCCATCCACCCACTTCCCTTGGACCTCAGCATGGGCTGGACCTTAACCCTGAGTGTGACATTTGGCAGAATCATGGCCCTGGACCTGACATCAGGTGTTCTTTGTTTTGTTTTATTTTGTTTTCTGAGACAGAGTCTTGCTCTGTCATCTAGGCTGGAGTGCAGTGGCACAATCTTGGCTCACTGCAGCCCCACCTCCTGGGTTCAAGCAAGTCTCATGCCTCAGCCTCCTGAGCAGCCGGGATTACAGGCATGTGCCACCATGACCAGCTAATTTTTGTATTTTCAGTAGAGATGGGGCTTCACTATGTTGGAAATACTGTTCTCAAACTCCTAAGCTCAAGTGATCCTCCTGCTTCTCAGCCTCCCAAAGTGCTGGGATTACAGGTGTGAGCTACCGTGACCAGTTTACCAGCAAACTGTTTGAAGACTAACAAATGCGTATATGGAGTAAAGAAAGAAATATCAGGAACATTGGATTTCTTACAAAAAAAAATGTGAGAGTATTTAAGCATGTATTAATTTTTAAATTAGACAAACAATTCATTTTTTAGTCTAAGGAAAACTAGAAAAAAAATAAAATAAAAGGGAAGGGAGGGAGGGAAGGAAAGGAGAGAGGGAAAGAAGTAAAACTCCTACAATCCCAGGACCCAGAAAAACCAAGCTGATTACCAAAGCTCTATAAGCCTTTCTACACATGTATATTCTGGGTTTTTATTTGGTGTGATTTGATTTTTTAAACAAAAATTACACTCTTTTATAATCATTCTTTACTATAAATAAATTATAAATGTGTAGTAATCTTCAGTTGGGTTTGGAGAGACATATGGAATTCTATTTTTAAAATCACCTGAAACCGTATCCACTATATGTGTATCCCATAGAAATTCCGAAAGATGCCTCAAAGAGTATGTCTCTCTGTAATCTTTTTTTTTTTTTTTTTTTTCTGAGACGGAGTCTCGCTCTGTCACCCAGGCTGGAGTGCAGTGGCGGGATCTCGGCTCACTGCAAGCTCCGCCTCCCGGGTTCACGCCATTCTCCTGCCTCAGCCTCCCAAGTAGCTGGGACTACAGGCGCCCGCCACTACGCCCGGCTAATTTTTTTGTATTTTTAGTAGAGACGGGGTTTCACCGTTTTAGCCGGGATGGTCTCGATCTCCTGACCTCGTGATCCGCCCGCCTCGGCCTCCCAAAGTGCTGGGATTACAGTCTCTCTGTAATCTTGTACCCCAGCCTTGAAATGCATTTTAAAGGGGTTTTCCCCACCTTTCCTTCCTAATCTCAGAATATGGCCTGAAATATAGTTTAAAACTCTTTGTTTCCTTCCCTTTCCCACCAGGCATTCCCATGCACAGTGCTTGCTTCTCTAATTATGTGCTTGCTTAGAAATTCCAGGAGCTAATTTTGAAACAAAGCAGATGCAGAGATTCAGCTGTGGAATCCTCCTGCTTAGGAGAAGTTACAATTAGTCCACCACCTCACCAGGCCCAAATCAAGATGATGCCCACTGGACCTCCATATGGGTGATTACTCAACCATTAGAAAAAGACACATAGACCTGTACCCTCCTGCACCACTCCCGCACATTTTCCATACCAAGTTTTCCTTCTTAAACCACTTCCCTCAGTCCAAAAGTTGAGATAGTTCCTTTGAGGCTCAAGCCCAGCCATACTCCCATCTGCTAACATTTGAATAAATGCTGCTTTCCTTTTACCACACCTCACTTCTCCTGCTTTGACTTCCAAGTGGTGAGCAACTGAACTTGAGTCAATTACAAATTTGGTGCCCCATGTGAGGAGCTGTGTGTTTCATGTAGCCTAGACTGTCCGCCTGGTTTCTACTGGAGGAGGCAACAGCTGCTCAAAAGTGCCAGCAATTCACAGCTAGCTGACTCCATGGCTGGGGACTTCAGGGACCTCCCAGCAGATGCCAAGGACACTTCTGCCCCTAGGATTTCCCTCCCATCCCCATCACAGCATCAACTGCCCACAATGCTTTGCTGGTGCAAGGAAAGTGGCATTTGGGAAGCCGAGGCACTTGGACTAGGTAAGTCGACTGGAGTGTGAATGGGGCTCCTCTGTCTCTTCCTTTTGGGACTTTGTGCCATCTGGACCTAGCACAGGTCAACTGTGGTGCCATATGGGCCTTTGTGCCATCTGGACCTAGTACAGGAGATCCTTTTGCGGTGCCTTCTGGGTTTCAGACAAGACTTCAGGATTTTATCCAGTTTCCCCTTTCAGGGACCAGTTCAGAGTGCTCCATCTGCCTTGGATCCGTCTGTTTGTGTCTCTGTTTAGTGTTACCCCTCCCTCTGAGGGTGCTCTGGGATGGTCTTCATAGCACCAGGTTCATCTGATTGTCAGAAGGAGCAAGGTAGGCTGCTTCTCTCCTCACTAAGGAAGAAACACTTTCCAACACCCTGGCCCTGATTTTGTTATCCTCTTTGGGATTCCAGAGTACTCTCTGTATCTGGGTTAAGCTTTGTAGGGGGAAAGCGCATGTGAACTCTTTTCTAGACTATATGGGACTCCAGCTGGTTACATATTATAGGCTGTTTTTGTGTACATTTTAAACTGATGGGCAAATTACAGCAAGAAAAGTTCAGAGCTCAAATTCACAGCTCATTTAACCTGCAACTATAAAGTTAAGCAGAATCTTCTGAAGCTCTTTCTTTTCTTTTCTGCCTGCTTTGAATCTGCTGTTACTAAACTGCTGGTGCTGAGATAAGACTCATTATTTATTGTCTAACTGAAATGTAAACATTTGAAATTTCTTTAAAACTGAAAAGAAAAGGCCAGGGTGGGAGGATCGCTTGAGCCCAAGAGTTCAAGACCAGCCTGGACAACATAAGGAGACCCCATCACTACAAAATAAAAAAATTAGCAGAGTGGTGGTGCATGCCTTTGGTCCCAGCTACTTAGGGGGCTGAGGTGGGAGGATCTCTTGAGCCCAGGAGGTTGAGGCTACAGTGAGCCATGAACACCCCACTGCACTCCAGCCTATGAGACAGAGTGAGACCCCATCTAAGAGACAGAGTGAGACCCCATCTAAAACAAAACAAAACAAAACAAAAACAAAACAAAAAATCACTGATGTGGCATGGATGGTGTCAAGCTACAAAAGAAAAAAACTATTAAAAATGCATTAAAAAAGGCTTTTTAAAAAAAATACCAAACTGCTCCCTCTCCCTCTCCCTCTCCCTCTCCCTCTCCCTCTCCCTCTCCCTCTCCCTCTCCCTCTCCCTCTCCCTCTCCCTCTCCCTCTCCCTCTCCCTCTCCCTCTCCCTCTCCCTCTCCCTCTCCCTCTCCCTCTCCCTCTCCCTCTCCCTCTCCCTCTCCCTCTCCCTCTCCCTCTCCCTCTCCCCTCTCCCTCTCCCTCTCCCTCTCCCTCTCCCTCTCCCTCTCCCTCTCCCTCTCCCTCTCCCTCTCCCTCTCCCTCTCCCTCTCCCTCTCCCTCTCCCTCTCCCTCTCCCTCTCCCTCTCCCTCTCCCTCTCCCTCTCCCTCTCCCTCTCCCTCTCCCTCTCCCTCTCCCTCTCCCTCTCCCTCTCCCTCTCCCTCTCCCTCTCCCTCTCCCTCTCCCTCTCCCTCTCCCTCTCCCTCTCCCTCTCCGTCCACGGTCTCCCTCTGATGCCGAGCCAAGGCTGGACGGTGCTGCTGCCATCTCGGCTCACTGCAGCCTCCCTGCCTGATTCTCCTGCCTCAGCCTGCTGAGTGCCTGCGATTGCAGGCGCACGCCGCCACGCCTGACTGGTTTTCGTTTTTTTTTTGGTGGAGACGGGGTTTTGCTGTGTTGGCCGGGCTGGTCTCCAGCTCCTAGCCGCGAGTGATCCGCCAGCCTCGGCCTCCCGGGGTGCCGGGATTGCGGACGGAGTCTCGTTCACTCAGTGCTCAGTGGTGCCCAGGCTGGAGTGCAGTGGCGTGATCTCGGCTCGCTACAGCCTCCACCTCCCAGCCGCCTGCCTTGGCCCCCCAAAGTGCCGAGATTGCAGCCTCTGCCCAGCCGCCACCCCGTCTGGGAAGTGAGGAGCGTCTCTGCTTGGCCACCCATCGTCTGGGATATGAGGAGCCTCTCTGCCTGGCTGCCCGGTCTGGAAAGTGAGGAGCGTCTCTGCCCGGCCGCCATCCCATCTAGGAAGCGAGGAGCGCCTCTTCCCCGCCGCCATCCCATCTAGGAAGTGAGGAGCGTCTCTGCCCGGCCGCCCATCGTCTGAGATGTGGGGAGCACCTCTGCCCCGCCGCCCTGTCTGGGATGTGAGGAGCGCCTCTGCTGGCCGCAACCCTGTCTGGGAGGTGAGGAGCGTCTCTGCCCGGCCGCCCCGTCTGAGAAGTGAGGAAACCCTCTGCCTGGCAACCGCCCCGTCTGAGAAGTGAGGAGCCCCTCCGTCCGGCAGCCACCCCGTCTGGGAAGTGAGGAGCGTCTCCGCCCGGCAGCCACCCCGTCCGGGAGGGAGGTGGGGGGGGGTCAGCCCCCCGCCCGGCCAGCCGCCCCGTCCGGGAGGTGAGGGGCTCCTCTGCCCGGCCGCCCCTACTGGGAAGTGAGGAGCCCCTCTGCCCGGCCAGCCGCCCCGTCCGGGAGGGGGGAGGGGGGGTCAGCCCCCTGCCCGGCCAGCCGCCCCGTCCGGGAGGGAGGTGGGGGGATCAGCCCCCCGCCCGGCCAGCCGCCCCGTCCGGGAGGGAGGTGGGGGGATCAGCCCCCCGCCTGGCCAGCCGCCCCATCCGGGAGGGAGGTGGGGGGTCAGCCCCCCACCTGGCCAGCCGCCCCGTCCGGGAGGGAGGTGGGGGGGGTCAGCCCCCCGCCCGGCCAGCCGCCCCGTCCGGGAGGGAGGTGGGGGGATCAGCCCCCCGCTTGGCCAGCCGCCCCGTCTGGGAGGTGAGGGGCGCCTCTGCCCGGCCGCCCCTACTGGGAAGTGAGGAGCCCCTCTGCCCGGCCAGCCGCCCCGTCCGGGAGGGAGGTGGGGGGGTCAGCCCCCCGCCTGGCCAGCCGCCCCGTCCGGGAGGGAGGTGGGGGGGTCAGCCCCCGCCCGGCCAGCCGCCCCGTCCGGGAGGGAGGTGGGGGGGGTCAGCCCCCCGCCCGACCAGCCGCCCCGTCCGGGAGGGAGGTGGGGGGATCAGCCCCCCGCCTGGCCAGCCGCCCCGTCCGGGAGGTGAGGGGCGCCTCTGCCCGGCCGCCCCTACTGGGAAGTGAGGAGCCCCTCTGCCCGGCCAGCCGCCCCGTCCGGGAGGGAGGCGGGGGGGGGGGTCGGCCAGCCGCCCTGTCCGGGAGGGAGGTGGGGGGGTCAGCCCCCCGCCCGGCCAGCCGCCCCGTCCGGGAGGTGAGGGGCGCCTCTGCCCGGCCGCCCCTACTGGGAAGTGAGGAGCCCCTCTGCCTGGCCAGCCGCCCCGTCCGGGAGGATGGTGGGGGGGTCAGCCCCCCGCCCGGCCAGCCGCCCCATCCGGGAGGTGAGGGGCGCTTCTGCCCGGCCGCCCCTACTGGGAAGTGAGGAGCCCCTCTGCCCGGCCACGACCCCGTCTGGGAGGTGTGCCCAGCGGCTCATTGGGGATGGGCCATGATGACAATGGCGGTTTTGTGGAATAGAAAGGCGGGAAGGGTGGGGAAAAAATTGAGAAATCAGATGGTTGCCGGGTCTGTGTGGATAGAAGTAGACATGGGAGACTTTTCATTTTGTTCTGTACTAAGAAAAATTCTTCTGCCTTGGGATCCTGTTGATCTGTGACCTTATCCCCAACCCTGTGCTCTCTGAAACATGTGCTGTGTCCACTCAGGGTTAAATGGATTAAGGGCGGTGCAAGATGTGCTTTGTTAAACAGATGCTTGAAGGCAGCATGCTCGTTAAGAGTCATCACCACTCCCTAATCTTAAGTACCCAGGGACACAAACACTGCGGAAGGCCGCAGGGTCCTCTGCCTAGGAAAACCAGAGACCTTTGTTCACTTGTTTATCTGCTGACCTTCCCTCCACTATTGTCCTATGACCCTGCCAAATCCCCCTCTGCGAGAAACACCCAAGAATGATCAATAAAAAAAAAAAAATAAAAATAAAAAAATTAAAAAAAAAAAAAAAGATGAAATGTATTTATACACCCATAAATACATAGAGCAGTAAGTATTCAATAATATTCAATAAATACTATTATTGTGGTTGAAACTTTAGAAAATTCAAAAAATTAGAAAGAGCAAGAAAAGGTAATCAATAATCCATCTTCCAAAGGCAACCGATATTAAAATGTTGAAGTATTTACTTACAATAAAATTTCTATGGATATTTGTACCCAGTGGAAAAAAAAAAAAAAAAAAAAAATACCAAACTGTCCTAAAGATGCTCTACCCAAATTTTGGTCTACAGCTTTCCTTACATTACCCAATAGGGCAAACAAAATTTAGCCATGTAAACAGATTTCAATTTTGACAGAAAAATAATTCTTATCCAGTGATCTTATATAAAATCTTAAGTTTATATTGCTATCTTACAGCTAGAATTCTAAGGTGAAACTATTGGATCTTTGTGGATATGTATTCATGTTTAGATATATTTATGTGATGTACATGTATTATGTTTTGTGTTGTGTCTTGCATGCTGTCAAATGGCTCATAATAAATAAATACTCATAAATTAAGTCAAAATGCATTTCAAGTTCACATGAATTTATCAATCTTTAATAAATAAACTGGCTTTAAAGTCACTGGTAAAATAAAAATAAAAATATCTTCAGAATCATCAGCATTCATTTTTGTTTAGGTAGGAAAGTTTTATATATGCCTGTTGGATATTTTAAGGTGTCAGGGTTTGACACAAAGGTTGTGAAACTATAAACCTAGACAAAAACAGAGTAATCTTTGTGTAACTTTTTTAAACAAAGACTAATTTAATGTTGTTGGTTCAATAAAAACAGCTAAATATTCTAAGTTATCGGCAAAACATTCGTGTGCTTAAGGTTCTTACTTAGGTGAACACCTGATGTTTGCAGACTTTAAAAAATGGTTAATAAGGAAATAACTTTAAATTATGACTAGCTTTGTGTAATATTTCAGTTTTCAGAAGTAAACTATTAAAAATGAAAGGGTTGAATACATGTAAATGGGATAAATGCTTGTAGGTGAACTTTTTGTGCAATTAAAAATTTAGTTGTTTTAAATTGAATAGTAAATGCACATTGGATGTCTGAGATATTTACAATTAAGAAAGGATTATGATATGGGGAAACATTTCTAAAAATCATGGCATGGTTTTATCTATAAAATCCTAACATCTGAAAAACAATTCAAGATTTCTTGCTTCCTGCATTCCCTTTGAAAACTGGCACAAGACAGGGATGCCCTCTCTCACCACTCCTATTCAACACAGTGTTGGAAGTTCTGGCCAGGGCAATCAGGCAGGAGAAGGAAATAAAGGGTATTCAATTAGGAAAAGAGGAAGTCAAATTGTCCCTGTTTGCAGATGACACGATTGTATATCTAGAAAACCCCATCGTCTCAGCCCAAAATCTCCTTAAGCTGATAGGCAACTTCAGCAAAGTCTCAGGATACAAAATCAATGTGCAAAAATCACAAGTATTCTTATACACCAATAACAGACAAACAGAGAGCCAAATCATGAGTGAACGCCCATTCACAATTGCGTCAAAGAGAATAAAATACCTAGGAATCCAACTTATAAGGGACGTGAAGGACCTCTTCAAGGAGAACTACAAACCACTGCTCAATGAAATAAAAGAGGATACAAACAAATGGAAGAACATTCCATGCTCATGGGTAGGAAGAAACAATATCGTGAAAATGGCCATACTGCCCAAGGGAATTTATAGGTTCAATGCCATCCCCATTAAGCTACCAATGACTTTCTTCACAGAATTGGAAAAAAACTACTTTAAAGTTCATACGGAATCAAAAAAGAGCCCTCATCACCAGGTCAATCCTAAGCCAAAAGAATAAAGCTGGAGGCATCATGCTACCTGACTTCAAACTATACTACAAGGCTACAGTAACCAAAACAGCATGATACTGGTACCAAAACAGAGATATAGATCAATGGAACAGAACAGAGCCCTCAGAAATAATGCCATGTATCTACAACTATCTGATCTTTGACAAACCTGACAAAAACAAGCAATGGGGAAAGGATTCCCTATTTAATAAATGGTGCTGGGAACACTGGCTAGCCATATGTAGAAAGCTGAAACTGGATCACTTCCTTACACCTTATACAAAAATTAATTCAAGATGGATTAAAGACTTACATGTTACACCTAAAACCATAAAAACCCTAGAAGAAAACCTAGGCAATACCATTCAGGACATAGGCATGGGCAAGGACTTCATGTCTAAAACACCAAAAGCAATGGCAACAAAAGCCAAAATTGACAAATGGGGTCTAATTAAACTAAAGAGCTTCTGCACAGCAAAAGAAACTACCATCAGAATGAACAGGCAACCTACAGAATGGGAAAAAATTTTTGCAATCTACTCATCTGACAAAGGGCTAATATCCAGAATCTACAGTGAACTCAAACAAATTTACAAGAAAAACAAACAACCCCATCAAAAAGTGGGCAAAGGATATGAACAGACACTTCTCAAAAGAAGACATTTATGCAGCCAAAAAACACATGAAGAAATGCTCATCATTACTGGCCATCAGAGAAATGCAAATTAAAACCATAATGAGATAGCATCTCACACCAGTTAGAATGACAATCATTAAAAAGTCAGGAAACAACAGGTGCTGGAGAGGATGTGGAGAAATAGGAACACTTTTACACTGTTGGTGGGACTGTAAACTAGTTCAACCATTGTAGAAGTCAGTGTGGCGATTCCTCAGAGATCTAGAACTAGAAATACCATTTGACCCAGCCATCCCATTACTGGGTATATACCCAAAGGATTATAAATCATGCTGCTATAAAGACACATGCATACATATGTTTATAGCGGTACTATTCACAATAGCAAAGACTTGGAACCAACCCAAATGTCCAACAATGATAGACTGGATTAAGAAAATGTGGCACATATACACCATGGAATACTATGCAGCCATAAAAAATGATGAGTTCATGTCCTTTGTAGGGACATGGATGAAGCTGGAAACCATCATTCTCAGCAAACTATCGCAAGGACAAAAAAACCAAACACCGCATGTTCTCACTCATAGGTGGGAATTGAACGATGAGAACACATGGACACAGGAAGGGGAACATCACACACTGGGGACTGTTGTGGGGTGGGGGGAGGGGGGAAGGATAGCATTAGGAGATATACCTAATGCTAAATGACGAGTTAATGGGTGCAGCACACCAACATGGCACATGTATACATATGTAACAAACCTGCACGTTGTGCACATGTACCCTAAAACTTAAAGTATAATAATAATAAAATTTAAAAAAAAAAGAGTCATGTATTTCCCTGCTATACTCATAACTTTGAATACACACTTCCTGTGTCTGATTAAATTCAAGCACTTTTTTCATCAAGTTTGGCTTCCAGGTAATCTCAGTGGGCTTCTCATAAGAAAAAGCAGTCACACCGCAAAAGGTTTTTCTTTGCCTTTTTGGTAACTAGCTTAAGAAACAACATTTTATATTTAATTAAGATAATTCCTATGTTGTCTTTATTAGGTTTTTTATTGCTTAGAAAAACAGATTTAAAAGGCTTAAGGTTTTTACATCCATATAACCTATATTTCCTTTAAAGTCTTTTGATAATCACTTTGGTTAAATGAGTAACTATTGTTTCACAATGACCTACGGTTCTGTTTTGATCAAATGTTTTGCATCCTTTAACATCTTTGACAAATGCCCTCAAAATCACATCTTAAATCTCTGACTTATTGCTGGGATTTATCAAAGCTATAAAAATTAATCACCACTGGCCAGGCATGGTGGCTTACTCCTGTATTCCCAGCACTTTGGGAGGCCAAGGAAGGAGGATCACTTGAGCCCAGGATTTTGAGACCATCCTGGGCAACAAAGTGAGATCCTGTCTCTACAAAAACAAAGTACAAAAATTAGCTGGGTGTGGTGGCCTGTGCCTATAGTCCTAGCTATCTGAGAGGCTGAGGCAGAAGGACGGCTTGAGTCCCAGAGGTCAAGGCTGTGGTGAACCACGATTGCATTACTGCACTCCAGCCTGGGTGACAGAGCAAGACCCTGCCTCAAAAAGAAAAATAAAATTAATCAGTGAAAGGTTGTAAAATGTTTTTAAAGCTTCTAGTCAGGTCATGGACTCCAGTGTCCCCATCTACAGCCCCTTGAAAAGGTTGTTATCCGGTACTATTAACTAATCCTTGTGCTGATAAGTTACAGGGTTTTTGACTTCTGAGTACAAATATCTCATCTAAAGAAGGCACGATATTCTTGCCAATATCTGACATCAAACTCAAGTTAACCAAAGCCTCATCTTTAGACTCAGGCAAAGGTGACAAAGTAAGCTGCTTTCATGAGACACAGGGACAGACCTATATTCAAAAACATTAATATTTATTTAATAATTTTGCCTCTGTCTAAATTAGTAGAATGTATTCTATACCTTGATACTAAATAATTTATTTGTTTAGCTACCTGTGAGCTTCCTTTCCTGTCATTCTCAGAACTAAGCAAGGCTTATGACCTTTTTGTTTGAAATGTTGCCAATTCTTTTTTTTTTTTGAGACAGAGTCTCGCTCTGTCGCCCAGGCTGGAGTGCAGTGGCGCGATCTCAGCTCACTGCAAGCTCCGCCTCCCGGGTTCACGCCATTCTCCTGCCTCAGCCTCCCGAGTAGCTGGGACTACAGGCGCCCGCCACCACGCCCAGGTAATTTTTTGTATTTTTAGTACAGACGAGGTTTCACCATGTTAGCCAGGATGGTCTCGATCTCCTGACCTTGTGATCTGCCTGCCTCAGCCTCCCGAAGTGCTGGGATTATAGCCGTGAGCCACCGCACCTGGCCAAATGTTGCTAATTCTTTATGTTTTGTTTTACCTCCAGAATTTGAAACTATTCAATCCCTCTAGGCCCAGGGACTATTACAGAAGACATGGGCATATGAGATTGTAAGGACTGGGTTTTGAGGAACACAATTAATTCAGACCTTCCAAATCAAGGATGGACACACAGATGCCTAAACAGCTAAACAAAATGCTTGTGTTTTATATAACTGATTGCTACAAGCAAAGATTATGGTAGCTCACTGCATAAAATTTATAGATAAGCCAATTTTATAACCTTGTTTTTTATCTTTTGTCTTTGGCTCTTATGTTGCTTAAAAGAGGTCTTAAGGGTTAGTATGTGCCTGCCTGTGTCCATTCCCATCTTGCCCAAAATGTTTAATTGGCTATGTCTTTTGACTCTAAGTCCCTTGGCCATAGGAGTCCCACCAAGGGACATGATGAACAGCAGGTCCACCCTGCTGATGATGCCATGATGACCACCCTGGCATCAATATGGGACAAAATAAAAGACTGGCCATCTATACTGCCTCTGGCATATCTTGACCAAATAAAAGGGGAAATACAAACAAACAAGAAGTTCTAAGCCCTCCAACATACTAAATGGAACCCCTTCTTGGCCAAAGGAGATCCCCCCCAAAAACCTGAAAAACTAATTTAGGTTTTTACAGAAAGCAGGGGGCTGGACACACCTCATTATACCCTCCCCACTTTGGAATTCAGATGCAACTGACCAACATTAACGTTAAAATATAGATCATAAAACTGACAAAACAGACTCTTTGTAACAATAAGATACCAAATTATAAACAGGACCCAGGACCATGCCAGGCAACAGTGAAGTCGCGCACTCCTACACTTCAAAAGTTATGTTCTAGCTGCCACAAGGTGTTTCTTTTTCACGAGCAGCCAAATGAGTACTGGATTCAAGATAAGCTGACTGACCCCTACTCCCTGTTCACCAGGCATAACTACAGCTTTAATTAGACAAGAGTCTGATTTCAGTACATTTCTCCTGATAAAAAGGTCACTGACCATGGACAAATGTTGGCTGGTATACAGAAATTGCACACTCAACGTGTATTTTTGTACATACAGGGTCTAATTATAGTACATTTATATTTTAAGTCTCCATCCCAAAATAAACATGGGTCATATGTTACATACATATTTAATACACATGTGTCAAGACCAACTTTATGAATATTCATAGCCCCTCCTATAACCTGTTAAATATGTATATTTAGCCAACCTGTTGTCATATCCCCACAGGAACTCCAGGTACAACTGACAATGGGAACTGTCCACCGTAATTAAGACTAAATGCTGTGTATACTTCCTGCACAACTCTGGAAATACACCCTCAGCCCTACAAGACGTGCACAAGCAAACTAGTGCTATGTCTAATCCTGTCATGTCCTTAAATCAAGGGTTCTCCTCATAATTCAGATCAGGCCCCTCCTAGTAAAAGAAGTTGCTCATAATTTCAGCCATGATTTTAAAAATAAGTTTATTCTTCTACTGTGGACTCTATTGCTATTACACACTCACCACTCACACTCCAATAAATATCTTCTGTATTTTTCAGAAGTTTTCAAAAATTTTTCAAGGTCAGAGACTCAGAAAAGTTTTCAATTACAAGTGGACAGGTTTTCTTCTGTTGCCCCCTAGCTGTGCCCCCTTTTCAGTAGGAAGTAGTCAAATTGACATCTCCCACTTTCCATAAAAACGGAATATAATTTCACAGTGGGGAGCTGTAACCAAGTATCTAAGCCTCAAATTACATGTTAAGGTTTTTTCCCTTTCCTTCCTAATCTCGAAGTACAGCCTTGAAATGTACTTTAAAACTCTTCGCTTCCCTCCTTTCCCACCAGGCACTCCTGTGTACAGTGCTTGCTTATCTAATTATGTGCTTGCTTAGAAATTCTAGGGGCTAATTTTAAAGCAAATCAGACAGAGACTTGACTGCAGAATCCTCCCGCTTAGGGGAGTTATGAACAATGAATTCACCACCACCAGGCCAAAGTCAAGATGAGCCAACCAGACCTCCAGATGGGCAATTCCTCAAGATGACCATCAGGAAAAGGCACACAGACCTGTACCCTCCTGCATCACTCATCCATGTTTCTCATACCAAGTTTTCCTTCATTCAGTCCAAACAGCAGAGATGATTCCTTTGAGGCTGGTACCCAATCATTCTCCCGTCTGCTAGCATTTGAATAAAAGCTGCTTTCTTTTCACCACACCTCGCTTCTTGTGCTTTGACTTCTGAGTGGTAAACAGCCAGACTTGAGTCAGCTACCTCTCTATAGCCCCAAATCCAGTTTTACCACCACAGCGAGCTATGTGACTGGTGGGAGTGTCATAATCCTGGAGTGTACCATGGAGTGGAAGGTTAAGAACAAACCTGCATGTGTGTTGTTTTTTGTTTGTTTGTTTGTTTTTGAGACAGAGCCTGGCTTTGTTGCCCAGGCTGGAGTACAGTGGCACAATATCGGCTCACTGCAATCTCCGCCTCCTGGGCTCAAACAATTCTCCTTCCTCAGCCTCCCAAGTAGCTGGGACTACTACAGGTACGCACTACCACATCCAGCTAATTTTTGTATTTTTAGTAGGGACGGGATTTCACCATGCTGGCCAGGCTGATCTCGAACTCCTGACCTCAGGTGATCTGTCCGCCTCGGCCTCCCAAAGTGCTAGGATTACAGGTGTGAGCCACTGTGCCCAGCCCACATGTGTGATCTTTATTGAAAAACATACTGTGAAATAAAAACTGACCATGAAAATACAGAGCATATGTTTGCTACAACTGTTTATAAGACGACAGCTTTCTAACTGGGCTCAACTGGTTTTCCATCTCAAGATTGTACATACTGCTCCCCTCCCTCACCTCCACCCACTTATTTTGCACTCTCTAGAAAGAGAAGTTAAAATTCATAAGGCATTTTAACGCAGTGAACAGCACAGGGTTTTCCCTACCCATACTCTCTACCTGTCAGATACTGCAGGACAGAAGAATTCTAACCAAATTCCCTTTGTTATAATTTAAAAATATTTAGGAATATATTTAATGAAACTTTCTGACCTTTGATTTCTAGATGTAAATATGCTCATCCAGGAGTCTCTTGGGAATGGAAAATTTTATTTTATGACCTATATAATTATGAAATTCTTTCTTTCCTTCAGCACATTGCATTTTTTCCGACAGTTATAAAAGGAGTCATTCAATAGACAAGAACTTGACAGGAAAAATCAATTGAGCTTAACATTATTTGAAAACAATTAGACTATTTTCAAAAAGCATTTTTTATTTTCCATTTTGATTTAAAATAAACTTATACACTAATAGATCATATGCATCTGTAGAAGAATCTTGAAATTAAAATCAAGAATTCCCCATAAAGTCTAAACAGATTTCCCTTGTATCACAGAATAGATGAGTATCAGAAAAGTTGCTGCAAAACAACTCCTCCTTTCTCATATTCACTATAAAATAGGAGATGTGTCCATTGGAGAGAAAAAGCTTAGGTTTTATGAAATCAAGATGGCATCCAAATCCAGGGCATGCTGGGTAGTGCAGACTCCAGAGGGGTTAGACCTCATTGGAGTCATCCTGTCCATTTGCCCACTGAACACTGCAGAACCATCCTGACACCAGAGCTCTTCCCTCAGTCCTTTCATCTTTTTGTTGTCCTACTCCACAGGAATTTCTGCACAGTAGAAGAACCCCTGACTGAAATTCTGCTCCTTTCTTTCTTTAGTTGAAGAAATTAAAATGCTCTGACATGCCTTTGCTCATCTTTGCCGACTTATTCCTACACATGCTTCAAAAATCAGGTCAGATGCCTCCTCTTCCAGAAACCCTTCTCTGACAAACCATTCTCCTATTGTTCCACCAAACTGATTCAATAATACATACAATGACAGATTATTCCATCCACATTTTTTTTTTTTTTTTGAGATGGAGTCTCACTCTGCCACTCAGGCTGGAGTACAATGGCGCAATCTCAGCTCACTGCAACCTCCACCTCCCAGGATCAAGCGATTCTCCTGCCTCAGCCTCCTGAGTAGCTGGGATTACAGGCACGCACCACTATGCCGGGCTAATTTTTGTATTTTTAGTAGAGACGGGGTTTCACTGTGTTGGCCAGCCTGGATACTTCTTAATGTAAAGATTTTAGAGTCTGTAAAATAAATCACTATTTAATAAACTAAATATTTAACACTCCATATGTTGATTTTACTTAACCCAGTATAAATATAAAATAGACTCTATAGTGATTTTAAAATTCTCATTCACTGTGAAAGAATGAAAATTACGCCCAAATATTCATTTCCCTTCTTCTATATTACTACAGTAGTATTAAAAGTTTTCATCTGGACACACAGCCTCCCAGAATACATTTCCCAGGCTCCTGTGCAGCCAGATGTAGCTACATAACTCAGTCCTGGCCCAACTGTATGTGAGAAGAAGCTAGCAGTGCAAATACCAAGCTGGGTTCTTAAAGGGAAAGGGTGAATGCTCAATGTTATCAAATGGTACCAAACATGCTCAATAAATGTTAACTTAAAAAAAAAAAAGTAGGTATGACTAGAACCCAGAGGGCAATCTGAAGAGTTATCAGAGAGTAAGTAGGCTGGAAGGGATAGTCTATGAGCAAATCAAAGATTTTGGGATTTCATCCTAAAGCCTAAGGGAAACTCCAAAAAAAAATTTAAGCAGGAGGCTGACATGAGTCAGATAGATTTCTCCCTTAGAGTGCTCAATCTGGCAGCAGAGTAGCACATGGATCAAAAGAGTCAGGCCCTCTCTCCAAATGGACCACAGTAACTTTGCACAAAAACATTCCACACATTGCACCCCCTAAATACGTTTCGTGAAATCTAGAGGTGAAAATGGGGTAGACCAAGTAGTGTAAACAGATTATCTACCTGATAATGACAATTCACAACTGTCTGATGGGGGCTCGCTGCCTTGTCTCTGTGTAGGAAGGAAAGCATATTATTGCTTTTGTCATTATAAATCTATAATAACCTAAGTTGCTATGAAAAAAAAAGTCCTTGGTCATAAGACCAAGAGTATCATTTTCCACATAGGATTAAGCTATTACAGAACGGTGCCCCATGAACGGTATAAATTCACTAAAGCTCTTCTCAGGATGAAACCTGATCTATCTTAGTCTGGTTTTTCCACGCGAGTGTATCAGGAAAATCCTCAGGACTTTGCCCATTTGTTGACATCCTTTGGAAGACCCAAGAGTATTGAACAGAACACTGGGAGCAGATGCTGCTGGGGGGATCCTCCAGAAAATCTCCACCTGGAGTTGGACTGACCAGCCCTTTCCATGACATGATCTTCCTTCTTTCAGGAATGGGGGAAACCAGTACAATTGTGATCCTTTTGCTTAAGGAATACCAAGTAAGGCTTGGATACTCCCCTGTAAAATGTCTGCGTATCTGTGCTGAGGGAAAATAAATAATATATGCAAATCCTTGCTGGAAGGTTAGGGGAGGGCTTTCCTTCCCAAATAAAGTAAAATAAAAATCACTATGAACCAAGAGTTCATTTCTTCACGGGTCGTGAGTGTAAGCAAATTTACCAAAAGTCTGAAAGCTCTCCTGGGGAAGACAAAAAGCACTAGAGTACCACCTCCATTTTCTGAAAGGGTAGCCAGTCGGGTCTGCAGAGGCTCAGCTATAAAGGTATAAATGACTCCTTGGTTGTCTGCCCAAATCACCAAGGGAGCAAAACCAGCCTTCAAGGCCTCACCCCCTTCAGACAATTAAGTCTCATCTTCAAGCAGGGAATGGAAATGGGGCTGGTAATATCTGAATATTCTTGAGATACTACATTTGATATGCAAAACCCTTTGGCCTGTCTTTGTCTCTTGATGTCCAACAATGTATGTTCTGTTATGATTAAATGGCAAATCATAAGTAGCTCTAGTTCCTGGGTGGGGGGCGGTATGAGGAAGTGTGGGGAGCAGCTGCTCCCCACATCCTAGGTCCAGGGGCTAGGACAAGGCTAGATCTGGAAACTCTCTACTGGGGTCACCACTCCTAAGAGAGTTGTGGTCAAGGAAAAATAGTAAACAGCAGCAACCATCCTGAAGAACCTCAATCCAGAGGGCAAGACACAGCATCTGCACAGTGGAAGGTATATCTGAGGCCAGAAAAAAAAGTAACCAGAAGATGACTAAAGCTATCTGAAGTCAACAGGGATGTGGAAGGATGAAATGGAGGAGAGGAGGTCTAGACAGAGACAGGGCTGGATTTGGATGTCAAGTAGGAATGGTCCAAGAATATACTCTAAAGATTATGAATTGTCATGAGATGCTGCATCTTGACAAAGATGAGAATGTAATTGGTTTGCTTCTGTGGGGTCACAAACAGGGCCTCACAGAAACAGCCTTCCACCCACATCTACTGGCAGATGCTTGGGTACACAATAAGCACGCTGAACCAAATCCCTGTCTCATGTAGAGAAGTCCCAGCACTAAGCAGGACTCCTCTCCCACTCCATGGCAGCCTGGGCCTTGAGGAATCTTTGGGTCTGACATCACTGGCTGAAGCCGTGGGAGCAGAGGTCTCACTCACTCAGTGTAAAATTCCTTTACAGGACTGTCTCAGTCTCTTCTCCTGCTATAACAAAATAACTTAGACTAGGTAATTTATAAATAGAAACTTATTTCTCACAACTCTGGAGGCCAGAAAGTCCAAGATCAAAGTGACAGCAGATTCAGTGTTTGGTAAAGTTTCACTTTCTGCTTTTAGCCTGTAATCCCAGGATTTTGGGAGGCCAAGGCCGGTGGATCACCTGAGGTCAGGAGTTCGAGACCATCCTGGCCACTGTGGTGAAACCCTGTCTCTACTAAAAATACAAAAATTGGCCAGGCGTGGTGGCGGATGCCTGTAATCCCAGCTACTTGGTAGGCTGAGGCAGGAGAATCGCTTGAACCCAGGAGGCGGAGGTTGCAGTGAGCTGAGATCACACCATTGCACTCCAGCCTGGGCGACGAGAGCAAAACTCCATCTAAAATAAATAACTAAATAAAAAATAATAAATCCACAATCTCCCCATGTCCTCACATAGAAGAAAGGCATTAACTCTGTGTCCTCAAGTGGCAAAAAGACAAAAAATGGGATGAACTCATTCCCTCAAGCCTTCTGTAAGAGCATGAATCCCATTCATGAGGGCAGAGTCCTCATGACCTAATCATTTCCCAAAGGCCCCATCTCTTAATATTATCACCTTGAGGGTTAAGTTTCAAATATGAATTTTGGAGAGACACCAACCTTCCGGCATAGCAAGGACCCTAAAAGAAAGAGGCCTTAATGCTCAGTCTAGTAGAATAACAGTGTTATCTATTTTTAAAATGTAGCCAAAACAACATGATGCTGAATGGCAAGGAGCCTTCTTACTATTTGGGCATTCAATAAAAATGAGTGTATGTGCCCCAAATTCTCTTTGGATTATACATTTAAAAAATAACAATCAGGCACAGAAGAAAATTACATGAAACACACCAGGAGACACACACAACCTTAGAATTCTGTCTCTGAAGAGGGTACATTCACCTATTGTAGGTCCACCTCCAATCTCCTAGTCCCCTCGTATCTGAAAGTCTAACTTTTCATATGGGAATTCACAGTTAAGACTCTGAATTCCTGGAGACTGGGTCTTGTCTGCTTATTATCGGGGCAACCTCCTGTTGTGTCACAGGCATGGCTAACGTCCCATTATGGCTTCTCCGTTACTTAGCTCTAATTATTCTAAATTAGTGTTTTCCCATGGCACATCAAAATGGAGGAGCAAAGCCTCTTCTCTCTCTTTGAACATCTCATCTATTCCTCATCCTTGAAACATTCCAGAGACAGGTAGCCTAGCTACCCAGGATGCTAATTGCTTCTGACAAAAGAGACCATTAGAAGATTAGCCTTTCAGAGGTGAGGAACAATGAAAATGAGACAAATTCTGTTGATTCCAACACCCCTTTGTCATGAGCTTACCAAACCTTTCAATGATTTCTGCATTTGAAAAGCAGAAATTGTTTATTTGCAGACTGGAGGAAGCTTCAAGATTATTGTTCAGTGTCAACAACTAGAACAGAAAAAACGCCCAAAATATGCATATGTAAATTCATCCCATCTCACAGTTATCTCTGAGGAATTCATGATTTATTATACAATACTGCCTCTGTATTGAAGTTAATTACATACGTGCATTATCTCTTTTACTAGATTGGGAAAGTCTGAGAGGGCAGAGAAAATACTTATTGTTTCTTTACTTCTAGGAACAAGCTGAAGAGTATAACCATGCATACACACACTCACACTGTATGTCCAAAGCCTAGCACAGAACCTTTCCTATTATTGTAATAACTTTAGTTGAGTAGCACTCTTAACCATCAAAAACAAAAAAAAGTTTTCAAAGATTTAACAAAAGCAAGATGTACAATTGTCAATACAGATTGTGCCCAATATTTTCAAATATAGCTATGTAGATATTGATGCATACAAAGGAGATAGGTAGATAACACCAGAATGTTAATGATACTCATTCTGAGTGGTAGAATCGGTTTTTTTAATTCACAAAAATTTGAAGTCTTTAAAAAATGAACATGTATCATTTTTACAGTCAGGAAAATATTTCTAAAAATATTTCTGTAGTAAGGTTGTATATCTAAATTGTTAAACGGACTCAGGCATAATTTCCAAGTTGCTGAGAGCATCTAAGTTTGCAGTGAGTGCTTAAGAGTTTATAAAGGAGAAAAGGGAGAATAAGATGGAGATTATTACATTCTGTGTTTCCTGAGTCTCCAAGATTTGCTGCCCTCTGAACATGACTGAATAGACCGTATGGGAAAGACTTCCCACTTCCACAATCATCACAAAGCCCCTGGGGCCCACAGCTACAGATGACTCTGGGTTCCTGTCAGCAGATCCCCAAAGCCCTGCTACTGGGAAGGTGATGAACTGGGAGAAGAATGGTAGGCATGTACAACCTGGGACTAGCACATATGGAGCCTCTATGCAAATTACAGAAAATTATGCAAATTACAGATGAGTTTCATAAGGCCCCTTCCTTGCCAGACTGACTTTCTGCTCCGTCCTGCACTCTGGCATCTCTGTACATGGCACAAACTGCCATCCTCTGCTTCAGAGCAGACGATAGGTAAATATATAAGTAATATCACTAGATCTTTGTCAAATCTCCTCCATAGGCATTCTACCATTTTGCCTTCCCACCAGCAATGTAAGAGAGCTTCAATTTCCCCAGTCTTGTCAACAGTGATCTAACTTTTGAATTTTTGCTAGTTTTACACCTCAGCAGAGTAGTTTTTATTATTTTTTTCCTGTCTTGAGTTTTGTTTTTAGCCATCTTAGGGGGCTGTTTTGTCTCCCTCATCACTAACGCTTGGAGGAGGTGTCCTTTTCATTCATCTTTGCCACTTTGAGGCCATTGTGCCCCTCTCTCCTGAATCCCCAGCTCCAAATCTCATGTATAATCAGTCTCCATTATCTACTAACCCATAGCAAACCCCAGGTCTTTCCCTCTCACCTCTGTGAGTTCAGCTTCTCTCAGTGTAATTTTGCCTTGCATTTCTCACGTTTTGAATTAAACTAAGCATTTTATTTATTAGTGTAAGCTATTTGCAATTCTTTTTCTGTGAATTCTTCGTTTGTATGTCTTGTCCATTTTTAAAATCAACCTGTTTATTTTCAAAGGGTGAATTATTCAGGGGAGAATTTTGCAATAGCAAAGCAGAGAACATCAATCAGAAATTCTGAAAGCTAAAAATAATTTTTTCCCTATATTTAAACACCAGCAAATATTTCCTGCCATTCTCAATACTCATCCCTAGAATTTGTCATTAGCTGGAAAGAAAAGCAAACTTGAGCAACCAAGGTAGAAGTTAGTGATGCTAATTCTTTTAAACATAAGAATATTTTCCCGATCAATCAGATTTTTAAGACACGCTGAAATTAACTTATGCATAATGTATTCTCAGATTTAATAGTTAAGAGTTTTGTTAAAACAGATCTTATTATGAAAGATTTTAATTAAAGTAAAATCATTTACTTCATCTTAAAATGTTTGATATTTTATTTTAATAAAAAAATTACATGCTATTGTAGCAATTAGTTTTTAGCCATATTTACCTTTCTCTTTTATTAAATTGAAAAGGTTTGATTAGAATGTCCAAAGAAATAAAATTATTTCGAATTATTATGCTAAATTCAAATATAATTACTCTTCAAGACAGAATACCAGGGTTTCTGTGTGCTCCCACATTTAATTATAGGAGTACCAGGCCTTTATCAAACAAGTAGTTTCCACAGTAAAATAGCTTACAATGTGAGCTACAAATTGCACTGTATTATTATAAATTTTTAAAATAGCATATTAAATTTGTTTTTATAATTTACTGTATTAGGATTCTATCAAAGAAACAGAACCACTAAGATGTGATTTGTTACAGGAATTGGACCTCCTACAATTATGGGAGCTGATTAACAGTTTCTGTGAGGCTCTTCTCTTCCAGTCTGATGCTGGAGAGGCAATCAAGAGGGAAAGGCAGGTGGAAAGTGAGGGACAGCAAGAACAAGCTGGAACCCACAAGCACATCCGCAGCTCACAAAGCCAGCTAAAACCTGTGTCAGTTCCTGCTGCCTCTGACCGTAATGGTATGGGTGTCCTGGAGAAGCCAGGTTCCTTTGTCGTGTAGCTAAACACACATACATGCCTAGGAGTCAGAAAAACTAAAGAAGGATCCAGGGAAAGGTGCTGCAATTGCAGATCCAGCTGCTGCCTCTCACCACGAGGTGAGCTGGCAGGTAAATGACAACGCACGTGAACTACAAAATGGCTGCTGCTTCATTTTCAGCCTCCAAATCCCCCAAGACTCTCTCTTGTGGTGCACATGAACAGAAACATAGGAAAGGGAAGTCTAGGCACTGTATTTCAGCCTAGCCGATTTGACATATATCGAAGCCACGGCAGTCTACCTCTTGTCAACTTGGCACCCATATGTATGGTAGATGCATATATTAGTTCATTTTCACACTGCTAAAAAGAACTACTTGAAACTGGGTAATTTACAAAGAAAAGAGATTTAATTGACTCACAGTTCCACATGGCTGGGAGGCCTCAGGAAACTTACAATCACGGTGGAAGGCAAAGGAGAAGCAAGCCCTTTCTTCACAAGGCGGGAAGCGCCACACTTTTAAACCATCAGATCTCATGAGAACTCTATCGTGAGAACAGCAAGGGGGAAGGCCACTCCCATAATCCAATCACTTCCCATAAGGACCGTCCTTCAACATATGGGGATTACAATTCGACATGAGATTTGGGTGGGGACACAGAGCCAAACCTTTTCAGTGCACTTGACAGCATAGACCCTGAGAATGACCCTGTATGATAGGTGCATCTGAATATTTGTTCAGAATTCTGAGCTAAGGAATTCAGGAATGGCCAACCAGGAGCTTCATTCTTATCTATAAGAAACACCTGAGCCCCTGGATGGTCCTGTGGAACACCTGCTGTATGGGAGAATCAAGGCCTTTTCTTTTGGGTTAACAGTAAGGTTGCCAGGTGGAGATTGTTGGGGGGAGTGCTAAGTGAAAATGCTATATAAGCTACATGCTTTCTACAAGCGGCTGCAGTTCTCTTGCCCATCCTGTCACCACTGGTTTGCTCTATATGTACGTTTCCCCACTAATAAAGCCCTATGTCTCATTTGCTGCCTCCGGGTCTCTTCATGAGCCTCTTGAACATGGTGTCATCTCTGTTGAAGCTAATAGGGGTCCAGCATGGCACCATACTCGTGTCCTTAAGCCATACATCTCCAAAGAAAGACAAAAGCAAAGCCATAGTTTGCCTACATACCTGACACACAACCAAAACACACAAATCCAGGAGTGGATGCAAAATCTTTTTGTTTTTCTTGGGTAATGTTCCTTTTTCTCATGGCAGATTCACACTTCCCCTTTGCTATCCTGTAACTTAAGTACTAAGAAATTAAATACTTTGAACACATTTTGTGTTCGATGACAAAAGGATAATAAGGGAGGAAAAAACTCAAACATATTCTGTTAATATTTTGCAACTGGGCATGTGCTTATAGTTCTCACCTTTCATAGCTGAGTTGCCCTCAGCACATGCCTCAGCTAATCCAGGTTCCTTACCAGGTGGAGTAGATAAACCAATTCTAACAGGTCCAGGTAATTTAAATAATAACATTGCTGCTTTTGTAATCTGGCTTGCAGTTTATTTCCCAGTGTTTTTTATAATATCCCTTGAAATGTGTAGAGTTCAAAGAGTTGAGTACCATCACTGTGGCAAAACTCCTTCCACTTCCATCTACTTCTATATGTGAGTAAATATGCTTGTTTCTTATATCAACAAAAATAAAAATGGGAAAGTAATTGTTCAGCCTTGTCTCATTCTATAAATAATATTCACCCAGATAACTAAATGGGTTAAAAAAATTATATTACTAAAAATTTATTTCCAGTACAAGGTTAATGTTTTAGTACGTGTTTATCAAGATTTGTAGTATATTTGTTATTTTGATCAGTTGTACACAAAACCTATCTAAATTATGATTTTAACAGAGCCTTATGGTCACAGGAAATAAAACTAAAACTTTTATTTACACACATACATTTGTTGCAGAAAATACAATAGGACAATCAAAAGACTTCCAAGCCTAAAAATGTATTAAGTTAGAATAAAATTCTGTGGGGTAGTGGAATGAAAATATGAGTTCAAGGAGAAAAAGTAAATAAATGTCCTAGTTTGAATATTATAGAAGGGCATTTATATTAAAGAAAAACTTCTTCATGTGCTTTTAAAATAAGGATAGCTAGCATAAAATCATTGTGGTATTTACATTCTATTGGATATATTTAAAAGATCAATATATCAGGTGTTTTTCATTTGTTTGTTTTTATTTTTTATAGAGATGGGGTTTCACCATGTTGCCCACATGGTCTTGAACTCCTGGACTCATGCAGTCCACCCACCTCAGCATTCCAAAATGCTGGGATTACAGGCATGAGCCACTGCACTGGTCCCAGTATAGCAGTTTTAATTTAAAATGTTAATAACTACTACATGCCAGAAATTACATCCTTTACTATTATACTATATAAATCTGTAACAAAAATTTTAGATGTCAACTGAAAGGTGTTCAGTAGGTACACAGTTTTCAAAAAATGTTTGCTTAGGTGTAGCCAAGCAAAAAGTAACAATGTCAATTGACACTTTCTGAGCTCTTACTGCTCACCACTGTATTAAGCTTTTCTCATAATTTAATACTTTGGTGACAACTGTGTGAGGTAGATCCAGCCAGGCTATGACTGTGGGGCTTGACACAGGGAAAAGTGGTGTTCTGCTCTCTCTCCTATTCCTGACTTGGGAGATCTGGCACCTGGCGACCTAGTCCAGCCCCCAGCTCCTATCCTTAGCAGTCCTGCCCAGAGCCTCTTGCTTCTGGGGTCCCCCTCACCTAGTGGGCAGCTCTCTGAACCTTCTAGGAACTCTCACATCCGTATATCACCAATCAGTGGTGTCTGCTCCACCACCATCCCCTCTCAGTTCCATCATCTCTCTCCAGTTCTCCCTGCCCTGCTCATGTAGGTGGAGGGCAGTTCAACAAGTCAATTGCCCAAGTCCATGTCCAATCAGGGAAATATGACTGCAATGGGCTGAACAATGGCCCCTCAAGATGCCCAGGTCCTAATCTCTGAAACCTGTGAATATGTTACTTTACATGGTAAAAAAAGATTTTACAGATGTGTTAAATTAAGGATTTTGAGATTGGGAGATTATCTGGGTAGGCCCAGTGTAAACACACAGGTCATTAAGAGAGGGAAGAAAGAGGGTCAAAGTTAGGAGAAGGCCATGTGACCCCACCGGAATCCCTTCCCTTAACTTTGGAGTTGGGTAGGAAGAGCTACAGCACTCTCACCCCCATCAGCTGATGGCTCACAACTCCAAAACTGCTTTCTCTGCTGACCCCCCATGGCCGCCCCCATCCCCATCCCTTCTGCAAGCTACCTTTGGCCTATACAGATGGGGAAGAGTATGGGGGTGGCGGCTGGGATTGGCTAAGCCAATCCACATTTTACTAGGCCCAGAGGAAGGTGACTGGTCTCAATTTTTAGAGGCTCCTCGGCATCTTTCACTGTAGAACGTGAGGAATATAAGACTCCTTTGTCTTCAGCTTTGGGTCCTGGACACCAATTCCTAGGCCAAGGAAAAGCCCCACTCAGTATTCTGTTACTCCAATCTGGAAGCAGTAGGGGGCAATACGTTTTTCCTGAGAAATCGGTTATTCCACAGGGTTAGATCCAACTCCTCTCACTCCATATCTGGGTACCTTTCATAGGAATTTAAGACTCTTCATTATGAGAAAATATTAACTCATTTCTTTGTAATCCAATTCTAATGAATCAACAATAAAGTCTACCCCCTTTTTTTCATGCATCCAGTACCTTGCCTTCATCTGACTTCCAATCCACAACAGTTAAATCCGACAATTAGAACCAAGATCACTGAAAGCTATTCAATGCGTATGCTTGGTGAAATTCATTGTATTACTAAAGGGGCCTCCCAGGGCTCCCCACTCACTCTCTGCCCTTTGCCGAGTGGTGTTATCACTTAGGATGCATTCAACTGCAAGTAATAAAGAAAAAAACCCTGCCAAACAGCAGCATCAATCAATAGGGAAGTGGTTAAATAGAGGTGGCTGGGCACGGTGGCTTACACCTATAATCCCAGCACTGTGGGAGGCTGAGGCGGGTGGACCACCTGAGGTCAGGCATTCAAGACCAGCCTGGCCAACATGGTGAAACCCCATCTCTACTAAACATACAAAAATTAGCAAGGCATGGTGGTACATGCCTGTAATCCCAGCTACTTGGGAGGCTGAGGCAGGAGACTCACTTGAACCCAGGAGGTGGAGGTTGCAGTGAGTTGAGATCGTGCCACTGCACTCCAGCCTGGGTGACAGAGCAGGACTCCATCTCAAAAATAAATAAATAAGTAAAATAAAATAGAAGTACATCCACATAATGGAAAATTACTTAGCTGATAAAAGGCATGGGGATGCTACATACTGACATGGAAACACCTCTAGGACGTAATGTTAGGTGAGAAAAATAAGTTGTAGAACAGTATACATAATGTTGCCATTTCTGTAAGAAAGGGAAAAGGTGCTTATTTGCTAATATTTACCCATAAAACACTGAAAGATCACAAAAGCAACTCTTATAGTTGCCAGTAAAAAAGGAGGAAGACGGTGAAGACAGGACGAATGAGGACAGGTATAGGAATAAAAGCTCTCAACAAATACCCTACATTGTTTTCATTTGTAGCCAGATGGAACGCATTACCTATCAATGTTTTTCATCTTTTAAAAAATTTGGTTATGTAAGATGTTACTATTTGCAATATTTGTGTAAAGGGTCTATGAAAATTCTCTGTACTGTTTTTTGCAACGTTGTTATAAGTAAAATTATTTCCAAATAAAAAGTTTGAAAAGATTTTTTAAAATAAAACTTAGAGATAGTGTTAGAAGGGGAACAAATAAAAGACATAAAAATAATCTAAATATCAAATATTTACTTAATAAGAGAGGAAATAGCAAAGGGGATGTGGGGACAGGACAGTAGAAAGGGAAGTGGCTAAGAAAATCAGAAAAGGACTAATTAAAAAATAATAATAAAGAAAAGAAAAGCTGGCATCCTAGACCCATTTTCAAGGGTCCCGTGGACTTCTCCCCAGATTGTTATTAATGTAAAGAAGATTCCACTACTACAGACAAATCAGTGGTTCTTGACATCATCCTGGGACAGGATGCCTTCCAAGCACTGCTTCCTGCTGGATGCTTTTCCTCCCTCCCCCATGCTCCCCACACTGTGCAGGGGCACAGGCTCAGAAGGTAAATCCAGAGCGATTTGATTTGTGCCCTTTCAGTTGAAAGGACTAACCACAAGCTGCAGCGACTGGCAGTATTCACACACTTCCCTTCACAGGGGAAAGCATGCAAATTAAATCCTCACACTGCAGGTCAACAAAAATAAAAGCCTTTACTGTGGGTAATGTGTTTACCACCCCCAATTCCTGGAAACCAGAGCCTCAGAGTCTAGTTACCACAGTGTGGGAGAAATTGCTGGGAAGTTTATTGAGGGAAGCCTGAGGTGCAGCTCGCCCAAAGCAAACAATCTCCTGCTTGCTTTCAGGCTGCCGCCTCAACATTCTCAAAAAGTTCTCCATGTTCACAGAGATTGTGCAACCTGAGGTCCTAATCTAAAAGAGTCTAAGGGAGTCCCCAGGAGGGTTGCTGTGAAAATAATGTCAGCATCCAGGTGGTAGGAACAACAGTTTTTAAAAGTTTACCACTCTGACACCTTGTATTCTGGTCTATTTCTTTAGCCTTAACACTCCAAGCAATCATGCAGTTTTAATTTGGGGTCAGTTTTTCCAAAGCAAATCTGCTAAGGCTCTATTTTCTTCTTCAAGAATAGGGTGGCAAAGGTGGATTGTGTGAGCAGGACCTGTAGAGACCGCACAAATTCTACACTAATAATAACTTTCATTTGTGCAATAATGCAATGGCATACTAGTATTTATTGAGCATTTATTAAGTGCTTTGCATACTTGATATTTTTAAATCTTCATCGCAATTGTATAAAGTATTTTTATTCCTAACTCAATGAGGAAAAAGCTGAGATTTAAAGGGTTTAGGTCATTTGCCTAAGACCACTCAGCCACAGTATTTCATCAAATCTAAGATGCCACCATTATTTCATATACCATTAAAAAAGAAAAACATGCTGCTGATTAAACTGTGATGTACTATCAAGTGCAAGACAACTCCCAAGTCAGAGGCATTAAATGTGAAAAAGTATGGGTCTTAGGTTCTGACATGCAGTTGTAAGTGGTAGAACTACTCTGCTGTTTACAGTGCATTTCCACAGTAATTGTCAAATTTCTTCCTCAGAAAAACCTTGTAAGTTATAAAGCAGGCATAATTATCCCATTTTTAGGTGAGGAAATAGGTTCAGAGTAGGTAAGCAATTTGCCCAGTCACAGAGCTTACATGCACTCATGACTCAAACACGGAAATTCTGACACCTAAGACAGCAATTCCTACATCATGCAGCCTCCCCTAACCTTAAGAAATGTCTTAAGTGGCTGGGGCATGGTGGCTCACACTTGTAATCTTAACACTTTGGGAGGCCAGGGCAAGGAGAGAGTGATGCTTGAGGCCGGGAGTTCAAGACCAGCCTGGTCAACATAGGGAGCCCTCATCTCCTATTAAATAAAGAAATGTCTGGGCACTATGGCTCATGCCTGTGATCCCAGCAGTTTGGGAGGCTGAGAACAGTGGATCACTTGAGGTCAGAAGTTCGAGACCAGCCTGACCAACACAGTGAAACCCTGTTTCTACTACAAATACAAAAATCAGCGGGGCGTGGTGGCCCATGCCTGTAGTCGCAGCTACTCCGAAGGCTGAGGCAGAAGAATCGTTTGAACCTGGGAGCCAGAGGTTGCAGTGAGCCAAGATTGCACCACTCCACTCCACTCCAGCTGTTGTGACAGAGCGAGAAGAAGAAGAAGGAGGAGGAGGAGGAAGAGGAGGAGGAGGAGGAGAAGGAGAAGAAGGAGAAGAAAAAACAGAAGAGAAGAGAAAAGAGAAGAAGAGGAAGAAGAAGAAGAAGAAGGAGAAGGAGGAGAAGGAGAAGGAGGAGGAGAAGGAGACGGAGAGGAAGAGGAAGAGGAAGAAGAGGAGGAAGAGGAAGAAGAGGAAGAAGAGGAAGAGGAATAAGAGGAAGAGGAGGAAGAGGAAGAAGAGGAAGAAGAAGAACAGAAGAAGAGGAAGAAGAAGAAGAAAGAAGAAGAGGAAGAGGAAGAAGAAGAAGAAGAAGAAGAAGAAAAAGAATATTTAAAAATAATATTTAAAAATGCCTTCCTGGCCAGGCACGGGGGTGCATGCCTGTAATCCCAGCACTTTGGGAGGCCGAGGCAGGTGGATCACTTGAGGTCAGGAGTTCGAGATCAGACTGGGCAACATGACAAAACCCCATCTCTACTAGAAATACAGAAATTAGCTGGGCTTGGTTGCACACCCCTCTAATCCCAGCTACTTGGGAGGCTGAGGCACAAGAATTGCTTGAACCTGGGAGGTGGAGGTTGGAGTGTCCCGAGATGACGCCACTGCACTCCAGCCTGGGTGACAGAGCGAGACTTCATCTCAAAATACATAAAAAAAATAAATAAAAATGCCTTACTATTCTTATTTATCAATGGAATTATTTGAACAAGTATAGAGGACAGGCAGCTGGAGATCTCTTATTGTTACAACTGTGACAATATTATCCTGCTGAGCTCTTTGGTTGTGAGTGAAATGCTGCCCCTTATTCTGTTTAATTCATGAAACGCTTACTGAATGTATGCTATGAGCTAACAGACGCTGTGTCAGGCAGGAGACTGGGGCTACTTTAGTTCACAAATTTTACTATGAAAACCTTCAAGCATACAGAAAAATTGAAAGAATAATACAGGGAAACCTCAGATACCTCCATCTGTGTTGCAGTTACTAACATTTTGCCATGTTTGCTCTCACCATATGTACGTTGGTAAACTCAGTGAGCATAAATTGCAGACGTTATAACACTTTACCTTCAATATTTATCTTCTAAGAACAAAAATAATTTTTACATAAGCATAATACCACTATACTTGTGAATGTCAGTTTTGTGTGTCAGCTTGGCTACACCACGGTCCTGTTATTCAAACACTAATTTAGGTGGACTTTAATCACGTCTAATCTGTAGGGGTAATTTAAGTCCATAGTCACTAGATTTTAAGGGAGATTATCCTAGATAATCTATCCCAGATAATCTGAGTGGGCCCGATTCACTCAGTTGAAAGGCATAAGAACAGAGCTAAGACTTCCTGAAAGAACAAGAAATTCCACCTGTAGACAGCAGCTTCACCCTGTGCCCAAGAGTTCCAGCCTACCCTTCATGACAGCCAGCCCTGTGGATTTCACACTTGCCTAGCCAGCCCCCATAATCACATATACCAATTCCTTGTAATATATTTCCTTATTCTCCTACTTGTTCTGTTTCTCTGATTAAAACGTGATTGATACAATACCTATGAAAATTAACATTATGCCAATAGTATCTTCCTTTATTGATTATTTTTAATCTGAGGTCATGGGATGGGCTTCAAGGATTGGAAAAAGCCTGAAACTGTATACAGCATTTGAAATGTTTGTACGTTTTGTAAATTTTCCTGGAGGAAAATCTAGTTTTCATCAAATCCTCAGAATGTGCATTACCTCCTAAATGATCAAGAGCCACTGCATTAAATTCATCTTCCTAGTTCCATGAACCTCACAACAGTGATAACAGAAAAAGGCCAACTGACTTTAAGGGAGGACTGGGTGAATCCCTGGGACAGGAATCTGATGGTGGTGGGGGAAACAGCCAGCCACCCTGCAGTGGTTCCAGAATTTCATTCTCGTTAGTTCATAGTGACACAGGTATTTACAATATATTGCCAATCTCTTAAAGACAAGGACAGAGGGAATAAGTCCCTGCGAGTTTCATTGTTAGTGGCTCCAAGCACAAAGCCACTTAAATTTAGCCATCCTTATGGAGGTAAAGAAGTACAGTAAGGTTTTGCATTTAATCTTGATGACCTCATATTTTAAATAAATACTTGGCATCAAAGGCTGAAGAAGAATCATTTGGCCTATATCCGTCTTCCCAAGATTAAAATGTAAAAGGCAGTGAAATGCCTGTTATCCAGAGTGGGAAGAAGGAGAGCAGCTGTTGGCTGACCAAGTTAGAAGGTGCCAATTAATATTAGTCAAGACTTCAGAGAGAAGAAAAATCTTTTTAAAGTTTTTTTTTTAACAAAAATAGTACATTCTCAAGGAATGATATTTTTTCCTATTTTGAATTCTATTAAATCTCTGTAAGAGGTCAGCTTTATAAATGCAGGCATTCCTCCTATTTACAAAAATCTTACTTGTAAGCAGCCATATTGTATTCCCTTCTTGTCACACATCAGGTACTCACTGCCCATGACAAGGCAGAAAAGGGCAAAGCAGAATCCTGCTGGAAGTGTTCCCCTCTCTTAGTGGGGATCAGGGGGCAAGTGTCCTTCCCTGTGGTGGCTAAACTCAGCCCAGCCCCTGAACTAATCCTTGTCTGAGCAGAAATAGCCAGCAGCTCCAGGAACATTGTCATATGGGGCCTGTTGGTCACAGGGGCATAAAGCTAATGTCCAGTATCACCAGGATTTGCCCTGTGCCCAGGGGTAACCTCCTAGCTGTTTTCTTCTTCCAGTGAGCTGGCCAGTTCCACAGCTCAGCTTCTGCCTTTTGTTTCCTTACTTATGACTTGATTTCCTACCTGTGACTGCAACCTTCTTCCAAATACCTAAGTTAATTCCACAAAAAGTGATAGTAGAGTGTTTGAACTAAGAAGGAAACCCCATTCCAGAATTTGACATACATTTATTTACACCAGTCTTCATGATCAGCATTAGGGAAGAGTTAGTGAGTTTCCTGAATTCTCAGATCGAAGGTTTAATGTTATAGCAGTTCACCTGGACTGCTCTAATGTACGGCCCTGGTCTCTGCCACAAGATGGTGCCTTGTTGCTGCATCCTTCAGAGTCGACAAATGCTGTGTCCTCACATGGTAGAAGGGCAGAGGGCAAAAAAGGGGCCTAGCATTCTCTCCAGCTTGTTTACAAGGTCATGAATCCCATGAGGGCAGAGCCCTGATGACTTAATCATCTCCTAAAGGCCCCACGTCTTTTTTTTTTTTATGGGTATGTAGTAAGTACATACATTTATGTGGGGTATGTGTGATGTTTTGATACAGACATATAATATGTAATAATCACATAAGGGTAATTGGGGTATCCATCACCCCAAGCATTTATCATTTCTTTGTGTTAGGAACATTTCAATTATACTATTTTAGTTATTTTAAATATACAATACATTATTATTGAGTGTACTCACCCTGTAGTGCTCTCAAATATAAGGCCCTACCTCTTACCACTGTCATATTGGAGATCAAGTTTCAACATGGATTTTAAAGAGAACACAAACATTCAAACTATAGCAGGGGCTGATGGAAAAAATGTTAAGACTGCTAAGAGGAATTAAAAGATCCTTCAGGATCAAGATGCCTCAGTGCCATCTCTTCCTGCTTTGCCACTGAATAAGCCGAGAGTTGTAACTCAACAGTAAAAAGAGAAATAAATAAGAGAAATTTAAAAGATGGTTAAAAGTTATAAAAAGACAAAAAACTATAATAAATTGGACAGGGGAAACAAAAATAAAAGCTATGAGAGAGAATGAGATGAAATAAATATAAGCAAGCTAATGCTAGGAACTGAATGTGTTTCTCTCAAATTCATGTGTTGAAAACCCAATTATCACTGTGATAATATTAGGAGGTGGGGCCTTTGGGAATTGAAATGATCATGAGGGCAGAGCATTCATGAATGGGATCAGTATCATAAAAAAGGCCCAGACAGCTGGCTTTGCACTTCTATCATCTATGAAGCAGGAAGCAGGCTCTCATCGACACTGAATCTGCTGGCACCTTGATCTTGGACTTCCAGCCTCCAGAATGGCAAGAAATACATTTCTGTTATTTATAAGCCAGCTAGTCTATGGTACTTTGTGACAGAAGCCCAAAGGGACTAAGACAACTAAGAAAAATGTGGACATGAGCTAAAAGTGAGTAGCACAAAATTTTAAAAACAAGTCATGATTATGAAGACACAAACAGAGTAAGAGGGCTCATATATTTAAAAGATAATACCATAAAAGAAGCTACAAAAATAGCTTAAGTAAAATTGGGCCTCCATGCTCCCACCTTAGAGTCACAGTGTGGAATTGTATCCGGAAGAAACTCAAGTTTGCTTCCAGATAAAATAAGAAAAAAAACAGAGGTCTTTTCAATGGGTCTTGTGAGAAGGCAAGATCAGGGGAATTACAGTGCATGCACAGAAGGACTATTCTCCAAAAGCCCTCCTTGGATGTTTGTCCTCACCGGAGTCCTGCTTCTGAGCAGCTGTCAGAGATTTCATCACCTTCTTCTCCACATGGTTCCCTGCCCACCACGCTGCTTTCCCACTCCTCCCTCTCCGAGGTATACTGCTCATGCGCTGACTCCTTCCAAAAGCCATACAGCCTTACAAGTGACTGTCTTCCCTCTGGGACCTGTCCCATGTCTCCTATTCTGGTGACTTTTCTCCAAGATGCAATACTCCCTCAATCTGGAATTCTAGTGAATTAAATTCCCTTTATAAAATGTAAATGACATCATAAAAATATAGTATTTAAGAGGCGAAGAGTAAGGAAATTACCCCTAAAGAATATTTTAAAGTGAAATGGCAGAGTAGTGGAGGTTAAAGCTTTAACACTAGCCATCAAGGTCCTGGCACCTCTGGCTGGCTATCTACAGGCTATACCAAGCTCAGACTTAGGGAAATATGGAGAGAGCAGGAGAGGCCTGAGAGTTGTAATTGGTCATTATCTCAATACGAACTGACCAGGCAAAGCAACTACTAAAAAAGGAAAAATTTAAAAAGATGATGTGTAGTTACACTCATATGGCAAATAGGGATCATCACCTGTGCCAGCTCCAATTGACCAGTCGTGGCTACCTGGAGTGTAATGTGGAGTATCATGAGGTCACATGTGAACCCAGCAAAAGGAGCGCCAGGATCAATTAGCAATGCCAGCTGTGGGTGTAGGAGTGAGGAGAGGCACAGGGCATGCAGTGCCTCCTGGCCCTGGGCCTGGAAGCTGGCTCTCAGGAGGAAAGCAGTGTCTTATCGGATACAGTCAGGTTCAGAAAGTCATCAGCGGAAAGGCTTGCAGGAGCCAAGCAGGTACCATGAAAGAACAAAGCAGCCCCAGGGGAAGGGGTTGCCTCTGTGTGTGGAGGGCACATGGCTAGTAGAATATTTTTGGCAGAAAGTGATAGAAAAACCCAAGTCAACTGGTTTGAATAATATAGAACTGCATTATTTTACCTAATAAGTCTTTGAGAGAGGCAGGATGAGCCAGATGTGCTGTGGTGAAGGTTCTAGCTCTATTTCCCACTCTTCTTTCAATTTTCCCCTCCTCCATGTGAACAGCCCATCACTACCATCTGATAGTAACTGATTTAGGAACATAGGCTTAAACCATCAGTAGCTGGTATTCCCAGGGCTGGTCTAGGGATGGGCGTATGATCCAATTTGGCCTAATCAGACTTCAGGGAATGCCTTATTTCATGGGTGGAGGAGAGGTTTTCTTTTCCTTCCTGTGGATGTAAACAAGAACACTTATTGCCCCAGTCACTGCTGCCCATCATCTTGCAACCATAGGGGTAAGTCAGCTTGAGGACGCTCCATGTGGAGGAGAGGAAAGCTGAAAGAGGAGTGGGAAATAGAGCTAGACCCCTCACTGAAGCACATCTGGCTCCCCCTGTCTCTCCAAGTGCAACATGTGCTATGATCAAGATGTGTTCCATCTAGAGGCTCTAGGAAAAGATTTGTTTTATTTCCTTTCTCAGCTTCTAAAGGCCCTCTGCATTCCTTAGCTTGTGGCCTCTTTCTCCATCTTCAGAGCTGGCAATGTTGCAACTCTGAACATTCTTTCATAATCACATCTCCTTCTGACTACAACTGGGAAAGGATTTCTTCTTTTAAAGATCCATGTGATTAGATTGAACTCACACCAATAATGAATACTGTCCCTATCTCAAAGCCCTTAACCAAATCACATCTGCAAAGTTCCTTTGCCAGTAAGATAATGTATTCACAAATTTCAGAGACTTAGGACTTAGACAGCTTTGGGCGGGTGTTATTCTGCCTACCATACCACCTCATAGTTCCTTCAGGCTCAGATCCACACTTTGTAGTTATATATTTCCAAACTCTAGATAGAGGTCAAGAAAGTCAGGAAAAAAGCATTTCCACAAGAATAAAAAGAAAAAAACTAAGTGGATTCAGCAATGTGTTCCATTTGATGGGTAACAGTCTCTCCCTGGATTAAATAATAACTGTTGAAAAGGTCCTACAGGCTAATGTTAGCTAAAAGAGGGCTGAACAAAGCCCAAATTAAACTGCGTAAATTCCCTGAGGTCTCTGGAGAGTTTTCTGTATAAAAGGAAGGTCACAGGTGATATTGTATTTCTTATAACCCCAAGGACACAATAACTTTTATGTCAAACTGGAAATGAAATAAAATGCTGGCTTCTGAAAATTCATCAGATCAAGGAGAACATCTTGACTGGACAATGAGAAAATTTATAACTCTTCAGTCACCTCCTCGATCCTTTTAACTCTGGGGATTGCCATTGAATAGCTAACTCAGTCATGGAAATTAACTTATCCAGTCAAAAGGAAATTGTCTGCCTAAGGATGAACACAGAGGATCTGGCTACAACTAAAAACTCTTGCTCTCCTAGCTTGGCTACTCAATAGAAAAGGAAAGGGAAGTGTGAAAACATCAAATAGAAGAAGCAGTAATGAATTTTGCCAGCTACCTTTTTTTTCAATAGTGAGCAGTGCCGAGAATGAACATAAGGAATCAGTGCTCAGCAGACCTGGATTGTAGCCCCGCTGGGACATTAACTAGTTGTTAAGACTTTGGTCAAATGCCTTAACCTTCTGGGGACCATGTTTCCTTGTCCTTTTTTAAAAAATTTTAAAAATATTGACATGCATTTTTTAAGATGCATTAAAGAAAAAATTCATAATACTTCCACCACATAACACACACATATGCACACACACACACACACACACACACACACCCCTACTTCCTCTTATTCCACCCTCCAAGGGTGGAACGTCTAGTGAGTATCCCCTCGATACCTTTCTCCATGCTCGCATGCAAGCAGATATTCCTAAAGAGTTTGAATTTTTTGTTCTTACAAAAACTGAATCATACTATGTTTAAGACTCCACAATTTCTTTTTTTTTTTCATTCAACTTACTATGGTGATCCTCTAGAACAATTCATATAGATCTAATTCATTCCTACACACTAATTTAAATTGGAATTATGAATATACCAAATTACATTTATACCAAAATATATCCTATTGAAGTACAGTTCAGTTGTATCTCAATTTTGTTTTGTTTTGCTACTAAAAAATGTGCAAAAATCATCTCAATTACGTATTTCTATGTTCTACAGCTTTCATATCTGAAAAATATACTCCTCAAAATGAGATTTGGGGCAAAAAATATTTTTAAAAATTTTAATAAATATTACTATACTATCTCCCCAAGAGCAGTAATAATTTTCAGTCCTACCTTCAGTATATGAGAAGGCCTGTTTTCCCTCTATTAGCACTGTATGTCATTAATCTTTTTAGTTTTTGCCACTTGATAAGGAAAAAATGGTATCTTGTGTTGTTTAATTTGCAATTTTGAATGCTAGTAAGGTTGTTCATCTCATTTCTTAGTAAACTTTAGTTGCTAATTTAGGTTTTTACTCTGTACAGACACTATTCTTATGAGAAAAATGGAGGCATATTTTGGACTAAATCTCTAGCAAAATCACCGTAACTGTTATCTGGAATACCAGTTTAGCCAGAAACCAATCAGTACCTGAAAGCAGTCTGTAGCTTGGCTGTTGTATAACACCTCAACCCCATTTTAAGGAAGATCTTCAAAAAACTTCTGGAGAAGTCTAAATTGCAAACGATGATCACCACCACAGAGGCAGGAGTAATGGATGCCAAGTTCAACATAAACTTGTCTTTGACACCAAGGCATTGCCAAACCAGGAATGATGGCAAAGCTAATAGTGACTTCCTGAAGCACTTGGTTGAGAAGCATTCCGAGGCTGATCAGGGCTCAGCAGAAAAAGAGATGGAGTAGCAATGTGCGTTGGGTGCATACGAATATAAAGGAGCAATATCTCAGGTGAGAGCCCTGATATTGTCCCCAATTGGAATTGATACCTGGGCTCAAAGGTGCCCGGAGCTCTTTGATCTGGGTAGGAGGAAAGACTCATTCCCCATCCCTGCCATCACCTCCTCCTGAGACCACACAGGACCAGGGGTGTCCTCCTCTCTCTTCCCCAGACCTCCCATTCTTTGACTCTGTTTCATTTTATCCAGAATTCATCTGAATAAAAACGTTATTGAAAACGGAGAGAATACAGAAATTTTCTACACCCTAAATCCACTAGGAATGGACAGACAGGGCTGGTAAGGGAGAAATTAAATGACATTTGAAAATCTACAGACAAGAGAAATTGTAGGCAAAATGACAGACATAAAATCTCTGGCTCTCTTCAGAGAATTAGCATTCAAATCACAAAAGACAAAACAAAACAAACAAAAAGCTCTCAGTGCCAAAGCTTAGAATGCCTGCATTTCAGCTCCATCCAGGAATGGTGCACATTTTCTCTCCCAAAATGTGAGTTGGCCAGGCACTTCTCCGCCGCCTCACGCCTCCCCGTGACTGCGCTTCCTTTATCAGGACGTCGCCTGACCCCTAGTGGTGGCACCGCCTGCAGCTGCACCAGATAAGCTTGTCAAAATTCTAATTTGCTGACAGGTAGCAGCATTTCCTTAGAAAAACTAATGTTTGTACATTACCACAGTAGAAAATGGGTCTCTGACTTTAAGAAGATCTTCAGAAAGGTAAACTGCAGAGAAATTAACAGAGATGCCTAAACACCAAAGAACACAGCAATCTTTGTCATATGACAGCAATACATGACATTTTTCCTGGATCAGTAACAGCCTCGATCTCCCAGGCTCAAATGATCCTCCTGCCTCTGCCTCCTGAGTAGCTGAGACTACAGGTGTGCGCCTCCACCACAAACAGCTAATTTTTTTATTTTTTATCTTTTTTGTACAGACAGAGGTCTCCCTATGTTGCCCAGGCTGGTCTTGAACTCCTGGGCTCAAGCAATCCTCCTGACTCAGCCTCCCAAAGTGCTGGGATTACAGATATGAACCACTGCACCCAGCCAGGCCTATCTTTAAAAATGAGTAAAAATCCTCTGGTCCTGCTCAAATTTTTCTTTTTTATTATTTTTTTTTTTAAAAAAAAAAGGAGTAAAGAATTGCATCCAAGATAAGGAAGTCTCCACGTGTCTACACATTCATCCAAACCCACCTTGCTCAAGACTTCATGAAGTAGAAAAGCCTAGAAACTAGACATTCACAGTCCTATAAAATTCATGTGCCTTAAACTGATGCCATGAAAATTAGTTCTAAATGATGGCCAAAGGCAATAGGGAAAAAATGCATTTGTGAAATATTTTAGTTTATTTCATGAAGCATTAAGTAATGTATGAAAAGAAGTTGAAACTGAGACAAATGATCTTAAATGAGCCACAATCTTGGTCTATCCAGAATTTGCCTGCAAACCCCACCCTGCCCTTGTCAGAATGACTCAGACTTGGGTTGACTGAGCTTCCAAGGTGAAAGTCTCAGAAGCCACAGTTGAAGGAATCTAGGGTTGGCAAGGTTTCCCAGGTCCCCCTCCCACATGCCCCAAACTGGTCTCAGGTCCAGTTTGCTCTCAAAAGTAGGGTAACTCCTACTTTTTTTCTTTGAGATGGAATCTCTGTCTGTTGCCAGGCTGGAATGCAATGGCATGATCTTGGCTCACTGCAACCTCCCCCTCTCAGGTTTAAGCAATTCTCCTGCCTCAGCCTCCTGAGTAGCTGGGATTACAGATGCATGCCACTGCGCCCAACTAGTTTTTCTAGTTTTAGTAGAGATGGGGTTTCACCATGTTGGCCAGGATGGTCTCAATCTCTTGACCTCGTGATCTGCCTGCCTCGGCCTCCCAAAGTGCTGGGATTACAGGTATGAGCCACTGCGCCCGGCTGACCCCTACTTTTAAAAAGGGCAAAAGATCTGAACAGACACCTCACCAAAGAAAGTATACAGATGACAAATAAATACAGTGGTCCCACCTCAACTACGGAACATATGTTCCAAGACCCCCAGTGGATATCTGAAGCCACGGATAGTATGGAACCCTATTATACTATGTTTTTTCTATCTAATAATCAACATAGCTCCAAAGTGACTAATGGGCGGGTGGTATATACGATGTGAAGACACTGGACGAAGGGATGATTCACATCTTGGGTGGGACAGAGCAGGACAGAATGAGATTTTGTCACACTACTCAGGACAACACGCAATTTAAAACTTATGAATTGTTTATTTCTGGAATTTTTCACTTAATATTTTCAGACTTTGGTCAACTATGGGTAACTGAGGCTGCAGAAAGTGAAACTGTGGATAAGGGGGAAACTACTGCTTATGAAAAGATGTTCCACATCATTTGCCATTAGGGAACTGCAACGTAATAAATAAAAGTTGTATTGGTCAACTTTATTGGACAATCAATATTCATGAGCCTATACTGATATAAATAAATGATTGAATAAATAAATAAATTTGGAAGAATAGACAAATCTCCCATGCAGAATAAATTCCAAATAATTTATTACATAGATGCTTCTCGTTAGAGAAGTAGAGCACAGCTTCCCACTCCTTAAGTGTGGGCTGTAACATAGTGACTTCCTTTCAAAGTGTAGAGTGTAAAAAAGGCAGGGGGCAGTGAAGGGGAGAGTAATATTAGGCGGGGCACAGTGGCTGACGACTGTAATCCCAACACTTTGGGAGGCCGAGGTGGGTAGATAGCTTGAGCTCAGGAGTTTAAGACCAGCCCGGGCAACACAGAGAAACCTTGTCTCTACCAAAAATACAAAAATTAGCCAGGCTTGGTGGCGTATGCCTGTGGTCCCGGCTACTCGGGAGGCTGAGAGAGGAGGATTGCTGGAGCCCGGGAAGTCAAGGCTGCAGTGAGTCAAGATCATGCCACTGGACTCTAGCCTGAGTGACAGACTGATACCCTGTCTCAAAAAAAAAAAAAAAAAAAAAAGTAACGTTACAATGGAGAAACCTAACAAACATTAATCAGCCATGTGATCAAGGCTAACATTAGCAATGATAAGCATGGTGATACCTTACTCTGTGGTCTTCCTCTCCAAAACCAATAACCCCAGTCTAATCATGAGAAAAACATCAGACAAATTCCAACTGAGGGACATTCTGCAAAATACCTGACCAGTTCTACTCAAAACTGTCAGGGTCATCAAAAACAAGGAAGGTCTAAGACACTGTCATGGCCAAGAGGAGCCTAAGGAAACATTACAACTAATTATAATGTGGTATCCTTGATGGAATCCTGGAACAGAAAAAGGACATTGCATAAAAACTAAGAAAACCTGAATAAAGTATGGACATAAGTTAATAATAATGTGTTAATATTGGTTTATTAATTGTGACAAACGTACCATACTAATGTAAGATACTAATAATAGGAGAAGCTAGGTGTGGAGTACATGGAAACTCTCTATTGTATCTTTGCACTTTTTCTGTAAATCAAAAACTATTCTACAATTAAAAGTTTATTTAAAAGTAGGATGAGTAACTTCCTGATTTGCCCAGGATGTTCTGGGTTTTGGCACTGACAGTCTGGCATCCCAGGAAACCCTTCAGTCAAGGCAAAACAGGATGGCTGGTCATCCTATGATATTCAGTCCCCCTCTACCAACAGAGATCCCTGGGAGACACTAAGAATGTATTAATAAACTATCCTAGCTTTCCCTTTCTGTGATTTTGATTATTTGTTGCCTAATTTATTTCAGGCCTAGAGCATTTGCCATTGCCATTTCCCATAACTGACCTAAAAACAGCTAGGCACAAAAAGTGGGTATTTCATTGTAGTGGAAATATCCATGAGGAGAAAAGAAAACTTTCTCAGACATAATCAAGATAGCACCTCAACATTTTCCATACGAATAGTCCTGTAGCGTGACAAAGCATGAGTAATTCATAGAAACATGGTTATGACAGCTTTGATGCGTCCTTACAGCATGAGGCATTACAGGATTTCAGCAATGAATCAACTGCGTACACAAAACAAGTCAGCTCTACTATCTGACATCCTATGGGAAACTGAGGCACAATAAGGCCAAAGCTGACTTGGGGATGGTTCAACTGGACAACTGCCCAGGACGCTGATCCATAATGCTAAACTGCCACAAAAGCACTAAAATGTTGGTGGAAACATAAGGTAGGGAAAAAAATAATTTTTCATACTCCTCCTAGGGAGGTCAATGAACATGGCTGAAAGGAATACAAATGTTACTCAACTCTAAATCTTTCCTAGACAGAAACAAAGCTACACATGAGAGGACAACCATCCCACAGATGGTGTGGCAGTGGCTTGTCTAACAAATGCCTAGTTGGACTTATACACAAATGTTCTTAGGAACTACCTTTCAAACTTAGACTATCTGTAAATAAGGAAGCATCTGTAATTGATAAGCCACCAGGTTGACAGGGTGTGGAAACACCCACTCCCCATCCCCCAGCCAGGCAGCAAACTCCAGAGGTGGTCCTGTGAAGTGCCTTCTCAAGAAGTGTGAGTTCAATTAACCCAAGGCCTTTAACTATACTGAGATGGCTATGAAGGTCTGGGACTATAGGGTCCTTCTACTCTGCCCCTCCTGCACACAGAACTCAATGCTTCCTCCAAATAAACCCAGAATAAATTTCAAACACACATAGGTTTGAAGGATAGACAAATTATTCACCTGCCAGAGGCATCCACTAGTTAGATCCATTCCAGGCCAAGGAGGGCACTGTGTTGAGGGCAAAGGGCTAAGGCTTTAAGGATCCTGGGCTTAAATCCAGCCTGAGGTACTTACAAATTATTTAACTTTCAGTAGAATCTTGACCTCTGGGTTCCCAAATTTCCCATCTGTAAAAATAAGAATAATTTTATTCATCAGATTCTTTTCTATTGTGTTTGTTAAGCAATTGCAATGGTCTGGCTGATAGTTGGATGTGCATTCCCTCCATAGCTTGCATTACTCAAGAAGACTGACAGCATATTCCTCAAATCTGTAGCAAGATGTCCCTGCTGACCAGCACCCTCCTACTCTCTGCAGACCTCTCCTTATTCTGAGAGAGAAAGGGAGCAGCCACAAGGCAGCTCCACCAGCCCCTGTTGTCACATTAACCAGCCTCCCTGCATCTGTACCTGGTCTTCCACATGCCCTCCTTCTGGACGAGGTCTATCTCTCTTGACCAGTGCTGTGGGGCCCTCAACTCTGACCTTCTCAGCAATGGGGATCCACTGATTATCCCCTCCCAGTGAAACAGTGAATCTGCCCCTTGCCCATCAGACTATAGGCTTGCCCAAGGGTCTCATGTTAAAAATAAATAAATAAAATTCTTCCTCAGCCCCTCTCTGGGTTCTGCTCTGTATATCAATCTTTCTACCTAGCTAAACTTCGTGGAAGCCATGTCTATCCCACCATTGCCAATTCTTCACCTCCTGTCCTTCAACCCCAGCAGTCTGACTTCCAAACTACTACTCCCCTGAAAGTGCTCTCCAAGGTGACTTTTGTCTTAGTCTGCTTGGGCTACTGTAACAAAATACCATAGACTTAAATAACAGACTTTAATTTTTCACAATTCTGGAGGCTGGAAAGTCCAAGGTCAAGGTGTTGGCCTATTCAGTGTCTGGTGAGGTCTCTCTTCCTGGCTTGCAGACAGCTGCCTTCTCCCTGTGTCCTCAACATGGCAGAGAGAGAACTCTGGCCTCTCTTTCTCTTCTTATAAGGACACTAATCCTATCATGGGGACTCTGCCCTCATGACCTCATCTAAACCAAATTATCTCCCAAAAGCCCCACCTCCAAATACTATCACATTGGGGGTTAGGGCTTCGACATATAAATTTAAATTTAGCGGGGGTTGGGGGGTGGCATAAACAATCAGTTCATAGCACTGGCCTTGCTCTCCCTGGCCCCTCAGCCTCTGACACCCTTGATTACTCCCTTCCCTGGGTTCCCATGGCCTGGGGGATCTGGATTTCCCCCTACCTCTCTGACTGGCCCTGAAATGATGGCCCTTCTCAGAATTCAGTCCTAGGCTCTCCTTTCTTTTCTACCCAGGCACTGTGGATGATCCCATCCTCTCTCAATTATGTCTATACACCAAGGATGTCAAAGTTCTAACTTCAGGCCCTCCTGCAGACCCCTATATCCCACTGTCTATGAGTATCTCCACTTAAGGAGAATTAGTTAGAATTAGTTAAATTAATAGGCAAGCTATTAATTTGTCTGAGGCATTATATTAGTTTGCTAGGGCTATCATAACACAATACCAGAGTCTGGGTGGTTTACGTAACAGAAATTTATTTTCTCACATTTCAGAGGTTAGAAATCCAAGATCAAGGTGTTGACAGGTTTGGTTTCTTCTGAGGCCTCTCTCCTTGGCTTGCAGATGGCTGCCTTCTGGATATGTGCTCAGTGGTCTTTGTTTTGTGTGCACACATCTCTGATGTCTCTCTGTGTGTCCAAATTTCCTCTACTCATAAGGATACCAGTCAGATTAGATTAGGGCTCACTCTAACAGCCTCATTTTATCTTAAACACCTCTTTAAAGGCCCTATCTCTAAATATAGTCACATTCTGAGGGATGAGAGTTAGGCTTCAACATATGAATTTGAGAGGACATAATTCAGCCCACAACAAGCATCTACTTGGCATGTCAACTTCAGATGTGTGTGTGAGTCCCAAAGGCACTTCAGCATTAATATGTCCATGATCATCTCCTTCCTCACTCTCAGACCTTATCCTCTGCCTTTGGGCCCTTCCCAGGGTATGGCACCCATGTGGCTTACCACTTCCCATGGTCAATCCATCACAGGCATACCATGCCTCTGAAATATGATCATTTATCTCCATCCCCTCCGCAACAAACTTGGTCAAAGCCACCATCCAATCTCCTCTGGGTTAGCACAAGGGCCTCCTAATTTGTCTCTCTTCCTGGGTCTTGCCCACCTCCAACCCATTCTCCATGTGGCAGTCAGAGTGAACCTTCTCAAACGCAATTCTGGTCCATGTTAAAATCTTGCTTAAACTTTTCAGCAGCTCCCCACTGCCCTTAGAATAAAGCAGGCACTCTTCAGTAAGGCTTACAAGGACCTCCTTCAACTAGCCCTGCTTACCCCCACAACTCTGAATTTCTTTTCAATACTTTAAATGCACCACTTTCTTCTGTCTGGGGCCTTTCTATGTGCTCTTTGCACTTACTGAGATGCTCTTTGCCCTTCCCCCCACTCTTACTTTCTATTCAATTCTTAGTTTAACCATCATTTCCCCCAAGACGTCCTCCCTGATCTTCCCACTAATGGGATCAGGTGCCTCACTTTGTACTGCACTGAATGTTTAATTATGTGTCTCCTTCATTATGGATCAAAAGAACAGGAAACATGTCTGTGTTGCTCTTCCCCCAGTGCATAGCAATGTGTCTAAAATATAACTATTGAATGAAAGAATGCGTGATGCAGTATAGAATATGGCAAAAAATAATGGACTCAGTAAGAGATGACCTAGGTCTTTGTCTCAACTCTGCCATTAACCAGCTACATTACAACGTCTGTAGGCCAAGATGAAAATAAGATTGGGCTAGAGGCTATCTCTCAAATTCTCTCTTGATTCTAAATGACTATAATTCTTCATCTCCAATCCCAGGTAAAATACACTGTGCCTGCATATGGAAGGAAGAGATCTTTGACTGCTATTGATTTGGACAAAATGCCAATAGCTTGATGAAAATATAAGAGGCCCAGAAAAGGCCAGTAGAAGACGGAAGTAATAAAAAAGACTGCTCGGTGATACTAAAAGTCTTATAAATCAAGATGATTACATAAATCTTTCTTGACAACAACCCAAAGACAAAACAAAGACAACCAAATGTAAGGACTTTTAGCCTCCACTCCCCATCCTGTGTTTCTCTCTTCTGCTCTGTCACCCTCCCTACCCAAACTCGGAGACTCCCATTCTTAATAAGGTGAGTGTAGAGTAGTGGTGGGATGGGGAGGGTCTGTTAGATTAAGATGATTATGGATCAAGTCCCCAAACTTCCTCTTAGCTTGAGGGGGATCATAGTCTATTCCAAAAAGGAAAACAAAATTTGTTCAAGTAATAAAAACTCCTCTCTGGTTTGCAAGAACCAGGATGGGGAGAGGCTGGTGAATAAATTTAATTGAGAAGCCACATCTAGGCCTTGGAGAGAGTAAGAGCTGGGTGCAGCTTCAAGCTGAGGGCCACCCACCACCCCCATTGTGGTAAGAACCTTGCTTCCACTCCCTGACCCATCCAAGTCTAAAATATCTCACTATCTAGGTTGGCTTCATATTAGATATCTCTTGGAATTAATTTATATGCCAACAATGGCACTCAGGATTTACATACAAAACCCATCTCGTAGCTGTGGAAAACTAGTCAGACAGGCCTGTGTCCAAATCCCAGCTCTGCTGTTCGTGGGCTTGGAGATGTTCATCAAGCGATTGTTCTCCTGCACCTCAGTTGCTTTGTCTGTAAAGCAGTCACAGAGCAGATGGCCCAAATCCTCTACAGCTGTATGGGGCAAGGACGATTCCTGCCTTCCAAAGGTGGTTCCTCCAGGTGCTGAAGGGCCCGGCCATTGCTCTCGCGTCCCTCCGGGCTCTCTGCTGTTCCCTGCCTAGGAGTTGCCACGCTCATGGCTAAGAAAGCACCAGCGACCACCCACAAGGGTCGGGGGATCGGTTCTGCTCGTACTACACGTACACCCACCTCCTGGCCACCTCTCGGTGCTTCAAGCAGAACTCCATAGAGCTCATGTTCTCCTGAATCCTGCGGGTCTTCCACCAGGGGGACCCTGCCCTGTCTCTGAACTCTGGAGAGCTGGTGCTGCTGGGCAACCTGAGCCACGACGCCGTCTTCAACAACCACTGCAAGGCCCTCCTGGGCAACGGATGCCTGACAATGCTGGCCGGGCTGCTGACGGCCTGCGCCAGCACTGTCTTCCTTTCACTTCGAGGCCACCGAGCTGCCCTTCCGGCCCTGGACCACCATGGAGGTGGGCATCGACTGGAGCTCCTGCCAGCCACCCTCGGCCCCTCCAGCGCCCTCTGCTCCTGAGCCAGTGCCGCCCGAGGACATGCTCTTCACACAGAGCCTGCACAGGCGCTTGCCGACGCCGATGGCGGCGCCCTCGGAGCTGCGTCTCCTGCTGGCCAGCCTGCTGGTGAAGGGCGTGACGGTGATGGAGGCCGTTGTGGAGATCCAGGCCTCCCCGACAGCGGCCTGCTAGGGCGCCAGGGCCAGCGGGGCAGCGCCAAGCTCACGCTGGGGCCCAACTCGATGCGCAGGGACCTCAAGGGCCGCTGCTGAGCCGCGGTGTGCCCAGGGAAAAGGTGGAGAAACAGCCCGCTAAGGTCCTGCTGGAGCTCTGCGTGACGGAGGTCAAGCGCAGCCGCAGCCACCTGGCCTACAGGCTGCAAGAGGGGCAGTCACCGCTGCCCCCTACTCTGACCAGGCCTGCGCGGAGGAGCCGCCCACGCGCCACACCTAGCCCTGGGCCTGGCTCTTGGAGGACAGATGCAGCCTGGCACAATTCCGGGTGTGGGACAGGGAGGCTGGATTCTAGGAGAGCTCCTTCCGGTTTGAACTGGGGGCGTCGGGGAGCCCGGGACATGATAGGAGAGACCAAAAGCCTTGGCCAGTGCCTTCCAGGCGTATCCCTCCAGCTTCCTGCGGGCAAGCCACACCCTGCCGCCGTGTTCGAGGGCCCCAGAAGAGAGGGGTATCCTTGCCTCCAACCACCCATGGGTGTTACTGGCCAAAGCTCATGAAGGGAGCAGGCCATTGAGTGGCCACTTGCCATGAGTCCCTGCGGGGAGTGAGCCCTCGGGCACCATGTACGGGTACCATGTACTGTTACATTTGAGCCCAGGCAGCATGGTGGGCAGGCACAGTGGATGCTCACCTCTCCGCCACATGGGTCCCCAAAGACCGAGCGGGGAGACCCCCATGGCCCATGACATGAAAGCGTCTTGAAGTTTTTACTCTAAATTCTAAGTTTTTTTTTTTAATGCTGTATTTTTACTTACTGCTTTAAGCATATGTGACAGTTTGATTTTACTCCTGTCTTTGTAACGGTGTTTCTCGTAAGGCTTTTTTTTTTTTTTTTTTTTTTGGTAATGCTTTCTCCCCTTTGAAAGCATGCTGTTTGCTGGTTTGGGGACAGCCAGTCCTTCTGATGGGTCTGGTTTCTTTAGCCGCTGTGATGGTTAATATTGAGTGTCAACTTGATTAGATTGAAGGATGCAAAGTTTGAGACGGAGTCTCGCTCTGTAGCCCAGGCTGGAGTGCAGTGGTGCAATCTCGGCTCACGGCAACCTCCGCCTCCTGGGTCCCTGTTTAAGCAATTCTCCTGCCTCAGCCTCCTGAGTAGCTGGGATTACAGGCACATGCCACCATGCCCAGCTAATTTTTGTATTTTTAGTAGAGACGGGGTTTCACCATGTTGGCCGAGCTGGTCTTGAACTCCTAACCTCATGATCCACCCACCTCGGCCTCCCAAAGTGCTGGGATTACAGGTGTGAGCCGCCGCACCCAGCCTGGCACTGCTGTTTTAAGTCCACCCATTTTGTGGTACTTTTTTACGGTATCCCTAGCAAACTAATATAATAACCAAATGGGCTGAGGTCTGTTTGTAAAATAGCTTCAATAATTGTTTGAACCGATATGTCCAGTATCACAATAGTCACAAATAGGTACCAACTGTGTAATTCCCAAAACATTTAGTTGCATAAAGTTGTACCTGTCCTTAAAAATCTATCCAACATACTTTAGAATGGAAGGATGAGGCCAACACTACCTGACCGCACTGTCAACGCCCCAAACACATCTTTAGTCAAATGTTGTGTTCACTGCCTCACTGCAACAAAAGAAAATGTATGCCAAAGGGAGCCATGCAGCCTCAACAAGGTGTTAGAAAGGATTTATAAGGTCTGGGCTTGTGGGGATGATTTGGGGGAAATTTAAGGAAACAGAGCTTTGCTCTTAATTGGATGCTGCCAGGAAGCACGGGTGAGTCTATTATTGGATATTTTAGTAATTCTCATCTAAAAGGCAGAAGGAACAAAGTAAAGCTAAACCTGTAAATGGTAAAGAAGCAATAGCCATTTATATTAGCCAAGAAAGACAGGTGTTTTGTGGTTTGGACAATGTACTTCTTTTTATATGCACTCAGATATGATTATGGTATTGTCTTGTTTTATCTTGCTCCATTAGAGTCACAGATTGGTCCTGCATTATGCTGGTATTCTGTGAAGCTGGTGATGTTCAACAGGAGAACACCAAGGTTTTAGCTGTGAGTTCCAGGCCAGCTCTTCTCTTTCTTACCATGGGGCAATCTTAACAACCCTACCAGTAAGGCAACTGGATATTATGCACCCCCAGATGGGTTGCAAGGAGAAGTATGCCACATCACTATGGAAGAACCCTTGTTAAAAAAGAAAAAAATTCCATCTGAATCTAATGAAAACTTCAGCACTGTCCAACAGAAATATAAGCTACATATGTAATTTAAAATTTTCCAGTAAGCACATTTAAAAAGTCAAAATGGGCCGGGTGCGGTGGCTCATGCCTGTAATCCTAGCACTTTGGGAGGCCGAGGCAGGAGGATCACAAGGTCAGGAGTTCAAGACCAGCCTGGCCAACATGGTGAAACCCCATCTCTACTAAAGATACAAAAAATTAGCCAGGCGTGGTGGCGCGCACCTGTAATCTCAGCTACTCAGGAGACTGAGGCAGGAGAATCGCTTGAACCCGGGAGGCAGAGGTTGCAGTGAGCTGAGATCACGACACTGCCCTCCAGCCTGGGTAACGGTGAGACTCTGTCTCAAAAAAAAAAAAAAGTAAAAATGAAGAGGTGAAATTAATTTTAAAATATATTTCAGGTAATACATCCAAAATATTTTAATATATAATCAATATAAAAATATTATTACAACATTCTATTCTTTTCGTAATAAGTCTGAATTCTGGTTGTGCATTTTACACTCACAGCACATTTCGATTCATACTAACTCACATTTAAAATGCTCAGTAGCCACATGTGACTAGTGGCTACCATATAAACAGTACGGATCCACATCTAACTCCCAGTTTCGTAGAAATATGAGAGATAGAGGAACACCTATGTCCATCAAAGGATACAATTAGCTTAATCTAAAATCTGTGAAGGTCTACATGAAGGACTTAGTTTCTTCAACAAATAAATAAGGGAGAATAAAAGGAAAAAGAAGCCTTTATAGATTAAAAGGTTCTTTAGGGTCATATTAACCAAATGCAATCTGTGGACCCTGTTTGAATCTTGATTTGAAAACACAAACTGTAAAAAGATATTTTTATAGTCAGTTGGAGAAACTGGATACCAGACACTGTCTTTTAGATGATTTTAAAAATTATTGTTGTATTGTTGGATGTGATAATGTTGTTGTAGTTATATTAAAGCAAAAAGTCCTTATCCGTTGAAGATATATGCTGAAATATTTATATGTAAGAAAATCATATCTGAAATTTGCTTTAAAATATTTCAGCAAAAAAAAAAAAGTAGGAAGGAGAAAGGTAAAACAAAAATGGGAGAATGTTGATAATTGATAGGCGATGGGTACCCAGGAGTATATGATACTTTTTTCCTTACTATTGTGTTTGTTTGAATATTTCCATAATAAAAAGCTTAAAAATAAGTGTGATAAGAGTAAAAACAATCCATCTTTTTGTTTATTCTCTTAATTGTGGTAAAGTTTCACTGGTGTATACATATCTCAAAACCTATCAAACTGTACACTTTATGTGTCACTTGTTGTATGTCAATTAAACCTGAATAAAGCTGTTTAATAAAACAATCTATTATAGGACCGCACATACTTGGGAACCTAGTAAGGATAAGAAGTTTTCACGTGTATTATTTCAATTAATGAGGAAGATAATTTGTTACAACATATGTAAGTGTGTAAGTGACAGACCCCAATTCTTTCTGGCCTGAGAAACCAAAATGGAGGATTATTTTCAGGTCTGGTCTTATGAGCTAATAAGTTAGCCTGCAACTATTTCACAGATGCTGCCAGAGGATACAAAACTTCTGAATCAGATACAAGGAACTGTGTTACTCATGGTACAACAATGATGGTGTAACATGAGGAGCATTAACATATTTACATGGATTCCCTTGAACCCACTGATGGCAGCATTGGACTGTCCGGAGTGGCCCCTGGGAAGACGCTGCCTGTGGCAGGGGAGGCACAGCCAAGGTTGTGTGCTCTGTGAGGCCAGCAGGAGCTGGGAACAGGTGGAAGCCCCATCCCCTACTGAGTTGGTAGGGCAGGAACCCCACATTCCTGGGCACAGCTGCAGCCGCCCAGCCGCGGCTGTGAACCCATGCATCCCTGCGCTCTCGGGGGCCCAGGAAGCCCCTCTGCCCCTGCTGGGTTGGAAGGGCCTGCTTCTTCTCCCTGGCCTCTCCCCCCTCCTGGTGCCTGCTCCAATTTTGGAGCAAAGTTGAAGCTGAGCCCAGGCGCTGTTGTGACCCACCTGGGTGTGCATGCACTGGAGGCAGCACTGATATGATAGCATCCCCCTCCCCCTCCCATCACCTTGGCTCCCTCTGAAACTTTGGACATGCACGAGCTCAGGGAGGGAGACTGGGGGGTGCTGAGGGCGGCTCCACGTGGGCCTGCAGATACTCCTTGGCACAAACATCCTGGGCACCATGGATGGCATGTTGATGGCAGGAGGCAGGTTACTGGGCAGGAAAGGGACGGATCCCTGGTGAAACCCCACCTTCAAGCCAGGACAGCCTGAAGCCTGGGGGCTGGGCTGCCACTTCCAGGTGGAGTCCAAGGCCCAGAGTGAGAACTTGTGGTTTTTCCGGGCTGCCCATGGCAGCCCATGGACCAATCAGCATGCACTTCCTCCCATTTGAGCCCATAAAAAGCCAGACTCACACAGACATCAGGACTACCAGCTGCGGAAAGGAGCTACTCACTGCAGGTCTCCTGAGAGCTGTTCTGTTGCTCAGTGAAGCTCCTCTCCACCTTCCTCACCCTCCAGTTGTCTGGTACCTCATTCTCCCCAGACATGGGACAAGAACTCAGGACCTGCCAAATGGCAGGACTCAAAGTGCCGTAACAAAAACAGGGCTGAAACATGACCCCCTGCTTGCCACATTGTGGGCGACGAGAAGGAGAAAAGACCAGTAGCCCTTCGGGGAATCCAGATTTAGGGCGTCCCCACGCCAGGGCTTTGACACCTTCTTTGGGGGCTCTGTGGTTCCTGGCATCTCCAAGCTATTGGGCACCAAGTTCCCCTCATCCAGATGCAGGTGCCCGCAGCCGAAGCCGTATGTGGTACATCTGGTCCAGCAGCAGCCTTCCACAGAGCTGGCACCTGTGCTGGTGCCTGGAAGTGCCCGCCCCATCACAGCAGCCGGCATGCCTAGCTGTGCGTAGTAGCTTGAACCCACACTCGCTCACCCACACACCCATCACTGCTCCGTGTCCAGCTTGCCCTTGGCAGGTATGGGATCTGGGCTGGTAGCGCAAGCTGAGCACAGCCTGCCAGGCCGAGTGGGTAGAATGAGCCCAGAGGGCATTAGCAATACTCAGGCAGGAGGCACTGTCGCACACAAGGTTTCCAGCTGGCAAGGTGACAGCCCAAGGATCCCGAGACACCATGTCCTTCCACGGTGACACAGCATGGCTCAGATGGATACTTTGCACACGGTTACATTTACATTGCAACCAAAGAACACTGAGCTTAGGAAATCCATCACCACTTTTCTAGCAAGCAATTATCTCCCATTGGCCTGGGTCACTTCCCTTTCCCTGATCTGTGGCCAAGGGTAGACTGCTCTAGTTAGCCAGGGTCAGAGCAGCTTTGTATGGCTGGACAGGTTGTGTAATATACACAGCACCACATGTAAAGAGGCACCATTCACACCATATATATCATAAATCTGTATATGAAATAAAACAATTTCCAATGGATGAAGGGAAAGGGTCCTGAGGAAGGTGCTGCATGGGTGGCCCTGGCCAGTGTCATGTGTCCGTTTTCTAGCTGTGAGGTGAAGTCAATCCTACCCAAACCACACAATGTAGTTCCCCAAAGTGACACCAAGGAATGTTTATCAAGAGTGGGAATGGGCCAGACACAGTGGCTCATGCCTGTAATCCCAGCACTTTGGGAGGCCAAGGTGGGCAGATCACTTGAGGCCAGGAGTTAAGACCAGCCTGGCCAACATGGTGAAGCCCCATCTCTACCAAAACTACAAAAATTAGCCGGGTGTGGTGGCATGTGCCTGTAGTCCCAGTTACTTGGGTGGCTGAGGCATGAGAATCACTTGAACCTGGAAGGCAGTGGTTATGGTGAGCCAAGATCATGCCACGGTACTCCAGCTTAGGCAAAAGAGCAAGACTCTGTTTTTCTGTTTTTTTTTTTTTTAAAGAGTCGGAATGGATATGGATGCTGGAAAGACAAAACCACAGATGCCCATTACCCACCAGTATGATTATTGCCATTTTCCAGATGAAGATACTGAGATTCTGCAGTTAAGAAAATTGCCCACTCCCATAAACTACAGAAAGGGACAGACTCAAACCCAAGTCTGTAAATTAGCCAGGTGGGGTGGTGCATGGCTATAGTCCGAGCTACTTGGGAGGCTGAAGCAGGAGGATCGCTTGAGCTCAGTATATCAAGCCAACAGTGAGCCCTGATTGGGCCACTGCACTCCAGCCTGAAAAACACAACAAGATCCTGTCTCAAAAATAACAATCACCAAGTCTGGGTGACTCCTGAACACACCCATTTTCCATTTTAGCCATCCGAATTCCCTGTTGTTAAGGCCAAGTCTAAACTTAGGTCTTTGTTGTTCAAATCCTTTTGATGAATGTTCCCACTTTTCCACCTAATCTCACCTCTCAGCACTCAAAATGGAATCCACTTTGAAGACCGTCTCCTGCCCTCATGCATTCCTTTTAGGAACCTATGATCCTTCTATTCTTATTTGAAATAAGCATTCTCTCTAAAACTCAAAGGCGTATGATCCCTTAAAGTCAAGATCAATACGTCCATCATAAACTCTAAATTCTTCCCACAAAATCAAAGATTTTGCATTCATTTGAAATAACCTCAACTTACCATTTAATTTCCCCAACGGGGCTTAAGTGCTGAGAAGCCAGAGGTCATGTCTTTCCTTAAAACACATAATAGGCTGGGTGCCATGGCTTATGCCTGTAATCCCAGCATTTTGGGAGGCTGAAGCAGGAGGATCACTTGAGCCCAGGAGTTCGACACTAATGTGGGCAACATAGCCAGACCTTGTCTCTACAAAAAATAAAAAATCAGCCTAGTGTGGTGGCGGGTGCCCATGGTACCAGCTACTCAAGAGACAGAGGCCGGAGAATCACTTAAGTCCAGGAGTTCGAGTTACAGTAAGCTACATATCATGCCACTGCACTCCAGACTGGGCAACTGAGTGAAACCCAGTCTTAAAAAACCAACCAACCAACCACACATAACAGACAACTTTTGGAGTATCTGGCCAGCCCCAAACTGCTCTTGTCAGAATTCCTCCCACCCACCCACAAGGGCAGACGAGTGGCAGCCATGTTTCCACCCAGTGAGCCTGTCTGTGTGGCCTTAGCTTAATGGACTGGGAATGGTCACGTGACCTAAGCTGTCCAGTCAGATTCTCTCTTCTGAGATTTGGCTTAAATCTGAGATCTGGCAGTGCCTCATCCCTCAGGAGAGGCAGCTGGAACACAGGATGATAAACTCAAAATCTGCAGGCTGGCTACCTTTGACCTTGGGCTCTGGAAAGCAGTAAGAGCCAGTTTGCAGAAAGGGGAAGGGTTAAATAAACTCTATGACAAATAATTGGAGAGCACAAGTTGCCTGTTTACTGGAGGTTTGCAGCTCCTGATTCTAGGGGTCTCAGGCCTGTGGACACTGCCCACCCCTGTTTTCCATGAGACCCCCTGAAGTAGTCTGAAATAAGTTTCATCTTATTCGAAGGAATTTACAATGGACCTAGCCCAAGGCTGGGCATACAGTAAATATTTTCACACTTGATGAATGCACCAATAAGGTAAATGGTTTGCATCTTATTACTCAATGCTATAGCACTCATTACACGGTAGATCAGCTATTCATTTGCCAGAATTATTTATGTTTATGCTGTGGAGACAGTGAAACAGGGGCTGGAGGAGGGAGAGGCTGGTGAGGTGGTGGAAGGCAGAGTCCCTAGGTGACTTGTGTAGGCCCTTGGTGAAGGCAGGGGCAGCAGGGATGGCGTGGTGAGCTAGGTGTGCAGGACGCACAGAATTTGGCTAAGCTGGAGGGAGGGAGACATAAGGACACCTCCTGGAGTCGAAGCAAGACAAACAGGGCAGTAACGGGGCCACAACCAAGTCGGAGAAGACAGAAGGGGAAGGAGCAGCTTTTCTACTTTTTCTTGGAATTTCTGTAGCATAGACAGCTGGAGGAACCAATTTTAAAAATCACCTGCTTTCCATTATGGAGTCAGATTCTCCCTTTTATTACCATCTCTTTTCTTGGACTCAATGACAGTCTGTTATTGGATTTTTAATCTGACAAAACTGATGTCAAAGGAAAGGAATGTATTATTTGAGGCCTCAAGGTTATGTCAATTTTGCTGGTTCTCAGTGATCCACACTGTCTGTTGGGTTAGGCTGGCGTGGACGAGGCTCTTTGGGGGAATCTCAGATCAGACTTAGGGATGTGGGGATGGAGAATAAGGAGATTATTCCGGACTCTCTCCCCTCTGCCTTTCTTCACTTCTCACTAAGGGATAGAGATCTAAGAACAAACAGTCCTAGGAGAAATGCTGTATATGCAACTCTGCCTCAACAGCGGGTTCAGAAAGGAGGCCAGCAGGGATCCAAGGATGGTTCCTAGAGGAGAGAGGACAGAAGACTCCCCAAGGTAGGAAAGTTTCAGGAGCTCTGTACCTTCGGGTATACGCTGCCCTCTCTCTGGACTGCAGTCTTTACCCTCTTCTTTGGTTGTCACATTCCTACTCTTGCTTTTTCTTGATGTCTTCCTCACACTTGCCCAGGAAGTGCTGAACTTCACCCTCCTCTCCTTTCCCATCTCCATAATACACGTATCACACTGTATTAGATTTTCCATATGATGTCTGGCAGGACAGCCAAATGGTTAAGAGCACAGTCACTGGAGTTAAAACAGCCTGGATCCAAATCATGTTTCTGTCACTTATCAGCATGTGACCTAGGACAAGGGATTAAACCTCCTCTTGGAGGTTTGTTCATCGCTTAAAGGGGATTAATAGACTACATGCCTTAGAGCGTTCTAATAAGGATTAAATGCCATGTGCTTAAAAGAGTGTCTGGGGGCCGGGCACAGTGGCTCACGCCTGTAATCCCAGCACTTTGGGAGGCCGAGGTGGGTGGATCACCTGATGTTAGGAGTTTGAGACCAGCCTGATCAACATGGAGAAACCCTGTCTCTACTAAAGATAAAAAATTAGCAGCGCATGGTGGCTCATGCCTGTAATCCCAGCTACTCAGGAGGCTGAGGCAGGAGAATCGCTTGAACTCGAGAGGTGGAGGTTGTGGTGAGCCTAGATCACACCATTGCACTCCAGCCTGGGCAACAAGAGTGAAACTCCATCTCAAAAAAAAAAAAAAAAAGAAAAGAAAAAAAAAAGAGTGTCTGATATCCAGTGAGCATTGTGTAAGGGTTTTATAATTAATGTTATTCCCCTACCAGGCTACTATCTCTCCAAAAATCAAGCCTGGGCTTGATATTATCCATGGCCTCCAAATATGACACTATTGACTGAATAAATCTTTGCACTTAGCCAGCTGACCAGTGGCCACAACCTGGCTCATAACCTTCATCTCTACTCGACCCAGGAAGCCCCTCTTGGAGCACTAGATCCTCCAACCTATTTCCTTCTTTCTGGGATCTCCAAGTTATACTCACATACTGCCTTTGGGTTACTCTTCTTAAATTTAATATTTAATATTAATTTAAATTTAATATTAATTTCAGCAAGTCACCTCTCAGACCCAAAGACCTGACTGAAGCTCCTAGTTCCTTTCTCAGCAGTATAATGCCCACCTTTTCTGGCTGGCTAGTCTTTATCACCCATTTTGGCACCAACCCTGCAGCTAAATAAATCCTTCACTAAAATAACCCCCAGAAAGGCAAGGACAACACACTTTTTAAAAAATAACACACGAAACACATGAATAAATTCTCATTGTACAAACAAAAAAGAACAAGAGAAGAAAAAAGAAATAAACTCCAGAAATATAGGAAGTATGTATGTTTTCCATACTGCATATCCATTCACATTCCCCCTCCCTGGAGGCAGCTGCTGCCGTCAGTTCACTGTCTTCTTCCAGACCTTTCTATGCCCTTGTAAACATATAGTCATTTTGCCTTGCACGGTATTTTCTACAGAAATGGAATCATTTTGGGTTTTTTGGCTTCAGTGTTTTTTGTTTGTTTGTTTGTTTTTTGAGACGGACTCTCGCTCTGTCGCCCAGGCTGGAGTGCTGTGGCACAATCTAGGCTCACTGCAACTTCTGCCTCCTGGCTTCAAGTGATTCTCCTTGCCTCAGCCTCCCAAGTAGCTGGGACTACAAGTGCCCACCACTAGGCCCAGCTGATTTTTGTAATTTTAGTAGAGACAGGGTTTCACCATGTTGGCCAGGTTGGTCTCAAACTCCTGACCTCAAGCGATCTGCCCGCTTCAGCCTCGCTAAGTGCTGGGATTTCAGGCGTGAGCCACTGTGCCCAGCCACAGTGTGCTTTTTTCATGTAACAAATTGTCTTGGAGAACTTTTCTAAATTGCAGAGGGTTTTATAGGATGGCTTTCCATAGTTCTTTTTCTTATTGATGGACACTGAGGTTGTTTCCAAACTAAATGATGATTTCATTTTCGCACATCTTCTATCACATCAAATTATCATCTGAAAAATATGGATTTACATAAAAATAAGAAATAAGAACATTAATTCTGGTTTTGTTGGTGTTCAATTTTTTTGTTTCTATAGCTGTAAATAACAAAAATAATATTCCTATATTTGTTTCCTTATATTTAAATAGCATTATAATAAAAAATCATTTTACATATAAGCCTTGTGACCTGGGACAGGTGTATTAGTTATATATTGCTGAGTAACAAATGATCCCAAAACTTCATGGCTTAAAACAACAAACACTGAAGCCAGGTGCAGTGGCACACACCTGTAGTCCCAGCAACTTGGGAGGCGGAGGCAGGAGGATTGCTTCAGCCTGGGAGTTCCAGGCTGTAATGCACTATGATTGTGTCTGAGAATGGCCACCGCACTCCAGCCTGGGCAACATAGTAAGACCCTATCTCTAAAAATAAAGATAAAAATAAAAACAGCACATATTCATTATCTCACAGTTTCTGTGTTCAACTCAGCTGAGTCCTCTAGTTCAAGGTGTCACAGGCACAATCACTTGTGAGCCAGGGTTGCAATCATCACAAGGCTCGGCTGAGAGAATCCACTTCCAAACTCACTCACTGTTGGCAAGCCCAGGGTTCTCACTAGCTGTTGGCCAGAGACATCAGTTCCTTGCCACGTGGACCGTTTAGCAGAGCTACTCCCAACATGGTAGCTGGCTTCATCCACAGAGAGGGCTCAGAGAGTGTTACAGACTGAATACTTGTGTCCCCTCAAAATTCACATATTGAAACTGTACTCCCTAATGTGATGATATTAGCAGGCAGGGTCTTTGGGAGGTAATCAGGATTACAGGAGGTGCTAAGGGTGTAGCCCTCATGGAGAGGGTTGGTATCCTTAGAAGAGTCCTGAGGGAGCTTCCTTCCTATCTCTGCTACGTAAGGACACAGTGAGAAGGCTGCCATCTACAAACCAGGAAGCAAGCCATCGCTAGACACCTGTGGCACCTTGACCTTGGTCTCCCCGTCCTCCACAACTGTGAGAAATAAATGTTTGTTATTTAAACCACCCAGTTTATGATATTTTATTATAGCAGCTCGAGCTAAGACAGCAAGCGAGAGGAACGGAGGGACAGTAAGACAGAATTCATAGTCTTTTTTAACCTAATCTCAGAAGTGACATTCTATCACTTTGACCATATTCTGTTCACTTAAAGCAGGATCAGCCCTCATTCACAGGAAAGGTGTTACATATTGGGCGACACCAGGAGGAGGGATCCCTGGGAGCCTTCTTAATGATGACTTCCTACAACTCTCTTGGCCTCTCTGTACCTGTTTTGTCATCTATAAAGATCTACCCTATAAAAGACATTGTGAGAATTAAGAGAATTAAAATATGTAAAGTACTTGGAACACTCCCTGGTACAGGGTGAGCACTAATTAGCTAAGTGTGGATACAAAAATAATGCAAATACATAGAACTGCTCTTAGTACACAGTGCTAAGTCCATGATGGTTGTTCAAAAAAATGCTTGAATTAGGAGTACTTGAGTATAGGAGTTTGAGGCCAGCCTCGGCAACACAGTGAGACCTCTTCTCTACAAAAACTAAAAAACTAGCAGGGCGTGATGGCACGTGCCTGTAGTCCCAGCTACTCAGGAGGATCCTTTGAGCCTGGGAGGTTGAGGCTGCAGTCAGCCATGATCCAGCCACTGCATTAAGCCTAGGTGACAGAGTGAGACCCTGTCTCAAAAAAAAAAAAAAAGATTTGAATTAAGAGACCTACAATTATTCAAAAGAAGTTTGAGCATTTGGAAATTACCCCAGAAACAGATGAAGTTAAAAGTTCCTACTATAATTACCAGGGGGCCTTACATCACCTCCAGATTTCCCACAAGCTTCCCCTGATGAGGAATTTCCATGCAGCAAGCTCCAATGCATACCTGAGTCATCTCTAAAAAGCCAACCACAATTTGCTCTGCAAATGCACATTTGCCTGATGGCAGAAGTTGCCTGATTTGCAAAACCACACAATTTGTAAGTTACAGAAAAAAGGGCAAGAGCTTGTCTGCCTAGCTGGAGCATTTCTCACTGTGCTCAGCAGTTTAGTGAAATTAGGAACTCACCTGTGAGGTGTTTTTTTTAAGACTCACCCTGCTATTTTAAGGAAAGAAAAGGCTACTCAGTACACCCCTAGTCTTTCAAGCTTAGCATAGAGCAGATGGGTTAAGGAGAGGTGTCCTGCTTGACATATGCAATCTGGGACTCAGTAGGTGGGCGAATGAGACCAACCTCTCATACAGTAGATGTGGTAAATGAGTCATGAATCAGGAGATAACAAAAGGCTGGACCCTGCTCCCCCAGACCACAAAGTCACTCACTAAACAGGCCAAGAAGCAGCAGCGACACTCCAAAGGGTAAATAAACCTCCCAACAACTCAACTCAGCACACATTTTGAGTACACGCTAAATTCGACCTCTGAGCGGACTGCCCGCTGGAAGAGGAGGCTCTAGCTCATAGTGCCCGGTATGCAAAGGTCACCTTTCTTTGTTTCAAAAGTCACCAAGGAAGGAGGAAGAAGAAAGGCGACTGGGAAGACCAGCCTGGTCATTGATGTGGCTCACATAGCAGACCTATCCACTCTCCCCCTGCCTACCTTCAGCAACTGCCCAGAGTTTTTTTGTTTTGCTTTTGTATTTTAATTACCCTGGTTGACTTAATCAGGTGTGCAATGATGTGAAGGAGGAAGAAAGAAGAAATTTCTCTATACCAGGGGAGGCATCTGCCAGGGTAAGAGTGGATGGGTTCGCTGTATTTTTAGAAAAATAAACCAAATTCTCTCTGCAGAGAATTGCTTTTCCTGTTATTTCTTTCAACACCTCCCAAACCAAATTGTTTTCTGAATGACCAGGGCCTATCTAGCTGGAACACTTAAAGCTCGTGTCAATGGGGCAAGGGTGAGGACTCCAGTCTCCTAATGAGAGCTAGTAAGAAGCCGTGGGGATGGAGGTCATCACACAGAGAGGCTAGAAGTGGAAGGAAAGAAAATGTGTTCCATTAATAAATTCCAAATGCTTTGATTTTAAATTAAGAATGAAAAATATTACATTTCCTCCAATAACAGTAAAACAGTAGGTGATTTTTGTGTTATCACTTATATTTTGTGTCATAAAAAGGTGAAAATGAAATAAATAGAACATGATTTAATTTTTCTCTCTAGACCAGCTAAGGAAAGAGTTTATGTAAAGTTTGCCCACAAAATTTAGTGCTTTATTATAGGCTGAACAACTGTTTTCTGACTCTGTTGAGTGTGCTAATCTTAACTGTTTAACAAGACTGTAAGTAGGAATCAGGCATAATTTAGAGGCATACAGACTAGTAGTTAAGAAGGGCTCCTAGCGTGTTCCCACATTCTCAGCTGTGTGATCTTGAGCAAAGTAACCTATGTCTCGGTTTCCTCAACTGTAAAATGGAGATAACAGTAGTATTCATCACAGAGAGTTATGATAAATACTTAAAACTATCCATGCCCAACATACAGTGGGCACTCAATTAACATTAGTTATTATTTTATGCTCCCTACCTATCCAAAAACTCAGGTTCAGCCATGTTACTAAAGAGCTTCCAAAAACCTACAAAACCTAGTGTTGTTGTGTGTTCTTAAAAAAACAAACAAAACCCTACAGTGGTTTACCCCTATCATTGAGGTAAATGTCTTATTAAGCCAGTTGAGGCTCCCCTTGTGCTAACGCCACACCCCTACACTCCCGTTATATCCCCTCCAAGTCCCAATGCAATCCCAGAATACATGCTTTCACTCTGTGCTTTTTAGCTCCTGCTATAATGCCTGCCCACCCCGTGGTATCTGAAATCCTTCTTCTCCCACGAGTGCTTGGTTATTGGGCCTTGCTCTCTTACTAGAATGTAAACTGCATGAGAACCATTCTCAGAGCTCCAACAGTAGCTGACACATGATAAATGCTCAGGAAACATTTACTGAACGATTGAATACACCTATTAAGTTTTTTCAAGATTTATACCAAATTCCATCAATTCCATGCATGTATTCTTTCTACAGAAGCCCTTTGTAAGATTAAACTTTATTTCTTCTGGGCTCTTACGCCATATTTCTTGGACAAATTGTATTCATTCATTTTAAACATCCACTAATATTTTTAAAAGATAAGAGCTAATGTTTAAACAGTGCTTATGATGGGCGAGGTTGTTTTAAAAGCTTGAAATATATTAAACTCATTTACTCCTCACTGCCCCACCTATAAGATAGGTATTTTTTTTTCCACTTTTACAGTTGGAGGGAACCATTTTTCACTCAGTCCTAACAGTTGGTCCTTACCTCTGTGTCTCCTATAAATTTCCGATTTCTACCTAAGGTAACCCTTTCCCCAATTCCGGAATCGTTGGCTCAAGCAAAGTCTGCAGAAAAACAATTTTAACTCGGAGCACACAGTTACATTTGGACATGCGGTTCACCCCGGGCAACCGTGCCCTCTAGCGCTTCTGCTGGGCGCGCAGGGTGGCCCTACGCCTCGCAACAAAGACTCGGACTTCGGCCGGCTCTCTACCAAGCGGACGCAGCGCCTTACACTGGAGTTTCACCCACTGTCTTCAGAGACCTCACGACCCAACCTACGTTTCTGACATTTCTAGATGATCTCGAACTCTTAGCCAACGCTGCCCATGAGCTCCCTCCTCGGCCTGCTATACGAGCCAGGGGCGCTCAATTCAACGAAGCTTCCTCCTGGTCCGCTGGGAAAGGAATAAAGGGAGCTTACATCCTCCCCACCGCCCCCCTCTTTACTCAACCCCACCGTTAACTGTACAAAACTAGGTCCTGTGCCCGCTGCAGACCCAACTCGAGCCCCTCGCCCTGCTCCCACCCAATGCTTCTCGTCCTGACTCCGAACACAGAACGCGGGTGGCCGCTTCGCCCTCTTCTCCTGCGTGCTGGTGACTCAGCCCTGAGAAGAGAAACCTCTCGGTTTTTTCCGACTAGTGCAGGGGCGCCCGCGCCCCGCCCCTGCCCGCCCGCGTCCGGTCCCACCCACCGTCCACGCTCCCGCCCCGCCTGAAGTTGCCTTTCTCGTTTGAGCTGAGGGACGCGTCAGCCAGGCACCCCGGGGTGTGGCCAGAGGACTTCGGCGACGCTTCCCCGAGAGTAGCCCCCCTCCTCAACCCAGAAAAGACAACCCCGCGGGGCTGCAGCGAGCCAGGCATGCTCACTGGCGCAGGCCCGGCCCGCAGCCCGAGCAGGAAGCGCCGGCGCTAGGCGGCCCCCTGCGCTGCCAGCTGGAGCCGGGCGGAGCCAGCGCCCCGGCGCAGGGTGGCTCTGCCAGTCCCCGCGCGCCTGGGCGGCCGCACACGTGTCCAGGCGTCACGTCCGCGCGCGCCCCCGGGGCTTGCGTCAGCGGCTGTTCCAGAAGCGGGTGGGCCAGGGCTCTGCGCACCGCTGGGGTTCGGGGCCCGGGACGCCGCCGGGAGGAGGGCACCGCGCGGGGTCCGACGCGGAGGCGTGCTCGGAACGCCGGGGGCTGCGGAGTGCATCAGCGCGGTCCAGCCCTCCGCCTGCCGGGCGCCGAGCGTCTCCGCCGCCCGGACCTGGGCTGGGCGCCGTGGCGTTGCCTCGGAGCTCGCTGCCCGCGGGGCGCGCACCGCCTTGACCCGGGCGGCCCCGCGGCAGGCAGGCGCCCGCAGTTCCATGGTTGGTTCGGAGCGCGATGAGCCGCCCGTCCTCCACCGGCCCCAGCGCTAATAAACCCTGCAGCAAGCAGCCGCCGCCGCAGCCCCAGCACACTCCGTCCCCGGCTGCGCCCCCGGCCGCCGCCACCATCTCGGCTGCGGGCCCCGGCTCGTCCGCGGTGCCCGCCGCGGCGGCGGTGATCTCGGGCCCCGGCGGCGGCGGCGGGGCCGGCCCGGTGTCCCCGCAGCACCACGAGCTGACCTCGCTCTTCGAGTGTCCGGTCTGCTTTGACTATGTCCTGCCTCCTATTCTGCAGTGCCAGGCCGGGCACCTGGTGTGTAACCAATGCCGCCAGAAGTTGAGCTGCTGCCCGACGTGCAGGGGCGCCCTGACGCCCAGCATCAGGAACCTGGCTATGGAGAAGGTGGCCTCGGCAGTCCTGTTTCCCTGTAAGGTAAGCCCAGGGACAGCCCACGTACCTCCGCCGGTGACCTCAGGGACTCCGGTATCCGCCAGCCCACTCGCAGGCCCGGAGAGGCGGGCGGCATCTCTCATTTAAAAAAAAAAAAGAAAAAATGTTTACACTTCGTCCACCCTCCCTCAAGCCCACTTTGGGTGTAGGTCTGGGTTGACATTTACCGAGTAATAATTGTTAATAGACAATTAACAGATTAATTGGCATTTGCTGATCGTTAGAACATCGTAGCTCACCCGGCCCAATGCCCGCGTCCTCTGCAGACGTGTATTCGGGTACTCTCGGTAGGGCTGGGCCGCACCAGTAAAACTTGGACCGAGAAACTGACTGTGTGGGGATTGAGGAGGGAGGAAACGGGCGAGCTAAACGCCCCCTTTACCAGCGCTGGGCTCGGCTGAATTGATAATTGGAGTCCTGCACCCCGCGCCTACCGTCTGCGCACCCCTGACACGTGGGAGCTCTCGGGATTGTAGCTAAAAAAAGGGCGCCTACAGCCTGTTTTCCTCTAGCTAGAAGAAAACCCTGCAAGCCACGCCTTTTTCTCTCCTAGCCTTCCAAAGACTGGGAAGGACTGAGGAGTTGTGGCTGCGTTGTTGTACTAAGTGGGGTGAAAACAGTCAATCAAGAAATTAACAAGGGCACTCAAGAGCTGTTGTTACAGTTGTTTAAAGCTCATCACTTCATTTTTTATTTAATGTAAAAAGTTTTCAATGCCCTTGCGAAAAATGCAAGCCACCAAGACAAGAAGTAAAATGAAAGACCAAGATCTCTCCCCTCCTTTCCCACCATTGTTAGGTTTAGTGTGTATCTTTTTAAACTATATATACATACACCCTCGCAGCTAAATATAGAATCATAGATGTCAGTGTATGTCAGGGAGGTTTTTTAATACCCACACATAGATGTAAGTTTTTCTCCAAAAATGGCATCTGCAACTTGCTGTTCTTAAATTCATATTATCACACATATTTCTCTATGCCTGAAACCTAGTCGACTTCATTGTATTTTAAATGGCTGCATAGTATTGCATTGTGTGGTCATATTATAACATTTGTTTACCTGCAGCTATTACGTGGAAACCTTCAGGAGCAGTTTCACAGACATACTTGTCTACGTTATAACCTAGAAGTATACTGTAAAGTCATTTTCTGAAATTAGAAGTGGAGATAATGTCACTAATACTTTCCAGTTTTTTTGTAAAAGTAACTTGCGCTGCCTCTTGGGCCATTTAAGCTGTCTTGCATTTCTCCTTGGTGCTGCTTATTTTATAGGACAAGAGCTCATTTTTAAATTAAAAATAATCCACCAGAGAATTCAGGCTTGGGACTCAGGTCAGTAAAATGAGTGCTTTAATTTGGTCTGCTGCCCTGCTGCAAATCAGGTTTAAAATAGCATATTTAAATAAGAGTTTGAATCGGTGTTTGGACTAGGGTGTTTCAGGCAACCTTAATAAATTGCTGTTAACCCCTCCTCATATAGTGCTTACTAATTCACTCAGCCCAGTTTCTCAAAATTTAGATAAAGTATTTGCATAGTTGTCTTAGGGTTGTGAAAAAGGTGACAACCTAGTGGTTGGAAAAGGTTTGGTGGTAGTTAACATAGAGTGGCTATTTGATGCTTGAGATATATTGCAGGGGTGGGGGATGCCCCATAGGATTTCTGGGGAGCCATTTTCTCACCCCTTTACTTTCCCTTAAACGCGCAGCGGCTAACAAAAGAAATGGCTTTTAGGTGAGTTTTAGTTCACAAATGAGCATTTGATATTAGTCAGTAATCCATAATTTGTTTTTAAAATGTAACCATAATAGAATTGTGTTGTTCCCAAGAGAAAGGGAAGGAAACAGTTATGCTATATGGAGCATGAAGTTTCACTTTCAGGATCTAGAACTCTGGTTCCTATGAAAGCATACGTTCTTTCCTAACGTGAAACAGGCTACTGAAATCAACCTTGAAGAGTAGTTCTGGGAATCAGGGGTTCTCAGCCTTTCTGTACATGTCAGTGGTTTTCTGAGTCTCTATTCTATAAGAATGCAGTGGGGTAAAGCTATTACTTTGCAAGCTGAAATTTAAAAGGGCCAATTATTCCCCTGCAGACCAAGAACCAAGCTTAGGATGTGATCTTGGGGATGCTTTTGTGTGTGCATGTGTGTGAGTTGTATAAAGCTGGGGTGTGTGTCCCTCACCTTTGGTTGATCAATAATCCAAACTATTGGCAGGGCAGCTCAGCCAGTTAGTCTGGATAAACCAAACTTGAATGTATACATAGGCCCAGCGACCAACCAAGATGTGTTAGTTGTAGAGGATGAGAAACAACAGAGAGCCGTAAGGCCTGTATCAAACTTAAAACAAGGCAGATCTGTTTACCTAGCCCTTTGGCCTACAGTTTGAGGCTCCTAGAAATTATGGGACTGCCTTTTTACTGTCCCCACCTGCTCTCAGAATCTCTCATGGGCTGGCTCATGTGAAAAAAACCAACGTTGAATAAAGTACCAGAGCCCACATCTCAAGAGCTGCCACTGTTTGCCTGAAAGACCACCTCCCAGGGCCTTGATTTCCTCATCTATACAAATGAGAGATGAATCTGCTTGACTTCTAAGGACCTGTAGCTTCTAGCATTCTATGAAAAGAAGGGAGGCTATCTGGAATGTTATTGGATGCCCTCTATCTGCCAGTTACTTTGCAGGGGTCAGCTTTTACTAGTTTGCCTTTTTTTTTTTTCAGATGAGGAAACTCATGCCTACAGAGTGGTTAAATGTGAAGTGACTTGTCAAATCACACAGCTAGTAAGAGGACCAGTCCAAGCACCTGCATCTCAAAGGCACAGATGTTTTGTCCTACACCTTACTACGTAGGGATTTCGAATCTGAGTGTATACTCAAGATTCTGAATCATAACTCAAGGTTGACACCAGTAACAAAACCGTCTGGTTGGATGAGTTCACCAGATGGGCCTCTTATGGGACCATCCCAAAATGACAACATACATACTCACTATGAAATTCATTGGCAGGAATTTTGTAGGGCATGTAGGGTAGGAAGATGGGAGGGTGGGGGAAACCTACAAACCTAGTATTTTGTGGGGTATCATCACAGCTCTGGACTGCTTCAGTTGGCAAAAAAATGGATGTATTGCCAAATAACTATCCCACTTAGGTTTAGGGTAATTAATTAAAGGCTAGAGTGTTGCCAGCACCTTTGATATGGGGAACCGGATGCATTATTAGCTCAGATCTTTGGGTGTGGTGACTCATGCCTGTAATCCCAGCACTTTGGGAGGCAGAGGTGAGCAGATCACCTGAGGTCAGGAGTTCGAGACCAGCCTGGACAACATAGTGAAACCCTGTCTCTACTAAAAATACAAAAATTAGGGCCAGGCGCAGTGGCTCACGTCTGTAATCCCAGCACTTTGGGAGGCTGAGGTGGGTGGATCACCTGAGGTCAGGAGTTTGAGACCAGCCTGACCAACATGGAGAAACCCCGTTTCTACTAAAAATACAAAAAAGTTAGCTGGGCATGGTGGCACATGCCTGTAATATCAGCTACTCAGGAGACTGAGGCAGGAGAATTGCTTGAACCCGGGAGGCAGAGGTTGCAGTGAGCCAAGATCACGTCATTGCATTCCAGCCTGGGCAACAAGAGTGAAACTCAGTCTCATTAAAAAAAAAAAAAAAAAAAATAGCCAGGTGTGGTGGCAGGCACCTGTAATCCCAGCTACTCAGGAGGCTGCGGCAGGAGAATCGCTTGAACCCAGGAGGTGGAGGTTGCAGTGAGCTGAGATTGTGCCACTGCACTCCAGCCTGGGTGACAGAGCAAGACTCTGTGTCAAAAAAAAAAAAAAAAAAATGGAATGTCTAATAGTGTATGGCTTTCTTCCGCTTGGGGTATTTTTTAATCCATTCTGTGGCTTGTTCCATGCCTGAGAACTTTTGACATCCTGTGCCCAGACTTAAACTCACCCCTTCAGTGTGTGGGTTTAGGGGGAGAAGTGAAGGTTGACACATTCATATCAACAACATAGTCTACTTTACCATCCAACGATGTATTTTGATATCAGCCAAGTATTTCTCTCTACAACTGTGAGCAATGCTAATCCACTCCAGCCTTCTTACACTGTAATGATACCTTTTCTTTGTCCTCTCTGAAAGTTTCTAGTAGCATATCTCCAAATAATTATTGAATTTGAAAGCCTCAGCTGGACAAGTCTTCTCTGTGGTTGAATTGTGACAATGTCTGTGTTCCTTAAAAAAATAAAAAATAACATAAAACCAAGTAAGGTTAGACAAAACAGTTGAAAGTTTAAAATCCCTTGGCCTCATCTAGTTCAGTGGAGACAAACTTTCTAAATGGGAGGAGGGCCATGTAATGAGAGGAGAGGAGAGGAGAGAAGTATTTGATGCACTCATGGCCTCAGGGTCAGGGAGACCTGGAGGAGCAGTGGAGATGGTGGAGAGCCAGAGAACAGGTGCCACCTCCCAAGAGGCAGCCTTTACTCACCTCTGGCTGATTGGTGGGGTTGGGGATGTGGGTACAGGCATATCAGACCTTTAGATTTTTTTCAAGAAAAGCCAGAAATCTGGATCTTTTTTTTTTCCTTTAAGAGATGTCATCTCACTATGTTGCCCAGGCTGGTCTTGATACTCCTGAGCTCAAGCAATCCTCCTATCTCGGCCCCCCAAAGTGCTGGGATTACAAGTGTGAGCCACCGTGCCCAGCCTGGATTTTTTTTTTATGTTAAATATCTCGATTTTTTTTCTAGCATTGGCTGACTTCACATGTATAACCACCACTTGCAGACAAAGCGAACCACCACGTCTCCAGGCCAAATTCCAGCTGCCAGCATGCAGCCTCTGATCTGATTCTCTTGTAGAAGCATTCCTTGAGCCTGGAAGTTCTCATTTAACTCTTGCCATACATGAACTTTGGAACTCTGTTAGGCCCTAACTGTTGGTGATTTTGTAGCTTGTTTTCTTTTCATCTTCATTTTGCCAAGAGAATATTATTTTCTGGCCATCAGGAACCCTCAGATGATGGCCTTGTGACTAGATGTTTGACTCTATACAGGTCAGTTTCTTTTTTGCACCTGAGGGTCTTTAAGAGAAGGGATTGGACTAAATGATTATCCCAAGGTTCTTTCTTACCCTAAAATTTTAAAATATAGTAAGCGGTCCCAGTGAAAAGAACGTGAGCCAGGAAACAGAAGACCTGGGTTCTCGTCCTGGCTTTGTGTGACTTTGGTCCAGTCACATACTTCCCTGACCCTGTTTGTTCATCCATTAGAAAGAACGGAGATGACGCCTAGTTAGTGGGTGCTTGGAAATCAGATTAGAAGTGCTGTTGAGGGCTTTTGCTTCACCATATGGAATGGAATATGGGGGGTATTGGGGTGGTTGGAAGGTTGCAATGGGGGATCACCTGGAAGCAGGAAGCACAAGCCGATTAGCCAAAAATACTTTCAAAAATTTCTTCCTAACCCCCAGAATTCTCCTAACACAAAACTATTTACTTTGGAAGTTGTCCCTGAAGTCCTCACTACTGCCTGACATGGGCAAGGTTGGCCCATAAAAGCACAGAGTGAACTGGCAAGGACCAGAGTCCACATACATTAACTCCGGGGCTCAAGATTTTAAAGAACAAAATTGATAATACACCTTTCGTTGTAGTTTACTTTTTGTATAAAGCAGAAGCATTAGAATACTATATGGCAGTACTTAAGCTTAATGGTAATTCCACACATAACTGGCCAAAGATTTTTCACAGGTCACCATGACCTGGAACTAGAGTAAATAGTTATCAGTGAAAGTTGAGCCTTAGTATAACCAGAACAGAGGCTTACCAAAAGTTACAGCAGGTCTGGCCTATAAAATACCAGCCCAAGATTGGGATAGACTCTCCCGTTCTGTGGTAGAGCTGTTTTTTGAAGCCCCATTAAAAAGTACTGTATACATGAATATAGTGAGGCTTCACTGTAAAATGTCTTAAGCATCAGATTTTGCTTCTGACAAAATTTGTGAGACATGGCCGTTCTTATTCAAACCCATAAGGTCCTCACTCCTTGAAAGGGGCACGTAGCAGATACACATTTGCTAAACTGTGTACCAGTGCCAGCATTTGGAGCCACTGTGTATTGCTGGCGAGTTTTTCAGGACATGATCATACACAGGGTATTTGAATGTGGTTCCACGCTGGACATCCTGAAAAGGAAAATAAGAAAGTCTTCCTGATCAAATGTATCTTTATTTTAAGATTCGGGGTATCCTTTTAAGGCTGATGAAGGATACTGAAATGCTCTACAGAATTTCATCAGCTTTGCCCTAGATTGCAAAACTGTTGTTTTCCTCATTTCCAGTTTGGTAAAGATTTTATGTAATGATTTTTAGACTGTGTAGCATCTATGGAATAAAAGGGTTTTCCTGTTCTCAGTTTTTGCCCACAGGTGATATACAGATGGATGAAAAATATTCCTGGTCAGGTGTGGTGGCTCATGCCTGTAATCCCAGCATTTTGGGAGGCTGAGGAGGGCAGATCATGAGGTCAGGAGTTCAAGACCAGCCTGACCACCATGGTGAAACCCCGTCTCTACTAAAAATACAAAATTTGTGCCAGGCACAGTGGCTCACACCTGTAATCCCAACACTTGGGAGGCCGAGGCGGGCAGATCACCTGAGATTGGGAGTTCGAGACCAGCCTGACCAACATGGAGTAACCCTGTCTCTACTAAAAATAAAAAATTAGCCAGGCGTGGTGGCGCATGCCTGTAATCCCAGCTACTTGGGAGGCTGAGAGGCAGGAGAATCACTTGAACCCAGGAGGCGGAGGTTGTGGTGAGCTGAGATCGCACCATTGCACTCCAGCCTGGGCAACAAGAGTGAAACTCCGTCTCAAAAAATAAAAAAAATAAATAAATAAATACAAAAATTAGCTGGGCATGGTGGCTCGTGTCTATACTCCCAGCTACTCAGAGGGCTGAGGTGGGAGGATCGCTTGAGCCCAGGAGGTCCAGGCTGCAGTGAGCTGAGATCTTGCCAATACCCTCCAGCCTGGGTGACAGAGTGAGACCCTGTCTCAAAAAAAAAAAAAAAAAAAAAAAAAAGGGAAGAAAAGAAAAAGAAAAATATTCTTTTGCTAATGCGCCGGCCTATGCACTGCTTTAAAATTTTGAATCAGCAAAGATAGTATCTTTGGGTCCCTTTTACCCCCAGGATCCCTCTAACTCTGGCAGTTTTGAGGGCAGCCCCTCATCTGGCCTGGTCCAAATCCCAACTCCAGCCCCACTGTGACTGGCTGGTGACCTCTCCAAGCCTCAAGGTTGCCTTGAGGACCAAACACACTAATAATTCATGCAAAGTGCCTGACACAGCCCAGGCACTAAATAAATGTGCTCAGTTAGAAGCTAACAGAAACTAAATGGCCGATGTCTGAGGTCAGGTTCATGCATAAACTTGAAAAAAAGGAATCATTCCTATTTTTTCCCATAGATTTTCCCAATGAGCTTCCCTTCCCTACTCTTAATCATATAGCATTTTCATAGAGCTGTGTAAGTTGGCCCTTGTATTGGTTTTTCAGTGATGAGGATTTTTTTTCATTTCTTTAAATTTTTTGAGAGGGAAAACTGGTTAGATTAAGCAGCATTTTAAATTATATGTATTATATTTTGTGTATTTTTACATATTATGTTTTCTAAAGTTATGATTATTTTTAAATGTAGAACATATAGAAAATAGTATAAAATTAAAATCTCCTATAATCTCCCTCACCTAAAGATAACCACTATACCATTTTGCATACATCCTTGCAAACTTATTTCTACATCGGTGGAGTTTTTCTTTAAAAACAAAAACAAAAACAAAACAAGTGAGATGGTGATATGGTTTGGGTCTATGTCCCCATCAAGTCTCATGTTCAATTGTAATCCCCAATGTTGGAGGTGGGGCCTGGGGCAGGTGGTTGGATCTTGGGGGTGGATTTCTCATGAATGGCTTAGCACTATCCTCTTGGTGCTGTTCTCATGATAGTGAGTCTTATGAGATCTGGTTATTTAAGAAGTGTGAAGCACCTCTCCCACCCTTGCTCCTGCTCTTGCCATGTGAGATGCCTCACTCCCCCTTTGCCTTCCACCATGATTGGAAGCTTTCTGAGGCCTCCCTAGAAGCAGAAGCCACTATGCTTCCTGTACAGCTTGCAGAACCGTGAGCCAATTAAACCTCTTTTCTTTATAACTTACTCAGTCTCAAGTATTTCTTTGTAGCAATTTGAGAATAGAACAATACAGGTGAGGAATCCTATTGTCTACACTGTTTCATAATCTGCTTCTTTATCTAACACATTCTTTATCTAACACATCGTGACTGCTTTTCTACAGTGATAAATATTCTTTAGGATCATATTTAATGGCCACATATTGCAGTTCTATAACAGTACCAGAGTTATTTAATCAGGCTCCTATTTGTGGTCATTTAAATTCTCTTTTCTTACTGAGATTTTTTTTTTAAAGCACTGCTATAACCAAATCTTTGTACACAAAAATATAGTTATTTCCTAAAGTTAAATTCCTTGAAGTTGGATGGTAGAGCCCAAGGGTATATGCAGAAATCTCAGTGTTTTTTTTTTGTTTTTTGTTTCGAGACAGGGTCTAGTTCTGTCATCCAAGCTGGAGTGCAGTGGCATAATCACAGCTCACTGCAGCCTCAACCTCCTGGGCTCAGGGGATCCTCCCACCTTAGCCTCTTGAGTGGCTGGGATTACAGGCACACACCATCAGGCTTGGCTAATGTTTGTATTTTTTGTAGGAACAGGGTTTCACCATGTTGCCCAGGCTGGTCTTGAACACCTGAGCTCAAGTGATTCGGCTTCAGCTTCCTGAAGTGGCAGGATTACAGGCATGAGCCGCCACACCCGGCCTGAGAAATTGAAGCTTTTTGATAGTAGAACCAAATTGTTTTCTCCCTTAGAATGGTTTACAGTTGAATGTCCATTTCTTCCCAGCAGCACCGACATTGGGTGTTACCTTTTGGTTTTCTTAATGCCACAGCCTGCTTTTTCTCCCTGGTGCAGTGTCAGGCCAGAGTTGGCCGCTGCTGACCCCACCAACTTTACATCATACTCACTCTTGCCTTGGAATCTCCTGCAGTTCCAGGCCCTCTCCTTCCCACAACCCATCTGCCTAGCCAGTTCTTGCCTCTGCTCACCCCTCTCGTCTTTCTGAAACTCTCCTAAGTCTACTGGTGGAGACAGATGTGCCAATAGGGCAGAGCCCGTCTGAAGTACTAGGAGCCGAAAGGAGTCCGAAGACCTTGCTGCCATGGTGGCACCAGCTGCATGTTGAAGGTGCGCAGCGGTTTGCCTGTGAAGAAAGAAGGGATGGAAGCTCATAAGGAGGCTGTGTGGGAGGCCAGCAAAGTTGCTTGTGAAGGATGTTGCTTGCCTTGCTTATAGATGGCCCGAGCTAGGCACCCATGCTCGTGCAGTTTTTAAGTTTGGGGGCAGAAACTCCAGTCTGGACTAATTACATATACAGTGTCTTTTTCACTACAACCTCTTGCTTTTTCTGTGCCCACTCTACCCTTCTGAGGAACAGTGATCCCTCTTCCCATTCTAGACCCAAGGAGTGGCTTTTGCAGGGATGGCAGTGGTACCAGCAGGTCCTCTTATTAGGGTTGCCAGATAAATACAGAGTGCCCAGTTAAATTTGAATTTCAGATAAACAACAAATAACTTGCGGGGCCGGAGAAGAATAATAAGTATATTCCAAACATTGCCTGAGAGACATCTTGTATTTTTATTTGATAATTTTTTTTTTTTAATACTGAGATGGAGTCTCGCTCTGTCGCCCAGGCTGGAGTGCAGTGGTGCGATCTTGGCTCACTGCAACCTCTGCCGCCCGGGTTCAAGTGATTCTCATGCCTCAGCCTCCCGATTAGCTGGCATTTCAGGCTCATGCCATCACGCCCGGATAATTTTTGTATTTTCAGTAAAGACATGACTTCGCCATGTTGGCCAGACTGTTCTCGAACTCCTGACCTCAGGTGATCCGCCTGCCTCGGCCTCCCAAAATGCTGGGATTACAGGCGTGAGCCACTGCACCTGGCCTATTTAATAATTTTACAACCCTACCACTTAAGTCTTTTGGTGAATTCAGTTGCTTTCGTTGAGAAATAAAGACTGCTGAGGGGAATAGAGCTGTTTGAAGAACTGTCAGGGCAGTTATGTGGTTGTGCAGGTGGGAACCTGGCATGGAAGAGTGAGGGCATACTGAAAGGGTGGGTGTGGTACTGGTCACATGGCATAGAGCCTTTAACTCAGCTTTTAAGTGTTTTGTTTGCTTGAACATGCACTTTGAAAGGACCTCACAAAACTGGTTCTCCATGACAATGTGTGGTTACCTGCTAACTCTGGCTATGGACAGATGAGAAACATACATGGTCAAAAGTCAACCTTTGTTTAAAGTTTCTAAGATTAAAAATAAACCCCTGCCAGCCCTGGGAGTCTCTGTAAGGCTAAACACACCCTCCCTTGATAGCAGGGTGTTCTCAGATTTCTGCAGTAATAATTATGCCAGGCCAGTTGTGGTGGCTCATGCCTATAATCCCAACACTTCGAGAGGCTGACATGGGAGGATCACGTGAGGCTAGGAGTTTGAGATCAGCCTGGGCAACACAGCAGGACCCTGTCTCTTTTTAAAAAGAAAGAAAAGAAATTTATGCCAAAGTCTTCCCAAGACACCTCTTAGTAAGAAAGCTAAAAGGTGGTTTGTTGACTTTCTCTTAGGCAAAAAGGACAGATTTTTGGGCCCAAGATTTTAATTAGAATTGTCTTCCCCAGAAGAAATTTAGTAAAGTGAACAGTAAGTGTTTCCTTACTCTCACCACTGTTTGGTGACACTGTTTGACTTGACAGTTCTAGTGCTGAGTAATAGTGTCTTCTCCTATCACTGTCTGTAAAACTGTTACTGCACTATTGGTTGATGATATCTCTCTCTTTTTTTTTTCTTAAGAGACAGAGTCTCTCTCTGTCACCCAGGCTGGAGTTCAGTGGCGTAATCTCGGCTCACTGTAACCTCCACCTCCCGGGTTCAAGCAATTCTCCTGCCTCAGCCTCCTGACTACAGGCACATGCTGCCACGCCCGGCTAATTTCTTTTGTATTGTAGTAGAGATGGGGTTTCACCATGTTGCCCAGGCTGGTCTCGAACTCCTGAGCTCAGGGAATCCGCCTGCCTCAGCCTGCCAAAGTGCTAGGATTACAGGCATGAGCCACCGTGTCAGGCCTGATTATCTCTTCACACTGCCTCACAGCAGAGTTCAGGAATTTACCATTCAAGTTAAGGGAAAATACGCTAAGGTTCTTAGAGGAAGGATGCTAGACAGATGCAGGTTGAATATTATAAATAAGTCACAAGAACAGATTTCACTTTCTCCTGTTTCCCAAGCCTTAACATGATTAACTTGAAGAGTCTACAACTCTTCCACTGTTAATAATAGTCAAGGAGGAAGTCATAGACAGTTTTATAGACCCACTCATAGGTGATTTGGTAGGCTCCAGGTCACACAGGACACTGGCTACTTGAGTTCCAATCACAGCTACTCTACCATTGTTGTAAACATATTTTAAGCAAGAGGAACATACAGCCATCAAAAGGACAACTGTGCTCATGTTTTCCAGTCTAGGTAAGATCTCAGAAAGGCTATAAACCTTCTCACTGCCAGGCATGGTGGCTCACATCTTTAATCCCAGCATTTTAGGAGACTGAGGTGAGAGGATTGCTTGACGCCGGGAATTCATGACTACCCTGGCTAACAAAGTGAGACCCCGTCATTTCAATAAAAAAAAAAATTTTTAAATCTTCTCACTCCAAATAGTTATGTAAATAAAATATGTGAAACACTTTCATCAAAAATGACAAAACCATAGTGCCTGAAATCTAAAACAAACATTTCTTCTTACATGATCTCAAAATCTATTGATTTTTTTTTAAATTCTAAGTCCCACAGTAAAACTTCTAATTAAAGTAAAATTAACATGGTGGAAAACATTCCATCTTCGGCAGATACATCTAACATTTATTCATTCATCAACAAATATTAGGTGGGCAAGAAGCAGGCAATGAATCAGTGAACCAATAAGCAAAATTAACAAACCTGTAAATTAACTAGAAAATAACCTGTGATCATTCAGTGGTCTTTGTGGGGCAGGTAAACATTTTAAATCACAAAACAGCTAGCTTGAATTGCTAGAAGTCCTTTTAAAAGTTTGACTGATGGTTAAAATGTAACTTTTACCATGATGTGGATCTATACTAGGCTTAGCTGCCAACTCCCATTTGCACAAGTCCTAATTATCTGCTAATCATACATAATAAATTATACTGTCAGAAATTCATCCTTCCAGTTGAGCTCCTATATCTCTTCTTCCCACTTCCAGGTTCACCTCCCAAAAGAAAAAGGGGGCTTAAGTAAATTTTATTCCTGGAGCTCATCTTTCAAATGGGTCTAGAACAAAGTGGAGTTTACCTTGGACCACTGAGAGTGGTGAATAATGAAACTACATGCCAAGGCCACAGACTTGTCAGGCACCCGCAAACCTTTAGAAGGATCAGAGGACAATGGAGAATGCATTGTCTTCTATAGGGGCCAAAGAAGTGTTGGTTATTATGACAATTCATTTCTCATTGCAAAATTGTATTGGTTCACTACAGTCTCAAATAGCCTCTAGTAAAAGAAAAACTACCAACTTCAGTTGCATTTACATGTAGTTATGTAGTTAAAGGTATATATTCTTTTAAAACAAACACTATTATGATAAAACTTAATTCATTCAACCAATTCTGCATAAACCATTTCTGTCCCATAAAGGATAAATATGCTAACTCGGTCCCTGGATTCTTTAGTATGTTTTTATGTATGTATTTTTGAGACAGGGTGTCTGTCAGTCTGTTGCCCAGGCTGGAGGGCGGTGGTACAATCACGGCTCACTGAGCCTTGACCTCCCAGGCTCAAGCAATCCTCTCACCTTTGCCCTCCTAGTAGCCGGGACTACACGTGTGCACCACAAGGCCTGGCTATTTTTTTTTTTTAACTTTTTATAGAGACAGGGGTCTCCCTATGTTGCCCAGGCTAGTCTTGAACTCCTGGGCTCAAGCAGTCCCTTCATCTCGGCCTCCCAGAGTGCTTGGATTACAGGCTTGAGCCACCTTGCCTGACCATGTTTTTATTTTGATATGATTTCATACTTACACAGCAGTTGCAATAATAGCATTTAAAAATTCCCTTATAGCCTTTATCCAGATTCACCAGTTATTTCCTTTTTGCTCCAGTTGCTTTATCATTTGTGCTGTCTTTGCTCGTACTTTTTTTTAACCATTTGAATGTAAATTGCAGGCATCTTGTCCCTTTACCCCTAAATACCTCATTGTGTTTCATCTAAAATCATTTTCTTATATAATCATAGCACAGTTATCAAAATCAGGAAATTTGACACACAGCAGATCCTATTATCTAATCCACAGTGCACATTCAAATTACAGCTTTTGCCCCAGTAATGAATGTCCTTTATAGGAATTTTGGTTTCTCATTCTAGAGTTATGCATTGCACTTAGCCATCAGTATGCATTCTGTGATCATTACAACTTACTTAGGTTGAAAGAAAGTGCCATTTGCTTTTTTTAACTCCAAGACAAGGTCATTTCTTAGATTTAATTCAAAAGTTTATGAGCATCAACAACAAAATATCGATTGTGGTTTGTTTTTCTTAAGACATTCTCATTTGAGGTGCTAGCAGGTATTTTGCTATAAATTTCAGCTGTTTCCTAGGACGTAAGCCGGTCTAGGCAGTGTGGTTACCTCACAGTTCCCTAAAGAGCCATGCTTCTGCTGTGGAGCACATGCTGCTCCCATTGAGTAGATTGTTGATTGCTGGGTTCAGTAAATCATTCTTGAATTGCATGGAATCAGATTTAATTAAATAGGTTAAGTGACTTGTTCTAAACCAGTGACAGCATCCATGACCTTCACTAGCACCATGGCTAAGAAGGCTTATTTTGCTTGCATACTCATTTCATAAGTAAACATAATGTGACTGTGTTTATTAGGTAAATAACAGGTGTCTTGTGTTTGACTGTGTGTTGCTGTATCTTGTTGTGTGTATTTGTGTATGAAGGGGTTTCTATGCTGAAAAGGGAAAAACCCTGCCTAAATTCCAACTTAAATACAACCTTCAAACCCCACACCCAGGAAAAGAATGGGAACTATTAGCTGCTTTCTGCAAAGATCTAAGAATGAGGGTCCGGATTACACATCACATCTCAATGGCAGAACACATCTGCACAAGACTTTTGAGTCACTGCAACATGAAAAGTTTGTAAAGAGAAGTTAGAAATGGGATTTCAACATCTCTTTGTTTCTCATTCTGCTGGGACATCATCTACCTCCCAATTTTTTTTTTTTTTTTTTTTTTTGAGATGGCGTTTCGCTCCTGTTGCCCAGACTGGAGTGCAGTGGCACAATCATGGCTCACTGCAACCTCTGCCTCCCAGGTTCAAGTGATTCTCCTGCCTTAGCCTCCCGGGTAGCTGGGATTACAGGTGCCCACCACCACAACCGGCTAATTTTTTTTTGTTTTTGTTTTTGTTTTTTGTATTTTTAGTAGAGATGGGGTTTCACCATGTTGGCCAGGCTGGTCTCGAACTCCTGACCTCAGGTGATCCACCCGACTCAACCTCCCAAAGTTCTGGGATTACAGAAGTGAGCCATCGCGCCCGGTCCTACCTCCCTATTTTCTTCTTTAGTTTTCAGAGTGTGTGTGTGTGTGTGTTCTTTAGAGATGTTTACTTAAAACTAATTCCCCCTGGGGAAATGAGCAGATATTTCCCTAAGGAGAAATCTCATTTATAGCTGTGGGCTTGTCCCAGGAGACACAGGCAGCCCTCTGCGAACCAGCCCAGGTGCCTTCTCTCAGTAACAAAAGGGTACAGCTAAGAACCAGACATCTAAAGGAAAGCCCTCCCCAGCTTAAACGCACAAGTCCTTGACCTTTTCACATTTTGTGGGGCAAGCCCTAGCTGGAGTATGAAGTGAAACCTCAGGACTTTCTTGCCAGATCCCAGAGAAGGCTGGGAGGGCCTAATGGCTGGTTACTGATTTGAGATGCTGCTGCGTTATTCCTCAGGGAGTGGCACTTTCAGGGCTGTTTTTCTCTCCTTGCAAACCAAAGAAGTTAATATTAGAACCTGCTTCCAAAAGCAGTGTATCTGTGGACTCTGAGTTTTATGTGTGTTGGGTTGGTGGCCAGGGGTGAAGGCAGATGTAAATTATTTGTTTATTTTTCCCAAAATATTGATTCTTTGACTCCTGAGCTGTTGTGTGCAGTGAAAGAACCCTGGCGGGGCAGCCTGGGAATGCAGGGCTCTGCTCCTTGTGAAGCCACAAATGACCACAGGGCCCTGACCAGTCAGCCACACTCTGGGAGCATCCAGCTTCTAGTGAATAAAACGGGTAGAATGGACTCCCTGGTCTAACTCCGTGCTTTGCTAGCGATCATGTTCTGATTGTGTGGCAAGGCTGGCATTCCTGAGTTGCCCTGGTAGTGCTCATTGGGTGGGCCAGTGACCTACTGGACCTGCTTGCTGGCATGGGCCGCTCCTTGCAACTGTGATAGTGGCTGCTTGGAAGCCAGGTTTTGTCATTCTTGAGAATTGGAATGAGTAGTTCTTATCAGAGTCAGTGGTTCTCAACTGGGGCCATTTTGCCCCCTACGTGACATTTGGCCATGCCTGGAGAGCTGGAGACATTTCTGGTTGTCACAACTGAGGGGCAGGGGGTGGTTGCTATTGGCATCTAATGAATAGAGACCACGGATGCTGCTAAACATCCTGCGGTACACAGCACAGCCCCCACAACAACGAATTATCAGGTCCAAAATGTCAATAGCACCACTGTCGAGAAACTCAAAATAAACTCCATTGTCAGGAAGGTCCCTCACCTGCCTTCTCCTTTAGGTTGTTTGTTTGTTTGTTTGTTTGTTTTTTGAGACAGAGTCTCAGTCTGTTGCCCAGGCTGCAATGCAGTGGCACGATCTCAGCTCACTGCAACCTCCTCCTCCTGGGTTCAAGTTATTCTCCTGTCTCAGCCTTCCTAGTAGCTGGGATTACAGGTGCATGCCACCACACCCAGCTAATTTTTTATATTTTTTGGTAGTGACAGGGTTTCACCATATTGGCCAGGCTGGTCTTGAACTCCTGACCTCAAGTGATCCACCTGCCGCAGCCTACCCAAGTGCTGAGATTACAGGTGTGAGCAGCGCGCCTGGCCTCCTTGAGGTTTTATCCCCACTGTTTCCTCCACTCACCCTGTGCTAGAACCAGATGGAACAACTCCATCCACAATCCACTTGTCTACAATAAAGCTTTCCTTACCATGTCCTCCTCACCCTGTCCCACCTTGAAATCACCTGTTGCCCTCCTGGTCTTCCTTTACATAGTTGTTAAATTTATTATATGGTCTTTCTCAACTGGAAACACCACAAGGGCAGGATCCACAGCTGATTCCTTCTGTGTGCTCTAGGATAGAGGTTCTCAGCCCTGGAAACTCTTAGAAACCCTTGGAGCTCTTCAAGAAAACACAAGCCCAGGCTGGGCACAGTGGCTCAAGCCTGCAATCCCAGCACTTTGGGAGGCCGTGGCGGGTGGATCACGAGGTCAGGAGATCGAGACCATCCTGGCTAACACGGTGAGACCCCGTCTCTACTAAAAATACAAAAAATTAGCTGGGTGTGGTGGCAGGCACCTGTAGTCCCAGCTACTTGGGAGGCTGAGGCAGGAGAATGGCATGAACCCGGGAGGCGGAGCTTGCAGTGAACCGAGATCGCGCCACTGCACTCCAGCTTGGGTGACAGAGCAAGACTCCATCTCAAAAAAAAAAAAGAAAAGAAAACACAAGCCCAAGGCCAGGGGCCAGTGAGACTTGGCTTTGCTGCTCAGAAGCACCTAGACAGTTTTACATACAGTCTTGGGGAATTCACAAACTACTAAAGTCCTCCCTCGGATCCCTGGATGAGAGCCCCTGATGAAAGTGACAAAACACCCATGGTGCTCTGACATGCCATTCCAGAACAATGCCAAAACTGCTTGAAGTATGAAATGTGGGGTGTGTGTGTGTGTGTGTGTGTGTGTGTGTGTGTGTGTAGGGGGTTAAAATTTAGACTTTAGTCATCATAAAAGTGGCACCAGTTGTTATGAAGACATGAACCTTACCCATGATGGAAAGAGAAGGGATAGATTGCCATGAAAGTTCTGCTTGTTCAGTAAAAGCAGAGTAAGCACCTAAGGCTTTAAAACTATTTATTTAAGTTAATAGAGGATGTAGCAAGATCCTTATGAAAAAACATGAGATCGTTGTCCACACAAATGCAAAGTAATGCCTTTTCTATTTGTGCAGTTTGGGGAGGTTCCCTGTTCTGTATATTTGGGTGGAAAGAAGTGTTGAATATGTGATTTGTAAGGCAAATCAAATAATTCAGAGTATAAATACTCCTACTTGAGTGGGGAAAGTTATAAAATGATTGCCAAGTGATAAATATTTGCTGTAAATGTTGAGTTCGTCATGAATGAGGAGTGGTTTGGGACTTTGGGCAGAGGTGCAGCTGGTACCTTTCTGGGTGCCATTGGCCAAAGTTCATCTCATTCCTGGGCAGCTATGGGGAAAAGTTCGTCTTGAAACATCTTCAGATATTGAGAGCTTGTTTCGAGACTCTGCCAGGCTCTGGGCTATTTCTTGCTATTTTTATTGTGTGTGTGTGTTTTTTTAAACTGGACAGAAATGTCTCACCCATCACTCACAGAAGAACATGAGGAGGCTCTGTATTCCTAGCCACACCCTAGATTTAAAACACAGTTAATAGGGATTTGTTTTTCAGGCCTTATAAAGTAAGGAACACAAAGTATGAATACACATGGATAAATAAATTTGTTTCTCCTGAGTGAGTTTTTTTACAGCCAGGCTTTAGAAATTAGTTCAGAGTTTTAAAAGATGAACAAACAATTCCTATGGGCAAATAAGTAACTGAAATATTTCTGCCAATTTCTGTTAAATATTATAATCCGCTTAGGTATGGGGAAGTGGGGGTTGGAGGATGAGCTACATTTCTTTCTTTAAGCCACTCTCCTTTCCGATTAGGGGAGACTAATCCCCCTGAGAGTGGAGGCTGTCATCCTTGCTTCGGAATCCTCTGAGTGACTGTAACTTAGCGTCTTGTATGGAGAAGTCACATAGTGCATACCATCTGCTTGTTGCTAGTGATAAATTCATCTATGAAGGTTAGAATTTGACCGACTTCAAGTTTAAAAGGGGGATTATTCTATAAAGCAGGGTAGAGAGAAGCAAAAACAGCAGTGGTGCTTTTTTTTTTTTTTAGCAACTGGACATAGCATCTTAGAAAAATGACCTGGCCTTGCCCTTATTTGGTGCCTTCATGTCTCAGTGGAGCAGGGGAATCCAAGTGTAGTTAGCCAGACAGTTCCCCTGCCATTCTGTGCTCCAGGGGTCTAAGGCTGACACCTAGTTTCACCTGAAAAGGTGATTCAGGTTTCTTAATTCTTTACAGAACAGCTTAGTACTCAGGGCAGGTGTCTACTTGTGGGCTGATCTCCATCTGGTATCTAGGAATTAACACTGTCATCCTTGTGAGAGTCTGGAGTAGAAGTTCAGTTCCTCTTGGTGTGGTCTTTTGCCACGGCAGGTATGATTTATCCATTAGGAATGTCATCCCAAGTGCAAGGGAGAAAATGATTTTGTTCTCCTACCCTATTAAGGCAGTGTCTGAGGGGCAGACTGATCATGTCAGCAAACTTGTCTAGTTCTGCTTCCTCCCGGGCCTGTTGTGAGGACCTGACATACCTGACCATGAAATGATGTGCTCTTGAATCTGAGGAAGTGTTGGGGGTCAGCAAGCTTTGAGAGGAGGGTTAGGCCCTTCTCATGTTAACCTCTACTGGCCAGAACCAGACTGACCAGTAGTCTTCTGAGTTAGTTAAGTAGCTCTTGGATGTGATTTCCTTCCACCCAAAAAATATGGGCAAAGCCCCCCAGAGGGAAGGTCAAAAGGATGCAGTGGGGTAATATTTCTAGCTGTATGAAGGGGTCTCCAGGCCTCCGCTGCCCTAGCCTGGTGATGCCAGCAGCAAAGAGCAAGGAACCAAAGGGCAGCCTTCCCCACGGCCTGCCTGCCAGTCACCAGTTTGAGCCAGAAAGCAGTGGAGGGGGACGACAGAATTATACTGTTGTTAATATTGTCTATATGTGAAAACTAATCTTGGGATAATATAATATTCCTTGCCCAACCCCATCCCCACCACCCAAGCAATTGAATTCTTTAAAAAACAGCTTCACAGAAAATATGGGGAAGACCAGCTTTTATAGGGCTTGCTCAACAATTTTGAGATGTGCACAGTAAGAGAACTTTAGTTCTGATCCCTTTGACAGCGGAACAGGGGGCATGGAAAACAGCGTATTTCTGGTTCAGGAAATACCCTTCATTTTATGCATGACAGCATTGATGATGAATAGAGACGGAGACTTTTAGTCTTGAATATTTCACTTGCTTTGAGCAAAAGTAGTTAAGAACACAGTTTAAGCCCAGGAAAATGGAGTAGTTAAGTACTCATAGAGGGTTGAAGCAATAGAAGTTTTGAGAAGGCCCAATGGCTCAATGCATTTCTTTCTTTGCAGTATGCCACCACGGGCTGTTCCCTGACCCTGCACCATACGGAGAAACCAGAACATGAAGACATATGTGAATACCGTCCCTACTCCTGCCCATGTCCTGGTGCTTCCTGCAAGTGGCAGGGGTCCCTGGAAGCTGTGATGTCCCATCTCATGCACGCCCACAAGAGCATTACCACCCTTCAGGGAGAAGACATCGTCTTTCTAGCTACAGACATTAACTTGCCAGGGGCTGTCGACTGGGTGATGATGCAGTCATGTTTTGGCCATCACTTCATGCTGGTGCTGGAGAAACAAGAGAAGTACGAAGGCCACCAGCAGTTTTTTGCCATCGTCCTGCTCATTGGCACCCGCAAGCAAGCCGAGAACTTTGCCTACAGACTGGAGTTGAATGGGAACCGGCGGAGATTGACCTGGGAGGCCACGCCCCGTTCGATTCATGACGGTGTGGCTGCGGCCATCATGAACAGCGACTGCCTTGTTTTCGACACAGCCATAGCACATCTTTTTGCAGATAATGGGAACCTTGGAATCAATGTTACTATTTCTACATGTTGTCCATGATGTGACTTTCGTAAACCTTCAAAATTATTTGGGCATAGTGCTCTATGTTTAATAAAGGTTTTTATAGATGTTTTATTCCATATGTCTTCACAAGTCAGGACCCACAATTACCCGTGTTTTGTTTGAACAGCAGTGTCCCATCTGGCTTCGACCCAACAAAGTTCATTAACCTGGGATGAATGGGGTTGGCCTGTTGGTGATTTGGATGCTGTTCTGTGATCTAAAACAACTCTTATTGAATTGTATTTACTCCCTAAACAACACTTGACAGGCTGTTGCACAGGGCTTCTATAGATCAGTGTGTTAGGAATGGGAGGCCCCTTCCTGCCTGCCTTCCCATATTGGTCCCTTGACATTGACAAAAGCACAGTGACTGTCAGCAGATTCCTTTACTTTTGTTTGTGGGAGGTAGGAATTGTTTTAATGCATTTTAAACAGTGTTTCTGAAATTGGATGGCTGGCTAATAGACACTGAATCACCCGGAGTGCTTATCTTAAAATTGCAGATTTAGGGAGCCTGCCAATTTAACAGTCTCATCAGGTGATTCTTTTCAACAGTAATGTTTGAGAATTACTGGGTTAAATTGTGGGAAAGGGTCCAGATTTTAAAGGTGCTTTAAGGTTGCCCTCTGCCGATACTGTTTGTCTTTCTACTGTTTCATCCCCTAACTTCCCCCAACCCTCAAATTAAAACTAGAACTATAGATCCACATGAACGCACGCCTGAGATTTGGCCACTCACCTATGTTTTGGGTGGATTGCCTAGGAAAGCAAGTCATATGGCCATTGATAGTTCTCATGTAATTAGTTTTGCTCACCACTAGTACAGATGACCCGTTTACACGTGGCTTCCCTCGGAAGCCCTCCTCAACAGTAGCTGGTGTGAAAGACTAAATCAGTAGAGTTGGAAAAGCTTTATAACCGGTGTGTCATATGCTTGCTATTTAAAGCTGTGTGTTGGTTTTGTTTTTCTGCCACATTCACTAGTTTTTTAATAAATATTTTCCAAAAATGGATATTGTGCTTCATTTCCCTAATTGAGTAATGGGTATTTATTGAGCATCTACTGTGTGCAAGTGCAATGAACCTTCGTCACTACATCTGGGGTTGGAACTTTCACTGTTTGTTTCCACTGTGGAAACAGTCATTGGGCCAAGGTCATGGCACGGGTCCATGACAGCACTGGGGTCCGGGCTCATGTGTCTGAACCACTGACTGTCAGTGCTGCAGGTCTCCTCCCAGGGCTGTCGTTTCTATCTGACAGTGCCAGTACCTGTGCAATAAGAGGATTGCTCCAGCTTTACAGAGTCAGAAGGAAGACGCTTGGCCACTGCTGACATCCAGAGTGCTGGCGTTGATCCAAGCTGACCCACTCCCTCAGTCCCAACCCTAAACTCTCAAAAGAATTTAGAGGATTAGGGCCAAATGCTCAGCAAGGATTGAAGGCTGCTTACCTCAGTGTCCCAATTTCTTTCTTTTTTTTTTTTTTTTTTTTTGAGACAGAGGCTGGAGTGCAATGGCACTCACTGCAATCTCTGCCTCTAGGTTCAAACAATTCTCCTGCCTCAGCCTCCCAAGTAAGTGGGACTAGAGGCCTATGCCACCACACCCAGCTAATCTTTGTATTTTTAGTAGAGATGAGGCCAGACTGGTCTCGAACTCCTGACCTCAAGTGATCCACTTGCCTCGGCCTCCCAAAGTGCTGGGATTAAGGCATGAGCCACCACACCCAGCCCTCAGTGTCCCAATTTCATTAGCATACTACCAAATGGAGGTGATGGCTTTGGAGTTGATTTTGTTTTTTAAGTGAGATACAGCGTTGAGTTTTTAGCCAGCACAGGGCTCTGACATTTAAAGAATTGCTAAAGTAACCTCTTCTGTAAAAGTGAAAAACGGTGCCCTACACAAAAGTAGGGGTTTACAACATCTGTGGTGAATGAATAAAAACCACAACTCTTATCACTAAGAAAGTCACATTTCAAGTCCATATACAGAGGAACCTATGAAGGTGAAACTAGGATCCAGGAGCAGATGAACTCTGACCCTCAGGACCAGAGCCAGTCCAGATATGGCCTCCAGGGCCCTCACGGCACCCATGCAAGGTGCAGTGTGCATACACTAGCCAAGCTTGGCAGCATCACTTCATGTCCACGGCTTACCCTCTTACTACGTGTGGTAGAGGAATCAGGACTGATTGGTTAACAGTGCATAAAACGCAAACCTATAAACAAAAGACATAAAGAAGGAGAAAGTGGACACAAGTTATTCCAAAAGCACAAAAAGAGTTTTAGCCCAAAAAGGTAAAGTGATGGGCCAGCAGCCACACAGTGCATTACTGGCAGCACTGGTTCTATAATTCAGGCTTCTTGATTCCCCATTCAAACTTGCTCCTAGAACTTAACAAATGAAAAAGTTGTAAGCAACGCAACTCTGAACTTTTATTTTCCAGAGTTACGTAGTTCCCTTTCATCTCTGTCACTGGAAATCTGTAAACTTAACCTTTACTCTTGACTTTCTTGAAACTGTGCATTTTCTACCAGAAAATAAAAATCCCCAGGTTATTCCGTTTTAACAGGAAGTGAAAACAGCAGAAAAAGATTATGTAAATTAAAATGCCTTTTTATGCAGTTCCAATTGCAAATGCAATTTAAAACATGATGAGTATATTCCTTGACTTGTTGCTTTTAAAAAAAGTGAGAAAAAAAAAGAAAAGTAATGATAGGCATTTGTCAAAACTCATCACGTGGTCCACTTAAGTACCATATTTTAAAAAATAAAATAAGAATATTTTATCTTTCCTGTCCTAGTTCAATATTCTAATTTGGTAATCTGGCGATTAAACGATGGTAGATTAAGCCTGTGTCTTATGACGCATGAGTCATTCTAAAGAAAAAAGGGTTCTCAAAATACCTTGGGAGAAAATGTTAACAGTCATTAATTCTGGGTGCCTAGAACCTGGGTATATGGTATATTATTAATTGCATTGTTCTACGTTTTTAATTTTTTTCAAAAAACCAACCAACCTTGAGATTAGGGGTTCCCAGCGTTCTTGTAAGGAGGAACTGGTCTTGGTTTCCCTGAATCCAGAAGACTTAAAGGATTGAGACAGTGGAGTTCTTAGAGGGAACTGTCCAGGGGATTATGGGAAATACTTCGGAGAAGAGGCACCGAAGCATCAACTATCTTGGAACTCTGCCAACTAGAACCTCGGCCTCAACTGACACATCCAAACTAATGGCTGAGTGTCTTTTTTAGCAGCATCAAGCAACTCCTTTACAATACCACCCAAAGTAATTTTCCTGAAGAAATTCTCCTTGTATCTAACTTCATTCAGGTTCTTGGGGCTTGCCAAATAGCCAGCAATGTGACCTTAACTTGGTCAGTTGACATCTCTGGTCTTAAGTTTCCTAATCTGCAACATTTGAAGGTTTATTTTCTAAACGTTTTTACTTTAGTACTAATTTCTGTGAGACAATCAAGCTATTCAATGTTAGGTTGAGGTATGTAAATCATTCCTGCCAGCCTTTGTACGAGGTGGTTCTGGTATCACTGTGGCCCAGCATGTGTCTGTCTATCAGTGTTGGCAGGTGAGTCATGCTCCAGCTACCTCTCAGATTCCCATGGTTTAGAGCTAGGGGTGGTGCCTGGGTAGAGAGACCAGTTTTGCTTTGTGGCTCTGGCTTGAGAGGCCTGTGGCCTTGAACCTTCCTGATTCATGCAGGCTGTGCTTGAAAGTATGATTATAATTTCACTGACCTGTGAAAGGGAGGCAAGAGTGCTTAAAGGGAGAAATCTAATTCCCCATATTGTTAAACCTTCTTCTAATTTGAAGCTTAAAATCTCTTATTTGTGAATACCGTTAATGTGTCTTGGAGTCTTCAAATGACAAGCAGAAAGAACCTTGATCCCATTGACACCAACACCCACCACCACTACCATTTTACAGAATAAACAAGTAAGACCTACAGAGGGAAACACACTGGCCCCAAACCACACTGCTGATTAGAATTTTCTGTGATGATGACATGGTGTCTTCTGTATTGAGTAAAAGGGAAAAAATTACAAAACAGCTTAAAGTACAAGCCAACATTTTACCATGACTAAGGGAAGTGGCTCCCAGTCTTGATTCCCCATTTCCATTGCCACCATCTGGGCCAGGACCACTGTTGGGGCTCCTAACTGTTTGTCCTCCTTCTTCCTGCCTGCTCCAATGTATTCTACACATAGGCAGAGGCTCTTTTGACATGAAAATCATTGGCATCACAGCTCTTCAATATTCTCTTGCGGTGCACCCTATTTCTTTTCCTTCATGGCACCACAATTGTGATTACATATTTTTTTTTATTGTTCAGCGCCTGCCTCCCCTTGACAACCTGCAGGGTAATAGAGACAATGAAGTCCCTGGCACCTAGGCACCCAATTAATATCTGAATGAATAAATAACTACTAACAGGCTAGTGTGAGAGCAGCATTGAAGTCAACACTTTAAGAGTTAAGGTTTTCTGGTTTTGTACCAAAAGTCCCTGGGGAAATTACGCAAGTAGGCAGGGAACAGAGATGGGGAGATAATCTAACAATCCAGAGAAGGGAAGAAACAAAGGGTTTCTCTGCCCCTGTCATCCTCCAGGCAAGGTCACTAAGGCTGGTTTGAAGTTTCTGTGCCTTGAAATTTCTTATGTCATGGAGTCACCTGACATTCAGATCAAAGGCCGACTCCGCTCTATGTTTGATGATCCTTGCAGCAAGCACAGATCAAGGTTCCTGTGACCTGCAGCAATTGGATTACAAGATTAGATCAATTTGCAAAGTACACCAAGATCACAGCAGTTGCCATCCATTAGGTACCTATCGTGTGCAAAGTGCTTTGTCTGTATTAACCCATTTAATCCTCTCAATAAAATAAGCAGTGTTTATTATCCCCATTTTGGAGTCGAGGAAATGAAGGCTCAGAGAGATTAAGTAATTTGCCTACACTCACACAGCTGGTAAGAAACAGAATTGGAATATGAACCCATCGTGGAGTCCATGCCCCTTCACCATATCACGTGATCCATCATTATTCTTATTTGGCTTTCACATATTTTGACCATCAGCAGAAATATTGCTTACTTGTAACAGATAAAGATGAACAAGATGGAGGGGTGCAGGATGCTTGGTGAATACAGAACATACCACCTGTGCTTTGGAACTGCCTTCCCCACTGTCATGGCATGCTAGAAGGGGATGGAGACCTAGAAATCGTTCAGACCCTCACTAGTTAAAGTGTGGTCCGTGCACCAGCGGCATCAGCATCACCTGGGAACTTGTCAGAAATGCAGCATCTCAGCCTCCACCCCAGACCTCCTGACCAGAATCCGCATTTTAACACAGTATGCAGGTGATGTGGATGCATGTTCAAGTTTGGGAAGCACTGGTTGGATCAAAGGTTATCACCCCACACGTCCTTTGGAATCATGTGGGGAACTTTAAAGAATGCCAGGACCTAAGTTAGAATTCTTGGCAGTAAGGCTGAGCTTCTGTGTGCTTTTTAAAGCTTCCCAGAAGGGACCAGCACACAGTCAGGGTTGAGAACCTCTGACCCAGTCCAACCTCACTGCCTCATTTTCTCTTGTATTTCTCATACAGCCGCTGAGACAAGTGATGTCACCTGCCAATACTGTAGATTGAATAACCAGGGAAGGCTGAGGAATGCAAGTGAATGTAAAAACCACCTGGAGGGAAGCATTGCAGCAAGAAAGGAACAGCAAGTGCAGAGGCCTGAGGCAGAACCAGCAGGGAAAATGCTTTGAGGTGAGGCAGGTAAGGAGCTAGAGCCTTGCCCTGTGAGGCCAGCTAGGGGTCTGGCTTTCTTTCCAGGTACAATGGGAGGCCACTGGAAAGTTTCAAGGAGCATGGATGATGGGATTCGGGTTTTTAAAAAGAGCTGTAGCTGTTCAATTAAAACAAAACAAAACAACAAAAACAATGATTATAAAGGGCAGGAATGGAAGCATTTTGGAAGCTATTGCATTTCACCCAGTGAAAGATAATTATGGCTTGGACAGAGTGAGCAAAGGTAGAGATTAACAGAAATGGGCATATTTGGGCTATGTTTTCAAGGTAGAGTTAACAGGAGTTGCTAAAAAGTTGGATGGGTGGGAGAGGGGTGATGATTATAGGAATAAGGAAAAGAGAGAATCAAGGATGATCACTCCTAGGCTCTCATCCTGAGTAAATGGGTAAGAAGTTCCATGTATTGGGGCAGAGACTAGTGAAGGAGCCAGCATAGGGCAGAAATCTAGAGAGACACATGGCTGAAGACATCAACCAGACAGTTGTTTGTATGAGCTTGGAGCTCTGAGGAAAGGCCAGGATGGAAATACCAAAATGTGTGCACCATCACTATATGTATGGTGTTTAAGCTGTGGGGTGGAAGTGAGAAGACCCCGGGGTTTGGGCAATGGAGGGAGGTGCATACAGGCAGAAAAGAGGGTGGGACTCAGGCCTATCTCCTGGGACTGCCAACCTTTTAGAGGTCACATGAGGAGCCAGAGCCTGGAAATGAGGGTGGATAGAAGAAGTGGCCATCAAGATGAGGGGAACTCCTAGACAGTACGGCATCACAGAACCCCAGGAAAAAAATCTGGCTCAAGTAGAACAGAGGAGTTAGCCACTGAGAAGACAATCGAGGTCATGGCAAGATGTCAAGAGCAGTCTCATGGAGTGGAGAAGACAGAAGCCCAGAGGAGAGCAGGTGAGGGAGAGAACAGGGCATGGGTGAGGAGAGGAGGCAGGAGCTATAGCTATAGAGCTATAGACAAGTTGCTATAGACAAGGCTTTTAAGAAGTTCCGCAGAGAAGACGTAGAGAAATGAAGCAGTTGCTGCAGGAGAATAGTGGGATCAATGAAAGATTTTTTTGTGTTTTAAAAATTGGAGCCACTAGAGCATGGCACTGTGCCAATGGGAAGGATCCAAAAGAGAGAGCGAAATGGATGATGTGGAGAAGGAGGCAATCACAGCGGGGGCAAAGTAATCAGAAAGACAAGTTTCCAGGGCAGATTACTTACTTATGCAGTAGAGATGGTCAGGAAGCAGCCATTATTGAAATAGAGAGAGGTGGGAAAAAAATTGTGCCAACAAGCAAGGGTTGAAGCAAATTATGTTTAGAAGGCCCTGGTGAGGGCGTCTGTGCATATCCAGCCCTGAACAGGAGAAAGGCACTGGCTGCAGCTCAGTCTAGAACATCCCAGGCATCTGAGAGGTTTACACCTTAGCAAGCTGTGGTGTTTTTCTAGGTTCCATGAAAACCTGGAAGAAATATTCCTGAGGACCATCCAACACCATTTCCCTGAGAGACAAGCTGTAAGTGCTGTTCTAGTTACAGATCCGAGTCCCTGGTACATTGATATCAAGTAAGGGTGCATGCAGCTCAGAAGGCAGTTTCCATTACACTGGACAAGAGTGTGGCTGCCTGAGTCCTAGAACTGCAGTGGCTTCTGCTGACAATGTGAGGAGTAGCTGCCCTGTCCAGAGTGTGGCCCCGCACGCTGCCCCCTCCCCTGGAGGGACTGAAGAGAACAGCTTGGAGCATGCCCTTCCCTTTCCCTTATCTCGCCCACTATGCTAATGCTGCTCATCCCTCAAGATCCGAGTTATTCCTCCTCAATTCAATACACACCAATCAACTGCCCTGTGCTTGGTCCTGTACTTTATATCCTTGATATGGTTTAATTTTCAAAACAAAACACCTTGAGGTGGGTATTATCACTCCCATTAACAAACAAGAAGGTGGGGGCTCAGAGAGGCTAAGTAACTTGCCCAAAGTCACACAGCTTGTAAGCAGTGAAAATGGGATTTACACTCAGGAATGTAGCCCTTCCAACAGCCCTGCTGCCTGCAAAAGTGACTCAGATATGGACTTTACAGTCTAGCAGAAGTCTGAAAGCATCAAACAAAGAGGCAACTTACAGTAGCATGAAATATGCAACCACAACTACATCAACTATGTTTGCAAAGCAAGTTAAGACAAGGACGTACAAATTGCTATGGAGTTCAAAAGAGGATTGGAAAAGGCTTCCGGGAGAAAGCAGCGCGTGCATTGGGCCTTGGGTGTTGGGTAGGTTTTTGCAAGGCTGAGGTAGTTAGGAGGATGTGCCAAGAGATCAGCCTCTCCTGGATCAAGACCAAACCACTCAATGCCTAAGTCCAGCCTTGTCCACCTCCCATCCACTTCTCAGGGCTATTCTTCTCTCACACTTCCTTTGTTCCCGCGTTCCTGACACCCACACAAGGTCAGACACGTAGAACGTGCCGAGTGAATATCAAAGTTCAGCAGTGTCTTGTCTGGTCCCTAATTCTAATCTATCCTTTAACCCATCCTCATACTAGCTAAATTTCAGGACGAACCCTGTCCACAATAAAAACTACTTCTTCTAGAGAATTTGCCCTGCCCATAGTTCCTGGAACACCCCATGCAAACCCCCCACTAATTCACACACCCACAAACTTGTAATGCAGGCCACAGCTGATAAGACCTTACCCAGGCCAGCGGTTCATTGGCTGAGCAGCCACCAGTCAGATTCTCTTGAGAGAGTCAAAGACAGTCAGTGGTGTGCACCAGAGTCACACAGCCCTGGAAAGTCAGCACACTAGCAAAGGAAAAGCCTTGATAGCAAGAGGCCCCTAGGGGTGGAGGGAGCAGCCACTGCCGCCCACCCTGCCAGGTCCTAATCCCTCCCCAGGGAGCCCAGAAACACTCCATTTCCTGCTTTGAGGCATCTTGGAGACAGCCTGCTGTGCCTTCACAATTAATTCTTCTTATCACTTTTTTTTTCAATTTTAGACCATATTTATTCACTCCCACCACCAAAATTGAAGAAAGTAACACACAAAGTTTCTCCCTCCTTCTAATTTTGCTTAATTTTATGATTATTGCTGTCAAGATGTATAACTTTTTTTTTTTTTTTGAGATGGAGTCTCTCTCTGTTGCCCAGGCTGGGGTGCAGTGGTGCCATCTTAGCTCACTGCAACCTCCGCCTCCCGGGTTCAAGCGATTCTCCTGCCTCAGCCTCCGAGTAGCTGGAATTACAGGCACCTGCCACCATGCCCGGCTAATTTTTGTATTTTTAGTAAATACAGGGTTTCACCATGTTGGCCAGGGTGATCTTGAACTCCTGACCTCAAGCAATCCACCCGCCTCAGCCTCCCAAACTGCTGAGATTACAGGCGTGAACCACTGCACCCAGCCAAGATGTATAACTTTTAAAAAAACATTTTATTAGTAAATTTTCAAAAGGAAGGAGAATAATATAACGAATTCGATGTGTTATCACCAACTTCAACCATTATCAACTCTTGGCCAGCTGTCCTGCATCTATACCCTCACCTACATCCACGTGTGGATTTCTTTGAATCAAATCCCAGGCATCATATCATTTCATCTGTATATGTTTCAGTATAGAATATCTAAAGATTAGGACTTTGAAACATACTCACAATACTGTTTTTATATCTATAAAAATTATAAATTTTAATATAATCAAATATCCAGTCAGAGGTCACATTTCTCTGGTTGATATACAGTCTGTTTGAACTGGGATACATATATAAGATCCTTACATTGCTACTGATAAAATGCTTATGTCTTTTTTAATCTACAGATTCTCCCTCCATCTCTTCTCCTTTCTTGAAGTTATTTATTGAAAAACCCAGGGTTCCTATAGCAGAGTTTCCTATAGTCTCATTGCAACCCCAGAATATCATTTTATCAGATTCAGATTTGATTTTTCTTTTTATAAGACTGCTTCAAACCAACCAGGGAACTGTTGGGGAGGAAAAAAAAGAAGACTGCTTCATAGGTGATGGTAGTGATGTGTATGTCTATAACACAAAGGACAATGGCTGTTGCTCTCTTCCTCTAACTCTGTCTGTCTCTTTTAGTGATATTATCGGCCATTGATGGCTCATATTCACTTGTGAGGCATTACAGAATGATCTTTCAAATCATTCCTTTTTTATGAACTGGAAAACTTCTATAGTGACAAACTTCCTCTTTTCAACTATTGGTTTACCGTAAGGTACATTTTACAAGGGAAAGATAACATAAATGCCTGATTATTTTCCTTTATCAGTTTTCAAAACAATGAGGTAGTTTTCTAGCATCCTCCAAAAATAAAACCAATGAAGTAACATTTTAAAAATATATCAGGCAGGCCAGGCATGGTGGCTCATGCCTGTAATCCCAGCACTTTGGGAGGCCAAGGCAGGCAGATCATCTGAGGTCAGGAGTTCGAGACCAGCCTGGCCAAAATGGTGAAACCTCGTCTCCACTAAAAATACAAAAGTTAGCCAGGTGTGGTGGTGCATGCCTGTAGTCCCAGCTACTTGGGAGGCTGAGGCAGGAGAATCATTTGAACCTGGGAGACAGAGGTTGCAGTGAGCCGAGATCACACCACTGCACTCCAGCCTGGATGACAGAGCAAGACCCTGTCTCAAAAACTAAAAATCATTATGTCTCTTAAAAAAAAGAATATCATTATGAATTCATGGATTTTAACTTTTTTATGTATTTCAATTCATTGCCATTATTATCCTTGTTGATACTCATATCATTCCATCTTGGCCTGACAAATGCATATTCAGCTTGGTTCCTGAGTGCTTTTGACATGATCACAAATAGCCTCTGATGTTCCAGGCTCATCTTGTTCTTTTCCTGCACTCAACATGTAATCAACGATGTCTTCAAGGAACCTTGATTTCTTTAGTGTGAAACAATGATTCAAGACCACAGTCTAGGCAGTAGGAGCCCCCGTTATTCAAACTTGAGCCAGTTTGAATGGATTTTCTACCCTGGAGCTGAATAGATGTTGACTAGAATTCTCAATGTTTCCACCAAAATAAGTTATGAAAGAAGCAAATCTGGTCACACAAATCTAATTTAAAATCTTCCCTTTTTTAGACAAGAGTGTCAAGATAATTCAATGGAGAAAGAATAATTGTTTCAACAAATGGGACAACTGGATATTCACATGCAAAAGAATGAAGTTGGATCCCTGCCTCATGCATGTGTGTGTGTGTGTATATATATATAAAAATTTACATGACAGACAGACACTGTCCTTTGTGTTATAGATGTACCCATCACCACCATCAACTATGAAGCCATCAGGGTTTTTTCCCCAATAGTTCCCTGGTTGGTTTGAAGCAGTCTTGTAAAAAGGAAAATCAAATCTGAATCTGAGCAGATTATATTCTTGGGCTGCAATGAGACTATAGGAAACTCTGCTATGGGGAACCTGGGTTCTTCAATAAATAATTTCAAGAAAGCAAAAGAGATAGAAGGAGAATCTATAGATTAAAAGAGACATAAGCATTTCATCAGAGGCAATGTAAGAATGTTTCTATTATATATTACATATTATATATTCATTCATTTATCCAACACACATATATACATACTGCTTCCCTACACTATGCCAGGTACTGTTCCATACACAAAGGATCCAGCAAAATGTACAAAAACTCTAGCCCTTGGCTGGGCATGGTGGCTCATACCTGTAATCACAGCATTCTGGCAGGCCAAGGCTGGCAGGTCACTTGAAGCCAGGAGTTTGAGACCAGACTGGCCAACATGGTGAAACCCAGTCTCAACTAAAACTACAAAAAAAAATTAGCCAAGCGTGGTGGTACAAGCCTGTAGTCCCAGCTACTCAGGAGGCTGAGGCACAAGAATTGCTTGAACCCAGGAGGTGGAGGTTGCAATGAGCTGAGATTTCACCACTGCAACTCCAGCCTGGGTGACAGAGTGAGACCCTGTCTTCAAAACAAAATAAAACAAACAAGCAAAAAACCTCTAGCCTTTGTGTTGCTTACATTGTCATGGAGAGAAGAAGGCAATAAACAAAATATATGCAAAGATTTTATACAGTATAATACATTGAAGATAGTCAATGCTATGGAGAAAAATAAAGCAGGTAGAAGGGATGGTCAGTAGGGGAGTAGGGGAGAGGAGGGATCGCAGTTATAAACAGAGTGATATTTGAGCAAATGCTTGACGGAGGTGAGGGAATGAAACATGCAGCTAATTGGAGGAAAAACATTCTAGGCAGGGGAAATAACAAGTCCAAAGGCCCTGAGGTGTGCATGTCTCGTGTGTTCAAGGAATATCCAGGGAGCGGAGTCCGGGGAAGGAAAGTAGGAGCTGAGGTGAGAAAGTGCGAGGAGAGAAAAACTTTGCTATTTTATTGGAGCAGAGCACAGCGGCGTGTTCATGTCTAAAAAGAGTAGAAATTATTCTGGATGGTGACTCCACAAGGGGAACATATGCAGCTTGCCTGGTTTCAAGATAAGGGCCATAATCAGTGGCACACAGGAGCCGGCACATACCAACTTGCAACAGTCAAATGTTTAGGAATCTTGAGAGCCAGTTGATAAACACAGCTATTATTAAAAATTAAATTCTAGATTTATAATTAAATAAGTTATATTTAACAGTATTATATTTAACAGTATATATTTAACAGTAGCAGTATTTAGTACTTAGAAAGTGGCAAAAGCAACAAATTGGGGCTTGATTTATTAGTTGTTGTCTAGACTTAAGAAAATGATGACGAAAATGTTAATAATAGAGCTTTAACTTAGAATTATGTCATACTTGGAACCATTACATTGCAAATAGAAAAAAAAGTTGAAGAAATATTTTTCTAGCAGTCAAAAACTACTGCCCAAATCAATAAAGAAGTCACTCACATCATTGATGACACTGATGAACCAGTGAAATTTTGACAAACATCTGAAAGTTAAGGCTTCTTCATTTTAATCTTACTGGTACCAACCAGCATTTATGTCATAATTGCTTGTTTGTCAATATCAACCACAGGTTGGCATACAATATATGCCAAGGGTTCAGCAAAATACAAGGTTCAGATACAACGGTTCAGCAAAAAGCAATGAAAACATTCTGAGGGAATCAATAAGCTATATGGAATTTACAGTTTAGAATACTGTATAATTTCTTATTATTTGTACATTGGGTGCTACAATTCCTTTATATCAGTAAGATTTATCTGACACTTGCATGTGTTAAAAAAAAATTTAATTTCTGGAGCACCAGTTGTTAAACATTTACCAGCACACCTCTGGCTACAATCTGATCAAATCCAATTTTACACATCTTAGAGCCCAGACAGATAGAGGAGAGAGAGGCCTCTCAAGGCAACGAAGCAATTAAAAGGAATGGAGTTACTTCAAAATCATTCTGCTCTAGAATTTGGAGTTGGCCACGCTGGAGACCAAGAATTCCTTTGTGTTTATATTTATGATACCTTCTATTTACAGTAGGTGATTCTAGCTCTCCATTTATGGTAGTGATACAGTTTCCTTTTCAAGTAAACTTGTTTAAAGTACCAAAAAAGACAATTTCGAGAAAAATGTTAAGTAAATGATAAACAGGAAATACACAGAAGTGACAAAAATTCAAATGATGACCTGCAGTATCTCCACTGGGAAACACTAGCTCAATGATTAAGAACTCAGGCTGGCTAGGCACGGTGGCTCACGCCTGTAATCCCAACACTTTGGGAGGCAGAGGTGGGCAGATCACTTGAGGTCAGGAGTTTGAGACCAGCCTGACCAACATGGCAAAACCCCATCTCTACTAAAAATACAAAAATTAGCTGGGCGTGGTGGCAGGCACCTGTAATCCCAGCTACCCAGGACGCTGAGGCAGGAGAATTGCTTGAACCCAGGAGGCGGAGGTTGCAGTGAGCCGAGAACATGCCACTGTACTCCAGCCTGGGCGACAGAGCAAGACTTCCCCTCAAAAAATAAAAGAACTCAGGCTTTCAAGCCATATCTGGGCTCAAATTCAGACACTTCTAATTACCGCTACCTTTGTGAATTCATTGGCCTCAGCGTCCTTGTCCATAAAACAGGCACGCTGCCAACTCCACAGGGTTGCAATGAGTTGTGAGATCCAGGGAAGCCCAGGGCCTGGCACAAATGGGAGCTGACAAAAGAGGGGCTCCAGGGAGAAGCCTCATCTGGGGCCTGGCCTCCTCAGCCCAAAACAGGCAATGCCTTCAACTTTCTCTCTGACGTGTATAAAATGTGAATGTTCACAAGCACACACACGCAACAGCAGCACACACTGTTCCCTGACTCAGCGTTCTCCCCTAAGGCCCTAAGTGCTTCCCTCTCCTATCTGCTGGAGCAGCAGGTTCTTAGGGGTTCCTTAAACCTCAACAGAGCCCTCAGTGACAAGTCCCTGGTTCTGCTGGACACTCTGGTTATAAAGAGGAAAAGACTTCTGCCCTGCCCCAGAGAGCTTTTCCCAGCTAGTGCGGGAGACTGGTAAACAGAGTAGAGCTGGTAAACAGAGTACCTGATGATGACCACGGGAATGGCGTGGTCCCCTAGGTCTCCCTGCAGAGCTCCCGTTGCTCTTCTCTGTTAGTCTTTTTTTTTTCGGGGCGGGGGGGTGATGAAGCCTTGCTCTTGTCGCCCACGCTGGAGTGCAGTGGCATTAGCTCACTGCAACCTCCGCCTCCTGGGTTCAAGTGATTCTCCTGCCTCAGCTTCCCTAGTAGCTGGGATTACAGGTGCCTGCGACAACGCCTGGCTAATTTTTGTATTTTTAGTACAGACGAGGTCTCACCATGTTGGCCAGGCTGGTCTCGAACTCCTGACCTCATGTGATCCACCCACCTCGGCCTCCAAAAGAGCTGGGATTTCGGGCATGAGCCACCGTGCCCGGCCTCTGTAAGGCTCTTTTGTTTGCAAGGAATGGCAACTCGGTCAAGGCCTCAAGTGAAAGGCCTCTATTGTAATAACAATACTGCAGCCAACACTGGCGACATTTGTGCTAGAGAGGCTGCAGTGGCTCCTAGATCCCTGCTCCATGCCTCACCAACTGCTCTGGGCCTGGCAGGCTGACCACTGCGTTTTGTAACCACCTAACAGCCTCATCCTTTGGCCTCCAATCAGATTGGCCTTTGGGTATCATGGGCAGGAGATCAGAGTTAGGGAGAAGTCTTAAGAGTATGCATGCTTTCCACTCCTGCCCTGTAGGGCCAGGTTGGCCCAGCTGCACTCTTGTCCAGACCCCCACAGTTCCTGCCCTGTCACCCTGTTTTGAGGCTGCTGGGTGTCTGATAACTACTTCCTCCCTTCGCCTCATCAGGCCTAGGAGTACTAAAGACTTCTCAGCCAGTTATAGCCCATGGTGTTCCACCATCCTTTGTCCCTTCATCTGACCTATACTTTTGTAAATAGTCTCTCAGCCTCTCCTCAGTTACCCAATTTGGGTGTCCTGCCCAGACCCAGACCGCTACCTGCTTACTGAGTACTTCATATGCACCAGCAGGCCCTTCTCCACATCTTATGCCCATTAACTCATTCAAGCATCAAAACAACCCTATGAAGCAGACACCAGTAACAGCCCAGTTTACAAGTGAGGAACCTGAGAAAGAGTGCTCAGTTACTTACTCAAGTTTACATGGTGGGAAGTAGCATGGCCAGGCAGTGTCTCTGCTGACGCTACTCCGTGTTAGGATATGTACAGGAATAGGAAAGTGCGTGTCTATTTTCACTTCCTGGAGCACAGGACCAGCCACACCAGCAGGTTTCTGGCACTCTGGAGTGTAGTTCAGAAATGGAAATCTCACCAGGCCCCACTGGGGTCTGAAGCCTCACTATCTCCTAGCCGCTGGTGTTGGCACATCGGTGTTACTCAGCCACATTCAGTCTGCTTCTCCTGCTGCCAGCACCCTGCTTCTCTCTGCTCTCCTCCAATCCTCACTACTTCTGCCTAGCATCTTCTCTGTGTATCCTTTGATTTCTACTCCTTACCAACTACTGCCAAAGAGGGGACCACTTGATTCGGACAGCCACTAGTCGACTTTAAAAGTCACTGGTCTCAGCAGGGTGCAGTGGCTCCCACCTGTCATCCCAACATTTTGGGAGGCTGAGGCAGGGATCACTTGAGGCCAGGAGTTCAAGACCAGCCTGGGCAATATAGCGAGACCCTGTCTCTACAAAACAAAAGTAACTGGGCATAGTGGTGTGTGCCTATAGTCCCAGCTACTCAGGAGGTGGAAGGATCACTGTGTCCAGGAGTCCAAGGCTGCGGTGAGCTATGATCATGCCACTGAACTTCCAGCCTGGGTGACAGAGCAAGAACCTGTCTCTAAAAAAAAAAAAAAATTAATTAATTAATTAATAAATATTTAAAAAGTCACTGTCTTTTCCCTGAGTCAGGAGATGCATGGTTACCCGACGAGATATAGGGGTCAATGGGAGGGAAGACACCAGCAGACCCACACAGGATTGTTTCATGGCAAAGTAAACAGAGACACACACGAGCAGGAGATTGCACAGCCTGCTCCCAGGCAAAGGTAGACACATTCTTCTAGTGGGTGGGGAAGTGGATACACCCTCCCAGCCCCTTCCGGCTGTGCTGGAAGCTCTGGCTGCTTGCTGGCTCGCCCCAGTGGCAAGAAGCTGATGCAAAACAACCCTTGCACATTACCATGAGACTAGGCGAGGCGAGACTCAGTTTCCCAGGAGCACCCCAGCAGACTGGGGCCTCAGGCCTACCCCAAGTCCATTCCTGCAGGTGTCCACTGGCCAGCAGTCATGGCGACAATGAGAGGGCCACCTAGTGCAGAAATACAGACCAGGCCATCAACGCAAAAGAAGCCAGTGAGGGCCCGTTCGCTGACCTCTCGGAGTGTAGCAGGCACCCAGGTCTTGACAGACTCCTCTATAGCACATTCCTAAGGCACCCTCCGCTCCAGTCTCCCTGAACTTCCCACAGTTCACAAACATACCGAGTTCTTTCACGACTCTGTGTCTCTGCCCAGACTAGTCTCTCAGCCCAGAAGGTCTTTTCCCACCTTGTTCCTGTAAACTACTTCCTGTTCATCCTTTAAAAGACGCTCCTGAGAAAACCTCCTCAGATACCCCAAGCCAGATCAGCTGTCCTGTCTCCTGTGTTCTTCCTTCCTGGTTCTCTGGAACAGCATTCACCTTGTGATACACTGACTTTTTTTTTTTTTAAGCTGTCTGTTCTCTCTCTCTCTTAAACCAAGAACTCCTCAAGAGCAAGGCCTGTGACTGATTCCGTTTTATATTTTAGGGCCCTTTCCCAGACCAGGAGCACACTAGATGTTCCCCAGGCAAGTATTAAAGAACTGAATAGATGAAGAGCAAGGAACATCATCAAAAAACAGCAAATAGGGTGGTGACTGTTGTTTCCCCAAAGCAAGCAGAGCCTGAGACAAAGCTTATATGAAGTTTATTTAGGAAATGCTGGGCATGGTGGCTCTCACCTGTAATCCCAGCACTTTCAGAGGCCAAGGTGGGCAGATCACCTGAGGTCAGGAGCTCGAGACCAGCCTGGCAAAGTTATACACATTCTTATGGTGTATACTACATGGTGAAACCCCCATCTCTACTAAAAATACAAAAATTAGCCAGGCGAGGTGACATGTGCCTGTAATCCCAGCTACTCAGGAGGCTGAGGCAGGAGAATCGCTTGAACCCAGGAGGCAGAGGTTGCAGGGAGCCGAGATCACACCACTGCACTCCAGCCTGGGCAACAGAGCGAGGCTCCCTCTAAAAAAAAAAAAAAAAAAAAAAAAAAAAGACATTTATTTAGGAAAGTGATTCCAGGCAACAGACTGAAGGACTGAAGAGGGGAGTAGGGGAGGAAAGAAAGCCAGCACAGGTGCATTATCCGCCGGTCACTGCCTTAGGTAACTGAGGCTCAATCCCGCTAGGGGCTTCTGAGGCACTGTGTAGAAGGACCTCAGAATTGTCCACTGAGAGAGAGAAGAGGGAGGTCTTCACCCTCCAGTTCCCATCCCCAGCTCATCAAAGGGTACCCCCTATCACGGTAAGTACCCTGCAAGTCCAGAAGGCAACCAGGAGGCAAATGTGTCCTGTGCCACGCTGCAGGATCCAGGAAACGTCAGGCAGCCAAAGCCAGAGCCATCAGCCACACCTGCACAAAACTGGTTGCTACAGCAGTGGCTGAAGTTGCAGCTGGGCCAACAGGATGTGCAGCATCCATTCAGGTCTGTGTAAGAGTAGGCGAAGTTAAAGCTAGAAAAGTCGCGTTAAGATTATATTGTAGAGGGCCTTAAACATCAGCCCAAAGCTTTATTTGCCACTAAGGATTTCCACACAATGCAGTAATATAAATAGCAGTACCAAGGGGGTGATTTGAGTTCCTTTCAGTCGCCTCCCTCAATAAACCCAATCTGCCATTCTCCAAAAAAAACAAAACAAAACAAAACAAAATATTATCTTAGTAAAAACAATGCAAGTCACCTCCTGCTCCTCTCATTAATCAGTTGCCATGCTTAAGCCACTCTATAGAAATACTAAGCACCCAGTCAGGTGCAACTGTCTCTCTTACCCTTCTATGAGGAAACTCCAATAAATAAATTGTTTTAATGTTTAGATCTCTGTGTCCATCTTTAAGATAAAAAAAAAAAAGGCGAAGCTTAGGAACCTTTAAGGAAGAAACCAGTCAAGGTGGCTCATGCCTGTAATCCTAGCACTTTGGGAAACCAAGGCAGGAGGATTGCTTGAGTCCAGAAATTTGAGACCAGCCTAGGCAGCATAGCATAGACCCTGGAAAGAAAAGAAAAGAGAAAGAAAAAAGAGAAGAGAAAAGAAAAGAAAAGGAAGCAGGGGGAGAGAGAGAGAGAAAGAGAAAGAAGATAGGAAGGAAGGAAGGAAGAAAGGAAGGAAGGAAAGAAGGAAGGAGAGAAGGAAAGAAAGAAAGAAAGAAAGAAAGAAAGAAAGAAAGAAAGAAAGAAAGAAAGAAAGAAAGAAAGAAAGAGAAAGAAAGAAAAAGAAAGAAAGACAAACCAGTCAAGAGGGCCCTCCTTGTTCAATCCATAAGGAGTCTTCAGATGATAGGGAAGTTCCATTCTAATTTCCAAAAAGACTTAGAGGAATTATTCTCTGATTTGCCACTATTCAGAACAGTCTGGGAAGCATTTCCCTATCTCCTCCTGACTCTGGTGGCACACCTATATGAAAATCTGCCATGGTTGCTGTCTTTGTCCTTTTGTGGTAAATTAGATTTTCTTGAACAGTCAAAGATCAAAGGCAAGATGAGAGATTAAGATTTATTTTCTTATATGAGTCATAGCCTGGATCACCAAACAGAGTTCACCAAATGTTTTGAGCAGCGATGACATGACTGAGACAAGATTATGGAGTTCTGGTGTGACGTTTAATTAAAACTCTTCATCTGATCAAGGGCACTGTCACTGTTGGTGACAATGTAAATTACCCATCACCCAGAAATTCTGCCTCTGGGAATTTATCCTAAGACACTAATAAAGAATGTGGGCTTACACTTAGCTACACGAATATTCACCAGACTGCTCTTTAAAAAAAGCAAAAATTGAGAAACAGCTTAAATTCCCAAAAGAAAGGGATTAGTTTTAAAAAAAAAAAAAAGATAGATGTAGGGCTGGGCATGGTGGCTCACACCTGTAATCCCAGAACTTTGGGATTCCAAGGCAGGTGGATCACTTGAGCTCAGGAGTTCAAGACCAGCCTGGGCAACATGGCAAAACCCTGTCTGTACCAAAAATACAAAAAATTAGCTGGGCATGGTAGTGCACGCTTGTGGTACCAGCTACTCAGGAGGCTGAGGTGGGAGGATGAGGCCAAGGTTGCAGCGAGTCAGATCACGCCACTGCACTCCAACCTGGGTGACAGAGTATAGACACCATCTCAAAAAAAATTTTTAAAAGATAGGTGTTCCATGCTGCCATAAATGTAAACACTATATATATGTACACACACACATATATTTATATATTATACTCTGACATAAGGTTAAAAGAATCTGTAGTATTCCCCAGGTTAATATTGGATGGATGGGATTATGAATATTTTAGATGTTCTTTTTGCATGATTTTCACATTATGAGCATGAACTTTTATAATCCAGAAAAATAATGAAAAATATTCACTGGTTAGGGGTGCAGTTTAGAGTCCCATTGCTCAGGCATAAAGTGAGCATAAATTTCCCTCTTTTTCTGTCTGCAGCTCATGAAGCAGTTTAGTCCAACAGACATTATCCAGCTTCTCTAGGGCATGCCCAGCACTGCAAACTGCTGGGGATGCAAAGGTGAAGATGGGGTACGTTTCCTGCCCCTGAGGGACTCAGGCCGAGTGAGCCCATATACACCTCAACAGAAATGCACTGGACATCTCAGGGAAGCCTAGAATTTGAAGCACTCCTGGGCCTCCCAGAGACTAGATATTACATTAAAGTGCGTTGTAAGGCAGCACTATACTAATGTAGGCTTCCAAATGCCTCCCATCGGAGGAACCGGCTCACGGGAGAAGCTAAGTGCTCTCAGGAGAGCTGGGGTGTGGAGTGAACAGCACGTGAGGAAATGGTTATGTGACATCTTTATGGCAGGCACATACAGGCAGGATTTTTTAAAATGCCGCAGCTATCCTTCCAGTAGGAATACTCATCCGATAGAGTAATAATACTTCCCTCCTATAGGAGAATACTACAAGACACTATATTAAAGGAAGACATTTCACTTTCCTTTGATACTAGACATCTTCTATCTTCTTGTCTGAATTTCAAGTGTGCTGATGCCGATTTTCTTCATTGCAATTGCATGCTTCCCTCTAGTGTTCGTCTATATTATTACACCCTGTTGTAATAGGTTGAAGATGGAGGGGAGGGAGGTCTGGGGGAAAGTAAATGTATAGGGCATGGGATAGAACTGTCGAAAGCATGCAAACAATAGCCACTTAAATGGTGAAACATAATCAATGGTCCAATTTTTTCTGTAACAATAAAAAATGTTCTTGTTTTGGGTCGGAATAACGACAGCTAATATTTATTTATCATGTGCCAGGCACAATGCTAAGAGCATTGCAGGTATTAAATCATTTAATCCAATAGAAGAAATAAGACGTAGTGTTTCATAGATCACTAGGGTGATTATAGTTTAGAATAACCTATTGTATATTTCAAAATAGCTAAGAGAATAATACAAATGTTTCCAGCAAAAAGGAAGGACAAGTATTTAAGGTGGTGGCTGTCCCAATTACACTGATTTGTTCTTAACAAGTTATATAAATATATTAAATTATCATATGTACCCCCAAAACACATATATCTATTATGTATCAATAAAAAATAAAATTCAAAAAAATTTCATCCAACAATCCAAAGAGGGAAGAACTATTAGCTGCTCTGCGCATGTGCAGTGCTTCAATGTCACATCAAAACAAAGCAAAATCAGGGAAGAGAGTGGTTAACGGGCTACAGAGCAACATGCCTAAGTTTTGTTGTGACTTCTGCAATACATACCTCACCCACGACTCTCCATCTGTGAGAACCTACCATTGCAGTGGAAGGAAACACAAAGAGAATGTGAAAGACTACTACCAGAAATGGATAGAAGAGCAGGCTCGGAGCCTGGCTGACAGAACAAAGACTGCATCTCAACAAGGAAGAACACCTCCTACTCTGTTCTCTGTTCCTCCTCCTGCAGGAGCGATGATCCAACCTCCCCCCAGTCTCTTCCTGTTCCTCACCAGGTATGATGCCAGCACCCCAGCTGGGGGGCCCTCCCATGATGCCAATGATGGCCCCCCCCTCCTCCTGGATGATGCCAATGGGATGTGCTCCTGGAATGAGGCTGCCCATTGGAGGTGATATCATTTGGCTCTGTGTCCCCACTCAGATCTCACCTTGAGTTGTAATAATCTTCACATGACATGGGAGGGACACGGTGGGAGGTAATTGAATCATGGGGGTGGGTTTTTCTCATGCTGTTCTCGCGATAGTGAATAAGTCTCATGAGATCTGATGGTTTTATAAAGGGGACTTCCCCTGCACACGCTCTCTTGCCTGCTGCCATGTAAGATGTCCCTTTGCTCTTCCTTTGTCTTCCGCCATGATTGTGAGTACTCCTTAGCCATGTGGAACTGTGAGTCCATTAAACCTCTTTCCTTTATAAATTATCCAGTCTCAAGTTGTCTTTATTTGCAGCATGAGAACAAACTAACACAGGAGGCCACATGCCAATGATGCCTGGGCCCCCAGTGATGAGTCCTCCCACCCTCCCACAATGGTGCCCACTTGGACCCAAATGACTCGACCAGACAGATAAGAGTAGAGGGGAGGCCTCTTTAGATCAGTTTTATATTACTTGTTCTGCTTCACAAGGAGATCATGGTGCTGTGACTCTGGGTATTTTCTTAATAGCATGACAAAGAAGACTTGCTCCTCCTTCCTATCAAAGAGAGAATAGTATTAGACGGGAGAAGTGGGACCAGAAAAAGTGCAGTTTTCATTTGTATTGTGAAATGTGAAAATAAAATTATCGACTCTATCAGTTAAAAAAAAGAAAAGCAAAATCAAGGGGCATATGATGGACAGAGAAAGGAATATCAGAATGAAGATACACGCAGATGGCAGGGTCAGTGCTCTATACTGCTGTTACATTAACTGTTGTTAATAATATCTGGGTGGGGAGCTTTCAATTTACCCTCAAAAGTAAACCATTTCCTTTCCTTTTTAAAAAACAACTTTTTTAGGATATAGTTCACATACCATACAATTCACCCACTTGAAGTGTACCATTCAGTGGTGTTTAGTATGTTCACAGAGATGTGTAAGAACACCACAATCAATTCTAGATCATGTTCATCACCCCTAAAAGAAATCACACACCCATCAGCAGTCACCGCCCATTTCCCCAAACTCCACCGATTCTAGAAAATCATGACTCTACTTTCTTTACAGATTTGCCTGTTTTGCCTATTGTATATTTCATACAAATAGGATCACACAATACATACATGGTCCTTTGTGACTGGCTGCTTTTCTTTAACATAATGTTTTCAAGGTTCATCCACGTTGTAGCATATATAAGTAATTCATTTATTTTTATCACCAAGTAATATTCCATTGTAAGGACACACTACATTTTAATTATCCATTTATCAGTGTCTGAACTTTAGTAATTTCCTCAGAAGACATAATTTTTTTTATTTTTTTTATTTTTTTTTGAGATGGAGTTTCACTCTTGTTGCCCAGGCTGGAGTTCAATGGCGAGATCTCGGCTCACCACAACCTCTGCCTTTCGGGTTCAAGCGATTCTTCTGCCTCCACTTCCCGAGTAGCTGGGACTACAGGAATGCACCACCATGCCCGGCTAATTTTGTATTTTTAGTAGAGACGGGGTTTCTCCATGTTAGTCAGACTGGTCTCGAACTCCCAACATCAGCTGATCCACCCACCTCAGCCTCCCAAAGTGCTGGGATTACAGGCATGAGCCACCAAGCCTGGCCTGACATAATCACTTTCAAATTGATCTGTCCTTGTTTTTAATTCCATTCTATAGCTAATACAGGTATTCGGTTACTTAAAAAATTCAGTCTCTTAAAATTAAAAAAGGGGGCCGGGAGCGGTGGCACACGCCTGTAATCCCAGCACTTTGGAAGGCCGAGGCAGGTGGATCATGAGGTCAGGAGATTGAGACCATCCTGGCTAACATGGTGAAACCCCGTCTGTACTAAATATACAAAAAAATTAGCCGGGCGTGGTGGCGGGCGCCTGTAGTCCCAGCTACTCGAGAGGCTGAAGCAGGAGAATGGCATGAAGCCAGGAGGCAGAGCTTGCAGTGAGCCGAGATCGCGCCACTGCACTCCAGCCTGGGTGACAGAGCGAGACTCCGTCTCGAAAAAAAAATAATAATAATTAAAAAAGGGAATCAATTAAACAAATTATGCTCTATCTTGTCCTGAAGAACCAAGACCTACCTATATTCATAAAATTCTCATTAAAGTATGAATTAAAAGCTATAAAAATAATATGCTGCACACATCTTTCTGAAGTAAGCACACAGTGAAATCTGCTAATCAGTGATTCTTCAAGTGAGGAGCTTTAACTGGCTTTGCAGGATATTCTATTGGGATTAACAAGGGAGAAAGAAAGCAGGTATTAAGAAATCAAGAAGCGAAGTGATTATGTTCATCCATGTTAAGGAGTTTACCTAGACTTCAATGATCCCCTCAATAATACAGTGGTGAAGGATTCTAGAATCCCACAGCTGAAAATGTAGAATTCGATTATATTATTGTTATACACATTCCTTTTCATCAACTCGTAGAAGCAAATCCAATACAAGCTAATTGAGCACAAGATACGGTGTTCTTAAAGTTTGATCCCTGAAGCAGTTGTATCAGCATCATTTGGAAAATTGTTAGAAATAAAAATTTTCAGGCCGGGCGCGGTGGCTCATGCCTGTAATCCCAGCACTTTGGGAGGCTGAGGTGGGCGGATCACGAGGTCAGGAGATCGAGACCATCCTGGCTAACATGGTGAAACCCCATCTGTACTAAAAATACAAAAAAAAAAAATTAGCCAGGTGTGGTGGCGTGTGCCTGTAGTCCCAGCTACTTGGGAGGCTGAGGCAGGAGAATGGCATGAACCAGGGAGGCGGAGCTTGCAGTGAGCCGAGATCGCACCACTGCGTTCCAGCCTGGGCAACAGAGCAAGACTCCGTCTAAAAAAAAAAAAAAAAGAAAAAGAAATAAAAATTCTCAGATCTGTCCCAGACCTACTGAATCAAAAATCCAGGGGAGCCCAGGTGCAGTGACTCACACCTGTAATCCAGCACATTGAAGGCCACGACAGGAGAATCAGTTGAGGCCAACAGTTTGAGGCTAACCTGGGCAACAACATAGGAAGACCCCATCTCTCAAAAAAAAAAAAAAAAATTAGCCAGGCATGGTGGTATGCACCTGTAGTCCTAGCTACTCAGGAGACTGAGGTAGGAGAATCACTTGAGCCCAGGAGTTCAAGGTTATAGTGAGCTATGAAAGTGCCACTGCACTCCAGCATGGGCAACGGAGCAAGACCCAGTCTCAAAAAAAAAAGTCCAGGGGGATAACACTCAGCAATCTATCTATCTATGTGTGTGTGTGTGTGTGTGTGTGTGTGTGTGTGTGTGTGTGTGTGTTTGTGTGTGTGTGTGTGTGTATCTATCTATCTATATACTATATACTATCTATCTATATCTATAGATAGATAGAAAACCATACCTATCTATGGTTTTCTGTTCTTGTGTTAGTTTTCTGAGAATGATGGTTTGCAGCTTCATCCATGTCCCTGCAAAGGAGATGAACTCATCCTTTTTATGGCTGCATAGTATTCCATGGTGTATATGTGCCGCATTTTCTTTATCCAGTCTATCATTGATGGGCATTTGGGTTGGTTCCAAGTCTTTGCTATTGTGAACAGTGCTGCAATAAACATACGTGGGCATGTGTCTTTATAGCAGAATGATTTCTAATCCTTTGGATATATACCCAGTAATGGGATTGCTAGGTCAAACGGTATTTCTGATTCTAGATCCTTGAGGAATCGCCACACTGTCTTCCACAATGGTTGAACTAATTTACACTCCCACCAACAGTGTAAAAGTGTTCCTATTTCTCCACGTCCTCTCCAGCATCTGTTGTTTCCTGACTTTTTAATGATCACCATTCTAACAATGGGGTTTTCTAAATATACAATCATGTCATCTGCAAACAGAGACAATTTGACTTCCTTTCTTCCTATTTTAATACCCTTTATTTCTTTCTCTTGCCTGATTGCCCTGGCCAGAACTTCCAATACTATGTTGAATAGGAGTGGTGAGAGAGGGCATCCTTGTCTTGTGCCAGTTTTCAAAGGGAATGCTTCCAGGTTTTGCCCATTCAGTATGATATTGGCTGTGGGTTTGTCATAAATAGCTCTTATTATTTTGAGATATGTTCCATCAGTACCTAGTTTATTGAGAATTTTTAGCATGAAGGGCTGTTGAATTTTGTCGAAGGCCTTTTCTGCATCTATTGAGATAATCATGTGGTTTTTGTCACTGGTTCTGTTTATGTGATGGATTACATTTATTGATTTGCATATGTTGAACCAGCCTTGCATCCCAGGGATGAAGCCAACTTGGTCATGGTGAATAAGCTTTTTGATGTGCTGCTGGATTCTGTTTACCAATAATTTTTTTGAGGATTTTCACATTAATGTTCATCAGGGATATTGGCCTAGACTTCAATGATCCCCTCAATAATACAATAGTGAAGGATTCTAGAATCCTGCAGCTGAAAATGTGGAGTTCAATTATATTATTGTTATACACATTCCTTTTCATCAACTGATAGAAGCAAATCCAATACAAGCTAATTGAGCACAAGATTCAGTGTTCTTAAAGTTTGATCCCTGAAGCCTGTTAAAGTTTTCTTTTTTTGTTGTGTCTGCCAGGTTTTGGTATCAGGATGATGCTGGCCTCATAAAATGAGTTAGGGAGGATTCTCCCTTTTTCTATTGTTTGAAATAGTTTCAGAAGGAATGGTACCAGCTCCTCTTTGTACCTCTGGTAGAATTTGGCTGTGAATCCATCTAGTCCTGGACTTTTTTTGGTTGGTAGGCTATTAATTACCACCTCAATTTCAGAACTTGTTATTGGTCTATTCAGGGATTCGACTTCTTCCTGTTTTAGACTTGGGAGGGTGTATGTGTCCAAGAATGTATCCATTTCTTCTAGATTTTCTAGTTTATTTGCATAGAGGTGTTTATAGTATTCTCTGATGGTAGTTTGTATTTCTGTGGGACCAGTGGTGATATCCTCTTTATCATTTTTTATTGCGTCTATTTGATTCTTCTCTCTTTTCTTCTTTATTAGTCTGGCTAACTGTCTATCTATTTTGTTGATCTTTTTAAAAAACCAGCTCCTGGATTCATTGATTTTTTGAAGGGTTTTTCATGTCTCTATCTCCTTCAGTTCTTCTCTGATCTTAGTTATTTCTTGTCTTCTGCTAGCTTTTGAATTTTTTTGCTCTTGCTTCTCTAGTTCTTTTAATTGTGATGTTACAGTGTCAATTTTAGATCTTTCCTGCTTTCTCTTGTGGGCATTTAGTGCTACAAATTTCCCTCTAAACACTGCGTTAAATGTGTCCCAGAGATTCTAGTACATTGTGTCTTTGTTCTCATTGGCTTCAAAGAACTTATTTATTTCTGCCTTAATTTCATCATTTACCCAGTAGTCATTCAGGAGCAGGTTGTTCAGTTTCCATGTAGTTGTGCAGTTTTTAGTGAGTTTCTTAATCCTGAGTTCTAATTTGATTGCACTGTGGTCTGAGAGACTGTTTGTTATGATTTCCATTCTTTTGCATTTGCTGAGGAGTGTTTTACTTCCAATTATGTGGTCAATTTTAGAATAAGTGTGATGTGGTACTGAGAAGAACGTATATTACGTTGAGTTGGAGTGGAGACTTCTGCAGATGTCTCTTAGGTCCACTTGGTCCAGAGCTGAGTTCAAGTCTTGAATATTCCTTGTTAATTTTCTGTGTCGTTGATCTAATATTGACAGTGGGGTGTTGAAGTCTCCTGCTATTATTGTGTGGGAGTCTAAGTCTCTTTTTAGGTCTCTAATAACTTGCTTTATGAATCTGGGTGCTCCTGTATTGGGTGCATATATATTTGGGATAGTTAGCTCTTCTTGTTGCATTGATCCCTTTACCGTTATGTAATGCCCTTCTTTGTCTCTTTTGATCTTTGTGGGTTTAAAATTTGTTTCATCAGAGACTAGGATTGCAACCCCTGCTTTTTTTTTTGCTTTCCATTTGCTTGGCAAATATTCCTCCATCCCTTTATTTTGAGCCTATGTGTGTCTTTGCACATGAGATGGGTCTCCTCAATGCAGCACACTGATGGGTCTTGACTCTTTATCCAATTTGCCAGTCTGTGTCTTTTAATTGGGGCACTTTGCCTGTTTACATTTAAGGTTAATATTGTTATGTGTGAATTTGATCCTGTCATTATGATGCTAGCTGGTTATTTTGACGTTAGTTGATGCAGTTTCTTCATAGTGTTGATGTTCTTTACTTGGTATGTTTTTGCAGTGGCTGGTACTGGTTGTTCCTTTCCATGTTTAGTGCTTCCTTCAGGAGCTCTTGTAAGGCAGGCATGGTGGTGACAAAATCTCTCAGCATTTGCTTGTCTGTAAAGGATTTTATTTCTCCTTCACTTATGAAGCTTAGTTTGGCTGGATGTGAAATGCTGGGTTGAAAATTCTTTTCTCTAAGGATTCTTTTATTTAAGCATGTTGAATATTGGCCCCCCCTCTTCTGGCTTGTAGGATTTCTGCAGAGAGATCTGCTGTTAGTCTGATGGGCTTCCCTTTGTGGGTAACCTGACCTTTCTCTCTGGCTACCCTTAACATTTTTTCCTTCATTTCAACCTTGGTGAATCTGATGATTATGTGTCTTGGGGTTGCTCTTCTCGAGGAGTATCTTTGTGGTGTTCTCTGTATTTCCTGAATTTGATTGTTGGTCATCTTGCTAGGTTGGGGAAGTTCTCCTGGATAATATCCTGAAGAGTGTTTTCCAACTTGGTTCCATTCTCCCCCGTCACTTTCAGGTATACCAATCAATGTAGATTTGGTCTTTTCACATAGTCCTATATTTCTTGGATTTCATAGTCCCATATTCCTTTTCATTCTTTTTTCTCTAATCTTGTTTTCTCACTTGATTTCATTAAGCTGATCTTCAGTCTCTGATATCCTTTCTTCCGTTTGATCAATCTGGCTATTAATACTTACGTATGTTTCACGAAGTTCTCGTGCTGTGTTTTTCAGCTCCATCAGGTCATTTATGTTCTTCTCTAAACCGGTTATTCTAGTTAGCAATTCCTCTAACCTTTTTTTAAGGCTCTTAGCTTCCTTGCATTGGGTTGGAATATGCTCCTTTAGCTCGGAAGAGTTTGTTATTACCCACCTTCTGAAGCCTACTTCTGTCAATTAATCAAACTCATTCTCCATCCAGTTTTGTTCCCATGCTGGCAAGGAGTTGTGATCCTTTGGAGGAGAAGAGGCGTTCTGGGTTTTGGAATTTTCAGCCTTTTTGCACTGGTTTCTCCCCATCTTCATGGATTTATCTACCTTTGGTCTTTGATGTTGGTGACATTTGGATGAGGTCCCTGAGTGGACATCCTTTTTGTTGATGTTGATGCTATTCCTTTCTGTTTGTTAGTTTTCCTTATAACAGTCAGGCCCCTCTGCTGCAGGTCTGCTGGAGTTTGCTGGAGATCCACTCCAGACCCTGTTTCCCTGGATATCATCAGCGGAGGCTGCAGAACAGCAAAGATTGCTGACTGTTCCTTCCTCTGGAAGCTTCGTCCCAGAGGGGCACCCGCCAGATGCCAGCCAGAGCTCTCCTGTATGAGGTGTCTGTCAGCCCCTGCTGGGAGGTGTCTACCAGTCAGGAGACACAGGGGTCAGGGAACCACTTGAGGAGGCAGTCTGACCCTTAGCAGAGCTTGAACACTGTGCTGGGAGATCAGCTGCTCTCTTCGGAGCCGTCAGGCAGGGACGTTGAAGTCTGCTAAAGCTGTGCCCACAGCTGCCCCTTACCCAAGGTGCTCTGTCCCAGGGAGGTGGGGGTTTTATCTATAAGTACCTGACTGGGGCTGCTGCCTTTTTTTCAGAGATGCCCTGCCCAGAGAAGAGGAATCTAGAGAGGCAGCCTGGCTACAGCGGCTTTGCTGAGCTGCGGTGGGCTCCACCCAGTCCAAATTTCCTGGTGGCTTTGTTTACACTGTGAGGGGAAAACCGCCTACTCAAGCCTCAGTAATGGTGGACGCTCCTCCCCTCACCAAGCTCCAGCATCCCAGGTTGACTTCAGACTGTTGTGCTGGCAGCAAGAATTTCAAGCCAGTGGATCTTAGCTTGCTGGGCTCTGTGGGGGTGGGATCCGCTGAGCTAGTCCACTTGGCTCCACGGCTTCAGCCCCCTGTCCAGGGGAGTGAACGGTTCTCTCTTGCTGGCGTTCCAGGCGCCACTGGGGTATGAAAAAAAAAAAAAACTCTTGCAGCTAGCTCAGTGTCTGCCCAAATGACTGCCTAGTTTTATGCTTGAAACCCAGGGCTCTGGTGGCCTAGTCACTGGAGGGAATCTCCTGCTGTGCGGGTTGCGAAGATCATGGGAAAAGCATAGAATCTGGGCCAGAGTGCACCGTTCCTCACAGCACAGTCCCTCACAGCTTCCCTTGGCTAGGGGAGGGAGTTCCCTGACCCCTTATACTTCTCGGGTGAGGCAATGCCCCACCCTGCTTCAGCTCACCCTCCGTGGGCTGCACCCACTGTTTAACCAGTCTCAATGAGATGAACTGGGTACCTCAGTTGGAAATGCAGAAATCACCCACCTTCTGTGTTGATCTCCCTTGGAGCTGCAGACTGGAGCTGTTCCTATTCAGCCATCTTGCCAGCAATCATTTTTATTTTTTTATTTTTTTATTTTTTTGTGTGTGATGGAGTCTTGCTCTGTCAGGTAGGCTGCAATGCAGTGGCGCAATCTCAGCTCAGTGCAACCTCCGCCTCCCAAGTTCAAGTAATTCTTCTGCCTCAGCCTCCCAAGTAGCTGGGACTACAAGTGCATGCTGCCATGCCCAGCTAATTGTTTTTTAATTTTAGTAGATACAGGGTTTCACTGTATTGCCCAGGCTGGTTGCAAACTCTGAACTCAGGCAATCCACTTGCCTCGGCCTCCCAAAGTGCTAGGATTACAGGCGTGAGCCACTGCGCCTGGCCAGCAATCTGTATTTTAATAAACCTTCCACATAATTCTGATGCATGCTCTAGTTTGACAGCCACCACTTGAATTCATCCTCCCTTAACACACAGAAGTATCAGGTGTCCCTCCTCATGTATGAAGCCATATTGATGTCTCTCCTGGGCTGGGCTTGTCCCATTAGCCCATTGTGGGAATTAGATATAATTCTCTACCTCTCTTAACCAGGGTCCATGATGGAGACTGCAAATTGTTCCCCAGGGTCTATTCTACTCTTCTTCCTACCATTACAGTCACTGGCCACCCCTACACGCTGTCACAACTTTTAGCAAGTCATACAGTTTCCCAGCAAGAAGTGACATGTCCAATCCTCTCTGGCCTCTAGCTATGGCTATGCAAATAATTGGTTTGGACCAAGAATGTGTGAATGGAAGAGATGCATTCAACTTCCAGATTATATTCTTAAAAACACACAAGCAAGCCAGCAAAAATCTGGCTGCCCTCCTCTTCCTCTTTCCTTCCCAACTGGAATATTGATATGGTATTTAGTGTGAGGGTGAGAACCTCATCTTAGGGGATGGTGGTGCAACAAGATAGATGAAACCTAAGTCCCTGGATGCTTGTAGATCAGAGCTGCCCCAATAACATAAACTATCTTCTTCTGGACTACTATGGGAGAGAAATCAATGCACTGCAATCTTGTTGGAACTAATGTATTTTTCTTTGTTACAACAATCTAGCCTATACCTTCTTTAGAAGACATCTTCTTTATAAGATGAAGGTTCCTTCCTAGAACTTCAACCCTATATCCTTTCCTAAGGTTGAGATTTCATGCACTCATTCCCATAAACCTACCTGTCTTAGTCCATTTGTGCTTCAAAAACAAAATACCACAGACTGGGTAATTTATAAACAACGGAAACGTTACACAGTTCTGAGGACTGGGAAGTCCAAGACCAAGGTGCCAGCAGGTTTAGTGCCTGATGAGGGCCCAGTCTCTCTGCTACCAAGATGGTGCCTTGTTGCTGTGTCCAGAGGTGACAAACACTGTGTCCTCACATGGCAGATGTGTAAAAGAGATGCTAGTTCTCTCAAGCCCTTTTGTAAGGTCATTAATCCCATTCCTGAGGGCTCTGCCCGCATGACTGAATCACTCCCTAAAGGCCTCCATCTCTTAATACTCTCACATTGATGACTAAGTTTCAACACATGAACTCTGCGGCACATTCAGACCACAGCATCACCTTTTATATATTTCCCCATCAAAGACAGTTGCCACTTCTACTTCCAGTAATGATGAGCTATGTAAGTCTGACTAATTTTCCCACTGAGGACATCTACACAAGCCAGACAAATGTATTTGGTGAAAACTCATAAAGGCACAGAAGAACTAGCAAGGCACTTTAAAATAACTAGGCTAAGATAATAAAGAAGAGGAGAATCCAGAGAGGTGTTTTGGGCTTGCTTTTTCCCTGAAGCATTTGCCAATTCTAGAACAGGTAACTGAGAGTCTGAATAAGATTTCTGATGATCTTGACTGGCTAAGAAAATGGAAAAATGAGAGTCAAAGCCAACCAAGGGTGGAAGAGAGGTGCTGGTAACTCCCCACTTGAGACTGGGGTTCTGAAGGGCTGCATTTTAAGCATATTTTAAGCATAAAGGCTAAGTAGAAATAGAATATCCTTGTAGGGACACAGTCTAGTTTTGAATCATGGTAATCACTGAAATTGGATTAAGATGATCCTGGATTATGAAGCCTCCTAGGTGCCTTCCTAAAGCAAATATAATTCTTTCCGGAGGAACTTAATCCTGAACCTCAAATTTTTCCACCATTTTTTTTTCAAATAACATCTGGCATAGGATAAAAAATAACCAAGTATTTAAGGAGACAAGACTACATGAATAGTAATAACAATAACAAAATATTAAGAGCAAGGATAAAGTGGATGTCACTGCTAATTAAGAGAGAGAAATGGGCATTCAGAAATCACCTTCTGAAAAGAGCTTGTCGGGAGAAAAGAATATGATGTTTAGAAAGATGCCCCTCATAGCTAATGCAACCAGGCACTTTTCTTTTTTTCTGTTGCCCAGGCTGGAGTGCAGGGGTGCAATCACAGCTCACTGCAGCCTCAACCTCCTGGGCTCAAACGATTCTCCCACCTTGGCCTCCCAAAGTGCTAGGATTACAGGTGTGAGCCACCGCGCCCAGCTTTAGGAACATTTTTAATTAGCCATCATCAAGGCTACAGTTCTTTAAAGTTGTTCTTCCACCATGAATCAGAACAATGCTTAACTAAGGCATTCTGAAGAGATACTGTGCTTTCTTCATGGATGTGCTAGGGAGCTATCTATAGCCCATTCAAAATATTCTATATGCAAATAAGAAGTTTAAGCCGGACAAAAATTCACTTTCCTGCCTTTCTCAAAGTGGTGGTATTCATGGCAGTCTTTGAGGAAAAATGGAAAACAGAAAAGGAAACAAAAAGAACAAAGCTGGAGGCATCACACTACCTGACTTCAAAATATACTACAAAGCTGTAGTAACTAAAACAACATGATACTGACAAAAAACCAGACACACAGACCAATGGGACAGAACGGAGAACACAAAAATAAATTCACATACTTAGAGCCAACTGATTTTCGACAAAGGTTCCAAGAACACACAATGGAGAAAAGACAGTCTCATCAATACATAGTGCTGGAAACTGGATATCCACATGCAGAAGAATAAAGCTAGATCCCTATCTTTTACCATATATAAAAATCAAATCAAAATGGATTAAAGACTTAAGTGTAAGACCTGAAACAATAAAACTAGTGGAAGAAAACACAAGGGAAATGCTTCATGACATTGTTCTGAGCAAGGATTTTTAAAATAAGACCCCAAAAGCACAAGAAACAAAAAGAAAAATAGACAAATAGAATTATTTCAAACTAAAAAGCTTCCGCACAGCAAAGGAAACAATCAACGGAGTGAAGAGACAAGTTGCAGAACAGGAGAAAATATTTGCAAATCATACATCTGACAAGGGGTTCATATTCAGAATATATGAGGAACTCAGAATACTCAAAAGCTAAATAATAATAATGATAATAATCTGCCAGAGTATGGTGGCTCACAGCTGTATTGCCAGAACTTTGGGAGGCCAAGGTGGGAGACTCACTTGAGGCCAGGAGTTCAAGACCAGCCTGTGCAAAATAGCAAGACTCTGTCTCTACAGAAAACTAAAAATTAGCCAGGCATGATAGTGCACACCTGTAGTCTTAGCTACTGGGGAGGCTGAGGTGGAAGAATCGCTTGAACCTAGGAGTTTGAGGCTGCAGTGAGCCATGATTGCACCACTGCACTCTAGCCTAGACAATAGAGCAAGAATCTGTCTCAAACAAAGAAAAAGTCGTGTATAGATACAATGGAATACTATTCAGCCATAAAAAGGAATGAAATCCTGTCATATACAACAATGTGGATGAACCTGGAGGATATTATGTAATGTGAAATAAGCCAGGCTATAGAAAGACAAATACCTCATGATCTTGATCATATGTGGAATCCAAAGAAGTTCACCTCATAGAAGTATTGAGTAGAACAGTGGTTACCAGAGGCTGCGGAGGGGAGGATGGAGAGAAAATAAAGAGAAATTGGTCAACGAGTACAAAGTTACAGTTAGATAGGAGGAATAAAGTCTGGTATTCTACTGCACACTAGGCTGACTATGGTTAACAATATTACATATTTCAAAATAGCTAGAAGAGATAATTTTGAATGTTCTCATCACAAAGAAATGATTATATAGTTTGGCTGTGTCCCCACCCAAATCTCATCTTGAATTGTAGTTCCCATAATCCCGTGTCGTGGGAGAAACCCATAGAAGGTAATTGAATCGTGGGGGCAATTACCCCCATGCTGCTGTTCTTATGATAGTGAGTGAGTTCTTACGAGATCCGATGGTTTTATAAGGGGCTTTCCCCACTTTTGCTCGGCACTTCTCCTTCCTGCCATCATGTGAAGAAGAATGTGTTTGCTTTCCCTTCTGCCATGATTGTAAGTCTCCTGAGGCCTAATTAAAGCTTTTTCCTTTATAAGTTACCCAGCCTCAAGTATGTCTTTATTAGCAGTGTGAGAAGGAACTAATACAAACGATAAATGTAAGAGATGATGGATATGCTAAATATCCTGATTTGATTTTCACACAATGTATCACATATTGAAACATCACACTGTATCCCATGAATATGTACAATTATGATGTGCCAATTAAAAACAAAATTAAAGAAAGGCAAACAAAATATCAAATGATGACAATAGGGAACAATTACATAACATTATATACTTGAGATAGGAAATTTTTTAAAAATCCATTACCTCTTGATATGGTTTGGCTCTGTTTCCTGACCCAAATCTCATCTTGAATTGTAATCCCCACATGTTGAGGGCAGGACCTGGTGGGAGGTGATCAGATCATGGGGGTGGTTTCCCTCATGCGGTTCTCGTGATAGTGAGGGAGTTCTCAATGAGATCTGATGGTTTAAAAGTGGCAGTTTCTGGCTGGGCATGGTGGCTCACACCTGTAATCCCAGCACTTTGGGAGGCCAAGGCGGGTGGATTACCTGAGGGCAGAAGATCGAGACCATCCTGACTAACACGTGAAACCTCGTCTCTACTAAAAATACAAAAAATTAGCCAGGCGTAGTGGCGGGCGCCTGTAGTCCCAGCTACTCGGGATGCTGAGGCAGGAGAATGACGTGAACCCGGGAGGCCAAGCTTGCAGTGAGCCAAGATTGCGCCACTGCACTCCAGCCTGGGCAACAGAGTGAGACTCTGTCTCCAAAAAAAAAAAAGAAAAAGTGGCAGTTTCCCCTGCACTCTCTCTCTCCTGCCAACAAGTAAGATGTGCCTTGCTTCCCCTTCACCTTCAGCCATGATTGTAAGTTTCCTGCGGCCTCCCCAGTTATATGGAACTGAGTCAATTAAACCTGTTTATTTTATATATTACTCAGCCTCAGGCAATTCCTTATAGCAGTGTGAAATCGAACTAATATACCTTTGAAGCACTCAATACATTAGAAACATTTTCTAAACAGAGTTATGTGGTCCTAAAATAATAATAATAAAATACAAAATCAGTCCTCAGAAAATAGGCCAGACAGGATGACTCACACCTATAATCCCAGCACTTTGGGAGGCCAAGGTAGGAGGATTGAGTCCAGGAGTTCAAGACCAGCCTGGGTAACACATTGAGATGCCATCTTAGGAAAAAAAAAAAAGAAGAAGAAAATAAACAATAATTAAATTTTATCTCAAAATAGCCCCATAAATTAAGTGGAAAGGTACTGATATTTCCATTTAACACACCAAGAAACTGAGGCTCAGTAACCCCAAAGTCACAGTTAGTCAGGGCTGGTGCCTGGTTCTCAAATCTCAAGTTCCTGAGTCAAGCTAGACACCAGGAATGGAGAAGGGGAAAATATAAACTGACCCAGCATCATATTATCTCTGAACGGCCAAAACAAGAGTGGCATCAACTCATGAGAAAATAAGGGACTGTTCTTTCCGTAGTAAGTAGATCCAAGGGAAGGAGATTCCATAAAATGTTCAAAAAAGGTCTTAAATAGAGGGTCTAAACAAGGAGTACTTAAACAAATTAATTCACCACACAATTGAGAAAATGCCAGGGCAGTCACAGAACTGAGCTACAGCAGGCACAAGCGGAGTAAGCACAAGCACTGTCACCCTTGCTGTCTGCCAGCCCCGTGTCTCATCCCCACATCCTGACTTCCAGTCTGCTCTCTGAGGACCCTGGTTGAATTTCCTAACTTCTAAGATAGCTTCCAGCATCAAACTGTTAGTATTGTCCAGAAAAGAAATGAGCTTTTTCTTATTTTCTCTTTTTAAATTACACTTACCTTATTTGTACCTCAATATCTGTACACATAGTTCCCTGTCCTGACCCTCCTTTCCTGCCGTGAGCCTGCTGGAAAGCTTTTCACTTTCCTCTCTGGTCACCACATTTTGCCCTTCCTTTTAAAGCAACTCAGATGTCTCCTCTCATCTGTGCTGCCTGCTCCTTTAGCCTGCAAGAACTCTACTTTCAAAAATATTCCCTAGCCAGGCACAGTAGCTCACGTCTGTAATCCTAAGAACTTTGGGAGGCCCAGATGGGAGGATCTCTTGAGCCCAGGAGCTTGAGACCGAGAGTTTGAGACCAGCCTGGGCAACATAGCAAGACGCCATCTCTACAAAAAGTAGTCCCAGATACTCGGGAGGCTGAGGCGGGAGGATCAGCTTGAGCCGGGAGGAGGAGGTTGCGGTGAGCTGAGATAGCACCACTGCACTCCAGCCTGAGCGACAGGGTAAGACCCTGTCTCAAAATAAATATAATACAGGCCAGGCACTGTGGCTCACGCCTGTAATCCCAGCACTTTGGGAGGCTGAGGCAGGCAGATCACGAGGTCAGGAGATCGAGACCATCCTGGCTAACACGGTGAAACCCCATCTCTACTGAAAATGCAAAAAATTAGCCAGGCGTGGTGGCACGTGCCTGTAGTCCCAGCTACTCGGGAGGCTGAGGCAGGAGAATTGCTTGAACCCAGGAGGCTGAGGTTGCAGGGAGCCGATATGGTGCCACTGCACTCCAGCCTGGGTGACAGAGCGAGACTCCGTCTCAAAATAAATATAATATAATATAATATAATATAATATAATATAATATAATATAATATAATATATAAAATTGGCCAGGCGTGGTGACACACATTTGTTGTCCTTGCCACTTGGGAGACCGAGGTGGGAGGATCACTGGAGCCCAAGAGTTCAGGGCTGAAGTGAACCATGATGCCGCCACTGCACTCCAGCCTGGGTGACAGAGTGACATCCTGTCTCTCAAAAATAAAAAATGTATATATTTTACAAAAATGTAAGTAAATACAAAGTCCCAGAAGGACGCAGGTGGTACCTAGGTGGCCAGATGCTTCAGGACTTTTCTACTCCAGGATGGATAGATGGGCCAAGTAAGAAGCAGGACCCAGATCACAGCAAGGAGCAAAATTTATGGGACGCTAAAAATGTCGCCAATCAAGATTAATTAATATTAATCTAACAATATTTAAGATAACTAACATTTAAGGCAATTTTAATACGCTTATTAATATTTAAAGCTATTTTAAAAATATCCGCAAACGAGGGCCCAAGGGCTGGCGCCTGATTTTGTAAATAAAGTTTCACTGGACGTTCCAGCAAGCATCTGTCTACTCAATAACCAGACTCCAGCATCCGCAATACCAAATGGCACCGTGTGTGTCCGTCGCTAGAAGCCACTTCCTCCACCCAAGTTAAAAAAAAAAAAAAAGGCCCCAAATAAGCTGAGAGACGAAGAAAAGATCGTTTCTCCGCAGGCTGCCAGGGGTTTCAGAGACGCTGAAGAGCAGGGACAGAAAGAAGTCTGCGGTGGCCCCCACCGGCCCTCGGCACCCACATTCTATCCGGCTAACCAGCTCCTGCCGCTTTAAATCCGGGAGGCTCGGTGGCGCAGGGCAAGCAGTTGCCCGGGGAGACCAACGCACAACAGAGGCTCGCGCTCGCGAGAGCCGACCGGGGCCGCGGCCAAAGAGCTGGCTGTAATCCCGCCTCCCGCCAGCCATGGCCCACTTGCGCTCGCCTAGCGGCTTCGGAGACCCGGGGAAGAAGGACCAGAAGGAGTCAGAGGAGGAGTTAGAGGAGGAGGAGGAGGAGGAAGAGGTGGAGGAGGAGGAGGAAGAGGTGGAGGAGGAGGAGGAAGAGGTGGAGGAGGAGGAGGAGGAGGTGGTGGAGGAGGAGTTGGTGGGGGAAGAGCAGGAGTTGGAGGCCCCTGAGACGTTCAGCGAAGAGTACCTCTGGAAGGTCACGGACATCGGTGACTACGACGACGACTTCCCAGACGTGCGCCCCCGCTTAGCCAGCATCGTCAGCCCTAGCCTGACCTCTACGTTCGTGCCCAGCCAGAGCGCGACCAGCACTGAAACGCCGAGCGCAAGCCCACCCTCCAGCACCTCCTCGCATAAAAGTACCGCCCCCGACCCACCCCTTCCTCGAGGGTTTCTCGTCTCCAGGGGGCACCTGGTCCACCCACTCCTGGGTGGTGCCTTCGTCGACCTGCGCGTCGTGCCTGATTTCTAAATGCATGCACCATTCCACACACCTAATCTCTCTCACGCCCTTGTCAGAGACACTGAACCCTTGGCTGAGCTGTTGTGATGAGGCACGATTTAGGATATAGGCGAAACACCATAAAAGTTGAACTTGGGCATGGCTGTATGAAGTGCTTTTTTTTTTTTAGACAAGAGTCTCGCTCTGTCGCCCAGGCTGGAGTGCAGTGGCTGCAGCCTCGACCTCCTGGGCTCAAGCCTCCCACCGCAGCCTCTCGAGTAACTGGAACTACAGGCACACGCCACCACACCCAGCTAATCTGGCGTCTCACTATGTTGCCCAGGCTGCTGGGAGTGCTCATTTTTATAACATTTTTGCGTGCATTCACACCGTGACATCTCTCTCTCTCTCTCTCTCTGTTCCCCCTCCCCTCCCTCTTCCTCCCCTCCCTCTCCCCTCCCCCTCTCTTTCTCTCTCCCTCTCTCTCTCTCTCACAGACACACACACACACACACACACACACTCATATTATTTCCAGAGAAGTGCCTTAAGGGTGCTGTACTACTGAAACAGTCCTGCAAAAAAAAAAAACAACTCTCTTTTGTGTTTAACATCCTGTGCTGAAGCCACTCCAGTCACTTCCTTGAAAAAAGAAGCAGAGAAGTCTTCTAGAGTAGGCTTCTCAAGCTCTAGTGTTGACATTTTGGTCTGGATAATTCTTTGTTGGGGAGGATTGGGGACTGTCCTGTGAATTACAGGATATTTGGCAGCATCCCTGTCCTCTACCCGTGGCTGTGCTAGAAGCACACATCCTTGCGATGATCAAAAATGTCTCCAGGCCGGGCGCGGTGGCTCACGCCTGTGATCCCAGCACTTTGGGAGGCCTAGGCGGGCAGATCACGAGGTCGGGAGATCGAGACCATTCTGGCTAACATGGTGAAACCCCGTCTCTACTAAAAATACAAAAAATTAGCCGGGCGTGGCGGCGTGCGCCTGTAGTCCCAGCTACTTGGGAGGCTGAGGCAGGAGAATAGCGTGAACCCGGGAGGTGGAGCTTGCAGTGAGCCAAGATCGCGCCATTGCACTCCAGCCTAGGCGACAGAGCGAGACTCCGTCTCAAAAAAAAAAAAAAAAAAAAAAAAGTCTCCAGACATTGCCATGTGTTCCTGGGGGGGGTAGAATTGACCTTTTGATTTAGAGGGAATAGCTGATTTTTAAATGTTTCATTCAACAGGTTTCCCTAAAATATTTCAGACATTTAGGAAAGACATGTCTGAAATGAGTATAGATAGGTAAGAAAATGTTTTCAAATTTCACATTTTTTGAACCCAATAATGTTTACCTTTTGGATAAACATGTTAGGAAGTAGAGTAAAATAATCCAGGGCATTTGTGACTTACTTATTTTAAAAAGTTTTTTTTAAATATACACTGGTAGACACTTTGAAAGAGATAAAGGTTCCCACTTATCCCCAGCTTATTACCTAGCTCTAGAGATTACATGTCCACTTATCAATGTAACATGAAAGAATAACTATATATGCCATGTGTGCAATTGTAAGTGCTTGAGAATTTTGAATATAGCTTTTATTGGCTAAATGCAAGAGTGACCAGGGACGCCTTTTGTGGAAGAGAGTGGAAATAATAGCTTTTCCTTTTTCCTCTCTCTCTCTTCTTTTTCTTGTTATTGCTATTAGCCTTCAGGCACTTTAACTATAGTAAGAAGATACCAGTGAAATGCCTTCTGGAACATCTTTGTAAATATTCCCTGAAATCTCACACCAAACCTGAGTCAATGATCTTGAATTATTAGTTACCCTAACTTTGCTTTTGTAAGCAACTTTTGAATTCTTAAGTCTAAGGAGAATTGTTCTGTCTCACTTACATGTTTTTAGTTATCCTTTTAATTCAATTTGTAATAAAGATAATGTATACATGTGGTTAAAAAAATCAAACTACACAAAGGTATAAAAATGAAAATCTCATGCCCTTCTTCACCCCCACTCCCACTCACCTTCAGTTTTGTTTCCATTATTTAAAATGACATTTTCATTTCTTGGTTTATCAATTTCTGACATGTGTATTGAATTCCCACCTCTCCACTTTGGTAGTTATATTATTTTTAGTTTTTCTAACATTTAGGACTTCGAGGTATTTAAACCTCTACTTCTTGATTCATCAATTTTAGTATCTATTGACTATAATGAAAAATTAACATGTTAATGCACTTCCTCCTTCCATCTTTCTTCTCTCCTCTTTTTTCCCAATTAACAACAAACTATATGAAATGATAAATTATATTAAAATGCAGTGTATATTTACATAAAGTTATATTACTTTTCCAAGCTTTATTATGCTTGTATTATGGTTTGTTAATTATAATTAAAGTGCTCTGGGGTTGTTTCTAAAAATTGAAAACCAACAAACAATACTAACACTTCTATGTTGACAAACCAGTAATATGATTGAATCTATGGACAAGAAAATATAATCCTATGTCTATAAAACTTGTCTCTTAAAAAGTAAAGTTTTTGCCAGATGCAGTGGCTCACACCTGTAATCCCAGCACTTTGGGAGGCTGAGGTGGGCAGATCACGAGGTCAGGAGTTCAAGACCAGCCTGGCCAACATAGTGAAGCCCTGTCTCTACTAAAAATACAAAAATTAGCCGGGCATGGTGGCGTGTGCCTGTATTCCCAGCTACTTGGGAGGCTGAGGCAGGAGAATCGCTTGAACCCAGGAGGTGGAGGTTGCAGTGAGCCGAGATCATACCACTGCACTCCAGCTTGGGCAATAGAGTGAGACTTCATCTCAAAAAATAAATAAAAAATAATAATAATAAAATAAACTTTTTGACTCTCTGTTGTTCTGTCTACAGTTTTTCTGGGTTGGCTCACCAGCCACACTTTATTGGTTCCCATATTGTCTTCTTTCTTTTGTTGCTTTTCCTTTTGCTGGAGAAACTCCTCAGGTGAATTTTTTATATAGGTCTCACGGATAGTCAAATTTCTGAGTTCTTGCCTGCTTTGAAATTTCTTCATTTTGCCCTTGTACTTGACTTGTTAATAAAAAAATAAATAAAAACCTGCCAAAAAGAAGAGATTTAAAACCATTTCACATGGTGAAACCTCGTCTCTACTAAAAATACAAAAAAAAAAAAAAAAAAAAAAAAATTAGCCGGGCATGGTGGCGGACGCCTATAGTCCCAGCTACTCTGGAGGCTGAGGCAGGAGAATGGTGTGAACCTTGGAGGAAGTGCTTGCAGTGAGCCAAGATCGCACCACTGCACTCCAGCCTGGGCAACAGAGCGGGACTCCATCTCAAAAAAAAAAATTTCCCTCAGAGATCTGAAGACATTGCTTCTTTGCCTCCTAGTAGCCAATACTGCCTCACCAGTCTTATCCTCAGACCATTCTGATATATAATTACTTCCTCCCCTTTTCTTCTTTTCTTCAGAACTCCTCCTAGATGCTGTTGGACCTCTTAGGTAGATTCTCCATCTTTAATAACATTTCCTTTGTATTTTCAGTATCTTCAGGATTTTTGATGTTTGTTTACATGCTACTATACAGCCCTTGTACAGAATTTTTTTATTGGAGGATTCATATTTGAAATTTCGAAGAACCAGTGCTTGTTCTCTGATTGTTGCTGTTCAAAATTATTTGGTTTGTTTTTTGTGTTTTTTTTTTTTGTTTTTATCTCTTTGAGGGCTTTGTTCTAATATATTAAAGTTCTCCTTTGTTCTTCGTATTATTTTTCCTTTCAAAGTCAATTGTTCTGTTTATTTCTCTTGCTTTTTCTCTTCAATGCTATTGATTTTTCTTAAGTGGTAATCCTTCGTTGCCCATTTTTATTTATAAATGAATGGCTGATAAATAGCTAGAAAGGAATCCTTCCCTAGCTTTAGTAGTTCTGTTTTCTGACAGAGCTTGCATAGGAGAGTCTGCTATGATCCCTGTGCAGATGGGTGGGGCATGTTAGAGTCATTTCCTGTGGAGTGTCTAGGCAGGGAGGAGTGAAGCTGGGAAATCCTACTATTACTAGAGTTAGGGCAAGGACACTTCAGTGTATGGTCATGGTTTATTTGTTTGTTTGTTTGTTTTTGAGATAGAGCCTTGCTCTGTCTCCCAAGCTGGAGTGCAGTGGCACAATCACGGCTCACTGCAGCCTCCACTTCCTGGGCTCAAGCCATCCTCCTGCTTCAGCCTCCCAAGTAGCTGGGGCTACAGGCATGGAACAGAACATCTGGCTAATTTTTTTATGTTTTATAGAGATAGGGTCTCACCATGCTGCCTAGGCTGGTCTTGAACTCCTGGGCTCAAGGTATCCTCCCAGCTTATCCCCCCAAAAAAAGATTTGATGCAAACACACTGAGTTAACTTTACTGAAAAGATAAAAATGGAAGAAAATATTTCAAAGAAAACAAAATATTTTCTACGTGCATTAATTAATTGATTATTAAATGTTCGATGTTTAGAAGACCTGCTAACAACTATATAGGTATACTCAAAACATTTTTGTCGAAATTTCAGAAATATTCATCGCAATTTGTCTCCAGGAATTCCAGTATCAGTACAAACAGAAGAAAGTTGGCTCCAAGATTTGTCTGATAAAGTGCAATCGAGTGAGTAGTTTGATTTCTTAGCTTTTCCTGGGAGGAGGGATTGCATGTTGGAAATATCACAGGTGTAGAAGGCCAGTACAGCTAGATTTGAATCCCAGCCCCAACACATACTAACCTTGTGATGTTGGGCAAGTTGCTTACCCTCTTTGAGTCTTACTTTCTTCATCTCTTGGAAATAGTCATATTGTCACAGGATTCTTATGAAGATCAAAATAAGATTAAATATTTTCAGTATTCAATAAATGGTAGCAATTATGTTCACATCAAGAAATAATCTGCCATTATATTTTTGATACATATCTTTATTTTTTTATTATACAAGTAACATATGCACACTTTTTAAATGTCAAACCACTAAGAAGTGGATAATGTAATAATTAAAACTTTAACTTTTCCAGTATATTTCCCTTCAGCTTTTATATTCACATTTTATTTTATGTCATTTATTCATCGACTGCTTACTGAGCACCTACCATTTGCCAAGCACCTAACATTTGCCAAACACCTATCATAGGTCTAGCCTATAATAGGGTATCAGCAGTGAAAAAAACAAGCAAATCCCCTGTCTCAGTGATATTAAAGTGTGGGAAGTGAAGGTGATGGCAACAATATAGAGAATAAATCAGTTAATATATAAAACATTAGATGATGTAAGTGCTAAGAAGAAAAGTAAAGCAGGGAAGGGGTTGGAAAGTGTCGGGGGTTGGAGGTAGGGTGCAAGTTTACACAGGGTGCCCAGAGAAATCTTTCCTGAGAATCTGAGGTATTTGAGAAAAGACCTACAGGAGGTGAGAGAATGAGCCAGGACAATCTCACAGGAAAGGTGTTCCAGGCAAGGGAACAGCAAGTGCCTCCTTCTAGAACAAGAGGCCAGTGTGGCTGCAGTGGAGTAAGCAGGGAGGAGAATCTTAGGGGATGAGATCACAGAGATCTGAGGACCAGATCTTTCTCACTGGGAGTGAGGTGGGAAGTTGCTGGAGAATTTGTGCAGAGAAGTGATATAATCCAACTGGTATTTTTAATGACTGCTGGCTGCTGAGAAAATATGAGGGCAAGAGCCCAGAGATTGAGCCCTGCAGAACTCCATTGTTAAGTTGGGGACATGAGGAAGAAACTAAGGAAAAGCATCCAGTGATGTAGAAGAAAAACCAGGAAGTGTCCTAGATACCAATAAAGTTTCAAGGAGGCAGGAATGATCAACAGGCTCAAATGATACTCAGAGGTTAGGAAGATGAGGACTGAGAACTGACTACTAGATCTAGCATGTGGAAGTCATTGGTGATGTGGATAGGACCAGCTTCAGTGTAACTCTGGGGATAAAAGCCATATTGGAGTGGGCTCAAAGGAGAGTGAAATAAGTGTAGAATAGAAATGGAATCATACTCCACAGTCCCATTTTATTGCTAAGCTTTTAATGGTACAGTGGTGTAACTAAAACATCAACAGTCTTATTTTTTAAGGTCAAAAGATACAAATCAAACAATAGTTTCTTTTGACTATTACCCTCAATTTCAGATGTCACCACTATTATCATGTTGGTTTGTATCTTTCCAAATCTTTTCCTAAGCTTTTGTATCCATATAAAAGTGTAGTAGTGTGGCCCCTTTTGTTTGCTGTTGTTATTTACATGAATGGTATCACACCGAATCTGTTGTTCCACTTGCTTTTTCGCTTAATAGGCCTTGAAAATTTTTACCAGTAAATACAGGTAAAAATTCTTTGTAATTGTTGCATAATAGCACATAGTACAGATGTACAATTATTTATTTAAAGATTCCCCAACTGATGCATAAAATTGTTCCTAGATATTTATTTCCACAGTGTTACAGTAAGCCGCCTCCTCTTTGTGTACACACCGAGTATTGCTGTAAGACAAATGCCAAGAAAGTGGTATTGTTGAGTGAAAAGTTACACATTTTAATCATCACCTTCCTAAAGAGCTGACCCAAAGTATGCGTCCATCAAAAGGGTTGTTGAGACCACCCTTTTCCTACTCTTTCCTATATTTGATATTGTCATTCTTTTAAATTTTTGACAGTCTGTTAGGTGGAAATGATTATTATTTTATTTCTTAATTATTAAGATTATTGCCGAGGTTGAGCAACTTGATACCAATAATATGTTTTTTTGGTCACTCGATTATCTTCTTTGAATTCAGCAAACAGTGTTCATATCTTTTTCCCATTTTTCCATTGAGTTGTCTTTTCTTTCTTGATGTTTATTTTTTGGCAGCTTTTTACATATCTGTAATACTTCTTTGAATGTTGTATATGTTGCAGATTGCTCCTCCCAGTTTGTCTTTTACATTTGCTTGTGGTCATTTTTGTTAAATATAATTTTAAATTTGATGTAAGTAAATCTTTTCCTTGTGATTCTCACATTTTGTGGTTTAAAAAGTATTTCCCTAATTCAATAATATATGTATATTTTCCTACATTTTCTTCTAAAACTTCTAGAATTTTACTATTTATCTTTAGCACCTAAATCAATATGGACTTTATTTTTGTGAATGGCTTAAGAAAATAACCATCCTTTTCCCCCAAATTTTGTCTCTATACTACTCCTTAACCAGTCCAACCTTTCCACTCTGCTTTGAAATGGTGTCTTTATCCTATACTAAATTATCAAATATATATTGTGTATATATTTCATGTGTGTACATACACACATGTGAATATTCTGTTCCACTGAACTATTGGTATTTTCCTATACCAATATCACACTATCTTAATTTCTATGGTTTTACATATTTAATATATGATAAATGAATTTCTCCCCTCCTTATTCTTTTTCAAAATATTATTCCCAGTTATTCTTGGGCACTTGTTCTTCCAAAAGTATTTTAGAATCAAAATTCCATTGAAAACTCCCACCAAAACTACATTGACTATGTAGATTAATTTGTGAATAATTGATACCTTTTTAATATTAAATCTTTTAATATTAAGTCTTGTTTTTCAGGAACCTAGTGTACCTCTCCATTTTGTTTCTGATCTTCATATATATATATATAGTATATACTATATATATGAGCCTCATAAAGTTCTTATTAGTCTATGCTAGGTGTTTTATAGTCTTTCATTGATGTAGCCAACCATTGGGGTCTTTTTTTCTTTCTCTTTTTGAGACGAAGTCTCGCTCTGTCGCCAGGCTGGAGTGGAGTGGCGCGATCTCGGCCCACTGTAACCTCCGCCTCCCAGGTTCAAGCGATTCTCTTGCCTCAGCTTCCCGAGTAGCTGGGATTACAGGCATGAGCCACCATGCCCAGCTAATTTTTGTATTTTTTTTTTTTTAGTAGAGATGGGGTTTCACCACGTTGGCCAGGATGGTCTCAGTCTCCTGACCTTTCCTGACCTCATGATCTGCCCGCCTCGGCCTCCCAAAGTCCTGGGATTCCAGGCGTGAGCCACTACAGCCGGCGAGAATCTTTTTTTCTATTGTATTTTCTAATTGGTTATTGTCAATCAGTAGGAAAACTATTGATTTCTATGTATCAATCTTGTATCTGACCCCCTTGCCGTACTTCCTTATTCATCATAGTAGTTTGTCAGTTGAGGGTCTAGTGGACAATTACATTTCGTGTGAATAGTGGCAGTTTTATCTATTCTCTATTGTTTTTACTTAGCAGTTGTTATGGTCTAAATATTTGTGTTCCCCCAAAGTTCACATATTGAAATCTGATCACTAATGTGATAGTATTAAGAAATGGAGCCTTTTGGAGATAATTAGGTCATGAGGATGCAGCTGTCATGAATGGGATTAGTGCCCTTGTAAAAGAGGGCCCAGAAAGCTAGTTCATTCCTTCTACCATGTGAGGACACAGCTAGAAGGCACCATCTATGAACCAGGAAATGGGCACTTACCAGACACCAAATCTACCGGCACCTTGATCTTGGACTTCTCAGCTTCCAGAACTGTGCACATAGATTTCTGTTGTTTATATAAGGTACTCAGTTTATGATAATTTGTTATAGCAACCCAAACAACCTAAGACAGAAAATTGGTACCAAGATGTGGGGATGATAAACCAAAAAGTATCTGAGACAGGTTTCAATCAATTTAGAAAATTGTTTTGCCATGGTTAAGCACATGCCCAGAAGAGAAGTAAGACAGAGTCACTGAAATGGTCTTTGCCTTCCTCCAAAGATGATTTTGAGGGCTTCAGTATTTAAAGGGGAAAAGCAGGTCAGAAGGAAAGGAGGAACGAAGTGGTAATCCACGTGTTGCAGGAGAAAACGAGCAGGTAGGGGAATAGTCAATTCTGTATTCATCTGGCCCTCAGTAAATCAGCACTTTAAATAAGATAAAACGAACATAGAGTACCTACCCATGGAGATATTTAACCTTTTATCTGTAGCTGTCTGCTTAGGAACAAAAGGAAAAGTGGTTTCTTGCATGACTCAGATTTTAGCTTTATTTTTTCCTTGTGGCATGGTGAATTGTGTTCCTGAGTTTTTATTTTTCATTCACATTTCTTCTCCCTTTTCTTTTAAAGATGTTTCATCTTTCTGAAACACACCAAATAATAATAATAAATAAAATTTTAAAGATAAAATTTTTCAGAGAAAGCATTTTAGAAAATAATGAGTCTGGTCTCAGGTTGTTTCTGATCTTTCATGGCTAAAATGGTTTTAGCAGTTTGTGAAGTCTCATGTCCTATGAAGAAAAAATAGGAGGAGGAAGGGAGAAAAACAACAGCAAACAGAAGAACAATCCTGGAAAACTGCTATAGGCCACATTACTCTGAAGTCCATACATCACTAGGCAGGTATGAAAGTGGCTTATGTATGTAAATAGGTTGTTGTTATTTTCTTCTGAAGTTTAAGTTTTCTAGCTTCAGTTTGCAGGGCTTTACAAAAGCACAGCTTAGTTTTCAGTGACTCCAAATTGGGGAAAATGGGGGAAGAAAGAAGGAAAAAAAATTGAAAACATTATTTTGAAGATTTGTAACCAAGAAAAATTAGAATTCAGTCCAAACTGTAGAAAATAATAAAAATTGAAAAACATTAGTCAAGACAAGAATCTAACAACAAGTATACTATAGGTTTTGAAACATAATTTTTCTCTCTCCAGTTTCCCATTTTTACTAAAGACAAATTGTGGTAGGACTGGTTTGCTTTATTATACTTGGCCTAATCATTTGTATACAGTGCAGTAAAAAAAAAGTAATTATTTTTACATAGGCTTTTAAATTGGCTTTGATGGAATTTTGTTCTATAGAAAGAATCTCAGATAAGACTTTTTTAAAGTTGAGCCCAGCCATTGATTTGTACCATCAAATACCTATGAGTTGGGTGATCCTCTCTCCTCTTGAAGTTCCAAGATAAAAGTTGGGGCTCCTAGGCCTGTCAGAAAGTGACATTCTTTACTTACCACAGGTCAGGAACCCTGTACAGGGACTGTATGGACAAGTATGAGGCCAGTTTTCCCAAAGGGCTTTTATTGGATCCATAAGTCAGATTTGATTCCTTAAGGAAAGCACACCATTCCAGTCAAAGCCTTGATAAAATAACCATTTTCTCCAATTGTGTTCTGTCATGAATGAAAACAGATTCTTATTGCACTTATACAAATAACTGTATTGCTATAAGTTAAGAATACTCACAAATAGTTTCTAAATTCTGGAGAAATCAGGTAGAGAGAAAACAAATACACTCCAAATTTTGTTCTTAGGAGTACACTTTACTCAATTGTTAAAAGCTGTAAATAGCTTAAAAGTTTTCTTGAGTCTGAAAAACAAAACAAAGGATCAGCAACGTTTTAAGCAAAAAGTTAAAAACATTGCTTCAGACTTCTATTAGTTTAGTCTATGCAGTTAATTCCTGTTCTGCTTGATATTCTTGAATATTTCAGCTCTCCATGAGTCCTGAAAGCTTTTCCTCTATTCTGATGTCATAGTCTCTGAAGTTATCAGAAACCTGCATTTGAGAACACCTGTTAAGAGTTTTATAACTGATTATAAATCCACCTTCTAAAGTGCACCAAAACAAGATAACAATTGTCTGGGGACGACAAAAAGTTTTAGGGCAGCCATAGTCAAAGACACAATTGACAAGAAAATTTGTTACCTCTGTGGTACACAATAATTTAACATAATTATAATTATTACTGATAATGTACATTAACTCATATCAAAATTATAGGAGTTTCCCATAATTTTAGAACACATACTAATAACATATTTATACAAATACAGGCCAAAGAAAACCAAACATCATTTTATATTTGACAGTGCTTCCTGTATAATTTTTATACCAAATAAGCCAAATATGTCATTTTTGTACTTTAAGGAACCTAATATCTTAAAGGATTAATTAGATCAGGAAAAGACATAATTTATAATTTGATTTGGAAAGTTTGACCATTATCAAAGGTTTAAAACACTTGATATCATGAAATAGGATCACAGGTTATTGTAAAATAAGTCATTTCATTTAACCAAAGTGATAACTCAAGGATTTCAAAAAAAGAGCAAAAACCTTCATTCTTTGAGAGAGGAGACTTAATTTCCCAAATTATAAGCCCTAATAAATACAGCATGAAGCCAATTAAATTTGTTTTTCAAAATTTTATAAACAATCTATAAAATTTTAATCTTGATATAAGATAAGATATAACTTCCATAAGCTTTTTATAACCTTTATCACCTTTATTAAGGAGTTGGTTAATGCTTCATGAAAACCTTGTTAAACTGACACAAGCGCCTATATGCTAGTCTTATATCAGTGTGCTTTTGACATTGATGATTAAAGAGAAACTGAACTTTTTTTATCCCTCAAAATTGGCTCTTACAATCTCACAGGCCCATCTGTTCCATGATAGTCCCTGGGCCTTGAGGAGTGGAATAGTTTTAATTTCTGGCCCTGTGTCTCGGGAATGCAGTTTATTTTGATTGACATCTTCTACCAGGCCTGAAGATGGGGCCTTAATTGCTGTCAGTGTTTAAAATTCAGCCGGACTTGGTGTCCTTTTTAGACCCAATAGTCAAAGCTCTGTAACTCAATCTCACAAGTACTTTAAAAGTGCATACAGAAGGATACACAGATGTAATAACCTTAATTTAAAAAAAAATAATCTCAGCTTTTTTTCCTAAGCAAACCAAAACTTAATAATAATATGGCAACTTGATTATATAAGTTTTTTTAAAGAAATCCTCTTATTGTGACTTACACAGACCATTCATGACATGATTGGACTTTCTGGTTTGTCCTGAACATCCCTTTCTCTTAAACAACCAGTCATTCTACTCTAGGACTAAATTTACCATACAAGATTCTTTCTTTCTCATTGAAATTATTTCTCTTTAAGCTTTCTTACAAAAAACAAATAAACCTCTTTATTTTTGTAACTTTCTTTACATCTCTCTTATTTCCTGGTTCCTTTTACCTCGTTTAATACATGATCTTTGAATTAGACAAAAATTATTCACCTTTTTTAAAAGGACACCCTTTTCTTTTAAGAATGTTTTCCTACAAATATATTTTTAATGCAAAATACCCAAATAATGAAATATCTATAATTTAACTTTAGATTCTAAATTATAATGAGTTCATCTACAAGTATGTATCCCATTACATTTACCTAATTATTTTAATTGTTTACCTGGATTATTTATGAAAACTGTGATAGTCATCATTTAAAGTTATGGAACTGCCATTGCAAAATTATAACTGAGACAGTGAAAAAGATTTGACCCAACTGATTCCATCTTGCTTTTAACCTCCAAGCTGTCCTTGTTCATTCCTGGGCATACGCTGAACTAGCTTTGGGAGGAAATTAGTTTAGAGTTTAGCTTTGAAACAAAGATGATAATGGTCCTTTCCCAAAACAAACCTCACTGCCTGTGGACCAGACTGCCTAAAGCCACAAGATTAGAAGTTATGGTAATCTTACTAAATTTAAGATGTAGCTATTTTTTATTAAATCAATATCAATGTCTTACCTATTAAAGATTATACAAGCAAAGATCATTTTGTCTTGGGCTGGGTTTATAGTTTTGTAACCCCTATGTCAAATTTTGACATCTTATCATATTTGGCAGGGATAAGTATGAAATTGCTTGATTAATAAATGCAGACAAAAATGTATGCTGACAATTCTTAAGACATTTCTAATATTACTTTACCAATAACTGAAAAGCTAGTTTATTTATTAAAGATTTTACTGAAGTTACATAAACTTGAAAAAGCACTTGACTGGTCTTTTCTTTTTTCCTGGTAAAGTATTTGATTAAAGTGTTTTTATTTTTCTTTAAGCCAATTAATTAGAGTTCTTTTATATCTTTTCAGTAATGAAACAGTGTGTACAAAACATGCAAATACATAGATATATTAGGCATGCCAATAGAAGTACATCTTATAGATTAATGAAAACCTTTTTTTTTTTCCCTATCTTAGACATTCAGATTCTTGATAACCTGTTTCACAACGCTAGGCAGTTTTCAGCTAAATAGACTTAAATTTGCATATTAAAGGAAACAACTCAGGTGAAAATCAAATAGCAAAATGTATATCATAACGTGTGGAGAGAAAAAGTCTGGTGTGCTAGAGGGAGATTAAAGATGGATGCCAAATCAAACATAAAATTATAAAAATCTTTCATAGTTTTGTATAAGGAGACCAGTTTCATTTAGACAGGGACTACCTATCTTTTAACTGGATCGCTGAGCTCTGGGCAAAGCCCATGCCGAATCCTAGGTTTCCAAAGAGGGAGAATTATTATGAGGCTAGACCACATCATATTTTTACAGTGCATGTAAAAAAAAATTTTTTTTAAACAAAGACATTTATAAGTGCCTAAACTACACCTGTCTTAAAAAACCCAAGAGTAACCTCTGTTGCAGTAACTATATCAGTTAATAAATCAGGTAACACAATACCGAGGAAAGCAGTTTAAAAGCTGAGCTGAACTTGTCTGTTTACACTCTTGGAGTTCCCATAAGGAAAAACAGCGTTCTCCCGCAAAGGGACTCTGGTACCTTCTCTGTTTTCTTTAAGGAACCCCAGGCTATTATAAACTATTTTAGGCTCCTCATGCAGCAGAGGGTACAAGAGAAAGGAGAGACAGCAGAAGTAAATGAAGAAAACAGAATTCAGTCAACTGAGAAGAAAAAAACTTTTGCTCAAAAAAAGGGACAAGATTCTAGGAGGAAAAAAGATAACATGAAGGCCTTTTAAATACAAACACACACATGCACACATACACACACACACATCTTGGATGTTAGCTTTTAATTAAGCTAATTTTAACCATTGAGCTTCTTTTAAAAAAATCTTTTAAAATCTCATTAGCATATTTCAGCTAGAAAAAATTGCTGCTATTTCAGAAGTACCAAGTATCAAACCAGAAAGGGCTTGATTTAGGAACAAAACCCAGGCTGTTGTGGTGGAAAAAAGAAGGCAAAACCTTAGCTATGGAACGGCAGCATGAGGCAACAACCACTGTTTCAGTTTGGCCTGGCTAGCAAAAAGGTGGCCTTGTTATGTAAAGATACAAAATATATGTTATATAAAATAGTTACCTGCCTTCTATTGTCATGGAAGCAGGAAAAAAATGACTTCCTTGAGTTGGAAGCAAGTAAAACTTCAAAAAAAGAGAAGTTGTACAGCAAAATAAAGTTTAGATCGTGACCAAATTTGAGGAGATCAGGGATTCTCTGGAGGGGGTGCTTCCAAGCCTCAGCAAATTGTCCTATTGGTTTGAGCCATACAGATAGCTCAAGCTAGTACCAAGCACCGATAGAAGATTTGTCAAATATCAGGGGTACCTCCACTCAGAATTCCTCTGTGGTTACTAAAATGTGAACCCCGAAAATCTGAGACAGGCCTCGGTTAATTTAGAAAGTTTATTTTACCAAGGTTGAGGATGCGCACCTGTGACACAGCCTCAGGAGGTCCTGGTGACATGTGCCCAAGGTGGTCAGAGCACAGTTTGGTTTTATACATTTTAGGAAGACATGAGACATCAATCAACATATGTAAGATGGATATTGGTTTCGTCTGGAAAGGCGGGACAACTCAAAGGCGGGACAACTCAAAGCCGGGAGGGGGCTCCCAGGTCGTAGGTAGAGAAGAGACAAATGATTGCATTCTTTTGAGTTTCTGATTAGCCTCTCCAAAGGAGGCAATCAGATATGCATTAATCTCAGTGAGCAGAGGCGTGACATTGAATAGAATGGGAGGCAGGTTTGCCCTAAGCAGTTCCCAGGTTGACTTTTCCTTTCAACTTAGTGATTTTGGGGCCCCAATATATTTTCCTTTCCCATAAACTACCCAGTTTAAGGCATTTTGTTATAGCAGCCCAAATGAACTAAGACAGCAATGTATCACGGACATCTCTCCATGTCAGGAATGATTGACCTAATTCTTTGAAGTTACTGCATAATATTTCGTCATATACAGTTATTGTGACTTATGTAATGCTAGACATATCGGGGTTGTTCTTGTCTTGTTTTGCTTTTTTGCTTTTTTTGAGCTCTTCCCTATAACAAATAATGTATTAATAAAAACCTTTGTGCATTAATTTTTTTACATACCTGTGCTGGCATTTCTATAGAGAAAGATGCCTAAAACATCTTTAAAATTTTTTCAGATGATCCACATTGCCCCCCAACCTCCCCAAAATAGATCAACTTCTTTTTTAAAAAAATTTATTTATTTGTTTATTTACTTTTTGAGACAAGGTCTTGCTCTGTCACCCAGGCTTCAGTGCAGTGGCGTGATCTCAGCTCACTACAGCCTCAACCTCCTGCTCCAGCAATCCTCCCACCTTAGCCCCCACTAACTGGGACCACAGGCATGCACCACCACAACCAGCTAATTTTTTTTAAAGTTTTTCATAGAGACCAGGTCTCAGTATTTTGCTCAGGCTGTTCTCAAACTCATGTACTCAAGTAATCTCCCCACCTTGGCCTCCCAGAGTTCTGGGATTACAGGCATGAGCTACCACACCCAGCCCAAATCAACTTCTGAAGCCTATCTGTCTCCAACAGCAGCCCTTGCTCTCCTGGCTTTGCTAAGAAAATGAGTCCCTTGCATTTTAATAGCCTCTTTCCTTTGCCTCTGTCCCATTATAGGTTGCTCTGATTGGTTTTTCATCATTCCAATCCTATGTGCTTTAAAGCTTCTAGACATTTACTCAAAGTTGCTGATTTGTGGATGGCTTCTTCCCCATTTCCAGTGCTGCTCTGGAATCTAGATAGAATAATCCTGGTGGTTTACTTCACTGTCTTGAAATAGAACCCTCAGCACCCTCCTACCTGAAAAATCTCATGAAGAATAACAGACATAAAGTAGATTGATGGTACTTAAAAGAAGCAGAAAACAAAAGGGTATGCAAAGCATGATTATAACCAAGGAAAATATTGATCTGTGTAGCATAATAGTCCCCTCTTATCTACAGTTTTATCTTCTGTGGTTTCAGCTGCCTGCAGTCTGAAAATGTTAGTGGGAAATTTCTGAAATAATCAACACGTAAGTCGTAAATTGCATGATATTCTGATTGAGTGACGAAATCTCTCACTATCCCACTCTGTCCTGCCTGGGACATGAATTATCTCTTTGTCGTTGGATTCACTTAGCAGCGTTGTGATTATCAGATCGACTGTAGTGGTATTGCAGTGCTTATGTTCAAATAACCCTTAATTTCTTTTATTTATTTTGAGACACACATTTGCTTGGTAGCCCACGTTGGAGTACAATGACACAATCTTGGCCCACTGCAGCCTCTGCCTCCCAGGTTCTACAGGTGCCTGTCAGCACACCTGGCTAATTTTTGTATTTTTAGTAGAGACAGGGTTTTGCCATGTTGGCTAGGCTGGTCTGGAACTCCTGACCTCAAGTGATCCACCCGCCTTGGCCTCCCAAAGTGCTGGGAATACAGGTGTGAGCCACTGCACCTAGCCCTCAGTTTCTTAATAATGGCCCCAGAGCTCAAGAGAAGTGATGTTGGCAATTTGGATATGCCAAAGAGCATCCATAAAGTGTATCCTTTAAGTGAAAAGGTAAAAGTTATTGACTTCATTTAAAAAAGAAAAAAATAGTATGCTGAGGTTGCTAAGATACATGCTAAGAATGAACCTTCTATCTGTAAAATTGTGAAGGAAAAAGAAATTTGTGCATAGTAGGGTTTGGTATACCTGCAGTTTCAGGCATCCACTCAGGATTTTGGAATATATCCCCTGCAGATCAAGGGGGACTACTGTATTCTAGGACTAGAAAGGAAGGGGAAACATTTTAAAATGTGATATATAGAATGCTAACTTTCCTTTGTTTATTCCTTATTGTCGGCAAAATGTTATTTGGAAAAAGAGACAAAAGATTAAAAGATAAAAGAAACATAGTAAGGGTAGTTATTTTTCTGAGAGATGTATTTTCTTTTATATTCAGCTTCTTTTCTACTTTGTCAGATTGATGACACATGTACCCTGTTTTCACAGGGAAGAAAGCCTCTAAAGAGAAAGCTGAACCTGAATGTCTGGCATCTAAGTTAAGAGGTAAATACATGTTTGGCATCATCTCCTTTTGCTGGCAAAGGTAAACTACCAGAAGGGAATCACCTTAACTCGCACAGAGCCCATCTGCTTTGAAAAAGGACTCACCTAAGAACAGGTGTGAGAAGGTGGCGAAAACGTCAGGGATCAGGGCATCTGAACAGTGTGTGCGTGCTGGGCAAGGAGGATGATGGTGGGTGTGAATCTCCAAATTACAGAAGTGGAATGCACTGCACAAAGGCTTTAAACATTTCTTATGAATCTATTCTTTCTCTCCAGAAAAATGGGTAATTAATCCAGAAGAGTCGAAACTAAATATTTTATATGAGCTGGAGGTAAGAAATGTTTATCATACTAACTAGTACACTGTTCTCATAGTAAAAATGGCTTATCAAATCTTCAATTATTTCCCCTCACCACCCCTTTCTCTTTTTAAATTTAGTTTAAGGAAGACTTCATAACACTGTTCGAGCCTTCTCTAAGAACGTTACCCAGCATCGGACCACCATCCATTCTGGCATACAAAGAAGAGAGCTCCAATTTAGGCATTAACTTCAAGGTGACTTTAATTCATGTTTCTTATTATTACTCTTAAAAAAATGACATAAGAAAACATAATGATTTGCACAATAGACAGTGAAAATACTCTAAAAGGAAAAAAAAAAAAAGCCAAAGAGCTCAATTACTTAGAATAGCACTTAGAGTGTCTGTGTTAGTTGCCTAGGGCTGCTATAACAGGTACCACAAACTGGGTGGCTTAAAACAACAGAAACTTACTGTCTTGTAGTTATGGAGACTAGAAGTTCGAAATCAGTGTTTTGGCAGGGCCAACATATAGGGGAAAATCCTCCCTTCCCTCTTCCTAGCTTGTGGTGGTGGCAGCAGTTTTGGCATTCCTTGGCTTGCAGCTGCATCACTCCAATCTCTGCCTCAGTTGTCACAGCATTCTCTCTGTGTGTCTGGGTCCAAATGTCCCCCTTTTCTAAGGACACCAAGTCCAGTTGGATTTGGGCCCACTCTCATGACCTCATCTTAACTTGATTACATTTGCACAGACTGTATTTCTCAATAAGGTCACATTCACAGGTACCAGGAGTTAGGACTTCAATATGTCTTTTTGGGAGACACAATTCAACCTGTAAGAGTGGCCGCAAAGCCTGGAAACAGGCCAGACACGGTGGCTCACACCTGTAATCCCAGCACTTTGGGAGGCTGAGACAGATCACTTGAGAGCAGCCTGGGTGACAGAGAGAGACCCTGTCTTTTTTAAAAAAATTATTATTATTTTTTTTTTTTGAGACAAGGTCTTGCTGTGTCACCCAGGCTACAGTGTAAGTGGCACGATTATGGTTCACTACAGTCTCAACCTCCTGGGCTCAAGCAATCCTCACCTCTGTCTCCCAAGTAGCTGGGACCACAGGTGTGAACCACTATGCCTAGATAATTTTTTAAATATTTTGCAGAGATGGGTCTCACTATGTTTCCCAGGCTTATTATTAAAAAAAAAAGAAAGAAAGAAAAAGAACAAAACCTGGAAACATGGGTGAATATTTGCTATATTTGGTCATGTGAAGTGACCGATTAATGCCTGTATTTGAAGGGCAAGAGAAAGTTTACCTCAAGTATTCCAATAAGATGGTGCACCACCACACTGCCGCTAGAGTGGTGAGGGACTGACTGGTGGAATGCTTGTTTCCAAACCTGGGCTGGATGCCATGGCCATGTGGAGAGAACTGCTTACTCCCCAGATCTGAGAACCCTTGATGACTTCTTCTTGGGCATAGTAAAGGTGGAGGTTTATTCATTAACAATAAGGGGCACGAATCATGCAAGGCAACATGTCATGGATGCACATGTAGAGATGAATGGAAATGCCGTATGGATGCACTGAGGTGGTGTTCATTGCTATTTTGTACAGCACTTTGAGCTATGCAATCTAGTGAGGGGAAACATTAAGTATATCATGTAATATAATATCTATAAACATTTACTCTTTATATTTACCCAGGTTTCTAAACTTTACGGTCACTCAACAGACTCTTCGGGCTGAAATTCTTTTGTTTTTTTATTTATTTATTGAAAAGATGTGGTCTCACTATATTGCCCAGGGTGGGCTGAACTCCTGGGCTCAAGCAATATCCCTACCCTGGCCTCCCAAAGTTCTGGGATTACAGGCATGAGCCATCACTTCCAGCCCTGAAATTCTTTATTTAAATGTAGCACCTTCCTTTTTCTGCACCACAAAGGCTTGTATCTAGGGATGTCTCTGAGGTTATACTCGCCTCCCGCAACACCCAGAGATGGGTCTTACCATGGGGAAGGCCTTGCGGCTTCTCCCCCAAGACGTCCCTGAACTGGCACTTGGACGAGGCTGGCTCCTCCTGCTCCTCAGCAGGTCTTTCAGGTCTAGTGATGATGCCAATCTAGTTCAGGGGTAGCAGTGGCTGGCTTGCCCAGCTCTTCTCTCTAGCCACACCCTCTTCAGGTGAAGATCCAAACTCCCCTCATGGTCTTTGTGTTTTTGTTTTTGTTTTGTTTTGAGATGGAGTCTCACTCTGTCACCCAAGCTGGAGTGCTGGAGTGCAGTGGCATGATCTTAGCTCACTGCAACCTCTGCCTCCCGGGTTCAAGCAATCCTCTTACCTTAGCCTCCCTAGTAGCTGGGACTACAGGCACACACCACCGTGCCTGGCTAATTTTTGAATTTTTAGCAGAGACAGGGTTTACCAGGCTGGTCTCCAATTCCTGACCTCAGGTGATCGGCCTGCCTCGGCCTCCCAAAGTGCGGGATTACAGGTGTGAGCCACCATGCCCGGCCTCCCTCATGGTCTTTTGAAGTATCTCCATCTTGCTTCACCCCTAGCTGAGGGTGAAAGGACAACGGGCTGAGAAGTTCACAACCAAGTCCCTTGTATGGAGCAGGTTGTGAATGGCTTGGTATTGCCCAGCTCTCTTTCTGTCCTACTCCATCATTTGATAGCTATCCTAGATTTTCCTCCATCATCTCTCTAGTGCGAGACTTCACTCTCCAAGCATTCTGCTTTTAGCAATGTGCAGTACTTACTATTGGGTAGTTTCAGTGGCCTAAATATGTTGGACATTACTCTGGGGTAGTGAATCCCTGGCTGCACTGGCCACCTTAGTCACTTTTTAGCCCTATGTCAGGCATTTTTGCCAGTCTCAGAGAATGGTTACCATGGCATATACAGATGCCCTGGTGTTGTTAATGATCTGCAAGTCATGATCTGGGTCTCTTCCTGGAGGCCTGTCCTGAGGCTTGGCTGCTCACCTGCTCAGGAGCCTGTGCAATCACAGACATGACCTCAGGTCATTGACATGGCCACTCCACATTGAGTCAGCTGAGCCCCTAACTCCCAATCTCTCCCTTGTTTTGTGTCCCCTCCTCCTCCCTGTCCTGAATTACCTTCACAATACAGACAAAATTCAGAGCTCCAACCTAGGCTCCCCAGAGAAAGGATTCTCATTTATTTTAGAAAGTTGGTCATTGTACATGTTGGCCTACACAGTAATGTCAAGGCTTTTTCTTACTTGGCATTTCTTGAAAGAGTTAATGATGTTCAAATACTTAGATCATTTGTATAAAATCCAGTGTGTGTTATCCTTATCTCTTGCATCTAGGTACACACTACACATTCCCCTCCCCAACAAGGGACTCTGGTATCCACAGTGAATTCATTTCTGCAACTTTCTTCTTATACCAGGAAGGCATTCTGAAGACCACACACTTCCTGATAGGCTCAACTCTGCTCTGGGGAATTGCACCAGACAGAGACCTGCAAAACACCACCTCAGGCTCCTGAAGCCTCACCAGCCCTTAAATGGAAGTGATATCACTTACTGGCACATCTCATCACCACTGCTGTTCCATTCACTGACCATGCCCAGGGTCGTGCTCCTGCTGCTCTCAGAGCCTCTGGGCCTCTTTGTGGGGACTTCTTTAATTTTTTTCCTCTCTCTCTGAAGGATGAAGAGGAGGAGACATCACCCAAATGTGAATTTTGTGGCAGCGATCTAAGAGCATTTTTTTCTAATGTGGATGTTTCCTCTGAACCAAAAGGGCATGTAAGTTCTAAGTCAGGTTTACTGTGGAAATAGTATTATCTTTAAACATATGTAGTATTTTCTCTTGCATCTTTCCCCTGCATTGCCATTTTTAAAAGAGTTAGGCCGGGCTTGATGGCTCACACCTGTAATCCTAGCACTTCGGGAGGCCGAGGTGGGTGGATTGCCTGAGCTCAGGAGTTCGAGACCAGCCTGGGCAACACGGTGAAACCCTGTGTCTACTAAAATACAAAAAATTAGCCGGGCATGGCGGTGTGCACCTGTAGTCCCAGCTACTTGGGAGGCTGTGGCAGGAGAATTGCTTGAACCCGGGAGACGGAGGTCGCAGTGAGCCAAGATCGTGCCACTGCACTCCAGCCTGGGCAACAGAGTGAGACTCTGTCTCCAAAAAAAAAAAAAAAAAAAAAAAAGAGTTATGTGTTAGCTGTCAGGGAAACGCAAATCACAAGCACAGTGGGATACCACTTCACACCCATTAGGATGGGTATAATTTAAAAGACAGATAATAACAAGTGTTGATAAAGATGTAGAGAAATTAGAACCCACATGTACTGCTGAGGTGGAATATAAAATGGTGCATCACTTTGGAAAACACTCTAGTAGTTCCTTGAAAGGTTCAACATACAGTAACCATATGACCCATCAGTTCTATTCCTAGGTTTATACCCAAGAAAATGGCAACATATGTCCACACAAAAACTTGTACAAAAATGTTGACAGCAGCATGATTCGTAATAGCCAAAATATAGAAACAACCCGACTGTCCATCAATGGATGAATGGATGAATAAAATGTGGTATATCCATACCACGAACTATTATTCAGCCATAAAAAGAAATGTGAAGTACTGAAACATGTCACCATATGGACAAATCCTGAAAACATTATGCTAAGTGAAAGAGGCCAGACATAAAGAGTGCCACATGTTGTATGGTTCCACTTTATAAACTGTACGGAACAGGCAAATTTAGAGAGACAGAATGTAAATTAGTGGTTGCCAGGGGCTGTGAAGAAGAAAGGAGAGGAAGTGACTGTTAGTGAGGACAGGTTTCAGATTCTAAAATTGATTGTGATGATGACTGTACAACTCTGTGAATATACTAAAACAAATGAATTGTACTTTTTAAATGGGTGAATTGTATGGTATGTGAATTATATCTTAATAAAGCTATTACCAGAATAAAAACTTATGATGGATTGTTATCCAAACCTTGTTAGTCATTTTTATCCCCTCTAATCCTCCTCATCTAGGACTAATGAGATGAGAGTAACTTCTGTGTTTTCCAGGCCTCCTGTTGTATTGCTTTCCAAAATCTGATTGACTATATCTATGAGGAGCAAATAAAAACCAAACCCCCTAAAGCTGAATTAATTGCTATTGACCCTCATGCAGCCCATGGTAGTGAGGTCGACAGACTCAAGGCAAAAGAAAAAGCCCTGCAAAGGTAACATTGAGACTTCGATACTGAAACTCATACAGGCCGGCTTAATCGGAGCTCGTTTTGTAAATGAACCTCATTTTTTCAAGATATATAACTTTGAAGATGTATTTCCTAGATTCACAAGTAATAACAGATCAAACAGACAAGGATGGCATTTAAGCAGCTGAATTTTGTAGTAGACTGTTTTAAGCTTCAACCACATTTCAGATTTATGCCTGATGTTTTCTGATTTTGTAGGAAACAGGAGCAACGAATGGCCAGACATTTTGCAATAATATCAAGGGAACAGACTCATTTCTCTGAAGATGGTGAGTTCATTAGTGCTGATCTTATAGACCAGCTGTACAACGTCAGAAAGCTCAGATGTTTAACCAAAAGATGAAATGGGTGTATTTAAAAAATAGTATTGGCCAGGTGCAGTGGCTCACGCCTGTAATCCCAACACTTTGGGAAGCCAAGGTGGGAGAATCGCTTGAGCCCAGAAGTTTGAGACCAGTCTGGGTAACATAGTGAGATCCTGTCTCTATGAAAAATAATAATAAGTAGTAGTATTGAAAAATTTTTATTTCTAAGTTCAGTATAGCCTACATCTGTCAAAATGGCCCAGAAAAGCTAGTGTTTCCAGCCATCTGGTTTTTGGAGTTTTCAGTCTTCATCTCATTGTTATTATTCATTGAAATAAATTAGCAACACCTACAGAGCACTTTACAGATAACTGCAAAGAGCTTTCAAGTTCATTGTCTCATATTTTATTAAGCATACTTTCCATTTTGTTTTCAAGCTTGGATATGGAAAATCTGTCAAAAATAAGTCAACTTGGCTGGGCGCGGTGGCTCACGCCTGTGATCCCAGCACTTTGGGAGGCTGAGGCGGGTGGATCGCCTGAGGTCAGGAGTTCGAGATCAGCCTGGCCAACATAGTGAAACCCCATCTCTACTAAAAATACAAAAATTAGCTGGGCATGGTGGCAGGCGCCTGTAATCTCAGCTACTCGGGAGGCTGAGGCAGGAGAATCACCTGAACCTGGGAGACAGAGGTAGCAGTAAGCCAGGATCGTGCCATTGACTCCAGCCTGGGCAACAAAAGAAAAACTGTCTCAAAAAAAAAAAGTCAGCTTATTTTCTTCATATATTAGTTGTCGTATAAGTTGGCTCACCAGTATCACTGTAGTACTGGTACAGTTGAAGAAACACTGAGTTTAGAATCAGAAGTCCTGGATTTATATCCTTGCTTTTCTCCTTACAGGCTGTCTGATTCGGGGTAAATGACTTAATCTTTCTGGGCATAAGCCTCCTCCTCTACCACCCAGAGCTACTGAAAAGATACTTAGATGGGAGCTAAGCTATGAGGACGCAAAAGCATAAGAATGATACAATGGACTTTAGGGATTCAGGGGGAAAGGGTGGGAGGGTAGTGAGGGATAAAAGACTTCACATCACTGCTCAGGTAGTAAGTGCACCTAAATCTCAGAAATTGCCACTAGAGAACTTATTCATGTAACCAAACACCACCTGTTCCCCAAAAACCTATTGAAATAATAAAATAAAAATAAATAAAAATAAAAGTTGAACTGCCAAAAAAAAAGATACTTAGAGAAGATATATTTTTATTTATTTTTGTAACTAAATCCCTAATACAAAGTTTCCTGATATCCAACTGTTAGAGTATCAGTTCTGCTAGAACTAAGGCCAGAAAGTTTCACTTAATGAAAATTGTCTTTTTTTTTTTTTTTTTTTTTTTGAGACAGAGTCTTGCTCTGTCACCCAGGCTGTAATGCAGTGGCACAATCTTGGCTCACTGCAACCTCTGCCTCCCGGTTCAATTTTCCTGCCTTAGCCTCACAAGCAGCTGGGATTACAGGCACACGCCACCACGCCCAGTTAATGTTTGTATTTTTGGCAGAGATGGGGCTTCACCATGTTGGTCAGGCTGGTCTCAAACTCCTGACCTCAAGTAATCCACCCGCCTCGACCTCCCAAAGTTCTGGGATTACAGGTGTGAGCCACTGTGCCCAGTCTCATTTTTCTTCTTTTAACAAAGGAATGTTCTCATTTTTTGACAAGGGGGAATAATAAAATTTTTAAAGATGATGAAAAATTTGAATATAAAAATGTCTTATGAATCAGTGCATTTATATTGGGGTTTGAAATTTCATTTTAGAAAAGAGGCTTTAGAAAATTTAAAACATATATGTATTTCTATGTGATTCTTTTCCCACTAGATTCAAAGCGCTTAAAAACAATTTCTTATCAACTTTCTGTGGATATTCCAGAAAAACAGATAATTGATGACATTGTATTTGATTTTCAACTAAGAAACAGTAACATGTCTATCATTTGTTGTGATTCTCGGATAGCATGTGGAAAGGTAATGAACTTGTAATTTTTTTACTTGCTATTTTAAAAAAAACCAGTTTTACCTAAAATTATAAAGTCTTTCATGAAGCTTGGCTACATGATGCATTTAACTAGTTGTCAAAAAGAATTGGTACAGACTTGGTCTTTTAACTTCTGCTAGACTTTATAACAATGTCATATGTTTGGGTTAAAGGCTGTTTACTTTAAAATGTAAGAGTTGCATATTAGAGAACATTTGGAACCCTTAGAAAATTAAAAGGAAGGGAAGAAAATTACCAAAAGTCCCAATCACTTCTCCCAAAACATTAATATTTCAATATTTTCTAGACTTGCACTGCCCAATATGGTAGCAATACTACATTTGGCTATTTAGACTTAAATTAAATTAAGAGTGTAATTTCTCAGTCACGCTAGCCATTCCACAAGTCCTAGACAGCTACATGTAACTAATGGCTACTGTACTGCAGTGATGATATAGAACATTTTTCTTGTAATCAAAAGTTATATTAGCACTGTTCTAGATGGTTTTCCTTGCATGGGTTTTTGTTAACATACTTATAATTGTATCATATATATAATTTTTATCTCTTTTTTAACTTAATTATAAAAACAAATTTTCCAAGACCAGGTACAGTGGCTCACACCTTTAATCCCAGCACTTTGGGAAGCCAAAGCAGGCGGATTGCTGGAATCCAGGAATTCAAGACCAGCCTGGACAACAAGACAAAACCCCATCTCTACAAAATAAAGAAAAATTAGCCATGCATGTTGACATGCACCTGTAGTCCCAGCCACTTGGGGGGGCTGAGGCAGGAGGATCCCTTGAGCCTGGGGGTGGAGGTTGCAGTGAACCGAGATTGTGCCACTGCACTCCAGCCTGGGTGACAGAGCAAAACTCTGTCTCAAAAAAAAAAAATTTTTTTTTCATGATATTATATAGTTTACATTAATATTATTTTCATAGCTATATAATTTATCATGTAGTTTAACCCATTTTTCTGTTCTCGGACATACTGATTCTTAACAATTTTTTTGCTATACTAAATACCATTTCCTTAAATATCCGTGTATGTAAGTACATTTCTATGTAAGTATAGTCCCTCAGAATAGACCTCTCGTAATTAAATTACTGAGACCTGGTTTGTTTAACTTGGGAGATATAGAATTTAAGGGGTGAACCAGGCAAACTGGCTTGCACCTGTAATCCCAGCTACTCAGGAGGCTAAGGTGGGAGGATCATTTGAGGCCAGGAGTTTGAAACCAGCCTGAGCAACATAGCAAAATCCCATCTCTAAAAAAATGTTTTTGGCTGGGTGTGTTGGCTCACGCCTGTAATCCTAGCACTTTGGGAGGCCAAGATGGGTGGAATGTGTGAGCTCAGGAGTTCGAGACCAGCCTGGGCAACATGGTGAAATCCCATCTCTACTAAAATACAAAAATTAGCCAGGTAAGGTGGCAGGCACCCGTAATCCCAGCTACTTGGGAGGCTGAGGCAGAGAATTGCTTGAACCTGGGAGACAGAGGTTGCAGTGAGCCAAGATCGCGCCATTGCACTCCAGCCTGGGCAACAGAGCAGGACTCTGTCTCAAAAAAAAAAAAATTTTTTTTTAATTAATTAGCTGGGCATGGCAGCACATGCCTGTAGGCTCACTTACTTGGGAGGTTGAGGCAGGAGAATCACCTGAGCTGAGGGGTTTGAGATAGCAGTGAGCTATGATCATGCACTCCAGCCTGGGTGACAGATCAAGACCCCCATCTCAAAACAAACAAACAAACCAAAAGAATGTAAGGGCTGTCAGTAAACCCAGGTGACTGGCAGAAGTAAATCCAAACTATCTTTGGAGGACGGTCACTAATTCCACCTTCAAATCACACCTACAAATTATTTTTCAAGTTCAGTTACCAGCACACAGTGAAAAATAACCAAGAACACAAGAAAACTTAACAATACAACTAAAAATCTAGAGGAATAATATCTAATAAGAAGAGACCTGAAAAGACTTTGGAAAATGAGGAAGTCTAACCGTGATCATGAAAATAAAAGATCAGCTTGAAGATATATGAAGGGAACAGAAAACTATAAACTGACATAGCAAATTTGAAATGGAAAAAAATGAACTGAAATGAAAATGAAAACTGCAACAGCTGAAATGAAAAATACAACAATCAAAATTAAAAACTTAAAAGATGAAAGCTGAGAGCAGGTTAGACTCCACTAAAGAAAGAACTACTGCCCAGGAAGAAAGGTTGAAAAGAAAAAATATCAAAACTCATTATGGGGATTAAAAAAGGCAAGAAACACAAGAGAGAGTGTATGGAACAAAAATAAAAAGAAAGGTCTAACGTGCATTTGTTCAAAATCCCAGAAGAAGAGAAAAAAAGATAATCAGGTAGAGGTAATATTTTAAAAGATAATGGATGATAATTTTTCAAAACTGATAAAAGAGACCAATCAACAGGTTTAAGAATCCCAGTGATCTCAAGCAGTATGAGAAAAAAAAAAAATTCTAGACACATCATAGTGAAACTGCAGAAAACCAAAGACCAAAAAAAAAAAAAAGGAAAGAAAGAAAGAATTATTAGAAGTAGCAGAGGAAAAAAAGTTCAGGTTACATTTAAAAGAAAACAATTAGATTAGCAGATGACCTCCCAACAGCAACAATAGAGGCTCAAAGGCAATGGAATGTCTTCAGTGTGGTAAAAAAAAAAAACAATGGCCAATCTAGAATTCTATACCCAGTTAAAATATATTTCAAGAAAGTGTAAGCTAGGTCAGGTGCAGTGGCTTACACCTGTAATCCCAGCCCTCTAGGAGACCAAAGCAGGCAGACCACCTAAGGTAGGGAGTTTGAGACCAGCCTGGCCAACATGGTGAAACCCCATCTCTACTAAAAATACAAAGATTAGCCAGGCGTGGTGGCACATGCCTGTAATCCCAGCTACTCAGGAGGCTGAGGCAGGAAAATCACTTGAACCCAGGGGGTGGAAGTTGCAGTGAGCTGAGATCTTACCACTGCACAGCAGCCTGGGCAACAGAGCAAGACTCTTGTCTCAAAAAAAAAAGTGTGAGATAAAGATAAGAGGATCACTTTATAAAATAAAGATAAAGATGATCACTTTTTAATTGACAAAATTTCAATCCACCAGTAAGATATAGCATTACAAAATACATTGTCCATATTAGCACAGCCTCAAAAATATGTGAAGCAAAATTTCACAGAAGTAAAAGGAGAAATAAAGAAAACCATATTCATAATGAGATATTTTAGCCTACCTCTTATTTTTTTTGAGACAGTCTTGCTCTGTTGCCCAGGCTGGAGTTCAGTAGCATGATCTCGGCTCACTGCAACCTCTGCTTCCCAGGTTCAAGCAATTCACTTGCCTCAGCCTCCCAAGTATCTGGGATTACAGGCGTGTGCCACCACGCCCAACTAATTTTTCTATGTTTAGTGAAGACAGGGTTTCACCATGTTGGCCAGGCTGGTCTCGAACTTCTGACCTCAGGTGATCCACCTGCCTCAGCCTCCCAAAGTACTGGGATTATGGGTGTGAGCCACTGCGCCCAGCACTACCTCTTTCAATAATTGACTACTAGACCAAGAAAAAAAAAAAAGGTTGGGGGGCAGTAATGCTATAGAAAATATGAGCAATCCATTTACCAAATTTGACCTAATGTTCATGGATAGGCAGAGGAAATATTTTAAAGATGACACTCTTTGATCATTCTTTCCAGAGTGATCCATAGATCCAGTATAATCTCAGATTCCAGCAAGATTGCATATGTGTGTGTATTGGGGGAAGGGAAGTCTTGACAAGTTGATTCTAAAATGTATGTGGAAATATAAAGAACCTAGAGTAACCAAAACACTCTTGAAGAAGAAGAGGCTGAGGAAAGGAGGATGTGTTCTACCAGAAATTAAGATCTATTACAAAATATAGTAATTAAGGCAGTATAGTATTGGGGCAGGATAAACAAGGAAATCCATATGCATAATAGAGTTCAGAAACAGACTCATGCATGCATGAATATCTGATTTATGATAGCAATGGCACTGCACATTGTGCTGGGGCTGGTTTTTATCTGCTTTTGTTTTGTTCTTTTAGTAACGTGTATAAAGTAAAAAAAAAAAAAAATTAAAATAGATATGTAATGTCAGATTTCTACCAGAAGGATTTTTATCAAGTTATACTTGCAAGGATTAGGGACAATCTGTTAATAATTGCTAAGGGTTGTCTCCTGTTGTTGAAGCAGGGCCAACATTTAAATTAATAATTGATTTGTATGACTGTCTAGTAACCAGCTGATGTCCATTGTTGTCGTACTTACTACTTTATGTCCGAAACAATTAAGTGTCTTTTCTTTTCTGTGGTGTATAGGTTGTCAGGAATGAGCTCTTAGAGAAGCACTACAAACATGGGAGCAAGTTTCTGACTTCATTTCCAGATGGGACAACACAAATATTGTATCCTCTTTCAACAAGTTATTTTTATTAGCTTTATTACTTCAAAAAAAAGAAAGCTCAAGGAAGGAAATACATGGTTGGGTGCAGTGGCTCACACCTGTAATGCCAGCACTTTGGGAGGCTGAGGTGGGCAGATCACTTGAGCTCAGAAGGTTGAGACCAGCCTGGGCAACATGGCAAAACTCCGTCTCCACAAAGTGTTAGCTGGGCGTGATGGCACATGCCTGTAGTCTCAGCTACTCGGGAGACTGAAGTAGAAGGATCATCTGGGCTCAGGAGGTAGAGGCTGCAGTGAACTGAGATTGTGCCACTGCACTCCAGCATGGGCAACGAAGTGGGACCGTGTCTCAGAAAAACAAACAAACAAACAAACAAAACACAGAAAAAGATAAAGATCCAGTGTAATTGAAAAATAGAAATTTTAACTAAAAAGACATAAATAGAAAGATAAAACAAAACTATAAAGGAACTTAGTGTGGTGGCTTACGCTTATAATCCCAGCACTTTGGGAGGCTGAGGCAGGAGGATTACTTGAGCCCAGGGGTTTGAGATCAGCCTGAGCAGCATAGTGAGAGCTCATCTCTACAAAAAATAAGAAAATTAGCCAGGTGTGGTGGTACACACCTTGAAGTCCTGGCTACTCAGGAGGCTGAGGTGAAAGGATTGCTTGAGCCCGAGGGGTCAAGGCTGCAGTGAGCCATCATCATGCCACTGCACTCCAGCCTAAATGACAGAGCAAGACCAAGAAAGAAAGAAAGAGAGAGGAAAGAGAGGAAGAAAGAGAAAGACGGATGGAAGGGAGGGAGGAAGGAAGGAAGGAAGGAAGAAGGAAGGAAGGAAGGAAAAAGGAAGGAAGGAAGGAAGGAGAGACTACCCTCAAATTCTACCACCCAAAGAAAAGATGTTAGCATTTTATTACTATTGTTTTTTTAAGACAGGGTCTCACTGTGAGGCCCGGGTTAGAGTGCAGTGGCACAATTATGACCCACTGCAACCTCAACCTCCTGGGTTCAAGCAGTCCCCCCAACTCAGCATCCTAAGTAGCTGGGACCACAGGCATGCACCACTACACCTGGCTAATTTTTTAAATTTTGGTAGAGATGGGGTCTCTCTATGTTGCCCAGGCTGGTCTTGAACTCCTGGGTGCAAGCGATCCTCCCACCCCAGTCTCCCAAATGGCTGAGATTACAGGTGTGAGCCACTGTGTCTGGCCAGCATTTAAAAATATATGTTTTTTTGGCTATTCTGAACACAATTCCTATGGAGTAGCCCTGCTCCACGAAGAGCAATTAAAAAAAAAAAGAAAAGAGAAAAATAAAAAAAGAAAAAGAAAAATATATGGTTTTTGTTTGTTTGTTTGTTTTTTGAGACATAGTCTCACCTAGGCTGTAGTGCAGTAGTGGGATCTTGGCTCACTGCAACCTCCACCTCCCAGGTTCAAGCAATTTTCCTGCCTCAGCCTCCCGAGTAGCTGGGATTACAGGCACATGCCACCACGCCCAGCTAATTTTTGTATTTTTAGTAGAGACAGGGTTTCGCTATGTTGCCAAGGCTGGTCTTGAACTCTTGAATTCAGGTAACCTGCTCACCTTGGCCTCCCAAAGTGCTGGGATTACAGGCATGAGCCACCACACCCGGCCTATGGGGTTTTTTAAAATGTTTTTTCTGTGTATGAGCATATATATATATATGTATATATAAATGGATTCTTTGTTTATTCATATTTTCTGACTCCTTTACATAATGAAATTATACAATAATGTTATAAATATATGATATGCAATAAATATAAAGATACAACACATTTTTTCCCCAAAAAACCATCCACAGGTAGCAACACCGTTTTATAACCACATAGTACTTTATTATATAGATGTACTATAATTCATTTAACCTATCCCCTATTACTGAACAAAAGTGGTTTCACAATTTTTGCTATTATACACAACAGCTAAATAAACAGCTTTGTGCATACTTTGTGGCATAGTTACCACTTATTTTCTTGAATTAAATACCTAGGGGTTGAGGCTGGGCATGGTGACCCATGCCTATAATCCCAGCCCTTTGAGAGGCCACAGTGGGCAGATCGCATGAGCTCAGCAATTTGAGATCAGCCTGGGCAACATGGTGAAAGCCTGTGTCTACAACAAAATACAAAAAATTAGCCAGGTGTTGTGGTGCACACCTGTAGTTACAGCTACCTGGAAGGCTGAGGTGGGAGGATTTTTCTGAGCCAGAGAGGTGGAGGCTGCAGTGAGCTGTGATCGTGCCATTGCACTCTGACCTGGGCAACACAGCAAGACCCTATCTCAAAAAATTAAATAAATAAGTAAATAAATAAATAAACATATAGGGCTAGAAATTCTGGAAGAATAATTTGGACATTTTAAAGCTTTGATAGATTTTGCCATCCCTCCACCCCAGAAAATATATACCAGTTTACACACCCATGAGTGGTGGACAATTTTTAATACCAAAATTAAATATCCATTTCATGGAACACCAAGTTATTGATCACTTGGACTTTCTGCCTGATGGCCAGGTCATTCATTTAATATTTAAACTTTTTGAGCTTTTCAGATCCTCATAATATCTGAGGAAAGTAAAAACAAGAAGCAAAAAAATGAGGAGGCTTTTCATGAACTGAGAGCCTCCCCCTGTAGAAGAAAGTCATTTTTGGTCATCGTTTCGTAAGTGTTTACTTAAACCCCAATAGTAAGCCAGAAAAATGACTTTCACAGAATAGGAAGCATAATGAAGTTTTAGTTCCCTAGACCTTATGAGAGTGTGTAGGTTTTGTTTTAATTACATCAATAAATTTTAAATAATTTACCTGACCTAAAAATTTTTTTAAAGTTTTTAGAGACAGAATCCTATTATGTTGCCTAGGCTGGCCTCAAACTCCTGGGCTCAGGTGACCCTCCCACCTCAGTCTCCCAAGCAGCTGGGACTACAGGCTGTGTCTGTATAAAAACCATATAAAAATATACAGTTTTCCAACTTTTATTATTAATCATTTCATGCCCTGACTTTATTCCTCTTAACTTTCTTGAAGGCTGTGGTTGATTTGCAAAATGATTTAGAATCAATCTTGTGTTTATTTCTGGACTTCTAACCAGCCTGGATATGGAAATGAGTATTAAGAGTTAGTGAATTATCTTCAGTATATTTTATTGCTTTTGATGCTATTGAAAATAGAATTGCTTTCTTAATCTCATTTTTAGAATGTCTACTGTTAGTGTATAGAAATACAATTTATTTTTGTATATTGATCTTGTAGCTTACAACCCTGCTGAACTCATTTATCGGGTTTAATACATTATCTTATGAATTCCTTAGGATTTTCTATATACAAGAACATGTCATCTGCTAATAGGTACAGTTTTACTTCCCTTTCCAATCTGGATGCTTTTCATTTCCTTTTTTTTTTCCCTAAACTTCCATGGCTAGAACTTTTTTTTTTTTTTTTTTTTTGAGATGGAGTCTTGCCCTGTCACCCAGGCTAGAGTGCAGTGGCACGATCTTGGCTCACTGCAACCTCCGCCTCCCAGGTTCAAGCAATTCTCCTGCCTCAGCCTCCTGAGTAGCTGGGACTACAGGTGCACACCACCATGCCTGGCTATTTTTGTAATTTTAGTAGAGATGGGGTTTCACCATGTTGGCAAGGATGATCTCAATCTCCTGACCTCATGATCCACCCGCCTCAGCCTCCCCAAGTGCTGAGATTACAGGTGTGAGCCACCACGCCCAGCCAGAACATCTATTAATAGTGCGATGTTGAATAGAAGTAGTAAGAGTGGACATTTTTGTTTAGTTTCTGATCTTAGGAAGAAAGCACTAAATCTTTCACCATTAAGTATAGTTTTAATTGTGGGTTTTTTTAAATTAAAAAAATCAAAATTCTGAAGATGAAAAAAATTGTTTTGTAGAGACAGGGTCTTACCATATTGCCCAGGCTGGTCTGGAACTCCTGGGCTTCAACAATCCTCCTGCCTTGGCCTCCGTAAGTGCTGGGATTATGGGCATGAGCCACCATGCCCAGCCCAGCTGTGGGCTTTTTGTAGATACTCTTTATCAGGTTGAGGACATTCATTCCTATTTGAAATCCATTGAGTTTTCTTATTATTAAGAGGGCTGAAACTTGTCAAATGCTTTTTCTGTGTCTGTTGAGATGACCTTGTGTTTTTTGCTCTTTATTAATATGGTATATTAAGTTATTTTCAGATGTTAAACCAACCTTGCATATCTGGGGTAAACCCTACTTCATCATGGTGCGTAATCCTTTTTATATTGTGACAGTTCATTTGCAAGATTTTGTTGAGGATTTTTGCATCTCATGAGTATATTCTGATCCACATAAAAAGCATAAAATCTTTTGTATTAATATAGTACCTCCCATTTTCAGAATGCTTTATGATTTCAGAGTGCTCTCTCATAAATTGAATTTGTTCCCAGAATAGTCAAGGAGCATTAGAACAATTTATATGACCTTATCTGATCTCAGCTATCCATCTGGAAACCTAGCCATCATTCGAGTGCCCAACAAGGTAAATGGTTTTACTTGTATAGTCCAAGAAGATATGCCCACTAACCCTGCTATCCTAGCAGTGCTGGATTCCTCTGGCAGAAGTTCCTGCTATCATCCCAATGGAAATGTCTGGTAAGCTTCTAGGTTCCTGCTGCTGCCATTTTGTGGCTTTTGTTCTGGGAAATTTTGTTTTTTCTTTTTAAATGATAAGAATGGGTTTCAGAAGATTTATTTAAGTTAGTGTTCTTTAGATGGTAATGTTCAACTCAGAGACATTTTTGGTTTACACCATTCCGTATGCTTTTCAGTGGAAAAATCCCAAGCAATTATAAAAATAAAGCTCATCATATTATTTCTATACATAGTAAGAATATATGAACTATATAATTACAACATACAAAAAAACTTGATAAATGATATGGTAACTCTAGGGATTTGGGATGTAACTGAGGCAGTCTCTAGAGCCTGTGCCCTGATGATGTTATTCTGCTTCATCTATGTAAACAACTTGTCAATAGACAGTTGATACACTATGTTGTTATTGTTTGAGATACATTCCTAACTAGTAAGCTTCCTATAGCCACAAGCAAGAAGAGTAACATACACACAAAATCTCCAGAGAAATTAAGATCCTGGTCCCAATTTAACCTACTATGTATATACTCTGTGACTTCATTTAGCCTGACAAAGTGAAATTTGGGTTCTAACTTCCAATACAATTTAAACTTTTTGAACTTTTCAGAAAGAGGTCTTTTCCTTTAAGTTATATACAGGTATAACAATCTCATCTCGGGAACCTCTGCCAGTAATTGGTGAAGTTTATATACTGCTAGTCCTTCAGAAAGTTAGGATACCGAGCTATTTGTGTTTTTCGTCCACAGCAGTAGTCAATTCATTACCACCATGTATATTGGAAACTTTCTACTTATCTTTCAGGATTCTACAGCAATTCTATGTTACCTTTGATGCAGTGCTATACTGTCACCAATATTCGTTGGTTTCTAGACTGGAAACCAATCGGTTCTTCCAGATTGGTTTTATGAAGCCCCTGCCCCATAAACTGAACTCCGAGGCACCCTGAGATGGCTCCTTGATACTCTCATAGCCCTCTCTGCCTCTTGTGTAGTGAGTCCATTTCCCTTACTTGACAGACATTCCTTGAGGGCACATCCTGAATCTTTGCTACTACATAGCAGCACATCTGTACATAGTGTAGACTCAAAGAATGTTTACTAAATAAACAAGGGACTGATTTAGCCAGATAATTTTAGCTGGATATTATTTTCACCCAGATTTCAAGATAAAACTAAATCTTCCCTTCCTAGACACAATCAGATAATCACCTCAGTTTCTCATTTGTGCTTTTGTTATTAGATTACTACCACTGATCAATACTGGGTCCAATTTAACCTACTATGTATATACTCTGTAACTTCATATTATTTCATTTAGCCTGACAAAGTGAAATTTGGGTTCTAACTTCAAATACAATTTAAACTTTTTGAACTTTTTAGAAAGAGGTCTTTTCCTTTAAGTTATATACAGGTATAACAATAACATCTCTAACATGAGATGTTAGCTAGGGGTCCCCATGGCCAAGTCATCTAGTTTTCAAAAAATAATTTATTATCAAATTAAGCCAACTTTCTGAGTACCCAGAACACTATATCTACTGTCTCTCCTCAAGGTGGGGATGGTAAGAGGGTATGAGAAGGAGATAACTGAATAGAATGGCACAGCGATTAGTGCTGCCAGATCTCAGATGGTGAGGGGCTAAACGTGATGTAGTAAAATGTAAGGCATTCATGGTCTGAAGAGATGGGGTCGCCTCGTGGGTCTAAGGTCCACCTTTGCTCTGTCACAGACCTCTTCTCCACTGCAGTGATCACAGAGGTGTTCCCTGAGCCTCTGCCCCCACATTCAGCCATGATGGGAGGACTCCTGGAAGGACTCCTAGCTCCTAGTTGGGAATTGCCAGAAAACAGCTCTCTTGTACTGAGGTCAACACAGCCTTCCCCAGAATTTACAGCCACAGGTCTTTATTTCGGTGTGGTGAAAATCTAAGCACTGGTCTTTCCTCCTCTTTCAGGATTAATCTACTCTTCTGTATCTCATTTTCTCCAGACTAAGCCTTCCCTGCTCCCTCTTCAACCTTCCAGACTCCTTCATCCCAGGCTGATCCTTTGGACCCATTTTAGTTTATCAGTATGAACTCAAACAGGATACAGTACTTCAGATTCGTGTAGAATTTAGTCATAGTATTATCACTCCTAAGATTACCTGAAGTTTCCACCACTCCTGCTAATCGCTGGCATAAACCGTTACTCCCCTTGGTTAGCAAGTGACAGGGATAATTCCAGTATTTAATTACAGTGTTACTGTTTATGATATTTACATTTCCTTCCTGACCAGGGTATACATCAATATCTTGGGAGGTCAATATTCAGATCAAGCCGGCAACAGAATAAGGGCTTGGAATTGGTCAAATTCCATCACTTCCTCACCCTTTGTTTCATTTAAACCTGTCTTTCTGGCTTTGAACCGTTATATTGGAGTCCGCATCTTAGAACAAGACAAGATTTCTATAACTTTTCTAGCAATGGGCCAACAGGCAAGAATCAGTGTTGGAACCAAAGTGAAGGTAGGTACATTTTTAAAAACAGTTTAAAGCATTTAGAATAATAATAAGAGTAAACTAACTTTTGTTAGTATTATTACTGATAGATTACACTAGTGCATAATCTACTGTCCACTAGGATTTTGGAATTCAATGGAAAAACATGTAATGAAAGCTTCATATGGAATTGAGGTGGCTTTACTGTTTCTTACTCTGAAATTCCTTTTAGTTCAGACTCAGATCCAAGTAACACTTATTGAGTGTTTGCTCTGTGCCAGAGTAGTGCTGCTCTGGGGGTTTAGTTTAAAGATTTCGTATTGTGTTTGTTTTTCTCCCCGCCATGGTAGAGAGACTTGGGTTGGGTCAGGAGACCTGAGTTTGAATCATGTTCAAGACCAATCATAAGCCCTGTCTCCTTAGAGACACTTCCCAGACCTCCTAGTCCTTCACCCAGTCAGCCTCAACCACATCCTTCTGTGGGTTTTCTGTGTACTTGCCACCATCCCCGTGCTTGTTGAACAGTGCTGCCGTTCCTACTGGATGGCAAGCTCCTGACAGGAAGAATCTCTATCTTGTTGACTTCTGTAACTCCAGTGCCTCTCCCAGGGCACAGCCCTGAGTACACTCTCAGTGACCGGCAATAATGCACGATGGTTAAGAACGTGGAATTCAGGTTGCAGATTCTCTGTAGTTTCAAACCTCAGCTCTGCCACTTGACTGAGTGAGCTTGAACTTCAGTTTCCTTATCCATAAAATGGAATAATGATTCCGACCTTACAGATTGCTGTGAAGATTTGATGAGAATGCAAAGTACTAAGGGTGGTACTTGGCACTAAATAAAATAATATAGACATAGAGATGGATACAAATAGAGATGGATGTATAGCTATATACATAAATAACACATATAGTGTGTGACTTTGAACAGGTCCCTTAAACTTTAAGGACCTTTGTGTCATTGATTTTTTTTTTTTTTTTTTTTTGAGATGGAGCCTTGCTCTGTCTTCCAGGCTGGAGTACAGTGGCGCGATCTCAGCTCACTGCAACCTCCACCTCCCAGGTTCAAGCAATTCTTCCTGCCTCACCGTCCTGAGTAGCTGGGACTACAGGCGCCCACCACCATGCCCGGCTAATTTTTGTATTTTTAGTAGAGACAGGGTTTCACCATGTTGGCCAGGCTGGTCTCGAACTCCTGACCTCAGGTAATCCACCTGCCTCAACCTCTGAAAGTGCAGAGATTCCAGGCATGAGCCACCACTCCCGGCCTGTTTCGTCGATTTTTTTTTTTTTTTTTTGAGATGGAGTCTCTCTCCGTCGCCAGGCTGGAGTGCAGTGGTGCGAGCTTGGCTCACTGCAACCTCCGCCTCCCGGGTTCAAGCGATTCTCCTGTCTCAGCCTCCCAAATAGCTGGGACTACAGGCACACCACCATGTAAGGCCTGTTTCATTGATTTTTAAAGGAAGACATAGCTCCAAACTTCAAAAGTGCCTTCAACTTTTAAGTATGTGGAAATAGAATCTCAATATTCAACACAGGAAGGAATATCTCATGACCACCAAACAAAGGGGAGATTTCAAATTCAGGCAACATAGAGCGAGGGTCTACAATGTGCTAAGCACTTTTCCAGTTCCTTTCAGTAAGTCTGGAAACTGCAGTCAAATTTTTAGGCTCCAGACAAACTTCTTTCTTGGTTAGAAATCTGCAGTATCCCCTCCTTTTGTTACATTACATCCATAGTAAATACATTCTTACACAAAATATAAAAATACTTCTTTCTCCCCTCTCTCTCTCCCTCTACTTCCTTCCCCCACCCCTGCACCTCCCTTCCTCTCCCCACTTAGAAATTAATTTTAATCAAAAAAGAGTCATTTTGATGCAAAAGGAAGAGTTCATTATTAAAGTTTTTTACTTTTCTCATTGTTCTCATAATCACCCTTTAGGTTTTTTTTTTAATTACAAGCAACTTGTGAATATATTTTTATATTTAAAGATTTAAAGATTCAAACAATACAGAAATAAAGATAATTTTTTAAAAAATGAGATTCCCTTTATTTCTTCTTCTATTCTAACTCCCTTCCCCAAAGTAAGCACCACACAAAATTTAGTGTGTACCTTCCTTCTTACTATGTATTTATAAATTATTTTATACATCTTTTTTTTTTTTCAGATGGAGTCTCGCTCTGTTGCCCAGACTGGAGTGCAGTGGAGTGATCTTGGCTCACTGCAACCTCCACCTCCCGGGTTCAAGCGATTCTCATGCCTCAGCCTCCTGAGTAGCTGGGGCTCAGGCGTGCACCACCACACTCAGTTAATTTTGTATTTTTAGTAGAGGCGGGGTTTCACCATGTTGGCCAGGCTGGTGTCGAACTCCTGACCTCAGGTGATCTGCCTACCTGGGCCTCCCAAAATGCCGAGATTATAGGCGTGAGCCACCGTGCCCAGCCTATTTTATACATCTTTTTTAAAACATAAAAATTAGATAATATACAGATTATATTGTTGATGGGGGTTCCTATTTGTTTTTGTTTCCCACTTAGTAAGTATTGAAGATTTATTTGTGTCTACATTTTGAAGAATATTGAATTCAATATAAATATTAAATTTATATGAAATTTAATGACTTCTCAGTGGCATTAAACACTGATGATCTCTTCTTCCTGGAATCATTTCTTCCCTTGCTTCCAAGACTATTCTCCCCTGATTTTCCCTGTACCTCACAGGCTGTTTCTTCTCATTTTTCTGGCCTGATTACTCTTCATCTCCCCTTTTTCTAAATATTGGAGGAACCCAGAGCTTGTCCTTGGGTGGTCTTTTCTCTATATTCACTCCTCAGATTATCTCAGATAATCTCATTATCTGATTATATTATCAGATTATCTCATTGAGTCTCACTTCCTTAAATATCATCTGCATGCTGATAGCCCTTTAATTTGTATCTTCAGGTAGATCTCCTATGAACTTGAGACTTGCAAGTCTCTGATTCCAATTCAACATACCCATCTGGATTTCTAAGGGGGCATGAAAAAAAACACAGGCCAGGCGCGGTGGCTTATGCCTGTAATCCCAGCACTTTGGGAGGCTGTGACGGGAGCATTACTTGAGCCCAGGAGTGTGAGACCAGCTTGGGCAACATAGTGAGACCCGATCTCTATGAAAGTCGTTTTTTAAATTCTCCAGACATGGTGGCGCATGCCTGTGGTCTCAGCTATCTGGGAGGCTGAGGTGAAAGGATAACTTGAGCCCACCATTGGCGGGGTGGGGGCAGGGGGTTCAAGGCTGCATGAGCCGTGATTGTGCTGCTGCACTCCAGCCTGGGCAACAGAGCAAGACCCTGTTAGGAAAAAAAGAAAAAACTTAACACAGCAGAACTTGATTTCAACACTTGATCCAGTCTCAGTCCTCTCCATCTCAGAAAATGGCAACTACATTCTTTCACTTATTCAGGACAAAAACTCGGGAGTAGTTTCACAACTCTAAACGCTGTTTCACAGTCCCATACCAACTCATCTGTAAACTCTACCTCCAAAATACCTCCAGAGTCTCACACTTCTCACATTTTCCAGTGCTATCATTCTTGTCTGCCTCTTTACCTGATCCATCTCTTGCTTGATTATTGCAATAGCCTCCTAATAAGTCTCCCTGCTTCTGGCCTTCCCAAAGTCTATTCTAACACAATACTTAGAATGATACTTTGAAAACGTAAGTCTGGTCAGAACTCTCCGGGGACTTCTAATTTTACTCGAGTAAAAGCCAAGGCCCTATAAAGACTTGCAATGCTGTACACAATCTGGACCTCTTTCTCTGAATAATCTCTCTGTATTATCTTATCTCACTCATTCTGTTCCAGCCATACTGGCCTTTTTGCTATTCCTTGAAAATATCAGGCATGTTCCTGTCACAGAGTCTTTGCATTTGCTGTCGCCTCAACCTAAAATGTTTTATCCCCATTTAGCATGTGGCTGTTCCCTCACTTCCTTCAGGCTTCTGCGCAGCGTCCTTTTCTGAGCAACCCATCAAAACCAGCCACACCCACCCCCACCTTCTCCCTAGCACTCTGAGTGCCTCTTTGGTCATTTGCCACACGTTTTAATATATAGTGCTGTCATTTTCTTTCACTTCTAAATAATTTAGAATACCCATTTTGACTTCAATGCAGTAGTCACTGAATTTTCAAATAGATAGAAAGATTTACCCCTCTCTTGTTAATTTCAAAATGGTCAGGAAATATGACTTGCAGTTTTTTCCTTCCTGTTTAGAATATATTGATATTTTCTTTGTGGTTGGTTACATAATTTTTATAAGTGTTCCATGTATATTTAACCAAAAAAGTTGTACAGTTTATTGGTACAAAATTCTATGTCCAGTTGTTCTAGCCACACCTCCCTCTCTATCCTTTTATTTTTGTGTCATTGGGTTTACTTCTGAGAAATGTATGAAAGTTTCCCAAAATGGTTGTGAACTTGTTCATTGTTTCTAGTATTTCAATCAACTTTTGCCGTATATATTTTGAAGCTCTGTGATCAGGAAATTAAAGATGCTGACTCTCTTCTTTGTGAGTTGTACCTTTCGCCAGGGCCAGCCCATTCTTTCCCCTCACTCATTCGCTCTTCAGTTGTTCCCATTACGCGCCCTAGTGTATTAGTGAGGGTTTTGTTTTTATTTTGACAATAAAGGTAGTAATGTTATCAACATGTGTTATTCCTAATTTCCCTTTTAGTGGCCTTTACCTTAAGTGCTATTCCATCTGATGTTAAATTCTTACACTTGCTTTCTCTTTGTTAGCGTTTGTTTGATATTTTTTCATCCTTTGATTTTCAACCTTTTTAATGTAGTTTTGAGTTATATGTTCTCGGGCAAACCACATATAGTTGGATTGTGTTCCTTTCCTCAACCTAGCAGACTCAGTGGTTTTTTTGTTTGTTTGTTTTTAGAGACAGGGTTTTGCTCTGTCACCCAGGCTGGAGTGTAGTGGCGTGACCATAGCTCACTGTAACTGAAAACTCCTGGGTTCAAGCCATCATCCTGCCTCAGCCTCCCAAGTAGCTAGGACTACAGGCATGCACCACCATGCCCAGCTAACAGACTCAGTCTTTTAATACACTATATTTTAATGGTTAGTTTAAAATTAACATATCTTTTATAATATGCATAGAATTAACTTCCAAATCCTCTAGTTGTTTTTCTTCCTTAACAATATTCTCTCAAGTCCCTCGGAAAATATTAACTATATAAATATGGATATATTTCCTAAAGTCTTCCTCTATCTCCTAATTATTTTTCCTTGAGTATAAGTTTCTCTGATAGGTAAATCTGGTGCCTCTCTTTAGTGGCGTCAAATATTCGGTGATTCTCAGTTGTGTGTTCAATTTGAATTTGAGAATTCCTGTTTCCCTGTTCTGCTTACTAAAGTTTGCTTCAGATGCTAAGGGGTAGAAGGCTAGCGCTAGTGCCCGCTGCCAGCCTCAGCCTGTGGGCATCAGTGCTCAACACAAAAAGGAAAAGGTGAGGGGCCTGCCTCCCAATTGATCAGCCTAATGTTTACCTCAGACTCCATCCTGCTTCCCATTTCTGTTGAGTTTGAGCTCAGAGTATATGTGTTTTTGGTTAGTGGTTTCATTTCGTCATTTCTCTCTATATGCATATGGTCTCATCTGCTTTTTGATTTTTCAGGAATTCCTTAAAATTATCCTGCCGATGAAATCTTTCTTATTCCAACCCCGCTGGAAACAAGGTGGGGGCAGGGGGATAAATCTTTCTTATTAGAGCCATCATTGACTTAATCTGTAAAAAAGTTTTCTGTCATGGTGTGATATTTGGGGTAAAAGATTCTGAACTATTCTTTGTTATTTGTCCATCTCATACTCTTTCCTTCCTCTATTCCTTCCTTTCTATGGAAGGAGGAGTGAAATACAGAAATGATACTGTAAGTATCACCTTTGCAGGTAAGTGGTCACTTAGCTTGCAGAGGGTAGTAGTTCTGCTTGCATTTAACCTGCCCCAGAGAGGCTAAATGCCCCTTCTAGGCTGGCTTTGAAGCTACAGACTGAAAACACTTCAGGCAAGACTGTCCTGGCAAATCCATTTAGGCTTCTGCAGCTGCAAGAAGACAACACCAGCCTTGAATCGTCAAAAGCTGTGAGAGAGTGGGGAGAGCAGAGGCCAAAGAAGAGTAAGGGAGAGGTTAATTTGGAATGGCCTCCTGGAGGTTGGGGCACATTTAGGAGCAGGAAAGGGAGTTTTAGTTTTTCCCAGTCCTACCTTCTCTGCGGAAAATTGCCCTTCTCAGTGCCTTCCCAGTGAGCACCCAGCCTTCAGACCAGCACTCACCCTACCTCCCCCACTGGGTACTTTCCAGGCAAGGGACTGTGTCTGAGGCATCTTTGTGATCCCCTCAGTAGGTGCTGGTTAAATTACTTGAATAAATTATAGGCTTTTGAAGGTATCCAGATTCCATTTGGTCTCTCAAGTCTCCACAGTGTTTCAGCTCTTTCTTCATTCAGAGTAGAATAACACCACCGCCCCTGCTTACGGATGAATTAGAGTGGACCCTCATCAGGGAATCCAACCCCACATAAGTGCCATGACTCAGCTCCTCCCACCTCCCCAGTTCCACTTCTGGACTCTGAGTTTCCTTCTCTTTCTCTTTGCTGAAAAGCTACCAAACCCTGAGGAGATTCCAATCCTCCGATACGTAAGTGGAGATGACCTTCTTCTGCTGGCCAGTTTAATAAAGATCCGTCGCCTGTTTCATAAACTTGAAGGATGTGTGAATTTTCCCTCAAGCCAGGTTTGGGAAAAATTAAAGCAACCTTCCTACCTTTCTTCACTTTCTCTAAAACTAATTGCCCTTTGTCACAGTTCTGGTATAAAGCAAGATATAATGAAGACAATAAGAAATATAATAAATGAAGAAATTTAACTAAGAATGATGGTGCTTTCATTTGTTTTGTTGAATTTTTTTGGGTTTTTTTGGTTGAAGTTTTTTTGGGGTGGGAGGATCAGGAGTGTGATGGCTAGTATCAATCAAGGGTCAGCTTGATTGGATTGAAGGACGCAAAGTATTGTTCCTGGGTGTTGTCAGTGTGGGTGTTGCCAAAGGAGATTAACATTTGAGTCAGTGGACTGGGAGAGGCAGACTCACCCTCAACCTGGATGGGCACCATCTAATCAGCAGCCAGCGCAGCTAGGATAAAGCAGGCAGAGGAAGGTGGAACGAGCAGACTTGCTGAGTCTTCCAGCTTTCAACTTTCTCCTGTTCTGGCTGCTTCCTGACCTCGAACATCAGACTCCAAGTTCCTCAGCTTTTGGACTCTTGGACTTACACCAGTGGTTTGCCAGGGGCTCTCAGGCCTTTGGTCACAGACTGAAGGCTGCACTGTTGGCTTCCCTAGTTTTGAGATTTTGGGACTCAGACTGTCTTCCTTGCTCCTCACCTTGCAGAAGGCCTAGTTTGGGACTTCATCTTGTGATGGTGTAAGTCAGTACTCTTTAATAAGCTCCCCTTCATATATACATCTATCCTAGTAGTTCTTTCCCTCTAGAGACCCCAGAATAATACAGGGAGGATTCAAAAAAAGTGTACAAAATGACTAAAATACCAAGAAATATGCTATATTATCAATTTAGAACAAATTCTGAGCATTCACTGGTTTACTTTTTTTTTTTTAAGAGATGAGGTCTCACTGTTGAAGTGGTGTCATTTTCTGGGGTGATACCCAAGGTTCATTGCCTCATGCCAGGAAAATTAAGCACACAGACACACACACACAAGGAGTGAGTTTAAGAGCAGAGGTTTAGGCCGGGCACGGTGGCTCACACCTGTAATCCCAGCACTTTAGGAGGCCAAGGCGGGAAGATCACAAGGTCAAGAGTTCTAGATCAGCCTGACCAATATGGTGAAACCCCATCTCTACTAAAAATACAAAAATTAGCCAGGCGTGGTGGCACATGCCTGTAATCCCAGCTAATCAGGAGGCTGAGGCAGGAGAATTGCTTGAACCCAGGAGGCAGAGCTTGCAATGAGCTGAGATCGCGCCACTGCACTCCAGCCTGAGTGACAGAGCGAGACTCCATGTCAAAAAAAAAAAAAAAAAAAAAAGGCAGAGGTTTAATAGGCAAAAGAAAGAGAAGGGAGAATAGCTCTCTCCTGGGAGAGACAGAGGAGCCCAAATGGGACTTCTGGCACCGGATTTTATAGACAGGCTTGAGGAGTCGGTGTCTGATTTACATAGGGCCCATAGTTTGGTTGGACTAGGTGTGTTGTTTACATAATGCACAGGGAAACTGGCTGCCCCACCCTAATCTTATTATGCAAATGGAGTCTTTGCCTGGTAGGCACCATGTTGCCTGCTTCTTACTGTACACGTGGCTGGCAAAGAGAAGGGAAGATGGAGCCACCATTTTGAACATGCCTAGTCCCTGTAGCCTTTTCCTATTGGCACAGCTGCCAGCATTCACCCATACAAGCTTTCAGTTTGCTTGTCTATGTTTGCAGCTCAATTTTACAGGCTGCTCTTTGTTAGAAAAGAAAATCATTTGGGGGCTGCTTTTCATTAAAAGGAAAACCTTACTGAGGACATCCTTACCCTCATTATTTGCCTAAGTAATTCCTTTTTAACTCTTATATCACTGTGTTGCCCAGGCTGGTCTTGAACTCCTGGGCTCAAGCTATCCTCCCAATGTGGCCTCCCAAAGTGCTGAAATTACAGATGAGCCACCCCAGCCTAATAACGCAAGAATGCCTCTTGTTATTATTATTATTATTATTATTATTATTATTTTGAGAACGGGATTTGCTGTGGCACCCAGACTGGAGTGCAGTGGCTCAATCTCAGTTCACTGCAGCTTCGACCTTCCTAAGCTCAAGTGATCCTACCACCTCAGCCAGTTCAATGATAGGGTTGCTTTAGAACAGAAAGCAAAGTTGAGAGTTGGAGGTGGAGGAGCCTCAAGACATAGAAGGGCGCCAGAATTCTGCAGCTCCTGCACTTCCTGGGACTTACTTCTCAACTCTTTGTTCTTTGGGAGAGGGTGAAATGTAGTTTCAGGGGACACTCCTTACACTGAATTCCAAATTTGGTGCTAGTGTGGAACAAGAGAGATTAGGCCTACCCACCATTCACGACTTAGTGTCAAATTATATCGTTTCCCTGCTAAGAGCTACCTGAGGAAATACAAGAGGGAATGGAAAGGAATGGAGTAAGTGGAAGCATAGAGTATTCCAGGGAAACTGAGTGACTGGGAGATTGGGGGCCTGGTTCTTGCTATTAATCCATTAACTTCCCTTTTTTTCTTTTCCTGCCTTTAGTTAGCCTTCTTTCTAGGAATTTTGTTAATACTGAGGATTCTGTTTTATTTTATTTTTTATTTTCACTTTTGCCATTCTCCACTGCTATCGTTGTGAAAAAGAGGTTCCTAGATTCACATTTTAATCTACATTAAAGTCTCTCTCTTTTTCTTTTTTCATTTTGCCTTTAGCCTCTTCCTTTTCATTGATGAGTAAACTTTTAGCTTCTATCAAGTGAGATATTAAAATAATTGAGCTAAAATGTATCAGAATAACACTAAAAATTTGCACATAAGGGCAAATTGCAACAAAGCCCTAATTGAAATCTGTTTTTGTACATCATTAAAAACCACTTTTGGGGTGCTGAGCCCCAAAGGCCTTGATTTGCTGAGATTAGCAGGATAATGGGACAGCGTCTTTTACCATGTTGCTTCATGTCTAATGCCAGAATGTTATTTACTTTACTAAATGATAATTAATGACATGTAATAAGGATGTGAAAGAAAATAAAAATCTCAGGACTCCAAACTCACTATGCCAAAGGAAAGAGTCAAGCTTGAGAACTAAGTCACGCAAAACTGCTATTTTGTTCCTAATTAGATAGCTACAAAGAGAAAAGGCTACATACTTCCTTCACAATTTACTCAAAAGGAAATTCTTTTGGGGGGCCCCAAAATCTTACCCTGAAACAGCTTCATTGAATGTTAACCTGACAATGTAAATTAACAGCTTCTCGTCACAGGCATAGGGAAAAGTCATCCCTCTGCTCACCTGAGACAAATGCATATTTGACTACTTCCTCTACTCTATGTTTATCTTATATAAAAATGCAGATCCACCAGCATGAGATGAATGCATAATTTTTCCTATATCCCCTCCTTTCCCGTGTAAAATGTGGATTCAGTGAATGCTGATCAAAGACGCAAAAGATGCAACTGCTTGCCCCTTTTATTCCTTCCTCTTTTTTTCCTCCCCCTTTTTTTCCTTCCTCTTTCCCTTACTACCCACTCTTTCCCCTTTAAATATTGAAATCTCAGCTCAGGTGCAGTGGCTCATGCTTGTAATCCCAGCACTTTGGGAGGCTGAGGCAGGCGGATCCAGCCTGGGTGACACAGCCAGACTTTTCTCAAATAAATAAATATTGAAATCTCAAACCTTATTTCGAAAAATAATGGGTCATTGATGTTCCTGTGGTTTTGTGCTCCTTTCTCCCGGGTGCATCCTCAATCTTGGGAAAATAAACCTCTAAAATGATTGAGACTCATTTCAGTCATTTAATTTGATTTACATTTTCTTTGATTTATAAGAAATTTACATTACTTATTTTAAAAATTATTAAAAGTGAAAATATTCCCAAGTGGAAAACATCTATCTATCTATCAGTCTCATATTTCAAGGCAGTTAGACTTATTTAAGGGAACTGAATAATTCAAAATAACAATAGTGATAAACCTTTTTTTATATTTGAGACAGAGTGTCACTCTGTCACACAAGCTGGAGTACAGTGACACAATCTCGGCTCACTGCAACTTCTGCCTCCCGTGTTCAAGTGGTTCTTGTGCCTCAGCCTCCCGAGTAGCTGGGATTACAGGCACATGTCACCACACCTGGCTAATTTTTGTATTTTTAGTGGAGACAGAGTTTCACCATGTTTCCCAGACTGGTCTCGAACTCCTGGCCTTAAGTGATACACCCAACTGGGCCTCCCAAAGTGGTAGGATTACAGGTGTGAGCCACAGCACTGGGCCAGATAGCCATCTTTAATATTGTGCTCAATTTCATTCCAGTCCTTTCTCTCTGTGTGTGTGTGTGTGTGTGTGTGCGCGTGTGTGTGTGAAATTTCACACAGGGGAATTAGTCATTGCCAATAAGAATTTTGAAAGATAGAAAGTAAATGGAATTTTTGTTCCCAAAAGAAAGCCACAGAAAAACTCTATTATAGAACTGCAAAATAAGCCAACAAAATTAAATGCACATTGTTTGTTAGTAAACTGGAAATAAATATCTTGTGAAACTGTTAGGATTTTCATTTTCACAGTAAATTTACTACTAGTTTATTAAAAAAATAATTAAGCAAAGGCTATTGGAGTCTACTTTGTTTTAATAGATGTATTTAAATAAAATTAATAGGATTTGGATGGCCAATAACATTCAGAAGCAAATGTTATACTATAATAATAAAAATTTCTTAGAAACACAGAATTTCTGGCTGGGCATGGTGGCTCACACCTGTAATCCCAGCACTTTGGGAGGCTGCGGCAGGAGGATCACTTGAGCTCAGGAGTTTGAAACCAGCATGGGCAACATAGTGAGACCTCATCTCTACTAAAAATCAAAAAAATTAGCCAGGCATGTAGTCCTAGCTACTAGAGAGGCTGAGCCTGGGAGGTTGAGCCTGCAGTGAGCTATAATCACACCACTGCACTCCAGCCTGGGCAACAGAGTGAGGCTCTGTCTCAAAAAAGCAAAAAGAAACAAACAAAAAAACAGAAATGAACTGTATTTTTCTTCAACTATGTTAGAGGGTACACCAAGGGCAAGTAAACAATAGATTTTACTTCAAACCAAGTAATTTTGTCCTGATCATTCTGTCATTCTATTGTTCCATTTCCCTGTGAAACAACAAATATTATGCTTTTTTTTTCTTATCTCTGTCTTATTCCAGAAATGATATAAGGTGTCTTTTAGGAATATATCCAACATAGGAAAATAAAATACTTTAAAAATAGGTGAATATCAGTGAGGCAAGTAGAAAATAATATGAAATGAGATATGAAATGAGGAGTAAGACTGTTTTCAAAATGCCGTAAGGGGCTGGACAGAGCAAAACCCTGTCTCAAGAAGAAAAAAAAAAAAAGTCACAAGACCTAATACCCTTGCTAGGTTGGGATAATACAATCTGTAATGAGAAGATAATCAATAAATGATTACGGCCTCCTCAAGTTACACGTTTCCTTAGAAAGAGTGTTGTTTCAGTTTCTCCCGTATAACACAGAGTGAAATCCCGGAGTTAGGAATACCTTGATTTGAGCCAAACTGGCAAGTGTAAAGCAGGTAATGAGAGGACTGTGTGTGTTCACAGTCACGCAAGAAAATCACTAGAGCATCTATAGTACACCTTGTCGTGTGACCCAGCATTAGACAATGCACAGAAAAGTCCAGGGATCCACTTTTCACATACTTGCTCTATAGGACTGACACCGGGAAATGAAAAACCACAGTGTAACATCCATCCAGACTCTTCAGAGACGATGCCCAATTGTGTCATTTTCAAAATAACACAGAGGCTTCCCTCTGTTAAACTATTAAGCAAAGGGGCAACACGCTGGAAACATAATCAACCCCTTGATCTCTTGTTTGTATGAATGCGTATTAGCACCTGACAAATGTTGAATGAATGAATGAACAAGTAAAGTGAAATCTCTACAAGAGATATACATGGCCATGGAGGAAAATTCTTACTGTCTCTTTGCTGCTCTATTCAGTGCTTGACAGAGTGGGTTGAAAGTAGATTAAAATAGATTCATATCAAAGCCTAGTTCCCACTTCAATCCTTTTATGAAAAACCTGGCTTTCTCTGGAGTTGAGCTGCCACTGGTAACAAATTTCTCAGAAACATGGCTGGCACTGGCACTGTCTCTATATAAACCGAATGTGTTAATAAAAGTTTTAATTCCAGGTTCAGAGTTTACTCCATCCATTCATTTGTTCATCTGTTTAATAAACATTTATTCATTGCTTATTTCATACCAAGTACTGGTGATACAAACTTAGAACTCATAGTTTCCTGTCCTCAGGAAAAACAGGACACAAGAAGAGGCCATGACAAAACAATGAGGTATGCTCAGTGACAAAAAGAAGTACAGAGAGCACTAAAAGGAGAGCATATGTCTCAGCTCAGGAAGTAGATGTCATGTGCGGGTGGAGGGAGGAGGGAGCAAAGAAGGCAAAGGAATCAAATGACCCATCTCAGAATGATCATAGAATTTTTTCCAGAAGCAATAATTAACCCATGAGTATGTTGACTGGAAGTCAGAATCACAGGTGACTCAAATGATGACGAGAAAGTCACAAATACCCAGATGATAATAAGTATGTGCTCAACCCCTTGAGGACTTGCCCACACCATCAGATTAGCAAGAAAGGGCCAGAAATGATTCAGGCAAATCCTGTCCTTGACCAAGTACTGAAGGAGGCCACAATGACCTCTGGAAAGGTAGAGAGCAAAAGAAGGAGTCACAAGCTTCATCTCAGGCACTGAGGGTAGAAGGAGATGGCCTGGCTTTGATCCAAAGTGAAAGGTTCAGTGGTGGATGAAACCAACGCAAAGTGAAAGGTTCAGTGGTGGATGAAACCAACGCATGAGACGTTGGGACATTCAGAAGGAAAGGCAACACTGGCTAGAGCCTCTGTTTAGGACACTACCAGGTTCCTCTGCATTCTCCCTAATCTATATGCCAGTGATCAGCAAAATGCAGGAAGGATGAAGAATGAAGTGATAGGAAAGGGTAACAGGTTTGCATGGTAGAGAAGGCATCAGTGTGTACATTCATTCATTCAATACAAATTTAGCACATGCCAGGCACTGTACATGGCCCTTGTGGTGTTAATATTCCAGTGGGAAATAATTTCAGAATGTGTTAGGAGTAAGTAATCAGGTAAGCAGGGGACTACTTTACATATGTAGTAAGAGAAGGCCTCTCTGAGGAGCCAATATGTAAAAATGGAGAAGAAACTAGTTGCACAGTGAGCTGAGACAAGAGTGTTCCAGAAAGAAAGAACATCAAGTTCTGAGATGGGAATGAGCTTGGCTGCACACTCCAGGGCTAGAAAGGAGGCCACTGTGCATGACAGGGAGCGTGGTGCAAGGTGAGGCTGGTGAGGTAGGAGGAGCCAGTGAAGGCAGCTGTGTGCACTAGGGTAAGGAGTTGGGATTTTAATCCACAGACGCTTGTCTTTTTCTTGAAGGGGTGCCAATTTTTAAAACCTGCAGAGTTGATCAAACTATGCGTTTTTTCTCTATCCTACCCAATAATGATGATCCAGGAGCAAGGATGGAAAAACAATGGGAACACTCAAATACCTTTGGAGAAAATGAAAATTGGTATCATCATTTGGAGAGCAAATTGCATTAGCCAATAAAGCTGAGGATGTGCCTACCCAACACATGGAGGTTCCGTTCCTAAATAGAGATATCCTAAAGAAACTCACTGTATCAGTCCATTATCGCACTGCTATAAAGAAATACCTGCGACTGGGTAATTTAGAAAGAAAAGAGGTTTAATTGGCTCACAGTTCTGCAGGCTGGACAGGAAGCATGATGGGGGAGCAGGCACTTCACATGGCTAGGAGCAGGAAGAAGAGAGAGAGGGCTTGGGGGCGATGCTACACAGTTTTAAACAACCAGATCACATGAGAACTCACTCACTACACTGTACCAAGGTGGGGGGTGGTGCCAAACCATTCATGAGAAACCATCCCCATGATACAATCACCTTCCACCAGGTCTCACCTCCAGCACTGGGGATTACAATTCAACATCAGCTTTGTGTGGGAACACGGATCCAAACCATATCACTCACGTTTACTCAGTGAAACAAAAACAAGCTTGTTCACTGAAGCATTGTTTGTAATAGAAAAACAACAGCAACAACAAAACGTCCATCAACAGAATAGGTAAATTGTAGTGTATTCACACAGTGGAATTCCACACAGTACTGAAAACGAATGAACTAGGAATACCTGCATCAATATGAACAAATCTGAAAAACATTTTCACTTTGAATGAAAAAAGCAAGAGGGCAAAGGAACACATTCAGTATTATTCTATTTATATGAAGTTTTAAAATATGCAAAATGATCCCATGTATCATTTAGGTAGACATACTTGTGTAGGACATACTTGTGTAGGAAAAGTTTAAAGAAATGCACGGGAATGCTTGATGTCAAGTTTTGGGACGGCGCTTACCACTGGAGCTATATGTGATGTCGAGAGGTATACAGCGGGCTGTGACTATTTCTTAAGCAACATGGTAAGTTCAGGAGGTCTTCATTAACTATTCTTTATTTTTTTTAATATCTGAAATTTCTCTTTTTATATTTAAAAGACTAGCCAGAAGCAAGCAAGTAAATATAAAAAGGAGACTGGAAGCAATTACTGGGGAGAAGCAAACAATTCTGTGAGTCAGCAGAGGCTTTAGTTGAATTCTTCAAAGTAGATTAGGGAATCAGGCCACCAAGGCTGGAACTTAGACATTTCATCTTATCCAGAGAACAGATGAACTTTCTTTAATACAAAGTATATCTTTACTTTTTTTTAACTCTACGCTTACATAATTCTCTAGAGATGGAGACCAGATTTAGAACTTAACACAACCTAGAAATTCTCTACCTGAGTTCATTCAATTCATGGATTACCTAGAATGCACACAGGTAATGTGTCTCTATCTAAAAAGATGTGTTACATTTTCCTGTGTTTGCACTACCTGATTTCTTTTCCCAGTGCCCAAATCAGGCAGGGATACTACACACTTCCATGCACTTCTAAGTTTTGACAATCCATTTGCTGATGGATACAATCATTTTGCATTCAACAAAGATGGAAAAACATAACCCAATTCCCAATTCCACAAACTCAGATGAGGTTTTGGGAACTCCTCTGGGATCAAAAGGTGATAACATTTTTTTTTTGTCAATTTTATAACAAAATCTGAGCCAGAGGATAGGATAAAATAATCCTCCTTCATACTCATATATTGCTTATACTTTGAGTCTCACAATACTGCAAATTTTCAGCAAAGATATTAAGACTGAAAGATGGCAAGTGACTTCTTAGGTCTCACAGCTAAGCAGCAAGTGGAGTTAGAAAGTGATCCCAGGTCATCTGACCCCATCAAATATTCTTCCCTCTGTTCCTCACCAGGGCTCACTTTGCCAAGGACCAAATCCCAGAGGGGTCCAAAGAGTATATCACTCAGACTATCCCAGGGCAAGTCCCAGCTCTCCATCAACTAATTGTGTGCCCTTGGGCAAGTTACTGAACTTCCTTAACCTCAGTTCTCTCAGCTGTAAACTGAAAAAGATAAAATCAACTTCTCATGGTTGTAGTGTCTCATTCAGTTTGGGCTACTATAACAAACTACCATAAACTGGGTGGTTTGGGTAACTGGATAAATGTTTAGTCAATAAACATCTTTTACAAGTCTGGAGGCTGGAAGTTTGAGATCAGGGTGCCAGCATGATCAGGTTCTGGTGAGGACCTTCTTCTGGGTTGCAGACTCCCAATTTCTCACTGTATCCTTACATGGTGGAAAGAGAGCTATAGACCTCTCTGGGTTTCCTGTTTGTAAAGGCACTAATCCCATTCATGAAGGCCGCATCCTCATGACCTAATCACCTCCCAAAGACCCCACCTCCAAATACCATCATGAGGGTTGAGATTTCAACATAGGAATTTGGGGAGGAACACAAACATTCAGACCTTAACATGTATGTCTGACCACTAGAGAGAATATGTGTGCAGTGCCTGGCCTGCTGTAGTTGTGCTTAGTGATGGAAACTACGGTAATAATTACAGAGACCCCAGCCTCTCACTGACAGAGTCCTTCTAACCAAACCAAGGAATTAACTCATCTTTTTTCTGGGGCTTCAAAGAATTAGAAATAATTGTAGAGTCTGAGTGTGGTGACTCATGCCTAAAATCCTAGCACTTTGGGAGGCCAAGGTGGGAGGGTCACTTGGAGCTCAGGAGTTCCAGACCAGCCTGGGCAACATAGTGAGACCTCATCTCTAGTTTATAATATAAAAAAAAGAAATAATTACAGAGTTATGTTAGATGAGAGAATTAGTAGGAACTGAAAGCTCACATCAGAAAGGAATTATTTAATTATTAGTATTAAAATAAATGATGTTAATAAGTACTAACAATAATAGAAGTAACTTTGTACCATACAAACATATTTGTTTCTCCTTTACCCACAGAGAATAAACAGAAAGTGCTACATAAAATGTACCCACACAATTTCCTTAAGCACACATTTAAGTTTTTGTAGCGTTGTTTACCAATCTTAAAACAAAGGACATTGTAAAGTATGGATGAATTTCTATTTCATTAAATTTTCTCTTTACAATAGCATATGTAAAACAGACATGGTTTAAAATAAATTACATTCTAGTGAATGGCACTTAGCCCCCTCAGAAGGAACCAATCAGTCCAGATCAGTGATCTTCAAACTTTTCCCATTTTATGCCCTTAAGAAAACATTTTAATGCATGTTCCCCCTTGCACATTTTTCAGTTGACATCTATAATGATTCATCATAAATTTAGGCGGTTGCAAAAAATGTCATTTTCAATGTATTATAAATCTTGACATTTTGAAAGAAACATTACCTTCCAAAATGAATCCAATGGAATCTAAATACCACAGTAATATAATACTTGACATTATCCATTTAAAAAATATATGAACTAGCTCTTTTTTAACAGCCAGAAATTCTGCAACATTCCTTTAATTTTCTTTTGAACTTACAGTTTCATCCTACTTCCTCCAAAGAAGTTTATTTGGGCTGTGATATATTTTTATGCTTGAAAATCTATTACTGATCATCTTCTCATATTTCTTGACTACAAAAATAATATATTAAAATTTAAAAATGTAAAAGTTTATTTTCTATGACCTTAAGGCTCTGCGTTCAAAAAAATCCTTTGATTAACATTACAATTATTGTTAGCACATAACTGATCAAAACAACATAGCAAATTTTGATGAAAGTAAAGTTTCAGTGGAAATGTATGATTCACTCTCCTTAAATTTGGTTAAACTCAAAGAATTACAAACTGCTTAACATGTATGTTTGCCAATCACTAGGGTCACTGATTTTCTCAACATGGATCCCTTGGGTGGAGACTTGGAGGGTTGTGCACCTGGTACACTCCCTCAGTGAGACACCATGGTGAGGGGTCTGCCATTCGTCGTAAATGGGAGACGAAGAAAGAGCCTACAGCTTCATTACACACACAATCTCTGTCCATTCCCATTTAGCGAAGGCATGATACTGAGCCCATGGGAACTGATACCCTAAGAAGCCTTTACCCCTGAAGGTCCTCAGATCCCGTTTGAAGATTACTAAATTAGACCACCCCCTGAGGGGAAAGCATTGGCTGAACATCCAGAGAAAAGTTGACACCCCACATATAGTATAACCAATTTTCCTACCCTTGCGAGGTGCAAAATGGAGGTTCTTTCTGGTCATAAAGCGAAGACTATTATACACACACACACACACACACACTGCACACACTGTAGGGAGGAAAACTTTCTTCCCTACCACCTTATGTCCTAGAGCATGGAACCTGGAGAAAAGTGTATTACACATGTGCAAGCACCTGAGAGAGAGCAGGAGAGAGGGCGGGAATGAAGGACAGACTTCCCAAACAGCTAAGGGTAAGGATTTAGGTGAAAATGGGCTTCAGTGGGAATATATGGAAGATTCTGCGAGGCTCATTTACACAATATTCTTGGAATGCCACTGTGTTAAAGGTCAGTTGCTTCTCTGTTTGAAGATTCTCTTGGAGAGGGTAGGCAGTGGGTTATGGCAACTGAATTCTCAGGGAGCTTTGCTTTAGTCAGATATGGGACATGCAGACAAGATTTATTTCTGCATCTGCTGTAACTAAAAAATTTTCAGTTTAAAATAACCTTTATGCCATTTTGGTAGCATGTTAGTCCTATCAACACACACCCACACCACTCCCCCAAAGACCCTGTGGTCTATAGCCTCGCCACTCAGGGTAGCCCTTGAACCAGCAGCATGGACATCATGCAAGAGCTCGTTAGAAATGTGGAATCTCGGCCGGGCGCGGTGGCTCATGCCTGTAATCCCAGCACTTTGGGAGGCCGAGGCGGGTGGATCACGAGGTCAAGAGATCGAGACCATCCTGGCTAACATGGTGAAACCCCGTCTCTACTAAAAATACAAAAAAATTAGCCGGGCATGGTAGCAGGCACCTGTAGTCCCAGCTACTTGGGAGGCTCAGGCAGGAGAATGGCGTGAATCCAGGAGGCGGAGCTTGCAGTGAGCCGAGATCGCGCCACTGCACTCCAGCCTGGGCGACAGAGCGAGACTCCGCCTCAAAAAACAAAACAAAACAAAAACAAAAACAAAAGAAAGAAAGAAATGTGGAATCTCAGACCCCCGAATCAGAAACTGCATGTTAACAAGTTATCCAGTAGATTTGTGTGTGCTTGCTGTGAGTTTGAGGAGCATGGATCAGCATCTAGTAGTTCTCAGCTCTGGCTGTACATTAGAATCACCCTGGGAGCCTTTCAAATCCCTCTGCCTGGGAAATTGGAAGTCTCCCCAGGTCACTGATAAAATTAATATTAAATTTTAAAATGTGATCATGCTTTTGTGGTTATTTTTGTAAGGGGTCATTCTTTTCGATACACATACCGATGTATGAATAGAATATGGTATTTAAGAATTGCTTCTGAATAATTCAGCAGGAGAGGAAGGAGGAAGAAAGTATCAATGGAACAAGAATGATCATGAATTGATCATCTTTCAAGCTAGGTAAGTGGTACATGAGGATTCCTTATACAATTCTCTCCATTTTGATATGTATTTTTAAATTTCCATGTAAGTTAAAAACACATACATATATTTCCAATTTTTATATATGCACACAATTTTATACACACACACACACACACACACACACACACACACACACACACACGGCCTGGTTCTACTACCAGAGATTCCAAATTTAAATTGGTTGGGGCGATCGCAGTGCATCACATCTGTAATACCAGCACTTGAGAGGCCAAGGCAGGAGGATCACTTAAGGTCAGGAGTTCAAGACCAGCCTGTGCAACACAGACAAACCCTGTCTCTAAAAAAATAAAAATAAATTGGTTGGGGTGGAGATGGATTTCAGTCATTCCTCATCCCCCAAGTTTATTAAGGTATAATGAATAAAATTGTATGTATTTATAGTATACGACCTGATAATTTTATATATATATATATAGTGAAACGATTACCACAATCAAGTTAGTTAATATGTACATCACTTCACAGTTAACAATTTTTTATGTGGTGAGAACATTGAAGATCTACTCTCTTAGCAGATTTCAAGTATTTAATACCATATTATTAACTACAGTTACCATGTGTGCATTAGATCCCTATAATTTATTTATCTTGTAACTGAAAGTTTGTACTCTTTGACCAACATCTTTCTCATTTCACCCACCCCTAAACTCCTGGCAACTACCATTCCATTCTCTGTTTCTATGACTTCGACTTTTTCAGATTGCACAAATATATGATCAGATTTCAGATCATACAGTATTTGTCTTTCCTGTCTGACCCACTTCATTTAGCATAATGCCTTCAAAATTCATCCATATTGTCACAAATGGCAAGATTTTCCTTTTTTAATGGCTGAGTAATATTCCACTGTATAAGTATATACCACATTGTCTTTATCTGTTCATCTGTCAAAGGACACAAGTTGATTTCATATCTTGGTTATTGTGCATAATGCTGCAATGAACATGGGGGTGCAGATATCTCTTCAGGATACTGATTTTATTTCCTTTTGATACATACCTAGAAGTGGGATTGCTGGATTATATGACAGTTTTAATTTAATTTTTTGAAGACCCTCAATACCCTTTGCCATAATGGCTGTACCAATTTACATTTCTACCAACAGTGCACAAGGGTTCCCTTTTCTCCACATCCTCATCAATAGCTATCTTTTGTTATTTTGTTAATACCCATCATAATGAGTGGGGTGACATCTCATCGTGGTTTTGATTTGCAGTTCCTTAACGTTTAGTGATGTGGAGCACTATTTTTCTGTACTTGGCTATTTGTATGTCTTCTCTGGAAAAACGTCTGTTAAGGTTCTTTGCCCATTTTTAATGAGATTATTTGTTTTGGGTTTGTTGTTGTTGCTGCTGTTATTGAGTTGTATGAGTTCTCATACGTTTTAGATGCTTGCCTCTCATCAAATATATGGTTTGCAGATATTTCTCCCATTCTGTAGCTTGCCTTTTTGGTTGTTTCCTTTGCTGTGCGGAAACATTTTAGTTTAATGTAGTTCCACTTGTTTATTTTTGCTTTTGTTGTCTGTGCTATTGGTGTCATATCCAAAAATCATTGCCAAAATCAATGTCAAGGAGATTTTTTCCCTATGTTTTCTTATAGGAGTTTGACATTTTCAGGTCTTACATTAAAATCTTTAATGTATTTCAAGTTAATTTTTTGTGAGTGGTGTAAGACAGGGATCCTATTTCATAGTTTTGCATGTGGATATCCAGTTTCCCAACACCATTTATTGAAGAGATTATCCTTTCTTCGTTGTATATATATATATTTTTTTCTTTTGAGACAGAGTCTTGTTCTTGTCACCCAGGCCAGAGTGCAGTGGTGCGATCTTGGCTCACTGCAACTTCCACCTCCCCGATTGAAGCAATTCTCCTGTGTCAGCCTCCTATGTAGTTGGGATTACAAGCATGTGCCACCATGCCCGGCTAATTTTTGTATTTTTAGTAGAGACGGGGTTTTGCCATGTTGGCCAGGGTGGTCTCAAACTGCTGGCCTCAAGCAATCCACCCACCTTGGCCTGCCACAGTGCTGGGATTACAGGCGTGAGCCACCACACTTGGCCCATTGTATACTTTTATTTTTTTTTTTTGAGACGGAGTCTCGCTCTGTCGCCCAGGCTGGAGTGCAGTGGCGCGATCTCGGCTCACTGCAACCTCCGCCTCCCGGGTTCACGCCATTCTCCTGCCTCAGCCTTGCGAGTAGCTGGGACTACAGGCGCCCGCCACCAGGCCGGCTAATTTTTTGTATTTTTAGTAGAGACTTGGGTTTCACCGTGTTAGCCAGGGTGGTCTCGATCTCCTGACCTCGTGATCCGCCCGTCTCGGCATCCCAAAGTGCTGGGATTACAGGCATGAGCCACCGCGCCCGGCCGGCCCATTGTGTATTCTTAATGCTCTTTTCAAATATCAGTTGACTGTATATGAATGACCTTATTTCCAGGTGCTTGATTCTGTTCCATTGGCCTATGTGTCTCTTTTTATATGAGTACCATACCATTTTGATTACTATAGCTTCCTGCTTGTATACCAGGAAGTATGATGCCTCAGCTTTGTTCTTCTTCCTCAAGTTTGCTTTAGATATTCAGAGTCTTTTTTGGTTCCTTATGAATTTTAGAACTGCTTTTTTATATTTCTGTGGAAAATACCATCAGAATTTTGATAATATTGAATCTATAGATCTCTTCGGATAGCATGAACATTTTAAGAATATTAATTCTTCCAATCCATAAACATGGGACATCTTTCCATTTATGTGTGTCTTCCTCAGTTTCTCTCTTTCATTTTTTTTTTTTTTTTTTTGAGACGGAGTCTCGCTCTGTCACCCAGGCTGGAATGCAGTGGTGCCATCTCGGCTCACTGCAAACTCTGCCTCCCAGGTTCAAGCAATTCTCTGCCTCAGCCTCCCGAGTAGCTGGGATTACAGGTGCCAGTCACCACACCCAGCTAATGCGTCAATTTCTTTCATCAATATCATGTAGTTTTCAGATTTTTCATCTCCTTGGTTAAATTATTCCTATTTTATTGTTTTTGATGCTATTGTAAATGGTAAATTAAAAAATACATTCCTAAATAACACATGGGCCAAAGAAGAAATCACAAGGGAAAGTAGAAAATACATTTCAGATAAATGAAAACAAAACACAATATACCAAAACACAGGATGCAGCTAAAGCAGTGCTCAATAGAAAATTTGTAGATGTAAAGACCTATATTAAAAAAGACAATAATCTCAAGTAATGTGATGCCTGTGTGGCTTTGTTCTTTTTATTTAGGATTGCTTAGGCTATTTGGGCTATTTTTTGTTCCATATAAATTTTAGAATAGTTTTTTCTAATTCTGTGAAAAATGACTTTGGTAATTTGATAGGAATTACATTGAATCTGTTGATTGCTTTAGACAGTATGGACATTTTAATGATAAATCCATAAGCATGAAATATTTTTTCCATTTGTTTGTGTCATCTATTTCTTTCAGCTGTGTTTTTGAGTTCTTGTAGAGATCTTTCCTCTCCTTAGTTAGATGTATTCCTAGGTATTTTTGTGTGGTTTTGTGTGTGTGTGTGTGTGTGTGTGTGTATGTGTGTGTGTGTGTGTGTGTAGCTATTGCAAATAGAATTGCATTCTTGATCTGATTATCAGCTAGAACGTTATTGGTGTATAGAAATGCCACTCATTTTTGCACGTTGATTTTTTTTATATCCTGAAACTTTACTGAAGTCATTTATCAGGTCTAGGTGTCTTTTCATGGAATCATTAGAATTTTCTATGTATAGAATCATATCATCAACAAAGAGAGATAATTTGACTTCCTCTTTTCCTGTTTGGATGTCTTTTATATCTTTCTCGTGCTTGATTGCTCTGTCTAGGACTTCTAGTACTATGTTAAATAGGAGTAGTGATATGGGCATCCTTACCTTGTTCCAGTTCTTAGAGGAAATACATCCAACTTTTGCCCACTTGGTATGATGTCTCACTCTCACCCAGGCTGGCATGCAGTGGCTGATCTCGGCTCACTGCGAACTTTGCCTCCCAGGCTCAAACAATCTTCCCACCTCAGCCTCCCCAGTAGCTGGACTACAGGCATATGCCACCATGCCCAGCTAAGTTTTTGTATTTTTAGTGGAAATGGGGTTTCACCATATTGCCCAGGCTGGTCTTAAACTCCTGAACTCAAGCAATCCACTGTCCTCAGCCTCCCAAAGTGCTGGGATTACAAGTGTGACCTACTGTGCTTGGCCTGAATTGCACGTGTTGAAATATCCTTGCATCCCAAGGATAAAGCCCACTTGAATGTAGTGAATTATCTTTTTGATGTGCTGCTGGATTCAGTTTACTAGTATTTTGTTGAGGATTTTTGTGTCTATGTTTATCAGGAATATTGCCTGCAGTTTTCTTTTTTGTTGTGTCTTTGGGAGATTTTTGGTATCAAGATGACGCTGGTAAAAAAAAAAAAAAAGAAAAAAGAAAAAAAAGAAAAAGATACTTGTTTCACAAAACGAGTTAGGGAGGAGTCCCTCCTCCTTTTTTCTCATAGCTGCAATAGGATTGGTACCAGCTTTCTGTATATCTGGTAGAATTCGGCCATGACTACATCTGGCTGAGGGCCATTTTTGGTTGGTAGATTTTGTGTTACTGATTCAATTTTGTAACTCATTATTAGTCTGTTCAGTGTTTCAATTTCTTTCTGGTTCAATCTTGGGAGGTTGCGTGTTTCCAGAGAATTATCCATTTCCTCTAGATTTTCTGGTTTGTGCACATAGAGATGTACATAGTAGTCTCTGAGAATCTTTCATATTCCTGTGGGATTGGTTGTTATGTCTGTTACCTCTGTCACTTCTGACTTGCTTATTTGTATCTTCTCTCTTTTTGTTTTTTTCTTTGATAATCTAGCTAGTGGTCTATCAATCTCATTTATCCTTTCCAAAAACCAACTTTTCATTTTGTTAATCTTTGTATTTTTTGGGGGGTTCTCAATTTCATTTAGTTCTGCTCTGATTTTAGTTATTATTTTTCTTCTGCTAGCTTTGGGTTTAGTTTGTTCTTGTTTTTCTAGTTCCTTTAGGTGTGAAATTAGGCTTTTAATTTTAATCTTTCTATTATCTTGATGTAGGAATTTAGTGCTATAAACTTCCCTCTTAACACTGCCTTTGCTGCATTCCAGAAGTTTTAGTACGTTGTGTCTCTATTTTCATTTGTTTCAAATAATTTTTGATTTCTGCCTTAATTTTGTTGTTACCCAAAAGTCTTTCAGTAGCAAATTGTTTAGTTTCCATGTATTTGTGTGGTTTTGAGAGTTCTTCTTGGTATTGATTTCTATTTTTATTTCACTGTGGTCCAAGAAGATGCTTGGTATGATTTTGATTTTTTTGAATTTATTGTGATTTGCTTTGTGACTGAGCATGTGGTTAATCTTAGAGTATGTTCTTTGTGCAATGAGAATGTACATTCTATGGTTCTTGGGAGCACTATTCTTTTTTTTTTTTTTTTTTTTTTTTTTGAGACAGGGTCTCACTCTGTCACCCAGGCTGGAGTGCAGTGGCACAATCAGGGCTCACTGCAGCCTCAGCCTCCTGGGCTCAAGCGGTCCTCCTGCCTCAGCCCCCACCCCAACCCCGAGTGGCTGGGACTACAGGTGTGTGCCACCATGCCTGGCTAATTTTTTATATTTTTAGTAGAGACAGAGTTTCACCTTGTTGCCCACGCTGGTCTCAAACTCCTGGGCTCAAGCGATCTACTCACCTTGGCCTCCCAAAGTGTTGGGATTACAGATGTGAGCCACCACACCTGATGGGAGCACTATTCTTGCAGCCCAAAAGAAACAACCTGAGTGGTCACAGTGTCTCATACCTATAATCACAGCACATTGGGAGGCTAAGGTGGAAGGATTGCTTGAACCCAGGAGTTTGAGACCAGCCTGGGCAACACAGGAAGACCCTGTCTCTAAAAAAATAAATAAATAAAAATAAAAATAAACAACCCAAGTGCCCACCAATTAATGAAATAAAATGTGATATACTCATATATGGAAATATTATTTTGCAATTAAAAAATGAAGTGTTAATAAATTAAACAGCATTGATGAACCTTGAAAATACCACACTAAAGTGGAAGAAGCCAGCCACAAAATATTACGTATTATATGATTTAATTTATATGAATTGTTCAGAATAGGCAAATGTGTAGATACAGAACATAGATTAGAGGTTTCTTAAGTCTACAGGATGCCAGGATAGGGAAATGATAGCCAAAGGGCACAGGCTTTCATTTTTGAGTTAATAAACATATTCTAAAATTGACTGTGGTAATTGGAGAAGCTTGTTTTAGGCAGGACAAAAATGTTCTAAAATTAGGTGGTAGCGATGGTTGCACAAACCTGTGAATACACTTAAAAACATCAAACTGTGGATTTTAAATGGGTGAATTAGCATGTGAGGCATGTGAATTACGTCTCAATGAAAAAATTTTGGCCAGGCGCGGTGCCTTACGCCTGTAATCCCAGCACTTCGGGAGGCGGAGGTGGGCGGATCACGAGGTCAGGAGATGGAGACCATCCTGGCTAACACAGTGAAACCCCACCTCTACTAAAATTACAAAAAATCAGCGGAAGGTGGTGGCACGCGCCTGTAGTTCCAGCTACCTGGGAGGCTGAGGCAGGAGAATCACTTGAACCTGGGAGGCAGGGATTGCAGTGAGCCAAGATTGCGCCATTGTACTCCAGCCTGGGTGACAGAGCAAGACTCCATTTCAAAACAAAAAAATTTTTTTTAAATGATCAGGCATAGTGGCTCACACCTCTAATCCCAACACTTCAGGAGGCTGAGGCAAGAGGATCACTGGAGTTTAAGAACAGCTTAGGCAACATAGTGAGACCCTGTCTCTATTTTTAAAAATTTCAGAATATTTTTCACTATTATTTTTAAATATTTTTTTCTGATCCCTGCCTCCTCTAAGATTCTAATTACCTGTAAGTTATAGCTCATAATGTTGTCTACAGGTCACTGATACTGTCTTGATTCTTCAGTCTTTGTACTCTTTCTTCGTTTTCATAGTTTCTTTTGTTCTTTTCAAGTTCACGAATCTTTTTCTTTATCAGTGTCTAATCTTCTGTTAAGTCTCAGTGAATTATTCATATAAAATATTGTATTTTAAATACTAGAAGTTTCACTTGGTTCTTTTTTAATATCTTCAATTTCTCTTGTTCTATTCATGTTTTTCTTTAAATATCTGACCACATACACATAAATTATTTTAAAATCCTTGTCTGCTAATTCCATCATCTTTGTCATTTCCAGTTGGTTTCTTTTTTAAATTAAATTAAATTAAAAAAACTTTTTAAAATAGAGGCGGGGTTCGCCATGTTGCCCAGCTGGTCTCGAACTCCTGGGCTCAAGTGTTCAGCCTACCTTGGCCTCCCAAAGTACTGGGATTACAGGCATGAGTCACCATCTGGCCTCTGGGTTGGTTTCTATTTACTGATTTTTCTTCTGTCTAAAGTTCGTATTTCCTGCTTTTGTGTGTAGTAATTTTTTACTGGATTAACACTGCAAATTCTACATTGAGGAGTGTTGAATTCTGTTATTTTTGTCAATGGATCTAAGACTTTGTGCTGTGAGGCTGTTGGGTTACTTCTCGGATCACCATGAGGCTTTCAAAGTGAAAAAGTTTTAAAACCATAAAAGAAAACTTTCTTGGCTGGGCATGGCTCACACCTGTAATCCCAGCGCTTTGGAAGGCTAAGGCAAGAGGATCGTTTGAGCTCAGGAGCTGGAGACTAGTCTGAGCAACACAGCAAGAGCTCATCTCTATTTCTAATCAAAAAATAAAAATAAAAAAGTAAAAAATACTTTTTAAAATTTTTAAAAATTGTTTCCCTACTCACACTATACTTCTGATATCAAATGTGTATATTGAGGGGGGAAAGATTCCCACACTAACCAGCTGAGTGTCCTGACATTCCATTCATTTCTATTAATAACACTATCTACCTGGAGTTAGTGTCAGATCCCACAAGTTAAGTGTTCGGTTCCACAAGTCTGTTACCACTTCAGACACCAGTTGCAGGTCCTGGACCACCCATACTTTTGACCAATCAGACATAAATCGGGGGTTCCCACAACCCTCAAGTTCAATAATTTTCTAGAATGGCTCACAAACTCAGGGATACACTTTACTTAAAATGTTCTGGTTTATTATAAAGTATACAACTCAGGAACAGCCAGGTGGAAGAGATGCATAGGGCAAAGTGTGCCTAGCTCATGGAATTTCAGCAATACGCAAACTCCTGTGTGGACTTCTGGAGTTCCTTCTCTGCATAGCTCTGTTCTCTACAGTTGTCTGCCCTGCCAATTCCAAATCACCTTCTTGAACTCCAATAGTGAGATGACTGTATTGTGCTTGGGATCCCCCTCTCTGTACCTTAGTCTAAAAAGTGTCCCTTGGCCAGGCTCAGTCACTCACACCTGTAATCCCAGCACTTCAGGAAGCCAAAACAGATCACCTGAGGCCAGGAGTTTGAGGCTAGTCTGGGCAACATAGCAAGACCCCGTCTCTACAAAAATTAGAGAGGCCATACCAGAAACCAACTCTGGCCAGGTGCAGTGGCTCACACCTACAATCCCAGCACTTTGGAAGGCCAAGGCAGGAGGAATGCTTGATCTTAGGAGCTCAAGACCAGCCTAGGCAACATAGCAAGACCTCGCCTCTATTAAAAATCAAAAAAATTAGGCAGGTGGTGGCACACACCTGTAGTCCCTACTACTTGGGAGGCTGAGGCAGGAGGATCACTTGAGCTCAGGAGATTAAGGCTACAATGAGCTATGATCACACCACTGCACTCCAGCCTGGGCGATAGAGCAAGACTCTGTCACAAAAATTTTTAAAAATTAAAAAATTAAAAAGAAACGAACCCTGACAACACCTTGATCTTGGGCTTCTGGCTGTCAGAACTATGAGAAAATAAGTTTCTGTTGTTTAAGCCACCCAATCGGTGGTATTTTGTTATGATAGCCCTACCTAATTAATACAGCTTCCTCGAAACATTTTGTGCAGTTCCTTGCTATTTATCTTTCTCTTGGGGATCAAGGCCCTGCACTGTCTGTTGTCCAATTTCTGAGAGTAGTTGTTTCACATATTTTGTCTACTTCTAGTTATTTATATCAGGAAGGTGAGTCGGGTCCCAATTACTTCAAGTCCCTTTGCAATGTGTTTCTTTAATCTTTTAACTAAATGAGTTTCAGAAATTTCTGAGAAGGGGAAAAGAATGGGGAATTGCAACTCCATCATAAGGGACCCTTGAGAAATCTGCCGTCACTGTTCATTATCTTCCCAGAGAAGGACAAGTAAGTGCATCATGCCATCTTGGCTGGGGTGGGAGGGAGCATCCTATATATTGTATACCAGGCAGCCCGTATGCCTTGCCAGATTTCAGCAAGATAAGATGTCTAGGTCCTACTCATGCTTGTATTGAATGAGAATTTGGAGGTTCTCATTCAGTTCACAAGGGTAATCAGTTTAATTTCTATCATACAGGCTGGGCGCTGTGGCTCACACTTGTAATCCCAGCACTTTGGGAGACTGGGCTTGGCAGATCACCTGAGGTTAGGAGTTCGAGCCCAGCCTGACCAATATGGAGAAACCCCCATCTCTACTAAAAATACAAAAAATTAGCCGGGCATGGTGGTGCATGCTTGTAATCCCAACTACTCGGGAGGCTGAGGCAGGAGAATCGCTTGAACCTGGGAGCCGGAGGTTGCAGTGAGCCGAGATCGCGCCATTGTACTTCAGCCTGGGCAACAAGAGTGAAACTCCGTCTCAAAAAAAAAAAAAAAAAAAAATTCTACCTTACAATTTTCCTTGGTATAAGGAAAATTCATCCTCTAAGTGAATATCTAGGATCAGTGTCCTTCCTGAAATAAATACTCACAGTGTATTGTCCCTAGAGATCAAAGTCAGGATTGACTGGTCCACAAAACACAAGGATACTTCTCAGAAAAACAAGAAAGAATAATCACATTAAACCACTAGGCTCTTTAATTGCAATGAATCTTATATTCTCAGGGCAGGAAAAAGGCTCCTTAGCCAATGAGCAGAAAATAGACGACAAAAAAATGTAAATGTTACCCAAAGTTTAAAAGCTAAATTGGGAAGATGAGACTAGATTTAAGAAGGATAATTCTAATGGAGTATAGGTTTCAGCATGACAAAAGAAAACTCAGAGGATAGAAGGGGAATGTAACCACAAAAGTTGACATTAATTTTTAAATTGAATATATTACTTATAAATTATTAATCCAAGGCCAAAGATGTCTGGAGTGCGATGCTGAAAGTGCCCACAATGCTTTTGTTAGAACCTCTACCTCTTCATCCTCCTCTCCGCCCACCATAGCCTCAGTGCAGACAGATTCACCCCTAAAAGCCAGATCTGATCTGATGGCTCATCAACTCAGAAACTCTCCTTGGCTATCATCTATAGAAAGTAGTCCAATTCCTCACCTCAGCTGTCAATGCCCGCAGGCTGTTTCCCAGCACATCTCCCTCCACCCGCACCAATATATACTACGGTCCAGCCCCCTTCCCTATAGGAATTATCACAGAAACCCTGTGCTTCTGCTTTCTCATCCCTGAAGTGCTGCTCCTCCTGTGCACTGTCCCCATTTATGGAAAATTATATACTCAAGCATCTAGAACCAATGCTCCCTTCTGCTCCTATAGGCCTCATGAGGCTTCTTATCGTTTTGCTGTAAGATTTTTATGATTCTCTCCTCTGCTATACCATATGCACTTTGAATGCAGGAATTGTGCCACACATCTTCACAACTGTTACCCCCCACGGTACCTAGCACATAGCAATCCCTCCAGAAATGCTCTCAAGAAGCTAAATGGAAACAATATTCTGGAGAAGTTGGAAAATTAAATAGGATTGACTTTCAAACTGTAAATTTGCTTGGTCCTCAGTAAAGATTCCAAAGCTGTTTCCCACCCCTCAGTCAGCCTAAGTGAAGGTGAAAGCTCGGAGGATTAACACAAGTTATTTTCACTGTTGGAAGACATTTCTGAAATCTACTGATCTGGAATGTTAATCACCTCTTACCATCCAACTCATTAACACAAATGCTTTGAAAGAAAATAAATAAACTACACTAAAACCAGTCTTTTTTTTTTTTTTTTTGGTCACATTTCAAAGCTGCCTCTCACCACAGTTCACATTCTCACACAAGTTCAAAGAAAACAGGAAGTGCCCTAGAAACACTGAGAACCCTCTTTCTTTGTGTCCTCTGGGGTAGTCCACTAGCCACTTAAAGCCCCAAAAGTAGTTCTTTGGCTTTTTTCTCTAATCAAAAGAAGAAAAGAGCTAATAAGAGATATTTCCCTTTGTTGGTTTGTTATCCTTGACAATCTTTCCCACTAAAACGTTTGTTACCTTGAATTTAGCCTTTTATTTCATTATTGGAATGAAAAGCTTCCTCTGTTTGTTTTAAGCATAAATATGGAAAAACTACTCACAGAGGCAAGGAAGACTGCTTGAAATGACACTAAGCCTCCTTAACAGCTTTCAGCCTTTCAGAGTGGCTAGGAAACAAGCACTGCCCTCTCCCCGTCTGGGGACCGATTAGGATAAGACTCTTCCACCCCAGGCCCCAGCTAGCGGTGGTGGTTAAGAACAGGACCATTACAGGACCCAAAGAGGCCACTCTGCATGAGCCTGGAGAGTAAAACCCCGGTTGAGAACAACTGCCTTAACCATATTCATTCAGTCAGTCAACGTATGGAACCACAATTTTAGCCTTCCTCAAGACTGTTTTCAGCATGTTTCTCATTACTTTGTACGGTATTTAACTGCTTTTCTGGTACCGTAACTTTGTGTATTATTTTAAAACTCATTATCTTCATTTTCCATATAATCTTCCCACATGCATTTTCTGGATACAAAGCTCCGGAAACACATCTTCTTCTGTTACTGCAATAATCCTTTTTTTTTTTTTTTTGAGACGGAGTCTTGCCCTGTCGCCCAGGCTGGAGTGCAATGGCACGATCTCGGCTCACTGCAAGCTCTGCCTCCTGGGTTCATGCCATTCTCCTGCCTCAGCCTCCTGAGTAGCTGGGACTACAGGCGCCTGCCACCACGTCCGGCTAATTTTTTGTATTTTTGGTAGAGACGGGGTTTCACCGTGTTAGCCAGGATGGTCTCGATCTCCTGACCTCATGATCCGCCTGCCTCGGCCTCCCAAAGTGCTGGGATTACAGGCGTGAGCCACTGTGCCTGGCTTATGTTACTGCAATAATCCTTAAGCAGAAGGCTGTACTACACATTATCTAGAAAACTTATACAAATTTGAAGAAGATGACTCTATAATGATCACCTTATTTCTTAAGATGCTGTCCACACATACACACACACATTCCTCCACGCATTCCTCCAAACCCATGGGGAATAAGATGCCGGGGTTACACGCAGCCTCAGGAGAAACAAATTTCCCGAGCATCCATTTTGCTTAAAGATTTAGGGAGTTAAGAACAATAAAACAACATTTTTATATTAAACCCAGCAATGAACAATTTGAAATAAAATGATTTTTGGCATGAATTTTAAAATGAGACATCAACAAAATTGTGTTTTGCAATGGGCCACATTAGGCCATGGTCCCAGGCAGGCCAGTGCTTCAGCAAAGTTGAGATCTAGTTGAACACAGCATTTCACCAAATTAAAATGGCAAGAGCGTTGAGAGAACATGTGATCCAAACTGCACCTGAGAAGCAGGTGTGCTGTTTTTTTTTTTTTTTTTTTTGAGATGGAGTCTTGCTCTGTCGCCCAGGCTGGAGTGCAGTGGCACGATCTTGGCTCACTGCAACCTCTGCCTCCTGGTTCAAGCGATTCTCCTGCCTCAGCCTCAGCTGGGACTACAAGGCATGCGCTCCCACGCCTGGCTAATTTTTGTATTTTTAGTAGAGATGGGGTTTCACCTTGTTGGCCAGGCTGGTCTCGAACTCCTGACCTCAGGTGATCCACCCACCTCAGCCTCCCAAAGTGCTGGGATTACAGACGTGAGCCACTGAGCCCGGCCAGGTGTGCTGTTTTTAAACTTACCTTACACGTGAGGTAGCCATCTTGCCTGGGACACATAGCTAGTAATCTCTGTGTGTTTTCAATTCTCATCATGTAATCAGTGAATAGGATGAGTCGTCTGAAGAACTGCAATTTATAAACCTGCTTTCGGGGAAGGATCTTTCCAAGTGGGGAAATAGATCCAGTCAATCTGAAACCTGAATTTCATTATATTAGGATAAGAAATTATTATGTAAACTTGCCTTCCTCTGATGTATCTTGCACACACATACACCTGCCTTTTTTAGTTTATTTGAAAAATTTCAGCCCATCTTAGCTAAAGCGTAAATGTGAAGTGAAATTGAGATTAAATTTGTAAAATTGCCTTGTTACTGTCTTCTCTCTTCCCACCTAATTTCTGACAAAGTCCTCTGCTGTTATTCTGCTTTCCCCAAGCCCCGCCAAGGGTGTAGGGTTTGTTTGGTTTTGTTTCGTTGCCATAAGCTATATAACCAGGGCAAGACATTTAACCTCTCTTGGCCTTTTTTTTAATTTGAAAATTCAAGTACTGAAGTAGATCTCAACACCAAATTTCTATACATCTGTATAAAACACAATTTTACTGGAAGAATCACATTTATGAGTCACCTGTTGCTTATATACACTATGTATTTTAATATATTAAAAAATAATTTTATTCCTAGATTTTATGAGCTGTTAAAAGACAAAATTCAGCAGCATTTTCTAATACTATTTTTTAAAACGTTTAGGGAAAAATGTCAATGGCACACTTTCTTTCAAACAGATCTGCTCTTAGCAACTCCAGAGTAACAAAGGAGCTGTAATGGTTTTTTTCCTCTTGTAAGAGTTGTTAGTACACAAAACAGATGAGTATGGCCAGTGGCCCAAGGGAGTGTTGGTAGCAACCTCCCGAGGCCTTAATATTTTTGTTTCTTAACCAAGCAATCAAGTGCTGGCTCCATCCATTCTAGACAACTCTCAAACAGGTTAAATAGCTACCTGATCTGAGCAGTACTTGATCTGAGCAGCCTATAACCACAAAGCAATAGGCTTGTCTTAAACAATTATAACCCTGAATGAGGAGGAGGTTGGGTGGAAGGGGTCAATAAAGGAAAAAGGGATTAACAGATGACAAAATGATCAGGGAGTAGATATCAAGTGAGAAAGTTCCAAGATAGGAAATGTGACACACAAGTTGGACCAGAGTACTTTTCTGGGACTTTAATCCATGCTCTCCTTCTTCCTTTCCCCTCCTCATCATCCCCCCTTCTCACCCCCTACCCCAACTCTCTTCCCTAATTATAATTTCTCTCAAGGAGAAAATGAGGCCGATTTAGAGGAGAGTTCTGATTCTCTCATTTGAATCCCTGAAGCCAATTCTACATTGGACTTTCTCAGTTACATGAACTAATTAATCCTTCTGGGGGGGTTGGTGGGGATAAAATAGTAGATTGGGTTTCCCTGGCAATTTAAACAGTTCTATTATGGTTAATTACTCTAATAAAGCTAAATATGTAAATTTTTCTCTACTCAGAATTACAAGAATTTACATAGATTTTTGCTTAATGTGAAAATCAAAATCAGTTGTCACTGTAAATTAAGGATAATGTAGGTATGCTATTGCCTGGTTTGCTCTGAGAAAATCTGGCAATTCAAACCAGTTATTTTATATTATACTCAAAGATTTAATACTTCCTTCTAAAAGAAATTCATGCAAAAGGTTGTAAAGTGATAACAAGAAAGGATGTGTTGCATTGATAAGACTGGGACAATTAAGTCAGTGTTTTCTTAGAAACATAATCTCCCTCTCATATCATTCTTTTTATCTCCTGAGCTCCCATTTTGCTGAATTTGTGTTAAGTCATTCTACACGTGACGCATCTAGGATGCATCTAGGATGAATCTTCTGCATTCTGCTCTGTGGTATGGTGCTACTCAGTGTAGACCAGCGGTCCCCAACCTTTTCTGGCACCAGGGACTGCTTTTGTGGAAGACAAATTTTCCATAAACGGACAGGGGGTTGGGGGGATGGTTTTGGGATGAAACTCAGATCATCAGGTATTAGGTTCCACCTCAGATCATCAGGTATTAGGATTCTCATAAGGAGCGCACAACCTAGATCCCTCGCAGGCACTGTTCACAATAGGATTCTGGCTCCTATGAGAATCTAATGCACTGGTCTGACAGGAGGCAAAGCTCAGGAGGTAATGCTTGCTTGCCTGACACTCACCTGCTGGTGTGCGGCTGGTTTTCTAAGAGGCCACAGACCACCACCAGTCCATGGCCCAAGGACTGGGGACTCCTGGTATACACCACAGACTAACAGTATTAGAATTATTTTGAAGCTTGTTTGAAATGCAAATTACCTGGTACCATTTCAGATCAACTAAATCAGAACCATTAGGAGTGGGATCCAGAAATTTGTCCCAGTGATTTTTAAGCACATTAAAATTTTAAAACCACTACTGTTTGTCTGCATGCTTTTTTATTTTGCTCATGCTTAACATTGGCAAAAGAAAACATTCTGTTAGTCTTATAGAATGGATGACTTTACAGCTTTCTACTGTATCTGAAACCAGTTTATATTTTTCTTCAAGATACAGTTTGGAGCTGGGTTTTTTTTTTTTTTTTTTTTTTTTGAGGCAGGGTCTTGCCCTGTCACCTGCAGTGGTGCAATCTTGACTCACTGCAGCCTCAACCTCCTGGGCTCAAGCGATCCTGCTGTCTCAGCATCCCAAGTAGCTGGGCCTACAGGTGCATGCTACCATGCCTGGCTAATTTTTTTTTTGTAGAGATGGAGTTTCACCTTGTTGCCTAGGCTGGTCTTGAATTCCTCGGCTCAAGCAATCCACCCATCTTGGTCTCCCAGCCATGAGCCACTGCACCTGGGCTGTGGATCTATTTGTTTCTATTTGCTTTTCTGAAGCCTAGGGGAAAAGGAGCCAGCTGAATTAAAAAAAAAAAATCTGATATTTGCTCTTTCTTCTGAGATTGTTAAATTGTCTATACCAGTCAATAGAGGAAAAACATTCATTTTGTTTCTCTCCAGATTTAAGGATGTTAGTGTGAATGTTTCAGGAATTCTGCAGGTTGGGGGTAAAGACAGACAGTGATGTAAACTGTTCCACTTTGCTCCACTCCAGCACAGAATACATCACAGAGCTATTGACAGTTCAGCAGCACTGAAGCACAAGTAGACCGTAAGGCTTGAGAAGTAGCATAAGGTCCAAGAGTATGGTAAGACTTGAGTGCCAGACTGATAGTGAGTCATAAACACTGGTCGGGTTAAGAAGCCATTAAAAAGTAATGATAATAACTTTTATAATGCAAAATTTTGTGAGTATAGTTACCATATAAAGTGCTCTAATGTAGATTTAATTCCACAAAGTAGGAGTTCCTTTCAAATCAGCTTAATCAAAGTTTATTTTCACAATGCTACAGAGGTAAGTCCCCAAACTTTACAATCCTCATTTGTTTCTCTCAAAAAGATCTCTTTTTTTAAAAAAAAGGCTTTAGAATACCACACCATGTTTAAAATCCTGTAAGCTATTTTTGAAATCTAAATTAAATTCTGACAATGATAAAATGTTTGCCAGCCAATCAAAGTCCCAAACTAATTAACATTCAAAGTAAAAAAGAATCATCATTGGGATCTCATTATATTTTGATAGCTGTAAAGGCTGATTGACTCCTGTCATTAATAGTGTTAGTGTCATAAGCAAATAATATCACTTATATTCTAGAAAAGGAAATAAGCATATTTGTCTTGCACATCTTATACACTGAGGTATAAAACCATGTTTTACCAACTTTTTTTATTAATGTACCAAATAATTTCTTCCACAATGGCAACTGTGGTAAAAACCCCCATAGCATTAGCCAACCTGCTGGCATGTTCTATGGTCTTCTAATTAATATAGTGCACAGACATTTATAAACTACACAGCCACAGTAATTTACAAGTAACTAATAAATATTGAAATGCTGGGAATATAACAAAACTACATTCTAAATAGTTTACTTTCCCTTTTTCCTTATATTATTACTTTTATATTCATTCTTCCCACTCATTTTTTTCACTAGACTCTATTAAATTCAAGATTTAAATATGGCTAAGCGTAAGACAAAAGAGATGAGCGTCAACAACACAGCTGAATTTTATCAGTGTCTAAGCCACTTAAAGCTATTCTCCAAAAGATAAGTTATTCAACCCAAGGCAAACAGAGAAAGTTGGAATTGAATCCTAGGTTCTTTATATTTTTAACTGTCAGGTCCACAGGAACATCCAAGGCTCAAGTTTTGAATGTCTACATGTCATGAAGTTAACTATGGCACTAGTGGAATGTCGATTACTGAAGATGAACCCCTAGACACATTCAGCAAGACATTCAACTTGCAGAAGGCAGGGAATTTGGAGTGGTACACAATCAGATAACAAGGTTTCAAGCTCTAGTCAAAGACAAGATGATATTATACCTAAATAACAATTTCTAAGGAACTTGAATAACAATCTCTAAGGACTCTTGTCACTATATGAAGAACTTAAGTTTATGACTCCACACTCTTAATTAAAAGGACAGCCACTTAATCAATTTTCTGCAGTGAATTATTAGACTAACTTCCTAGCATCTGGAGATTACAGTATGTTCCACCTTGAAGCTATCACAATCAAGACCATTACCTGACATGCATTCAACAAATATTCGATGACAAACAAAGTATAAGGTTAATTGTTACAGAAAGTTAGGTCTTCTAACACCTAAGTGTTAAGTGGACTCAATGTTGAACCTTTTTGAGTGCCAACATGACACTCAAAGGAAATGCTCATGGAACATTTCAGATTTCAGATTTGGGATGCCCAACTGGTAAGTATAATGCAAATATTCCAAACTTTGAAAAAAATTATGAAATCTGAAATACTTCTTGTCCCAAGCATTTTTGGAAAAGGGATACTCAACCTGTACCTTATAACTTTTCCTAAATCACTTTTGGCTCTACCACTTCTATTCCTATATGGAAGCTGAAGTATGTTATTACTGCTGTTACATGACTACTCTTCTACATTCTGGTTCTATTTCTGCTAAATTATTCTTACAGTTTTTATCAACTTAAGTTTTTTAAAAAACTGCCTTTTTAGAACTCTGAAACAGTATTTAAAAATTAAATTTAAAAAATTTTAAGTTTTGTTCATCATATACAATAAAATTCTGATATATGATGTTAGACAAATTATTAGTCAGGTAATTTCTGTTCACCTAGTATCAATGCTATAAAGAGGTTCAAGTGAACTTTCTTTAGTGAGATGAGTTTCAATGATCCTAAAGATGGTAAATGAACGATTATTTGTGTATCTAAAGTGTGTACTCTTAAGAAATTATCCATAAATCAAAAACAAAAATTTAAGCAATTGTTAAATATAATGTTAACAGGTACACTGAGCAATAAATTGAAACTTTTAAATTTAACTCATATCTGCTTAGTTTTTTATTTAGTTAAGTATAAAGGCCCAGTTAATTAATCAATTCATTAGATTGGTCAAGGCATGACACTTTAACTACACAATAGGATTTAAAAAGCAGTTGGTTTTTTTAGTAGTTCTCTGGTAATCACACGCACATACACACATACACAAAAATTTATAGAGTACTCTGAATATAGGATTTCCCCCATAATCTTGCATCTGCTATATTTTGTAAACTGTATAAACTGGACATGGCCAAATTAGAGATGTCTGATAAACTCTTATAAAGTATTTGGGAACTTCAACTGGATTCCCAAAGGATCAATTTTAAACTATAAAAAACAAATATTCATATAAAAGCACAACAGATTTAACAGACATCTTTGGAAAAAAAATCAAATTGTAACTCAATTTTCTACTTTTTCAAATATGACTAAGAAAAAAAGTTACAAGTAGTAATGTTTACCTTAAAAAAAAAACACACACACACATTAACTGGGTGATTTTGTGGGAGGTGGGGAAAGCTATACAGTATTATTGCACTCCATGAATGTGCAGAATTCCAAAATATGCCAGCACTGAAACACTATCTTGCATTGAGGTTTTCCAAGAGGTACAACGAGCCTGCCAAGAAAGCATCTGGTCTGTACTAACAGCTTGCTGTCTTCAGTACAGGCCTTCATAATGTCAGTCACGCTGCTCTTGCAATGATCCCTTAATGCCTGAAAGATATACAGAAAAAAGAATATTTTATTGCAAAAATCACTCATAAAAACTCTTTAGAAAGTGAATTCATTGATCACAAAGAAAAAGTTAACTAATACCTCTCTGTGTTCACACATTTGCCTATAAATTTTTTATCTTGAGTATGTTCAAAGAATTTGCATACTCCCAGGAACTAATTACTTGAAGGTAAGGACAGGAAGTATACACACCTCTAGCATAATATATCAACTCTGGCCATTAGGAATTTAGAGTAAAGAAAATAAGGTTACAGACCCAATCATTAAGCCTTGAAGATAAAATTACTAACAACCTGACTTTATTTTGGCAGGGCCGAACTCTCTTCATACACTTCAACATTTTAATGAAGAATACATCCCTCTGTTTAATCTTAAATTGGAAACTCAAGTGATAATATATGTAATATTTACTAACTTGCTGAGTCATAAGAATCAACAGAAACCTATACATTAGCTATATTTTAAACAACTTACAAAAGAGTTTTCAGTGCTGATAGGTGGTGCTATGATCGATGGTGTGGGATTGAATCCATATGCACATTGAGCTTCATTTCATTGTCAAGAATTTGAACAAGTTGTTGCATGGATGGAAGGTGACCAGATTCCAGCTTAGACCACACAGGTACATCTATAAAAATAAATGGCACCGCCCCCCAAAAAATTAAAGATGATTTTATAATATGCATTCATCCCACTAATATTTATCATCTATGTACACAACTGGGATACAAAAGTAGGCAAAAAAGTACACTGCTTGCTCTCAGGGACTTTACATTCCAGTAGGGGAAATGTCAAAAGAACTACACAAATGGCTACAAAATTACAATTGTGTACTTAGAACTAAAACTAAAAGGCACTACTGTACTAGGAGGGACATATACACAAGGCTCTCCCTGTCTAGTCAGAGAAATAGTATCATTTAAATTGAGATCTAAAAGATAAAGAAAAATTACCAAGACAGAGTGGGGATTCATGAGAGTAGAAAACCTTTGAGGGAGAGAACAGAAATGTAAAGACCAGAAAGTAGCTTGGCACTGAAAATAAGAGAAAATCAGCATAGCTGAGGGAAATATAGAAGAGGAGTGATATAAGGGAGGATGGGAAGGTGGAAAGGATTAGACTGGGGTCAATAAACTGTAAAGGGACAGAAAGTAAACATTTTGGGCTAGGGAAGATACATAGTCTCTGCCACAGCTATTCAACTCTTGTAGCCTAAATGCAGCTGTAACAATACACAAGCAAATGGACATGGTTGTGTTCTAATAAAGCTTTACTTACAAAACAAGCAGCAGAGGATATGGTCCATAGGACCACAGCTTGCTAACCACTGAAATAGATCATGCAGAGCCTTTTGGCCAGATTAAATGTTCTGGTCTTTATCTTGAGAACAAAGTCAAGTCATTTAATGAATTGGGAACACTCAAGCAGCAAGATAAAATTTGCATTAAAAAAGTTATTGTTTAGGCTGGGCGAGGTGGCTCACGCCTGTAATTCCAGCACTTTGGGAGGCGGAGGTGGAGGCGGGCGGATCACAGGGTCAGGAGATCAAGACCATCCTGGCTAACAGGGTGAAACTCTGTCTCTACTAAAAATACAAAAAATTAGCCAGGCGTGGTGGCAGGCGCCTGTAGTCCCAGCTACGCAGGAGGCTGAGGCAGGAGAATGGCGTGAACCTGGGAGGCAGAGCTTGCAGTGAATCGAGATCGCGCCACGGCACTCCAGCCTGGGCGACACAGCGAGACTCCGTCTCAAAAAAAAAAAAAAAAAGTTATTGTTTAGAACAGATATTGGTCAATTTTTCTGTAAGAAGGCAGATGGTAAATATTTTACACTTTATGGACCAAGAGATAAAAATCAAGAACATTATGTAGGTACTTATATAATATAAAGATAAATTTCTACAAATTTTTCACTGATGCAAAGCAAAACTTTAGTTATAAGCACAGAAGTTGGAATTTCATATAGTTTCCATGTGTCATAAAACATTAGTTTTTTTTTTAACCAAAAAGTGTAAAAAACATTATTAGCTCATAGGCCGTATTTGCCAACCCTTGGTTTAGAGAATGCAGAAGAGGGTAACAAGTTAATTGTGTCCTGGACTAGGGTGGTGGCAGTTAAGATGAACAGAAGGTAGATTTTTGAAATTTAGGAGGTGGAACTGAGAAGACTTGGTAATCCATAAAATAGGGGGACTAGGGAAGACGGTGATATTATCATAGGTTTCTGGCATGGGCAACTGAGTAGACAAATGATGGTATCACTAAATAAATGAGAAATGTCAAAGGAGGAGCAAAAGAGTTTACAGACATTATAGGAAGGAGAAGTAAGCAAGAGTTTATTTTAGAGTAGGTTATGTTTAAGATTCTTCAGCATAGCATTTTAGGAGAGAGATCGAGAGATATACATTCAGGGATCATCATACAGATGTTATTTTAAAGCCATGGGAGTAGATAAAGTTCACAGAGACAATCTGATAAAAGAATAGGGCCAACTCCTCAAGGAATTCGAAGGTGTGAAGTTCAAGCAGAGATAAAGAGATTAAGTTGAGGGAGCAAATTAAAAAAAAAAAAGTTAAAATTTTCTAAATTCTTCTATCTCCTGAATTTTCAATTTCTTTCAAATAAACTTACTTTTATACAAACACTAAAGAAGTTTATCTTATTATAAAAGATAAAAGCTTGATACTCATTATAAATCATTTAAAATCAATCACAAAATGCAAACTATTCAGAACCTACCATTTAAAGTTATCTCAAATGCACCTGTTGACATACACTGGTTCTCAATCATGTTGCTCAAGAAGAAAACCATCATACATGCATAAACCTAAAAGAAAATATAATTAAGCACAACAGGCAAAGTCATGTTTGGTAAATGCTCTTTTTAATCTACTTTAAAAGTTCCCATAAAAACTATTACTGCTATTCCATATGTTCAGATAACATACATAGAGCAAAAGTAAACCAATATTAATTTGCAGCTCCATACATGCTGAAGCACTTATAGATGATATTCATAATGTACACAGAATTTGAGAGATTTCATAATAGCCTTAATAAGTTAAACAAAAGAATACAAGCATAAGAGTTCACTTTACCATTTTTATAATATATGAATTCATAAGAGACTTGTGATGCAAAATTAGTAACTCCATATAATATTCAATACAACCTGTATATGTTTCAAACAAATCATTTTAAGTCAAACTAAGAAAGAAGTAGGTTAGAAAGCATAGGCATATTAAAGTACATTCATTCACCTTTCAAAGGCAAATCTATACTCTCTCCCAAAAGCGGCTAAGTGTTTCTTGTTGGACAGAAAATTTTACTTTAACAAAATCACAGGACTAAAAGTAGGATGCAGTGAGAATGCCAATTCACAGCAAGCTGTTTCAGAAAAATAAATCAAATGTTCACAGCAGATGAGAAAGAGCTTTCCCTACTGCCCCACAGGAGCTAGGTGGGGTTTGTTTTTATAGGAATTACTCTACCATTTGGGAATGTTAAGTCTATTTTCATGGGAACAATATACAAGGAAATGTCATAAAACCTACAGGGTAGAGATATATTTCAATTAGAGATACCACTTGAAGATATTTATATTAAGAAGTCCTGCCTGTTACTGGAAAGAAATGGTTCCCAAAGAAAAAGAAGCACAGCTATGCAGGAGTCTGCTAAAGGTATTCAGCCTAGAATTAAAGGACAAGATCAGATAGAAGACTCCAAAAAGGAAGACTTCATAAAAGGAAGCCTAGAAAAATCTAATCCATGAGAAAAATAAAAATTAGACCCATTTTAGACAGGACAGTAAGCCCTCCAGAAACAATGATTAAAATCATTTTTAATATTAAAATATTTTACTTAAAAGTAAAATAAATTAAAATCAGAGTAATCTAGAAAGAATGTATGTGGCAATAAGACCCTACAAAAGGAAAAGAGAAACAGCACAAAGTTCTTAAGTATATTTACATTGTTTCTTTCAGGCAATTAGTCAAACAGATCCATAAACAGAAGAGGCAAAGGACAAATAATTTAAAAAGAGAGAGGAGTTTTGATAAGAACAAGTTAATGGGAATCCCCTTTTTAATGTGAATCAACCCACTAATATGACATTAATTGGTTTAAAAGGCCTGCATTATGTATATATTATGTTTTGCTGGATATGATTTGACCTAAGTAATATAATCAAAATCAGATAACAAATTATTTTGTGCCCAGGTTATACTAAATTAACACCTCCCTATCCCCCCAAAATAAAAAGATTAAGACCTAATCATTCTTAATATATCAATATGGAAATGAAGGTGAAGGGAGGCTAAGTGACTTCCCCAGAGATAAAACTGGTATAAATTAAAATAATACATGTTAACAGGTGAATCAATAACAAGTATTCAAAATAAGAAAATCTATTAGAATATTTCACTGACAACATAAAAACCTACAGTTACCAAAGCTATTAAGTTACATACCTTATTTTCTTGGCCCCACTGCCAGATGCTAGGAGCTTGCATGCCAAAGAAAGCAAAAGGATCCTTGCCAACAATTATTAAGCCTATTAATACTAGTTTGAAGACTGACAGGAAAGATGCTATGTGTCTATCAAAAGAAAAGAAAGAAAATCATCAGAAGCCACAATTTCCAATCTACTTTAAAATTTAGTAATTCAAGTGTATGTAAAGATTTTCTAGACACCAAATCTAAAAGTTACTTATAGAAAAAGCAATTAAAGTTTATTGTGCAGTGTTAAAACAAAAATGTTTAATATATTTAAAATCACCTGAAAAATTAACCTACAAATTTATACAGAATTGGTCTTTAAAAATACTATTATTTTATGAAATACAGAATTTAATACCACTTTCTATAAAAATTTAGGATTGTTATTCTATTTCCACAATTAAAAATACATATGAAAACACATCTTTAGAAGGGTTGCCATCTCTGAAACGACCCTCTTCCTTCTTACAGAAAAAGCCTTCTATATTGGGTCAAATAAACTTGTTATATATAAAACAGCATTCTCTGTATATTATTATAACCAACTAAGTAATTACAATAACTAAGGACAGCTAATTAAACCAATTCACAAACACTTATAAAGTCAAATACATTGTTTTCCTTTTAAGTTATTAAAATTTCTTACCTATATATTGGTTGAGGGAGGTAATTCTCTCCTTCAATGCGGATGTCTGGGTACCGCTGGCTAATAACCCGCATGTACTCCTCAAACACCCGCCTATAACCTCAGGAAACACTGCAGAAAAATAAGTGTTTCCATTAAGTCATTTAGCATACATCTAGATTTATTTTGTAGTTAGTTAAAGCCTAAAAATTATCAAGATTACAAATTTTTCTCAAAATCAGTCACAAATTCATAATAATTGAACCAGGATGACAAATACATTGAGTTTTTTAAATACATTTCACATATTTCAGTTACCACCCCCTCAAATCCTTCCATTAAGACATTAAACTTTATATATGCCAGTAATGCGGCCTGATTTTTTTGTTTAAAAAAAAAAAAGAACATTAAACTTTATAGATTTGGGTTACTGTTGGACAACAGCAAATACCTATTCACATTCAGCATACTTTGAGCTCTCACACAGATTTGGCCTTTTTGGGGGAGTATCAATTACTTGTATAAACAGTGAAATGAAAACAATTCTTATTCATCTGAACTACAGACTTTCAAATTTGGGACACAAGACTTCAAAAACAAAAAACAAACAAACAAAAAAAATCAAGGCATGAGAGAATGAAACTCTGGTTCTTATTCCCATTCTGCCCTTAACCAGGCAAACTTGTTTGCCCAAGCACAAGAAAAGGAACTTAGACTTAGAACCCTTCTAACTCTAAAATTTGATTCTACTTTGCCAAGGAAAACGAAGATTGGGAACATAATTTTCAATAATATGGACAGAAAATCCTTATAATTACTCTGGAGATTAAAGTCTCTAAAGTCTCTAAGCAACTCACTTTCAGATAGATGCTGCCCCAGCAAAAAAAAAAAAAAAAAAAAAAGGAAATATGCCACCAGAGTGCATATGAGATAAAAAAGAAGATGGTACATTTATATCAACAGAAGAACTTACAAATTCAGGTAATATTGTTAAACACTAAAGTTCACTAAATTCTAAGTTAAGGAACAGATAATATCATAAGGTACCACTTGGTACAGAGGAAGCAGGGTCAGTAATTAAGTTACAGTAAAATCTGAGGTGCCAGCTTTGTCAATCAAGGAAAAAAAAAATGATAACCACTACTACCAAGCCAAAGGAACAGCATGGAGTTTCTATCTGACACGGTAAAATGGTAAAAAATGTTAGTAGATCTCAATTTAAGAAAACCTGTGTTTTTTGGGGGGGGTGTGAGGGAACGGTAAGTGAGAAATTCACCAGTCTTTCTTTACAGTGAATATTTCCTTTACATTTAGAATGAATGTCCCTTACAAGTCTAAATATTTCGCAAAGAGATACAAATCTCTATACTTAAGTGAACTTATGAATCTCCAAATACTATCCTTAACATCCACCTAATGTTTTATTATTACCATTGTTGTACTTTTTATTCTTTCTCACTACATGCTGGGCTTTTCTGAGTTCAAATTACTAATTTAATATAATTTCAAATTTACAGAAAAGTTGTAATATTAGTATAAAGATCTTACATAAACACTTCATCTAGATTCATCACATATTAATATTCTGCCACAATTGCTTTCTCTGCAAAAAAATGTATTAATCTTTTCTTTATACCAAAAAAGCAAAGGCAAATATAAAAAAATGTTTAATATTGCTTTTGTTTTACAAAAATAATCTAGATAACCTATAAGCCTAACTACCTTAAAACCAAGAAATGCCACCTGATATCAATGCCCAAGTTTGCACTGGTGTTTACAATGGAGTTGATTATCTAAAATAATTGTATCTTTCTAACTTTTAATGCAGTAATTTGAGAACTAGAGACTTGGTTAGTCAAAACTTGTATTTTATAGATGAACGGGGGAAAAATGAAACCCAGAGAGATAACGTGACTTTTCCGAAGTTATGCATCCAATGTATTATTTCACTCACTCAAATATTTACTGAACGCCTATTTATTACATGGTAAGCACTGTAGCAGGCAGTGAGTATTTAGTGGTGAGTAACACAGATACGGTCCTGTCCTCACTGAGTGCCAGGGATGGGACCAGAACACAGTCTTTGTGATTTGGGGTCCTAGGCCCTTTCCACTAGACCCCAAATTTAACAATTAGATGATTCAAGAGCTATCCTTCATATGTCCAGGAAGTAAGTTCCCTTTGTCCACAATGCCACCATCGGGTACCTATACAATTGGCCTCCTGGGTTTTTCCATGATGAAGATATAGAGATTCTTCTGAGAAGACCAAGCTTATGAGCCCCAAGAAGTCCCTTAAGGGAAACCCTAAGAGACTCAACTAGAGATGTGCATATGCGCAGGCTGAACTAACAGTCAGATTCCCCCTATAGTTACCCACTTTTCTGGCTAATGTGTTTAGAAGCATAAATCTACTTGGTTCATCAGGCCCTAAATCTTCAGTTAAGTCTTAGACCTTTGTGTGAAACTCCAAATAGAATTTAGCTAATAATCTGATTCCAAAAAGGACTTTAAAACTGAACTTTCCTTACTTCTGAAAAATAAAGCAGTTTATAAGATAGCCACATCATACTTTTAGACAAGTTTACTTATGCATATTCCTCCTTATATTTGCTTCCAGACTTGTGAAAACCAAGGAACCCTTTTTCCTATATAATTGCTTTCCCTAAAATAATTTTTCTGTTGTGAAGCAGCAATCACTACTGCTAACAGATGTCTTCCAAAATGTAACATACCAAGGTGGACAAATGTTAAAGGTATACATGGTAAAGAGCTAGTAACCATCACCTCTACCATCTCACCCATTTCTTTCAAATTATTCCACTCTTTTTGGGTCAATGAGTTAAAACTGCCTCTCTCAGTACACCTCCAAATAAGTATATGAACACACTAAAAATGCTGCATCAGCTGCCTATCCTTCTGCTCCGGACTAAATGTCCTCAGGAATTAAACCTAACTCCTGAAAAGAAATCTTTCTTTTTTTTGAGACAGTCTCACTCTGTTGCCCAGGCTAGCGTGCAGTGGCGCGATCTCGGCTCACTGCAAACTCCGCCTCCCGCATTCAAGCGATTCACCTGCCTCAGTCTCCTGAATAGCTGGGATTACAGGCGCCCGCCGCCGTGCCCAGCTAATTTTTTTTTTTGTATTTTTAGTAGAGATGGGGTTTCACCATGTTGGCGAGGCTGGTCTCGAATTCCTGACCTCATGATCCACCCGCCTCGGCTTCCCAAAGTGCTGGGATTACAGGCGTGAGCCACCATGCCTAGCCAAAAAGAAATCTTTTTTTTTTTTTTTTTTGAGACGGAGTCTCGCTCTGTCGCCCAGGCTGGAGTGCAGTGGCGCGATCTCGGCTCACTGCAAGCTCCGCCTCCCGGGTTCACGCCATTCTCCTGCCTCAGCTTCCCCAGTAGCTGAGACTACAGGCGCCCACCACCACACCCGGCTAAGAAATCTTAAGTTTAAGTGCTATCACTTTGCAAATCCCTTTCTAGTAACACAGATATACCTTACTATACGGAATCAACTGTTGCAATTGCTTGATTTAAAATATTTTGGAAACAGTACTTTTCTAAAAGAAGATCTTGCTTACATATTAGATGATCTATGCAGAACAGAAAGGAAATTTCGAAAATACAGCAAAATCTCTTGTCCATGCTATTTCAAATTGGTTTTGTGCTTTTTAAAGTCTATCATAGGCTGGGCATCGTGGCTCACATCTGTAATCCCAGCACTTTGGGAGGCTGAGGCAGGAGGTTCACTTGATCCCAGGAGTTCAAGACCAGCCTAGGCAATACAGTGAGACTCCATCTCTACAAAAAAAAAGAAAAAATTAGCCAGGTATGGTACCACGTATCTGAAGTACCAGCTACTGGGGAGGCTGAGGTGGGAGGATCATTTGAGTCTAAGAAGTCAAGGCTACAGAGAGCCGAGATCACACTACTGCATTCCAGCCTGGATGACAGAGCAGTATGTGTTCAGTGTCCTAATTCATAGTGCCAACCATTCCACTTTCACCTTCTCTATTACATTTGCTGCTAATTGGAGTCAAATGCCTACTTATATCAAACCTAGGCCCATCATAAACCCCAATCTCTCGCATCCTCATTAAAAGACAACATGAACAAGATCTCAGATATTTATTGTTACAAAATAAATACTTGTTTGTGGTTTTCTATTTTCACAATCTCTCCAATTCACTCTCTCGTTTGATTCACAATAGCCATCCACGCATAGCATTGGGTCCCATTTACACAACGAGGCCTAATTCCTTGTCATAGCTGATGTTCCAGAAATACAAACCTGTAACAAGAAGATCCAAACAGAGTTCCTTCTCTAGAAATGAAGAACTGGGATTTTAAAAAGTGACTATCGGCCAGTGCAGTGCTGTAATCCTAGCACTTTGGGAGGCTGAGGCGGGTGGATCACCTGAGGTCAGGAGTTTGAGACCAGCCTGGCCAACATGGTGAAACTCTGTCTCTACTAAAAATATAAAAATTAGCAGGGCATGGTGGCGCGTGCCTGTAGTCCCAGCTACTTGGGAGGCTGAGGCATGAGAATCACTTCAACCCAGGAGGCGGGGGTTGCAGTGAGCCAATACCGCACCACTGCACTCCTGCACTCCAGCACTCCAGCCTGGGAGACAGTGAGACTGTCAAAAACCAAACCAAACCAAACCAAACAAAAACAGTTGCAAACACTTTGAATGAAGATAAAAAGCGTGCTCAGTTTTTTTTTGTTTTTTTTTAAGTTGCATAAACAACACTACACAAGTAGTAGCTTATCAGGTTAAGGAACTATATTATATGAGACCAGGTGATTTCTCTTACAGCTGCAGCACTCTTAGAGCATTACAGTGTCTACCAGTGTAGAAATACACACAAAATGAGCCTAACGTGGCTTCTAAGACGTGGAGGGTCCTGGCTTCTTTATTGGGTTTATTCAAATGTCACCTGAAATCAATCTACAACCAACAGGTAAAAGTACAAGATAAACAGGAAATAAGCAATCCTTCTGCCTCAGTCTCCTCAATAACTGGTACTATAGGCATGTGCCACCATGCCCAGCTATTTTTAAATTTTTTGTTGAGATGAGATCTCACTATGTTGCCCAGGGTGGTTTCAAACTCCTGGCCTCAAGTGATCCTCCCGCTTCGGCCTCCCAAAGTGCTAGGATTATAGGCATGAGTTACCATGCCTTTCCTCAATTTGTTAAAACAAAAATTTTTTTTTAGCATTTCCATCATTACTAAATAAGAGAAAAGATTTAAGACTAGTTATAAGAAACACAGGTTGGCAAGAGATGAGAAAAAAAGGAACACAGACTGAGAGAAACAAATGCACTCTGAATATAATTTTCCTTACATATCCAGCCTGCTTCTCTTAAAACAGTCCTCCAACTCAGCTGTTATTTGCTTTTTCTATTACAACTGGGCTTACCACCACATGCCCATAGCTGCCTTTCAACTATTATAATAATTGGTATGCTGCTTTCTACCTATCCTTCCTCCAATCAGTTCAGCTGCCTGAGTGTAGATTCCATCATAGTATTCACCTGTGTAAAACCATTTCTCACTTTGGCTGGGTGCAGTGGCTTACGCCTGTAATCCCAGCACTTTGGGAGGCCAAGGCAGGAGGTGTATTGCTTGAGCTCAGGAGTTTGAAACCAGCCTGAGTAACACGGTAAAACCTCGTCTCTACAAGAAATACAAAAATTAGCTGGGCATGGTGGCATGCACCTGTAGTCCCAGCTACTTGAAAGTAGACATTCAAATAGCACTTGATTAATATTGACACAGGCCCACTTTATTTAAATGACAATGAATTTCTGACTTTTTAATGACTGCCATTCTAACTGGTGTGAGATGGTATCTCATTGTGGTTTTGATTTGCATTTCTCTGATGGCCAGTGATGGTAAGCATTTTTTCATGTGTTTTTTGGCTACATAAATGTCTTCTTTTGAGAAGTGTCTGTTCATGTCCTTTGCCCACTTTTTGATGGGGTTGTTTGTTTTTTTCTTGTAAATTTGTTTGAGTTCATTGTAGATTCTGGATATTAGCCCTTTGTCAGATGAGTAGGTTGTGAAAATTTTCTCCCATTTTGTAGGTTGCCTGTTCACTCTGATGGTAGTTTCTTTTGCTGTGCAGAAGCTCTTTAGTTTAATTAGATCCCATTTGTCAATTTTGGCTTTTGTTGCCATTGCTTTTGGTGTTTTAGACATGAAGTCCTTGCCCATGCCTATGTCCTGAATGGTAATGCCTAGGTTTTCTTCTAGGGTTTTTATGGTTTTAGGTCTAATGTTTAAGTCTTTAATCCATCTTGAATTGATTTTTGTATAAGGTGTAAGGAAGGGATCCAGTTTCAGCTTTCTACATATGGCTAGCCAATTTTCCCAGCACCATTTATTAAATAGGGAATCCTTTCCCCATTGCTTGTTTTTCTCAGGTTTGTCAAAGATCAGATAGTTGTAGATATGCGGCATCATTTCTGAGGGCTCTGTTCTGTTCCATTGATCTATATCTCTGTTTTGGTACCAGTACCATGCTGTTTTGGTTACTGTAGCCTTGTAGTATAGTTTGAAGTCAGGCAGTGTGATGCCTCCAGCTTTGTTCTTTTGGCTTAGGATTGACTTGGTGATGCGGGCTCTTTTTTGGTTCCATATGAACTTTAAAGTAGTTTTTTCCAATTCTGTGAAGAAAGGCATTGGTAGCTTGATGGGGATGGCATTGAATCTGTAAATTACCTTGGGCAGTATGGCCATTTTCACGATATTTATTCTTCCTACCCATGAGCATGGAATGTTCTTCCATTTGTTTGTATCCTCTTTTATTTCCTTGAGCAGTGGTTTGTAGTTCTCCTTGAAGAGGTTCTTCACATCCCTTGTAAGTTGGATTCCTAGGTATTTTATTCTCTTTGAAGCAATTGTGAATGGGAGTTCACTCATGATTTGGCTCTCTGTTTGTCTGTTGTTGGTGTATAGGAAATCTGAAACAACAGGTGCTGGAGAGGATGTGGAGAAATAAGAACACTTTTACACTGTTGGTGGGACTGTAAACTAGTTCAACCATTGTGGAAGTCAGTGTGGCGATTCCTCAGGGATCTAGAACTAGAAATACCATTTGACCCAGCCATCCCATTACTGGGTATATACCCAAAGGACTATAAATCATGCTGCTATAAAGACACATGCACACGTATGTTTATTGCGGCATTATTCACAATAGCAAAGACTTGGAACCAACCCAAATGTCCAACAATGATAGACTGGAGTAAGAAAATGTGGCACATATACACCTTGGAATACTATGCAGCCATAAAAAATGATGCATTCATGTCCTTTGTAGGGACATGGATGAAATTGGAAACCATCATTCTCAGTAAACTATTGCAAGAACAAAAAACCAAACACCGCATATTCTCACTCATAGGTGGGAATTGAACAATGAGATCACATGGACACAGGAAGGGGAACATCACACTCTGGGGACCATTGTGGGGTGGGGGGAGGGGGGAGGGATAGCATTGGGAGATATACCTAATGCTAGATGACGAGTTAGTGGGTGCAGCACACCAGCATGGCACATGTATACGTATGTAACTAACCTGCACAATGTGCACATGTACCCTAAAACTTAAAGTATAATAATAATAAAAAATAATAATAAATAAATAAATAAAATGACAATGAATTATAGAATCAATTTTAACAAATGTTTTATAGAAGTATTTATATGGTCTATATAATTTCAATTATTTTCCCACTTCAAGCCCTCTGTGAAACATCTCATAAATTCTAAATAAATAATATCTATTTCTTATAAAAATGATTTTAAAGTTCTTCCATCTTCTTACCTACTGGATTTTTGTTCTCTTACCTCTTTCCTATACCTATCAAGGTTCATCTTAATTACCCTGGCTTCTTTAAATATTCTTCCTAGCTGAACTAACCATGAAAGAGAAACCCTGGATCCTAGTTCTAGCTCTGTCACTAAATAAAAATCTTAGATAAACCTACAAAGTCTACTTTTCGTATTTTCATGTGTAAGATCCTTTCTAGCTCTAAATTCTACACTATTGCCTTCTAAAATCCTCCATTAAAAAAAAAAAAAACCCACCTCCATTTCTAGTCACATCTGACCTGCTTTTCCAATCAAGAAACCTCAGGTATATTTATTTTGACTAACATTTTAAATCTGACAAGCTAATCTGTAGCTTCTAAGAATTACTAATAGGAAGGATGTGCCTCACTTGAGCTTCCTCTCACTAGTCATCCCCTACCTGCCTCCATTCACAGCTCCTAAGAATCTCCAACAGAATAGCCAGCTAACTTGAATAAAAGTTTTATGTATCCATTTTCTTTGTACTTGTTAGCATTTTCATTTTATAATGTTTATTATAACAGCGTCTATAAGCCCAGTTTATCTTTTTCTGGCACTGTGGTGCCACTACTCAAAACTGTTCAATAGCACCTTACCTTCTCTTGATCCCAAAGCCTTGGATTAAAAAAAAAAATAAACCTAAAATGTACTGTCTCTTGATGAATGTGCTTTCTCCTGCATGTGCTTTCTCCTGTGGCCAGGGTGGCTTCACTACCACTTATCTTTTGCATCTTGTACAAAACCAGTAACATATCTATCTCTACCTGTAACTACTGCCAGTCTTCAAGAGCAGAAGAGCTATCTTGCAAAGATCCTCTCTCCAAAAAACCTGTGAATCAATCAAGTGGCCAACACACCATGTGTTGAGAATCTTAGGGAACCTAATGAGATGAATGCACCGTCATGTTAATTAACCTGAACCTCTCAATCATCTCTGGGTCTTTTTCTCTAAAAAAAAAAAAAAAAAAAAAAAAAAAAGTTCCCATCTTCTGCATAATTTAGTGAAGAGAATGTCCCTAAAGTATTTAACCTTTGCTGCATCAGATTTTACAATTATCTTCCTTTATTCACTTTTGTGCAACTGCAATTTATATCACATAACACTCCACGAAACAAATCAAAAAATGTATTAAGATGTTTGTACTACGTCCACTCATATTTTTTTTCAGAAAACTACCTTAAGACTAGTAAGTTATTACTAGGCAATGCTTTCCACATATAACAAAGAAACATGCTTTAACAGTGATTTAAAATTTTAACAAGTATGTTGTGCTATGTATGGTTTGAATATGTCCTACAAAAAGCATAGGATGAAAATAATCCTAATGCAACACTGTTGGGAGGCAGGGTCTAATGGGAGGTGAGGCTGCAAGTTCAATCACCTGCTTTCGCTTGCCCTCTCTTTGACCTTCCACCATGAGCTGACTCAGCAAGAAGGCCCTCACCAAATGCCAGCACCTTGACAGTGGACTTCCCAGCCTCCAGAACTATGAGAAAGAAATTTTTCTTTATAAATTACCTTGTCTGTGATATTCTATTATAGCAACACCAAACTATGACAGTTTTTTATGTCTAATTCTGCTCAAAAATCTTTAAATCTTTCGGACTCTTTCATCTTCAAGAAGGTACAGTAAAAATGTGAATAGTGCCAAGAACTCTAACTTAGATATTGAAAAATAGATAAGCTGGAGTTTGTGTGTGGGGAAGGATTCTGTCTAGTCACAATCTTAATGAGAAATATAAAGTATCTTTTAAAAACTCTGCTTCAGAAACATGACTTTTTGGTTTTAGACAATATGTCTAATTAAAAGAATAAAAGCTAAAACAAAATGAACTTTGGAAGTTAGTGCAGAATATAACAAAAGTGGCTTTTTAACTATGGGCAAAATAAGAAGATGGATAAAATAGGCTTACCAGCAGTTTCAACTCTTATTTCTGTTCTGACTCACCAACAGGGGAAACATTAAGATTTATCAGATACTTATGTCCTTGAACAAACTAGCTAGCTAGCTATATTCTTATTAAACCCTCAAGACAATCCTGTGAAGTTCTATCATGCCCACTTTATAATTGAGCAAATAGACTCAGATAGGTTAACTTGTTTTAGTCATATAACTAATAGGTGGCAGATCCAGAATATGAACGAAATTATGTGATACCACCCAAATTACATGACACCAAAATCTAATTATCCTCAAAGGATATGTCTTAACATTAGAAAGAATGACCAACATTAAAAATATATATATATAGCCGGGCATGGTGGCTCACACCTGTAATCCCAGCACTTTGGGAGGCCGAGGAGGGCCAATCACTTAGGGTCAGGAGTTTGAGACCAGCCTGATAAACATGCCGAAACCCTGTCTCTACTAAAAATACAAAAATTAGCTGGGTGCGGTGGCGGGCGCCTGTAATCCCAGCTACTCAGGAGACTGAGGCAGGAGAATAGCTTGAGCCGGGAGGCGGAGGTTACGGTGAGCCAAGATTGCGCCACCGCACTCCAGCCTGGGCGACAGAGCGAGATTCTGTCTCAAAAAAAAAAAAAGCTGAAGACCCCATGTAACAGTGAGCTGGGTCTCCATTCCAGGAGACGCTCGACTCTGAGTCCCGGCCCTCGGCACTGTCCACTGTTTCGGCGCCAGCAGCAGCAGGCCCAGTTGGTGTTCTGCCATGCAGCTAACTTGGTGTGCAGAGTGAACTGCCGCCGACGGAGCGGCCAGGAGAGTGGGGATTTCTGTCAGCGCCGGTACCCCGGAGCTCGGAGACATGAACGGCTTCACGCCTGGGCAGTGGGGAGGCGGCAGCCGCAGTGGCCGCTGTGGTCGCCAGTGCCTCGTCCGGGAAATCGGGGCTGAGGGGCCGGGCGCAGGGGCGGTCTCAGCGGCTGGGCCCCTGGGGGCGGCCAGGCCGGGCTCCTGGCAACTGTGCTGCCTGCGGAGGATGGTGAGCGGTGCGGTCGGGCAGCAGGCAACGCCAGCTTCAGCAAGAGGATCCAGAAGAGCATATCCCAGAAGGTGAAGATCGAGCTGGATAAGAGCGCAGGCATCTTTACATATGTGATTATCATAAAAACTTAATTCAGAGTATTCGAAACAGAAGAAAGAGAAAAGGGAGTGATGATGATGGAGGTGATTCACCTGTTCAAGATTTCGATACCCCAGAGGTTGATTTATACCAATTACAAGTAAATACACTTAGGAGATACAAAAGACACTTAAAGCCACCAACCAGACCAGGACTTAATAAAGCACAACTTGTTGAGATAGTTGGTTGCCACTTTAGGTCTATTCCAGTGAGTGAAAAAGACACCTTAACATATTTCATCTAATCAGTGAAGAATGACAAGAACAAATCAGATCTCAAGGTTGATAGTGGTGTTCACTAGATGTGGAATTGAGACTAAAAACTTGGATGTTAACACTGTTTACCGCTTTTTCACATGTAGAAATGTTCTTTGTGTATTTTTTCTGCAAAAGATTTTCTGATTTTATTTTCTTTGTTTCTGACTCTAATAATTAGTTGGAAACTCATGTAAAATGAGCTTTCCTAAATTAAAAACTATTTTAAATAAAGGTTATTACTATTAAAAAAGAAAACAAAAACAAATACACACACACACACACACACACACACACACACGACTCATGATGCAATAGTACTGTGGCAAGACCATTAAATACAGAGTCAGGAAATCAGCTCTCTCACTGACCAACAAGACAATGGTCAAGTCCATTAACCTGCTTTTGTCACAGTATCCACACCTGTACAATGAGTAGGATGACACCTGCAATACACAGGTAGTTCTCAGAGTACTCAAGAGATAAGGCATGTAAAAGTGACACATGTATGTAGGTAGGTTATCACCATTATTAGAAAAATGTTAACAGCATTTGGATACTTTAAATGTTAGTAAAACATTTTTTAGTCTCTTTTCCTGAAAGAGTTCACAATCTAATTTCAGAGAGACAAATACACAGCAAACCCTGGGGAACAATTATAAGGTAATGCAGAAGCAAGCCCAGAAAGCAGTGCACAAATTACAAACACAAATTAAAGAGCAAGGAGAGAAAGAACAATAATTTCACTGGTGTATCTTTCTATCACACTTCTCTTAGGTCATCAATTATGTATATTCTATCCTTTCCTTCTCTCTACCAGCAAAATTGAAAATAATGAAACATGAACCCAGTCTAATAGACTGATTGAAATGTTAAGACTGTTTTTGGTTACTAAGATGCAAACTTGAAGAAAAACCAAACACAGTGCCATCCTGAATTTGAAGTGCTGAGATAACCAAATCAAATCAACCATAAGTAGTTCTGCTTAATGACACAACTACTTATCAAATGAACACCTTTGTCAAAATGAAAAGAAAAGGGTACCTTTATACCTAATGAAAAGACTGTCTTGCTTGTGGTACAAATGCTAGGTTTCGTAATGCCAAACTATAACAAAATTAGTTAAGCTACCTTCAAAAGTAAGCACTGTAATGTGACAATAGAGACCAATCATAAGTAAAACAGTTGGGTTTCATTTTCATTCACATAACTACTAGGAATCTTTGATATCATTCACTCTGTTCCTCATTTTTTTCTACCAGCCAAAATTACCTTTTAAAACATTAAACTAATGAAATTCTCTAATGTAATGTAATTTTGGTACATAGCCCCTATCAAATTCTTACTCAAATTCTGAAATCACAAAAATTCACAAAAATAAATCATACCAAACACTGACACTTTAACCAACAACCTAATGACAAAATCTAGGAGAAAATTATATTAATTATAAGGTAGACAGAAAGGTCAAGATTAAGAAAAATTACCTAAACTCTGCTTCAGGAAAATTCCTATCTGAAAGCTCACAGATCTAAGGCTCATCCCAAAGGGAGAACCAAATAGCTGGTCAACTTCAGTGAAGTAAGATACTATCCATGCTCCCATTCCCAACTTTCTATATCCTGACAGAGGATGTGTTAAAAAGAAAGAAAACACCAAGGCTGGGCAAGGGGGCTCCTGCCTGTAATCTCGACACTTTGGAAGGCTGAGGCAGGACTGCTTGAGCCCAGGAGTTCAAGACCAGCTTTGCCAACATGGTGAAACCTCCTCTCTACAAAAAAATACAAAAATTGGCCAGGCATGTAGTGCGCGCCTGTAATCTCAGCTACTTGGGAGGCTGAGGTGGGAGAATGACTTGAGCCTCGGCAGTCGAGGCTACAATGAGCAATGACTGCACCACTGCACTCCAGCCTGGGTGACAGAGTGAGACCCAGTCTCAAAAAAAGAAAAAGAAAACATCAACAGAATAAGTAGCAAGGGTGTGTCAGTTTCAGGGCAGCAGGAAAAGGACTAGCAGTAGCACAGAGAATTCTGGAAGTTTATAGTCCCACCTGTAGAGGCACGGAGGCCAGGCCGAAAAGTTACTGATGGCGCAGTGTATTCAAAACTTAAGTTTTACCCTCAACAACTTAAACAAAGGAACATACCTCAAAATAGTAAGAGCCATCTCTGACAAACCCATAACCAATATCATACTGAATGGGCAAAAGTTGAAAGCATTCCCCCTAAGAACTGGAACAAAACAAGGATGTCTACTCTCACCACTCCTATTCAACATAATACTAGAAGTCCTAGGCAGAACAATCAGGCGAGAGAAAGAAACTGTACTAATCAAAATTTAGGGGTTATCTTGGTATTTCTAAATAATATATTCAACTCAATTGTCCAGCACTTGCCTTAATGGCAAACTGTTAGGAAATTATGTTTCAATTTTTTGTAAAAGGTTATAAAACCTTTAAGATCATTCAGTCATGTTTACCTATATCTAAAAGCTTTGAACTAAGTACTTAATTCATTATTAAGTGGAAACAACTATTATGTGCAAGGAGTTCAATTACATGCTGCAGCTATTTTTTTAATGGTAACACTCTACTACTACTAACCTGCTATCTACACCAACTTCTTACTACTCCTTTATTTCATTGATACCAATAAGCATACTTTTCCATATTTAGCATCTCTACTTTTCCTTTTTTTAAAATTAGAGACAAAGTCTCGCTATGTTGCCCAGGCTGGTCTTGAACTCCTGGCCGCAAGCAATCCTCCCACCTCAGCCTCCTGAGTAGCTGGAATTTACAGGTGTAAGCCACTAAACGTGGCTACATGTAGCATCTCTATAAATTAAAAAAACAATAACAAACAAAAAAAGCCACAGGATTTATCTTATAATCATTAGTGTGTCCGTTTAAATGGCAGTATTTTTTTCTTCTAAATGGCATATAAAATCATGGTACATCTTACAATCCATTATGTATTTTAGGTTTGATGTAATAAAGTAACTGTTAATTTAAGTTTCTTAGTTTCAGTTATCATGGCTATTTTGGAGATAAAAATTTCTTTGTGGGGGTTTTCCCCTGGCTACTATGTCCTTAGTCTTCAAAAATCAGGATTCCTTCCCTCCCACCAAAAACATTCATAATACTTGTTTATTTTAATTATCATTCCAGTGAATGGTATAGCATCACCACAGAACTCAGGAATCATCTTTGACATCTCTCACTTCATGCCACCTCTCTTTCCCCACAAACATACAATTCATCATTAAGAGCTGTTAAATTTACCACATAAAGATCTCTCAAATACATCTCTTTCTATTTCTACCACCTCCTTACTTTTCCAAGTTCCATTATCTCTTGCCTGGACAACTCCAAAAGCCGCCCTAAATGGTTTCCCATCAATTCTTTGTCTCCTGGAATGTCTTTTCCACAAGAAAACCAAACGGTCTTTGTTAAGCATGGCCTGCCAGACCCTCAAGCTCTTAACGGCACCTTCTTTTAGGTCTCTGAGGTCAGTAGGCTTAGGCTTCTCTGGTAAAACTGTGGTCTTTCCTACTATAAGTACACTGAACATGTTATTCCCATTGCCTGGAAAGTTCTCGCCAAATAAATCTTATCCTTCGAATCTCAGTTCAAAGTTCATTTCCTCATGGAAACCTTCCCTGATCCCGACTAGGCATCTCTCATACCACCACATAATCTTTCTTCACAGCACTTAACACCAATTGAATTTTATCTGTGTGGTCAGTCCATGGATTAATGTCTGCATCTGCTCTTGCCTGTGAAGTCCACGAGAGCACTGAATTGAATTCTCCGCAGGAAGCAAAGTGCCTGCACAGAGTAAGTGCTCCAATATCTGTTGAATATGCAAATATCAAGTCTACAGTAACCAACATGATCTCTGTAACTCACAATTTCTCCAATTCAGCATTTTACTACTAATCTTGATGAGTATCAACATCCAAATCAACCTTAGGTCTTTATTTTCTTGCTGTCACACTATGAAAGCCAAGGCTGAATAGTTGTAAATTTAAATAAAAATCTGTTTTGGTACAGTTGTTTCATTTACCTCTTAAAACTACATTTAGAAGTTGGCTGTCCTAAAATTACAGCAGTAGATTCTCAAACTAACAAAACTTTGAAAATCCCGCCATATTCTACTTATGTTTTGAAATCTCAATTTCATTTAATCTACTATTCTCAGCAATTCAGTTGTCAAATGTTCAAGTAAATATTAACTGTAAAGGGTTGTAGCCAATAATCTCTTTAAACTGCAACTAATTAAATGCTGTAGATCTGATTACATGTTAAATCGCATATACGGAGAAAGTATGTATGACAAACATCATGCCTAAGAGTAACTATCAATACAAATTTATAAAAATCAATAAAAGGAAAACACAAAAAGGGAATTTCAGCCGGGGGCAGTGGCTCAAACCTGTAATCCTAGCACTTTGGGACGCCAAGGTGGGTAGGTCACTTTGAGGTCAGGAGTTCAAAATCAGCCTGGCCAACATGGTGAAACCCCGTCTCTACTAAAAATACAAAAATTAGCCAGGCGTGGTGGTGCACACCTGCAGTCCCAGCTACTCAGGAGGCTGAGGCATGAGAATCTCTTGAGCCCAGGAGGCAGAGGTTGCAGTGAGCTGAGATCACACCACTGCACTCTAGCTTGGGCAACAAAGCAACACTGTCTCAAAAACAATGGAATTTTAAGCTCTGATTAGAGAACTTCCTTTTTCTATGTTAAGTGTTAAACGTCCAAATAAGCAGAATAAATTTTTTTCCAAGTATGAAGCCAATATAATCAAAAGTATCTAATTATATTGCTCAATCAACATAATAAACCACAGACTCAGATACACAAGTAATACTGTGCCAGTCTGGTAGACTTCTTGAGATGGTCACATCTTTAGCATGCTTAATTCCTGGCATACAGCAGGTATTACACACAGCCTGGGCAACAAGGCAAGACCAGGTCTCTACAAAAAATATGAAAATTAGCCAGGCGTGGTGGTGCGCGTCTGCAGTCCCAGCTACTTGGGAGGCTGTGGTGGGAGGATTATCGGAACTCAGGAAGTCAAGGCTCCGTGATCATGCCATTGCACTCCAAACTGGGTGACACAGCGGGACTCTGTCTCAGCAAAAAAAAAAAAAAAGGAAGAAAGAAAGGAAAAAAAAAAACGAGAATAGGAAACTCTGTCGTAAGCTACTCTACAAGCTTGATCTCTCAGCACTATGTTGCTATTGTGTTGACTAACAATTGCAAAAGTGGTACAATTACCAGGTGATATATTGAGGTATAGTTATTTTTGATAAAATACTCATGATCACTATAAGGGGAAAAAGTCAGTGGAAATGAAGGTAAAATAGTTCTCTTTTGATTGTTAGCAGTGGTAATTAATGAAAAGCTGCATTTTATAATACTGACTTCAAATGGAATTTTAAAATTCTCATGTTTATCCTCAAACGTATTAGCTTCCTGTCCTTTCTCAAACAAACTTGCAAATTAATGTCCACAAGATTCTAGCAAAACCAGAAACCCAATATTCACTTTACCATAAACAGATTAATCTCTGGGGGGAAAAGCAACAAACAACAAGCTAAGTTGATCTGTATTTGGTGGGTCTTATTAATAACGTTATTTCCCATCTACAGATTAAACAAAAAATGATCTCCGGTGGATAGTGTCAGAAAAATAAAAATAAAAATAATTTTTTAAATGGAAGCATTTTTGTTATATAACATGCTCAGAGTGACTGTAAAAGAAAATTATTAGACTTTTGGGACAGGTCTGTACTTAAAAACAAAGAAAAACAAAGTATCAAAAGTTTAACTGAAGTACTTACTACTTTTTTTTTAAGTTTAATTTGAAGGACTGAATGCCCTTCCCTACGTTTGTTTACACATTTTGAAAACCTTGCTATGAATAGCCTTGGTGGAAGATACACCTGGTAAATTATTGTGACAAGTGTTCCAAAAAAAGCAAACGTAAAAGGGGTATTTTGGAAAAGCAAAAATACAACCAAGAGATAAAAGTAGGATACAGAAAAATTAAATAATTTGAAAACTGCAATTTTTTAACACTTAAATCCGTAAGTATCACAACCCTTAACAATCTTTAGGTTAGTAAGATGATTACCACCTTCTAATTTAAAAATTAAGGAAAAAAGTTAATGGATAAACCATTCTCCCATTTGCAGTATTACATGAAAGATGATATATTCCAGAAACATAGTACATTGTACAGGGAGGTTTTTTTTTTTTTTTTTGAGACGGAGTTTCGCTCTTGTTGCCCAGGCTGGAGTGCAATGGCGCGTTCTCGGCTCACCGCAACCTCCGCTTCCCGGGTTCAAGCGATTCTCCTGCCTCAGCCTCCCAAGTAGTTGGGATTACAGGCATGCGCCACCACGCCAGGCTAATTTTTGTATTTTTAGTAGAGATGGGGGTTTCTCCATGTTGGTCAGGCTGGTCTCGAACTCCCGACCTCAGGTGATCCGCTAGCCTCGGCCTCCAAAGTGCTGGGATTACAGGCGTGAGCCAGCGAGCCCGGCCTTGTTTGTTTTTAATCAGGAGAAATTGCAATGTTTTAGTTTTCACTCAAAAAAATAAAGTCTCACCATCTTATTTTCTAACTCAAACATCACCTTAAGCCGATTTTTAAAAATTATTTTAAAGGTTTGCTTGGTCTTCAGTGAGTAAGTAAAAAGCTAGTTGGAGAAGTAGAAAATCAAAACTTTAATATACTAATACATGAAGTTCTTAAAAGAAGGTTTTAAATGAATGATGTCCAACACCAACATTCCAATGTATCCGGACTCTGATGATTTACTAATCTGGCTATTCTGGGATGGTCGGTTTATCCTGAGAAAATGTCATCTTTGGAGGTGTAAGATTCTCATTTCTATAATTTTACAATTTTGGTGTTTTTTCCCCCATCTTCAGAGCCTTTCAATCCCCACCCGCAACCCCACTTACCGTATAAAATGCATCATTGCCCTGCTTCTAACGATTAGGTTAAAAACAAAATCATTTAAAGAACACTGTCGAAAACTGCCGAGATCTGCTGGATACACAAGACAACTGAAAGGTAGAAAGAGATGCCAGAGCAGGCAACTCCTGGGAGGCAGGTGAGGAGGGAATGCGAGCGAACTGTCAATGTTTAGAAGAACAACGTGCTCCTTTTCTGACACTTTGGAAATGGCAAACAGAACCAGCATCCCCAGACCTTCCTTCCACCCCCTCCAGCTGTCAGACGCCCCATTCGCAAACTCAACAGTCCCCCCAGCAAGTTCAGGAGAAAAACGGCGTCTGTCACTCCCGGATCCTCTCCAATGACCCGAATTAACCTTCATCTAGCCAGGCAGCGAAGCCGCCCGGCATTACCCCGGAAAAGAGGGCAGAAAAAGTGAACTGACAAACGGTTGGCGCTCCTCCGCCGACGCGGCGCCTACTCATCCCCATCTCCGCAGGCAGCCGGGGTGGCTATGGCGTGACGCCGCCAACCAGTCCTCCGTACTAACAGGTGTCCCCCAGTCTTCGCCTTTCAGCGTTTAACCTTCTCGCGCCCTCCTTCCCCATTCCCACTGTTCTAGGAGGCAAAAAACAAGTGAGCAGTTATACCTGGAAAAGGAGGGCGGCCTGACCGCGCTAAGGGGCCGCGAGAAGGCTGGCTGTGGAAGGGCGCCGGCACAGTTCTACGAGGCCAGCGAAGATGCGGCCATTTAGGCCGCGAAGCCGGGGCCTCGCGTAGCCAATGGCGCCGAGCAGAGGCGCGGCGGGGTGGCCGGGGCCCAGTGCACATACTCACCAAATCTGGAACTTGAGCAGCGGCCCCGTGGCGTACTGCATCTTTAATCTCTTGCTGGGCACGCCGCCCAGATTGGCCGAGGCCTCGCTCCGGACCATCGCAGACGCCGCCACTAGGAGAAGCAGCAGAAGCCTCATCTTAAATGAGCCAGCCACTTCGGCCGCCCTCAGACAGACTGCAGCCAGCCCAAAGCCCAGGAGCGAGCTGCTCCCCACTGCGCAGGCGCGATCAGCCAAGGTCGGGGGAGGGGAGCAGTAATGCGCCTGCGCGGCCCGGCGCCCGCGCACACTCCTGGAGTGAAGAGCCGACCTGTTTCACTGTCCTGACTCACCACCATCTTGGTAGTGTGCAAGACTCTGGGACGGCATGAGAAAGGCAGAAAGGGAGCAAAGGAGCTGGTGGGGTGTCACAGGGCCTATGTATGAGGCAGATGTGAGTTCTGCATCCAGTTTTGCAATTTATCCATTTACCTGCCTGAGACTTGGAAACACCTACTTTATAGTCCTGATTCAAGTGTTGGCGGATGGAAGGGAGGAGACTCCTGACCCTCAGAATGGTAATGCTGAAATTTTTTGGGTGCGCTGTTATGGCCTTTTCTTTGATCTTACAATATTGCTTTCTCCTGAAAGAATATTAAACATAAGTTTTAGGAAACCTTTGGACAATTCCAAACATATCCAAAAATAGAATAACTACCTTAGCAAGCTTTAACAGTTACTATACATTTTGACAATCTTGATTTGTCTATATCTCTAAACACTTCTTCCCTTCCTAGGCATATTTGGAAGCAAATCTCAGACATCATATCATTTCATCTGTATATATATATTTTTAAACACGGTCTCACTGTCACCCAGGCTGGAGTTCAGTGGCGTGATCATAGCTTACTGCAGCCTCACACCCCTGGGCTCAAGCAGTCCTGCCTCAGCTTCCCAAGTGGTTAGGAATACAGGCACAGGCAACTATGCCTGGCTTACAATTATTTAAGCACATATTTCTAAAAAAGAATTATTATTAAAAAGAAAAAAAATTGACCACAGTGTTTCACATGTCCGTGTGAAGAGACTACCAAACAGGCTTTGTGTGAGCAACACAGCTGTTTATTTCACCTGGGTGCAAGCGGGCCGAGTCCGAAAAGGGAGTCAGCAAAGGGTGGTGGGATTATCATTGGTTCTTATAGGTTTTGGGATAGGCGGTGGAGTTAAGAGCAATATTTTGGGGGCAGGGGTTGGATCTCACAAAGTACATTCTCAAGGGTGGGGAGAATTACAAAGAACCTTCTTAAGGGTGGGGGAGATTACTGATCAACAAAGTACATTGATCAGTTAGGGTGGGGCAGAAACAAATCACAATGGTGGAATGTTATCAGTTAAGGCTATTTTCACTTCTGTGGATCTTCAGTTGCTTCAGGCCATCTGGATGTATATGTGCAGGTCACTGGGGATATGATGGCTTAGCTTAGGCTCAGAGGCCTGACATTCCTGTCTTCTTATATTAATAAGAAAAATAAAACAAAATAGTGGTAAAGTGTTGGGGCAGCGAAAATTTTTGGGGGTGGTATGGAGAGATAATAGGCGATGTTTCTCAGGGCTGCTTCGAGCGAGATTAGGGGCGGCGTGGGAACCCACAGTGGGAGAGATTCAACTGAAGAAAGATTTGGGGGTAAGGGGTGATATTGTGGGGTTGTTAGAAGGAGCATTTGTCGTATAGAATTATTGGAGATGGCCTGGATGCAGTTTTGTATGAATTGAGAAACTAAATGAAAGACACAAGGTCCGAATAAAAGAAGGAGAAAAATAGGTATTAAAGGACTAAGAATTGGGAGTACCCAGGACATCCAATTAGAGAGTGTCCAAGGGGGTTCAACGTTGTTGTCTGCTTGGTTGGAGAGTTTTTGGGCTCTATCTCTATCCTTAAGTTTTTTTATGTTGTCATATACCAGGCCAGATTGATTTAGGTAAAAACAACACTCTTCATTTAAAAATATACAAAGTCCTCCTTTTTCAGCAGTGAGTAAGTCGAGGCTTCAGTGATTTTCAAGGAAAGAGAGGAGGTGGGAAGGCCAAACTGAGGAATTATGTCTGACAGAAGGGAAGAAATGACCGCGGTGGCCTTCTTAGACCCTGTGGGAAAGGCCTCTACCCACCCAGTGAAATGTCTACCCAAACCAAGAGGTATTTTAGTTTCCTGACTTGAAGCATGTGAGTAAAGTCAATTTGCCAGTCCTCGGCGGGGCAAATCCCCGAGCTTGATGTGTAGGGAAGGGAGGGGGCCTGAACAATCCCTGCAGGGTAGTAGAATAGCAGATGGAACATTGAGAAGTGATTTCCTTGAGGATAGATTTCCACGATGGAAAGGAAATGAGAGGTTCTAAGAGACGGGTTAGCAGCTTGTAACCTACATGGAAGTGGTTATGAAATGACGACAGAATAGAATGGGCCTGTGAGGCTGGAAGGAGATATTTTCCTTGGTCCAAGAACCATTTGCCTTGTGTGGGAAGAGATTGATAGGCGGAAGTTTCAGTGGGGGAGTAGGTGGGAGTGACCAGATGAGAAGGAGAAAAACTGCCATGAAGGATAGAAGTTAGAATGCTAGCTGCTTTTTAGCTACCTTATCAGCATAAGCGTTGCCTTGAGCAGTGAGATCTGATGCCTTGTGATGGCTGTTGCAGTGAGACTCCACTTCCTTTGGAAGTACGGCCTTGCTCAGAGGCCTGACACACAGTATCATTGTCTCACCTTTAAAAAATAGTAATTGCGTAATATTAGTCAGTGTTCAAATATCCTGTGGTCTCAATAACTACTTATTTTCCTACTGTTCATTTGTTAAAATCAGAATCAAAATGAAATTTATACATTGTCATTGGTTGATGTGTCTTTTAGGACAAGTCAAAGACTTTTAAGACCAGGAACACACCAGTAATTGAAAAATTTTGTTTATCATTAATTGCAGCAAGAGGGATGCTATGGTTTGAATATGTCCCCCAAAAAGCATATGTTGGAAACTTAATGCCCAATGTAACAGTGTTGGGAGATGGGGCCTAATGGGAGGGCTCCACCCTCATGAATGGATTAATGCCAATTATGAAAGGGCTTAAGGCTTCGATTTCTATCTGTTGCTCTTTCACTCTTGCACTCTCCTGCACATTTACCTTCCTCCATTGGATAACAACACAAAGCCCCCATAAGATGTGGAGCCCTTGATCTTGGAATTTTCAGCTTCCAGAACTATAAGAAATAAATCTCTGTCTTTATTAATTACCCAATCTCAGTTATTCTGTTATAGCAGCCCAAGATGGACTAAGACGGGGGAACGCACACCATGGGAAACCATGAGAAGACTCAATTAGGAGGTGTTAGGATCTGGGGCTTGATTGGATGATTTGGAAAATGGAGCTGGGGTGCTGAGCGGTTCTATTATCAGAGATGTTCAAACCAGAGTGACTTCATCTTGAGTAGGGACTGAGTAAAATGAGTTGGAGACCTGCTGGGCTGCATTCCCAGGAGGTTAGGCATTCTTAGTCACAGGATGAGATAGGAGGTCAGCACAAGATTCAAGTCACAAAGACCCAGCTGATAAAACAGGATACGGTAAAGAAGCCAAAACCAAGATAGAGACAAAAGTGACTTCTTGCTAATTATAATATATTCACATGCTATCTCCTTTACTGCTTATTGTATGCTAATTTAACACACTAGCATGCTAAAGGACACCCCCACCAGTGCAGTGAAAGTTTACAAATGCCATGGCAACACCTGGAAACTACCCTATATGGTTGAAAAGAAAGAGGAACTCTTTATTCTGGGGAATTCTTGCCCTTTTCCCCAGAAAACTCATGAATAATTCACCCCTTGTTTGGCATATAATCAAGAAATAACCATAAAAATAGCCAACCAGCAGCCCTCAGGGCTGCTCTGTATATGCAGTAGCCATTCTTTTATTCCTTTACTTTCTTAATAAACTTGCTTTCACTTTACTCCATGGACTTGCCCCCAGTCCTTTCTTGAGTGAGATCCAAAAATTGACTCTTGGGGTCTGGATCAGAACCCCTTTCCAGTAAAATTAGATTTTTTTTTTTGAGACATAGTCTCACTCTGCCTAGGAGACCAGCCTGGGCAACATGATGAAACCCTGCCTCTACAAAAAATTTTAAAATTAGCTAGGCATGGTGGCACACACCTATCGCCCCAGTTACTCAGGAGACTGCGGTGGGAGGATCACCTGAGCCAGGAAGGTCGAGTCTGCAGTGAGCCCTGATGGTGCCACTGCACTCCAGCCTGAGTGACAGAGTGAGACCTCGTCTCAAAAAAAATAAGATAATGGGTGATACAGCTAGCCATAAAATGTCTTTAAACAATGGGGTTGGTGCGACTGAAGTTCCATACTCCTGTTTCCCTGGACCTGATAAATTTTACATACATTGCCAGGCACAGTGGCTCAGGCCTGTAATCCCAGTACTTGGGAGGCCGAGGCGCACGCATCACAAGGTCAGGAAATCGAGACCATCCAGGCTAACATGCTGAAACCCCATCTCTACTAAAAATACAAAAAATTAGCTGGGTGTGGTGGCGGGCGCCTATAGTCCCAGGAGGCTGAGGCAGGAGAATGGTGTGAACCCGGGAGGCGGAGCTTGCAGTGAGCCGAGATTGTGCCACTGCACTCCAGCCTGGGTGACAGAGTGAGACTCTGTCTCTAAAAAAAAAAGAAAAAAAAAAAATTTGCATACCTGATATAGCTCAGGCTACTCAGCTATTTTCCTTTCCTCAGGTCTAATTGTTAAAGCAGCAGCAGTCCCTCTTCGTGGCCAAGGAAAGGAATGTTTGGTGTTTTGTGGGTAGCTCAGTGACCTTTTTTTGGTCTGTGCTTAAACAAAATTAAATATCTTTTTTTCTTTTGCAATTTATTTTATTTATGTATCTCCCAACCTGCCCTGCCTCTTTGTCTCTTTTTCCCTTGTGACTTACTTGCCGAAGAAACCATGTGTTTATGGGTTTTGCTGCTGATTACAAACCCATACACTGCCCTTTTTTTTTTTTTTTTTTTTTTTGAGACAGGGTCTTGCCCTGTTGCCCAGGCTAGAGTGCAGTGGCACCATCTTGGCTCACTGCAACCTCTACCACCTGGGCTCAAGCGATTCTCCCACCTTAGCCACCCAAGTAGCTGGGACCACCATGGCCTGCCTTTTTTTTTTTAAATAGAGATGGAGTCTCACTATGTTGCTCAGGCTGTTCTCAAATTTTTGGTCTCAAGTGATCCTCCCACCTTGGCCTCCCAAAGTTCTAGGAATACAGGCATGAGCCACTGTGCCCTGCCAGGGTGTACTTTAATATATATCTGTGTCCTGTGTGTTCTCTGTAAATTAGTAGTTACAGCTAGAGGACTGGACACTTTTAAGTTTAAATTCTTCCAGCAAGACTATAAAAAAGGTGTTTTATCTTCATAATTTATTTTAAAAATTAGATATGGGTAAAAGAACAGACATAGAAAGATTATTGCCATTTAACATAACCCTTGCAAATAACAGATGGTAAATTGGTACCAACATAATTATAAACAAAAAGCAAAACTCTGGCACTAAGATGGCATGGTAGTATTGATACTGGTGAGCTAGGGAAGATCTCCAAACGCTGGTGGGACCCTGACCCTGGCTGGTGTCCAGGCCCTTGATACCATCTCGGGAAGGAATTCAACAAGTCAGAAAATAGTGAAAGTGGCTGGGAGCGGTGGCTCAGGCCTGTAAACCCAGCACTTTGGGAGGCCGAGTGTATCCATTTCAATATCAAAAGTAAGAAATAAAATACCCCATACAAAAATTGATTAGCAAGCTCAATTATCTTGTGGTGGCTTCCTTATAATAAAAATAAAATAATAATAATAATAAAAAAGTGGATACATGTTTTTCTCAGCATCTATTCCTTCTTCTGGTAATGGTACCTCAGTTTCTCTTCAGGGGACCAGAAAGACCCCATTGCACACAGTCTTGGGACTACTACTTGAGGTACTCAAAACATTCCCACCAGAGGTGTGCCTGTGTCCAAAGCCAAAGGTATTCAAAACATTCCCACCAGAGGTGTGCCTGTGTCCAAAGCCAAAAGGTATTGAAGCTGATTAATTCTAATAGAAGAACCCTAAGGAAAGTTCTAGACCCCAAACTACTCTGGGTATTGTCTTCTCCAGGGCCTCATTCTTCATCTTTTCCTTTGACTCTATGAGTTACCACACATTTTGTTTGCAAACCAAGAACCCTAACTTAGAGCCCTGTATTATCTTTATCTTTCCTTCTTTGAGTCTTGCTTAGTTTTTTTTTTTTGTTTTGTTTTTTTGTTTTTTTGTTTTTTTTGGAGACAGAGTATCACTCTGTTGCCCAGGCTGGAGTACAGTGGCATGATCTCAGCTCACTGCAACTTCTGCCTCCTGGGATCAAGCAATTCTCCTGCCTCAGCCTCCCGAGTACCTGGGACCACAGGCATGTGCCACCATGACCAGCTAATTTTTGTATTTTTAGTAGAGACTGGGTTTCACCATGTTGCCCAGGGTGGTCTTGAACTCCTGATCTCAAGTGATCCACCCACCTCAGCCTCCCAAAGTGCTGAAATTATAGGCATGAGCCACTGTGCCCAGCCTTGCTTAGGTTTTCTAACTGTTGCCATTCCCACCTCCAACTCCTAAAGAGAATTATAGACAAGGCAATACTTGCAAGTTCAGATAGTAGACTGTCCATGTCTGGGAGGCCATTACACAGAGGCAAGAACCATAGCCAGCAAGTTGTTTAGGCCAGCAAGCTTAAAAAGCAAGGGCCAGACCTCTGTATGAGGAAAGGGCTAGAGTAAGAGGCCTATGATAAAATTCTGAAACAAGGACTTTTGAAGTCTAGTTATCTAAAAAACACAGGGCTCAAATGTAAGAACAAACAGAATCATAACTATCATCAGGTTGCTTTGCACAAGCATAAAAACTAATGATGTATGATATTATTTTCGACTTACTAAAAATCAAAATAAAAAAGACTAATGATGTATATACCTGGTTTTATTTTTGGAGTTTTAAGTTTTGGTTACTGTGCTGGAGGGATAGTAGGATATGCTTAAGTCACCAGCCCCTCCATAAAAGTCTCAGATCCTAAAACTCAAAGGGGCTTCCCTGGGCAGAGACATATCCCAAATTCACTGCCAGAGAGAGAAAGTGAGAGCGAGGGAACTCCTATGTAGTACCCAATGGGAAATGCTTAGGAAGCCTGTGCCTGGCCTCTCTGAACTCCCTTGATGCATATCTTTTTCCCACTGCTTTTGCTCTGTAACCTTTGCTGTAATAAGCCTTACCACGAATATTACTTGCTATTCCATCTTGTGAGTCTTTCTACCTAATCACTGAACTTGGGTCATGGGACCGCCGAAACAGAAGGCATGGGAGGAGTTCAGGGAGTACAGGATAGAGGAGGACCTGGTGAGCCTAGGGCCTTGGAAGAAGCTGATCAGGAAAACAAAATATATTGATTACAACAAAATCAAGTTGTAATAATTGTGGGACAGGAAAAAAAAACTATACTCAGTTTTTGTGATTTTGTAGGAAAATGGGCACTCCATTATACTAACTTGGGAAAATAAGTAAGTCCAGTTTTTTGGAACTACAATCTGTCAACATAAACCCAAAGCCTTAAAATGTACATGAACCTTGACCCAGCAATTCCACTTCTAAATCTAACCTAGAGAAATAATAATGTATAGCTCAAGATTTTAATTACAAAAATATTCATCACAATGTTATTTTATAAATTTATAAATCAGAAACAATTTCAGTGTCCAACACTGCATTAAATAAATCATGGTATATTAATTTAGTGGCATTTTAACAACCATTAAAAATGACTTATAAATTTTTATATGTGTATAAGTTACATGCAGAATACCAGCCTGGCCAATATGGTGAAACCCTGTCTCTACTGAAAATACAAAAAATTAGCTGGGCGTGGTGGCAGGCACCTGTAGTCCCAGCTACTCGGGAGGCTGAGGCAGGAGAATCCCTTGAACCTGGGAGGCAGAGGTTGCAGTGAGCTGAGATTGCACCACTGCACTCCAGCCTGGATGATAGAGTGAGACTCTGTTTCAGAAAAAAAGAATAATATACAAGGAACCAAAAAGTGGTTGATTCCTGAGAGGAGAACAGGGAACAGAGTGACTAGGGAACAAAGATGGGAGAGAAGTTATTCTTATTGCATAAGTAACTTTTGTATTTTAAAGTTGTGTGCTGTTGTCTTGTAATACTTATTCAAAAAGTAAATATATGTTTTAGAATTCAATGAAAAATAAAGTGCTCAACATAGAATGTTAAAATTGGATTACGAAACAGTAAAGTGTTATCACATTATTATTTATGTATTTTTTAAAGTACATAAATAGGAAGATATGGATCAAAATGTTTTGCTTGGCTATATTTCCTGTTAAACATATGTTATTTTGGTAATAAGAAAAAAAGATAGCTGAGCATGGCGGCACGCACCTGTGGTCCCAGCTACTCGGGAGGCTGAGGTGGGAGGATTGCTTGAGCCCAGGTGGTTGAGGCCACAGTGAGCCATGACTGTACCACTGCACTCAAGCCTGGGTGACAGAGCAAGACCCCATCTTTAAAAAAAGTACCAAATAGGCCAGGAGCGGTAGCTCATGCCTGTAATCCCAGCGCTTTGGGATACCGAGGAGGGGAGGATCACTTGAGTCTAGGAGTTCAAGACCAGCTTGGGCAACATGATGAAACCCTGTCTCTACAAAAAATACAAAAAGTATTCAGTCATGGTGGTGCACACCTGTAATCCTAGCTACTGAGGAGGTTGAGGCAGGAGGATCATTTGAGTCAGGGAGTTCGAAGCTGCAGTGAGCCATGATCACACCACTGCACTCCAGCCTGGGTGACAGCGCAAGACCCTGTCTCAAAAACAACAACAACAACAACAACAAAACCCACGAATTTTAAAAAATAATAAATAAAAATTTACAAAGAAAAAATAGAGAAGTAGAAAACGAAAATCTCCTCAGTTCTTAGCAGCTACCAATCCAGAGCCAGCAGTCTTGGTGTGATTGGCCACTACCTCTTCCTCTTCTAGGGAACAGGGGGATGTCCAGAAACAAACTAAAGAACTTCTTATAGGTCAGAGGGAGGTGGAGTTTCAGTAGCTTCTATGCAGGGTTGGCTTTATGGGTATGTGACCTATGCAGTCACACAGGACCCTGTAGTTGGTTTAATGCTCTGTTGTCACAGCTTTGAAATTCTTAATAATTTTGAATAAAGAACTTCACATTTTCATTTTGCATTGGGCGCTGCAAATTATGAAGCCGGTCCTACTTCTATGTCCAAGGCTGATCGCTTCTCTACCACTGTTAGTATTACCAAACTGTCCATTTGAAATTCCATGAAAAAGTTTTTCACTGCCAGTGTTTAAAATCCAAATGTCTGCTTGAACTTTGTGATCTAAATGTATTATTTCAATCAATAAACTATAAGCTAGGCATGGTGGCTCACACCTGTAATCCCAGCACTTTGGGAGCCAGAGAAGGGAGGATCACTTGAGCCAAGGAGTTTAAGAGCAGCCTGGGCAACATGATGAGACCCTGTGTCTACAGACAACAACAACAACAACACAAAGTTATTTTTTGAGACAGTCTTGCCCGTTGCCCAGGGCGGAGTGCAGTGGCACGATCTCAGCTCACTGCAACCTCTGCTTCCTAGGTTGAAGTGATTTTCCTGCCTCAGCCTCCCAAATAGCTGGGATTACAGATCCGCACCACCATGCCTAGCTATTTTTTTTGTGTTTTGTAGGAGAGAGAGAGTTTCGTCATGTTGGCCAAGCTGGTCTCCAACTGCTGGCCTCAAGTGATCCACCTCCCCTGGCCTCACAAAATGCTGGGATTACAGGCATGAACCACCACACCTGGTGTACAATTTTTTTTTTTTGTTAATTTAGCCAGGCATGGTGGCATGTACTTGTAGTCCAGCTACTCAGGACGCTGAGGTGGGAGAATCGCTTGAACTCAGGAGGTTGAGGCTGTAGTGAGCCATGATCATGTCACTGTACTCTAGCCTAGATGACAAACTAAGACCCTGTTTCAAAAAAAAAAGTATGAGTGTATTGTCTCAGATATGACTAGGGGAGTGAGAGAAGCGCCACAAGCTAGGGACTTCAGTTTCCCTAAATGGGGACTAGATGTCCCTGCTGGGAAGAGGGAAGAAGATGCAAAAACAAAACAGAGTAGGCACAAAGATTCTCTCCAGTGAAATCACAATTCTAGGATTTGCTCTTTAGCTTCAATGAACATAGTCAAACAAAACTGTGCCTGGAAGTAATTTTGCCCAATAGTGTAAAGGCAAAAACCTCTGCTTTGCCAGGCCTGAGACTCTAAAAAAATACAGCTGACTTTACTTTAAAAAGGAATTTAAGTCCTAGAAGGTTTGTGGATGTATTCCCAATCGTATAGTGCCTGATTTGCAACTACTTCTGGGGTAAATCCCTGGGTTATCCATTCCTGGTTACCAGTTCCTCTCAGTTCCAAGAGTACTCATTCCCAGCTCTCCCATTAAATCCTCAGACAAGAAACTGAGGTGGTGTCCTGGGTGATGGCTCCCACTTAATTGCAGTATCTCTCCCTCACTGCCCCCTTTCCTTCTCTCTTTCTTTGTCCCTCTTATGTATATCTCTTTCTCCATAATGCCTTTCTCTCTTTCTCTCCTCATTTCCAATTTTTGCTTAATGATCTTAGAAAAATATGTTTTCTTTCCCTTCCGTCATTTTGTTTGTAAATGCTGGATTACCTCAATGATGGTTAAGCTCGAGAATGGTGAAATTTATACCAGGGAAAAGAGAAGATAAGCTTATATGTTTGTCCTAAAGAATCAGTATCTAAAGCACAAAAAGCATCCTTGGGAATCTCCTACAAATTATTTTCCCATACTTTTTCCTTCATTTTAATGTTTCTTCTAAAATAAAAAAGTATTCAAACTTTCAACAAGAATTTTCATTCTATTTTCTTATTTCTTATTGTGGCATTAATTTTTAAATATTAAATAATTTTTTAAAGACAATTTTTTGGGAGTTGTAGGTTCACAGCAAAACTGAGCAGAAAGTACACATTTCACACATACCCCCTGCATGCATAGCCTCCCTTACTATCAATATCCCCCACCAGAATGTGTCATTTGTTATAAAGGATGAACCGGCCTTGACACATCATAATCGAAGTCCATAGGTTACATTAGGGTTCACTCTTGGTGTTGTATAGTCTGTGGATTTGGAAACATGTTTAATGACATGTATCCATCATTACAGCATCATACAGAATATTTTCCCTGTCCTAAATATTTACCCTCCCCACTAATACCTGGCAGCTACTGATCTTTTCATTGTCTCCATAGTTTTGTCTTTTTGAGAATATTATGTAGTTGAAATCATACAGTATGAAGCCTTTTCAGATTGGCTTCTTTCAGTTAGTAATATGTATTTAAGTTTCTTCTGTCTTTTCATGGCTTGTTAGCGCATTTCTTTTTAGTCCTAAATATATTCCATTGTCTGGATGTATCTCAGTTTATTCACTCATTGAAGGACATCTTGGTTGCTTCCAAGTTTTGGCAATTATAAATACGTTTGCTATCGATGTATGCAGGTTTTTGTGTAGACTTAAGTTTTCCACTCCGTTAGGTAAATACCAAGGAGTGACATGCTGTATTGTATGTTAAAAGTATAGTAATAAACTATACTTAGTTTAGTAAGAAACTGCCAAACTGTCTTCCAAAGTGGCTGTACCATTTTGCATTCCCACCAGCAATAAATTAGAGTTCCTGCTGCTCCCCATCCTCATTAGCATTTGATGTTGTCAGTGTTTTTGGTTTTGGTCATTCTAATAGGTGTAAAGAGGTATTTGACTATCGTTTTAATTTGCATTTCTCTGATGATGTATGATGTGGAGCATCTTTTCATGTGGTTATTTTCCATCTGTATATCATCTTTGATGAGATGTCTGTTAAGGTCTTTGGCCCATTTTTAATCAAACTTTTATATATTAAACAACTTTTATATATTTTTAAATGAATTTTCAACTTTAATATACAAAGTTGTTTGCTTACTGTGGAGTTTTAAGATTTCTTTGTATATTTTGGATAATACCTCTTTATCAGATACATCTTTTGCAAATATTTTCTGTGGCTTCTCATTCTCTTGAAAATTTAAGTGATTTTCAACTTTTTTTTTTTTTTAATGAGCCTATACCCAGTTTTTGCATTTAAGGTTTTCACCAATGCTCACCTCAACACCAATGACAATTTATAATATTCTTTCAATGGGAAAACATAGTCCTCTCTGCAAATGGTTGACTTCTAAACAAACTGTTGGAATATGATTCATTTGCACCAATAAGAGACCACTATTACAGAACAAGTTTAGCAGGAGGGTGGGAATAAGTCTGATGGCAAAAGTCTAAAGAGGGTTAAGTTTGACAATGAGAAAAGACAGACTAGACAGCAGAGTAAGACCCTGTCTCCAAATAAATAAATAAATAGCAGTAATCCAGGCTACTAAAATGGCAAGTTTTAAGTGAGTGAACATATTTTCCAGTTATGTTCTAAAATTTTGAATTCCTCATTAATTTCCCCATACTCCAGATCCTTAGAACCCTCTAGTGTCCGTATGAGGAATTGGTTTAGGTGAACCAAGTAAAATGCTTTTAATTTTTACATTCATGTTTTTAATATATATATATATATATATATATATATATACACACACACATATACATACACATATATATACACATATATATACATATACATATATATACACACATATACGTGTGTATATATATATGCTGGATGTAGTGACTCATGCCTGTACTCCTAGCACTTCAGGAGGCTGAGATCGGTGGATTGCTTGAGCCCAGGAGTTTGACACCAGCTTGGGCAACATGGCGAAATCCTGTCTCTACAAAAAATACAAAAATTAGCTGGGCATGGTGGTGCATGCCTGTAGTCCCAGCTACTGGGGAGGCTGAGGTGGGGGATCACTTGAGCAGTGAGCCGTGATCATGTCACTGCACTCCAGCCTAGGCAACAAGGCAAGACCCAGTCTCAAAATGTATACATATATTATCAAATACAAAAAACCTTTAGAAGTGTGCTTGTCTGACTTCCAATTTAAGACAACAGACTAAGCACATGCATCTGCCTCCCCCTTCTTAGGATCTGAGTGACATGACAGGAAAGTGGTACAAGCAATAATTTTGTGGCAACACTGAAAAGAAAGAAGGACCAGTGGTCCAGAAACTGCAATACCTCCAGGAAAGAAGGACCAGTGGTTCAGAAACTGTATTAAAAACTCTAGAAAACAGAAAGTAGATGGATTCATACTAATTGGTTTACCTATAATTTCCACAATATACCCGCGGTGAAATGAAGTTTGGAGATGTGAAGTACTCGAGAGATTCCAAGAACAAAACAGAGCATTACAGAGGGAGGGAGTGGCCTATGAAGCAGCAGCTCAAGAACAGCCGTGTGTCACTTAACAGGGATAGGTTCTGAGAAATGTGTCACTAGGCGATTTCCTCACTGTGTGAACATACAGTGTACTTACATAAACTTAGATGGTATAGCCTATTGCTCCTAAGCAATACAATATGTTACTGTATTGATACTGTAAGCAGTGGTAAATATTTGTCTATCTAAACATATGTAAACGTAGAAAAGGTACAGTAAAAATATGGCATAAAAGATAAAAAATGGTACACCCATATAGGGTACTTAACTTGAATGGAGTTTGTGGGACTGGAAGTTGCTCTGGGCAAGTCAGTGAGTGAGTGGTCAGTGAACATGAAGGCCAGGGGCATTAGTGTACACTACTATGGACTTTATAAACACTGTACACTTAGGCTATGCTAAAAATATTTTTCTTGTTTTAATAATCAATTAACCTTAGCTTACTGTAACTTTTTAAATTTATAAACTTTTAATTTTATATAACTTTTTGACTCACAATATCACTTAGCTTAAAACATACGTTGGCCAGAACAAGCCTATAATCCCAACATTTTGGGGGGCTGAGGTGGGATGATCCCTTGAGCCCAGGAGTTCAAGACCAGCCTGAGCAACATAGTGAGACCTCGTCTCTACAAAAAGTAAAAAAATTAGCTGAGTGCGGTGGTGCATGCCTGTAGTCCCAGGTACTTGGGAGCCTGAGTTGGGAGGATCCCTTGAGCTTGGGAGGCAGAGGTTGCAGTGAGCCAAGATTGTGCCACTGCCCTCCAGTCTGGGTGACAGAATGAGACCCTGTTTCAAAACAAAAACCAAAAAACACATTCACACACATTATACAGCTGTACGAAAATATTTTTTCTTTATATCCTTGCTCTAAAAGCTTTCCTCTAATTTTTTTTTTTTTAACTTTTAAAGACACAAACCCATACATTAGCCCCAGCCATGTAGGGGCTATTGATCAGGATCATCAATATCACTGTCTTCACTTCCACATCTTGTCTCACTGGAAGGTGTTCAGGGGCAATAACACACATGGAGCTGTCATATCCTACAGTAACAGTGCCTTCTGGAACTCCTCCTGAAGGGCATGCCTGAGGCTGTTTTACAGTTAACTTTCTAAAGTAGGGGTACACTCTAAAATAACAAGTATAGTATAGTAAATACATAAACCAGGAACAGTCATTTATAATTATCCAGTATTATGTACTGTACATAATTGTAAGTGCTAGACTTTTATAGGACTGGCAGCACAGGTTTGTTTACAAACAGCATCACTACAAACAAGTGAGTAATATGTTGTGCTAGGGCATTACAAGGCTATCATGCCACTGGGAGATAGGAATTTTTCGGCTCCATTATAAGCTTATGGGACCACTATCATATTTGCAGTTTGTCAGTGACAAAAACGTCTTTATGTGGCACATAACTGTAGCTGATTAGATCACTGGCTATCACACTTCAGGGCAAAGACTTTCTTCCCCCAGGTGCAGAGAACAAATGGTTGAAGCATTTCCTCTGGTTGCAGTCCTGCAAACTGCTTTCCAAAGACAGTACTGAGCCTCAGATGATGTAGACCTCCTCAAAGTCCTGAAGAGTAGAAAAATGCTCCTCCCCTACAGAATAATTTTTTTTGGAAATTGTGAGGCCCCTGTCATCCTACAACGACACTAACAGGACACTTGTCAGTCACAAGACCAACTGTGAGCAGGCAATCAGCCCTGCATTCCGGGCAAGGCTTTGGTGTAAGCAGCTCTTCACAACTGCCGCCGTGTCCACGCCTGCCACTTAACCTCATCGACTCTACAGGGCTAAGCTGTCCCTGAAGAGGTGTAATGTTATGGCTGGGCCTATGACTTACCACTGATCTGACGCAGGGGTTACAGACAGTCAGCAGGTCTATGACTATTAATGGATTGTATCTTTCCATAGAGAGCTGAAAAGCCAAGGATAAAATGCTCACCTTATAATTTACTTTTGGAAAACTCAACATCTTACCTTTTCACCTTTTTGGATTGCAACATAAACATCACAGAATTTCTGATATTAAATTTATTTTGGAATGTATGTGTATTATTTTTTACTTGGCAAGGGGTATAAATTCAGAAAATGTTCAATTTAGTTTTTTAAAAACTGGTTTAACAGTTTGTCTGAAGCAGATTAGTGGCCCATGATCTTCATTAATCTTTTGAGCAATAAATGTTTAAATTGTTCAATCTGTGTCAAAACCAATCTGGCCCATTGCTTTATTTCTTTTTTTAAACAAAGTTTAAGGCCAGGAGCAGTGGCTCATGCCTGTAATCCCAAAGCTTGGGAGGCCGAGGCAGGCGGATCACTTGAGGCCAGAAGTTGGAGACCAGCCTGGCCAACATGGTGAAATCCCGTCTCTACTACTAAAAATACAAAAATTAGCCAGGCGTGGTGGTGCATGCCCGTAATCTCAGCTACTCGGAGGCTGAGGCGCGAGAATTGCTTGAGCCCAGGAGGCAGAGGTTGCAGTGAGCTGAGATCGAGCCACTGCACTCCAGCCTGGGTAACAGAGCAAGACTCTGTCCCAAATTTAGATGTTAAAATGCCAATTGCGGAGTCACATCTGATTCACTTAACTTGATTATGCTTCCACTAAATAAAAACAACAGTCTCAGAGTAATAACAGTACCAAATGTGAAAATAAATTGAGTAAAAAAACCCCAAACATAGTGAAGGAGAAAATCAGCAAGTAAAATAAAGATGATGATGATAATAGTAACAACAAAAAGTATTTACATTTTGTTGTTGTTTTGGAGGCAGGGTCTTTCTCTGTCACCCAGGCTGGAGTGTAGTGGCATGATCATGGCTCTCTGCAGCCTCAATCTTCTGGGCTCAAGTGATCCTCCAGCCTCAGTCTTATAAAGTGCTGGGATTACAGGCATGAGCCTAAATTAGTGCCTGGCCTAAATTTTCTAATGTGACATGACTCAAGAATTCCACTTCTAGGAGTTTATATAGTGGAGAATACAAGAAGCAACATAATTATGTGGTTATTTCCATGTTATTTTGTATTCTTCTACAGAATACAAAGGAATTAGCAATATTTTTCTGTAAAATGCCAGAGAGTATATGTTTTAGGCATTGCAAAAACATGACCTGTTGGAAATACTCAACTCTGCAGTTGCAGCATGAAAGCAGCCATGGAAAATAAGTTAACGAGTGAGCATGGATGTGTTCAAAGAAAACTTTACTTATGGACAATAGATTTCACAGTTTTATACCATTTTCACATGTCATCAAATAATCTTTTGATTTTCCAACCATTTAAAAATGTAGGCTGGCTGCAGTGGCTCATGACTGTAATCCCAGCATCTTGGGAGGACGAGGTGGGCAGATTGTTTGAGCTGAGGAGTTTGAGACCAGTCTGGGCAACGTGGCAAAACGCCACTGTTTAAATGAGGGGAAGTCCAAATGTTAGATTCTGGACTTGGCTCTTCCTCTACTTAGCTGCCAACCATGATAAACACGTTAAACCTTAAAAAAAAAAAGCAAACCATTTTTCTATTTAGAGCATGTTAAATCTTACTTTTTCCCATAAAGTCTTCCTTGATTCATTAGTTGTCCTTTACTTTTTTTTTTTTTTTTTTTTTTTCTTGAGACGGAGTCTCGCTCTGTTGCCCAGGCTGGAGTGCAGTGGCACGATCTCGGCTCACTGCAAGCTCCGCCTCCCGGGTTCAGGCCATTCTCCTGCCTCAGCCTCCCGAGTAGCTGGGACTACAGGCACCCGCCACCACGCCCGGCTAATTTTTTGTATTTTTAGTAGAGACGGGGTTTCACTGTGTTAGCCAGGATGGTCTCGATCTCCTGACCTTGTGATCCGCCCGCCTCTGCCTCCCAAAGTGCTGGGATTATAGGCGTGAGCCACCACACCCGGCCTGTCCTTTTAAACAAACTGAAATTTATACAATCTATATTGGTCTGCTCAGGCTGCCGTAACAAAATACCAGACTAGGTGGTTTAAACAAAGAAGTTTATTTTCTCACAGTTCTGGAGGTTAGAAGTCTGAGATGAGGATATCACCAGCATGGTTAGGTTCTGGTGAGGACTCTCTGGCTTACAGCTGGCTGCTTTCTCACCATGTCTTCACATGGCCCAAAGAGACAGAACAAGCTCTCTGGTGTCTTTTCTTGTAAGGACAATAATCCCATCACGAAGTCCCCAACCTCTTCACCTCATTCAAACACACTTACCTTCCAAAAGGCCCATCTCCCAATACCACCACGTTGGAGGTTAGGGCTTCAACATACGAGTTTTAAGGTGGCACAGTCAGTCTATTAACTTCCTGTCCATATATTAGTTATGTATTAGGCATTATGTATTACCTAATACATAGCTAATCTGTATTAGTCAGGGTTTTCCAGAGAAACAAACACATACACACATCCTGAGAGAGATAAGAGAGAGAGACTCATATAGAAGGAGCTCCAAAATATTTTTTTTTGTGTGTGTGTGAGACGGTTTCACTCTTGTTGCCCAGGCTTGGAGTGCAATGGCACGATGTCGGCTCACTGCAACCTCTGTCTGCCGGGTTCAAACAATTTTCCTACCTCAGCCTCCCAAGTAGCTGGGATTACAGGTATGTGCTACCACGCCTGGATACTTTTGTATTTTTAGTAGAGATGGGGTTTCACCATGTTGATCAGGCTGGTCTTGAACTCCTGACCTCAGGTGATCCACCCACCTTGGCCTCCCAAGGTGCTGGGATTACAGGTGTGAGCCAGCATGCCTGGCCTCCAGAATATTTTAAGGGAGTACAGAACCACTATGGTGAGTATAAGCTGGGCATAGTGATGCAAGCCTGTAGTGTCAGATACTTGGAAGGAGGAGGTGAAGGATCACTTGAGTCCAGGAGTTCAAGGTGCACTCCAACCTGGGAGGCAGAGTGAGACCCTGTCAAACAAACACCACCACCAAAAAGCCCCAAACAGAACAGTTAGTATATGCCATCTTTTTTTTTTAAGTGTATGTGTATGTATATTTGAATACTCATATGGTATCTATCATTAGAAAGATACACAAAAAACTGGAAAATGTGGTAGTGGAACAGACTTAATTTTCATTGCATGCCTTTGTATTTTTTGAATTAGAAAAAAAAAAGTCCTGTGTGTATACTTTTTCTTTAAAAATTTTTAAAAAAGGATTTTGTTACTACATAGGATACTCTTACAAATTAAGAAGAAAGTCAAACATCCAAACAGAAAAATGGGCAAAGGAAAAGAAAAATCAATTCACTAAAGAAATACAACCAACTATCAAACGTGGAAAAGTACATAACCCATCTCTGATAAAAATACATGTATATAACAGTAACAAACAATCATTTCCTCTTTATCAAAGTGGCGAACATTTCAAAGCCTTATCACTTCTGATATTGCCAACAGTGTGGAAAACTTTAAATGGTGCAAGTATAAAGCTTGAGATAGGGCAATTTGGCAGTATCCATGAAAACTAAGCAGGGTGCTTAGTGTTACTAAATGATACATTACTTGAGGATACAGGAGTAGTATATATCATAGTGACCTAAAGCATAGGCTCTGGGATTAGATGGCCATTTCCTAGCTTTGAGACACTGACAAATTTCTTAAATTTATGGCCTTAGTTTTTTCATTTATAAAATAGAGATTAAAAGAATTACTTCATAGAGTCTTGTGAGAATTAAGTAGTTTTACACATCTTATAAATTAATAAAGGATATCTGAACTAAGGAACTTATAATAAAAACAGTGATTAAATTTAAAATGTCTTTGTTCATTTACATGGTATATATCACCCTCTACAAAAAAAAATGACACTTGTCTTTCAATCTGTCAAGCTTAGCTAAAAAATTCACGTATCTCTTTTCTATATCACATATTGACATGATATAGGATGCAAGATATAAATATCAATTTAATAGACATTATTAAATAATTTTACACTTAGTAGAATCTTGGATAAATGGTTAAAATTATAGATTGACATTAAGTGTGGGCACAGGAATATTCTGTGTATACCAATGGGTTTAACAGAAGATGTGTTTGCACTGATTTCTGGTCATCAACTTGCTTTCCGTGAATCTTTAAATACCCAATTCCAAATCTTCCAGCTCCTGGAGAAGGGCTGTTTCTTTCTGAATTTTCTCCAACTAGAAAAGTTTGAAACAATGAAGTTATTATGAAATAATTACTGGATATGTAACCAAAATAATACAGAAAAAATGGTATTTCTGACAATTTATTATGTTCACTAGTAAACACAGATTTTAAAATACAGGTTAGAAACAAATTCTAATTTGTTATCTGGTATGAATCGAGGGTGAAAAGAACAGACACTGTCTTACTGCATCCCTTTGGGCCCCAAAAATTTTCAATTCTATATTCGGGCTTAAACATGTTGACAGGAGGAGGGAAAAGGCAAACAGGGCAGTACAACTTGAGAGAATCTTATATTTGTCTAATATAACAAATTGCTATTATTTTCAGCAGTAATAACATAGTATGCCTCTTAGGAATATTGACTTTTTCATTCACATGATCAATACCATATCTCTTCTATTTAAGAGTAAAGCTATTTAAAAGTAAAAACATTAAAAAGAATATGGCATATGGTTTTCAAAATAAGTTTTTAAACTCCATGTGCTCTTTTACCTGACTAAATACTTGTTTATAATAAAAGGGGGAAGGCTGGTGGTCACCACAAGCCTAAATGAAAAATGCAGAAAGTACCTGATTTTTTTCTAGCTGTTTTCCAGTTGCTGCTTGTTCTTTCAGTTGTTCGATTGCTTTCAGTTTCTGCAAACATCAAATATGAGTCAAGAGCATGGAAGAAAAGTCACTTCAAATGCAAATTTCCTTATTAAGAATGTGAAACTCAAGTAAGGAGATTAATTATCTTAGATTTGTATCAACAATGGTCTGTTAAAATGCTAGGATAAATTGTTTTTTAAAGTTAAATGCAAAATTGTAAATGTTAAAAACATGAGATTTGGCAAAATATTATTCTCAGGCTTTTAATTAATGTTATCGTGTATGCATGTGTATATATAAATGTATCAGTAATGGCACATTTCAATGCCCCATTGGACCTGGGTGATGTTTCTGGCTTTGAGAGAAATCTCAATGAGAGCATTCTGAAAGATTGTTGGTCCAAAGTCCTGCCCGATAAAAAGTGAATGAAAGAGAAACCTCATAATGCAGCTGTGAAGGGCTCTAGAGACCTTTTTTTATCCCCAGGGCCACCCCAGCACACTGGCTGCAATATCACAAATCAATACACTTCTTTTTTGTCTCTGTCTCTTCATCTTCAAAACTAGGATAAATATCTGCCCCTAATTATCACAAGGTATCTAATGAAATACTGAGTATAAAAGTATTGAGTGACCAGGTGCAGTGGCTCACACCTGTAATCCCAGCACTTTGGGAGGCTGAGACAGGCAGATCATGAGGTCAGGAGATTGAAACCATCCTGGCTAACACGGTGAAACCCCGTCTCTACTAAAAATACAAAAAATTAGCCAGGTGTGGTGGCAGGCGCCTGTAGTCCCAGCTACTCGGGAGGCTGAGGCAGGAGAATGGCCTGAACCCGGGAGGCGGAGCTTGCAGTGAGCCGAGATCGCGCCACTGCATTCCAACCTGGTCGACAGAGCAAGACTCTGTCTCAAAAAAAAAAATTAAATTAAATTAAAAAGTGTTCAGTGGCCAGGCGAGGAGGCTCACAAATCCCAGCATTTTGGGAGGTCGAGGCGGGTGGATTACCTGAGGGCAGGAGTTTGAGACCAGCCTGGCCAACATGGTGAAACCCTGTCTCTACTAAAAATATAAAAATTAGCCAGGCGTGGTGGCGCACACCTGTAGTCCCAGCTACTCGGGAGGCTGAGGCAGGAGAATCGCTTGAACCTGGGAGGCGGAGGTTGCAGTGAGCCAAGGTTGTGGCACTGTACTCCGGCCTGGGCAACAGGGCAAGACTCCGTCTCAAAAAAAAAAAGTGTTCAGTATATTTCTATGCTGATGCACACTGAATTTTATTACTCCAAAAATCAAAGTACTAAGAGTCTTCAGACATTTATGAATAGAACTAAAATCAATACCATTCCTAAGTGAACAGTGCTTCATAGTGAGAAAACAACAATGAGAACTGCTGATACCAACTTCTTAGATACCTGTCTTTAGGCATCTAAGTACTCTCTTACTTATATAATTTTCATGTATACCTTTCAATATGCACATCTGTTTTTAAGTCTCTCACCTTCTTTAGGTTCTTGATTTTTTTGTCTATCTCAGGGTCCCCAGAAATTGACTGAGAGACAGTGTTTCGTGGTGTGCTCTGTGGGGCAGGAGTAGGTGCCAAATCTGGACTCTTGTCACTTCTTGCTTCCTGCAGGAAATATTTTTTTAAATTCAATTTTAAAAGCCAAAAACATTACAGTATTTAAATCAACATAGCTTTGGCATATGAAATACAGAAACTAAATATGTGATTTTATCTACATTTTATATAAAGAATCTGAATTAAAGGTCTCATGAAGTATGCTACATACTCCCATGTTAGAAATAAAATGACCTTATCAGAGTAAACCAGGAAGTTTCTGTACCAGCCAACAAGCATTCCAAACTTTTGCATATTCTGAGATGTGCCAGTAGATAGATGGTTTGAACATATGAGAGGGCTTTTCTATTTAAGGTGTTTAAAGTTTCACTCTTACAAGGCTCTCTCCAAAACTATAAAGAATATGTATGATCAAGTACCTGTAATGGATTATGCTACAAGAATAAGAATCCTACAGATATTAATTTATAATCAGATCAATTCAGCTCTGCAACAAAGTACCACAAAACTTTTTTCCCCTTAAAGGGATGCCATAATGCTTCCAATATGATCAGACCTCTGATAACTTTTCTTGTCCCTCCTCACTGATTCTGAATCACTTTTATTTCCGCTAAGGTGCTGTATACTCTTGCCCCTGGCCTTTGTGTACAGCAGTCTCCCTTAACCATGGTTTCAGTAACCAAGCGTCAACTGCAGCCCAAAAATATTACATGGAAAATCCCAGAAATAAACAATTCATAAGTTTTAAGCTGTGTGATGAAATCTCTCAGCATCCTGCCTAGAACGAGAATCATTCTTTTATCCAGTGTATCCACAGTGTATTCGCTCCCCACCTATTTTTCACTAGTAGCTGTGTTGGTTATCAGATCGACTGTCACAGTATCAACAGTAGTTGTGTTTAAGTAACCCTTATTTTACTTAATAATGGTCCCAAAGTGCAGAGTAGTGATGCTGGCAATTCGGATATGCCAAAGAGAAGCCGTAAAGTGCTCCCTTTAAGTGAAAAGGTGAAAGTTCTTAATAAGGAATAAAAAATATTGTATGCTGATTTGCTATGATTTACAGTAAGATTAAACCTATCCATGAACTTGGGAAGAAGAAAAAAGAGATTAGTGCTAGTTTTGCAGTTGCGCCTTGAACTGCAAGTTATAGCCGTGGTCATTCAACTTACCACACAAGCATTGTACCATCTCACATTGTCGCAAAAAGGGTGAATACAACACCATTAGATATTTTGAGAGACCATATTCACATATCTTTTATTACAGTATATTATTATAATTGCTCTATTTTCTTATGAGTTACTGTTAATCTCTTACTGTGTATCACAGTCTCTATAGGGTTCGGTACTATCTGTGGTTTCAGGCATAGCTCTGCCCCTCCAGGATAAAGGGAGACTACTATATATTGTTCCTTGTGCCTAGAACACCTTCCCCCACAAGTCACCTGGCTGAACCCTACTTATCCTTTAAGTCTTCTGGAAAATCTCCCCACCTTAAGACTGGATAGTCGCACCTTTCCCAGGCTCTCATAATGCCCAGTATTTTTCCCTACGGTAACACCATATTCTACCATTCCCCATTAGAACTGAGCCTCTAGCATAATACTTGCTTCGTTGCACAGGCTAAATAAATAAAAAATAAAGGAATGACTCTTCCTTTATAATTATGACAAGATATATATTTTGGTAAGAGGGGAAAAAATTATGTAAGTATTTATTGGCTCCAACGTAGGGTTTCTACTTCTTATAGAATTTCCAGTGGAATATATATATAATGCTCCAGGTCTCCATAACCTTTTACTCAGAGTTCTGGGTAGGATACTCTGAACTTTTAAAGCATCCTCAGATCCTCAGGGAACATAGAATAGGGTATCACTTCTAGATATTCAACTCTAAAAGTCTGCCTAAGAGTTTTTAGAAAATACAGAATTGAAGTCAATTTTTCTCTTTTTTTTTTTTTTTGGAGACAGAGTCTAGGCTGGAGTGCAGTGGCACGATTCCAGCTCATTGCAACCTCCACCTCCCGGGTTCAAGCGATTTTCCTGCCTCAGCCTCCCAAGTAGATGGGATTACAGTTACAGGCACCTGCTACCACACCCAGCTAATTTTGTATTTTTAGTAGAGATGGGGTTTCACCATGTTAGACAGGCTGATCTCGAACTCCAGACCTCAGGTGATCCACCCACCTCGGCCTCCCAAAGTGCTGGGATTACAGGTGTGAGCCACTGCATCCAGCCAATTTTTCTTTTTAAAGTCATGTTGGTTTCACTTTTTGGTACTATTTAATAAACAATTATTTACCTTCTACATGAAAACAAATTACTGGGCACTTTGAGAATTCGAAAGAAAATATTAAGTTTCTCCTCTTAAGGAGCCTGTAAGTTCTGGTAATAGGCAGTTTTATATTTTTCACAATATAAAATTAAAGTAGAAGAGTAAATAAAAGAAGAGGGGATATTCTGCCTATCAAAATTCACTTTTGATATCAGATTTTAAAAATATAAAATTTTAGTTGTTTGTAATGAGCTAAGAATATAGCTCTCTAGGAAGAAAGGTTAATCTTATCATGTGAAAAACCATTAAAATTAAGTGATATATAAAATTTATTTTTCCCCACAAACTAACCAAGAACAAGTTGAAATGTCTGCATTATTATACTTAAATTCTAGCCATTCTCTAGAAAGGACGTATATATGGTAAGATTAAATTCTTATGTTTCAACTCTTTTTTGGTAAAGTCAACAAACTTATAAAATTATCACCAGTTTACAAAAATACTAGTTAGATTACATATATCTGACTGCTCTATCTTTGACTATTTACTTCAGAGTCAGGACTAAGAAGGTCTGGATAAGGTGAGATTCTGTCAAGGGCCATTTAGCTTTGTTCCATCACACAGCCACAACTTTTACTAACTTCAGCCAGTCGTCCCCAAAATACATACTGAATAGTTTATCTTGCAAGTTGAAAACCTTTGCTATTACTGGAAAAACAACTCAAAAAGCAATTCCACAATGAGGGATTACTGGTATCACCTTTGGTATCATCTTTAGTAAAAAACGTGTGTAGGTGCTTGATGACTGTATTGGCTCTTTTAAAAAAAACTGACAGGTATAAACATATAACTGAGAGTTGTAAATTTATAACTGATCAGCCCAGCTGATCACACTATTACCATGAGCTATAAAGAGTTACACATTTATAACAGAGTTACAAATAACTATTATTTATAATAATAATTTCATTATATTAATTAAATGTGAAATTATCACATAATTTATATTATAAAATGTATAAACTAATAGAATTTGTATATTATTTATATAATTAATACAATTATAATTTAGTATATTAATTAATGGTTATAATTATTAATAATTATAATCATATGTAATTATGTAAGTAATTATTTATATAATAAGTATAAAGGAATCTTAGTCCAGTATCACCAATGGTCATATTAAAAATATCTTTTGATAAAGTGGAAGAAACTTTGCTTATAAAAATAGAATTCTAAGTTGAGTGCGTTTCAGAGAGGCCCTAAAACTCAAAGGGCATCTTAGTTATCAAGTTGTTAAGGATACTACTAATGAGTTGTAATATCCAGGGCCAGTAGAGGTCCCTACTTGTACTGATGAAGGGACAAGACTTGCTTTTATACAAATCTAATATCAAATGCATGGAATAGATCATTTTTACTTGGAATAACCTAAAGCTGACCAATTAAGATACTTCTGGGGATGAAACATATTAACTACAAATGAACAGAATGGTTTTTCTAAAAGTCCAGATTTTAGCAGAATATGGTTGCATAATACAATTCTATACCTTAAAATAGTAACTGCCTCCCAAAACACATAACCAGCCTAGACCTGTCAAAATTCAAGAATTATCAGCAAGACTATACTGATATAGCAACCAGCTGTTAAAAATCTGCCCTTTCTAGGATGGGCACAGTGGCTCACGCCTGTAATCCAAGCACTTTGGGAGGCTGAGGTGGAAAGACTGCTTGAGCTCAGGAGTTTGCGACTAGCCTGGGCAACATGGCAAAACTCGGTCTCAAAAAAAAAAACCAAGCCAAAACCAAACCAAAAAAACCTACTCCCATTTCCTGCTTGAAAAACATAGCGATAACCTATCTTTACAAAAATAAAAAAATTAGTTGGGAATGGTGGTGTACATGTACAGTCCTAGTTACTTGGGAAGCTGAGGCAGGATTAGTTGAGCTCAGGGTCTGGGGTTGCAGTGAGCCGTGATCATGCCTCTGCACTCCAGCCTAGATAACAGAGTGAGACAGAGTGTCTCAAAAGAAACAAAAACAAAACATCCAAAAACCCTACCCCACTGCTACAGTCTGACATATTGGTGTTTCCCTCAAATTCATAGTTTGGGACCTAATACCCAATGTAATAGTATTAAAAGGTGGGGCATTTGGAAAATGATTAAGTCATGAGGATTCCACACTCAAGAATGAGATTAGTAGCTTTATAAAAGAGACCAAAGAGAGCTCCACTGCCCCTTCCACCATGGGAGGACACACAGAAAGAAGGTGCCATCTATGATGAACGGGTTCTCACCAGATACCAAATCTGCCAGCGCCCCAGCTTCTAGAACTGTGAGCAATAAATTTGTTTATGAATTACCTAGTATAAGGTAGCAGCCTGAATGGATTGAGACATGTACTCTACCTGAATTGCAAAAATGTGATCACCATAACTTCACTAACCAGACATCCCCAGCCCAGCCAATCACATTATCACCATGAGCTATACAATATCACAATTTGTCAATTATTTACACTGGTGTGGCTTTTCAACTACGTAATCAAGTAAGAAACTATTTTGGAAATATCCCATTATTTGGGTACTTCTGGTATTTCGATTCCCAGTTAAATAATTTCATATAGTACTATAATACTGAGTGCCCAAATGGCTTTCTAGTCATGTAATTTCCAGCTTCTCTTAGTAAATACATGCTTCAAGGAAAGCAAACTACACCACTTCACACAAGTGCCACCAAAAGGGTCTACAGCAAGTAACATGCTTACATAATACCATTAGTGTCTCAGGTTATGATGTCAAGTCCAGTTTCTTTTGTCACCCATCATATAGACAGGATTACTTAGAAATTCATAGGCAAAGACAAAAGAAAGATATTCTGCCTATTTAAGTCTAACTCCAACTACATTTTATAACGTAAGAGCCAAGGTTTTTTGTGCTTTTTTTCTTTTTTTTTCGAGTCATGGTCTTGCTCTGTTACTCAGGCTGAAGTGGTACAATCACAGCTCACTGCAGCCTCAACCTCCCAAGCTCAAGTGATCCTACCATCTCAGCTTCCCAAGCAGCTGGGACTACGGGGTACACGCCATTGTGCCCAGCAAAAAATTTTTCATAGAGATGGGGGTCTCACTATGTTGCCCAGGCTGGTCTCGAACTGGGCTCAAGCAATTCTCCCACGTTGGCCTCCCAAAGTGCTGGGTTACAGGCATGAGCCACCACACCTGGTCACAGTCAAGTATTTAGGACCACAATTCTTTAAACTTTAAGGCTTAAAGCTAACTTAACTGCCTTTTTTTTTGGAGATGGAGTCTCTCTCTGTCGCACAGGCTGGAAGGCTAGAGTGCAGTGATGCGATCATGGCTCACTGCAACCTCCACCTCCCAGGTTCAAGTAATTCTCCTGCCTCAGCCTCCTGAGTAGCTGAGATTATAAGCCATGGCCAACTAATTTTTGAATTTTTAGTAGAGACAGGGTTTCACCACGTTGGCCAGTCTGGTCTTGAACTTCTAACCTCAAGTGATCCACTCGCCTCAGCCTCCCAAAGTGCTGGGATTACGGGCGTGAGCCACTGCGCCCGGCCATAACTGACTATTTGTTTTGTTATGAGATTAGTGCCCCAAATACCTGCTTTGCAGCTTTCTTAGCTTCATGCTTCCTTTGATTTTTAAGAGCTGTTTTTGATAATGGCTTATCGTTTCCTGATTGTGGTTTCATATTCTGAGGTGGTTCCTCTTCATGCTATGGAAAATGTAAAATAATTTTGAAATGGAGTCCATGTTGTAAACACCTACAACAACAAATTATACACTTCTGCTAATATAGGATAAACTTATTTTATCAAATTTAAGATCATTAGCAAAGATTATTTTGAAACTCATTGGTAGTGGCACACTCCAACTGTCAGGATGGATTTAATTAGGGTCTTCCTATTAGTTCCTATATCTTTCAATCATATCAGAGCTGGCAAAATTCACTTTAGTTTTGTTCAAACAGAATTTTTCTTAGCACTACTACAGACACATGATTCTTATGAAAACTAGATACCAACAACAGCTTCTTCTGAGGCCTTTTTGGTTCTAACTATTGTCAACAGAAACCCAGTTGCCTCGCTTGTTTTCTTCACACAAAGAATTACTTGCTAGATCTTTACTTGTAAAATCAGAAATTAGAAGATTAAAAATAAAAGCAAATGAAAAAACAAGAATAGATTATAAGAAAATAAATGAAATAGAAAGGAGTAATTAACTAGATAATTACAAATCTGGGATTGACATATGAAGAGACCAAAAAAAAATTACATGGCTTGTCAGATTACACAATGAAGACAATCATTTCCAACATCAGATATTCATGTAACCATGTAACAACTATATTCCACAATAGAAAAGATGGTGAATTATAGATTCAATGTATCTCCAGAACAGTTTTAGACAACATACAGTATAAGTGATGGCACTACAACTCTCTATCAGATTCAGGTACTTACTGATTTCTATCTATATTGCTATTATTTTAATGTTAACTGTCTCTTAGACTGTACCATAACTCAGCACATCAAAAGTACCAGCTCTCCATGAAGTTTCTTGAGTACTAGGTCTCAGATCCGCATTTTACTTATAAGTTCTATATGGAAATGAGCAGAGCTCAAACACTTAAGATGCAGAGTAATAAATAAGAAACCATAAAGTGACCTTATCTTAGCAAATGCATTAACTATTTCAGGTCATCAAAGTTCTGGGTATGTTCATATTCTACTTGAAACAAACTGAATATTATGAGAACCCACATTTGTAGAACAGCAGACAAATTTGGAGTGCAAGGCTCTTTCATTTCATTTTTATCCATGTTGCATAAAATGCTACTTAAGTTATACAATATTTGCTGAACATTTGTTTTATACATAATATGAAAATTCTTTCAATAGTGGGCTCTTCTGTAGTAGTTTACTTTGGCCGAAAAGTTTCTGCTCAGAACTTTGATGAAAAATGATACAAGAAGAAAAGATAAGTTACAAGTCTCTTCCACGCTTATGAGCATCATGTAGCCACTGAGAGCCTTTCACTTGAGACGAAAAAAATCCACACAACTACTATAAATCATGAGTTTTTTCTGGTTTTGGTACTATGTGCTCATTACGCATAATTTCATTCTCATTAATAAACTTTGTTTATTCAGTTATATCAATTATTATGGGACTGTTTTTGATGAACACATTTTAATTTCTCAGCTCACTGCAACCTCCTCCTTCTGGGCTCAAGTGAATTTCCCACCTCAACACTCCCGAGTTGCTGGGATCACAGGCAGACACCACCATGCCCAACTATTTGTTTTGCATTTTTAGTAGTGATGGGGTCTCACCATGTTGCCCTGGCTGGTCTCAAACTCCTGAGCTCAGGCGATCCACCCGCCTCGGTCTCCCAAAGTGCTGAGATTACAGATCGAAACCCCCACACCGGACCAACGAACGCATTTTAAAAGGTGAAGGTTTTTTTGGAAAGCTAATAAATATTCTTTAAGTATAATTTATATATAAATTTTTACTTATAAAAAACTTTTTTCTGTGAGGGACGAACCCCAACACCTTTTTTCCCCTACTGCTGTGTAACTCTCCTCCTTTGTGAAGTTATCTACTACACTGTCTTTGTTTCTAGTAATTTCTTGACAGTATTTTCTTTGTAATTTAGCTCATTTCTGGAATTAGATACACGTAAACATTTCTAATTACTGGGCATATAGCTACTTCAACTAAAATGATTTGACAGGACCACACAATCATCACGCCACATAAAAAAGCAACAATTTAGTAGAAATCTTAAATGTTAACAAAAAAATCCTGGCCGGGTACAGTGGCTCATGCCTGTAATTCCAGCACTTTGGGAGGCCAAGGCGGGTGGATCACCTAAGGTCGGGAGTTCCAGACCAGCCTGGCCAACAGGGCAAAACCCCATCTCTACTAAAAATAAAAAAATTAGCTGGACGTGGTGGCAGGCACTGTAATCCCAGCTACTCAAAAGGCTGAGGCAGGAGAATTGCTTGAACCCGGGAGGTGGAGGTTGCAGTGAGCAGAGATCGCGCCACTGCACTCCAGCCTCGATGACAGAGTGAGACTCTGTCTCAAAAAAATCCTGATTTTAAGTTCTTACCTAATTTCATCACCATTTTCAAAGTATTATTTTCTGTATCAATTTCTCCCCCTCACCAAAATAAACCTACTACTTTTATGGATCAAAGAATTGTGCCATCATGCACAGATTCAGAAAGCAGGATGGGTTGGAGTTACTTTTGTTTTTATCTGAGGTAAGGAAAATTCCAATACAGAAATAGGAAAAATCTGAAGTCTACTATATACTTTCTTTTTAAATCTAAATAAATATGATAAATACAAATAAATATCATGTTATGTCTTTATATAATTTTACATAAATAAAACAATACTGGTTAAATAGAACATTTCGATGGAAATTAAGAAGTTTCAGACCAGTCATACGTTTTGTTTAGTCCAAGAGAAAGGTTGTTTTTTTTTTTTTTTTTGAGACGGAGTCTCACTCTGTTGCTCAGGCTGGAGTGCAGTGGTGCGATCTCGGCTCACTGCAACCTCCACCTCCCGGGTTCAAGTGAGTCTCCTGCCTCAGCTTCCCGAGTAGCCGGGACTACGGGCATGCGCCACCATGCCCAGCTAATTTTTGTTATTTTTAGTAGGGACGGGGTTTCAGCATGTTAGCCAGTCTGGTCTCAAACTCCTGACCTCAAGTGATCCTCCCGCCTCGGCCTCCCGAAGTGCTGGGATTACGGATGTGAACCACCACTCCTGGCCCAAAATAAACTTTTTTCTATAAAAGTAGTAAAACTTTACTTACCAATTTGGAATTGGTGATTGGTTTATTTCTTAAAGCTGGGGGTCTATAAGCTGTTGCAACTTTAGGTTCCTCATTGGGTACTTCACTTGGAACTGCTTGGTAAGTTATTGTTTTTGCTGGAAATATTCCATCCAAAAATGGCTGCCAAGAAACCTGCCATAATTCTGCATTTGATGGCACATCATACTTGTGCAAGATAGAGCCAGTATAATGCCAAATTTTGTATCCATTATTAACCCGTAACCTGGGAGCACATGTAGCTGTTAAAATATGCTCACCATCCGGGCACCAAGCAAAATATGTAGAATCAGAAGCCACCGGTTTAGAAATAAGTTTGTAGTTTTTCACATCCCACACTTCCATTTGTCCCCTCAGATTTCCAAATCCAGCTAATACTAATATATGTCCATGAGGGCTATAGTAGGCTGCATTACGAGGACCAGTTCCAAAGTCAAATACAGGATCACATTTCAAGTTGAAAATTGTCGCTTTGGCAGGCATAAAACCATATACAGCACAAAACTCAGTAGAACTAGAATTCCAAACTACATCATAAATGGGGCCATTTTTTGCTAGAAAAAGAATATAAAGCCCAAATTAGCAATAAAGAACTATATAAATATTTGTTAGCAAAAGTTACCATCATATAGTACTCACAAACACATCAAACAGATAAAAAAATTTCAAGGAATGTTAACATTAAAATACTCTTACATTATATACTAGGGGGATTAATGTATAATCATAAATTTATTTAAGAACCCCTATTGAATCTTAATTTCTTTTAAACATTTTGGTAATATGGCCTTATAGTAATAGTTTGTTACTATTAATAAATTTGTTTTTGGAAGGGGTAATACGTGCAGATGGTAATCAAAATACAAACTAATTTATTTATTTATTTGTTTATTTATTTATTTATAGAAATGGGATCTTACTTTGTGGCCCAGGCTGGAGTGCAGTGGCATGATCACAGCTTACTGCTGCCTCGACTTCCTGGGCTAAAGGGATCCTCCTGCCTTGGCATTCCAAAGTGCTAGGATTATAGGCATGAGCCACTGGGCCCTATATTTTTAAAAATGCCACATAAGACCAGGTGCGATGGCTCACGCCTGTAATCCCAGGACTTTGGGAGGCCAAGGTGGGCAGATCACCTGAGGTCAGGAGTTTGAGACCAGCCTGGCCAACATGATGAAACCCCACCTCTACTAAAACTAGAAAAATTAGTTGGGCACAGTGGCATGCACCTGTAATCCCAGCTACTCAGGAGGCTGAGGCAGGAGAAGCGCTTGAACCTGGGAGGCAGAGGTTGCAGTGAGCCAAGATCGTGCCACTGCACTCCAGCCTCGGTGACAAAGCGAGACTCCATCTCAAAAAAAAAGCCACAAACACAGGTCATTTTACACAAAGGCAACCCTCTGTTATATTTCTTGGATATCCTTTCAGAATTTTTTTTTGTTTTTGAGATGGAGTTTCACTCTTGTTGCCCGGTCTGGAGTTTAGTGGCACGGTCTCGGCTCAATGCAACCTCTGCCTCCCAGGTTCAAACAAGTCTCCTGCCTCAGCCTCCTGAGTAGCTGGGATTACAGGCATGAGCCACCACGCCGGGCTAATTTTGTATTTTTAGTAGAGATGGGGTTTCGCCATGTTGGTCAGGCTGGTTTTGAACTCCTAACGTCAGGTGATCCACCTGCCTCAGCCTCCCAAAGTGCTGGGATTGATTACAGGCATGAGCCACCGTGCCCAGCCTCTGTCAGCAGTTTTTGATGATGCAGGCTTCCCCCTCACTATCCTTCAACTATACTGTGTAGTTTCATATTTTTATCTTCATCAGCCTACTAAGTGAAAATGTCTATCTTGTTTTCATTTGTATTTTTTAAATTATAAGTTAAGCATCTTTTACTGTAAGTAATTTTATTTCTTTTTCTATGGGCTGATTTTTTTTCTTCTTCTTTTTTTTTTTAAAGAGATGGTCTCATTTTGTCACCAAGACTGCAGTACAGCCGTAGGATCTTAGCTTGCTGCAGCCTCAAATTTCTCGGCTCATACAATCCTCCCACCTCAGCCTCCTAGATAGTTGGGATTATATGCATGAGCCACTGCACCGGCTCTGAGGACTAATTTTTACTATCCTATGCCTATTTTATTTTTCTCCAATTATTGGTCTTTTACTTGGCTTACTTGATATATTAAGAAAATTTGACCTTCCTCATACTTATCACTTGACTATTTAAAAAACATATTTTCCCCAACTTTTTGTTCATTTTGCTTAATTTATGGACTCTTTTCTTCTCTCATTGTAATAATCCATTATTCTTCTCTAGTCAAATTCATTATTTTTTCCCCTTAGTACTTCTATCTTGTTTAAAAAGTCTTTTTCTACTCTTAAGATTAGAAAAAAAATTCTCCCATATATTCTTCTAATTCCTCTGCAGTCTTATGTATAAGTTTTTGACCCAACCAGAATTTATTTTGTGAAGAAGATAATAACCTTTTGTTTCGAATGGCTAGCCAGTTATCCCAAACCACATATTAAATGATCAATATTTTCTCCTCCATTGATTCAAATGCTGACTTTATTATATATTAATGTCTACAAAAGTATGGATCTACTTCTGGACTCTGTTCTCTTCCACTGATTTATCAGTTTTACCAGTATATCCATATACCACAACCAAACTGTCTTAATTACAATTGGCTTACTTTTTTTTTTTTTGTGACAGAGTCTCACCCTGTCAGCGGGCTGGAGTGCGGTGGCACGATCTTGGCTCATTGCAACCTCCCACTCCTGGGTTCAAGCAATTCTCATGCCTCAGCCTCCCGAGTAGCTAGGATTACAGGCATGTACCACCACACCCAACTAATTTTTGTATTTTTAGTAAAGATGGGGTTTCACCATGTTAGCCAGGATGGTCTTGATCTCCTGACCTCATGATCTGCCCGCCTCAACCTCCCAAAGTGCTGGGTACATTTTAATATCTGGTAGTGTCAGAACTCCAGATAACTTCCCCTGCCCTGCTCTTCTTTTACACAAGTTTCCAAAATATTCTTGTGTGTTCATTTTTCAACACCAACCTTACAGCCAGTTTATTTAGTTAAAAAAAAAAAATCAGTTAGCATTTAAATTTAGTTTTAGACTGACAAGAGAGAAATGACATCTTTATAAAAATAATTCTTCTTAGTAAAGGTCATAGTTTGTCTCTCTGAAGAGTTTTAAAGTTTTCTTCTCATTGGCCCTATATATTTGTTCTTATTATTTTTGCTATATATGGAATCTTTCATTTTTTTAAAGTAGCTGTTATAGTGTGACTTCATCTACATGAGCAGAGATGATTTTGTTTTCTTTCAAAACTGTATATATTTTACTTCTGCTGATTATAGTGACTAGGTATTTCAGAATGTTATTAAAATAAAGTGAAAAGGGGAGCCATCCTTGTTTTTTCTCTGACTTCAATGGAAATAGTTTTTTTAAAACATAGATTACCCTACTTACACATGTTCAATTCAAAATGAGAAAATTAGGACGCTATCAGTATTTTAAAACTATTATTTTAAAGTTTTAGTTCATTAAAACAACAGATGAAGTGGTAACATTCTTGGATATTATTATTTTGAGACAGGGTCTCGCTCTTTCACCCAGGCTGAAGTACAGTGACATGATCATAGCTCACTGCAGCCTTGAACTTCTGGGCTCAAGTGATCCTCCTGCCTCAGTCTCCTGAGGAGCTGGGACTACAGGCATACGCCACCATGCCTGGCTAACTTTTTCTATTTTTTGTAGAGGTAGGGTCTCACTATGTTGATCAGGCTGGTCTTGAACTCCTGAGTTCAAATGATCCTCCCATCTCAGACTCCCAAAATGTGTTGGAATTACTGGCACGAGCCACCATGCCTGGCCTCTTGCATATTACTAACAATTCTAAAGACAGTATTAAGCAATTTGCCGTCATAATTAGCTAAGTAAGTTCCAAAAGAGCTACTACAATGGAATTACCTTACTCAGGAAGTTCACTTCTAAAACGATGGCGTAACTCAAATAACTAATTGTATTCTGCCAAAATAAGGTATGTTGGAGGATGATTTTTAAGTTTCTTAATTAAGAAAAATTTTATCTTAAAGGTTATTAAGGCATATGAATTCTATCTTTTGATCAAGAATTTAGATTATATCATCTTTATGGCATAGTATTTTTTACTATCATTGTTTCTAATCAAAGGAAGACTGCTGGAATACTCACGTAATTGCACTACAGCACTTTCTCCATTTGTTGCAATGTAGTGTAGAGTTTGTTCTCCATAGTAGGAAGCTCCTGTCTTGTCAACATCTGTGCTAGCTATTACCAACACAGCAGTAGCTATAACAGTAAAAACTTTAATTAGATTTAAAACACAAATGGGCATTGATTCTTCTGTTATACACATAGGAATATAGCCTAAATTAACAACTGATAAACAAAGGGAGGGATAAAATATACTTAACATACCTTTTTTATTCCACAGCATTGTAACTTTATCTGCCTTAAAGAAACTTTTATTAGCTAAAGCTGCATGAGGTCCAGCAAAGTTGGGGTACTGATATAATCTAACAAATGAAGGTGCACCTTTACTTCCTGGAACATAGACAGCCACCTAAGATACATAGACATAAATCATTACTTAATTTTTTGAAGAATAAAAACTGAGATGGACATGTTTTTACAATCACAAAAAACTAGGAAAAGGTTTAAACACATAATATTACACATAAACAAAAACAGCAATTACCTTGTATGGTTGGGGTCCAGGTGATAATACAAAATCATTAATTTTTTGCAAATGCAATTTATTTGCAATTGTGTCTAAAAAAAAGAGTAAATTAAATCAGATTGATGAGAGAACCTAAAAGGAACATGTTAAACTCTGAATACATTATCAAAGATCACTATAACTACACACCAATACTACTCACTGTAGTCTCCTCCTGGTGAGATACAGTAACACAGTGGAAAAAGCATGGGGTAGGAGCAAGACAAATGTAGGCTTCAATTTCTACTCAGTCATTTACTTGCAGTGTGAGCTTAGGCAAGTAATGGGATTATACCACCCAACTCTCAGTAATTGGTTTTAAGAGAAGAGTGCCAGGCACATGGTAGGTATTTGATAAATGTCAGTTATCCTCTCTTCAATCGCTGAAATAAAGTGGTCTTAGAGCCTATTAGAAGGAAAAGATCAACCTTGGCCTGCTACTGCAGAATGTGGATATGGAAATTCTGTAACTTAATGTGATAAACAGATGCATGATAATGATGATCACAACCACAGTAACAATGGCTGATATTAAGAGCTTACTCTATTCCAGGCAGTCTGAGCCATGCTATTATTAATAAAACTGCCACTCTAGTTAATTAGATCAAGAGCTAATATACTTTCTTTGTTCAATTTCAGAGATCAATGGCTTTTCAAAAGCAGCACACCAAACTGTCAAAGTGGTGATCCCTCTTCATTTGACATGCTCACAAAGAGGAGAATAAGACAAGAAAGCAAGCTAACCCAGAAACAGTGAGGTGACAGTGCGCCTCAAACACAGGAAAATAAAATGCATAACTATACTGATTGGATGCTGCTCAAAATCAGCCTACATGCCATCTTTGGTACGTGTGAACAAAGTTACCAATTCCTATTCTAACTATGATATACTCAAAACTGTACAATCAGTAATGGGATGCTCTAAAGACAAAAGAACTGCAAACCCTTTTTAAAAAATTATTTTCAGTAACAGTGTTACTTTTTGGTATTAAGATTGTAAGAATACCTTGTGGATAATGTGGAACAAACCAAATGAATACTTATGTGAATGTGATATTCTCAAATTATCATCCCTGGTATTCCAGAGTAACAAGATTCTTGGTGGTGACAGAAGGCAATACAAATAAGATAGAAGTTAAATAAAAACCTTGTAGTCTTCAATTTAAATAAAACTATACGTATAAAACTTTAATTTAAATAAAATTATGATTGTTACATCTTTTAAATAGAAAAAAAAGGCCTAGAAACAATGATCAATGCAACAGCAAATAAGAATCTCTAGAACCTAAATACCTTTTTTTTTGCTAGACTCAGCCAATTTTTCAAGAAACCCTATTACCTTTTAATGTTTCCTTCAATGAGATCAAGAGCTAATACTTTTTCTTTGTTCAATTTCAGAGATCAATAGCTATTCAAAAGTAGCACACCAAAAAGGCGACAGGGTTTCCTGAAAAATTAGCCAGTTCTAGGTGTAATGGTTAGAAATGTACAAATTAATCCTAGAATGACTTGTCTTACCATATAGCAAAGAAGTCACTAAGGATTAATTGATCAAAGATGAGACAATTTGAGCATCAATAAGAAAAATAACTACAATGGACTGAAACACATACCTTTTAAATCCACAGCTCATTAAGAATGGGACTAAAAAGGCCAGGCGTGGTGGCTCACGCCTGTAATGCCAGCACTTTGGGAGGGTGAGGCAGGTGGATCACCTGAGGTCGGGAGCTCGAGACCAGCCTGACCAACATGGCGAAACCCCATCTCTACTAAAAATACAAAATTGGCCGGGCATGTTGGCACATGCCTGTAATCTCAGCTACTCAGGAGGCTGAGGCAGGAGAATCGCTTGAACCTGGGAGGCAGAGGTTGCGGTAAGCCGAGATCGCACCATTGCACTCCAGCCCGGGCAACAACAGCGAAACTCCATCTCAAAAAAAAAAAAAAAAAAAAAAAAGAATGGAACTAAAAAACAGCCTGGGCAACATAATGAGATCCTGTCTCTACAAATAATCAAAAATTAGCCGGGCATGGTGGTGCAAGCCTGTAGTCCCAGCTACTTGGGAGGCTGAGGCAGGAGAATTGCTTGAGCCCAGGAAGTCGAGATTGCAGTGAGCCATGATTGCACTCAGCTTGGACAAAAGAATGAGGCCCACTCTCGAAAAACAAGAATGGGGAAAAAGCTAATTGGTTACAATGAAGGTTGCTAGAGGTGGAATACATTATATTAAAACTGATAAGAGCAAGAATATTTATCCCGCCTTTTCTATATAAATGCAGCACTAGGTAACCAAATAGTAGAAGGGGAAATTTTTCTTTATAGAAGCAGTACAGCTGAAAAATAAGTGAGGGAGAAAAAACCAGAGTATCAACAATTTGCAACCACTGATGAAATAATGCATCCAGGCATGAAACATTAATGTCAGCTAAGCCTACAAAATTAAAGACAACCAGACATTATGTGCTTCTTGATAAAAGAAGTGAACATCACCTTATAATGTAGTCTTACCCTTACTCACCTAAAAAAGAACCTGAAGCTGAAACTCTAGAGCCAACTTGCAATTTATAGGGGACAGATGAACATGTTAAATTATACCATGGGATACAAAAGCAAAATTCAAACTATGGGAAAACGTGAAAGACAAATAACCTTGTTTCTTAAACAATAAATTATGAAGAATAAAATAACAGATAGAGTGGGAACTTATAGGACCAAAAGAAACATAAAAGATATATCAATCAACCACAATGTGCAGTACCTTATTTGGATCCCGAGTTTTAAAAAAAATTGTAACATTTGCAATTAGTAGAAATTTGAACACATATTTAATAATTTGTGATAATGGTTTTGTGGCTAAGTTTAAAAAATGAAAGGCCCCAATCTTCAGAAATCTACTCTGAAATATTTACAATTACATATTTAACAAGTATATAAAAGTATAACCATATCTGGGATTTGCTTTCACTTAGTAAGAGATGGTAGCTGGAGAGATGTATGGATGAGATAAGATTGGCCACAAGCTGATGGTTACTAGAACTAGGTGTCTGAAGTTTAAAATTCTACACGATAAAATATCTAAAAAATTTGTGTCACAGAATTTCAATAGCAATTAAATTCAGGAAAAGATATTCAAATGTCTTAATAGCAATTACCAGATAATAAAAAGTTATTGTAAAAGAAAACCTTTGTGTTACAGATTTTCACTGAATTCAGACTTATAAAGAATTATGCAAATGTATGTAAGAGTAATTATTGATTAATAGATTAACAGTATTTAGGAAAACCCTATGATGTCATAAAAGTTAATGGAAACTGTATACGATTACAGTAAGTAATAAAATTATGTCATAAATCTTTCCATACTAAAATTGTTGTTTTCAAAGAAGTGAACTTCATTGTTAACATTGCGGGCACAAAGAGTTTCATCTTCTGACCAGGATGGACACCTATGTCAATGAAAAAAAAAAAAAGTATAAAAAATATTCAGACAGAATGTAACATCACATTAACATGTTAAAGTAATTTATGATATTGGTTACCATTTAAGGAAAAACACTTATAAACACTTATAAATATGATATTAAGTCAGTTACTAATAGTTTTAGTCAATATATGTTAATAGAAAAGGCCAGGTGCGGTGGCTCACACCTGCAATCCCAGCACTTTGGGAGGCCAAGGCAGGTGGATCACCTGAGGTCAGGAGTTCAAGACCAGCCTGGCCAACATGGTGAAACCCCATCTCTACTAAAAATACAAAAATTAGCCAGGCATGGTGGCACGTGCCTGTAGTCCCAGCTACTTGGGAGGCTGAGGCAGGTGAAATTGCTTGAACCTAGAAGGCAGAGGTTGCCGTGAGCCAAGATCAGGCCATTGCACTCCAGCCTGGGTGACAGAGCGAGACTCCCTCTCAAACAAACAAAAAAAAGAAAACATTGTTCCTTTCCACTTAATACTAAAGGAAAGAAGGATCAAGTTTTTGCTCTATTACATTCCTACATACAAAATCCTTAAAAATGTAGATTTTTGTCTGATAAGTTATTTTTTAAATCAATATCAGGAAAACAAATATTATACAGTGATGACATTAAAAATACTATGTAAAAAATTAGTATTTTAAGCCATTTATTTACCAATTTTGCATTTTTTTCTGGATGAAAGATTTCAAACATGTCCCAGTTTTCACATCATAAAGTTGTAGGTTGGGTATCCCAGCTGTGCCATCTTTAGAAGCTGCAATAAAATTTCTTTTTTTCAGTAATTGCCTTGTAACATTTGTAAAGGGATTATTTTTCTTATTTATTAAGTTTGATATGGATTACTATCAAATGGGTTAAATCATGAAAGCTTGCCTCTGTGTTACCAAAATAAATAAATAAATAAATGAAAGGTTACATAACCCACTCATGATTCTCAACTGATTCTCAGTATCTCTTTCATTTACTTGGAAAAATTAGATTCATGAGAGTTCATACCTCTTGAAAGAACAAAAACTCAGGAGGTTTGTAAGCCAATAATGACCTATTATCATTTACTTATTCAAAAATATCAACATTATTAGAAAATGTTTCTTAAAATAAGCCCCTATAACTATTTTATTACATGAAACACAGTTATATGAAATGTTCATATAATGTATTATCATTAAGTATCTCTTTAAATATTTTGGAAAATGGCACAACATTTTCGACTCTACCATACACATCCCTTAGATGTTTTGTCTACTGTACTTCCTTTCACATAATAATTATTTAAAAGTCTTGATTTTAAAAGTCATTATTATTCTTAATCTTCAGAAATCTCTATCCAGCAGTTATTTACTTCCTGAATTTTCCCTTGAGCTTTTTCTTTTCCTTTAGCTCATAATGGCTCTTTACATTAACTTACCATATACCTTGAAATTACTTTCAATACATTGTTTATTTGGAGAGTACAAGATTCACTGTAGATCATAAATATTCACAAACACTATTTACTATCATAAAGACTAATTACTTTCTTATGAGGTTATAAACTTTATAACTTTTTCCCCCCCACTAAACGTAATTGATCGTGTCAGAGTATTTTTACACTGAGAAAATACTTACTAGTGTAAGGCTGCCACGTTGCCAGGACAGTATTTTTGGGTGAGAATTCAAGGCAAACTGCCTTCAGGAGGTCGAAGGAGTGCAGTAGTCCCTTGTTAGTGACACTGATAATATTTACTCTGGTTTCAAAAGAAATTATTTCAGCAATGAAATACTGTTTTATAGTAGTCAACACTAACCAAAACATTCATACCTCTTTTCAAATACAGATCACTCCAAAATGTTGACTTTTTTTTTTTTTGAGATGGAGTCTCGCTGTCTCCCAGGTTGGAGTGCAGTGGCGCAATCTCGGCTCACTGCAAGCTCCACCTCCCCGGTTCATGCCATTCTCCTGCCTCAGCCTCCCAAGTAGCTGGGACTACAGGTGCCCGCCACCACGCCCGGCTAATTTTTTGTATTTTTAGTAGAGATGGGGTTTCACCGTGTTAGCCAGGATGGTCTTGATCTCCTGACCTCGTGATCCGCCCGCCTTGGCCTCCCAAAGTGCTGGGATTACAGGCGTGAGCCACCATGCCCAGCCCAAAATGTTCATTTTTCATAAAAATCAACTTTAAGTTGGTTCTAGAAAATATGCGGGAAATACCTTAACTTCAAAAAAAAAGGGCCAGGTGCAGTCGCTCACACCTGTAATCCCAGCACTTTGGGAGGTCGAGGTGGGTGGATCACCTGAGGTCGGGAGTTCGAGACCAGCCTGGCCAACATGGAGAACCTCTGTCTCTACTAACACTACAAAAATTAGCCGGGCGTGGCAGTGGGCACCTGTAATCCCAGCTACTCGGGAGGCAGAGGCTGCAGTGGGCTGAGATCGTGCCACTGCACTCCAGGCTGGGTGACAGAGTGAGACTCCATCTCAAAAAAAAAAAAATGTATATTTTACCAAAAGGCTCCTATATAAGGCTAGTGCTGGGAAATGATATAAAATAGAAGACACATGGATGATTCCACCTTCAGCTGAAAAGGAAAAAAATGCCTTTAAGTGAACACAAAACTAATCTATAGAGAAGCTGAGGTCTATCAAACCAAAGGAAAGGCAGAGGTGCTAGAGAAAATGGCAAAAGTATACTTTTGTTTTATTTTTTATTTGAGATGGAGTCTCACTCTGTCACCCAGGCTGGAGTGTAGTGGCACAGTCTTGGCTCACAGCAACCTCCACCTCCTGGGTTTAAGTGATTCTCCTGCCTAAGCCTCCCGAGTAGCTGGGACTACAGGCGCATGCCACCACGCCTGGCTAATTTTTGTATTTTTGGTAGAGACGGGGTTTCACCATGTTGGCCAGGCTGGCCTTGAACTCCTGACCTCAGGTGATCCACCCACCCTGGCCTTCCAAAGTGCTGGGATTACAGGTATGAGCCACCGTGTCCGGCCCGCAAAAGTATACTTTTAAATTTGAATAAATGGGCCAGGTGCAGTGGCTCACACCTGTAATCCCAGCATGTTGGGAGGCTGAGGTGGGAGGACTGCTTGAGCCCAGGAGTTCAAAACCAGCCCGGGCAACATAGCAAGATCCCATCTCAATTAAAAAAAAAATTTTTTTTAAATAAATAGAAGCTATAGCAGCTAGGGAAATCAGTAAGGAGACATTTGATGTCTACTACAATCTCAAGAGCAATCTCTAAAAGATATGATTCTAAGAATTATTATGGTACAATGACAAAAATGACAATAATTGTATGATAAAAGCAGTTCCATTTTGGGATGTTTTCTATGTACCTAACCACTTTATGTACATTTTCTCATTTAATCCTTACAACAATCTTACAAATGTCATCATTTCTGTTTTACAAGTGCTGAAATTTAGGCTTAGAAAAATAAAATGATTTGACGATTTGCTCAAGATCATACTATTGATAAATGCCACAGCCAAGCTTTGAAATCAGTTTGGCCTGACTTACTGTTATGTACTAAACACTCTGGGGTGTTTAACAAAAAAAAAAAAAAAAAAAAGACTCTCCATCTTATTCCAGAAGTTGCTGTAAGTAACTTTGTTCTACTCAGGTTTGAGGAAGATAACTGAGGTTAAGATAAGCAGTCACTGAAAAGAATGAAAAATTACCACATAGTATTTAAACACACACACCTAACATGGAAATCTTTACAACTTGCTGCAAATAACCTATTTTAGAATTACAAGACGCTTTCTTGTTTTCTTCTTGTTGCTGTTGTTAACCTTTATTTTTTTCTTTGCTTTGCAACTGGAGCCTACTCAGAATTGATGGTCTTTAAGAGTTATTCTTAGTTTAATGAAGGATGTTTATTTTAATTAAGAAAAAACATATTTAAGGAAGAATCAGTAACGGTTTCTGACTTAGTTAACCAGAAACTGAACAAAGACCACAATCAATACATGAAATCTAGTTCTCTTGCCCCAGAACAATAAGTACCATTGTGGTCACAGCACTTTAATGAAATAAATGCTAGAACTTAATATAGAAGATATCTATTAAAATCATGGACATGACATATGGGGACATACTAAAAAGATTCAGAGTTGAATCCCATAGAAGGTTAAGTGTGGATATGAGTGAACTATTAACAATAACTGCCAAGGTAAAAACAGACTTATTCAACAAACTCTAAGCTAGAAGAACAAGGAATACTTCAAAAACAAACAAACAAAAAAAGACAATGAAAAGAAGTATAGTATAGCCCATTAGGTAGTAAATTTCTATTGATTCATTACTCAAATACTACAAACTAAAATATGGATTAAAAAATAAAATTTAAGTACCCACAATAGGTTACACAAAAAAAGAGTAAGAAATTTTGAGATCACATCCTACTTTTTGAGGCTGAGATTAAAACTGTTAACATTGTAGATAAGACTCATTATAATTATATTATTAATGATTTGAGAGTAGTAGATTCAGGCTGGGTGAGGTGGCTCATGCCTGTAATCCTAGCACTTTGGGAGGCTGAATAAAGCGGGTGGATCACTTGAGGTCAGGAGTTAGAGACCAGCCTGACCAACATGGTGAAACACCATCTCTACTAAAAATACAAAAATTAACCAGATGTGGTGTTGTCTGCCTGTAGTCTCAGCTACTGGGGAGGCTGAGGCAGGCGAATCGCTTGAACCTGGGAGGCGGAGGTTGCTGTGAGCTGAGATCACGCCACTCTGGGTGACAGAGTGAGACCCTGTCTCAAAAAAAAAAAAAAAAAAAAGGGCTGGGCATAGTGGCTAACACCTATAATCACAACACTTCGGGAGGCCGAGGCAGGAGGACTGCTTGGGGCCAGGAGTTTGAGCCTAACCTGATCAACATAACAAGACCCTGTCTCTATTAAAATTGAAAAAAGAAAAAGAATAAAAGACCAATTTTTTTTAATTATAAAAGCTAATTCTGCCAGCTACTTATAGTCATAAAAGGTGAATCAACTAATTCAACATGTTCTCTTTAGTAGTCAATTTTTAAAAAGCAAGTATTAATGGGTAGTTTAAACACTTCTGAATACATTACCATTGTAAAGAACAATGTTTAAAATTTACTTTTCAAACTAATGCATGCAGTTTCTCCCCTTTGAAAAACCTAACAGTATTATATGTGGTTTAGAACAATGTAGATAACTTTAAGCCAAGCAACAAATATTTGGGCATTTGCATGGTCTATGAAATAAAATGTTGTAGTAACTCTTGAAAAATTAAAAAGGACTGGTTTTCTTAATAAAATATAAGCATTTAATCAACATAATTTTTTGTGCAAGACCAATTTTGTAAACTGGTATTTTATGTAACATATATTATACTAAACGTTCTTTTGAATAACATACACTTTTATATACATAAGACTAATAATAATAACTGCAGGCAGTTGTTAGTAATTTAACAGCAAAGGTAAAAAAGTATCTACATCTAGGATTAAATGAGTAAAGAGAATTATTTTCTCAGTGTTACTGCAGATTTAGGAAACTCCAACCAATAACTTAGAGCACTGTTTAAAACAACTCAACTTCTTTAGCATTAAATTATATTTTTCATATATTAATTTTTAATTCTAAGTAACTAGATAAACAAGTCATGGCATATACATAGAAATGAACAACTTTGAAGGTATTTTGTGTAACGAGAGGTAATATCTCACTACATCATGACATTAAAAGACGGATTTTATTAATGACACTCAAATATCTGTTATTCAAATAATGCCAGTTGTGTTTATATTCGTGACACACAAAATATGTTATGTAAATGAACACTAACTTTTCTCCATTGCCCCAGGCAAACAAGGTCCCATCCTTACTAAAGATACAGACTTTGCAATTCTTCCCAGATTCCCTGAAAATGACAAAAAAAAAAGGTTTAAATGAATAAGCATTAATACTTTTCAAAAAAATCTGATTATAAAGTCAACCATTTCACTATCAATTTAATAACTAAGAACTTGCACAAATTTCAGAAAATTCCAAAATGCTTTCATCTGCCAAAATACTTTAAAATGCAATGCTATCACTGTAAAGTAAGCTGGAAAATGATTTCATACTAACAGATGGATTTTAAGAAAAAAATAGAGCCCTTTTGGGTGAATAAGTTTGTGTGGTAGGCCTTCCATCAATTTCTCATGTGTAGAGATAGAAAGTATAACAAAAATAAGAGGCTCTTCACCTAACTACTTGGGAATATTCTATCAAGTATTCAAAACTCTAAGTACTGTATCTCCGAAGTGAAGATGTTTACTATGAATACATCACCCAGTGATAATGAATACCCAAATAGAAACTTGTATCTGTGCACATGTAGATGTACATTAGTGTAGTCACAACATGAGATGAGAACTTCCTGGCTAAAAAATAATTTGAATTGCTAAATAACAACAAAAGCATTGAGAACTGACTGATACATCCCTTACACTATCTTTGCATTAATTCATCTGCACAAATGAAGATGACATTTGTGCTTCTGCAATCACACAATAATGACAGCTTACACTCAGTTTATAGATAATAAAACATTTTTAAAATCTCTTTCTCATGGTGCAATGGCTCACACCTGTAATCCCAGCAGTTTGGGAGGCCGAGGCAGGCGGATCACCTGAGGTTGGGAGTTCGAGACCAGCTGGGCAACATGGCGAAACCCTGTCTCTAATAAAAATTCAAAAATTAGCCAGGTGTGGTGGTGGCGCCTGTAGTCCCAGCTACTCAGGACGCTGAGACAGGAGAATTGCTTCAATCCAGGAGGCAGAGGTTGCAGTGAACCCCTGCGCCACTGTCCAGCCTGGGCGAAAGAGTGAGACTCCACCACACAAAAAAATAAAAATAAAAAAAATCTTTCCCACATAAACAGCTATGATCAAGATGTTCCCCATCCTATACTACCCTACACTTATGCAACTCATTTCTGAACCTTACGGCAGAATTTTACAATTATCTTTATTAAATTCCACCCAGGTTTTGGCCTATCATTTCAGCCTACTGAGGCCTACTTAAATCTTGATTTTCTCTTTTAAAACATTAGTCAGTCCTTACATTACATACGGAAGTATGTAATATATAAATTATAAAACTGTTACTAGGCTATCATCTAAATTATTTATAAGACTGTTCAGTGAGCTCTGAACAAGATCCTGTGGCTCACCAACAGTCCTTCCCTCAAATTAAAACTAACTCATTAATCAGCTGACTTTACTGACCTTAACCAATGACAATTCTGTCATCATCATGCAACCCAAAGACTTTCTCATTTCTCAGATATTTTGCCAAAATTATGTTTACAGTTCTATTATTCTAATGTGTATTCTATTATTCTGTCTGGAAATTCTACCCAGAAAGGAAACGAGATAAGCTTGAAACAATTTGTTCTTAGGAAGCTCATTTTGACTTAATAAACACCCCCTTATCGCAATGATTATAAACTTACTAAACTACAGAATCCAGAATTCGATTATTTTCTTGGTCTTGGCAATTGGGAAATTTTGCCTCTTTCCTTCTGGTATAATTTTTTGAATGAAAAATTTCAAACATACACAAAAAATAGAGAAAAAGTATGATAATCCACCTATGCACTCATCATCAAGCTTAAGTAACTATTAACTCAGAGCCAATTTTATCTATTCCCCACTTTTATCTTTCATGCCACAACATTCCAACGCAAAAACTAGATGTCATTATCATATTGCTCTATACTTGATTATGCATCTCTAACCAGTGAGTATATTTTTTTAAAAACATAATCACCACCATGCCACTTCATCTCACAAAATTAACTTCTTAATATCATTTAATACCCAATACTTGGATTGGATATCTGGGTTTTTTAACAGCTCCCCAGGTCATTCTATTGTGCAGCCACATTTGAGAACTACTCATGTAAAAGACTGACTAAATTCTGAGTTTGAAGTTTTTTTAACTTTCGTAGAAGATATGTACAGCACAGTTCCTACTGTATAATAACTCACCAGGAGACACATAAATATCTCTCTGTTCTACTCTTAGTGATACTGAGATTGTACTGGATTCAGTCATGTGCCTCCTTGTATCTACCTAACTCTTCCTGCTGCCACGCCTCAACTATTCAATGAAGAGACCTCATCTCCTAACGCCACTGGTTGTCTTTGAATCTGCAGAGTTAAGGGCCATACTTCCACATGGCTTCCACCATGCACTGCGGCAGCACATGGAGGAGCTCTGGCACTCAGATTCAACCCAAACAGGCTAAGAGGCTGTAGTAAACTTCTTACCCTGTCTCCACACAACAGACTGTTCTGAAGTACAAATGTTCCATACAGCCTTTCTGGAGACAAAAATTTTGCACACATGACCAAGCAAGTTGGCTATATTTTGTGGATTTGTGGTCACCTCAGTATATCCCATCATACTTGCTTTAACTCCTTCCCTGTCTCATTTCCCTTTCTCCCCTACTCCTGCAGCCTTGGGACTGCATACCCTAATGAAGTGTAGCACATAACTTTGCCATAGTTTTTTTTTTGTTTTTTGTTTTTTAAATAGATATGGGGTTTTGCCATACTGCCCAGGCTCATCCTGAACTCCTGGGCTCAAGTGATCCACCCACCTTGGCCTCCCAAAGCGCTGGGATTACAGGCATGAGCCACCGCGCCCAGCCAGACTGGGTTTTCTAGAGTAGTGCTTCTCAAACATTAATGTGCATACATGGCCGGGTGTGGTGGCTCACACCTGTAATCCCAGCACTTTGGGAGGCCAAGGAGGGTGAATCACCTGAGGTCAGAAGTTCGAGACCAGCCTGGCCAACATGGTGAAACCACGTCTCTACTAAAAATAAAAAAATTTAGCCAGGTGTGGTAGCAGGTGCCTATAATCCCAGCTACTTGGGAGGCTGAGGCAGGAGAATCGCTTGAACCCAGGAAGCAGAGGTTGCAGTGAGCCGAGATTGTACCATTGCACTCCAGCCTGGGCAACAAGAGTGAAACTCCATCTCAAAAAAAATAAATAAATAAGTAAATAAATAAATAATGTGCATACAGGCCAGGCATGGTGGCTGAGGCCTGTAATCCCAGCACTTTGGGAGGCCAAGGCGGTTGGATCTCTTGAGCCCAGGAGTTGGAGAGCAGCCTGGGCAACATAGTGAGACCCCCATCTCTACAAAACATACAAAAATTAGCCAGGCATGGTGGCATGCGCCTATAGTCCCAGCTACTTGGGATACTGAGGCAGGAGTATTGTTTGAGCCTGGGAGATTGAGGCTACAGTGGGCCATGATTACACCACTCCATTCTAGCCTGGGCAGCAGAGCAAGACTCTGGAAAAAAAAAAGTGCATATAAATCATCTGAAGATCTAGCTAAAATACAGATTCTGATTCAGTAAGTTGGGTAGGGCCTGAGATGCATTTCTGTACTGGCTCAGGAGTGATGCCAATATAGTTGGTCTTGGTTGGGCCCATGCTTCCTGTAGCAAGGTTCTAGAGAACTGGGCCTAATAAAAATTGGTCAGTAGAGTCAGATGACAACAGCCTGATTATAAAGTTCCCCATTAACAGTCATCAAACAGTTCAGCTAAAGGTTTCAGCATCTTTTGATGATCATCTGCCTAGATCAGTGGTTCTTAAAGGGGGGTCCCCAGATTTGCAGCATCAGTATCACTGGGGAATTTGTTAAAAATGCAAATTATTGGGCCCTACCGCTGATCTAATGAATCCGAACATTTGGAAAGAGAGCTGCAATCTGGATTTTAACGAGCTTTTCAGATGATTCTGATGCTTGGTAAAGTTTGAGAACCAGTGGCCTAGATCCATTTCTTGAGGATTACAAAATGGTAATTGTCTGATCCAGCATCCATTCTCCATTTATTAACTGGAATTCGTCTATAAAATTCTTTTTCTCATCAACCACTTGGTTACTCTGAGAAACAGTTTGTATAAGAAAGGCAAGATAAATGCTTGACTCCTTCCCTTTATTTATCAATTTTCAAAGTAATGAGTGAGGACTCCATCAACCACCAATGCTGACCAGTTAGGTTTAAACGGAGGGGGGATTTTTCGGGGGAGCATTTATATACTTGACATGCTTTATCTTTCTATTCATAATTCTTAATGTTCCCATCTTAGGTTGGTGTGAATCTCTTCAAGTTGCTTCCTACGACCCTTTAACAAAATCTCATTAGTCTTTTATAGCTTTGCTTTCTGGCACAAAAGTTGCTACCTCAACTTGTACATTTTCTGTCCCAGACCTAGAGTTGACCACTTCTCCAAGGAAGTGGTTCCTTTTAGTGAAGAATTGTATTTAGAGATCACAATCTGTGAGGATGGGGTATTCACTGCTACTGTGTTATCACTGCTTCCAGGCCTTTTCATTGGCCAGAACTAGGAAATGCAAATGTTTTATGAAAGGAAATCATGAGTTCATACTGATATAGGCAAGTCTATCTTTTCACTCTAATGCTGAAAAATCTTGGTGCCTAACAACATTAATACAATTAATTTACTCTATCCTATAGTAGATTCAAATGACAATATCAACTTTCAGTTAAAAAGAAAACTATTAGGCCAGGCATGGTGGCTCACGTCTGTAATCCCAGCACTTTGGGAGGATGAGACAGGTGGATCACCTGAGGTCAGGAGTTTGAGACTAGCCTGGCCAACACGGTGAAACTCTGTCACTACTACAAATACAAAAAAATTAGCCAGGCATGGTGGCAGGCACCTGTAATCCCACCTACTTGGGAGGCTGAGGCAGGAGAATCGCTTGAACCTGGGGGGCAGAGGTTGCATTAAGCCGAGATTGCACCACTGCACTCTAGCCTGGGCAACAAGGGCAAAACTCAGTCTCAAAAAAAAAGAATTTTGCAGGTCTTCACATGGTTATGCCACCAACCTGATATAAAGCTAGAATCACTTATTTTAGTTTCCCAATTTTTTTTTTTTTTTTTTTTGAGACGGAGTCTCATCTTTTTGCCCAGGCTGGAGTGCAATGCCCTGATTTTGGCTCACTGCAACCTCCACCTCCGGGTTTCAAGCGATTCTGCTGCATCAGCCTCCCGAGTAGAGTAGCTGGGATTACAGGCGCCTGCCCCCACACCCGGCTAATTTTTGTATTTTTAGCCGAGATGGGGTTTTGCCATGTTGGCCAGGCTGGTCTTGAACTCCTGACCTCAGGTGATCTGGCCTGCCTTGGCCTCCCATAGTGCTGGGATTACAGGCGTGAGCCACCGGGCCCAGCTTTTAATTTAATTTTTAAATTTAAAACAATTATATGGTCCAAAGTCAAAACTATACCAAAGCTCTTTCACAGATGTGTCCCCTGCATCCTGTAACTCTCTCCCCCGCATTCTGTAACTCTCTCCCCCTATAGATAAGCATTTTTAACTAGTTTTTGGTTTACTTGTCCATTGTTTCTTTGGGGAAAAAAAAATTAATCTAGCTAGCTATATACTATGTGCATATATATGTCCTCCCTTTTTAATATCTTTTTCATTATGATTTCACTAAGATTACTGGCCATGATTTGGCTATCAAATTTGCAAGTTTTTCTCATTCCTTAAGATACAACTCTTGTAAAATAAAGGCTTGTATTCAATTACACTAGTGTCTACACTTTTTCTTAGTATTGTTCCCCCTACCTTATAAATAGGCTTAAGTTACTATTTTCAGATCTGAAGATCATTTTCCTTGATAGAGAATATGTATTCTTTTCATCTTCGGTAAATATTATACAATAAAAATGAGTTCATCTGTTCTTTTCCTTTCTTGTTCAAAATACACCACCAACAAAACCATTTTAGATTGTACTGTATGTTCCCTATAACATTACTTAACAAAATAAATCATACCTTGGAAACACTGTGCTTTCTGTAAAATGTGGTGGTCCATTCACCATGTACAGTCCTTCTGATCCTCGGACTAAAGAAGTAAAATAAAAAGAACCACAATTACTTTGTTAATAAAGACTCAGTTAACACAAATGTGTTTTTTAAAAAAGCAGCTTTAGTCAAAATATTAATGAAATCATTAAATATTTCATTGAACTATAGAATATTAGCAACAAAAGGGCATATTTTCTTACTCTGTTACATAAAATCATATAATTGCTGAGAAATACGTAACTTTTTAAATAAAACTCGAAACTTTGTCACCACTGAAAGAAAGGCAGCTGTCTTGTGGTAAAGAGGACATGAATTCAGAGCCTGACCTAAGTTTATAACTGCCTGTGGAACCTTGGATACGTTACCACCTCTGAATCTGTGACCTAATCTGTAAAATGGAAATATCAGAACACAGGATAGCTGTATGCTTTATATAAAGTAATAAAAAAAGTATATGTTTAAAGTTTTTAGAAATATAAGGCAATATTAATATATTCACAATTTATCAAACTAAGAGAACAAGTGGAATGAGACATATTCATTTATTAAGGCCCCAATGACAGTAATAGCCTAAAAAATTAAGTGGAAACAAAGTTCAAGATTAAATAATCATCTACAGAACTAGACTATACTTCTTATTTCTATGTTTAAATTTATTTATTTTTTTGAGACAGGGTCTTGCTGTCACCCAGGCTGGAGTACAGTGGCATGATCAAGGCTCACTGCAACTTCAAACTCCTGGACTTAAGTGATGCTCCTGGCTCAGTTTCCCAAGTAGCTGGGACTACAGGCATGTGCCACCCTGCTTGGCTATTTTTTTTTTTTGTAGAGACAGAGTCTCACTGTTGCCCAGGCTGATCTCTAACTCCTGGGCTAAGGCAATCCTCCCTCCTCAGCCTCACAAAGTGCTGAGATTACAGGTGTGAGCCACCGCACCTAGCCTAGACTATACTTTTTTAAATGGTTGAATTAAATGCTTCTAAAGCTGAACCAAATAAATAGATTCATTTAGTCAACAAATGCTTAGTGGGAAAAAAACGAACAAACTACCTCCTAGGCCCTGTGTTGAACATTGGCGAAATAATAGGAAAGAAAATCAGCCTTGTCTCTGACCTCATTGAACTTTGCAAACAGTAATCAAATAATTGGCCAAATATACGGAATCATATACCTGTGTTTAGTCCTTCAAAGGAAAGGTATATGGTACCACTGAGGGTATAAAAGAGAGTTTTAACCTAAAAATGGAAGGTTAGGGAAAGCATCCTTAAGTGTTTTGTATACTGAGATGTAAAGGATCAATGGCAGTTAACAAGCAAGGAGAACAGTTAACAAGTGCAAAAACCCCATGGAAAGAAAAACGACAGAGCGTCAAGGGGATGGAAAGAAGGCCTGTGTGGCTAGAGGATGATGAAGCTGGAAAACAAAATAGGGCTCAGGCTAGGCGTGGTGGCTCACACCTGTAATCCCAGTACTTTGGGAGGCCGAGGCAGGCAGATGGCTTGAGCCCAGGAATTCAAGACCAGCCTGGGCAACATAGGGAGATGCTGTCTCTACAAAAATTAGCTGGGCACGGTGGCACATGCCTGTAGTCCCAGCTATTCGCACGGCTGAGGCAGGAGGATCACCTGGACTTGGGAAGTCAAGGCCACAGTGAACCATGATCATGTCACCCACCACCAAGCCATGTTAAGTTTTATATTTCTTGTAGAGACGAGGTTTCACTACATTGCCTAGGCTGGTCTTAAACTCCTCAGCTCAAGCAATCCAATCTGCTTCCCTCAGCCTTCCAAAGTGCTGGGATTACAGCTGTAAGCCACCTGGCCCAAACTGACATTTTGTACTTCTAAGATGCCTTGCTAGATTTAATTAGTTTTTCTATTAAATAAATTTAATAAAAGCATATACAGTTTAATTTACTCCTGATAAGCTGTGATACAAAGTTTATTAGAAAAAAACACAAAATCAGGTCCATAACAGAACATAAACTGTTTTAAACTAATAAAAGCAAAAATAAATAGGGACTAAAAAACTTCTCAATACTGAAACAATTTTTTTCTACATGTAACTTTCTAACAAGGAATCCTTTTTAGTTACAAGTATCTGTGAAACTAAATACAATGCGTAGTTAGCTTAATATAGTGTATTCTGAGTTTGTGTGATTCCCTGTTTTTAGTGATTTCCCTCTTCAATCAAATGGGATTGGCAATATGTTCTAGCAGAAAGAAAAATCTAGAATGCAAGCAGTTCTTTTAAGACAACAAATAAACGCCAGTTTCACACAGTAGCTGTGTGAAATACATTAAACATCTACATAATCTTTTCCAAGCTTACTAGCCTTTTTAGACATTCATATACTATTTATTGCTCTAGGCCTGAGTTAGAGAGAGAAAAACACAGGGCTTCAATAAACAAGGATCCCATGGCAGGGGTGTAGTCATCTTTAAAATACGATACTTTTCCCAACTCTTACATTCACTGAACTATGTATTAGTTTAGGAAAATCACTCAATTTTGAATAAATTATCTCTGTGACTTCAACTGGTCAAGCAGATTAGACAATGTGAATTTCACGTAATGGACATTGCTGTTTTATGTGCCTAGCAACCAGCTCCTCTTCTTTAGGAGGCGCTCATTTTCTTTTGAGGAGTATCGAGGAGTGGGAAGATAATTTAGTCCTGACTACATGATTAAAAGTTGACTGATACAAAGGTGAGCCAAGCAAAGTCAAAGGCAGCTAGCCTTGAGATTTTTGCTGAGACTACTGGCAAAAATGTGTTCTTTCCTTTGGAGCTGGGCATTTGGTTGAATGTCAGTTTAAAGATGAATTTAATCTGGAGGAAAGCAAGAACCTACAGATGAAGAAAAACAGATTTCTGGCCAGGCATGGTGGCTCACACCTGTAATCCCAGCACTTTGGGAGGCAGAGGCGTGTGGCTCACCCGAGGACAGGCGTTCAAGACCAACCTGACCAACTTGGTGAAACCCCAACTCTACTAAAAATACAAAATTAGCTGGGCGTGGTGGTGCACGCCTGTAATCCCAGCTACTCAGGAGGCTGAGGCAGAAGAATTGCTTGCACTTGGGAGGTGGAGGTTGCAGCGAGCCAAGATCGCGCCATTGCACTCCAGCCTGGGCAACAAGAGCGAAACTATCTCAAAAAAAAAAAAAAAGAAAGAAAGAAAGAAAGAAAAACAGATTTCTGAAGCCATGTGAGTATCTGGATCTAGCAGTACTGAGGCTTTTAGGTTATACGAGTTTAAAAAAAAAAATCCCTTTTTCACCTGCTTTGGCTTGTCACTCCCAATTAAGAGTTGGGGTTAACAAAATTTACTGGCTAATCTGCAAATTATTCACAGCTCTAAAATCCCACGAGTCTAAATTTAACAAAAGATTTTGGAAGTAAAATAATCTATTGTTGAATGAAATATGTACACTGAGAATGTTTAAAAGATTAAACAGTTTGTTCTAGTGAAAGAAAAATGGACCACAGAGTTGAACAATCTGAATAAGTATAATCCTAATCCTGCCAATTTGCAGTGTGAATCGGACCACTTAATCTCTCTGGGCCTCTAAGAATATGAGAATATGAAGAGTAGACTGAACAGACAACATTTAAGCTCTTACAAAGTCCCTGATTTTAAGCACTGTAAGACAATTGTCATCCTTGGTTAATTTACTATAAAGTGGCTATCCTTCATTAATTTAAAAGGATAGTCTAAACAGACAAATCTAATCTAGATCTCTTGTATGCACAGTTCAAAATAGGGTTTGCGCTCTTATGAGGCTCTAATGCCCCCACTGATCTGACAGGAGGGGAAGCTCAAGTGGTAATGCTTGCCCAGTACCAGTCCGGCCCAGGGGGTTGGGGACCCCTGATTTAGAGTATCTATTGTCTACCAGGCACTGCACTAGTACTGAGAAGACAGATATGAATAAGACCCTGTCGCTGACATTGAAGGACTCACAGTCTAGCAGGGGAGAAAGGCAAGTGAATGTCTAATTATCCTACTTAGTAAGTGAAATAAAATTTCAAATATATTTCAGGTACAAAAATAGCCCAGGAAGTGACTGACTCTATCTGGGTAGAGTGACGAAAGGCTTCACAGAGCAATGATATCTAAAATGAATTTTAATTTCAACAGATGAAAAAGAGTTTGCCAAATCAACAAGAGGCATAGGATAGTACTAGACTGAAGAAACAGGTTGTTCAAAGGGACTCAGAAGCAGTTCAGTATTGATGGAGCACCAAATAAGATGGGATGGCAAGGAAATAAATGAGTCTCAAGAGCAATTCAAAGATTATAAATGGTTACATAACTATGCTACATAGGATGGAATCTACCCTGTAAGCAGAGAGGAACTACCTACTGTAGGCATTTTTAAAGGAGGGGTTATTTATCAGATTTTAGAATGTAATTTTTTCATTAGAGTTCAAATAAGCATTTAGTATTAAAAATTGTGAATAACAAGCTACCTTTACAAACCTAAAAAAAAATTTATTATGTAACTTTGCCTTTTAAACAGTCTTTGCCTGGTATATTATCTAGAAGATTATACTCGGCGTTTGATAAATGATGACTAAACTGCAGAAGACAGACTGAGCATCAGTGGGCATGGCGCTTAATAACAAAGATTTTAAAATGTAAAAATAGAAATGTAGACTGGCAAAAAGTGCAAAAATGTTTTAAGGTTCCTTTCGCGGGGGGGAAGGGAGGGAATAGCCTCCCTCCTTAAATGCAGACAACCTTTCTCTTAATGACTTTTTCCTTCTATATAGTTATCAGAACTTAACCAAAACCTTCTTTTCCTTCCCGACTCTCTTTTCCTTACGTAATACTCATATGCAGACTCTTAGCCACACCCTAGTAAAGCAACTTCCCCAGCATTTTCCAATCTAAGTTTATTATCTCCTCCAACACTACAGTCTTTAGCTTCAAAATTTCAAGAGTCCTCTAATGTTCTATTTCTAATATGCTCATAACCATTTCAAAATCAAATGTTGCTAGAATATCTCTATCATGCTCACTGCTACACCCTCTCCCAACCACACCTTCATCATTTGAAACCTGCATTACAGCTCCACTCTCCCTATTCAGTCCTACAAACCTCATTAAGGCAGGAAGGCCAGAATCTGGAATTACTTAAGTCCAGGTGTATTTAAAGTGCGTGATCATTCTAGAGGACTAACTCATGTTTGTCTTTGTTCTTATTGTAGACCTAAATGACTTCACAAGGGCCCGTGTAACACCAGTATTGCAGACCCATGTGTCACAAATTCAACTAGCACATTGTTTTTCTCCCCCTTCTTCTATTTCTGTAGAAGATGAATCCGCAGGCAAGAATGATGGATGGGTGAAAGGGAGGGGGAATACGAAAGCCCAGAGGCGGAGACTTCACTTCCGATTGCCACGCTATATCAAGAAAGCCAACAGTCTGGCCTTTCCGCAAGCCACAAGAAAAGGCAGATCAGACTCCCCGGCTCCTCGGGTAGTTCTCAAAGGCAAAGACAAAAATAAGAAACTAGTCTGAAGAAAGAGAGTCCCTCGCTTCTTCAGAACTCACCTGTCAAGAGCGGCGTGGACGGCGCCATGTTGTCCCGGAAAGAGAAACCGCTCGGGTGAGAGTTCACCAGGGCCGAACCCGGCCCCTACACGTCTCCTCATGCGTGGAGACAGCGAATTGGTGTTTCCGGAGCCATCAGCCTCGGGGCCAATTCACTTCCGGTTACGGAGTGACGCGGAAAAGGCGCCCAAACGCGCACGCGCAAATCTAGGGCGACGCTTGACAGAGCTTGGGAGGGTGCGCCTGCTTTCGCCCTCCTTCTCCAGCGGGAGGGGCGCGCACTTCCGCGGGGCGGAGTCCGTCTAGTGCTGACGTTGGCAGCCGAACCCAAAGTAGATCGAGGCGGCGGGCTGCACATTCCCGTTGTTGCGTTGCGTTTCCTTCCTCTTTCACTCCGCGCTCACGGCGGCGGCCAAAGCGGCGGCGACGGCGGCGCGAGAACGACCCGGCGGCCAGTTCTCTTCCTCCTGCGCACCTGCCCCGCTCGGTCAGTCAGTCGGCGGCCGGCGCCCGGCTTGTGCTCAGACCTCGCGCTTGCGGCGCCCAGGCCCAGCGGCCGTAGCTAGCGTCTGGCCTGAGAACCTCGGCGCTCCGGCGGCGCGGGCACCACGAGCCGAGCCTCGCAGCGGCTCCAGAGGAGGCAGGCGAGTGAGCGAGTCCGAGGGGTGGCCGGGGCAGGTGGTGGCGCCGCGAAGATGGTCGCCAAGCAAAGGATCCGTATGGCCAACGAGAAGCACAGCAAGAACATCACCCAGCGCGGCAACGTCGCCAAGACCTCGGTAAGGAAAGAGCGGGCGCCCCTCTGCGTTCCGCAGCCGGAGCTGAGTCCGGGTCCCTGGGGCCGCGTCGCGTTTTCTCCCGGATCCGGCCGACCGTGGGCTGGTGCCGTGGAGGGGTAGGGGCCCGAGTCTGCGAACCGCCAGACTGTGGGGGCTCGGGAACGGAAGGGGAGACCTGTGAGGTGAGGGGGCCGGCGACCGGCGTGCAGGCGTGGGAGCCTGGGGTCCGAGTGGTTTCTCTGCATCTGAAATGGTGGATTTTCGCTTTTGCAGAGAAATGCCCCCGAAGAGAAGGCGTCTGTAGGACCCTGGTTATTGGCTCTCTTCATTTTTGTTGTCTGTGGTTCTGGTAAGTGGCTTGGGGGCTCCCATCAGGTAGAGTCTTGGGTTGAAAGGATTTGGGATGACGTGGTGACCGGTCAGTAGTGAGTCCTACCTGCGTAGTTCTCAACCCACCTGCCGAGGACTCCACATAATTCTGTTTCGTCTGAACCAAATTACTTGTTCCACATATGCACAGAGGGTGGTGCTCCAGAAACTTCTCCCAGCTTAATTTGTACTCACAGGAGATCAAAAAGGAGGTCAGGTCTTGGTAATGATCCAGTTGGAATAAATGTTAAGACCGGACAAAACCTAACGAAATGAGAATTTAGAATGTTTTGTAACTCCATTATCAGTCTTTGCAAAGAAAATTATAAATATGTACTATAGATGTTAGAACTTGATTTAACATATACCAGAATCTAATGTCTTAATGTCAAAATTGAGTATATTTTATAAAATAAAGCTTGTGCAAAGAATTGATTCACTATAGAGGAAATTACCTGATTGGCATTTTAATGTGTGAGTCAAATGTTTTTAGGTTAATAAAAGAAACGTTTGATACATGGTTTAAAAAAAAAGTGTCGGGGTAGCCTGCTGTCCCCTAAGAGTAACAGACACTTGCCTTTGCAAATAGATTACAAAAAAAAGGTCTTTCCTCTCTTCATTTATCATTTTAATATGCAAGCTGTTAATATTGAAGTAGATGTTTGTTTTCCACATTCTAAAATTACTGAGATTTCTGTTTAACGTTTCACTTTGCCTTTCTTCTTCACTTACCAATTGGAAGCTTTCCTGATAAATGGATGAGAGCCAAGCAGTTTATATAACCTGAAGATGATTGAATTTCAGCTTTGTGAGAATGAGGAAACATGCATGTGTTACAGGCCAGGCCTTAAAAGGATGCTTATAAACCAAAATAATTCTATGCTGGAAAAACCTGTTGGCTTTGGTGCTTTAAGTTCTTTGTAAAATGATTACTTATCTGCAAGTTCTCTTGGATACTTAGACATAAAGTTCAGCGAAGCTAAGATAAAAAAATAACTCAGGGATATTTCATTGTTTTATTTATTCAGACAGGCCTGTCTTCACTTCTTATTATACTGAAGTTATGTACCATTTGCAAATGTAAGAGTACCTTTGGATTCTTCAGCTACCTTAATAAATATTTGTTAGACACCAGACCTATTTTATTCAAAGCTTATTTTAATATTTGCTCTTTCTTTTTACAGCAATTTTCCAGATTATTCAAAGTATCAGGATGGGCATGTGAAGTGACTGACCTTAAGATGTTTCCATTCTCCTGTGAATTTTAACTTGAACTCATTCCTGATGTTTGATACCCTGGTTGAAAACAATTCAGTAAAGCATCCTGCCTCAGAATGACTTTCCTATCATGCTTCATGTGTCATTCCAAGGTTTCTTCATGAGTCATTCCAAGTTTTCTAGTCCATACCACAGTGCCTTGCAAAAAACACCACATGAATAAAGCAATAAAATTTGATTGTTAAGATACAGTAGTGGACCCTACTTATTCAGTCAATTAAGAGTAAGTTTTTTTATGTGGTTATTAAAACAGTATGAACAATTAGTCTAACTCTGCATAGACAGGGTCTAGATTTTGTTAACCCAAATGTATAACTGCAGTTAGCTTAAATTACAATTTGAAGTCTTGTGGTTTTTATATAGCTAGGCACTTTATTACTCTTTTGAACTGAAAGCACACTCCCTTATAGGTTCATGTAACTGTCCTGTAATAAGGTGCTTATAAATGGAACAACTACACAGCCTAGTTTTGCCACAACCTTTAGCATCTAAAAAGTTTTAAAAGCTTCTAAATGTCTAATATAAAGGGAGATGCTTATAGCCACAACATCTATTTTACCAATATTGTTTCCATTACACTACCTTGGATTTTGCATGAGTGAGTATAGTAACCCAAGATGCCATAAAAAAAAAACTTGATCGTTTTCTGACTTAATCAGTTACTGTGGTTTCACTAAAAGCTACCGTGGTGGAGTGAAGTCAGTCAGGGAAGGTTTGTTTATGTTACATTTATTTCACCAGAACTATTTTAATATATCAAAGGGGTTTACTATGCCAAACAAAATTCTAGGGAAAAATACTGCTAAAAATGGATGCCTCATCAGAACATGCTGTTGAGTCCAATGTGCCATAAGACATTTTAGCATGTTAAATAGCACTTTTAATAGCAAAAAAAGGCACATCAACTGCGAAGTTATCCTTAGTTTGCAAATGCTTTTTCTAGATTAATGATTTTTCAATCATTAGGGTACTAGACACATCAGCCTAAAGTGGCATCTGGAATTGAATGGATTTACTGATAATGATCAGTCTTTAGTCTTCCCTTTGTTATATGACTTTATAGGTTATGATTGATCAAATTTACGTTTTACTAATGGTAAGGGTGAGGGTCATAGGGCAGGTTTTGGGTTTTCTAGTACTGTTGAAAACTGCAAGTATTGGCTATTTGTATACTTAGCCATAACTTGGTGAAAAAAAACCTGAGCAGTGTCTATGTATTAATGCGTTGGAAAGAAAGCTGCTTGTGTTTGCTTTGTTAATTGCCTCAGGATATTTCTTTTAAAATAAGCTGTTTTAAGAGGAACAGAAGGGAAATCTGCTACCTAGTCTATACACAGCGTGAACCTCACAGGGGGCTTCTGATACCCTCAAACATGGAGAACAGTAAGGGAGCAGAGTGGTTAAGGACTTTCAGGAACTTAACTATTCTGGAATAAGGAATGAATCAACTGACCTTGGGCCAGCAGGTTTTTAACTAAATTGTTACTTGCCTTTCTCACCCAGTTAATCAGTCTCTGTACTTGTTTCCCTTTTTGAAACAAGTGTCTTGGTTAACTAATTCTGTTTTATGGTTGTGCTAAATTCATAGCAGGTGCCTTATTCTTTGCTTTTAGTCAAACCATTCCATATCAGAATTTTCCTTGGTTTACTATAGATATTTGGCTTTAAGTTGTTGTTTGTGTTTTTTAATGTACAATGTTCTGATAAATTTGACTGTTAAATTGCTATAGCTAGCAATCATTTTACATATGTAAAATTGCATTCCCTTTGTATTTCATGTGTAATTCACCAATTAAGTGCAGTTTATATTCAGGTTGGATTATGCATGTTTAGGTAAACGAAAGCTGTGTCTTACTTGATTTATTCTTTAAAAATAAAGTTCCCTGAATATTTGATGCTTTTCTTCTAAACGGAAATGATTTTACAGTTATCTGAGTGTACCTTTTATAGTTAGTAGAAAATGATTTTAAAGAATGTTTAGTATTGTACTTAAATGGTATGCAGAGGCACAGATGTAAGGTTTATAACTGGAAATAGGTGGTAAGAAAAATATATAGAAAGCACAATGATTTGAATATTTTTCCACTTAGGATTTCCTAATCTCCTTGTCATCCAATTCAAGCTCAAGATGAAGCACAATTCTTTGATCTCCCTTTGCCAGTTGAATTTTATAGATCATCTAATGTTGAGCACAGTATGAGAATAAATATTGGGGTTGTCAACATTACTCAGTTACTCTTTGTGGTTTAACTCTAACATTTCAACAAGTTGTCAATTAATTGTATCTGTTGGGTTGTATATAATGTTGCTCAAAATAATTAAGTGGACTTCCAAAAATAAGATTTCCATTGTAACAGGATGCATTGTGATGGGCTTTGACTTACATTAAAGAAATGTGGATAGTCAACTGCAGGGCCATGACTCTTCTCACTGAGGTTACTGGAGTTCTGTTGGTACAAAGGACAACCATGGAGAGCTGGATTATGTTCCTGGGCTTAGTAGGTTCACCAGCAAAACTTTATTATGCTTCATTTGTGAAACTTAGAGCATCAGATTCTCCATTTAGAAATTGTTCTTAAGTTTGATTTGCCTTTACTTGCCTTTGTAGTTTTTAAATTTATTTTTTAGATGCAAACCGTAACTTCAAGAGGTAGGAGTTGATTGGCTTCAACAGCAAACTCTATGGCACTCCCTCAGAGAAGCATTTCCTGTCTAAACTTACTTAGTACCACAGTAGCTACTTGTACTACTTTATTTTCAAATTGAATTAGGACACATGTCCTTATTTAGAAAGAGGATTAATGAGCAATAAAAGGCTAGAAATTAAGGGAAAAATTAACTGCCTAGGCTTAGGTAATTCAAAGTAAATATATATCACAGAAACAAAGAAGGGACATGGAAAATTTAATCCAACTGCTTCAATTCGCAGATTAACAAAAACATGCATTTTAGTCAGTGAACAACTTATATGCCAGGTATGGAACTGTGAATACATAGTCCTGACACTGAAATATCTCAGACCAGTAGAGAAGGAACAGACAAAATGAAAGCATAACTACAATTGTAATAAGTATGTCAAAGGACAAGTAAAGCCAGATAAATTTTTTTTGTTGTTTTTTGTTTTTTTCAATCACAGAGCTAATTGGGGGAGAGCAGAAACGAACCAAAGTTTCTTGTACTTTATGGTAATAGGAATGATTGCAAAACTTACACTTAGAACACTTCTGTTTTCACGAGCTCTTTGCTTCTGCTTTTACAGAAATTCTTTAATTTTTTTTTAATTGCCAATTCGAAGGAAAAAGGAATCTGTCCTTTTATGGGTGCATTTAAAAAAAACTAGTGACAAATTTACTAGTGGTGCTCCCTGTACAGCACAAAAATGCAAGGGCTAGTAATGTTACCACTGTGATACATTTAAGGTTACATTTTTAAAAATTATTTTGCTAGAGTTTTTAATAATTTTTCATCTGGGCCAGGCGCGGTGCCTCACACTTGTAATCCCAGCACTTTGGGAGGCCGAGGCGGGTGGATCACCTCAAATCAGGAGTTCGAGACCAGCTTGGCCAACATGGTGAAACCCAGTCTCTACTAAAAATACAATATTAGCCGGGTGTGCTGGCGCATGCCTGTGATCCCAGCTACTTGGGAGGCTGAGGCAGGAGAATATCTTGAACCTGGGAGGCGGAGGTTGCAGTGTGCCAGGATTGCAGCATTGCTCTCCAGCCTGGGCAACAAGAGTAGAAACTCCATCTCAAAAAAAAAAAAATTAAAAAATTTTTAATCTGTGTTGTTGAAAAGTGTAAAATAAATAATTTTATTTTGTTTTTAATTTTTTAAAAAATAGAGGTGGGGTCTTGCTATGTTGCCCAGGCTACTCTTAAACTCCTAGGCTCAAGTGATCCTCCTGTCTCAGCCTCCCAACGTGCTGAGATGACAGGCAAGAGGCACCATGCCTGGCCAAAATAAAAATTTTTAATAGGCAGTCCAGTAGTCCGAAAAATGAAGCAATGTGCTCCCCAGAGATACTTTTTATAACAAAGGGTTTAATGAAGATTTTCCAGTGTGCAGATTTCTACTTTGCAGTGCAGATAGAATACATCTGTGTATTTAAATTATTAAAACATTACAGTATCATTACATGGACTAACAACAAATTTTTATTTTCTAACAGTGTGTTATGGAGAAAGCCTGCCAAACGGAGAATGAGAATAGTTTACTTTGAACTGAAATAATTGATTTAGGAGCTTTAGAAATGATCTTGATTGGGCCTTTTATTTTACATTTGAGGACATATGGCCTAGAGATACTGTCCTTCCTAACACCAATAAAGCAATGGCAGAGCAAGGATTAGAAAACTGGTTTTGTAATGATGAAATTGGCACTTAGTATGTTGAATGTCAAGGAATTATGATGCTTTAAGCATGTCTCCTCTATTTTTTTTAGCAATTTAAAACTTTTATATTAAGAATGTAATGTTTTCCTTTTACCTTTGAAGATTATGTATTAATCTAACGAAACTCAATGAGTTCTCCATGGTGGTAAAATCTGAACATTTATTAACCTCAAATGGCTTTCCACCGCCATTGGGAAGAAATAATTCTTTTTGCCTTGGTTTTCAGGAGGCTTCACAACCTACCTATCAGCCTTGTCCCCCACAGCTTCCCTCCATAGAACTGTTCTAGCCCTGATTTTTCAGATACCTTGAACTTAAGGTTGTTTTGCCCACTTTTCCTGCGTTACAATACTACCTACCCTTTCCAGCTTTAATTTCACCTCTCCTGTAAAGCTTTCTCTTGATGTGGGATTCAGGAAGACTCTCTTTGGGACTTACAGCTCTGGACCAGTTAGCTTTATTACATTCACATGTTTATTATTTTTGTTTCTTAGTTTCTCAGACATGGAATCCTTAAGGACAAAGGCCATATCTTTTCTTTATTTCTTCATCTACCGTCATCACTCCCTTGGCTAGTACAGAGCTTTACACATATAGTGGGAGTTCAACATATTAGTTGAGTGATAAAGTGAAAAAGATCGATGAATGCCTTATATCAGAATAATCTTTAAGAAGCAGGTCTTTTTGTAAAATCCCCTAACCCTGGTATAACAGTCGTCCCAACTACTTCCAAGCTTGGTGACCTCTGGTTGATGACTGGGCTCAGCACCAGAATTCAGTTTCTTTACCCTTTAAACAAACTCCTCCAGGATAGGCTTGATATTTGGAAGTACTTCAACAGTGTGATATTTGTCTTTCAGTTGTATTTGAGAACGGTTCATAATGTGGCATTGAGAAAACAAAAAAGCACTTTATCAAAGAAAGCTGACACTTTACCACACTGGTCAGTCCGGTTATAAGGAAAGAGTCAAACAGCCATACTTGCTGTTAGAGCAGGTGCTTGTGGGCTGTCAGCTGCCCTCTGTCTCAGCCCCATCCTAGGGTATAGGACGGTACAAGGACACCACACCAGTGCACCCTTCTCTGTGCCAGACCCATGCAAACCAGGCGAGTATACTCCAAACCAAATCCAGTCCCTGAGTAGAGGTAGCTTGTTCTCACAGAGGAATTCCCCACTGCAAGTCCACACCATTTTGACTATCATTTAGGATGTGGTGTGGCTGCCAAACCAAGTCTCACATTGGGCAAAGGAGACTCCAGCACCCTTTTGGGAAAGTGTCATCCATGGAGCCACACAGAGCACCCTACTCAGCACATTTAGCTTCTGGCACCCAGAAGTGCCATGAGACCAGGGTAAACCACCAAGACGCTGCAACTTTGTTTTCTGTTTGACATGTGAGCACCAATAAACGCACAACTGCAGATCCTAAAGCACAAATACATTCGGGATTGAGATAGATTGTAATTGCAGATAAAGCCTAAATCATAAAGGTGATTTTACAGTGGGAGTATCCAAGCATGTTTCTGCCTAGCTCCAGCCCTAGTTACTGGTGCACAATCTGCCTGTTAATTACTCGTGGATTAAGTGGAGAAGAAAGGTACCACAGACAATGAACGTCATCCGGAAAGTCATTTGTTCTTTCTTGAGAATAGTATAAAGATGTTTTTCAAGGCCAGATTCTTTTCTTTTTGTAAACATCCCACTAAAATTCATCTGTGTTGCCAAATACACACAGGGAAAGCTGACCCAGCAGAGTTTAATACTCAGCCTGGTTTTGTTCAGGCGCGGTGGCTCAATCCTATATACTCCCAGCACTTGGGGAGGCCAAGGCAGGTGGGTTGCTTGAGCTCAGGAGTTCGAGACCAGCCTGGGCAATATGATGAAACCCTGTCTCCACAAAAAATACAAAAATTAGCTGGGCTTGGTAGTGTGTGCCTGTGGTCCCAGCTACTCGGGAGGCTGAGATGGGAGGATTGCTTGAGCCCCGGAGGCAGAGATTGCAATGAGCTGAGATCACACCACTTCACTCCAGCCTGGGCAATGGAGCCAGAACCTGTCAAAAACAAAACAACAACAACAACAAAACTCAAACAAAAACAAAAACTCAGCCTGATCTAATCTGCTACTCAGAGTGTAGGTTGAGGACCAGCAATAACCTGGAAGCTTGATAGAAATGCAGTGTCTCAGACACCCCACCAAAGGCCCACTGAATCAGAATCTGCATTTTCACAGGATCCTCAGGTGATCTATCTGCAAACAAAACTTTGAGAAGTATTGAAAAGGGCCCTGAGTTCTGGTTCCAGCTCTGGCACTAACTAGTTCCATAGTCTTGCATCCCAAAACCTCCTTGAGCTTCATTCATTTCACTTGAGGAAGACGAAACACCCACCTGCCTCATACAGTGAAGTCTAATGATGGTAAAATCACTTTGAAAAATTAGAAATATTCTATGCAAATAAGATACCACTGACTTTGTGAGCTGCAAAACCAATAGAGCTTTGATAGGGTGAAGGACCTTCCTGACTAAAAACAGAAAGAAATCATAGCCTTCATATTGATATTTGGCTTGGCTGAAAGTCACCTACCATTCTAGGATCACTAGTTATTTGTAGATCTCAAATTATACTTTTACCTTTCCAAAGTTTGGCCTTCCAAATGGCTTCTCAAACTGTATAGGACTATGCATCATATTCTGCTATGTAGCTTCCGCTAAAAAATGTTTTGCATGTAGCAGGTTGAGAGCATATTGGTCTCAAAGATTACTCTTCCACACTAGTTAGCCCTGCTTTAGATGCTCCTATGACACCCCTTTTGTTACCTTACATCAAAATTGCCATCAGTGGGAAGTGCGGTGATTGTACCTACAGGTAATGCCATCCTGGACATGAAAAAGGCACTCGGCAAATATATAGGCTCTTAAAACTTGTCCTTGAAAAGTTGAATTCCCATTAAAAGAAAACAGAAAAATGTTTAGAGAAAATATATGGAATTTGGCCTGGATGTGGTGGCTTATGTCTTTAATCCCAGCACTTTGGGAGCCAAGGTGAGAGGATTGCTCAAGCCCAGGAGTTTGAGACCAGTCTGGGCAATGTAGTGAGACCCCATCTCTATAAAAAATAAAAAACTTAGCCAAATGTGGTGGCTCATGCTTGTAGTGCCAGCTACCTGGGAGGCTGAAGTGGAAAGATCGCTTGGGAGGTCAAGGCTGCAGTGAGCTGAGATCACACTACTGCACTCCAGCCTGGGTCACAAAGTGAGATTCTGTCTCAAAATAAGTAAACAAAATGGAATTTGATTTTATACCTTCCTCATTTTCAAATAAACTTAGATTTACAGAAAGGTTGCAAAGATAGCATAGAAAGTTCCTGTATATCCTTTACTCCAATTCCCCTAATATTAACATCTTATTATATCCATGGTATATTTTTCAAAACCAAGAAATTAACAGTACAGCAATAATAGTTTAACTAACTTAGGACTGTATTTGGATTTCACCAATATTCCACTAATGACCCTTTTCTGTTTCTGGATTCCCTCAAAGTTACCACACTTCAATGTAGCCTTCAGTCTTTTTGTTTGTTTGTTTGTTTGTTTTTGTTTTTTGGGGTTTTTTTTAGAGTGTCTCTTTCTGTCACCCAGGCTGGAGTACGGTGGTGCGATCATTGCTCACTGCAGCCTAAAACTCCTGGCCTCAAGTGATCCTCCTGCCTCGGTGTCCCAAAGTGCTGGGATTACAGGCATGAGCCACTGCACCTGGCCCTCTTTTTTGTTTGTTTGTTTTTTAGTAATGAGCAAATTGTGCCTCATATCAGATATCAGATAAAAATTCAGTATGCTAGATTTTTAAATATTTTAATTATAAAAAGTTCAAATATACATGAAATAACATGAGATGTCTACATGTCATTATCAATATGCCACAGTTGTTAAAATTTTGCCATATTTGCTTCAAATCTCTTTTTAAAAATATAAACAAAATGTTACAGGTAGGATGAAAATACCCCTTATTTGCCCCCTAAAGTCAATGTAGGCTATTTACATATTTTTCTGATACTTTTAGAATACATGTATACATTTATAAATAAAACATACCCTTGTACACTTTTAAGATTTAAAGAGGTGGTATCAAACTGTACATTGTCGTATGAAACTTTACACTCAACATCATTTTGAGGTTTCTTCAGTGGATCTGTTTCATTCATTTGAATTGCTTTATAGAGTATACTTTTTATAGATAAGCCACATTTGTTTATCTAACTTCCTTATGAGGGATACTGAAGTTGTTTCCACTTGTTCCCACTTGTTTGCAATGTGGGTTGTAATGAATATGGGTGTTTATATTAATATATTTTCTCCTTGTTTAACTGTATACAGAATTTCTCTAGTCTGGAATTTGGAATGTCTGGGCATGAGGTACATACATCTTCAAATGTATGAGGTATGGTGAAATAGGTTTTCATTTATGTCTTTAATTTTATGTTTGTATCCCTTTAAAAAAAAGCTTTTTTAAAGAGACAGAGTCTTGCTTTGTCACCCAGGCATGTTTAGTGGAGTAGCTCACTGAAGCCTCAAACTGCTGGGCTCAAGTGGTCCTCCTGCGTAAGCCTCCTGAATAGCTAGGACTACAGGTACTCGTCACCATGGCTGGCTAATTGTTTGTACTTCGTTGTAGAGACAGGGTGTCACTATGTTGACCAGGCTGGTCTCAAACTCCTGGGCTCAAGTGATCTTCCCACCTCGGCCTCCCAAAGTGCTGGGATTACAAACAGCCCCTTTGCCCAGCCTTCCTTCCTGTCTTTCAACAATGTTTTGTAGTTTTCAGAATATAAGTTTTGTTCTTGTTAAATTTATTTCTAAGTACATTATTCTTTTTGATTCCATTGTAAGTGGAATTTTTTCCTTAATTTTATTTTCTTTTTGCTCACTGCTACTGTATAGACATTCAGTTGTTTTTGTATATTGATCTTGTACCCTGCAACCTTGTAGAGCTCATTTACTAGTGCTAATAGTTGTTTAGTGAATTAGGATTTTCCACACACAAGATTGATCTGCAAATAGAGATAGTTTTACTTCTTTCCTTTCCAGTCTGAATGCCTTTTCTTTCATTTACTTGTCTAATTACCCTGGTCAGAATTAGCCTCCAGTACAATATTGAATAGACGTGGCAACAGTGGGCTGGGTGCGGTAGCTCACGCCGGTAATCCCAGCACTTTGGGAAGTCAAGGTAGGTGGATCACCTGAGGTCCGGAGCTCAAGACCAGCCTGGCCAACATGGTGAAACCCCGTCTCTACAAAACATACAAAAATTAGCCGGGCATGGTGGTGCACACCTGTAATCCCAGCTACTTGGGAGGCTGAGAGGAGAATTGATTGTACCTGGGAGGCAGAGGTTGCAGTGACCGGAGATCTTGCCACTGCACTCCAGCCTGGGCAAAAAAAAAAAAAAAAAAAAAAAAGCAGCAACAGTAGACATCTTTGTTTTCTTCTGGATCTTAACAAGAACAAGAAAACATTCAGTTGTTTACCATGAAGTATGATGTTAGTTGTGAGTTTTTTGAAGATGCCCTTTTTCAGGTAGAGATTTTGGTTTGCTAGTATCTCTGTAGAATTTTTACATTTATGTTCGTAAGAGATCTTGGTGTAGTTTTCATTTCTTGTTGTGTAGGTTTTGTTATCAGGGTAATACTGGCTTCGTAGAATAAGTCGGGAGTTGTTCTCTTCGGTTTCCTGGAAAAGCTTGTGAAGAATTGGCATGAATTCTTTGTATGTTTTGTAGAATTCACCAATAAAGCCATCTGGGCCTAGGCTTTTCTTTGTGGATAGTTGTTTTGTTACAAATTCAATTTCTTTTTTTCCCCACCTTTAGACAGGGTCTTCCTCTGTAACCTAGGCTGGAGTGCAGTGGCACGATCATGACTCACTGCAGCCTTGACCTCCTGGGCTCAAGCAATCCTCCTATCTCAGCCTCCCAAGTACCTGGGACTACAAGTGTATGTCACCACGCCCAGCTAATTATTTACTTTTTGTTTTGTAGAGATGGGGCCTCGCTATATTGCCCACACTGGTCTCAAACTCTTGGGCTCAAGTGATCCTCCCACCTCAGACTCCCAAAGTGCTGGAGTTACAGGTGTGAGCCACTGTGCCCACCCACAAATTCAATTTCTTTACTTGTTAGAGGTCTGTTCAGATTTTTTGTTTCTTCTTGATTCAGTGTTAGTAGTTTGTGTCTTTTTAGAAATTTGTTCATTTTGTCTGTTATCTGCTTGGCATACAGTTGTTCACAATATTCCTTTATAATCATTATTATTTTGTAACATTAATGGTAACATTTCCTCTTTCATTTGAGCCTTCTCTCTTTTTCTCGGTTAATCTAGCTAAAGGTTTGTCAACTTTGTTGCTCTTTTAAAAGAACCAACTTTCAGGTTTATTAATTCTCTCTATTGTTTTTCTGTACTCAATTTCTTCAATTTCTGCTCTATAGCCCTTGGTATTCTTGACTTGCCTGTGCTGGCATGGAACCTTTGCTATATGAATGGGCTGGAGTGATGGGGATTGGACCCAGTATTCTCAGTAGATTCTGTATCCCACGAGTGGGGGCTGGGTAGAAGAAGGGGGCTCCCACCTTTCGGCTACACCACCCAGAACTTAGCCTTTGCAACAGGTAGCTGGGAAAGGAGGAGAAATGGAGACATGCTGCCCTGATGGGAAGATACTGCAGCCCTCTAGATGGGAGGTGAGGGCAGAGGGAGCCCTGTGTTCTTGGCTGTGTCTACCTGGAGTAGGGTTCCCATCACTCTGAATATGGAAGGGGAAGGAAATTGGTCATGACTCAAATGCCATAGACTCTTACCATTCCTAACTAGTTTTAGTAGGTTTTCTTTTCTTTTCTTTTCTTTTCTTTTTGAGATGGAGTCTCACTCAGTCACCCAGGCTGGAGTGCAAGTGGCATCATCTTGGTTCACTGCAACCTCCTCCTCCTGGGTTCAAGTGATTCTCCTGCCTCAGCCTCCCGAGTAGCTGGGACTATAGGAATGCACCACCTCGCCCAGCTAATTTTTGTATTTTTTAGTAGAGATGGGGTTCCCCCATGTTGGCCAAGCTGGTCTTGAACTCCTGACTTCTCAGGTGATCTGCCTGCCTCGGCCTTCCAAAGTGCTGGGATTACAGGCATGAGTCACAATGCCCGGCCAGTTTTAGTAGGTTTTCTCGAATAAATGTTTCTTCATTTGCTGTATGGCCTTAAGACCATTTCTAGAGAATTTAAATTTTGTTTTTTAATGATTTTCACCAGTTTCATTGTGGAGTGGGTCCATGGAGGTCCTCAGGTTGCCATGCCAGAAAGAGAATCTTAGTGGTTGCTTTTATATTTTTAATTCAGTTTAGTAACTATATATTATATTTTCTTGGTTTTAATATCAAATCTATTAAACTAGGTATATTCAGAGAAATCTAGTTCTTATTTCTTGTTTTCTTTCTTTGAGACAGGGTCTTACTCTGTTGCCCTGGGTGGAGTGCAGTGGCATGATCACAGCTCACTACAGGCAGCTTCTACCTCTTGGGCTCATGTGATCCTCCCACCTCAGCCTCTTGGGTAGCTGGGATTATAGATGTGTGCCACCATGCCGGGCTAATTTTTTGTAATTTTTTTGTGTGTGCTGAGATGGGGTTTCACCATGTTGCCAGGTTGGTCTCCAACTCCTGGGCTCAAGCGAACTGTCCACCTCAGCCTCCCAAATTGCTGGGATTACAGGTGTGAACCACTGTGCCTGCCTTCAGTTCCTATTCTTGTTCTTTCTACTTTCTTGTCTCTTCCTATTGATAAGGTTACAATATTTTGTGAGATTAATATGGCATAACATTCACCCTTTTAAAGTGTACATTTCAGTGGTTTTTAGTATATTTTACAAAGCTATGCAACATCATTACTACCAAATTTCAGAATACTTCATTTCCCCAGAAATAAACTTTGTATCTATCACTCCCTTCCCCATACCTATTGATGTTCATTGCTCCTCCCCCTTCCCCTAACCTCTAGCAACCACAGAATCTACTTTCTCTCTAGATTTGCCTACTCTGGACTTTTCATATAAATGGAATAATACAGTATGTGACCTTTTGTGATTGACTTCTTTTACTTAACATAATGTTTTCAAGGCTCATTCATTTTAGAGCATGAATCAGTACTTCATTCTTTTTGATATGTTTCCCCATTCATCAGTTGATGGACATGTGGATTGTTTCCATTTGGGGGCTATTATGAATAATGTTGCCATGAACATTCATGTACAAGTTTTTGTGTTGGACATATGTGATTTCTTTTTTCTCTTGGGTATGTACCTAGGGGAACAATTCTTGGGTTTTAGATAACCTTTTTAAAAAAGGCTTTCTTTTACGCTTTTATTAAGAGATGGATAATAGAGATATGGATATATAAATATTCACTTTCTTAGATAAATGGTAGGATTGCACAGATACCCTTTTCTTTATCTTGCTTTCTCCACTTAAAATATATCCTGGAAACCAAAAGCAAAAAATATATATCCTAGGCATCAGCCCATGTAAGTGTATAGAGATATTCCTCACTTCTTTTTATAGCTCCATGATCAGGATGTGCCATGATTTATTCAACCAGTCACTATTCATAGACATTAGTTTTACAGTCTCTTGCCATTACAAATAGAACTGAAATAAATTACCTTATGTATTATATCTTTTCATATTTGTGCAAGTGTGTTTTTAGGATAAATTCTTGGAAGTAAGATTTCTGAGCCAAAGGATAAATGCAGTTCAGTATTATCAAATTCCCTTCCATTGAGGTTATTCTGTTCTATATTCCCTTCAGCAATGTATCAGAGTGACGGTATCCCTATGTGGTTACTTTTTATAATGTACTATATATGATTAAAAATAATAGGCCGGGAGTGGTGGCTCATGCCTGTCATCCCAGCACTTTGGGAGGCCGAGATGGGTGGATCACGAGATCAGGAGATCGAGACCATACTGGCCAAAATGATGAAACCCCGTCTCTACCAAAAATACAAAAATTAGGTGGGCGTGGTGGTGCGTGCCTGTAATCCCAGCTACTCGGGAGGCTGAGGCAGGAGAATCGCTTGAATCCAGGAGGCAGAGGTTGTAGTGAGCTGAGATCGCACCACTGCACTCCAGCCTGGCGACAGAGCAAGACTCCATCTCAAAATAATAATAATAATAATAATAATAATAATAATTTAAAAAGTGTATTCTCTAGTTTTTGGTGCCAGTTCTGTGTTTGTTTCTTTGTTCAAGTTGTTAATTATGTTGTTTACATCTAGATTCTTATCAGTTTTTTACTTTTTGATAGAGGTTTATGGACTTGTAAATTTCTTCCAATATTTCTGTATATTTTTCTTTAAATATTTTGAGGCTCTGTTAAGTATATTCAAATTTAGAGATATCTGTCTGATAGATTGTTTCTTTTTCATTATGTAACATCCATCCGAATCTCTAATAGTGCTTTTTCACTTACAGTCTATTATATTTGATATTACGGTTACATATAATCTTTAGTATATATATATATATATAGATATATGCACACACACAGATATGTATATACTCAAATACATAGTTGGCCCTCCATATCTGTGTGCATCTGTGAATTCAACCCTCCAAAGATTGAAAATATTCAGAACAAAATTCCATAAAGTTTCAAAAGGCAAAACTTGAACTTGCCATGCCTAGTACTGTGTTGAATTTACATGAATGAAATGATATGTAGGCATTGTGTTAGATGTTGTAAGTTATCTAAAGATGATTTAAAGTATATGGGAGAATGCCATATACTTTATTATATATTCAATATATATATATTGAATATATATCAGGTTATATTCAAATATTGTGCCATTTTATATAAGGGACTTGAGCATCCACAGATTTTTGTATTTGCCAGGGTCCTGGAACCAATCTATGGATACCTAGGGCAACTGTATACATTCAAACATACTGAACAATACATATTCAAATATATATTTATATATTCAAATAATATGTGTAATAAATATATGTATTCACCTTTCTTTTGGATGCAGTTTGCATCCAAAAGTATTTTTTTCTGCTCGTTTATGTTCAATCTCTCTATGTCCTTGCGTTTTAAGTATCTAGTATAAACATGTGGATTATAATTATGTTTTTATGTAGTTTGAAAATACTGTTTAATTCATCTGCATATATTAAAATTAGTAATGTTTTGGATTTATTTTTACTCTCATATTTATTGCCTTTCTGATTACTGTACGTTTTAGTTTTTATTATTTTGCTTACTTTTAACTTCTTTCTGTTGGATTGATTGGGATTTGGGATTTCCAGCATGGCATATTCTTTTTTCTTTCTTTCTTTTTTTCTTTTGAGACAGAGTCTTGCTCTGTCGCCCAGGCTGGAGTGCAGTGGCACAATCTCGGCTCACAGAAACCTCTGCCTCCTGGGTTCAAGCAATTCTTGTGCCTCAGCCTCTCAAGTAGCTGGGATTACAGGCATGCGCCACCATGCCAGGCTAATTTTTGTATTTTTGTAGAGACAGGGTTTCGCCATGTTGGCCAGGCTGGTCTCGAACTCATGACCTCAAGTGATCCACCCACCTCAGCCTCCTGAAGTGCTGGGATTACAGGTGTGAGCCACCATGCCCGGCAACATTTTATTTACTGTAGTGTTTACCTGTGGCTCTTCTATTTCAGAAACTGGTGGTGATTAAGTTGTATTTCTTTCCTCTCTCCCACTTTAGGGATAATTTGAGAAAGGCTTAATTTGTAGAAATTAATATGAAATTGTTTTTTCATTTAGAAATCATAATTTATACTTACATAAAGTACAGAAAACTGTAGCTTACCATGTAGCTTTTGGGGGGAAAACGACATTTTTATCATAATCTTTTGTACTGTAAAAATAATATATGTAATGCTTACTATCAAAAGATAGACTCTTTTGAATAACCCCATTATTGGGAAATACACGCCAAAATATTTAGGGGTAAAGACCCATGAGGTATATAACTTACCCGCAAATAGTTCAGGAAAATAATTATATCCAGAGAGAAAGAGAGAGAAAATAATGAAGTGAATGGTATAAAATGTTGAATAGGTAAATCTGGTAAAGGGTAAATATGGCTGTTTTTGGTAGTTTAAAAAATTTTTTTGCAACATTTTATAACTTTGAAATTATTTCCAAATAAAAAGTTTTAAACTCCATATTTAGCAAAGGATTACAAAAACCTCTTCTTTGTGAAATTTTTCAATCACATTATATTTTAAAAAGTGAATAAATGTTAGTATTTTTATAATGATTGGGTGCCCCCCAGTGTTCAATTTCCACAACTACTAATCTTACAAATTCAAACCCAACTTCCTACAGCTGTATTTAGAAATGCCTTTTTGTTGATTTTTTTTTTGTGGTGACAACGTAAGATTGTTGTTTTTTCTTGAGACACAGTCTTGCTCTGTAACATAAGGTTACGAGAAGAATGTGTATAATGTCAACATTTGTAAAAAAGAAAAATAGCCACAAGCTACTAAAATATGAAACCAGACCCATGCATTATGATATGAAATGCAGATTTCTGCCTCCCCTAGGACCTTAATCAGTACACAAACTAGTTAAAACTGGGGGTTTATACATAGTCCATGATAATTATAGGGCATAGAATTATTCAAAACATCCATTTACTGGAGGTGGAAGTGGTCACAGCAGGAAAACTAGCAACGCATTTTCTCCTTTTTTCTCTAAACAACAGATGTTATTGTCTTTCATCCAAATAAATTCCTTACGACAAAAGAACAAGTAGGTTTAACATTTGTCTTAAGGTAAATCAGTATCATAAGTTGTGAAAGAAACATACAATTTTAAAACAAACATCAAAAATCAGTCTGCTTTAACAAACTTCACTCATTCTGATGATCTAGTCTTCTTCCTGGATTGTGGCTATCATCCAAATTGTGCAGCAATTCTCTGAAAAACTGGAATGTAAAATGTTGAGTTCAGTTTAAATATCCCCGGTGTCTTCATCATTTCCAGTGTCATTGACTGGATTTAGGCATGCTCTCCTGGAACAGACGTAACCTGCTTTTGACAGTGGTTTGACCTGGAAGCTCAACTTGGACCTTTAGATGTCCAGCTTTATTTGTAATGTAATGTAAAATTATGTAACTTTGTTGTCTAGTAGTCTTGCAAGCCCAGCCATATAATGTCCGAAGTCTTTATCCAAACTTTTTCTTTCAATTTCTTTTGACCAACAAAACATGTTGTTTCGGTCGGGTGCGGTGGCTCATGCCTGTAATCCCAGCACTCTGGGAGGCAGAGGCAGGCAGACCACCTGAGGTCAGGAGCTCGAGACCAGCCTGGCCGAGACAGGAGACTCGCTTGAACCTGGGAGGTGGAGGTTGCAGTGAGCTGAGATTGTGCCATTGCACTCCAGCCTGGGTGACAAGAGTGAAACTCCATCTCAAACAAACAAACAAACAAACAAACAAAACAATGTTGTTTCTAACTGTCCATTTGCCAACATGTAGATTATCTGAGCTTACTGGTCCATTCTCCTTCTCAGATTCATTCTCATTTCAGATTCATTCTTGTTCTTACCACCATACCTATTTTTACCTTTGTTCTTGGGCAGAGCTGGGTGGAGGGCTGGGTCTCTATCTCCCTCTGTGGTGTGTGGGCACAGCAGTTACAGGAGGCCTGATACTGCGTATGGGAGAACGCTGGCGCATTTGGGAGAGCGTCCATTTGAGATTTCCTTATGATATTCTCCCCTCTGTGTTTTTCATAGTTACACGCTCTATCTCTATTCTCTCAAAAACACCTTTTAAACATAATCAGGTATATTTGATGAAGTCTAAAATGAATCTTTATTTCTACTTTCTTCTTGAACAAAGACTGTAAAATACTTTGATTTCAATTATCTCTTCCATATTTTACATTAATGTCATCTAGTATTTTTGCCCAAATTAGCTATTATTATTGTTTTTTATAAGCATGTGCTTTTTTTGTTTTTAAGTTGCTTATCATTCCTTCTTGCATCTCATTCTTTCTGGATTCCATTTTCTTTTTCCTGAAGTACATTCCTTAGTGTTCTTTCAGCAACTATCAATGACAAGTTCTTTCATCTCTTCGCATGAAAATGTTTTAATTTGCCTTCTCTCTTGAATGAGTTGGGTATTCACTTCTAGGTTGACAATAATTTTCCCTCAGCCATGAGATGTTATTCTATTTATTTATCTATAGACAGGGTCTCACTCTGCCGCCCAGGCTGGAGTGCGGTGGCGTGATTGTGGCTCACTGCAGCCTCAACCTCCCTGGACTCAGTGATCCTCCCACCTCAGCCTTCCTAATAGCTGGGACTACAGGTGCATGCCACCACATTCGGCTAATTTTTGTATTTTTTGTAGAGATGGGATTTCATCCTGTTGCCCAGGCTGGTCTCAAGTCACCATGGTCGCTGATCAGATTATTTCCTGGCGTCTCTATTATTGCTGTTACAAAGTCAGTTATCAGTTTTATTGTCCTTTTTTTTTTTTTTTTTTTTTTTTTTTTGAGACAGAGTCTTGCTCTGTTTCCAAGGCTGGAGTGTAGTGGCACAATCACAGCTCACTGCAGCCTCAACCCCCCTGGACTCAGTGATCCTCCCACCTTAGCCTCCTGAGTAGCTGGGACTACAAGTGTGTGCCACCACACCCTGCTCATTTTTGTGTTTTTAGAAGAGATGGGGTTTCACCATGTTGGCCAGGCTGGTCTTGAACTTGTGACCTCAAGTGATCTGCCCATCTCAGCCTCCCAAAGTGCTGGGATTACAGGTGTGAGCCACTGTGCCTAGCCAGTTTATTGTCCTTCTTTGTAATATATATTTTTTCTCAGCATCTTTAAAATGTATTAAAAGACTTTATCTTTGACTTTGGTGTTTTGAAGTTTCACTAAGTTACGTGGGACAGTAGGTCTATTTTACTTTTCTAACTTTGTGAACATAGTGATCTTTGAATCTGGGGTTTATGTCTTTCACCAAGGCTAGAAACTTTTCTGCCCTTTATCTCTTCAAATTTCTTCGTTTTTATTTCTTTGTTTTATTTTATTTTTCAGAGACAAAGTCTTTCTCTGTTGCTCTGGCTGGAGTGTATTGGCACCATCAGGGCTAACTGTAGCCTTGACCTCCCAGGCTCAGGCCATCCTCCCACCTTAGCCTCTCAAATAGCTAGGACTACAGGCTTGTGCCACCACTCCCGGTTAATTTTTAAATTTTTTTTTTGTCGAATTGGGAGTCTCATTATGTTGTCCAGGCTGGTCTTGAAGTCCTGGCCTCAAGTGATCCACAGATGCAAGCCACTGTGTGCCTAGCTCATCTCTTCAAATTTCTCTCTCTTTCCTTCCAGAATTCTCTTCTTTCCCTCCAGAATTCCTATTAAAATATGTTTAAACTTCTCGTGTTGTCTTTATGTTTCCTAATCTCTTCATTGCAATCCCTTCTTTTTATCTCTCAGCAATATTTTGGGTCATTTTCTCATCTGCCTCCTAGCTTGATAATGATCTCTTTAGTTTGGTCTAATGGGTTGTTTTGCTCGTCTTTTGTGGCTTTGAAGTTCCGATAATTCCTTTTCACTTCTAAAATTTCTTTCTTTTTTTTTTTTTTTTGAGACAGGATCTTGCTTTGTTGCCCAGGCTGGAGTGCAGTGGCACAGTCTCGGCTTACTGCAACCTCCTCCTCTCAGGTTCAAGCAATTCTCCTCCATCAGCTTCCCGAATAGCTGGGATTACAGGTGCCCGCCACCACGCCTGGCTAATTTTTGTATTTTTAGTAGAGACGGAGTTTTTCCATGTTGGCCAGGCTGGTCTCAAACTCCTGACCTCAAGTGATCCACCCACCTTGGCCTCCCAAAGTGCTGGTATTACAGGTGTGAACCATCATGCCCGGCTAACTTCTAAAATTTCTATTTGATTCCTTTTAAGATTTTTTCTGCAATCTTCCTTGTTTTTTAAATAAGGTCTTATTTTCTTTGGGTTTTCTTTTTCTTTTTTAATTATTTTTTTTAATTTGGCTTTCTTCATACCAGAGGTTGTGATTTTTTTAAAAACATGTTTTTAATAATTTTAAACATAATTATTTTATTTTCTTCCAGTTTTTTTTTATTGTCTCAAGTTTTGGTACTTGTGTTTACTGACTCTCACTTATGGTGGAATAATTCATTGCTTTAACAATTTTCTACAGTAGCCCATCTTTAGTGGGGGCTGTGTTTTCCTTGAAAATTGTCAGTGGCTTGAGTTGTAGAAATATTCTTTCATAAACGGGCATTGGCTTTGCAAAGAGCCATGGGACCCAAGGATATTGCTAATCTCACATTATTTTATGTTAATTTTTCAGCCGAGGTTTGGGGGTTAAAGTTCTTGGATTCTAAAATTTTTACACCGGACTGGGTGCGGTGGCTCACGCCTGTAATCCCAACACTTTGGAAGGCTTAGGTGGGTGGATCACCTGAGGTCAGGAGTTTGAGACCAGCTGGGCCAAAATGGAGAAACCCCGTCTCTACTAAAAATACAAAAATTAGCCGGGTGTGGTGGCCGGCACCTGTAATCCCAGCTACTCGGGGGGCTGAGTCAGGAGAATCACTTGAACCCGGGAGGAAGAGGTTGCAGTGAGCTGAGATTGTGCCACTGCACTCCAGCCTGGGCAACAGAGCAAGACTCTGTCTCAAATAATAATAATAATAACAATAATTTTACACCAGATCTGAGTTGAGGTAATTAGGCCCAAAGTTTTAAAATTCAAATAAATAAATACGTTTTATTTTCTGGACTCCAAAGTCCAGAAAAGAGGAAGATAAGCTTCCTAAGCATCTTTCTGACTTGGTAGTAGATACATTTCATGCTGGTCCACTTTTTAACTCAAAGATCTCAATTTATTCACCTTCACCTCCCTAACCTTTGTGGATTCAAGAGTTTATCTCTAGTCCCTTTGTAGCTTCTAGGACAGCCACAGGATTATCTGCTGTGCTCAGTTTTCCATTCCTTCTTCACTCTGGCACTTGGAGATTCTCCTTTATAACTTGTGAGTTTAGCTACTCAAGAGAATTATTGTTGTATTTTATTTAGCAATTCTTTGAACGTAGGGGTAGATTTTCCCAGTCCTCTTATTGAAATTGGAAGGCTTGACCTTGTTAAAGGATGATTTTCACTTTTTTTTTTTTTTGAGACAGGCAGGAATGCAGTGGCACACTCTGTCACAGTGGCACTGCTCTGTCACTCAGGCAGGAATGCAGTGGCACAATCACGGCTCACTGCAGCCCTGACCTCCAAGCAATTCTCCCCCTTCAGCCTCTTGAGTAGCTGGGACTACAGGCATGTGCCATCACATCTGGCTAATTTTTTATTTTTATTTCTATTTTTATTTTTTGTAGAGATGAAATTACCCCCAAAGGATGAAATTACCCCCAAAGGGAAAGTGGACCACCTACTTTGAGTCCCTGCCCCCTTATCCTTCCTCGCTGGCTCCCAACTTGGCTTCCTATGCAGGACTTATTTGTTCTGGCTGTTAGATCTGTTCTCAGACAACAAATTCTACCTCAATCCTTCACTTTTCACCTGAGTCTTTCAGAACATCATTGGTGATGTTCAGTCACAGGGAGACTGAGAGTTTGTACGAGGGGAAAAATTTTTTTTTTAAAAAGTGAAATTAACACAGAGAATTCACTATGTTGTCCAGGCTGGTCTCAAACTCCTGGGCTCAAGTGATCCTCCCGCCTTGGCCTCCCAAAGTGCTGGAATTATAGGCACGAGTCACTGTGCCTGGCTAAGGATGATTTTCACAGAGGGGTAAAATTATGACTCTATACAGATATAAAATGAACATGTGTTAAAGATTTTATTTAAGTCATTATAAATGAAGAAATAGTAAGATGTTAAACAATGAGTTCAAAGGAGAAGTCAAAGAAGCACAAATTTATGTGGAGCAAAGCAATACTGAAATGAATTTACAAATGGATGGAGAAACTGACTTTTTCAACAGGGGGCAGAAAATTGGATCTCTAACAAAATGTCTTTGTAAACAACACTAACTTTGCATTGTTATCACTTATTGACAATTTACAGAGTTGTAAAATAATTCAAAAGCAATGGAAAGGTACAATCAGATAACCTGAAAGGTGGGTTCTAAATAGTGCTTAGTTTTCCATTTGAGATACCCAATAATCTTTTTTGCTATTTCCAAATGTTCTAACCTTGGATTTTATAGGAATTTTTCCGAGAAGACTTTGTTATATTTTTTACCTTCATAGTGAAAGAAAACAGTATTTTTTCCTCTATCTTTTGCTCAGTTGATAGAGCCAAACTTTGGAGTAGGAGTCAGGGATAAAGCAAAGGAACTATAGTCAGGTACTGTATAGTAATGTTTTGGTCAACATTTGACCACATATATGACGGTGCTCCTATAAAATTATAATGAAATTGAAAAATTCCTATTTCCTAGTGACATCATAGCTGTCATAAGCCATCGTAATGTCATAATGCAATGCTTTAACTTTTCTATGTTTATATATATTTAGATAAACAAATACTTACCATTGTGTTACAATTGCCTGCCACATTCAGTACAGCAACATGCTGTATGGGTTTATAGCCTAGAAGCAATAGGCTATACCATGTAGCCTAAGTGTGTAGTAAGCTATGTTATCTAGGTTTAGTACAGCATAAGATGTTTACATAATGGTGAAATTGTGACGTATTTCTCAGATGTTCCTGTTAAGTGACACCTGACTGCACTTTAACATCATTCTTCCCATTTTCTCCAGAAACTTCTGAGAAACTCTAAGGGGCCATTAAATGAACACTTGATTCTAGCCACTGTCAGGGAGTTACCTATTAGGTGCTTTATCTATTTATGGAAGAATTGGTGATGGGCAGTAGGGGGCTATTGTTGATTTCTGGAATATGCACAGAGTATAAATATTTTAAGGTTCTGGGAACAGAAAATCCATTCTTCATTGACCTATGCCAAACAGCTCCCTGTGAAATGCATTTTGGAAACCACTGCAGAAACTTGAAAGATGAAGTTACATTCAGGATTTTCATCTAGATTTCAAGGTTGGGCCTTATCACTTTTGTTTCTAGGAAGGAAGATTCAGCAGATTTTGCTCCTATATTATCAGAGTTCTGAAAACACTTTGAGGACACCTCTGTATGCCCAGTCCAGGGAACTCTAAAGGCATTAGAGGGATAACATGTTTTGAGATGGGATAAAAGGCAAGAGAGATGACCTCTTCCTCTAGCAGTGGGCGAGCAGCTGGCTCTGCTTTTCACTGATTTTATGGCTTTGTCTGTGAAGGAACAGCAGTGTTCCACAGAGAGGCGCTTGACTGAGACAGTTGCTGTTACTGAGCAGAAGAGAGCCAGGGGGTGCAGTAAGATGTGGAAAGCATTGTTTCCTCTAAATGTGGGAAGAAATGAAAAACTTACAGGGGAGAAAAGACTGTAGTATACTTAAAAAAGAATACTTAAGTAGAATCTGAGGAGTGGATAATAGGTTGAAGGATATGTGCATATTATAATCAGTGTCATGTAGTTCCTGTAAATTAATTTCATAAAGCTTATATGGAAACAAGGTGACTTGGTAACATGGAAATCAATAATAAGTGAGAAGGGCAGGACATAAAATATGTGTACTGATATATACATACTAAAATGGGAAAAGAATATGAAAATATTAGCTTGGTGGATTTTTTTGTGATAGGGTTATGTGGGTGTTTTTTAAAAATGTAAAATATATTTGTTTGTTTGCTTGTTTTGAGACAAGGTCTCTGTTGCCCAGGCTGTAATGCAGTGGTGTGATCAGCTCACTGTAGCCTCTACCTCCCCAGCTCAAGCAATTTTCCCACTTCAGCCTTCGGAGTAGCTGGGACTACAGGTACCAGCCACCACACCTAAGTAATTGTTTAACTTTTTGTAGAGATGGAGTCTTGCTAAATTTCCTAGGCTAAATTGTTTCTATTTTGATTACTGTGTCCATAAAAATAATTTGATAATTTTAAAAAGCGAAACTAAAGAGGAAAAACATGTGTTTGCTTATTGCTGTAATTATTAGTTGCAAGCTTTCACATTTTACCTTTATGTATAACCCTGAAGTGTATTAAATAATATATGGTGTCAAATTACTTAGGTAATGGTAGGAAGCACCTACTATCCTGTGGCAAGATAATTTTTAGACTTGTTATTTGTGTTCTCTCCAAATTTCGGTTCCGTAGGGCTTTCAGGAATGTTGCAAGATTCAAAGAAGAAGCAACCACAATTCAAACGTTCTCCCGACCTCTTGTAAAAGCCGGAGAAGCGAGGAAACCCGGCATTGTTGAGGGTGGGAGAGCGGAGCTGCCAGCTGCTGGTCCCCTGGAGCTGGGGGTGGCGCGGCCGGGGTTTGGGGCGACCCTTTGGAGGAGATCGCCGGTCCCCCAGCGAGGTGTGGAGGATGAGAGCGCCTTAGGACCACCGCGAGCGACCACCCTGAAGAAGTCAGTGGAGGTCGTGACAGACTGCAAGCGAGACCCATTCCATTTCCATCTGTGCTGCAACAGCGGAGAAGGAGAGACGACACACGACCTAGATCACTCCGGGAGGGAGGGTCTGAATTAAGGTGATAGTCCGAGTTTGTGACCTGAGATTCATACTACAAACCCCGCGGAGAACAAGGAAGAGGACCGAGAGCTTTTGTCCCGTGCTTGTGAGCTGAAGCCAGGTGTTTGAAGTGTTTGATCTTCTAGAAAGCCCTTGCCCACCTAAAGTAATTGGGTACAGCTGAGGTTCTCAAACTTGAGCGTGCACCACAATCACCCGAGAGGTAATTAAAACCTGGAGTGCACTTTGGGATGCCGAGGCGGGCGGATCACGAGGTCAGGAGATAAAGACCATCCTTGGCTAACACGGTGAAACCCTGTCTCTACTAAAAATACAAAAAATTAGCCGGGCGTGGGGGCGGGCGCCTGTAGTCCCGGCTACTCGGGAGGCTGAGGTAGGAGAACGGCGTCAACCCGGGAGGCGGAGCTTGCAGTGAGCCGAGATCGCGCCACTGCACTCCAGCCTGGGCAACAGAGCGAGACTCCGTCTCAAAAAAACCCCAAAAACAACAACAACAAAAACACCTGGAGTGCTGGGGACCCCATTCCCAGAGTTTCTGATTCAGTGGGCCTGAGTTGGGGCCCGAGAATGTGCATCTCTAACAGGTTCTCAAGTGAAGCTGATGCTGCAAGTCCCGGAACGGTGCTTCGACAACTGGTGAATGCTATGCTTTTCAGATACTTTGATATCAAACTTTTGCATGGCTGCAGCTACCTAAAGTGGCGTGTCAGTTTTACCAGAGGTTACTTTTCACTTAATATTGGCTTGGTTTATTTTCAGATTTAAGAGTGGAGTGTGTTATTAGTAGATCCATTTACAAGGCTCATTTGGAGGAAGCTGTTCCGGTGCTTTCACTTACTTTATAGATGAACATAATTTTTGGAGATTTCCATGATATAGTTAAAACTATGTCTTGGTCATTTGTGTGACCTCTTTCAGTTTATGAAGTTTTCATCTATGTTACCTGGTTATGGTATTGCTCTTAACGTAAATATTTTAAAATATGTCTTTGTGTCTTTTTAGCAGCACTCCTATGAGGTAGAGCGATTGTTTTGCTTTTATGGTGTTAGTCACAGATCTAGGCTTAACTTCACATTGTTTCCCAGTGAGTATATGTGCAGGTAACATCATAAATGTTATAAAAAGGGTGTGGTTACTGCATAATGAGAGGAAAACCCAGGCAATACAAAGGAGTTTTAATTATATGACTCTCTGAGACTTCAAGTACGTAGGCCTGCCCAGCTTGCTTCCTGGGAACCCTCCTTCCTGATAAGCCTTCAATTGGAAAGAGAAAGAGGCCTCAGCCATAAAGGAAAACCTTTTTAGAGGGGTTCTGAGACCTAAAGGTCCAAGTTCTGGCATTCCCTGAAGCCACAAGGTTTCTCTGCCTCAAGGTTTCTCTGAAATCAGTTAGTGACAATCGAAGGCAGCCATGAAGAGGAAAAGTTAAAAATATGCAGACTATGTGGCCCTGGAGAAGAGGAGAGAAGCATTTTGATCCAGTTTGCTTCAGTTATAGGGAAGCTCCCAAGCTAACTAGATTGGTGGGATAGTACTTTTTATTTTATCTATACAATTTTTGTTATTGTGCTTGAACTTACATAGTAAAGTGAACAAATATTCAGTGTACAACTAAATGAATTCTTTAACATAGATGTATTCACAAACATACATACTCACACTCACTCTTGTACCCACCTTCCAGATTAAGATAATAGAGCATTCCCAAAACCACAAAAGGCTGCCTTATTCCTACTCCCAGCCAATACCCCAAAAGGTAACAGCTGCTGACTCTCTTGCCGTTGAATGGTTTTACCTGTTCCTGAACTTTGTATAAATGGAATCATACAGTATGTACTATTTTGTGTCTGGCTTCTTTCACTCAACACTATGTCTGTTAAATTCATCTACACTGTTGCCTGTAGCAAGAGTTTGTTCTTTTTCACCTCCAACCTGATCACCCCATTTCCCCAGCCCCAGGAAACCATTAATCCACTTTCTCTCTATAGATCTGTCTATTCTGAAAATTTCATATAAATGGAATCACAATATTTTGTCCTTGTGACTGGCTTCTTGGCATGTTTTCAAGGTTCATTCATGTTGTAGACTACATTAGTACCTCATTTCCTTTTATTGCTGAAAAATATTGAGTATACCACATTTTATTTATCCATTCATCAGCTGATGGGCATTTGGGTTGTTTCCACCTTTTGGCAATTGTGAATAATGCCGCAATGGACATTTGTATACAAGTTTTTGTGTGGACAGTGGAAATATGTTTTCATTTCTCTTGGGTATATATGTAAGAGTGAAACTGCTAGATCATGTGGTAACTATATTTAACTGGTTCAGGAGTTGTCAAACCATTTTCCAAAGCATCTGCACCGTTTTACATTCCCACCTGCCAAAGCCAGTCATTAGCATTGTTTCTATAGATATTAAATTAACTAAAAGTATCCCTTATGGGAAACGAAGGGATGGGCTGAATTAAAGGAATAGGTTGGGCTAGTTAACTGCAGCAGGAGCATGTCCTTAAGGCACAGATTGCTCATGCTATTGTTTGTGGCTTAAGAATGCCTTTAAGTGGTTTTCTGCCCTGGGCAGGCCAGGTGTTCCTTGCCCTCATTCCGGTAAACCCACAACCTTCCAGCATGGGCGTTATGGCCATCATGAACATGTCATAGTGCTGCAGAGATTTTGTTTATGGCCAGTTTTGGGGCCAGTTTACAGCCAGATTTTGAGGGGCTTGTTCCCAACACCCACCAGGAGTGTATGAGGATTCCAATTTACCCACATCTTCACCAAAGCTTGTTATCTGTCTTTTTTATTTTAGCCATCCTAGAAGGTGTGAGTGGTATCTTACTGTGGTTTTGGTGTACATTTTCCTGATGGCTAATGCTGTTGAGCATCTTTTTGTTTGCTCATTGGTTATTTGCATATCTTCTTTGGAGAATGTCTCTTTAGATCATTTGCCTGTTTTTAAAAAAATGGGTAGTTTGCCTTTTTATTATTGAATTGTAATAGTTTCTTATATATTCTAGATATAAGTCCCTTATCAAATATACAATTTGTCAAATTTTTATCTCATTCTGTGAATTTTCTCTTCACTTTATTTTTTAACTTTGATTAAATTAATTAATTCATTTAGAGACAGGGTCTTGCTCTGTTGCCCAGGCTGTAGTGCAGTGGCGCAATCATAGCTCATTGCAACCCCAAACTCCTGGGCTCAAGTGATCCTCCTGCCTTAGCCTCCCAAGTAGCTGGAACTACAGGTGTGTACCACCATACCTGGCTAACTAATCTTTTCACTTTTTTGATAGTGTCCTTTGATGCCCCAAATTTAAAAATTTTGATAATGTTTACCTTCTCTAATTTTTCTTTTGTTGTTTGTACTTTTGGCATCGTATGTAACAAACCCAAAGTCATAAGATTTATGCCTATGTTTTTTTTCTAAGAGTTTTATAGTTTTAGCTCTTACATTTAGGTCTTTGTTCCATTTTTGAGTTAATTTTTGTATGTATTGTAAGGTAGAGGTCAAATTTCATTCTTCATGTGACTATCCAGTTGTCTCATCATCATTTGTTGAAGACTATTCTTTTCCCATTGAATTGTCTTGGCCCCCTGTCAAAATCAGTTGAACATCATTGTGAGAGTTTGTTTCTGGACTCTCACTTCAATTCATCTGTAGGTCTAGCTTTATGCCAGTATCACTATCTTGATTACTGTAGCTTTGTTGCTTTGTTGAAAGTTTTGAAATCAGGAAGTTTGAGTTGTCCAACTTTATTCCTTTTTTTTTTTTTTTTTTTTGAGACAGAGCCTCGCTGTCACCCAGGCTAGAGTGCAGTGGCACAATCTTGGCTCACTGCAACCTCCACCTCCTGGGTTCAGTGATTCTCCTGCCTCAGCCTCCTGAGTAGCTGGGATTACAGCGCATGCCACCACACCCGGCTAATTTTTGTATTTTTAGGAGAGATGGGGTTTCACCATGTTAGCCATGCTGGTCTCGAACTTCTGAACTCAAGTGATCTGTCTGCCTCAGCCTCCCAAAGTGCTGGCCCAACTTTACTTTTTATCAAGATCATTTTGGCTATTCTGGGTCCCTTGTAATTCCATATGAATTTTTCGATTTCTACAAAAAAGCCATCTTGTATTTTGACAGTGATTGCATTGAATCCATAGATCAGTTTGTGGAAACATTGCTATTTTAAATTAAATATTAAATCTTCCAATCCAAGAAAATAGGATACTTTCCATCTAACTAGGTCTTCTTTAATTTCTTTCAACAATGTTTGTGTTGAGTGTACATTTTTGTTAAATTTACTCCCGAGTATTTTATTCTTTTTGATGTATTTGTAAATGGAATTGTTTTCTCAATTTCATTTTCTGTTGGCTCAGTGCTACTCTGTAGAAATACAATTGATTTTGTATATTGATTTTGTGTCCTGCTACTTTACTGAACTTTTTAATTAGTTCCAGTAGTTTTTTAGTGGAATCTGTAGCATGTTCTACCTACAGGATCGTACTGTCTACAAATAGAGAGAGGTTTACTTCTTTCCAATCTGTATGCCTTTTACTTCCTTTTACTTCTTGCCTCACTGCTTGGAGGCTAGAACTTTCTGTGTAGTGTTGAATAGAAGTGTTGAAAGTGGACATCTTTGTCTTGTTCCTGATCTTAGGAAAATAGCATTTGTCATTCACCATTAAGAATGATATTAGCTGTGGGTATTTTGTAGATGTCCTTTATCAGGTTGATGAAATTCGTGTTTGTTGTTGTTGTTTTTGTTTATAATCAGTTTTAGCTTGCTGAAGAAAGTCCACTTCTATTCCTAGTCTGTTGAGTGATTTTACCATGAAGAGCTGTTGAAGTTGTAAATATTCTTGTACATTACTTTTTGGGTACATATTAAGTACTCATTTCTGTTGTGGCTATAACCAGGACTGGAAATGCTGAGTCATAGGGTATGAATAAGTTTAGCTTTGGTGGACATTGTCAAACAGGTTTTTGTTTGTTTGTTTGTTTATTTCGAGACAGGGATCTGGCTCTGTCACCCAGGCTGTAGAGCAGTGGCTCGATCATGGCTCACTTCAATCTCTGCCTCTGGAGCTTGAGCCGACCTCCCACCTCAGCCTCCCAAGTAGCTATAACTACAGGCACGTGCCACCACACCCAGCTAATTTTTTTTTTTTTTTTTTTTTTTGAGACGGAGTCTTGCTGTCTCCCAGGCTGGAGTGCAGTGGCGCGATCTCTGCTCACTGCAAGCTCCACCTCCTGGGTTCACGCCATTCTCCTGCCTCAGCCTCCCAAGTAGCTGGGATTACAGGCGCCCACCACCGCGCCCGGCTAATTTTTGTATTTTTATGTAGAGACGGGGTTTCACCATGTTGGCCAGGCTGGTCTCAAACTCCTGACCTTGTGATCCACCCACCTCGGCCTCCCAAAGTGCTGGGATTACAGGCGTGAGCCACCATGCCCGGCTAATTTTTGTATTGTTTTGTAGAGGTGTGGTTTCACCATGTTGCCCAAGCTGGTCTCAAACTCCTGAGCTAAGGTGATCTGCCCGCCTCAGCCTCCCAAAGTGCTTGGGATTACAGGCGTGAGCCTCTGCATCTGTCAGTTTTCTAAAGTGCTTGTACTAATGAACACTCCTACCAGCATCTTATGAGATCCCCAGTTGTTTCTGCAGGATGCTGCTTTATTAAACCACTCACTAAGGGTACCATCTCCTCACCTTTGCCATAAAAATTAGGGGACAACTGCATGCCCAGCCAGCACTATGGCTACGGGCAGTGGTTCCCATACTTTCACAAATGCAGGAGTAGCAGAGTCAGCACTTCCATGGGCGCTTTGGTGGGAGTGGTTAGTAGAGTGGGGAAAATGAAGGGTTTTAATCTTTGCCAACATAAGATGTGAAAAATAACACATTTTTGTTTTCAATTTTTTAAAACTATTAATGATATTGAAACAAATTTTCATAGCTTTCTTGGTCCTTTGTATTCTGTAGTTTTTTTGTTCATGTTCTTTGCCTTTAAAAAATAAGATATTTGATTTTTTATTGGGTTTTAAGGTCATTGTTCTATTATCTGTAACGTTTACACATTTTTATTAATATTTTTCCAGAACCTTTGTTTATTTCGGTGGTTTTATTTGATGGATGTAGAACTGCCAGTACATTGCCAACTCCGTATGATTTTTGGCATTGGTGTCATGTTAAGAAAGGCCTTTCTCATCTAGAAATATACAAATATTCTATCTTTATCTCAGTATTCTTCTCCGTTTTTTGAGAAAGAGTCTCGCTCTGTTGCCCAGACTGGAGTGCAGTGGCTCATCTCGGCTCACTGCAACCTCCACCTCCTGGGCTCAAGCAATTCTCGTGCCTCAGCTTCGCAAGTAGCTGGACTTACAGGCACGTGCCACTACGCCAGGCTAATTTTTGTATTTTTTGTAGAGACAGGGCTTCACCATGTTGGCCCGGCTGGTCTCAAACTCCTGACCTCAAGTGATCTGCCCAGCTCAGACTCCCAAAGTGCCGGGATTATAGGTATGAGCCACTGTGCCCAGCCTAAACATTTATTCTTTAATGTATCTGAAATTTATTTTAATACATGGTGCAAATTGGGGATTTAGTTTTATTTTTCTTTAATATGGAAAAAATATACAACAGTCTGTGAGTTTTCATTACCTTTAAGAGAGACTGTTCATCTTTGCACTAAAATTGGTTAAGAGATAATTGCTACAGATTTGAAAAGAGAAGTTGTACATTTTTCCTGAATAAAGTGGTGATATTTTTTCATTATAGGAAATTTGGAAACCATAAAAATATCTAAAACCTAAAATCAAAATGAGGTAATGATACTTGCCTCGACTTCAGTCTTGTCTCGGTCCTGGCTCCACTCCTGTGTATTCCACGTGCACACTGTGGTAGCTTTCCACAACCACAATTTCATCTCTTCTTTCCTGTTATCAGGTGAATTGGTAACCCCAGGGGCTCCTGCCAATCTCAGTTTGAGTTCCTGAGAATGCAACTAATCTTAGTTAACAAAAGAATCATAGAGTTAAAGGAGATCTTGATTATTTCTTTCTATTCATCCTTTTGACTTTGTGTAGGATGATACCAACAACATTCCAGAAAAACTTCATTCTGAGCTTTTGCATTCACCCCAAATTTCTCAGATGAAATGTAAGCTTATCCCTGTTTGTCCCTTTCTCAGATTGAATACACAGCCGCTGCTCATTATCTCTTATGGGATATTCTTGCATATATTTCGAGACTTTAGCTATATTCACAGGGTCAGAGAGAGGCAGAGTGTCTTCCTATCTGTAGGACAGCAGTGGTGTCCTGAATTGACAAGGAGCATTTTCTTATTGAATTCATCTCTCCTTGTTGAAAGAATGTTATTTAGTTTGGCATTTATGAAAGCAGATGTTGAGGCAGACTACCTAGGTTTTATTTTTGTGTGGCCTCAGGCAAGTCAACCACTCTTTCTGGGCTTTTTTCTCTCAACAAAAATAAAAACATTATTATTTCTGGCCTGGTGCAGTGGCTTGAGTCTGTAATCCTAGCACTTTGGTAGGCTGAGGCAGGTGGATCACTTGAGCCCAGGAGTTTGAGACCAGCCTGGGCAATGTGGCAAAACCCCACCTCTACGAAAAATAGAAAAAATTAGCCAGGCGTGGTGGCTTGTATCTCTAGTCCCAGCTACTTGAGAGGCTGAAGTGGGAGAATCACTTGGGCCTGGGAGGGCAAGGCTACAGTGAGCCATGATTGCAGCACTGCATACCTCAGCCTGGGTGACAGAATGAGACCCTGTCTCAACAACAAAACAAAAAAATGAAGAAGAAGAAATAAAAAAATAAAAAATAATTAATATCTACTGTCTAATAGGACTGTTTTTATTTTTTATTTATTTATTTATTTTGAGACAGAGTCTCACTCTGTTGCCCAGGTTGGAGTGCAGTGGCACGATCTCAGCTCTCTGTAACCTCCACCTCCCAGATGCAAGTGATTCTCCTGCCTCAGCCTCCCAAGTAGCTAAGATTATAGGCACAAGCCACCATGCCCGACTAATTTTTGTATTTTTAGTAGAGATGGGGTTTCGCCATGTTGGTCCGGCTGGTCTTGAACTCCTGACCTCAAGTGATCTGTCTGCTTCTGCCTTCCAAAGTGCTGAGATTACAGGTGTGAGCCACGATACCTGGCCGGTATAGGACTGTTTTTAGACCCAAGCATAAAGAAAAAGTAGGGTTCTTATGTGGCACTTTGGCTTTTTGAATTAATTTTTTTGCATTTTTAAAATTATGGTAAATATATAATAAAAATTTAGCATTTTAACCATTTTTTCTTTTGTCAGTCATCGTTAACTATTTTTAATTGACATGTAATAATTATACATATTTATGGAGTACAGTGTGATATTTCTGTACATGTATACAATGTGTAATGAATGACCCAGGATATTTATCATATCCATCACCTCAAACATTTATCATTTATTTGTGTTGAGAAGATTTAAAATCTGTTCTTCTAGCTATTTGAAAATATATGTTGTTGTTTTATTGTAGTCACCCTATAGTGCAATAAAAACACTAGATCTTATTCCTCCTATCTATATGCGCTTTCATTTCCATCACAAAAAGCAGCTATCCTCCTTCCCTGCTCTTTCTCAGCCTCTAGTAACCATTCTTCTACCTCTACTTGTATGAGATCAACTCTTTTGGCTTCCACATAAGGGTGAGAACATGCAGTATTTACCTTTCTGTGCCTGACTTATTTTGCTTAACATAAAGCCCTCCAGGGTTATCCATGTTGCCATGAATAATGGAATATTATTCCTTTCTAAAAAATCACTAAGTAGTATTCCATTGTGTATACATACTACATTTTCTTTACCCATTCATCTGTTGATGGACACTTATGTGGATTCCAAATCTTGGCTATTGTGAATACTGCTGCAATTAACATGGGAATGCAGATACCTCTTTGACATACTAATTTCCCTTTCTTTGGATAAATACGCAGTAGTGGGATTGCTGAATCATATAATAGTTCTATTTTTAGTTTTTTCAGAAACCGCTGTACTCTTTTCCATAATGGCTGTACTGATTTACATTCCCACCGACAGTGTATTTAAGAGTTCTCATTTCTCCTCATCCTCACCAGCATTTGTTATTTTTTAGCCACCCTAACTGGGGTGAGATAGTATCTCATTGTGGTTTTGATTTGCATTTCTGTGATAATTAGTAACATTGAGCATTTTTTCATACAGCTATGGCCATTTGTATGTCTTCTTTTGAGAAATGTTTATTCAGCTCTTTTGTTCATTTTTTTTATTAGGATTACTTCTCCTTTGCTATTAAGTTCCTTATATTTTCTGGATATTAATCCCTTGTTAGATAAATAATTTGCAAATATTTTCTCCCATTCTACAGGTTGCCTCTTCACTTTGCTGACTGTTTTCTTTGCTGTGTGGAGGTTTTTAGTTTGATACCGCATCTGTCTATTTTTGCTTTTGTTGCCTACGTTTGTGAGGTCTTCTCCATATGATTTTTGCCTAGACCAATGTCTTGAAATATTTCCCCTGTTTTCTTAAAATATTTTCATAGTTTTGGGCCTTACATTTAAGTCTATAATCCATTTTGTGTTTATTTTTGTATATGATGAGAAACATGGGAGTCTAGTTTCATTTTTCTGCCTATCAATATCTAGTTTCCCCGGCATGATTTATTGAAGAGACTGTCCTTTCTCCAATAATGTTCTTGGTGCCTTTGTTGCAAATGAATTGGCTGTCAATACATGAACTTATTCCTGAGTTCCTTTGATCTATATGTGTATGTTTTTATGCCAGTAGTACGTTGTTTTGGTTAGTATAGCTTTGTAGTATATATTGAAGACAGGTAGTTTGATGCCTCTGCTTTGTTATTTTTGCTCAGTATTGCTTTGGCTATTTGAGGTCTTCATAACTCCATATGAATTTTAGGATTTTTTTTTCTATTTTGGTGAATAATGTTACTGGTATTTTCTTAAGGATTGCACTGAATCTGTAGATTGCTTTCGGTAGTATGGTCATATTAATTCTTCCAATTAATGAACATGAAATATCTGTCCATTTTTTGTGTCCCCTTAAATTTATTTCATCAGTATTCTGTAGTTTTTGTTGTAGAAGTCATTTACCTCCTTGCTCAAATTTATTCCTAGGCATTTTAATTTTTACAGCTATTGTAAATGGGATTGCTTTCTTGATTTCTTTTTCTGCTAGTTCATTATTTGTGTATAGAAATGATCCTGATTTTTGCATGTTGATTTTTGTATCCTGCAACTGAATTTATCAGTTCTAAAGGTGTTTGTGTGTGTGTATGTGTGGAGTCTTTAGGTTTTTCTATGAATAAGATCATGTCATTAGCAATGGTGGACAATTTGACTTCCTCTTTTCCAATGTGAATGAATGAATGCCTTCTATATCTTTCTCTTGCCTGATTGTTCTGGCTAGGCCTCCCAGTACTGTCTTGAATAATAGCGTTGAAAACAGGTGTCTCTGTTTGTTCCCGTTCCTAGGGGAAAGGTGTTCAGGTTTTCCCCATATATGACCTTTCTTATGTTTAGGTATGTTCCTTTTATGCCTAATTTGTTGAAGAATTTTTATCATGAAGGGATGTTAAATTTTATCAATTTTTTTCTGCATCTGTTGAAATGATCATATCATTTTTGTTTTTTATTTTGTTGATGTCATGTATCATATTTATTGATCTGCATATGTTGAACAATTCTTGCATCCTTGGGATGAATCCCTTGTGATCATGGAGACATGATGTGTTGTATATCATTTGCTAGAATCTTGTTGAGAATTTTTGCATCTATTTTCATCAGGGATATTGGCCTGTAGTTTTCTTTTTTTGTTGTGTCCTTGTCTGCTTGGGTATCAGAGAAATAGAAATAGTGGGCTTATAGAATGTGTTAGGAAGAATTCCTTCCTCTTCAATTTTCTGGAATAGTTTGAGAAAAATTGGTTTAGTTCTCTTTATATGTTTGGCAGAATTCAGCAGTAAGGCTATCCAGTCCTGGAATTGTCTTTGATAGGAGACCTGTTATTACTGATCTAGTAATACTGATTACTTGTAACTGGTCTGTTCAGGTTTTCTGTTCCAATCTTGTACATGTTCAAGAATTTATCCATTTCCATTAGATTTTTCCAGTTTGTTGGTATATAAGTGTTCATAATAGTCTCTAATAATTTTTTGTATTTCATGATACCAGTTGTAATGCCTCTTTTTCAGTTCTGATTTTATTTGTGTTCTTTCTCTTTTTTCTTAGTTAATCTAGCTAATGGTTTACCAGTGTTGTCTTTTCAAAAAATGAACTTTTTGTTTTGTTGATCTTTTGTATTTTTTAAGCCTCAATTTCATTTGTTTCTGCTCTTTTTTAATTCTTTCTTTCTACTAATTTGGGGTTTGGTTTATTCTTGCTTTTCTAGTTCTTTGAGATATATAATTAGGTGGTTTATTTGAAATCTTTCTACTTTTTTGACTTAGGCATTTACTGCTGTAAACTTTCCTCTTAATACTGCCTTTGCTATATCCTATAGGCTTTGGTATATTGTGTTTCTATTTTCATTTGTTTCAAGACATTTTTAAATTCCCTTCTTAGTTTCTTTGTTGACTCATTGGTTGTTGAGGAGCATGTTTAATTTCCATGTATTCATAAAGTTTTGAAAGTTCCACTTGTGATTGATTTCTAGTTTTATTCCATTGTGGTCAGAAAAGATACTTGGTATGCTTTCAGTTGTTTTAAATTTGTTGAGACTTGTTTTGTAGCCTAACATGTAGTCTGTCTTTGAGAATGCATCATGTGCTGATTTTTTTAAAAAGTATATTCTGCAGCTGTTGAATGAAATGTTCCATAAGTGTCTATTAGGTTCATTTGGTCTAAAGTGAAGTTTAAATCCAAAGTTTCTTTGTTGACTTTCTGTCTAGATGATCTGTCCAATGCTGAGAATGGGGTATTGATGTCCTCAACTAATACTGTAGTAGAGTCTATCTCCCCTGGTAGATCTAACAATATTTGGTTTTTGTATCTGGGTGCTCAAATGTTGAGTGCATATAGATTTACAGTTATATCCTCTTGCTGATTTGATCCTTTTATCATTATATGATGACTTTCTTTGTCTCTTGAAACAATTTTTGACTTAGTCTATTTTATCTGATATAGGTATAGCTACTTCTGCTAGTTTTTGATTTCTATTTGTGTGGAATATCTTTTTCCATCCCTTCACTTTCAATCTATGTGTATTTTTACAGGTGAAGTAGTTTCTGGTAGGCAATATATTGTTGGGTCATGTTTTTTAATCCATTCAGTCAGTCCATATCTTTTAAGTGGAGAATTTAATTGGTTTACATTCAAGGTTATTATTGATAGATGAAGATTTACTCATTTCATTAAAAAAATTGTTTTCTGGTTGTTTTGTATATTCTTTATTCCTTTCTTCCTCTCCTATTATTTATGATTGTGGTTTAGTGGTTTTCTGTAGTGATAAGGTTTGATTCTTTTCTCTTTCTCTTTTGTGTATCTGCTCTACCAGGGAGTTTTATACTTTTGAATGTTTTCATGATGGTGATTATTGTCTTTTTGCTTACAAATATAGGAATCCCTTGAGCATTTCTTGGAAGGCTAGTCTAGAGGTGATACATTTTCCTCAGTTTTCCCTTGTCTAGCGAGGACTTTATTTCTCCTTTCTGAAAGATAGCTTTGCTGGGTATAGCTTTCTTGACTGACAATTTTTTTTTCTTTCAGCATTTTGAATATATCATCCCATTCTCTATTGGCCTGTAAGGTTTCTGCTGAGAAATCTGCTGCAAGTCCAATGGGGAGTCCCTTATATGGGACTTTTCACTTTTCTCTTGCTGTTCTTAGAATTCTCTTTATCTCAATGGGATCTAATTAAACTAACGAGCTTCTGCACAGTAAAAGAAACTATTATCAGAGTGAACAGGCAACCTACAGAATGGGAGAAAATTTTTGCAATCTATCCATCTGACAAAGGGCTAATATCCAGAACCTACAAATAACTTAAACAAACTTACAAGAAGAAAACAACCCCATCAAAAAGTGGGCAAACGATATGAACAGACACTTTTCCAAAGAAGACATTTATGTGGCAACAAACATATGAAAAAAAGCTCATCATCACTGGTCATTAGAGAAATGCAAATCAAAACCACAATGAGGTACCATCTCATGCGAGTTAGAATGACGATCATTAAAAAGGAAACAACAGATGCTAGAGAGAATGTGGAGAAATAGGAACACTTTTACACTCTTGGTGGGAGTGTAAGTTAGTTCAACCATTGTGGAAGACAGTGTGGCGATTCCTCAAGGATCTAGAACCAGAAATACCATTTGACCTAGCAATCCCATTGCTGGGTATATACCCAAAGGATTATAAATCATTCTACTATAAAGACACATGCACACGTATGTTTATTGCAGCACCGTTCACAATAGCAAAGACTTGGAACCAACCCAAATGCCCATCAATGATAGATTGGATAAAGAAAATGTGGCACATATACAACATGGAATACTGTGCAGCCATAAAAAAGGATGAGTTCATGTCCTTTGTAGGGTACATGGATGAAGCTGGAAACCGTAATTCTCAGCAAACTAACACAAGAACAGAAAACCAAACACCACATGTTCTCACTCATAAGTGGGAGTTGAACAATGAGAACACATGTACACAGGGAGGGGAACATCGCACACCGGGGCCTGTCAGGGGGTGGGGGGCTAGGGGAGGGATAACATTAGGAGAAATACCTAATGTAGATGACGTGTTGATGGGTGCAGCAAACCACCATGACACGTGTATACCTATGTAACAAATCTGCACGTTCTGCACAGGTATCCCAGAACTTAAAGCATAATTGAAAAAATATTTAGAAACAAACAATTCTCTTTGTCTCTTTGTCTTTGACTATAATGTGCCTTGGGGAGGACATTTTCACATTGAATCTCTTTGGAAACTTTTCAGCTTCCTGAATCTATGTGTCCATACCTCTCCTAAGACTTGGGAAATTTTCAGCTAATATTTCATTAAATATGTTTTCTACACCTTTTGTATTTCTTCTCCTTCTGGCATTCCTATAATGTGAATATTTGTTCACTTAATGTTGTCCCCTAAGTCCTGTAGACTTTCTTCACTGTTTTTCATTTGTTTTTTTTTGGAGTTTTTTGTTTTGTTTTGTTTTTTTCTGACTGGATAATTTCAAATGACTTGTCAAGTTCAGAGATTATTTTTTCTGCTTAATCAAGTCTATTATTGAAACTCTCTGTTTTGTTTTCTATTTTATTTTTCAGCCACACAATTTCTTTGGTTCTTTTTTATGATTTATCTTTGTTGAATTTCTCATTCATATTGTGAATTGTTGTCTTGATTTCATTGAATTTTGTATCTGTATTTTCTTGTGTCTGTTAAGTTTCCTTAGGATCATTATTTTTGCACTCCAGCCTGACCCTGACCAACAGAGTGAGACCTCATCTCAAAACAAACAAAAAAGTCCTTATTTCGAATTCATTTTCTGGAAATTCATTGATTTCCTTTTCCTTGGGGTCTGTTACTAGAGAGTTATTATGTTCCTTTGGTGTGTCATATTTCCTTTTTCATGTTTCTTGCCTTTTTGCATTAGTGCCTATGCATCTGGTAGAACAATCACTTCTTCCAAACTTTTTAGAATGGCTTTTATAGAGAAAGACTCTCACCTGCAGTTGAGTCTTAGTGTGCTGATTGGGAAGGGTGTGGTGACTTTGTTTCCAGGTAGGTGCAGTGGTATAGACTCTGTTCAGCTTCTTCAGCTGTGTGCAACATCAGCAATAACTGTAGGCACCTCATTTGTCTAGGCTGTAGAAGTTTGTTGTAGAGACCATAGTGGTGTAGGTTGTTGATGTCCTTAGTAGCAAGGAGTTTGGGGAATCTTTCTCTTTTCATGGGGATACGATGGAAAGACATAGCCAAGATGATCCCTTTTGGTGTCAGGTCTGACATGGCCTACAAACAGCCACAGTGGTATTGGGTTCCAGGTGCAGGTGTTTGGAACAGCTGTGGGGCCAGGGTCCTAGGCTCAGAGTCTCACAAAACTATTCTGGTACCTGGGTCTTAGGGTACAAGTTTTCTCTCTGTGGCTGTGTTGGATGTAGGTTACCCACACAGCCAGGATCTATGACTCTGGGATACCCCCTAGCAGCTCAGGTTCAGGGGGCCAGGTTATAGCTATGATTCTATCACTGGAGGGAAGGACACAGCACTGGCCTAATTCTGGGGGAGAGGTGCTCTGAAAGTTTGGGCCTGGGTAATAGGGTAAGCTACAATTTGGGAGCCTGAGCCAATAGGGTTCAGTAGCAACTTGGGTCCCAGGGGTTGAGGCACCATGTAGTGTGATGCTAGACCCTGGGGTGGTAAGGCTTGGCAGTACCCCAGACTCTATGAGGCCAAGTGCAGTGGCAACAAGTACCCCCAGAATGGTGGAGCACAGCTGTTGTTTGGGATCTGGGGGCCAGGGACCATCACAACAATGACTCCACTCCCTAGGGAAAGAAGTGTCTCAGCAACTCATTCTCTAGGCTAGTCCAGCTTCAGAAAAGCAGATTACTAGATTTGGTTTTCCTGTATGGCACTGTGTCTCAGCTCAGCCACTGCTTCATTTCCTTGGAACGTGGGTTACTATGTCAGGTCAGCTCCAGGATGTGCATCTGCTCAGTTCAGGAAAGGCACTAATTCTCTGGGAGTGATATGCCACTGCAGCTCAGGCCTCGGAGTGTGACTGTTCTGGGTAGCCCAGCCACCATTTCCCTGGAATGCAGGGCACTGTCCCAGCTTAGGTACCAGGATACATGACTGTTCTGGGTGGCCGTGGCACCATTTTTTGAGAGGCAGTGTACTGGTTCAACTTAGGCACCAGGGAGGTGTGGCTGTTCTGGGAAGCTAAGGCATCATTTTCCCAGGTTGCCTGGTGTTGCTTCAGCTTTAGCACAAGGGGGAAGGATGCAGCAGTGACTAGGAGGGTTATGTGAAGTGGCTCTGCCAAAGCACTGTTTCTTAGCAGGCAGTGCGCGGCTTCAGTTTGAGTCCTGTGGGGCAAGGCACGGCAGCAACTAGGAGGAGTTTTTGGAGGAGCTCTGCTAATCTACCATTTTCTCAGGTGGAGGTGCATGGCTTCAGCTCATGCCGCTAGGGATAGGGTGCAGCATCAACTGGGAAGGGCAGGTGGAGCAACTCCACCAAGACACCGTTTCACCAGGAGCGGGGACACAGCTTTAGGTCTGGCCCTGAGGGGCCGGGCACAACAGTGACTAGGGGAGGTGGCTGAAACAGCTCTGCCTCCGCACCTTTTCCCCAGGAGGGCATATGCTGTTTTAGCTGTGGTCCCTAGGTGCAGGGCACAGCAGCAGCAGCAGCAGTGACTGTGAAGGGTGGATGGAGTAGCTCCACCAAGACACCCTTCCTCCAGGAGGGAGTGTGCTACTTCAGCTCCAGACTGAGGGGGCAGGCTCCGCTACAACTATGAGAGGTAGATAGAGGTTTCTGACAAAGTACTGTTTTCCCAGGAGGGATTGTACAGCTTTGGCCCCAGAGGGAAGGGTGTAATAGCTGCTTGCAGCTCAGCTTGGGGATGTGAGGCCACCAGGTGAAGGTGGTTTGGTGCCTTAGTCTCAGGGATGAAGGCATGCCGTAGCTACTTGTACCCAGAGCAAGTCACACTCCAACATTTGTTCATTTGCTCCAAGATAACATAGTGCGGTAGCCCTGAGGGCCACTAGGGGTAGGGCCCAATGTCAGCTCCTTCTCTGGGTGGGAAGCACAGCTGTGGGGACTCCAGGTGGCTCCCTCAGCTGGTCTTAGTGCTTGTGAGAACTGCAGGGGACCCCAATGGTGAAGACTTTCCATGTCCAAGGTGTTGATGGGGGCTGCTGGGATCCTCCTGCTTACCTTTTTGCCATGGGGAGAGGTTTCTCCTGGTTCTCTGCTGATGCAGCCTGACGTATGTGGTGGTGGAGTCCCTTTGTTTCCTTCTATTCTCTATGTGGCTACCCTCAGTTTCAGTGCTCACTTGGTTTTTTGTCACTCCTTCGATGTTCTCTGGTGCTATTCTTTAGTTATTTTTGTTAAAATGTAGTTGTTTGTTGATTATTTTGGCTGTCTTTGTGGTGGGGATGAGTGTCAGAGGATTTCACTCTATTTTATCCCATTTTAACTATTTTTAAGGGGAAGCCTAATTTTTAAAAAATTGTGGTTAAAAAAAAAAACAAAAAAACACAAGACCGGGCATGGTGGCTCAAGCCTGTAATCCCAGCACTTTGGGAGGCTGAGGCAGGTGGATCACAAGGTCAGGAGTGCAAGACCAGCCTGGCCAACATAGTGAAACCCCGTCTATACTAAAAATACAAAAAATTAGCCAGGCATGGTGATGGACACCTGTAATCCCAGCTACTTAGGAGGCTGAGGCAGGAAAATCACTTGAACCCAGGAGGTAGAGGTTGCAGTGAGCTGAGATCACACCACTGCACTTCAGCCTGGGCGACAAAGTGAGACTCTGTCTCAAAAAAAAAAAAAAAAACCCACAAAATTTACCATTATAATCATTTTTAAGTGTACAGCTCAGTAGGGTTAAGCATATTCATAATTATGAGCACGTGTCAGAATGTCCTTCCTTTTTATGGCTAAATAATATTATGTATATGTAAAATATTAAGGCATCATATTCCATTGCATGTACATACCACATTTTGTTTATCCATTGATGGATAATAGGGTTGCTTATACTTTTGATTTTTTTAAAAAATAATTTTTGCTATAAGGAATACTCTTGTGATTTGAGGACAACATTAACTTGAAGGAAAAGTAAATGGAAAAATAATTATGTGCCACTTCATGGCATTTATTTATTCTAAGCATCTACACAGTCTTAGAAGAAAGTCTCTCCCAGTACATTGTGTTAGGCTTTGTGACCTTCTGATCACTTGTGTTACCCACAATTGTAATCCCCATCGTCCCCATGTTTTGTGGGAGGGACCTGGTGGGAGGTAATTGAATCATGGGGGTGTTTCTCCCATGCTGTTCTCATGACAGTGAGTGAGTCTCACGAGATCTGATGGTTTTATAAGTGTCTGGCATTTCCCCTGCTTGCATTCATTCTCTCTCCTGCCACCCTGTGAAGAGATGCCTTCTGCCATGATTGTAAGTTTCCTGAGGCCTCCACAGCCATGCAGATCTGTGAGTCAATTAAACCTCTTTTCTTTGTAAATTATCCAGTCTTAGGTATTTCTTCATAGCTGCATGAGAATGGACTAATACATGAGAACAGTACTGAAGAGAGTGAGGTGCTGCTATAAAGATACCTGAAAATGTGGAAGCGACTTTAGAACTTTGCAACAGACAGAGGTTGGAACAGTTCAAAGGGCTTAGAAGAAGACAGGAAGATGGAAAGTTTGGAACTACCTAGAGACTTGTTGAATGGCTTTGGCTAAAATGCTGATAGTGATATGGACAATGAAGTCCAGGCTGAGGTGTTCTCAGATGGAGATGAGGAACTTGTTGGGAACTGGAGTAAAGGTTACTCTTGCTATGCTTTAGCAAAGAGACTGGTGGCATTTTGCCCCTGCCTTAGAGATCTGTGGAACTTTGAACTTGAGGGAGATGATTTAGGGTATCTGGTGAAAGAAATTTCTAAGTGGCAAAGCGTTCAAAAGGAAGCAGAGGACAATAGTTTGGAAATTTTGCAACCCAATGAAGCAGTAGAAAAGGAAAACCCCTTTTCTGGGGAGAAATTCAAGCCAGCTGCAGAAATTTGCATAAGTAATGAGGAGCTGAATGTTAATCACCAAGACAATGGGGAAAATGTCTCAGGGCATGTCAGAGAACTTCACAACAGCCCCTCCCATCACAGGCCCAGAGTCCCAGGAGGGAAAGATGGTTTTGTGGGTCAGGCCCATGGCCCCACTGCTGCTCTGTGCAGCCTTGGGACTTGATGTCCTGCATCCCAGCCATGGCTAAAAGAGGCCAAGGCACAGCTTGGACCACTGCTTCACAGGGTGCAAGCCCCAAGCCTGGGCAGCTTCCACATGATATTGAGCCTGTGGGTGCAGAGATGTCAAGAATTGAGATTTGGGAACCTCCACCTAGATTTCAGAGGATGTATGGAAACACCTGGATGTCCAAGCAGAAGTTTGCTGGCGAGGGGGAAGCCCTCATGGAGAACCTCTTGGAGAACCTCTGCTAGGGCAGTGAGGAAGAGAAATGTGGGGTTGGAGCCCCTACACAGAGTCCTCCAACTGGAGCACTGCCTAGTGGAGCTGTGAGAAGAAGACCACTGTCCTCCAGACCCCAGAATGGTAAGTCCACCAACAGCTTGCATTGTGCACCTGGAAGAGCTGCAGACACTCAATGCTGGCCCATGAAAGTGGCTGGGATGGGGGCTGTACACTGCAAAGCCACAGAAGTGGAGCTGCCCAAGGCTGTGGGAGCCCACCTCTTGCATCAGCATGCCCTGGATGTGAGACATGGAGTCAAAGGAGATCCTTCTGGACCCTTAAGGTTTAATGAATGTGCTCTTGGATTTTGGACTTGCATAGGGCCTGTAGCTCCCCTTGTTTTGTCTAATTTCTACCAATTTTTTTTTTTTTCGAGACAGAGTCTTAGTTTGTCACCCAAGCTGGAGTGTAGTGGCACAATCTCGGCTCATGCAACCTCTGCCTCTGGGTTCAAGTGATTCTCATGCCCCAGCCTCCCAAGTAGCTGGGATTACAGGCAGCTGCCACCATGCCCAGCTAATTTTTGTATTTTTAGAAGAGACAGGGTTTCACCATGTTGGCCACGCTGGTCTTGAACTCCTGACCTCAGGTGATCCGCCCACCTCGGCCTCCCAAAGTGCTGGGATTACAGGCATGAGCTGCTGTGCCTGGCCAATTTCTCCCATTTCGAATGTACATATTAACCCAATGCCTATACCCCCACCAAATCTAGGAAGTAACTAACTTGCTTCTGATTTCACAGGCTTATAAGCAGAAGGGACTTGCCTTGTCTCAGATGAGACTTTGGACTTGAACTTTTGGGTTAATGCCAGAATGAGTTAAGACTTTGGGGGACTGTTGGAAAGGCATGATTGTGTTTTGAAATGTGAGAAAGATGAGATTTGGGAGGCGCCAGGGGCTGAAAGATATGGTTTGGCTTTGTTCCCACCCTAATCTCACCTTGAATTTTAATCCCCATAATCCTGACATGTCATGGGAGGGATCCAGTGGGAGGTAGTTGAATCATGAGGGCAGTTTTCCCCATGCTGTTCTCGTGGTGATAGTGAGTGAGTTCTCACGAGATCTGATGGTTTTATAAGTGTCCGGCATTTCCCCCTGCTGGCACTCATTCTGTCTCCTGCCACCATGTGAAGAGGTGTCTTCCGCCATAATTGTAAGTTTCCTGAGGCTTCCCCAGCCATGTGGAACTGTGAATCAATGAAACCTCTTTTCTTTCTAAATTACCCAGTCTCGGGTATTTCTTCATAGCAGCGTGAGAATGGGCTAATACAGAGAGGTTAAGTATCTTTCTCAAAGTAACATTGGAACTAAATGCGGGTGCTGGGTTATGAACTTTGGCAGTCAGTTTCAGAGCCCATGGGTTTAAATCAACCTTTATAATATGAAGTAATGTATTTGAGGATTTGAAGTGGGTAGGCTTGCAAACATTTTGCATTTGCTTGTAGTTATAAAAACTCAGAAATGCTTAAGAAAAAAGAAATGTTGTTAATATTAAGCCAATTGTGCATTTTATCCCACGTCTATTTTCATTTACTGGCCCCCATTGGAGACCAGAATGATGAAGAATATCACCAAGTTCTTTTAATTAAAAAATTTAAAGAAGACTCGCCTCTCACAATGAGGAGTATTCTTGCATATTTTCATCTTCTACTTCCCTTTCTTTTGAATCCCCCATCAATCTTCAGTCAAAGTAGTATCTATTTCATGCACTTTGATCACCCATGAAGAAGTGGTTTATTATTATTTTTCCTCTCTGAAGAAGGGCCCTTTGTCTCTCTCTCTGCTCCACTGATGTTGTAATCTAGGCTCTTCTAAGAGCAGAAACTAAAATATTGAGAGGTTGCTGCTTAAGTGACTACACATTGAGACAAAACGAGCTCCTCTTGGATCTCCACACCTGTGACCATGACAATTTAGAACAGAAGAAAGGTCTTGAACCCATACCATGGTATTTCATCAATTCTAAGATGCCACTGATTGTAGGAAGGACCATTATTTTATATATCACTAAGAACAAAAAGGAATGTTGCCAATTAAACTATGATGTGGTGTCTTAGCTGTAATACTTATGCAGTAATTGATTATACTAACCTCTCATTGCTTTGACAATTCTTTCATCTATTCTGAAGGATTTGGCAAGATCTCCAAATATATTCAGGATGCATTTCATAGCATGTGCTATGCCAATGTTTCTCAAATTTGACAGGGCACATAAATCACCTGAGCATCTTGTTAAAAAATGTTAGGTTCTGACTGAGTAGGTCTGGGGGTAGGCCTGAAATTCTGCATGTCTGATACATTTCCAGGTGGCACCGATGCTGCTGGTTGCAAACCAGTCATTGAGTAGCAAGGTGACAGGTCATCTTTTACATACATCTCCCTAACCAAATGTAGCTCCTCTTCATCTACTTGTGAGTCTTTTCCTGTCTTAGATCTCATAAACTACTTGCTTGTTGCTTTATAGAAAAACACAGGATTATAGTAATTCCTCTAACAATGAATATTTCCTTTACAAATAATCAAACTTACTTTCCACCTTTGCTAGGCCTTTCTTTGTATGCCTTTTTGTTTCAGCATTGAATTATACTGTAAAATTTTTGAAGACATTTTAAAGAGCACTTAAGCTGAACATATCCAATAGGAACAATGCACACGACTCAACAGAAGTGAAGGTATATAAGCCAGGTGCAGTGGCTCACACCCATAATCCCAGCCTCTGGGAGGCTGAGGCAGGAGGCCAGGAGTTTGAGACCAGCCTGAGCAACATAGCAAGACCCCTGTCTCTAAAACCTAAAAAAGAAAAATAAATTAAAAATAGTAAAGTGAAGAGAATATAAACAACTATGACCAGGTTCATGAATCACAGGCAATGACATCTCTGTCACAGCTACTGCCTGGCCAACAGCAAACACAAGATACCATCAGATTGTATGACTCATCCCAATTTCTCTGCAGTATTAAAATAGGAAAACGGTAGAATTGTGAAACACCGTATATTTAAAAGAGCAAGACAATAAGAGGGCAAGAAAAGATATAAGAAACAAAACTACATAAAGTGCTTTGCATTTATTTGTTCATTCATGTTTTCTTTATTGAGTATTGACCATAGGTAAGGCAGTACACTCTGAGGTAATAGTGGTGAACAAGCAGTTCCCCAGCTCCTGCCCTCAGATACCTTACAATTCAGCAGGGAGACTGACATTAAGGAAATAGAGTCAATCTTCATTATTTGTGGATTCCGAATTTGTGAATTTGCCTTTGGGTCAGTCTACTAGGGCTGCCATAACAAAATACCACAGACTGGGTGCTTGAGCAACAGAAATATATTTTCTCACTGGGGACTATAAGTCCAAGATTGGGGTGCTAGAAAATTTGGTTTCCAGTGAGACCTTTTTTCCCAGCTTGCAGTTGGCTGCCTTCTCACTATTGGTCATGTTGTGAAGAGGGAAGGAGAGATACAGAGACAGGAGAAGAGAGGAAAGAGGAGGGAAGGAGGCTTCTCTGGTATCTCTTTCTCTTCTTATAAGGGCACCAGTTCTATCAAATTAGGGCCCACTCTTATATAAGACTGCATTTAACTTTAATTGCCTTCTTAAAGGTCTATCTCAAAATACAGTCACATTGGGGGTTAGGGCTTTAACATATGAATTTTGGGAGGATACAGGACAGTCTATAATAGCCTGCCTGCTAAAATTTACTTGTAACCCCCAAATCAATATTTGCAGCACTTCTGTGGTCATTTATAGACATGTGCAAAGCAGCAAGAAATTTGTATTGTCTATTGCACACGTTCCTGAGGCTGAACAAGGTGACTCCCTGACTTCTTATTTTGGCTCCCATATTGTAAACAAGTATTCTTTTTGTGGTCTATTATTCCCATATTTTTCTCATTTTTGTGCTTTTTGTTGGTGATTTCACAGTTTAAAATGGCCCCAAACATCGTGCTGAAGTGCTGTCTAGTGTTCCTAAGCAGAAGGGTGCAATGTGTCTTACAGATAAAACATGTTAGATAAGCTTCATTCAGGTATGAGCTGGCCATGATTTCATTGTTAATGAATCAACAATATATACTAGGCTGGGCGCAGTGGCTCATGCCTGTAATCCCAGCACTTTGGGAGGCTGAGGCCGGTGGATCACTTGAGGTCAGGAGTTTGAGACTAGCCTGGTCAACATGCTGAAACTCCATCTCTACTAAAAATAAAAATTAGCCAGGCGTGGTGGCATATGCCTGTGGTGCCAGCTACTTGGGAGGCTGAGACACGAAAATTGCTTGAACCTGGGAGGCGAAGGTTGCTATGAGCTGCCATTGTGCCACTGCACTTCAGCCTGGGCAACAGAGCCAAACTCCATCTAAAATATATATATATATATATTTCATTTTATATATATATTTCATTATATGTATATGTGTGTGTGTATATATATACACACATATGTATATATATATACACATATGTATATATACACATATACATATAATGAAATTCTTTAATGGCAACACACCTAAAACAAGGTTGTGTATTGACCAGTTGATGAAAATGTGACCAGAGGTTCGCAAGATCCTAACCGTATATTTCCCCTAAAAGCAGTGGTTCAATATTTGCAACTTCATGGAACACGAACTACCAAAAATAACAATAACTGTAACTGAAATTAATTGTTTAATAATTGCAGTGTGAAGACACATTATAAGATTCTATGAGAAGGTTCTATAGAAGCATCATAAACATCTATATTTAATATATTCATTCAACATATTTGCAGAGTGAAAAAATACTGCATATCAGAAAAAATAATAGATGAGGGGAGAAATTAACATTGGAGTCTCATTATGCAGTATATAGCTCAAAGTGTGATGGGCTTTCATGAGTTCTGCTGGGTATTGTTTATTTGTTCATTTTTTTGTGTTTTTAACAAAATAAGATTGCTACAATAGTAGGACTTTCAAGGCTGTGAGTTTTTCAGTTCCAAATTTGGAATCTACACTAAAAACTGTGAATGCATCTGGAGTGGGGGGAGCCAGGGGACTGGAGGGCGGCAGCTTTTTGCTGTGGTGGATGAAGATAGGAGGTTAGGGAAAATACCAGCCCCTGGTAGAAAGTAAACCCAGAAAGAAATTTGAAAATTAAGAAGTTTCTCTATTCTTGGCTCCTACAAGGAAGCAAAACAAAGAAAGAAAGGCGTAGATCAGTTTTTAAAGTTTTTGTGATAATTACCTTTTTTCCAGTTTGAAAACATTTTCTAATTAAATAATTTGATCTCATATACATAAGGGAGGCACTGAAGTGATTATTTTTCCAGTTCCATTAAGGGCTTGTGTTCTGACTTACAACCACCAGGTGGAGACAAAACAAAACTAAAGTATTTCCCATATTTTGAGCTTTATATTGAATTTGAGCAATTCTTTAAATCAGGAGTATGGAGAATTTTTTTTTTCTTTTCTCTTGTGAATAAGCCACTCACAGGGCCAAAAACTTCATAGATCAAAGATCACATACAAATTCAAAACAAGCACAATTTTTGAAGAGAGCCATAATGTGTTCAAATCAATATCTGTTAAAATTAAAACTGGGAAACATGTATATTTTAAATAAGTTTTTAAAAAGTAAATATATTTTCATCCTGCAGGAGCCAGATTAAAAAAAATAAAATTTTCAGGTGACACTATGGCCAGTTAGAGAATGTGAAAGATGAAGTAGAGAAAAATAGGAAAAAACAAAACAACAAGGAGAAGAAAGAAAGAGGAAGAACAAAGCAGACACAGACACAGACAGGCATACACAGAGTGAAACACTGAGTGGCTGAAGCTGGCCTAGAGTGTGAGATTGACACACAGAGACAGCCAAGGTCCATGCCTGTTATGGGGCCAGCATGGTTTTGATCCTTCTTCTCCAAGTGTACTGAGGGTATCCGGGTCAGCAGTCCCACAGAGCTCTTTAAAAGGCTGATTAACCTCCAACCATCCCCTTTCTGAACTGCGAATTGGTTCTGCTTTTATTTTCAAACTTCAAAGTTTAATTTCAAAATGAAGATTTCTCTTTCCATCAAAATTGAAAGATTTTTCCCACTCCATGTAAAGGGGGTAGGAAAACCCCTTTAAAAACTCGAGTTTCTAAAAGTTCCCTCTTTGTAACTTTAGAAATTTGGGGGTGATATAGTTAATATTCACAGGTGGTCAGGTAGCCTTATTCCTGTTATTTTTTATTTGGGGGTTTCTCATTTCATAGTAGTTGGAAGTTATAATTCTAGTGGCCATATAATTGTTCTGAACCTTATTGACAATCAAACCTACTGTGTGCACGTGTGCGTGTGCTAGCAGTCACATGCCCGTGTGCCTATTTAGAGCCCTGTGAAGATGTTCTACCAGAGGAACAAAGACAGAATTTCCTCTCTGGGAAGATGGGGTAACAGCAGACCCTTCTGTCTGCCTATTGAAGGATCCAAAAGTTTCAGTCACCATAGCTCATCACAAAGAGGAGGAAATGGCCCTCACTCTGCAGTTCACTTCTCATTATTTACAAGGAACTGGATGCAATGAAGTTAGGAGCAAGGTCCTAGTAATGAGCTGAACTTCTCCATGAGTCTCATTGTTCAGATGAAATGTGGGGCACAGTTTGTCATTGTAACTAGAAAGTAATGGGGGCGGGGTATTGGAACGAGCCTGTTTTAGAAAAACTCATCTCATAGGCATTGTGAATCATTACAATTTATCACATTTGAGACTTTGGTAAAAGTATATGAAAGTTGGTAGCCTTTTGATAAAAATGTCACATTTCTTCCTATAACACTTGGGGAATTTTAAAAAATTGGAGCAAAGGCTGGGCGCGGTGGCTCATGCCTGTAATCCCAGCACTTTGGGAGGCCGAGGCAGGCGGATCATGAGGTCAGGAGATTGAGACCATCTTGGCCAACATGGTGTAACCCCATCTCTACTAAAATACAAAAAAATTAGCTGGGTGTGGTGGTGTGTGCCTGTAGTCCCAGCTACTCGGGAGGCCGAGGCAGGGGAATCGCTTGAAGCCGGGAGGCGGAGGTTGTGGTGAGCCAAGATCGCGCCACTGCACTCCAGCCTGGTGACAGAGCAAGACTCCATCTCAAAAAAAAAAAAAAAAAAAAAAAATTGGAGCAAAAAAATAAAAAGCCAACACTGTCTTGTCATTTAACAAGTACCTACTTACTTTTTAAGAGCATTAAAATTGCCTCACTGGAAGCCAGCTGTGTGACCTTGGGCTACTCATTCAACCTCTCTGGGTGTCTGAGTCTCAAAGGTGGAGCATGCAGTCCTGGGGACATGGGCAAGATGATCCATTGAGGAGCTGGAGGAAATGTTAGAAATTTTACTTATAATTTTCCATCTAAAATGTAAGGGAAAATGTTAAGCTTTACTAATATTTGGTATATGGATTGACTGAGTACAAGTATATAATTTGATACCCAAAGGACTATAAATCAGGCTGCTATAAAGACACATGCACACGTATGTTTATTGCGGCACTATTCACAATAGCAAAGACTTGGAACCAACCCAAATGTCCAACAATGATAGACTGGATTAAGAAAATGTGGCACATATACACCATGGAATACTATGCAGCCATAAAAAATGATGAGTTCATATCCTTTGTAGGGACATGGATGAAATTGGAAACCATCATTCTCAGTAAACTATCGCAAGAACAAAAAACCAAACACCGCATATTCTCACTCATAGGTGGGAATTGAACAATGAGATCACATGGACACAGGAAGGGGAATATCACACTCTGGGGACTGTGGTGGGGTCGGGGGAGGGGGGAGGGATAGCATTGGGAGATATACCTAATGCTAGATGACACGTCAGTGGGTGCAGCACACCAGCATGGCACATGTATACATATGTAACTAACCTGCACAATGTGCACATGTACCCTAAAACTTAAGAGTATTAAAAAAAAAAAAAAAAAAAAAAAAAAAAAAAAAAAATGCATGCACATGAAAAAAAAAAAAATTGCTTTTGGCTGTAAAGTCTGTTTTATCAGATCCGTTCATTTATTCATTCACTGATTCAATTAAAATAAACATTTATTGAACATTTATTGTTTTTAAGGAATGTCCTAAACACTGGAGATACAGTAGTGAACAAATGAGAAAGTCCCTACTCTCTTGGATCTGACAGATCTTATATTTTATTTGGAGATCACAGACAATAAACAAAATATAAAAAAAAAAAAAAAGTATATAATTTGTACATGTACAAATTAGGGGGTGCCTGTTCAAAAATGCTTTCCTGTTACTGGTTTATGATTATAAAATATATGGAGATTACTGACCTATATCATTCAAAGATTAAGCCAGATTTGGTGTTTTTTTTTTCTTTTTTCTTTTTCTTCTTTTTTAGACAGTCTCACTTTGTCGTCCAGGCTGGAGTGCAGTTGGTGCGATCTCAGCTCACTGCAACCTCTGCCTCCCAGGTTCAAGTGATTCTCGTGCCTTGGCCTCCTGAGAAACTGGGATTACAGTTGCGCACCACCACAGCTGGCTAATTTTTGTATTTTTTTAAGTAGAGACAGGGTTTCACCATGTTGGCCAGGCTGGTCTCGAACTCCTGACCTCAAGTGATCCAACTGCCTCAGCTTTCCAAAGTGCTGGGATTACAGGCGTGAGCCACTGCGCCCGGCTGATTCAGTATTTTTTCAGATTGCCAGTTACAACCTGCTTGATGGGTTGTGCAAACAATTTAGTGAATTTTTAAAGAGTGAAATAAAATATCAATGTCATTGCTCATAGTAAGAATTAGGTGTTGTCTGTGAAAATTTACAGATGAACACATGTGTGAGTACTGGGTTCTGATGTAAAGTGTATCTCCCATTGTGGGTCATCTTTTGAAAAATTGAAAGCAACGGGTGAGAGCAGTGTTTCTCAAAGTGTAGTCCTCAGACTATCAGCAGTATCACCTGGGCATTTATTAGAAATGCAAATTCTCTAGGCCCATCTAAGATTTACTGTATTAGAAATGTGGGGTGCAGTCCACAGCTGTTTAATGCTTAGGTGATTTTTTTTTTTTTTTGGTGTAGTTCTTTTTTTATTTTAGTCAACTATTTTCAACTCTAAAATTAAAATAAAAAAATAGGCCAGGTGCCATGGCTCACACCTGTAATCTTAGCACTTTGGGAGGCCGAGGTGGGCAGATCACTTGAGGTCAGGAGTTTGAAACCAGACTGGCCAACATGGTGAAACCTCGTCTCTAGTAAAAATACAAAAAAATTAGCTGATTGTTTTGGGGTCGGTTGGGGGGAAGGCGCCTGTAATCCCAGCTACTTGGGAGGCCGAGGCAGAAGAATCGCTTGAACCTGGGAGGCAGAGGTGGTAGTGAGCCGAGATCACACCACTACACTCCAGCCTGGGTGACAGAGCTCAAAAATAAAATAAAATAAAATAAAATAAAATAAAATAAAATAAAAAATAATAAAAACATTGTATAATGAAAGTTTACCTTTATGATATCTTCTGTTAACCTCAGCACTATTTTTACCTTGTATTTTTATATGTATTTTATGACATATTTTTGCTTTTTGCCGTTTATTTTATTTTTTAATCTATTCAATTTGACACCTAGCCATTTATTTTAATTTTATTTATTTTTGTTTATTGTGGTAAGAATACTTAAAGTGAGATCTACCCTCTTAACAGATTTTTAAGTGTGCAATACATTATTGTTAACTATAAACACAATGTTTTACAGCAGATCTCTAAAACTTATTCATCTTGCATAACTGAAACTTTATACTTATTTCCCCCTCTACCCATCTCTGGGCAACCATCATTCTACTCTCTGTTTCTATGAGTTTGACTATCTTAGATACCTCATATAAATAAATCATGCAGTGTTTTTCTTCTGTGACTGGCTTATTACACTTAGCACAATGTCCTCTAGTTTCATGCATGTTGTCACATATGGCAAAATTTACTTGTTTTTTAAGACTGAATAGTATTACATTGTATGTATATGCCACACTTTCTTTATCCATTCATCTGTTGATGGACATTTCGATTATTTCCATATCTTGGCCATCGTGAAAAATACTGCAATGAACATGGGAGTGCACGTATCTCTTCATGATCTTGATTTCAATTCTTTTGAATATATACCCAAAAGTAGGACTGCTGGCTCATATCAACTGAAGAATAATGAGGTTCATAAATTTGGTAAGGATAACTTCATTTCTCATAAAGTGTTGCAGCCTGCAGGGTGACCATTCGGACAAGCTGGGAAGTATAGCCTCCAGCCAGAAGCCAGAAACAGACACTTCTAGGGAGGGGCAAAAGGAACAGGAATTTATGCTGACCAGAATCGCTGAATATATATATTTTTACTAAGCTAAAGGAGGAGTCATGAATATTTATGAAAGGAGAAACTTGCACATGCATAATTGAGCTTCACACCTTTCCATGGAACCCATGTTCAAAAAATGATAGTATTAGCATTATCTGAGGGTGGAGTTTTTGGCCCTCTGATATCAAAAGGTGAAGCAGAAGACACACAAACCTTTACTGTGCATCCTCTGTAGACTGGTCAGAACCACTCTACAGTTGGTGGTCTCTTACCAAGAAGGGGAATGCTAATTGGTTGTTTTGTTGAAACTATAAAAGAGACAGGCAGTGCAAGGCAGTTGGCTGATACCAGAGGTGGAATGAGTCCAAAGGGCTGGTTTCTGTTTAACCCTTAGGAAAGAAGGCCTAATGACAGTAGGAAGGGAGGGAGAACAAGGTGTGTCTGAACTCCCATCATGTTATGGCTGGAACATAGCTCTCAAGTTTTCTCTGGGGTCCCCTTGGCCAAAAGGGGGTCCTTTCAGTTAGTTGGGGGGCTTAAGATTTCACTTTTGTCAGTCATATGGTAATTCTATTTTTAATTTTTTGAGAAATTACCAGACCATTTTTCATAGCAACTGCATCATTTTATAACCCCACCAACAGTGTACAAGGGTTCCAATTTCTCTGCATCCTTGCCAACACTTATCTTTTGGTTTTTTTGATAATAGCCATCCTGACATGTATGAGGTGATAACTCCTTTTGGTTTTCATTCAGATCTTCCTGAAGATTAGGGAAGTAGAGCATCTTTTCATATGTTTCTCAGTCATTTGTATGTCTTCTTTGGAGAAATGTCTTTTCAAGTCCTTTGCCCATTAAATTTTTTTTTCTGTTGAGTTGCAGAAGTTCCTTGTATATTTTGGATATTAATCCCTTATCAAATATATGATTTGTAAATATTTTTCCATTATGTAGCTTGTCTTTTCATGCTATTGTTTCCTTCCTTCACTGTGCAGAAGATTTTTGGTTTGATGTAGTGCCATTTGTCTAATTTTGCCTTTGTTGCATGCGTTTTTGGTGTCATATCCAAGAAATCATTGCCAAGATCAATATCAAGAAGATTTTTCCCTGTATTTCCTTCTAGCAGTTTCATAGTTTCAGTTCTTATGTTTAAGTCTGATATGTTGATCTAAAAGGAAAAAGCTGAGGCAAAATTATTATAAGTAGAGAGTTTATTTGGGCCAAACTTGAGGATTGCAACCCAGGAACATAGATTCAAGTTGCCCTGAATATACATTCTAATTAGCAACAGTTACAAGTAGGTTGTTAGAGGAAAAGAAGAGGCCATTCCTAAGTTGCTTACTGAGAATTTACACTAAAATAACATGAGCTATTTATTGCATATACATTGTTCTTTTTATCACAAATTCCAGGAACATGAAGATGACGGGGGAGACAGCCAGTCAGGAACAAAATACCTTTAAACAATCGTCCCAGGCATGTGTGTGGGAGGGGGATACAGGGTAGGTAGAAGGGAGAATGATTGAAGTCCCATATGCATGTCTCTCTGAACCTGCATACCTCACAGAGCTCAGATGGCTCTGAGTTTTCTTTTTTCAAATCTATTTTGAGTTTATTTTGTATATGGCATAAGATAACGGTCCAATTTCATTTTTTGCATGTGGATATCCAGTTTCCTTGGCACAAAGAGACTGTCCTTTCCCCACTATGTGTTCTTGGAATCCTTGTTTGAAGATCAGCTGACTGTATATGCATGAGTTTATTTCTGTACTCTTGACTCTTTTCCATCGGTCTATAAGACTGTACTTAATGCCAGTACCATAGTTTTAATTAATATAGCTTTATAATGTATTTTGAAACCAGGAAGTATGATGCCTCCAGCTTTGTTCTTCTTTCTCAAGATTGCTCTGGCTACTTGGTGTCTTCTATGGTGCTATATAAATTTTAGGATTTTTCTTTCTATCTCTGTAAAAAATGCCATTAGGATTTTAATAGAAATTGTACTGAATCTGTAGATCGCTTTTGGTTCAATTCATGAACATGGTTTATCTTTCCATTTATTTGTGTCTTTTAACATTTCTTTAATCAATGATTTGTAGTTTTCAGTATATAATTCTTTTATTTCCTTGGAAAAGCTTATTCCTAAATATTTAATTATTTTTAATGCTATGGCAAATGGGATTGTTTCCTTATTTCCTTTTCAGATAGCTCATTGTTAGTGTATAAAAACTCAACTAATTGGCTGGGCATGGTGGCTCATGCCTGTAATCCCAGCACTTTGGGAGGCTGAGGCGGGAGGATCACCTGAAGTCAGGAGTTTTAGACCAGCCTGGCCAACATGGCAAAACCCTGTCTCTACTAAAAATACAAAAATTAGCCGGGCATGGTGGTGTGCACCTGTAATCCCAGCTACTTGGGACGGTGAGACAGGAGAATAGCTTGAACCCAGGAGGTGGAGGTTGCAGTGAGCTGAGATCGCACCATTGCACTCCAGCCTGGGTGACAGAGCGAGACTCTGTCTCAAAAAAAAAAAAAACTCAACTAATTTTTGTATGTTGATTTTGTATCCTGCAACTTTACTGCATTTGTTTATTAGTTCTGACAGTTCTTTGTGTGTGTGTGTGTGTGTGTGTGTGTGTGTGTGTGGAATTTTTGGGATTTTCTACATATAAAATCATGTCATCTACAGAGATAATTTTACTTCTTCCTTTCTGACTTGGATGCCTTCTATGTCTTTCTCACCTGATTGCTCTGGCTAGGACTGAAGTACTAGGTTGAATAGAAGTATTGATAGTGGTGCTACGAAATTCCCTCTTAGTACTGCATTTGCTGCATCTCCTAAGTTTTGGTATGTTATGTTTTCATTTTTATTTGTCTTGAGATATATTCTAATTTCCTTTTTGATTTTTTTGACCCAGTGGTTATTTAAAAGTATATTCATTTCCATGTATTTGTGAATTTTTTCTTTTGTTTTTGATTTCCAGTTTTATTCCATTGTGGTTGGAGAAGACACTTGATGTGACTTTAATCTTCTTAAATTTGTTGATACTTGTTTTGTTTTCCAAAATGTGTACTATTCTAGAGAATGTCCCACGTGTACTTGAGAATAATGCCTATTCTGCTGTTGTTGAGTGTCATGTTCTGAATATGTCACTTGGGTCCATTTGAAATATAGTGTTTATTTCTGCTGCTTCTTTATTGATTTTCTGTCTGGATGTTCTATCTATTATTGAAAGTTTGATATTAAAGTCTGCTACTATTATTGTATTACTATCTATTTCTTCCTTTAGGTCTGTCAGTGTTTGCTTTATATACTTAGGTACTCTCATGTTGGGTGCATATATATTTATAATAGTATATCTTTCTGATGAATTGTTCTGCTAGTCATTATATAGTGACTTTCTTATTCCCTTATGACAGTTTTTGACTCAAAGTCTATTTTGTCTGATATAAGTATAGCCATTCATGCTCTCTTTTGGTTACCATTTGGGTGGAATATTTTTTTCTATCCCTTCACTTTCAGCTTTGGGGGTCTTTGATTCTAACATGAGTCTGTTATAAACAGCATATAATTGCATCTCATTACTTTATTTAATCCGTTCAGCCCCTCTATTTCTTTTGATTGTAGAATTTAATTCATTTATGTTTAAAGTAATTACTGATAGGTAAGGACTTAGTATTGATGTTTTGTTAATGTTTTCTTTTTTGTAATTGCTCTTTTGCCGTCTTCCTTTGTGATTTGTTGATATTTTTCTTTTTTTAGTGATACACTTTGATTTCTTTTTCTTTTATGTATCTATGATAGGAATTTTCTTTGTCATTATTATGAAGATTACATAAAACATAATTATAACTTTCTCTTTTAAGCCGATAGTTTCAACTGCATACAAAAACTAACTTTGACTTCCATATACTTTGTTATTGATGTCATACTTTACATCTTTTTATATTATGTATCCATTAATACATTTTTTGTATTTATAGTACTTTTTAATATTTTTGTCTTTTAACTTTTATTGGAGCTAAAAATGATTTACACATCATGATTATACTATTACAGTATTCTTTATTTGTCTATAAATTTACCTTTACTGAGTTTTATGCTTTTATATGCTTTTATGTCACTGTTTAGTGTCCTTGTATTAGTTTGTTTTCACACTGCTGATAAAGACATACCCGAGACTGGGTAATTTATAAAGAAAAAGAGGCTTAATGGACTCACATTTCTACATGGCTGGGAAGGCCTCACAATCATGACAGAAGGCAAAAGACATGTCTTACATGGCAGCAGGCAAGAGAGAATGAGAGCCAAGTGAAAAGGAAAACCCCCTATAAAACCATCAGATCTCGGACTTATTTATCACCATGAGAACAGTATGGGGGAAACTGCCCCCATGATTTAACTGTCTTCCACTGGGTATCTCCTATAACATGTGGGAATTATGGGAGCTACAATTCAAGATGAGATTTGGGTGGGGACACAGCCAAACCATATCAGTCCTTTTTTTTTGTTGTTGAGACAGAGTCTGGCTCTATCACCAGGCTGGAGTGCAGTGGCATGATCTCAGCTCATTGCAACATCTGCCTCCCAGGTTCAAGCGATTTTCCTGCCTCAGCCTCCCAAGTAGCTGGGACTACAGGCATGTGCCACCATGCTCAGCTAATTTTTTGTATTTTTAGTAGAGATGGGGTTTCACCATGTTGGCCAGGATGGTCTTGATCTCCTGACCTCAGGTGATCCGCCCACCTCAGCCTCCCAAAGTGCTGGAATTACAGGCGTGAACCACTGCACCCAGCCCATATGAGTCCTTTTATTTCAACTTTAGGAATTCTCTTTAGCTTTTCTTATAAGGCAGGTTTGGATGGTCATAAACTCTCTTAGCTTTTGTTTGTCTTGGAAAGTCTTTATTTCTCCTTAATTTTTAAAGGACAGTTATGTTACGTATAATGTTCTTGGTTGACAGTTTTTTGTTTCAGCACATTGAATATATCATTTCACTGTCTTCTGGCCTGCAAGCTTTCTGCCAAGAAATCCACTGATTGTCTCATTTGACAGGGGGCAGGGGGTGGGGGTGGGGGGCTTGAACATGATGAGTCACTTTTCTCTTACTGCTTTCAAAATTTCTCTTTATGGCTGGGTACGTTGGCTCATGCCTGTAATCCTAACACTTTGGGAGGTCAAGGTGGGAAGACTGCTTGAGCCCAGGAGTTTGAGACCAGCCTGAACAACATAGGGAGACCTTGTATCTACAAAAAAATACAAAAAATTAGCCAGTTTTAGTGGTGCACACCTGCAGTCCCAGCTACTCAAGAGGCTGAAGTGGGAGAATCACCTGGGCCTGAGGCGGTCAAGGCTGCAGTAAGCCGTGATTGCACCACTGAACTCCAGCCTGGGTGACAGAGTGAGACCTGTCTCAAAAAACACAAACAAAATTTCTCTTTCGCTTGATTTTGTGTGTGTGCGTGTGTGCAGCTGACTTTTGACAACTTGACTATAATGTGCCTTGATGCTGACTTTATAGGGCTCGTTCTATTTGAAGTCTATTTGAAGTACTTTGGGCTTCATCAATCTGTATGTCCATTTCCTGCCTCAGATTTGAGAAGTTTATAATCATTATTTGTTTTTTAATTTTTAGATAATTATTATTTTAAAATGTTTTATTTTAGATTCAGAGGGTATATGTGAAGATTTGTTACAAGGGTATATTGTGTGATGCTGAGGTTTTGGCTTCTAATGATCCTGTCACCCAGATAGTGAACATAGTACCCAATAGGAAGTTTTTCAGGCCTTGTTTCCCTTCCTCCCTCCATCTTTTGGGGTCCCCAGTGTCTATTATTCTTATCTTTATGTCCGTGTATATCCACTTATAAATGAAAACATGCAATATTTGGTTTTCTGTTTCTGCCTTAATTTGCTTAGGATAATGGCTTCCAGCTGCATCTATGTTGTTGCAAAGGGCATGATTTTATTCTTTTTTTATGGCTGCATGTTATTTCTTTAAATAGCCTTTTTGTTCCTTCCTTTCAGGACTCCCATAATGTGTATATTGGTTCACTTGATGGTGTTTCGTAGTTTACTGAGGCTTTCATCACTCTTTAAATTTTTTTTCTCTTTGCTCCTCTCACTCAGTAATTTTAAATTATCTGCCTTTGAGTTTGCTGATTCTCTCTTCTGCTTGATCAAGTGTGCTGTTGAATGTCTAGTGAATTTTTTAGTTCAGTTATTAAATTATTCAGCTCCAGAATTTCTGTTTGGTTCTTCTTTATCACTTCTATCTCTTTATCAATATTTTTGTTTGGTATATGTATTGTTTTCCTGACATTTTTTTAAGTTGTCATTCTGTGTTCTCTTGTGACTCATTGAGCTTCTTTGATTGTTTCAAATTTCTTATTAGGCAATTTGCAGATCTTCATATCTTTAGGGTCAGTTACTAGAGATTTCTTTTGTTCATTTGATTGTATAATGTTTTCCTGATTCTTTATGTTCCTTGTAGATTTGTGTTGGTTTCTAGCACATTTGAAAAAAATAGCTGCCTCTCCTAGTCTTTATGTACTTGCTTTCACTGGGAAAAATCATCACCAGTTATCCCAGACAGAGATTCTGGGTCTTTGTTCCTAGCTGTGCCAGGCATCATCCAGTCCCCCCAACTTTTTTTTTTTAGATAGAGTTTTCGCTCTTGTTGCCTAGGCTGGAGTGCAATGGCATGATCTTGGCTCACTGCAACCTCTGCCTCCCCAGTTCAAGCAATTCTTCCGCCTCAGCCTTCCAAGCAGCTGGGATTACAGGCGTGCACTACCACGCCCAGCTAAGTTTGTATTTTTAGTTGAGATGGGATTTCGCCATGTTGGTCAGGCTGGTCTGGAGCTCCTGACCTCAAGTGATCTACCTGCCTCAGCCTCCCAAAGTGCTGGGATTACATGTGTGAGCCACCGCACCTGGCCCTTTAAAAAAATGTCTTATGTCAGTTCTGTCACCACTCTGTGTGAGGTGAGATAGAGCCTGGCCCTTTGGGCAGTACACTGAAAGGTGGGGATGTTGGGGGCATGTTCCATTTCCCCCTCCCTCCTGGAGGACAGATCTCAGTTCTGTGCTGTCTCTATGCCTCTCACAGCTATGGTGGCCTTGGGAAAGTGCCTGTCCCCTTAGCTGCCCCAGGGATCTGGACTATGTAGTTCTTTTGGCACTTTTTGTAAAATGAGATAGAAGCCAACTCCATGGGTATTATACTGAAAAAAAAGAAAAAAAGAAAAAACAGGGACATTGGATTTTTGCCACACCATCTCCTCCAACCCCTCAAAAAGAGTCCCAATCCCTCTCATTGTTGAGCTATACAGCTTGGGGGAAGGGCTGATGCAAGTAAAGTGAAATTGCTCTTCTTACCCAATTCAGTGCAGCTGATGTTGATTATGCTTGTCTACAGTATTGTAACTTCCTAACTGGATTCTAGAGTTCTTATAAAGGCATTTTATTACTTATATCATTGTTAAATCTGTGTTTTTGTGGGAAATGAGGGTTGAGACTTCCTATTCTGCCACCTTGCTATTGTCACTCTCCAGGTGATTCAGATGAATGCTAAAACTTGGAGCCACTTGTCTAGAGCGTTTCTTGGACTCAGCTGGTTGCAAAAACTTAGGACTCTATTAGATATTTGTTTAACTAAGGCAGTGTTTCTAAAACTTACTGATCATAAAAATCACCTGGGGTGATTTTAAGATACCTCCCAGATCATAATTAAGCAGTTCTTGGGGGAGGGAAGGCCAAGGAATTTTACTTTTAACAAACATCCTTGGTTTGTGACTCTTGTGATCAGAGAAGTTGGGGAAACACTTTACCAAAAAATATGAAGATTATAGACAGAGTGTGTAGATAGTAACTATTTCACAGAGCAGAAAACAGTGTTATAGAGAAACCAAGTATAATTAAGGGAAGTAAGCAATTTAAAAGAGAACCCAAAAGGCTAAGAATTTTCTGAATATTTCTAAACTGAATGAAATGAACTTTGTTTCATTTTGAGCGCTGAGACTAAGATATTCTCTTCTGAAAAGCTTGCTCTGAACTTTTTTACAGCATTTCAAGTCAAGAACATGGTAGATAAAAGGGCTAGTTGAAATGAGTCTTACATATCAATAATATCTATTCCTTAGGCAGGCATCTCCTGCTCTTGGACTCAGGGAGCTTGAAGCATGCACAGAGGAGGTGCTCTTAAATTCCTTCACTGCTGGATTAGGCAGATTTCACAGATGTTGTTAGGCTAAGGCCTCACTTTTAAAAGTAACTGTCAGCTGGGTGCAGTGGCTCATGCCTGTAATCCCAGCCTTTTGGGAGGCTGAGGCAGGTAGATCACAAGGCCAGGAGTTCGAGACCAGCCTGGACAACATGGTAAAACCCTGTCTCTACTGAAAATACAAAAATTAGCCAGGCGTGGTGGTGCACGCCTGTAATCCCAGCTACTCAGGAGGCTGAGGCAGGAGAATTGCTTGAACCTGGGAGGAAAGGTTGCAATGAGCTGAGATCACGCTACTATACTCCAGCCTGGGCAACAGATCAAGGGTCTGTCTCAAAAAATAAAAAAAAATAAAAAAAGTAACTGTCACAACTTAGTTTTCTTACTGCTGAAACTGCATTCCCAATTGATTTTAATTAAATATACATCTTTATGTTAGAAAAATTATGTCTGCCCATTATAAAAATATTCAATAAAAACCTCTGATACCCCTTTCTTCTCTGCCCTAGCCCAAACTTAATCTTTGCTGACACTTTGGAGGATATTTTTCTGATTTTTAAGTACATATAGAGTTTAGTACATAAAATTATTATTGATGTATTCCATAATTCTTCAGTAAACCTAGGTCCTGAATATTCATATGTATCTTTACATATCTAGGCAGTTCTTTTGGGCACTAGGTGATTTTAAATGTTTCACATTTACCAAATGTATTTGAACACTTTAAACATTAGGATGTATTTTAACTGAATATCTACAAGAGTACAAGGCAGATAATGTGTGCTTGGTTTGATAGAGACTAAAAAATGTCTCCTGAACAGATTATTACTGCAAGAAATTATATAAATAATGTATTGCATTTAAAAATCTTTATAACAAGAACAATAATAAAAATGAAAAATTAAATCCTTGTATTTCTAAGATCAATATAAGTCTCATAGTCACATTAATAAAATATTTTCATTTTGTTTTGTTATAAAATGTGACCTAAAAGCAAACTATTAAAATAATAGTGTTTTGGGGCCATTTTATCCATAGTGTAATAGCTGCAATATTGTTTTGGGGTAAAAATTTTTTATGTGTTAGAATGTCAGATTTGTTGCTACATATTTTCTCATCATAGCACAATATAGAAAAATCCTTTTTTTAAATATATATAAGTACGCTGTAACAGAAGAAAGAAGGGCATGGACAGGGTACAAGTATTTTACAATCTCTATGTATTCTTGATTTACATGCTCTAAAAAGCCTTAATTATATCATCTTTTATAGCTCTCTGTTGATTTTTCTAGAAATTTATGGGTACTATCATTCATTTTTATGTTTAACCATTTTGCTCTTTTAATTCACACACAGATTTTGAACTATAAGATGGTTTTTCATTTCTTCTGTCAGCCTTAGGTTAATGAGGAACAAGTTTGTATGTGTTTCATAATACCATAAACATCAAATAATAACCTCAAATATGTGTGACAATTATGAGATAAGACACCTGGCAATGGAGCCATCATACAGGAGGGGATGTGCTATGAGACAGAAGTGTGTGCTTCCCAGCATGTGTGCACTCAGGAAATAGTCACACACTTTTGCATGAGATATTTTTCTCCTTCCATTTCCTGGTATTATGGGATAGGAAGCAACATTAGTATTCTCTGAAGCTTTATGGTTTAGAACACAATTGTTATATTTAGCAAGGGAATAAATAAATACAGATAAAATGCTATAGATTTAACTTGTGGGTCCAGCTTCTGATATCAGAGTCACACTCTTGAATCTGGGTTATTTAGCCTAGGACTCAGGCCCAAGGGAGGATATTCCGTTACGAGATATCTATGACTAATTCAATTAATACTGGGGGACACGGTGGAAATATATTACTTTCAACAGGCTTTATAGCTTTGTTTTGTAGTCTACGGAAGCATTTTTCTATATATTACCTCATTTAGCCCTTAAAAACACCCTATGAAGTAGGTATTGCTATTTTACAGATGAAGAAACTGAGGCTCAGAGTGGTAAAGTGACTTGTGCAAGGTCCCTAGAATTCAAATTTGTATTTGTTTGATGTCAAAGCCTGTACTTTATTCACTATGGTGGGATTCCCTATGCTTCAGTCACTTGGCCACCATTAAGATTTTTGCTTTATGTACCACTGCTTTATTTCTTAAGATATATTTTTAAATTGACCCATTTGGGGGGCATTATAAGCATATTTTATTTTATTATTTTTTATTTATTTATTTATTTTTGAGACGAAGTCCCACTCTGTTGCCCAGGCTAGAGTGCAGTGGTGTGAACCCTGCTCACTGCAACCTCCATCTCCTGGGCTCAAGTGATTCTCTTGCCTCAGCCTCCTGAGTAGCTGAGACTACAGGCACATGCCACCACACCCAGCTAATTTTTGTATTTTTAGTAGAGACGGGGTTTCACCATGTTGGCCAGGCTGGTCTTGAACTCCTGACCTCAGGTGATCTGCCTGCCTTGCTCCCAAAGCGCTGGGATTATAGGTGTGAGCCACCATGCCCAGCCGTAAGCATAGTTTAAAAGGAAATTTTACATTAGTGGTCTTTGAAGTGGGGTACAAAGACTTTTAAAAAGGAAATCAGGCAAGAATAGTTTTAAGGCAATCAATTTTCATATCTTCAACTTCCATAGGTACTCTTTCCTAACACAGTTCTACTGAGAATGCACCCTCTCTTCCTTCCTCTCCTCATACAGTTCTTACTGTGTGGCCTTTCCCTGGAGCCTAAAAAGCTCTGGGGTTCAAACAAATGGACAATTTGGAATATCACCTTAGGTTTTATTGACTAGGTAACAAGTCCTTTTGCAAAGCAGAAATTTCTCAATTTTTGATTTCAGCAAAATTGAAGAAAGACCTAATTGAGTTTTTAGCTTGTTGATCATGAAAAATAATATCTGAAGAGCAATCACCATGTAAATTTTGGCATAGAACTAAATTCAAAGACTGATGTTGATGTAACAACACTCCCATCCTTATCTACTTAAGTCAACAAGGTTTTTCAGAGCCAACATCTATAAAAGTGAAAAATAGAAATAGAATTGATGCTTGAAACAAAACTAACTCAGATTTAAAAAAAGAAATAAAATTGATGTTAAATATGTCTTGTTCAACCATCAAGTAATTTTTTTTTTTTTTTTTTTTTTTGAGATGGAGTCTAGCTCTTTCTCCCAGGTTGGAGTGCAGTGGCATGATCTCAGCTCACCCTCTGCCTCCGGTGTTTAAGTGATTCTTGTGCCTCAGCCTCCAGAATAGCTGGGATTACAGGCATGTGCCATCACGCATGGCTAATTTTTGTATTTTTAGTAGAGAAGGTGTTTTTCCATGTTGCCCAGCTGGTCTCAAACTCTTGGCCTCAAGCCATCCACCTGCCTTAGCCTCCCAAAGTGTTGGGATTACAGGTGCAAGCCACTGTGCCCAGCAGCAAGTAATATTCATCCATGGATACATGAATTAACTTTAAAAATTACCAGCCATAGGCCAGGCATGGAGGCTCATGCCTATAATCCTAGCACTTTGGAAGACCAAGGCGGGTGGATTGCCTGAGCTCAGGAGTTTGAGACCAGCCTGGGCAACACGGTGAAACCCCATCTCTACTAAAATACAAAAAATTAGCCGGGCATGGTGGCATGTGCCTGTAGTCCCCAGCTACTTGGGAGGCTGAGGCAGGAGAATTGCTTGAACCCAGGAGGCAGAGGTTGCAGTGAGTGAGATCGTGCCACTGTACTCTAGTCTGGGCAACAGAGCAAGACTCGGTCTCAAAAAAAAAAAAACAAAAAAAACCAGTTTTTATAATAATCTAAATACTATATTCTTTGCATCTATTAGCATTTGTATTAAAAGTTTTAGCCAACCTAAAAACATGTAAAAAAAAAAAACATGTAAAAGTATACATAGGGCTGGGTGTGGTGGCTCATGCCTGTAATCCCAGCACTTTGGGAGGTGAAGGCTTGAGCTCAGGAATTCAAGACCAGACTGGCCAACATGGTGAAATCCTGTGTCTACCAAAAATACAAAAACATTAGCCAGGTGTAGTGGCATGCACTTGTAGTCCGTTACTGGGGAGGCTAAGGTGGGAGAATTACTTGAACTCAGGAAGTGGAGGTTGCAGTGAGCTAATAAGTGTGCCACTGCACTCCAGCCTGGGCCGACAGAGCGAGACTCCATTTCAAAGAAAAAAAGAAGAAATTCTGTTAAGCAAGAATTCTATATTCAGCAAAATTATTCTTCAAAAATAAAGGAGAAATAAATTCTCAGGCAAATGCATTGCCAGTATACTTGCTTTAAAGAAATGATAAAGAAGATGCTTCAGGCTGAAAATGAATGATACCACATAGTAACTCAGATTCATACATAGAAATGAAAAGCACATGAAAAAGCAAATAAATGGGTAAATAGAAAGGAATATTATATATACGTAAATATATAAGTATATATATAAATCTTTTAACATTTTTATAAAATGTAAGATTGCATAAAATGATAATTATAATCTTGTATTGAGTTTGAGTTTACAACCTTGAAATAATATATATGACAATAATAAAATAACAAAAAGGGGGGAATGCAGCTATATTGGAGCAAATTTTTATAATTTTACTAGAATTACATTCATATTAATTTGAAGTAGATTTTGTTAAATTAAGATGCATATTATAATCCCTAGAGCAAACACTAAAAAATTTACAAAACTCAAAACAATGTAATAATTTTTAAAAACTAACAAAGGAATAAAAGCAGCACACACAAAAATATCCATTTAACACAAAAGACAGTAAAGGAGAAACAAAGGAAGAAGAAACACATGGGACATAAATAAAATAGTAAAATGGAAGACAAATTGAACCATATCAATAACTACATTAAATATGAACAATCTAAATGCTATGCAAAAGTCAGAGATTGACTGACTAATAAAAGCAAGATCTAACTATATGCTACCTACAATAGACACATTAGATTTAAAGATAAAAATAGGTTGAAAGTAAAAGGATGGGGAAAAATGCCATAAAAACAGTACCATAGGAGAGTTGGAGTGGCTATATTAATAGACTTTAAGACAAGACATATTACTAGAGACAGATGGATGCTTTATAATGAATATGTAACAATTATAAATGTATATGTTCCTAACAACAGAGCCCCTAAATACATAAAGCAAAAGTTGATAGAATTAAAAAGAAAAACACTATTCAAAGAGACTTCAATACCCCATTTGATAGAAAATTAGTAACGATATAGAAGACTATCAACCAACCTGATACAACTGACATTTTTAGAACACCACACCTAATAACAGCAGAATACACATTCTTTTTAGTGTACATGGAACATTCTCCAGAATAGACTGGATGCTAGGCCATGATACAAGGCCCACATTTAACAGAATTGAAATCATACAAAGTATGTTCTCTGACCACAACAGGATTAAATTAGAAATGAGCAACAGAAGGAAATTTGGAAATCTCCAGATATTTGGAAATTAAATAACATGCTTTTAAATAACCCATAGTCAAAAAAGAAATCATGAGGGAAATTAGAAAATATTTTGAGTTGAGTTAAAACAAAAACACACACAAAATCAAAATTTGTGGCATGCAGTTAGTGCAGGGAGGGAAATTTATAACATTAAACACATTAAAAAAAGAGAAAAATCTTAATCTAAGCTTCCACCTCAAGAATCTAGAAAAAGGAGTAAAATAAACTCAAAACAAGCAAAAGGAAAGAAATAATAAAAAGTAGAAATCAATGAACTTGAGAAAATAAAAACCAATAAAAATCATGTTCTTGGAAAAAAGTCAACAAAATTGAGAAATCTTGAGCTAGACTAACCAAGAAGGAAGAGAGAAATAGAATATTTTCAAAATCAGAAATGAAACGGTTCATCACTACCAGTCCTATGGAAATTAAAGAGTTCACAGGACTGCTATGAACAAATTTACATTAACAAATTGGAAAACTTAAATGCAAAGATTCTTAGAAAGATACAAATTACCAAAACTGAACTAAGAATAATTAGAAAATCTGAATCTACCTATAACAAGTACAGAAATTCATTTAATAGATAAAATGCTTCCCATAAAGAAAAGCTTGGGTCCAGACAGCTCTGTATTCATTTCCTATTGCTGTATAACAAATTGCTGTAAATGTAGAGGCTGAAAATAACACCCTTTTATTAGCCCTCAGTTTTGTATTCCAGAAGTCTGACATGGTGAGACTAGAAATCAAGATGTCTGTCAGACTGAGTTCTCATCTGGAGGCTCTGGAGAAGAATCACTTCCAAGCTCACTTAGGTTGTTGGCATAATTCATTTCCTTGACCTTGTAGGAGTGAGATCCCCATTTTCTTGCTGGTAGTCCCTCAGGGGCTGCTTTTAGCTCTTAGAGGCTGCCTGCATTCCTTGTCATGTGGCCTGCTCCATCTTCAAGCCACAATAGCTCATTAAATATTTCTAGTGCTTCAGATTTCTAGCTTTCTCTTTTTCCATCAACCAAAAATCTTTCTGCTTTTAAAAGGTTCATGTGGCTAATCTCCCTTTCTTTAAGTCAACTGTTTCATATAACATAAGCTAATCATAAGAGTAAAACCCATCATATTTACAGTCCCAGGGCATTTTAGAATTCTGCCTGCTGCAGCTTCATTGGTCAATTCTATCAACTGTAGTTACAATAGCCAAAACAATTTTGAAAAAAAAGAATAAATTTGAGGATTTATACCATCTGATTTCAAAACTTGCTATATAGCTACAGAAATCAAGACACTGTTGTATTGGCATAAAGATAGGCATATAGCTTAACAGAATAGAATCGACAGAAATAGAGTTTATATTTACATTTGAAGGTTTTACATTTATAGTCAATTTTTGACAAAGGTACCAACATCGTTCAATAGAGAAAGGATAATCTTTTCAACAAATAATTCTGGATCAATTGGATATCCATAGCAAAAGGTAAATTCATACCGTTGTTTCATACTATATACAAAAATTAACTCAAGAGGGATAAGAGACTTACATGTAAAAAGTAAATATATAAAATTTCTAGATGAGAACATAGGAGAAAATCTTCATGATGTTGGGGTAGGCAAAGATTTCTTCTTAGACTCAATGTGAACCATAAAAGAAAACTTTGATAAATTGGATTTTGTCACATGAAAACTTTCTGCTCAAAATGAAAAGGCAAGTCACAGACTGGGGGAAGATATCTGCAGTACTTATATCTGATGAAAGATTGTGTATAGGATATACAAAGACATTCATCTTGGCTGTGATTGTGGTTACATGGCTGTATACTTTTTCAAAACTCAGCAAGCTTTATTTAAAATGTGCATTTTAGTGAATAAATTATACCTCAATAAAGCTGATTAAAATATATTAAAAGGATATCTTATTTGATTTATTTATTTTTTGAGATGAGTCTCGCTCTGTCGTCCAGGCTGGAGTGCAGTGGTGCAATCTTGGCTCACTGCAACCTCTGCCTCCCAGGTTCAAGCAATTCTCCTGCCTCCCAAATAGCTGGGATTACAGGTGTCCGCCACCACACGCAGCTAATTTTTGTATTTTTAGTAGAGACGAGGTTTCACCATGTTGGCCAGGCTAGTCTCAAACTCTTGACCTCAGGTGATCCGCCCACCTCGGCCTCCCAAAGTGCTGGGATTACAGGTGTGAGCCACCGCACTCAGCCTAAAAGGATATTTTAAATAATATTTACATGCTTTGATTAGTCTCCTTGGAGTACTGCAGCTTAACCATTTTTTGCTTTTTCACTCACTCAGCTTTTCCCCCTGGGGATAGGTAGTTTTTTAGCTAAGTGGAACAGAGCGACGCAAGGGGTTCAAATAAAAGATATATAGCCCTGTGGCATCTTATCAGAATATCAATATATTTGGAGGCTAGACTGGTGCAGTGGCTCATGCCCGTAATCCTAGCACTTCAGGAAATAGAGGTGGGCAGACTGCTTGAGCTCAGGAGTTCAAGACCAGTGTGGGCAACATGGCAAAACCCTGTCTTTACAAAAAATACAAAAATCAGCCAGGTGTGGTGGCATGAACCTGTAATCCCAGCTACTTGGGAAGCTGAGGTGGGAGGATCGCTTGAGCTTGGGAGGCAGAGGTTGCAGTGAGCTGAGATCCTGCCACTGTACTCCAGCCTGTGTAATAAGAGTGAGACCCTGTCTCAAAAAAAAAAAAAAAAAAAAAAAAAAGAAAAAGAAAAAAAAATACATGTATTTGGAGGCTAAAAGGAATCTGGGTTTTGGAGCTAGGGAACTGAGTTTCTACTCTGATTACATATCAAAAAATCCTAGCTTTACCCTTTGTGAGCCTCACGTCTCTGCTTGTCTACAGTGAAATGCCCTACCCATGGCTCAGCGATTTGTCTTATTCACATGATGTGAAGGTAAAGGGCTCAAGAAATGTTGGCCACTCTTATTCTAAAGAAATTCTCATGTAACTAGACAAAGATGTATAGAGAAACAATTTTGATTACAGAAAAAAACTGAGTGCCATCTAAACATCCATGAGTAGGGGACTGTCGTGATATGACTTATTATACAACACTATGCAGCTATTTAAAAGAATAAAGACAATCTCTATGTTCTGTCATGAAAAGATGTTTGTGATTACTGTAGATTTGTAGAAAGCAAGTTGAAGAAAAATATGTTTAGTATAATCTCATTTATGGTAAATGAAAACACAAAATGTGTGTATCTCAATTATGTGCAGAGAAAACTTAGCAGTTTTACTCTGCAGAGTGGGATTGCAGATGAATAGAGAGGGGAGATTTTGCCTTGTTTTTTTTGAAAATTAACTTCTTTATTGAAATATTTCAATGAGCATGTGCTACTTATTTTTTTTTTGAAGTTTTTTTAAATTATACTTTAAGTTCTAGGGTAGATGTGCACAACATGCAGGTTTGTTACATATGTATACATGTGCCATGCTGGTGTGCTGCACCCGTTAACTCGTCATTTACATTAGGTATATCTCCTAATGCCATCTCTCCTCCCTCCCCCGACCCCACGACAGGCCCCAGTGTGTGATGTTCCCCTGTGTCCAAGTGTTCTCATTGTTCAATTCCCACCTATGAGTGAGAACATGTGGTGTTTGGTTTTCTGTCCTTGCGATAGTTTGCTCAGAATGATGGTTTCCAGCTTCATCCACGTCCCTACAAAGGACATGAACTCATCCTTTTTCATGGCTGCATAGTATTCCATGGTGTGTATGTGAGCATGTGCTACTTATTAAGAAAATACACCTTTCATTTTTTTTTTTTTTTTTTTTTTGAGATGGAGTCTCACTCTGTCATCCAGGTGGGAGTGCAGTGGTGCCATCTCAGCTCACTGCAAACTCCGCCTCCCGGGTTCAAGCGATTCTCCTGCCTCAGCCTCCCGAGTAGCTGGGATTACAGGTGTGCACCACTAGGCCCAGCTAATTTTTGTATTTTTAGTAGAGATGGGTTTTCACTATGTTGGCCAGGCTGGTCTCAAACTCCTGACCTCAAGTGATCTGCCCACCTCAGCCTCCCAACATGCTGAGATTACTGGCGTGAGCCACTGGGCCCAGCCAGAAAATATACATTTCTAACAAATAAACAATCAGCACCAATCCTCTTGAACTGAGAGTGTTCTGATTGAAGTCTGTTTGGTATTTTGTGGATGGAGACTTACCTTTCTTCATTCCAAGGAGTGTATATTGTCATATATTGTTCTCTTTTGCCCATCCCAAATGGCCATCTCTTGAATCACAGAGCTGCCTAATGAAATCAAGTAGATGAATCAATGAATAGGAATAAATTGGGTACAGTTTCAACATAATTTTTTCCAGAAAAGGGGTTCTTTCTTCCTGTGACCTCTAACCTATTTAAGCACAATGGGGAGAAAAATGTGGGCTATGGCCACCCATGGGCTGGAATCTAGTTCTACCACTAATCTGATCTGAGATCTTGGGCAGGTCACAAGCTCTCTGGATTCTCTGAACCTGTTTCCTTATCTGTCAAATGAGCCAAATACTTGCTTTCCCAAGGCTTACTAGGGTAGTTGTGAGGTTCTAAAGAGATAAAGGAGGAAAAATACACCTGAGCCCAGGAGGTTGAGGCTGCAGTGAGCTGTGATCGTGCCACTATACTCCAGCCTGGGCGACAGAGTGAGACCCTGTCTTAAAGGGAAAGAAAAGGAGGAAAAATAGATTTTTGTCAGGAGTGCTGTAAAACTTGGTAGTGTTATTATTTGGAGAAGGTGATTAAACCTATCTAGGTGACCTTGGATTTATCACAGGTGCTATTTCCTGGGCCTAAAGATTGCCTAGTCTTTTTCCCAAGCTTTTGGTCAAAAAGCAGTGAGGAGAAAGAGCATTGCTTCAACCAGATGCCTAGAAAGGGGTGAGAAAGAAAACAAGAGCAGCATTTACTGTATGCTTGCTGTGGGCCAGATCCAAGTTACGTGATTTACATATTTTATATTGTTTGATCCTTACAACAAGGCTATGATTTGGCTATCTCAGGCTACATTTAGAGATCAGAAAGCTCAAGAATAAAGAATATGTAAGATAGGTGTGAACCCTCATTCATTCATTTAATAACAGTACAATCATGTGCTGCATAACAACATTTAGGTCAACTGTGGGCCGCCATCAGTAAAGTCACAGGGCAACGCTTTACTCACATGTTCGTGGTGATGCCCGATGTAAACAAACCTACTGTGCTGCCAGTCGTATAAAAGTCTAGCACATACAATTATGTATAGCACATAATACTTCATAATGATAATAACCATGTTACTGGTTTATATATTTACCATACTCTACTTTTTATCTTTTAGAGTGCAGTCCTACTTATTAAAAAAAAAAAAAAAAAAGGTAGCTGTAAGACAGCTTCAGGCAGGCCCTTTAGGAGGTATTTCAGAAGAAGGCATTGTTCTCATAGGAGATGACTGCTCCATGCATGTAATTGCCCCTAAAGACCTCTTCCAGTGGGACAAGATGTGGAGGTAGAGGGCAGTGATGTTGATGATCCTGATCCTGTGTAGGCCTAGGCTAATATGTGGGTTTGTGTCTTAATTTTCAACAAAAAAGTTTAAAAAGTTAAAAAATTTTAAAATAGAAAAAAGCTTATATAATAATATAAAGGAAGTATTTTTGTACACTTATAGAATGTGTTTGCCTTTTAAGCTAAGTGTTATTACAAAGGAGTAAAAAAGTTAAAAAAATTTCAAGTTTATAAAACTAAAAAGTTACAGTGGCTGGGCATGGTGGCTCACACCTGTATTTCCAGCACTTTGGGAGGCCTAAGGGAGAATCTCTTGAGGCCAGGAGTTCGAGACCAGCCTGGATAACAAAGGGAAACTCCCATCTCTATAAAAAATTAGCCAGGCACAGTGGCATGTGCCTGTAAGTCCCAGCTACTCGGGAGGCTGAGGTGAGAGACTGCTTGAATCCAAGAAGTGAAGGCTGCAGTGAGCCATGATCATACCACTATGCTCCAGGCTGAGTGACAGAGCAAGACCCTGTCTCAAAAAAAAAAAAAAAAAAAAAGGCCGGGCACAGTGGCTCACGCCTGTAATCCCAGCACTTTGGGAGGCTGAGGAGGGTGGATCACGAGGTCAGGAGATCGAGAACATCTTGGCTAACACGGTGAGACCCCGTCTCTACTAAAAATACAAAAAAAAATTAGCCGGGTGTGGTGGTGGCTGCCTGTAGTCCCAGCTACTCGGGAGGCTGAGGCAGGAGAATGTCGTGAACCTGGGAGGAAGAGATTGCAGTGAGCTGAGATCATGCCACTGCACTCCAGCCTGGGAGACAGAGCAAGACTCTGTCTCAAAAAAAAAAATTACAATAAGTTAAGGTTGATTTATTATTAAAGGAAAATGTTTTAAAAATAAATTTAGTGTAGCCTAAGTGTACAGTGTTTATAATGTCCACAGTAGTGCACAGTAATGCCCCCAGGCCTTCGTATTCACTCACCACTCACTCACTGACTCACCCAGAACAAATTCCAGTCCTGCAAGCTCCATTCATGGTAAGTGCCCTATACAGGTGTACCATTTTAAATCTTTTATACTGTATCCTTACTGTACCTTTTCTATGTTTAGGTACACAAATACTTACCATGTGTCACAGTATAGTATCAGTACAGTGACATGCTGTAGTTTTATAGCCTAGCAGCAATAGCTATACAATATAACCCAGGTGTGTAGTAGGCTAGATCATCCAGGTTTGTATAAGTACACTCTATAATGTTTGCACAATGACAAAATCCTAACGACACATTTCTCAGAATGTATTTCTGTCAAGCAATACATCACCGTACTAGTTACCAGGAATACAATTGTGAATAAATAAGTAGAAGTCTCTACTCTCGCAGAACTTACCCTCAAACGGGGCCCAGTTTGAAGTTTCTCAGCTGTCAAAGGGCAATGAGGGGATTCTCATTCCATTTTATACCACTCAGTTTCTGTCTCTAAGTACTGGCACCTTCTCACCCCAAGTTTCCTAGGCTCTTCACTTTAAACCCCCTATGTAGGGCCCAGAGCCTCTTCTCCTCCTCCCGCTGGACCTCCCCTCCTGGGGCTGACATTCTCCTCCTCCTCGTAGAACTCCCTTCTGGGGGATGACATTCTTGAGTATCCTGGGGTAGAAGATTGTTGTAACCTTTTTTCCCTCCCAGAGTGTGATTATCTGAGCAGAGGAAGCCTCCAGGAAAGCTGCATTACCAGATGAGTCAGCTGTCATCACAGCCATTACCTAATGCTGAACTGGGATGGGTTCAGGAAGCTGAAGTCAGTGAATATAAAACTAAGACTCACAGGTTTGGAACTCAAGGTTGCTGGAAGCAAGAGGCTGGCGGTGTTTCCACAGCTATTGCCAAGTCTCTACTTGTTCACTCTCTCCAGAGAACAGAACAGGGAGGTCTTCAAAAGTTCCATTTTAAAAGAAGCTGGTGTTTCTGAGAAGGGACTCTCCCTTTACAGTTTTTCTCAGTGAATGCTTTAGCACGAATAGACTACTCGGGGCAGGATGGAATAGGGGGAGGTGAGAAGAACAGGAGACAACGCTGGCTGGAGAATGGTAGGTAAGAGGAGTCATTAATAGGAGAGTCCCACAGACCTAGGTTCTCGTGCTGACTACCTAGGTTCTTAAGCTAATGTCCCAACACTGAAACCTCTTAGTGGGTTCCTTATGGGAAAGACCATTAAGATGATAACAAAATTGGTCTGCGTGAAGAATCAAGACACAGATACCAAAGGAAATAGAACACATCGGCACCAGAGTTGCTGATCTGTATCGCCTTGCTTAGAAGTATTGTTGCATGTTGGCCGGGCGCGGTGGCTCACGCCGGTAATCCTAGCACTTTGGGAGGCCAAGGTGGGTGGATCACCTGAGGTTAGGAGTTTGAGACCAGCCTGACCAACATGGTGAAACTCTGTCTCTACAAAAATACAAAAAATTAGCCTGGCATGGTGGCGCATGCCTGTAATCCCAGCTACCAGGGAGGCTGAGACAGGAGAATGGCTTGAACCCGGGAGGTGGAGGTTGCTGTGAGCGGAGATCGCGCCATTGCACTCTAGCCTGGGCGACAAGAGCAAAACTCCATCTCAAATAAAATAAAATAAAAAGTATTGTTGCATGTGCTAAATGTTACCTACCCCATGCAGCCTTTCTTAGTAAACTTCCTGGTTCATGGTCAGATTGTAAGGATAGTATGTCTAGTCTCTGTGTGGCAGAAAGTAAACCCAGAAAAATCCACTGCTCATTTCTGTAACTTTTCACTCTCTGAATCCGTGGGCTAACCGACCTGCTTTTCTTACCTGCAGTTGCTTCTTCTGAACTAGCCCTTTCTCTGCCCAGACATGGGCTTCCCACCCCTATTCCCTCAAGGTACTCTTCACTTAGAAGTTGCTTCCAGACTCAGCAGTAAACAGACAAATCTTCAGGTCGCCATTTCCTGTTATCAACTTTTTGGGGGCTTTTTCCTGGCTTCTCTCTACTAACACCTGAGTCATAGCATCCTAAATCAACTCACTGCATTCTCTTTTCCTTCTTCCCAGAATAAAATATCAGAGTAAGTCTTCCCTAATCATGCCTTATTTATTTTTATTCCTTTGTAGGTACTCAACTCATTATTTTGAAAACTGGGAAATAAAAGGAAAGAACTAAGTCTCTCCCTTTCTTATACAAACTGTACCACAGGGTAGCTGAATAGTTGGTAAGGGCAAGTCTCTCTTTAGAGAAGTATTTCGCTAATGAGTGAGAAGGGATAATAGAATTAATAGGCTAATGGGTCTAGGTAATGATTATCCATGCTTCCAACATCACAAAATAGAGACAGACATTATATGATGGAAGTATATACCACCACTTATGAATTAATCTTGACAAAATATAAATCTGATTAAACTTCTAGAACTAATTTAGGAAATACAGGGACAGAGGATTCTATAAGAATGCAATTAGGAAAACTCAGACTTCAGAAAAAACTATGGGGCAAATAACTGAGATTCTTGAAGAATTTCAAGATGAAAAGAGAGGTATGGGGAGCCCACATATTAAAAGAGACTTTAGAGGAATGCCAACCAATTGCAGTGTATGGACCTTATTTTGACCCACATTCAAACAAATACACCATAAGAAATTTATGATAATCAGGGAAATGTGGACATTGAGTAGATTTTTAGTAATATTAAGGAATTGTTCATTTTGAGGTGGGGTGATGGTATTTTAGTTATAATTTTTCTTTAAAAAATCCTTGTCCTTTAGAGGTATACGCTGAAATATATATGGATAAAGTCTATGATATCTTGGATTTCCTTCAAAATAATCCAGAGGATCATGGATTCTTTCTAAGTATTGGCATTCTCTCACCCCAAGTTTCCTAGGCTCTTCACTTTAAGCCCCATATGTAGGTCCCAGAGCCCTTTCTCCTCCTCCCCCTAGAATTCCGTCCTGGGGTTCACATTTTCCTCCTCCTCTTGGAACTCCCTTCTGGGGGGTGACATTCTTGAGTATCCTGGGGAGGGGAAATGAGTGGGAGTATAAATAATGCAAGATTGGCCATGAGTAGATAATTGTTTAAGCTAGGTGATAAGTACATGGGAGTTCATTATACAGTTCACTGTTGTATATGGTTGAAAAATCCACAACAAAATGATAAACAAAATTGTAAGGTAACCACTGGAAGAATGTATCTGGAATGTATAACTTCCCAACCAAAAGAGGGATCAAAAATGAATAAGAAACAACTGAATGAAAGCCAAGAAAAGGGAAAAAGGGTGTGTGTGTGGCAAGGCAGTGGCCGGTGCGGGGGTGGGGTGTCTAGAAAGCATTTTAAGGAGAAAACATGAAATAAGATGGCAGAAATACATCCAAATATGCCACTGATGAAATAGACATGGATTAAATTTTTCTATCAAAAGACAGATTGGGTTAAGAAATTAAAAATTCAAGCCAGAAACAGTGGTGGATACCTGTAGTCCCAGCTACTTGGGAGACTGAGGTGGGAGGATTGTTTGAGCCTAGGAGTTCAAAGCCAGCCTGGGCAACATAGCAAGACTTCATCTCTATAAAAGAAAAAAATTGGGAACACTTATTCTATTTCATGGAATGAAGTGTTGCCTGGTTCAGAAAAGAAAATTCAACTATATACTTTTTATAAGGGAAACTCTTTATAAAAAAAAAGTGAAGTTAGAAAATGAAGAGATAGAAAACTACTAGAGTAATGAAATGATCATAAAGAGAAATTAGGAGTAAAGCAGTTCAATAAGATATGGGATAGAATTAGCAACAAAGTGATCATCAATGACCTTGACAAGAACAGTTTCAGTGGCACAATGGGAGCTAAAGCCAGACTGCGTTTGTGATAAGCTGTACGTGGAAGAGGAAAAAGTGGAAAGGAAGAGGAAGGAGCTGAAAAAGCAAGTGAAGGGAACATATTTTCAGTTAGGGGAGGTGGTCTACTCATTTATTGGCCAGTTATTTATTGAGCCTGTATAAATACTGATGTGAAAAAGCCATGGGAGAAGGCGAAGTAGAAGAAACAGGTAGGGGGGGAAGATATTCCTGGGGAGGAAAGATGCTGAACATGATGAGACCCCAGGTACCAGGGGGAAACATTAGCAGCAGACAAGAAGAAAACACATTATTTTATTTTATTTCTAATTTATTAATTTGTCATTACACAAACAATACATAAATGCATATTCAAAAACATCAAACATTACAGTTAAAGCTAATGCACGCTACCAAACTACTGTTGACAGTTTGGTTAGTATCCTTCCAGACCTTCTCTCTATATAATACACAAATATGTACTTGTAGAAGTACACTATACAGTATTTGTGTGTGTGTGTGTGTGTGTGTGTGTGTGTGTGTGATGTGATTTAACATCACTAGTATCATATGTATTACAGGTATTGTCTTTCAATTTTTCCCCCAAACTTTTAACATTGTCTCCTGGAGATCCTTCCATGCCGGACATGTAGGACTCTCTCTTTTTCATTGATACTTAATACTTCATCATGTGTACCATAGTCCATCCTCTTGATGAGTATTTTGGTTTTTCCAATTTCATAGTATTACAGTAGCTCCCCCATCATGGAGGATATTTTCCAAGACCCTCACTGAATGCCTGAAACCATGAATAATACCAAACCCTCTATGTACTATGTTTTTTTATGATCTGATAATAGAAATGACTAATGGGCATTATAAAATGGGTATATAATGAGTGTATACATTGTGGATACACTGGACAAAGGGATGATTCCTGTCCCAGGCAGGATGGAGAGGGATAGTGAGAGATTTTTATTATACTATGCAGAAAGGTTTGAAGTTTAAAACTTATGTTCGTTTCTGGAATTTTCCATTTAATATTTTTGTATTGTGGTTGACCTTGGATGACTGAAACCTCAAAAAGTGAAAATGCAGATAAGGGGGTCTACTGTACAAGCAAAGGTGCAATTGACATCATTGTACAGGCTATCTTGTGAACACATGTATGTTTCTTTAGGACATTAAAAGTTGGAATTGTTAGGTCACAGGGTATGTGACTTTTAAAATTTAATGGGTGATACACAATTGTCTTTAAAAGAGGCTGTGCCAATTTGTATGCTCACTAGCAATGTATTCCTGTTTTTCCACACCCTTTCCAGCTTTTGATTTGTATGCACGCTAAATATTAGTTGGATCTGAGATGGTTTCTTGTGTTTTAATGTGCACTTCCCTTATTTTGCTGAGATTGAGCTTCTCTTTATAACCTATTTGTAAAGTTCTTTGCTTATGTGCATTTTCAAATGGACAGGGTATATAGCTTCATAGCTTCCAATTTCTAAAAGGGAGTAACCAAAAAGTAGAAGACTAACTGCTAGTCTAGCTAGAATTAATTTTTGTGAAAGATCTAACTTTATATTTCTTCTAAATTGTTATGCTATCCCATACTATTTGTTGAATAATCCATTTTTTCCTTACTAATTTGAAATGTCACTTTTATTACTTACTCAACATATTATTTGTGTTTCTGGATTCTCAGCTGTATTAGAGATTTATTTTTGGTATCAGTCACCTGAGTTATTCTTAACTTGGTTCATTAAATGGTAGCTGATTTTGTCAGCCAAGATAATAAGTGTCACTTGTTGCTTATGAGACAATAGACAATATAATTCATGACACATGAATCCTATTCTAGTTAACTTTGATTTAAATCAATTTCATTATCTACAACTTAGAGTATTAAAAATGTGTAAACTTTTCTCAGATTAGTTCCTCTTTTTTAGGGAATACTTCATAGGCTCGATGTCGAGGTGGAAGGCTTTTCCCCTCCTTCTAAAAGTATTATTTGATGTTAAAGCTTTCTGGTGATTTAAAGTTGTTTCCTGGCAATATCAAAGGATTTTTACATGGGATGGCAATATTACTGTTGATTTATAAAAACCTTTCATTTAACAAATGATATAAGGTTCACAAACTATAACATATACTCTGAATAAACAATATGGCACTTTAACTTTTACACTTACACTGGACTGAGCTCATTGGAGCACACAAATCATGTCCCATTCATCTTTCTATCCCCAAACATCCAGTACAGGTTGCAGCACCTAAATTGAAATAGAATTAAATTGCATGTCAACATTTTTTTTATAAAATAAAAAAAAGAAACCTAAATTTCTTGAAAACATCACTTTTAGGGTTTTACAAAGTCATACATGTTTCTTTTTATTAGCCACTGACCTGTTATTATTTCCATCTCAAGTGTGGGGAAAATGTTCCCTTGCTGTCTCTGATCTTCCTCAGGTATGATATGACCTATCTATAGATACATTGCATGCCTGTGAAATGACAGCAAGAACTGTGATCCGGATAACATTTGGATTGCAGCAGGCAAGAGTATTTTACAGTTGTTATATGGAAATATTGTAGGCATGCAAAAGAATGGAGAGATGAACTTAACTTTTTTATGGAGAAGTTGAACTGTGGCATTTGCCTTGTTTTAAAATTCAGTTGTTTTTATGATCTAAGTTAGCACACCTTTCCCTTCCCTCCAAGGGGATAAATATGGCTTCTGTGGACAATGTTGTAGTCTGTAAACTTAAATACTATGGACCCATGACAGTAGACAATGGGAAAATTCCCCAAACTGCCTAGTCTATCAGTTTCCCTGCTGAGAATGAAAAATAAAGCTAACTCACTCACCATCCAGGTATGCTGAACAAATTCAACAACTAAATGGACTGCGCCAGTGCAAAATACCAGCGTCTTACTTTGCCATCACCAATCTGAAAATCTGTCTTATTTTTCTTATTTGATGATTCCATGGCGGGGTTCGGGGGGGTGGTGGGCAAGCAAGAATGTCTGTGAACTTTAACTTGCTTCAGAGTGCCTCACTTAGCATTTTCATCTATGAACACAGCATGTCATACCAATTGTACTCCACAAAAGATATAGTTACAGTAGCACTTGTATAAAGTAATCCTTGCAACCTATGAAGGAAAGCCATACATTTAAAGGGATCTTGCTGTAGAAATTCTGTGAACTGGTACAGAAATACAGGACAAAGATGTATCCTGAAATATTGAAAAGGAGTAAATGGGGTGCAAGTATACATCACTAAATAATAAACTATTACTATTGCTAGAAAATAGAAATATGGATTATTAAGAGGCTTGAAGCAGAAGGAGGTGGGAGAAAAGGTCTGGTTTTGGATAGGCAGGAGACTTAGAAAAAAGAAGCCTGCAGGACTGACCTATGTCAAAGAATAAAAGGCTAAAGCCTAGCAAAACCTATTCTGCCTTGGGCTGTCAGTACCTACAGTGGGGGCCAGAACCTGTATTATCCTTTCCAGGGAGCAAGGAATAGATTTTAGGGAAAGGCTTTGGAATCAACATCCTAATCCTAGTCACCATAAAAGGATTCCATTTAGTTTACCTTTAGGGTAGAATTGAGAGACAGGCATAGTGACAGCAAAGGTTCCATTCCCCAACCCTTTTGTTAAATTCTTGAAATCCCTTTAAGGAAACAAAGACTTTCATTTCACAGATTTATAACTGTTGGAAGGAAAAGACCGAGTCAAACTTTCAAGTATGAGTTGGGACTCTTTAATCTTTTTTTGGAGGGACAAGAAAATAGGCAGCTGGGTGCGGTGGCTCACGCCTGTAATCCCAACACTTTGGGAGGCCCAGGCGGGCGGGGGAGATGACTTGAGGTCAGGAGTTCAAGACCAACCTGGCCAACATGGTGAAACCCTGTCTCTACTAAAAATACAAAAATTAGCCTGGCATGGTGGCACACGCCTGTAATCCCAGCTACTCAGGAGGCTGAGGCAGGAGAATCGCTTGAACCTGGGAGGCGGAGGTTGCAGTGAGCCGAGATCTTGCCACTGCACTCCAGCCTGAGCACAGCAAGACTCTGTCTCAAAAAAAAAAAAAAAGAAAAAAGAAAAAAAGAAAATAGGCACCTGATACCTGACACTGGGAATGGGATGTTCATTGTGGAGAGGAAAATGGTACAGAAAGACCCAAGACAAACTTCCTTCATGACCTTCACAAAATTGCCTATGTAATTTTGCCCTTTCATTTATTTTCCGGATTGTCATCCCTCCTAAATTATTTCTCAGCTTCCAGTTTCAGCTACTCTAACCTACCTCCCATCTGCCACTGGAATTGTGCACATCCAGCATAATTTGAGCATAGTATCCCATTGCTTAAAACCATTCAATAAATCATTCTTGCTTTCTGAATAGATGCCAAAATACTAGGTCAGTGGGGAAGTCACTGCCTGCCTGTCTCCAATGCAATTCTGTGGCTGCCCTAGGAGCCTTGTTTATACTTTTAAGCCATTGAGTTCTCTTTTCTTGTGCTTGGAACACCCTTCCCTCTGGCTCTTATGACCTTCAAGACTCAGGTGTCATGTTTTTGAGGAAACCTACCCTGACAAAACCATCCCTGACTGTACATAGTAACAAGTATTCCTCACTGCATTATCAGTTGGCTTATTATGTCCTCAAATTGTCAATTTTGAGGGCTGGGTTTTGTCCTTTTCATAGGATTATTAAAGAAATGTCACAAAGTGCTTGCCACTGAGCCATAAAGCTTCTTTTAAAAATGTGACTTCAAATCTTAAAAATTGTTTCCAGACAATTAGCTATTTCTGGTTCTGCAAAGATAAATTTTCAAGAACAGAGATATTCTGGTTCTATTAAGACTTTTTTTTTTTTTAAAAAAAGGTCCATGAATTACTGGAGTTTGCAACTTGGAGAAATATAATCATTCACCTGTGAAAATTCTTGTGAATAATGGCAGCTGTGATCCCCAGTCACTGGAGGCTTGATTATAAAACGTTATCTCAATACTTCTAATTAGCATAGGATATTATAAATAGAATTGGAAAAATTCAGCTATTTTGGACAATCAGGAGTTAAGGAAACTGTTTATTTAATGCCTCCTAACCCCTACTATTTGTTTTTGGTGTGGCAAGCTGTGAGATCACATCGGAACAAACTAAATTTTATTTGGGGAAAGTTAGGTTTGAATTGTAGACAATTACCGTATCAGAAAAATTTCTACTTATGATTTACCGGCTAAATTAAAACAGAAAAGCTTATGTGGGACCTTGCTCTATGGGCATTACACTGACAGAATTAGATAGATGGCATTCCTGTAAGACTGTGCCTCCAAATTGGGATCTCAATCAGTTAATATTTACAACTATTTGGAGCAGGAGACTAAATCTCCAAAGCTGAATTGGAAGTTACTTAAGATCCTAAACAATCAGCTGGGGGAAGGGTTGACAGTAGGGATAGTTTGGATTTTGAGGGGAGGGGATGATGGGAAAGCAGAGGGCAGACACCACAATAATTCTGCATTTTTGAACAATGGACCATGAGTTGAGTATCTTCTCCTGTCGTTACACTGGAAAGCTTATTATTTAAGGCTCTAGATACATACTGCCAAATTACTTTCTAAAAGTACACAGGAAAGCCTGTCTTTCTTTCTATGTTAAGTCCTGCTACTTAGGACACTTATTACAATTCGCCAAAAACATTAATTTGCATTTCTTAGGTTACTAGAGGTTGAACCTTTAGAAACTGCCATTTATCTCTTCTGTGAACTACCCATATTTTCTCTCCTTTTCTACTGTTTTTCTTAATATAAAAGTAGTAATAACTGCTGTTACCATTTTAAACCTTATTATTCATTTCCTTGGAGACTATTACTTTGTTTATGAAGTGTTTTTCCAGCCCCAGAATCAAAATGGAATCTATTTTCACAAAAATCCCATTTCTAAGACTAGTTTTTCTCCACCTGTATTAAATATCACATGTCACAGTTAGCACTGGAGGGGCACAGCCAGCAAACCTTTTCGGTTAACAGTCCAACAGTGAAGTTTCACATTCCATTAAGTATCTCACCTGTAGCAGCTCTACTTGGAATCTTACTACACATCCTTAGGGTTGCTTACTCAAGCCTATGTACTTAGTTCCTTGATTTATAATGTTATTCATTAACATTTTGTTCAATGTCTTGCAGCACAACTAGAATAGAAAATATTTGGCAATCTCATGTACATCCCAATTTTATGCCTTGTTTGTTTGTGGCTAATCTGATTAAATTTTTACTTCAAATAAGTCTTTTAACACGGAGAACTAACTACTGGTTCTCATTAACTCTGATTAGCTAGCTGGCTACAGATGCAGTGCATGTTAATTTCTACAGGCACCTTTCTGAATTCAAGTAAAAGTTTTGGTAGACAAGGATTTCCTACTTAAGTATCACTAACATAATATGAATATTGAGTACAAATATTGCTCACTATTTTTGCATTCTTTAAATTGTTTTACTTTGAAAATTTAAGAACTATCAGTAAGTCATTATTAACAGGTCTTTAAGGAGTATTTTGAACTGTGAAAATACAAATCTAGTCAAATTTTGAACACATATAGAGCCAAATATTTCAACAAAACTGCAGTTTAATTTCAGAAAATGTTAAAATATATATTTATACATCAATTTCTGACATACACTTAATGTGTTAGTATACACAAAATGATGCTTTCTTTTGAAACTGTATTTATGAAATGTACATTTTAATTTAAATACTCAGTATACACTGCACTTAATCTGCATGTTGCATTTATTAAATACATTAAAATCTGCAATGTAACAAAACGTTTTCTGCATACGAAATTCAAAACACCATTTTAAATGAACAAAAGATGGCTCACTTTTTTTTTTTTTTTTTTTTACAACTAGTGTATTGTACACTAGCTCAGCTCCACCAAACTACCTGTTCGTTCTCTTTTATTTGACATTGTTCACAGACTAGTACATATTACAATAAGAGTGCTGGATAAAAACATGAGGTACGAAAGTGGTTCAAAGATTATAGGTCATGCAGATCATGCTAGACAGTAAAGAAAATTGTGACTGAGAAAACACTAAATAAAAATACATAAAGAATGTGCATTATAAAAAAAAAAAAAGACAAAAAAAAAAAAACAACAAAAAAAAACCAAACTCCATTACACAGCTTTGCTTCTTTGGTTACAAAGTAGGTTGAACAATTTCACAGCTTTTTATTCCCACCCGAAAAAAAAGTCATACGAAATGTTGAAAAGCAGAGGAATCGTGGCAATTTCTCTTAGAAAGTAGAAACAAATGAACAAAGTTTTCTTCATCAAAATAGCCCAATTATTTATCATATCACAATAACTGGTGACTACCTGTACAGTTGCACTATGTTCTTCATACTTACACTATACAAAATTTACATTCAAGCTGGGTCTTTACTACTGAAAATAAATACCATAAGTAAATTGCCATTAGTGTTAGAAATATGCCAGGATTCTTTTGTTCAATTATTGCCTAAACGTTTTATCTATTAAATGCAATCCTGTCTTTCACTTCCTTTACTGATACTTATAATTATTCAAAAAAATTAAAAAAGTTCTGTGACATTGTTCATGTACATTATGAAAATAGCAGCCCTGTAATAAATAAAACACAAATAAATGAAAACTTATGTAGGCAAATGTTACTGAATCAGAAAGAAAAGTGGCTCTTTAGATGAACTGTTATTTATAATGTGATAGGAAGGCTCAGGGTAAATCCATGGGTAATAGGAAACATGGGAGAGCCACCAAAACTCTTAAAGACCCCACTCATGCGCACCAGGTAAAATGCAGACTTTGCTCGCTTTAATAAACCCCATCTATTATTCTCCTTGTGTACTGATGACATAGAACTGGACATCAACAGCGCTGCATGACATCTCAGAGAGAGGAAAAGCTCTTGTAGAATGATTGTCTAATACTGAAAAGGCCAAACACACAACCAAAGCATGGCTACTTGCTTTCGTATAAAGTGGAAAGAACACCAGTGGCACACAAGGATAGATTGCTTTCAGTTTTTTTCTTAATGAGGCTTAAGAAAGCTTTATGCTGAGGAGACATTCGGCTGCTGTGGAGGTTGCGTTGGCTGCGGAGGCTGTGCTATCACTGCTTGCTGTTGAGAAGTGCTACCAGGATTGGCCTGTTGGGTTGGGAGTTGGGATAATTGATCATTGCTTGAAAGAGATTTTAACAGTGCATTTTCTCGTTCAAGTAAAGAGTTTCTTTCAACTAATTCTTTTATTTGTTCCTTTAAAACTTCCACTTCTTCTCTTACTGCATACATCAAATGGCTTTTCACCAGATCCTGTGAAAAACAAAATTAGGAATGTCAAAAGAGTGAAAAGATAAAGGTGGTGCTATCTGGTTCTGGCCTACTTGGTGCTAAGTTTTTATACTAGTTTTCCTGCTCTTGCTTTTAATGTTTCTGCTTTATCTTGACCGAGCCTATGGAAGATGGGTTGGAAAAAATCCAGTTCCCAACCAGAGCAGTAAGCCCAGAATTTTCTTTTCAAAGTTTGGGACGATTTCCAAAAAATACTAGCTTCTTAAATTGTCAACTAAGCTTAGAATTAAAAAAAAAAAAAGTTTAAAATCACATGCTTAAAATGGTAGATAAAGAGAACAAAGGAACAATATTCCAACGGAAAGCTGTTTGATGTTAAACTAGTCATAGTACTGCTTTAAAGTGATCTGTAATTTTGGACTTTAAAATTTTGGTATTTTTAAAAAAATAGTTTGAGACTAACAGTCCTGTAAGGTCTCACACCGGTAATCCCAGCACTTTGGGAGGCTGAGGCGTGTAGATCACCTGAGGTCAGGAGTTTGAGACCACCTTGGCCAACATGGTGAAACCCCGTCTCTACTAAGAATACAAAAATTAGCCAGATGTGGTGGTGTGTGCCTGTGCTCCCAACTACTCAGGAGACTGAGGCAGGAGAATCACTTGAACCTGGGAGGTGGAGGTTGCAGTGACCCAAAATCATGCCACTGTACTTCAGCCTGGGTGACAGAGCGAGACTATCTCAAAACAAACAAAAATACCAACTTTTTTTGTAGAGACGGGGTCTTGCTATGTTGCCCAAGTTGGTCTCAAACTCCTGGCCTCAAGTGATCCTCCCACCTCAGCTCAGGTGCTGGGATTACAGACACAATCCACTGTGCCTGGCCTACTTATAGCTTACTTACAGTCTACTTCAATCAGACCTCCAGCTGTTTTTGCTTTAATACTCTTTTTCACTCTAAAGTATTTTCAATGCTGAAATATCTGGGGAACATATTGTCTTTAAATATGTATGCCCCCTCACCAATGGCCCTTATCAATGATAATGCATGAAATGTGAGATATTCAAATGGAAGAAATATCTACTTAAATAGTATTTCTAGACTAAAAGTTCTCAACGTTCTAGCATCTTCAACTAAATCTCATTATCAAAAAACATGATTTGGTCATCTTTGGTTTAAATAACTTATTTGTTTTCTAAAACTGACAAAAGCTAAGTGTTCCATACAACCAACAATCTATGAAATGGGAGAACTGTAAACTTTTACTTACCATTGCTTGTTCTATTTTGTTGTCAATGGCTACAACACCTCCCCCAGATGCACTGGAAAAAATTAGAATATGTTATTATTCTAAAAAATTTAACCTCCCTTCCAACTCTTAAAAGAATGTAAAAGACATTTGTGTTTCACTTAAAACCAAATATACAGTAATTTAAAATAGCTTATTCTGTTCTGACAATTTCAGTACTCAAAGCTCTCATTTCTAAAATGAAAGTCTCAGTAAATAGATGATTTCTACAGGTCCTTTGTAGTGCCAACATTTCTAATTTGCCTGTAATACATGTATGCTACTTTAAAACTAACTCTCAATTGTATTAAGAATTTCTCTGTTCAGTGGTTTTAAAAGGATACATTTTAAATGGGCAGTGTCTTCTCCGTATCTCTTAAATTTCTACATTAACCAACTATACATTCTAATTGCCTTTCATGTAGAAATTCCAATAATTACTTATTGTAGTAAAATTCAGATGATGGCTTGACTTTTTTTTTTCTAGTCCCTCCTCTTAGTAAGACTTTTCTGGTATAAGTTTTATACTTTAACATCTAGTTTTTTAAAAAAAACTTAATGGCTTCTAAAAATGGTTCAGAAAGTCTTTGGGTAGGATTGGTTAACAAGAAACTCAACATTCAGCCGGGCGTGGTGGCTCACGCTTGTAATCCCAGCACTTTGGGAGGCCAAGGAAGGTGGATCACTTGAGGTCAGGAGTTCCAGATCAGCCTGGCCAACGTGGTGAAAACCCATCTCTACTAAAAATACAAAAAAAATTAGCCAGGCTTGGGGCGGGTGCCTGTAATCAGCTACTCAGGAGGCTGAGGCAAGAGAATCACTTGAACCCAGGAGGCAGAGGCTGCAGTGAGCCGAGATCACGCCATTGCAATCCAGCCTGGGCAACAAGAGCAAAACTCCATCTCAAAAAAAAACAAAAAAAAAAAAAACAAAAAGAAACAACATTCTGGCAGACCTACATGTATTTGACTGTAGGTTACTTGCTGGCAAAAATCACCTATAAGGTATGTGTGGTTTAGATCAGTTCTTCTTGGGAATAACTGAAAAGTTATCCAGCCTGTAAGCACATTCCAAGTTCAAATATCACCTTAGCAATTGTATGATAATAACACAGAAGGCTAATTGTCCTCTTTGGTGGTTTATATTCTACCATGTATTAAGTAGTAAGAATAGCTGGAATTTATACCCTTTTATTGTTTTTTAATGAATTTTATTTCTAAAAACAGTTATTAGGTTTTTAAAAATTACTCTTGTAAAGAAAAATCTGATACTGTAGCTTATTGTATCAATACGAAAAGATAATTTTTTATATGTTACTAAATATTCTTCATAAAGTATACTCCACCTAAGATTTTAGTGCTAAAATACCTGGAAACTACTTTACTTTAGATGGTGTGGACCCATAATGTTGTATCAGATTGAGGCTCAGAAATATCCTGTCCTGTGATATCCTGCTATTCACTTCCTATGGGACATCAGCAAATCACCTATTTAACTTCCCTGGATCTGAGTTTCCCCATCTGTAAAACAAGGGGTTGATGTCAATGCCTCAATGGACTTTCCACTTCTAAATCCTTGAAATCTTGAATCATTACATGGGAAACTACGTTTGTTTATTTGAGCATTAACCACATTAATTACAGCATACTACCTTCACTTCTTGCTGCTACTATTTCTAAGATGAAAAGAGGTTTTGTATATCTAATATCTAGAAAGGATTTATGGATCATTAACAAATACTTTATATGTGCTGGGCTTTAAATGCTTTTAGTGAGCTGTGCAAAGTATGACTATATGTAACTATAAACTACAGAACCACTAAGTCAACCATAACGCTTTAGTATATACTTCAGTGCCAGATACCATGCAGACATATTCACCACAAATACTGAACACATTTTGGCAAAAAAGACGGTGACAGGCATTTAAATTAGTTTGCTTGGGAATCCCAGATTATACTTTCTATATTTTTATTGACATGACAAGGAAAGATTGAATTACTTTTAAGTCATGTCATGACTTAAATCATTTGATTCCTTCAACACATTTGGTTTAAATAGCACACCTTAAATACTAACTACAACATCAGTTTTATGTATTAACAAGCAGTAAAAAAAACAAAAATTACTGGGGTTTTTTTTTGATAATTAAAATCAGTCAGCGAGTTTTAGAATGATTCCCATAGCTAAGGAAGAATAGTTAGCATGCTATTCTTTGAATGCTGACCTAACAAACTCTTGTCCTAAGATCTCTTTTATGACAACAGAAGAAACAGGTTTGCAAGGTATAAATAGATCATGATGAAGATGTATCCCTTAAATGGTGTTAATATTTCAACTGTTAGGTGTTGTACTCTAATAGAATAAATCAGTGTCAAATATAATTACTACCACTATAGTGACCTTTAACTATCTTGAAGGCTATTATTCAAGAATTCTATAACCTACTGCAGGGGTCTCAAACTTTAGCATGCACCAGAATCATCTGGAGGTCTTGTTAAAACTCAGGTTGCTGGGCTCCCCCACTCAGAGTTTCTGATTCAGTAGGCATGGAACCAGGAATCTGCATTTCTAACAAGTTCCCAGATGATGTGGAATCTACTGTCTGACTATGCTTTGAGAACTGCTGGCTTACAAATGAAAGTTATAGGAGGAAAAATTAAGAAGCCTAATTCTATTTTTAAAACTTTTTAGCCTGGCATATAAAATTCTTTATGACTTTGACCTCTGCCTTATACAGTCTGTTTTCCTCTTATACTCCATCTGCCTATTGTGTTATGGTCTTATACAACTATTTGTAGTCTGTGGAACATATGTTCTCTCGGGTTTCCTTGGCTTTGCAGAAACTGCTCCCTCAGCTGGAAATGCTCACAGTTCCAATTCATCTGGCTATCTTAGACCTGTCCCTTAAGATGCTCCAGTGCCATCTCTTCTGTGATGCTGTTTGATTTTCTAAGGTAGAGCCAATTACTCCATCCTTTCTGGGGTCTACCAATCTTCGCAAACTTTTTATAGTGCAAAAAGGCAGAATAGCAAATTCTGGCTCCTCCATATACTCACTATATGAATTCTGGGAAATTATTTAACCTTTCTAGACCTCAGTTTTTTCATTTAAAATAAGGATTATATGCCAATTGTGAGGATTAAATGAGTTTACATAATGCATAGTACTTGGCACACTGAGCACTCAATACAGACAGTGATTACTTTGAGTATTGTAATACTACCACTGTTGATCCTATTAGATTGAGCTCTTTGAGAAAGGTTCCATAACTTCTTCATCTTTGTGAATAAGTGAATTCAGTGCTTAGCACATAGTAACTCAATGCATACTGATAGTAATTAGATATGATAGATTTGAAACAATTAATGGTTCATATGAGGAAGGCATTAAAATTTTTTGAGTTCAGATAAATCAGTTCTCAAAGTGTAGTCCCTGAACCAGAATCATCAGCATCACCTGGAAACTTGTCAGAAATGTAAATATTTGGACCCACCAAGACCTTGTTAGAAATGTAAATATTTGGACCCACCCCAGATTTACTCTTGGGGCGGGGCCCCGTAATCTATTTTAACAAACTCTCTAGGCGATTCAGATAGAAACTAAAGTATGAGAACCACTGCTTTAGCCATATTTACGATGGAGATACCAATATGGTAGTCTTAAGCAAATAAGAGACTATTTTATTTCAAGATCCCAGAATATGGTTTAAAAATACTGTTTCAATGAGGGTATCAAGATGTTTTCTATTATGTTCAAAGTTATCATAGTGAGATTTGACTCTTTTAAAATGAGAAAGATCAACTGAAGCAGAATCAATAATTTCCTTCCTTCACCTAATGTTATAATACTATATACCTTGTTTTCTTTTTAATTATTATATTCAGCACATTATATTTTGATGGTTTAACCAGTTTCCAAACTTAAGCTCCCTAAGAAAAGGCTTCCTGTCTTTACTTCCAGCACAAAGTATATATACCCGGTACCCTACAATGGTGGTAGTATAAATATTTCAGATTAGTGTGTATGTATAGATACATACTCAAACTGAAATAAGTCAATTTTAAATCAAGTGTTACAATTACTGCTACAGAAGCATGAGGGAAAAATGAGTTCAGAATTTTCTTTTTTAAACTATTATGGTAAACTGGAAATGCTAAATAAAGTCAAAAGATAATTTTTAAAAATAAACTTTCTATTTACTATGAATCATTCTTAGAATAAAAATCAAACATTTATTAGCATTTACAGATGCATTAAAAATTGTGGATATGGAGAGAATGAACAGAAATATAGAGCTGTGGAAAGTAAGAAAGACCTACAAGAAAATATTTATTTACTGGAATTGCTGCTCCAAAATAACTAAATGAGCTTGAATTCAGTGTTTAAAGCTAATTATACTTACACTCACAGAAAAAGTATAACTCAGAGTATCAATGCTACAGTAAGGCAGGTTGGCTTTCCATGCTGTTCATCTTTTAATTGATCCTAACTGGCTCTCCACCACAGCTTTTCCTCCTAGGTTTCCTTACTCTTACCATGAGATTACTTGCAACATTACTGAGAAAGCAAGAGGATGGATGAAGAATTTCCAACTCTGTCACAAGTTAAAATCACTAAAGAAAAAGGTAATCTAATTTAATCTCTCTCTCTTTTTTTTTTTTGAGACAGAGTTTCACTCTCGTTGCCCAGGCTGGGGTGAAATGGCGCGATCTCAGCTCACCGCAACTTCTTCCTCCCGGGTTCAAGCGAGTCTCCTGCCTCGGCCTCCCGAGTAGCTGGGATTACAGGTATGTGCCACCATGCCCTGCTAATTTTGTATTTTTAGTGGAGACGGGGTTTCTCTATGTTGGTCAGGCTGGTCTCGAACTCCCGACCTCAGATGATCTGCCTGCCTTCGCCTCCCAAAGTGCTGGGATTACAGGCGTGAGCCACCACGCCCAGCCTTGATCTCTATTTTTAAAAAACTATGAGAAACCAACTTTTTTCTTTATCTGTAGTAATGTGGACAGAGACATGGTGACTACTTATTTAAAATAAAAAAATTCAGCCTGGGCAACATAGTGAGAACCCATGAAAGAAAAGAAAGAAAAGAGAAAAGAAAGCAAGCCCACGGTCCTAGTTACTCAGGAGGCTGTGTGGGAAGACTGCTTGAGCCCAGGAGCTCAGGGTTCATTACTGCACTCCAGCCTGGGTGACAGAGCCAGATCTGTCTCTAAAAAAAATAAGAGAACTACTTCTCTTTTTCAAAATGGACATATTTTGACTACTTTGTCTTTCCCTAGATATAAATGCTAATTAACAAATCAACAAGATAGAGGAAAAGAACACTTAATGGTTGTCTATTTTAGGGCAGGCACACCTTTATCTTAATGAGTCCTTACAATAAGCCTGAGCAACATTCTCATTTTACAGTTGAGGAAAGTGAGGTCAAGTAACTTGCTCAAAGACACAATACTAGGAACAGGATTCAAACCTGGACCTAATGTCAAAACACACATATTTTCTTCCATAATACTAAGACTGTGAAAAAATAATCTCTAATGACCTGAAATAAATCCAGAATTATGTGTATTATTAAGAGTGCTTTAACTAAGTACCAAATGTTAAGTTGTGAAACCATAAGCATGGATCCAAAGATTAAACCATGCTCAGAATATGCCATTTATCTTATCTGGCAAATTCCTAGAAGAGGTTCAGCTCTGAGAATAAGGGAGGGAACCTCTTAGAAAAGGCACTTGCTTAGTGATCTTTTTATAGCTGATACAGTTTACCTAATTGCTAAGAACGAAAATGTTCTTCTGGTTTGTTAGAAAGCTGAAGATGCCTTAAAAATTTTATGTATCTTTAATTAAAATACTGCAAAAAATAAATAAATAAAATAAATGCCTTGCTTTACTCAAAGACTCCTCTAACTTTGCATTGAGTTACAATCACAACTATAAATGCACTACAGGAACTCTCCAAATTACACAATCAAATCTTTTGTAATACAAACTCCTTTAAGTTGGTAAATTTGGCATACTTCATGCTCACACCCCCTTGCCCAAACCAACTAAAACTGATTCTTCAGAAACTCACAAGTAGAAGGAAGCTATACCTTTCTTTGGGGGCAGTCCTAAGGAATCATACACTGTTTCCAGTAAATCATCTATAACTTTTATTCCACCCACTCCCATCTCCCAAAATAAGCACTGTAATAACATCATTACTACTAAAATGCATTAATTCTAACCTGGGTAACATTTTGCCTATTCTCTAACAAATGCATGTTTTATTTTTTTAGAAAGAAAATTAAGAAAATGCGAGTCACTGATTACAAAGGAATAAATCTAATCAATCTACAGTTCAGTAAACTTGTGAGGTTAAATATAATTTTAAAAATCCACCACTCTTCTGTAAGAGGAGACTAAAAAATATTTACAGCTTAATTTAAGAACAAATAACAATTTTCCTTTCAAAAGGGCCTAAATAAATAAAATTCATATAGACAACCTCTGGCTGAATGCAAACCTCTATGGTTAAGAATAAAACTTGGGTGAAGTTAATAATAAATTAAACTAAGAACTCAAAATGTTATGTTATTCTAATTATTGACCATCAGTTCTACCAATGTAAAACAAATAATGTTTAATTTCATGATTAAAAAAAAACCCAAAATGCCCCATAGAGATTATTATTAGCAGTAACACAAAATAAGTTATTTTAAAGCTATTATTCATCCTGAGCAAGCAGGTAAAATTTCTACTTACAAAACTTAAGTGTTACTTTTTCTCAAGTAGCCAGTCCCGCAATGGTGTGATGAATGCCTTTACCAAGGAACTATTAAAAACTCAGTTAAATATTTATATATTGATATTTATTGTCAGCATCTTCTACAAAAACCTTGTTCACCAATGCCCTCAGCATATTTTATATTTATCTTGTTAATTTCAGTCAAATGGCTAGCCAGTAAAGCGTAGATTAAAGAGCATGCAATCTATATGAAGTCCATCTCCTACCTTAGACCCCCTTTGTCTAGAGTCAGTCTTATCATCTGTACTAAGAACTTTAAATAAACACATTTAATTAGAATTTCTTTAATACTTTGGTGGGAAAGGACTATGTAACTGCATGTCTAATTTTTTTTTAAAGTTAAAAAGTCTCTAATAAATTTTCCTAAAATCTGTTAAGACCAGATGCCCAATAGAAAAATGGGGAGAATTCACACTGAACATTAACAAGAAAGACATGAAAAAATACTCAACATCTGAATCATAAAATAAAAATACAAATTAAAACTATAATGTAATACTATTTTCCAAAACAGATTTCTCTCCTTTTCTCTCCTCTCCCGACCTCCCCTTAATTATTCACTCTCTGAGCCAGCAATCATTCATCTTGGAATTTATCCTCTAGATATTTTATATACATAGCAAATAATGTTAACAAGGCTACTCATTACAACACTGTTTATAACAGCAATGCTTCTGGTTAAATGAATCATGGTGTAGCCATCCATTCAATTAAATAGTATGCATCTATTAAAAAACCACAAAGATACTTTTCTAGTACTGAGATGGGAACAATGTATTCTGGAGATCTTTAAAAGTAAAGGTACAGATGTGTGCACAATACATTATAATTTACATTAAAGAAGATAATATACATTGATTTGCTTATATACACATAAAGAAGGATATACACACATTAAGAAAGTGGCTGTTTGGGAAGGCAGGCAGATGCAGGACAGAGATAGAAGCAAGAGTACTTCTACTACATTTTGAAGAACAATGAAAAACATGTTCCAAAATGAAAATGACTCATGAAGGAGTTATCTTTTACAGTGTAAACTCCAGACATGAACAAATGGCAGACAGGAAAAGCAATGACAGAAAATAGGAAAGGGAGAAAGGAGGGAAGAGGTGCCAACTCTATTTTCTCTAGCAACTATTTCATTCTGCAAGATAAGGTACTATATTCAACAAACAAAACAATGATCAACATAAGTGATATTTGTGATTTGTAAAAATCCTGTTTCTTGGTTTAGAGTGAATTATAACCATCTGAGAATGTGATGTAAATTATGTTTATAGCTCCCAGTACAGCGATTTCTGTTTATTCAAAGTAAATCTGGTAAGCAAATGGTAAAAATTTGTGGTAAAGATCTATAATACAAAAAGTCATGTAAACTTACACAATAAAAATGTTACATTAAAAATTTATCCCCTAATTATATATATATATATATATACAAGATTAAAATTAACATTATCTTCTTTTTCCAGATCTCTTTCACATTTCCAAGTTATGATATTTTGGGGGGATCATTTTAATATTTGGTAGTAAAATTCTGATAAAATTACTTTTTTCTTGTAGAGCCATTTTAAAGAAACTTCGTTTTAAAACTAGCTGAACTAAAAATCTATTAAAACATTCAAAATGGAAGAGATAAGAATTTAGTCTGGAGAAATTGAAGACTGATACAAAAGTAAAATTTGCACAGCAATTTCACTATTACAGTCCAAATATTCCAAACAAAGTTTAATTAATATCCTATTTCAAGTTAATACTTAAATGTTATAATAATATGGAATTACATTTATTTAAGATACTTGACTTTGTGTGCTAGCTAGTTGTTGTTTTTATAGAGATGGGGTCTTGTGATGCCCAGGCTGGAGTGCAGTGGCATGATCATGGTTCACTGCAGCCTCAAACTCCTGGGCTCAAGCAATCCTCCTGCTTCAGTCGCAGTCACCCAAGCAGCTGGAACTACAGGTGTGCACCACCATTCCCAGCTGATTTTTAAAATTTGTTGTTAGCAACAGGGCCTCACCCTGTTGCCCAGGTTGGTCTCTAACTCCTAGGCTAAAGCAATCCTCCCACCTTGGCCTCCTGAGTAGCTAGGATTACAGGAAGCAGTCATCCTACGTAGCATTATTTCTTATTAGATGAAATCATTATTTCTTAATAGACTAACAATAGGCAAAGTTTAACAGGTTGAAAAGATTATTTCCTTCCTCTGAGTAAGACCTAAGAAAGGACAGGAGAAAGGGGTATGAGGAGGGTGGCATTTTCCTTGATATTGAAGTACTTAACATTTAGAGCAGGCTCTCTTGAAAGAGATTTCATTTTACTGTTTACATAGCAGCAACTACCTAATCTGATGACAGCACATTATTGAGGAGTGAATAATACATACCAAGGGATGTAAGCCCAAATTAAAAACTCGACACTATAATACCTGCTACTTTAAATTATTTCTTGGTGACTGGAAAAATAGTGTAAGACTGACAGTTACCTAGACTTAGATGTACACTGGTACCTCAGAGGAAAAACAGGGTGAGAGGGATTAGAACATATTTCAAGTTTCAATTGAAGCATACAGAATCTTGAGAGATCAGTGAGATGATAAGGAAAAGAGACTATCTGTGACAAAGAAAATGCTAAGGATGCCTGGGGCTTTATTCTTGGAGCAACTAGGAGTTGGCTGGTGTATCACAGAAAGGTGGCTAGATTTGGTGGGGGGATGAAGTGGGGTGGGGAGTAGGTGGTGCAAATAAAGCACTGCAAATAAAGACGAGAAAAGAAATTTAAGTTTCACTTGGGACTACTGAATTTGGAGACATGGAAATGTAGAATCCTGTTGGAGAAATATAGAGAGAAGGCTGCTGGATATAGGTATTGAGAACTCCAGAGTAATCTCTGGCCTAGAAGTCTAGATTTGAAAGTTGTAAGAATGCAGTAGGCGACTCAAACCATAGGAGAAAACAAACTTGCATAAACAATGAAAAGACAAGTGGGGCCAAAACACTGGAGAACACTAACATGTAAAGAGTCATGGAAAAAGATGGGCTTGGGAAGAAACTATTCTTAGGAATGCTACTTATTCTTTTCATCTAATGGCCTCACATTTGCCTCCTCTTTCTCAAGCATTCAACATATTATTTCTTTTTATTAAAGTCATTCTTGTTTAGACGCCTTGTTTAAATATCTTCTCAATCCCATTTCTACAGTGAGGCCTGACTAAAGTAAAAATGAGACTATCCCCTTTGGTATATGTATATACCAAAAGCCAAATACCAGTGAAAAGCACATAATTTTTGCTCATCTTTTCATTTTGCCTATTTCTTTTCTTTATGCCTATTTCTTGAAAGTGCAGAAATGTTAGTTAAAATAGCTTTCTAGAAAAAGCATAATTCTATGAACAATATATTTGACAAAGTAAAATTATATTAGGCTAGTCACTGGGATTTCGTGACTAGAATTTGCTCCAAAGTTATTAACTAATTTTTCTTTGCTACCAAGTCTCCTTCCTAATCTGTCTCCTAAAGTCCAAGTACAGTAATAAATAAAGGTTGTCAAGGGACCGTTTCAAAATAGGGCTAAACTCAGAAGAATATCATGGGGTTTTTAAAGAGACAGTTGCTTGATTCTGATTTAGACTAAAGGGAGAGCACAAGCATGGCCATCATTCCTTAATGAAATGAACAGAATATATCATATTGGGGGTGGGGGGAAAGCCTAGTCTTTATTTTTAATAAATCAATGAATGTTTTCCATTTGGAATGTTTTTTAAAATTATAGTGGCTTGGGTTTGAGCAAAGAATTACATCTTTCTTTTTAAAAATGTTTTGACTTGTTTGTAAAGACAGATCTCACTCTGTTGCCCATGCTGGTTTCAAACTCCTGGGCTCAAGTGATCCTCCTGCCTTGGCCTCCCAAAATGTTGGGATTATAGGCGTGTGCCACCGTACCCAGCCAAGGATTACATTTTTCACTTTCAACAAATATAAAGGCAACACTCTAAATACAGGCCCTGAAGAATTAAAGTTGTCTACGTTTCAGTTTATTATCTCTTGTCTAAAGTATTTTTTCTTCTCCACTTCATTCTGGGGTCAGACATTCTGAGGGGTAAGACAGTTTCTCACTCAGCAGTTGTCTAAGCAAAAAGTTGAATTCACACAGAATAATAAAATGGCTTAAAAGCATAGACTTTAGAATTAGACTAGCTGATTTTTTTTTTTTTTTTTTTTTGAGATGGAGTCTCGATCTGTTGCCCAGGCTGGAGTGCAGTGGCACAATCTCAGCTCACCACAACCTCCACCTCCCAGGTTCAAGCGATTCTCCTGCCTCAGCCTCCCGAGTAGCTGGGACTACAGGTGTGCACCACCATGCCCAGCTACTTTTTGTATTTTTAGTAGAAATGGGGTTTCACTGTGTTGGCCAGGCTGGTCTCGAACTCCTGACCTTGTCATCCACCTGTCTCGGCCTCCCAAAGTGCTGGAATTACAGGCGTGAGGCTAGCTGACTTTTAATCCAAACTCCAACCACTTACTAGTGGGGTGATCCTAGCAAGTTAACATACTGAAACTAGTTTCCTCAACTATAAAATGGGATACAGTTGTACATATCTTAAAGGACGGCTATAAGGATTATGTGAGACTGTTTACAACAGTACACACAACAACCCAATTAGTTCCTTTTATCATTTGGATCAATTTGGACTTTGACACTTTATAAGGTCTACTTTCCCAGTGTATCTTGGGAAAATTAAATAAGAGTTAATCTCCCAAGGCAGTGAAACATGAATAAAAATCAATTATGATTAGTATTAAGAAACAGGTTTTATATTTATGTTTCACCCAAAATAAAATCCTAGTTATTCCTTAATTGATTTTTTGTATTCAATTAAATGTTAAAGATTTAATGCAGCCACAAAGTATATGTTAATAAAAATTGTTTGACTTGAGATTTACATTTACAAGGCTTATTATTATTATTATTATTATTATTATTATTATTATTATTATTTTTGAGACAGAGTCTTGCTCTTGTCACCCAGGCTGGAGTGCAATGGCGCGATCTCTGCTCAGTGCAACCTCCGCCTCCTGGGTTCAAGCGATTCTCCTGTACAAGGCATATTAAACACAGGATTCCCGTGGACTGGACATTAATAACATTCTTACGGATCTTCTTTGGGATCTCGATGTTTCATTATTTAGAGTAAAATAATCTTAACTTACTGTGGGAAATTTTTCCAAAGCCCACTGAAATATAACTAATTTAATTCAAATAAAAATTTCCAAAAAGAGTATTTAAAAATATCCCAGGTCTTCCTTTAGTAGTGTTATATGAAAATTCAACAATAAATATTACTAAAAGCAAATAAGAAAAGTGGTATAACGTGTTGTTTGCTTTTAAACAAATTATTACCCTAGCTGAGAATCACTGCTTTAGAATTACCTTATTCAAAGGGATTCTGACATAAAGTAAAAAATAGCACTACTATAAAATCTAAAGGGTCATTAGGTTTTTTTCACTCAAGCAAAACTGCACTCAAGTAGGCACATTTTCAGAGACAAAAAGTTTAACATCTAAGTTTTTATCATTTCAGTCTAGATTCATGTCCTTGAATTCTTTTAGGTAATAATTCTAATAATTTAGACATGGTGAATGACAGAATTTTACAATAGTTTGTGTGAAATCTTTTATGATGAATTCTACACTTACATCATGACCTGAAATTTGTTAAATCGATTTAGATTCCAGAGATAAGACTGTCACTTGAGATGGAATGCTCCACCTACATTTTCCTTAGCCTTCTTCCTTTCTTGCCAACAGGCTCCACTTCTCTGATTCGTCCATAATTTTTTTGTCTTTATCAAATGTTCCTTTCTCTTGAATTAAACCTTAAAAGCAGAAACTGTCCATCTCCAGGGTCTACTTATTACAACACTACTCTGCATATAATTGATAGTAAACATATTACTTGAAGAAAAAGACAGAATACAACTTACAATATATTATCTAATTATATTTTATAAGTTTGGTATAAACAGATGTTATATTGAGCTCATCATGCCAGGACAAAGATCTAAGAAATTAACCAACTATTTAAACTATTAGAAACTAATTAAGGGTATCGCTGGAACACAGTAAAATATGGGCAGACCTCGAGAATTTTTTTCTCCCCAATAAAGGTAGGTTTTTGATGTTCCTTGCATCTGGTTGTTACCTACTGAGAAAGAAGGAAAGTGCGCCAGTTTCTATGTAATATAGGCAACTGATGTAAATAGAAAAACGGGTTCAAGTTTGAGTAACAGAAAAGGGCTAGGCTCTATGAATTTCCAGGTTACTGCTGCCATGGCCAGTGAAACTTGGTAACTCCATATACTGATCATGGTGATGACTAAATCATAGAAGACTTCATGGATAATAAAGTGGATGTTAAAAACTTAATGATCTTAAGATAAAAACCTTGACAGAGACTTTTTTACATTAGAATCATGGATTTAAGGAGAAACCATTTGTAAATCTGGTGAAAAGCTTGATTGTATAATCATGCCTCATAAGTATCTATGTGTTCTCTCAGCTGACTAATCTCACTCTCTACTGAATCAAAATTAAGTCTAAAGGGTGAATTAAAAATCCTAAATGCTTTTGGTCAGATAAAAAAGACAATTCAAACTACCATGCCTTTAAGCATGACTCATGAATAAGTGCAAGTTATATGTAAACTAGATCCAGGAGTCTGAAGTCATTCACATTTATTTCACTCTTTTTACATTGAGGATCAGGTCACATATAAAGGTTTCCCATGAAGTCCTTGTATCATCACTAGAATCAATAAGTAGAGAAACGTCCTTGTGATCTCTAAGTTATTAAGCAATGTCTCCTTATCCATTTTTGAAAAAGAACTTTATGACTATGTACTAAAACCAGTGACTTACGGCCATGAACTGGAAACCACATTCTTGATTATAGCAGCTATGAAAATACAGAAATATCTAGAGGATGTACCCAGTTCAATGTCTCCACAGACTTTTTAGTGCTGCTTATATATGCTTCAAGTGATGGCAATCATCTGATTTTTCTGCTTCACATTTTAAGATTCCCTATTTTACAGAAAGGGTTTATGAGAGGTTTATAAATACAAAAAGAGACCAGGATGCAAAAGTAAGACATCACTGGAGGTATTCAGAGGCTGGATGACAACTTGAAAGGAACACTGTAGACATGATCCAAGTATAGGATAGGTGGTTAGAATAAATGACCATTAAATTCCCTTCTAACTCAGTTTTATAATTCAAAACTCAGAAGATAAATTCTGAGATGTGATATTAAATAAAAGGGCATTGGTTCTGGAGTTATACCCAGGTTTGAATCCCATCTCTCACCTTATTTTATAACACATAGTCTTGCTGTCTTCCAGGTTGGAATGCAATGGCGCCATCATAGCTCTCTGCTGCCTTAAACTCCTGGGCTCAAGTGATCCTTCTGCCTCAGTGGGATTACAGGCATGTGCCATCATGTCTAGCTAATTTTTCTTTTTTGCAGGTAGAGACAGGGTTACTCAAGCTGCTCCTAAACTCCTGGCCTGAAGCAATCCTCCTGCCTTGGACTCTCAAAGTGCTGGGATTACAGGCTTGAGCCACTGCACCAAAACCGAGATATGACTTTAGACAAGCTAATATTTAGCCTCCCCAAAGGACAATAATAGGACCGGGTACTGAGATTCAGTGAGATAATGCATTAGTATCTGGCATATGGTAAACACTTACTATGTTACCTAATAACTTGCCGTAATAATTTATAGTGGTCAAAATCTAAATGTCATGAAATACACAAGAAACACTGACTTAGGAGTTAGGTAATGTGGTTCCTACATTTGAGTCTTGTCTCTAATTGTATACAATAATCTCTAACATTATTTTCAGACACCAAATTTTGTGATGCCACATTCCAAAGGGGTTGTAATGAACTTAAACATTTCTCAGACCCTGGGGATACAACGTCAAATAAACATAATTCCAGAGTTTGTGAGTTTACAATTAGTGCAGGAGATATATAAGATGTTAAGTGTGATAAGTGCTAAGACAGAGCAAGATTTTAGAGGGTGTTCTGGGGGCACATAGCTCTTGGATCAGGAAAGAATTAGTAGAGGAAATGCCACAGTTGGGTGGAGAAAAAAAAGATAGGTACAAAAAAATGTTCCAAGTAAAAAGAACAGTAGGTGCAGTTGGCCACATTAGAAAACTTAAACGACAAGGACTAGTCAGAAGGTTGTTGCATTTTCACATAAGAAAGGATAGTACACTGAATGAGGACAAGAGATGGATAGGCTGGCAAAACACTGAGGAGGCAGATATGGCAGTACTTTGTGATTAACCAGCTATGAGAGATCAGGTAAGTTTGAATGTAAGGAGAGATGCCTAGGCTGGAAGTAATGGGTTTGAGCACCTTAGAGCATACAGGTGACTTCCTATAGCATAAAGATGATATGTGCATGGAAGCCATCTATAAGCTCTTACCACGATGAAGAATGTAAGAAGACAGCATTCTGATGACTCTATTTATTGACTGATTGATTGATTGAGACTGAGTCTCACTCTGTTGCCCAGGCTGGAGTGGAGTGGTGCGATCATGGCTCACTGCACCCTTGACCTCTCAGGCCCAAGCAATCCTTCCACCTCAGCCTCCCAAGTAGCTGAGACCACAGGTGTGCACCACCACACCCAGCAAATTATTTATGTAGAGACGGGGTCTCCCTATGTTGTCCAGGCTGGTCTTGAACTCCTGGGCTCAAGTCATCTGCCCACCTCAGCCTCCTAAAGTGCTGGGATTATAGACATGAGCCACCATGCCCGGCCTCCAATAATATTTAAAAGAGCAGACAGAAGGGAAAGCCTGCCAAATGGTCTGAGAAGCAACAACCAGCAAGGTAGAAGGAAAAACAGGAGGGAATGCTATCACAGATGTCAAAATATCAAATATCAGTTCAAAATTAAAAACGTATCACATATCAGTATTAGCTTTAGTTTTAACTACACAGTTTAAAAACTATTGAAAATCTACTTATCTACCATGATTGCAACTATTAATATATATGTATTCCAAGTCTGGGAATATGCAAACACTAAGATGGTAATTGTGTTAAAAACTTGGATTAAGTATGATTATTCTTATTCTATTTTCCAAACTTCCCAGTTTGAATTTTGAAAAGGCAAACATACTACTACTACAGAAGTTGGGGTACAAATGTATTTTATATGTTTATATGTATTATATATATATTTTTTAATATATATATAAAAAGACTTTTAGATAGAATTCTCATATTCTGATGACCTATCACGTTGTTTGTGCATTTTTAATCGTGGTGCTAAAGAAACAGTTTATACTAGCTCTGCAGACTATTTCAACATCACTCAGGAGCAAACAAATTCTTATGGTTTTAAGCAGTACTATTATTGCAGATTCAACCTTTTATTATTAATACTTAAAAACAGGGAAAAGGTTATAAGATGTGGAGCTCATTGGAGAGTAAAATTAAACCAACAAAAAGGATATGACAAAGTACAAAGGAAAACAAAACCAAAAAACTTCATGTATCCCAAAAAATTAATTTTGCCTGATAAATGCTTTAAAAGTGGGCAAAAAAGGAGGTTTCTCAGAATTATTCGCAACTAAAGGCAAATGGAAAACTCTCACATAGCATTTAATAAGGGTTTTACATGCAATATATCCCACTATCCCAAGAAATATCTGCAGTTCAAAGCTGCTTTTTAAATTAATGCTTCCTAGTGTTTGCTGTTTATAAATCCTAAATATTAAAGGGTGAGTTCCTTAATAATACTATTCTAATAAGTACTAAGACTTTTCTAAAAAAAAAAATACACATATATTTGCTTATATTCATAAGTATTAAACCTGAAAAAGAATTTATTTTTTAATGCAATTAATACTTAACTTTTAGATAGTAAGCAACCTCCAACATTTATTTTTTGGCAAATAATAAAAGATAGTTTTGTAATGGAGGATGACCCATTGCTACTTAAGTTCAAGATAAATCAAATTTATGAATTCACATCTTCATACAATGTAAAATTCTCCTTTATCTTATCCTTCAAATTTTCAGAGGATACCAGCATACTGATACCCAGGTTCCAGTCAGTAATAAGATTTGAATTCTAGCTCCACCACTCAATGGCTATGCGACTTGAGCAAGTTACTTAACTTCCCTAAGCTTTCAATTTTCTTCTCTGTAAACTGAGGATATTGATAATATCTATTAATATATGACTTTGTGAAAATTAAATGAGATAATGTGCCAAAAATATTCAGCACAGTGCCTGACACTCAATAGCCAAAACACGACTACTCTGCAGAAAAATCCAATTGACCTTTGAGCACAGAGACTGACAGTACGAAATTCCTAAACTAAATGTGGCTTGGCTCTGATTTGTCCCATCAGTCTAATGGGCATTTATAGTAACCCAGCATTGAATAAACATCAGTAGAAGTCATATGACCAATGTTCTCATTAGAAATTTCTTTCACGACTCATACTTAGGTGTCTAACAAGGATTGTCCTTTTGACACAAAACATTCACTAGCAATGTTTCTTAACTGTTTTTGACAGATGAAAATCTGACAAATGCTCTGAAAAAAAAATCTGACAAATGCTCTGAACCTTTCACAGAAAAGTGAACATAAAAAAATTCTACCCAAAATCTCACATGGTTCGTGATCTCCTGAACCCCAGCCACTGACTACTACATATGGATATCCTATACTAGAGAAATTAGAAGTTATTTTCCTGATTATCAAAGTTATGTAGATTATAGAAAATAAAGAAAATAGAAAAGTATACGGAATAAGAGATAACTTAATTAGTTTGTTGTATTTCCTTCCAGACTACTATTGATTGCAATTACTGGCTTAAGGGACTTAAGCTTACAGAATGTAATGAAGTCATGGAATACTATATCAGAAACAATTTAGAATATTATTCAAAAGGCAGAATGGGCAAAGGATAAAATAACATATCTCTGGTTAAGGATAAAGTTGGAATATATATAGTGGCCTGTTTAGCTGATATCAACCCATGCCTTCTGGCTTTTTTGGAAAATAAATAATTTCAAATAATTCTTGACTGACATGCAGGATATGCATACCACACTTTAATGAAAATATGAATTCTACAATTATATCACCTTGGACAAATAATCCAGACTCCTTTTCTTCATCTGCAAAATACTATAATCTTGAGATTAAAAGATATAAGGTCTTATCCTGAGCTAAACTCTATCCTTCCAATGGTCCCCCTACAAAATACAGCTGTGTAAAACAAAGCAAAATAAGAAACTGCACAAAACAAAGTAGTTTTTTTCTAAGCAGAATACTGAGAGAAAATTAATTTTCGGGGAATATAAAAAATGTGCAATGACTTCTAATATATCATTTTCATATGATATTGGCATCTTAGGTATTCTCAATGTAAGAATTGAAAAAATTTTCTTGGCTTTATTTTAGACATTTAGAGGAAACATGTCTTTTATTAAGAAATAAAATCTCCAAAGCAATAAAATTAAGCTGTATGTTATTAAGAAAATGGATTTTTTTTAAAGAAAAGATGAATATATTATTTCTCAAATATCTCCTGGTATAACACCTAAAAAGTATTTGGGTTCTTCACTATATTGTAGGCATCTACAGCAGATGCAATAGCAATATTTTAATAATCTTACTATAATACAGGATTTCACTTTCTTTTTTTAAACTGATGTATTTACTAAACACCACTGCAAAGATACGGCCTTCAGCCTCAAGAGACTTCGAAAGGCTTACATACTCCAAGTATTTAAAATTCCAAGTTTTAACTTATATTTAATACTATACTCTTACACAATGTGCTCATTTTGTTCATAAATATTCATCTCAATACAATAACATCAGGTATAATACATAAAATCTAAGCCATTAAGTCTTACCAATTTATGACCTGATGACACTCTTGTGGACAACATTCAGTCCTTAGAAGCTAGAATAACCCTCCAACCATGTGAGGGCATCACAACTTTTAAACTTTCGGCTTTCGATCATTATTATGTCACATTCCTCCTCCGATGCTGAATTCTAAAAAAAATTCTAGCAAAGAGTTTAAGTAAATAAATGTTTTAATCAAATAGCCTTTAAAAATCTTTTATAGCAAAATTTTATGTTTTACCATGATTATACAACTGATATTTTGTACTTTAAAAAATGAAAATAAATTTCATATTTGATCTGGAAAATTCAAACTTCAAATTTCAACATGGATTTTCAGGCCATCAGGATACTTGTTAGTAAAGAGTAAAGTAGAAATGGAACCAATTAAAGGTTTAAGATCATGATCCAGAAATTATGATTTAACACCATAACCTGATACAGACAGCTTTGTAGTCCTGTAGAAAGGCATTTGAGTTATATTGTTTGGTCCACATCCATGTATATGAGTTTCTTATTTTATTTTATTTTATTTATTTATTTATTTATTTTGAGACGGAGTCCCGCTCTGCCGCCCAGGCTGGAGTGCAGTGGTGCGATCTCAGCTCACTACAACCTCCACCTCCTGGGTTCAAGCAATTCTCCTGCCTCAGCCTCCCGAGTAGGTGGGATTACAGGCACGTGCCACCACGCCTGGCTAATTTTTTTTTTTTTGTATTTTTAGTAGAGACGGGGTTTCACTGTGTTAGCCAGGATGGTCTCGATCTCTGACCTCGTGATCTGCCTACCTCGGCCTCCCAAAATGCTGGGATTACAGGCATGAGCCACCATGCCTGGCTGAGTTTCTAGACTTATAGCATGGGTGGCTGGATCAGTAACAATCCATACCGATCATTTAAGTGCTTAAGACAGAATTCCATTTCTATATCTAAATCTTCATCTGTCTCTACTACCCCCAATTTTGAAAATAGACAACATAATGGCAAGAATTAAATTTTATTATGTGCTTTATGTAACCGAATAACAATGTATCCTATGCAGCAGTGGTCCCTATTGCTCACCTGTATATGGGCACGGAAGAAAACTGGAGGTAGGAAGATTTAATAATGGCAAAAATCACTTCATTAAAAATATCCTGTTAAATTTATTAAATTTTACCAGAAAGCTTTCAATTGGGCATCTATGTTAATCACTGAATAATATCATTAATAACATTTTCTGTCTGATAAGAATGTACATTTATATTTTTAGTTGCCAGTAACCCATAGGAAAGGAAACCCATAGATTTGTGGGCATAGTTTTGCCTAAATTAATCCCCTAAATAAAACACTATAAAGGGGTGGAAGGGATGGGGGAAAGAAAAGGGCCCTTACTGAGGATGATCAATACGCATAAAGCTATAGAAAACTGAAAGACAGCATTGTAAAGGAAACTCTGCAGCTATCTCAAAAGATACTTGACCCAAATGTACAGGCTGGGTCATGCTGTTACAGATTTTAACTTTCAGTGGAACTTTTCTATTACACATGGTCACTTAAGTCTCTCACGTAGTCTGAAAAACTATTAGAATTTTTCCAATATAATCTTTCCAAATGTAATCTCACAACACATTTGACTTCAATATAAATCATACAACTTTATTTTGTCTTCTGTGAAAGCACAGCTTTATAATGTAATCACCTGGTGAAGGCAAAAATCCATATTTATGAGGATAAGTGGTCGTTTAAAGTTGTGGTCATTTCATTAATGTATTACCAAATGTTTTAAGAAAGTTTTAATAACATTCTTATCTCCTATCAACCAAAATACTGTAATTTTTAAAATCTTTTGAAGATTTACTTTTTATAGGACAAATATACAGTCATATTTAGTAAAGTAAATACTTCCTGAAATACTTATCTATAATGCTGGTAAATCTGCTTGTCTGCAAGGCTTTAATTTAAGGTCATTTAAAGGGCCGACTGCTTGACCTTTTGTTAAAGGGCCGACTGCTTGACCCTTTGTTAAAGGGCCTGCCAACAAAAAAAGCCTTGTTACGGTAAATGCTTGGAAAGTCTTTTTGGAAGATACAATTAAACCAGTCATATGAAGCAGTTATTTTACTACGAAACTTACAAAAAAAAATTTTAAGGGTGTATACATTACACAAATATATGGTTAAATCAGGACTTTAGAGCTGTATACGTTTTAAAAGATACAAAAGTTATATATCAAAATTTTCCTAAGCATATATTTTCAAAATTAGTTGTTACCAAGTACAGGGTCATATTTCAAGAGTTTAAGTCATTAAATTCCAACATGTAGGACATCCTTATTAACAACCTGAAATGAAATTGGGTAACTAAAGTAGTTACAGATGAACAGCGTTCAGATTAACCAGATACCCTTCAAAATTTAAAATTAGAATTCTTCCTAAAAATGAATATTTAATGAGAAAACTGTACTAATATTATCAATCATAATCTTGAATCTCTGGCAAGACTGCTACCAAAACCAAATCCCAAATATTCCCTACAGTTATTTATCATTTCCTTTTGTGAGAAGGTGAAACTATATTAAAATAAAAAAACAGTGAAAGGGGAAGAAGGTAGATGATTTATAATTTCCAAGTAATTACTTGAAAATGGATATGCTAAATCAAACAGGTCTAAAAGAGTTCCTAAAGGAACTTGGTTTTTTAATGAATGTGCTTATCTTAGTTTGATAGAAAATTTTGTTTTCAGGTTTAAACCACATTTCCTTAAAAGATTCTGAAAATTCTATAAGACTACCCACTAATATAGCCAGATTTTCAACCTGCTGTTCAAAAAAGTTCACTACATTGTTTGGAGAAATCCTAGCCATGATAAACCAATGCTTGGTCAGAAATACTTAGTTTTAAATGGAGAAAGGGGGGAAACAGGGCAACCCTTTATGTCCTCCAATAAATTACACAGAGTCATTCCATAGGTTATATATATTGAAAAAATAAGCTTTAAAATATCAAAGATAAATTTACTTTAAAAATTAGTACAAATGTACCTAAATAAAATAAAACTGCTAGGAAGACAGTATGTTCCAAAAAATTAACATATAAAAAGGCCGGATGCAGTGGCTCACGCCTGTAATCACAGCACTTTGGGATCCCACAGAGGTGGTGGATCACCTGAGGTCAGGAGTTCAAGAACAGCCTGACCAACATGGAGAAACCCCATCTCTACTAAAAAATACAAAAATTAGGCAGGCATGGTGGTGGGCGCCCGTAATCCCAGCTACTCGGGAGGCTGAGGTAGGAGAATTGCTTGAACCCGGGAGGCAGAGGTTGCAGTGAGCCGAGATCGTGCTATTGCACTCCAGCTTGGGTGACAGAGCAAGACTCCATCTCAAAATAAATAAATAAATAAAAAGACACATATAAAAAGACACATAACACACAATGACAAGAAACTTCATATATCTGTGGTTGAGCCAAGATATAATTTAAGACACAATTAGCTATGCCAGAAACTAAATATATATATGTATACATATATAAGCATATGTACATATATACACATACATATATAAGCATAAGTACATGTATATACACATATATAAAGTGTTTGGTATGTTATGCATTATAGCAAATGCACCTATTGGTAGAAGAAACACCAAATACACAGCTTAAAGAATTTCATTAATACACCTTTGAAAAACAGCTCTAAGAAGACAGGCTATTGGTATTTTTAACATGTTTACTCTCAAATGATTTATACACTTGATCCTTTCAAAGGAGTAGAAACAGCTTAGAAAGAAGGCAAAGGAAAAAGATATTGAAATTAAAGGTAGAGCTCCCTCTAAAAACGGAAAATCAAAGGAAGTGGAAGCCAGTTACATAATACTCAAATATATGTATAATAAGGAACTGCATGCTTTGTTAACAGAAAGCTGAATATTTGGGTTGGACACAGTGGCTCACATGTGTAATCCCAGAACTTTGAGAGGTCAGGGCAGGGTGGATCACTTGAAGCCAGGAGTTTGAGACCAGCCTGGCCAGCGTGCTGAAACCCTGTCTTTATGAAAAATACAAAAATTAGCAGGGCGTGGTGGTGGTGCCTGTAATCCCAGCTACTCGGGAGGCAAGAGAATCACTTAAACCTAGAAGGCAGAGGTTGCAGTGAGCCAACATTGTGCCACTGCATTCCAGCCTGGGTGACAGAGCAAGACTCTGTCCCAAAAAAAAAAAAAACAAAAAACCCTCCTATTTTTTGACTCTGAGCTTAATAATAGCTAACATAAAAGAAATGGAACATTTATTTATACATTTATTTGAGACAGAGTCTCGCTCTGTGGCCCTGGAGCGCAGTGGTGCAATCTCGGCTCCCTGCAACCTCTACCTCGTGGGTTCAAGCAATTCTTGTGCCTCAGCCTCCCAAGTAGCTGGGATTACAGGCATGCACCATCACACCCGGCTAATTTTTGTGTTTTTTGTAGAGATGAGGTTTTGCCATGTTGCCCAGGCTGGACTCAAACTCCTGAGCTCAAGCAATCTGTCCACCTTGGCCTTCCAAAGTGCTGGGATTACAGGCATGAGCCACTGTGCTCAGGAGAAACAGAACTTGTAAAGAAACCATAATATATTATGCTTTTTGAAGAGTTGATACCTCTTATTTCTTGAAACAAAAGTAGTTATGACTACTCTAGAAAAATACATTTAGCAACATTTTCTGGACTAAGTACTATCCAAAATAAAAACAGCTACTGCAAATAAACGCAGAAATTTTCTGAAGACCAACGGTTAGCATCACTGTAAACAGGAGTGTTATCAGCCAGACACTGCAACTCTTTTCCCTCCTTGTTCCCCTTCCGATACTGTGTAGGACTAGGGAAAATATACCTTCTTTATCACCAGGCAGATATGCAGAAAGATGTTTCTGTCTTCTACGACAAAGGTTACATATATTCTGAACATCTTGCTATTGGTAGAAAATACGTAGCTACTATGGATACCACCATTAGCATTGATACTGAAATTACAAATAAAATTCTCAATATGTGGCCACATAAACAGCTGGGGACACTGACAGCCATGCTGTCTGCATACATACTTTAACTTAGTGAAGACACCACTATTTTTGGGCCAAATATCACACAATTAAAAAGTGAAAAATACAATAGCACCTTCCAAATCTTTTAGTATTTATAACCAACAATCTTCAAACTTTGAAACAACTGGGAGATAAACTGGCATAAAAATGTTATTTCTTGAGGATATTTACTAATGGATAAACATTCTAAATTATTATCACTTATTTAAATTTATTTCTGTCAAATATGAAAAATACTTTAGAAGTAGCCAACTAAAGTTTAAACACAGGAGCTAATTTTTGGTAAGCTAAGGCATTTAAAAGCTCTGTATCAATCACAAAAATTTAATATATTCCCTGATTTGAGTAACTTGGAATATTACTATCAGCATGTTTATGCACACAAACAAAAAGAATGTCAGGCTAGAATAGAGTCAGTCATCTCTTTCTTCTACCTCTACCTACCACCCCAAATCTTAATAAAAATAAAAAACTAAAATAATTCCATTAATATTTCTTTCTTCCCAAAAGGTTGCCCAACTGCGGATTTAAATACAACTGAAGAGGTGTGAATTTAAAATTTTAAATTGCTGAGGACTAGAATGGAAAACCAACAACAATGACGAAACCCTAAAAGATGTTCTATGTTTATCCTGGTTCAACAATTCCAGGTTCCTTAAATTTCTTTCTTGTCTGAACAAGTTCAGTTATTTATTATTTTTTTTTTTTAAAAAAAGCTCTTCAATAGAATTTTAGATTCGGTAGAAAAAAATACATCGAATTTGGCGAATTAGTTCACATGTACAAACATACATACACTTTTCTGTTCTATTCAAAGCCTTGGTTTACCTAAAATCTATTTGGTGAAAAGAAAAAAAAAGAATTGAATAAATGAATAAATAAATAAATAATAAAGAGACCTTACCAGCTATTCCCACCTTTTTCAAAACTGTTTCTAAAATTTCACCTGAAAATAATTATCAAAACATCTCAAAATAGGCTGGGGTGACTTAGGTTTAGAAATTTATTAAATAACATATTAAATTTACTAAAGAGGAAGGTGGTAAACATATGGGTGGAAAGCATATATAATGGTGGGTGAGCAGTTAAGAAATAATTTCTCTTTGCCAATTCTGAAACCTGGTAATGTGTCGAAAACAGATGTCAGAATGTTTAGTGTCCCACTTCAGCTAGCCATAGAAAAGCTAAGAGAAGAGATGTTTAGGGTCCAGTGAAACACCACTTCGAATAATGAGATTTAGATTTGTGGTTAAAAATCTCGCAGCAGACAAGCCACCTAACACAACTACCAGAATAAAACTAAGAGGATACAACAGTATATACAGGATAGCAATACATAATTTGCAAACCCAAGTGGTGATGTAAAATGTCTTCAAATTACACTATTTTTTCCAACTCAAAATAATTAAAAGCCCAATTTAATACATACATATAAAAATCACAGTACAGAAAGGGAAGTACATGAATATACTTCAATTTCTAAGGGACACATTAATATCCAAATGTTCTCCTACTCTTGCCACCCACCACCCAACTCTGAGCAATAAAAGACCTCCCCTTATAAAACTTCACCAACTCTAGTAGTCGTTTCAGCTGGATTTTAGGCAGTACTCCCTTGCCTTTCGAATACTCCCAATAGTACAAACTAGCTAAGCAAGTACATTTTTTTCCTAGTATTTTATCCAAAAACATTAATACTGCATTTTTTATTAAATATTTAAATTTTAAATAATCCTTTAGGTGACTAACACAAGTACTTACATATTCAAACAAGACAGGAAGGGAAAAAGACAACTGTTTAATTAAGTATAATTGGTGAACCTATACTGGCTCTTCGAACAGGTTAAAAAATGGTTATGAAGGACATTATTGTAATAACTGACAAAATCTGAATATGCACTGTATATTCATATTTGATAATAGCACATTAATATAAGATACCCTGAATTTGGTAATTATATTGTTGGTAAGAGAATAATCTTCTTAGGAAACATAAGCTGAAGTATCTGAAGTTAAATGGATATGGTATTTCCTATCTACTCTTTTTTTTTTTTTTTTTTTTTTTTTTTGAGACAGAGCCTCACTCTGTCACCCAGGCTGGAGTGCAGTGGCGCGATCTCGGCTCACTGCAAGCTCTGCCTCCTGAGTTCACGCTATTCTCTTGCCTCAGCCTCCCGAGTAGCTGGGACTATAGGTGCCTGCCACCACGCCTGGCTAATTTTTGTATTTTTAGTAGAGATGGGGTTTCACCTTGTTAGTGGTTCCTAAAATAATATGTTAGGATGATAAAGCAAATATGACAAAATGTTAACAAACACTGAATCTTGGTAAGAAGATTGAGTTCTTTGTACTATTCTTGTAATTTTTCTGTAAATTTGAAATTATTTCAAATTAAAGATTCAGACCTTTCTCTTCTTTTTGATTAGAAAATAATATCCTCAGAATGGTCTAATCTCTAAAACCAATCATCCTCTTCAGACTTCCTTCTGTTATCTAAATGCAGGTGGTATTGCCTAAGGTCCTGGCTTGACCCTTTACCCTACTCTAATCCTTGGCAATCTTGGCCTTTCCTAAAGCTTGAACTCTAATAAAACATTCTTAAATCTCAACTAGCTTTAATTTCTATACCAACCTGCAAGTCTGCAGCCTCAGCTGCACCCCAAATATTTTCACCTTGACTTTGTACCAGCTTATCAACTCATCCAAAAAACAGCTAAAAACAAAAACCTCATCACTACTTTCTCCTTCCCAAACTAATTCTTTCACTAATACTTTCTAACAGTACCAGCATTCCCTCAGTCAATTAGGTTTGGCACTTTGGAGTCAAGTTTGACTGCTCCCCTATCATGACCAATCAGTTGTAAAATCCTGTAATTCCTATCTCATCCCCATTGCCTAATTCAGGCTTCAGTACCTTTCTAGAATCTCTGTCTCTAATCTAACTGCTCTCCTCTCCTGTCTTCAAATGTTATACACCTACCAAATTTAACTTTATCCTTATCATATAAGGCCAGTACTTCCATAGTGGTGCACAATATTTCCTCTAACTGGAATGTTCCCTTCCCCTCAGTTCTTTAATTCTGCTTGACCAAATTCTACCCACCTTTCAGTTTCCAACTCAAAAGCCACCTCCTGAAGAAGCTTTGACCAATCCCTCCAGCTGTACTTGAGAGATATGAAGTGCTTACATTTTATATGAGTTATTACTTTCAATCATGTGATAATGTATTTACCATTTTCCATATTAAGACCAAGCTCACTGAAAGCAGTTACTAAATCTTATTGTTTCTTCTAGTATTTAATTATAGGAGAACAAACTTTTGCTGAGTCAGGTAATTGCAAACGTTCCTGGTATTTTCCCTCAGCTTCATTCTGAGTTACTCTAAAAAAGTGAGATTTTTAAGGCTTTAGAATCTTTTGGTTGGAAAAGGTGATCTAAGACCACTGAAGATGGTAACAGGAAAATGCCTTAAATAGCAAGTAACTATAATTGGGGACAAACACGTATTGTTAAAGAGACTACTTTATAATATGACCAGGCATCTAATACTTTACTGAACTTCCCAAGTAGCTTTACAGAACACCATAGGCATGAGTTTCAAACAGTTTTAAGTGGCTTCTTTCATCTTCCATTAAAATCCCAATGACCTACCTTCACTACACTCTACATACAATTTCTTTCTTTCCCACACACTATTCTTATTTCCAGATCAACAAGAATTTGAATTATATTTTGAGAGCATCAATTTCATAACCAAGCATGTGGCTTTTAAAAACTTGGAGACCTGGTTTTCCCTACAGTCCTATGACTATGACCTAGACTGATGCCCATTTATATATATAGTCCATGATTTCTAAATGAAGTTAACCTTAAATTCTGCCAGTCAGTCTGTAATGTGTAGTTATTTTTCTCCATGAGTTACTCTACCTCCCCTTGGCACCTGGGTAGGAAGAATTCACTAGTTTTTAAGATGCTGCTGAAATCATCAGCATGGTGATAACTGGTGCCTAGTTATTTGTGGGGCTTCATTTACCACCACTCCTATGGCAATTCTCATTTCCAAATAAGCTTACTGTCACTCATTTTCTTCTGAGGGAAGCTCCATTGGTTTCTCTATTCAGATCAACATTTACTGCCTCTGACATGGAATTCTTCCCTAAAAAAGCAGAATAGTTTACTACCCTTCCATTCCTTAAGCAAATACACAGCTCTTTAAGGTTTACTGATAATCACAGCCAATAATGACGAAACAGAAGTAAAGGAGTTCAATTCCAATGCTTGTACTTCCATTTAGAAAAGTTGGGGAAATAAAACTCCAGAGTAGGCATTTTAAATGTAACTAAAATTAAATTTCACTTAAAATCAGCATCCCTGGTTAACAGACAGGAAGATAGTTGTATTATTTCTAGTGATGGCAAGACCATTTCCCAAGGGATCTGTTTACTTTTCAGTAAGCTCGCTCAGGCCTGCCTGTTGAAATACCCCTGGATATGCAAATAGAGTATAAAGAAATTTGGTTTTCTAGTTAGTTTTGTATTTAGAACAACTGTTCTGTAGAAATGGAGTACAACAGATTAGTCACCATCATTTCAACATCACCTAAAATCACATTAGTTTTTGTGGCAGCACTGTCACTTGCTAACCAATACTACAAAATGCCATTAACACACATATCTAAGTATGTTTTTTTTTTTTTTTACTATACCCAGTCAACCTAGGTTTCAACCTCCCTGAATTTACATATAAATTCTTCCAATTTCTTGATTTCTGTATTTGTTTCAGTTAAATTTATAAATGCTGTCATTCACAATGGCTATCACTTCCTTGATTTAATGTCATCTGAACATAACCACGCCCTGAGGTTTCCATCTAAATCAGGGATCCAAAAATGAGTTTTAGAGGGAATATATAAAGCTTTCATCCTCTAAGTACCAGTGATTACCTGCCCCTCCTACCCTGGGCCTGCCCCATCCCCCACTTAAGAACTACAAACTAAACTACTGATGAAAACATTTATATATGTGATACGAAAGAGTCCTGTGAGAATAGCAACTGTAGTAAGCACTGCAGAAAAGGTGGAAATTTGTAGGCAATCTTAGTTAACTGACTCTCCACACCAATAAGACCAGACTTGCTACTCCCTATGTTCAATAAAGGAACAGTGCTATGTTACAAATTAAAATGGAAGACACAATGACTAAACACAATGTGGAATCCTGAATTGGATCCTGGAACAGAAAAAGGACACTTACAAAAGTGGAAAACTTGGTAAAATTAAAATAAGATCTGTAGTTTAGTTAATAGTATTCTATCAATGTTAACTTCCTAACTTTGATAATTGTACTAAGGTTGTACAACATGTTAACATTAAGGGAGGCTAGGTAAAGGACATACAAGAAGCCTCAGCACTATTTTTGCAACTTTAAATCTAAAATATTTCAGATTAAAAAGTAAAATAAAAGGAAGGAAGGAGAGGAAGAGAAGAAGAAAGGAAGGAGGAAATGAAGTAAGGAAAGAGGGAGGGAGGGAGGAAGAATAAAAGGTGACAATCATTAAAAAGCTATGCTATAATTTTTAGCTTCTTGTACTATCCTCTACTAGATGTCTTTTAGTGGAACAGGTTGAAATATAATCAGATAATAAATTATGTAAGTACTAGGTACAAATTAGTAAGGAATATATTGGGGTTGGTCACAAAATGGTTCAGGTACATATCCTCAAGATACTTATGCATAATCACTAGGAGAGAACATTTAACCAATACCAATCTCCAACAAATAAGCTACTTGAGTGATTCTTTAAAATTATATAGTCCACATCTACAACTATGCAGAACCATACAGATGAATCTCAAATACAATACTGGATGAAAGAGGTCAGACACAAAACACATAGTGTATGGTCCTACATATATAACACATTAGAAATTAGGATTGGGAGGGGAAGTGACTGATGGGGGGCATGAAGAGGACATGAAAGGGGCTTATAATATTCTATGTATTGATCTGGGTGCTGCCCACACAGGTGTGTTCAATTTGAGCTATACATTTATGAATGGTGCACTTTTCCGATACAAATTATACTTCAATAAAAAAATTTTACAAGTCCTATCACCAAGCATTCAAAAACTAGATCAGCTAAGTTGCATAACTTGAGTTTTACCATTTGGGATAACAAGTACTGGTGGATGTTAATGATGGACCCAAGATTCTTAGAGATGAGCAAAACAAAATAAATTGTCTCATATGGTACCAATGGTATTTATGACATAAACAGCTTAGTTCTAATTTATTCCTAGCTTCAAAAAAAAATCTCATAGGAAACAATGATAGGAAATACTGGAAGGCGTTCCCTACACAAAATACTTGAGGCTATTTAAATAAGAAGACTTTTTTTATCCAATAATTTTAAAATTAGAGGTAATAAGTGAATAATCACTGTAGAAAACAATTTGAGAGATCATCAATTATCTAGTAAAAAAATTTAGGATAAACTTACTAGACTTTCATTTTAAGTTAATAACCCATGTCTACTACTTTCCTTATTAACTTCTCTCTAAATACTGGTGCTATCATAAGGACAGACAAGCAGACTCAAGGGGATGTACACCTAGCAACTGTTCTCTCACTTGTTTTAAGTACATTTATGCATTTCTTAATGAAGACAAAAGCCCTGCAAGTGCTTATCGATGAGGTTAAAGCCTTACAAGCTACCTGATTTCTTCCTTTAGTCTAGCTGAAGTTTCTTCCCCTTAGTACTCCTTTACTTTAGTGACCTGGTATTTAGAAGAGGGTAAAATTGTTTGCTATAAACCCTTACGCTGAGCTTTTGTAAACAAAGGACTCCCAATGAGAACCTGCTTGCCGCTCCCCAGTGATCATCAGGATAGGTTTCTAAACTAATTCTGCCAATTTAACAAAGCAATGCCAAGTATTAACTTTGGAAAACTGTTCTTTAGAAAATAGGAAGTCAAATTTTAAAGTTACTATTCTCAAATGCCAGTAGGCTTAGGATCTCAGGAAAAATTAACTCCTCCATAGTAAGATAATCTCCCAGAAAGCTAACTATGTAAGTTATAGTATTTATTTTAATAAAGAGTCAACTCAAAACAGTTTGGGCTACTGCAGAAAGGGTTGGATTATTTTTGCGTTATCAGTATCTACTGTCCCTACATTTGAAGATGGTTCAGCTGATTGATTCCCTGAGGGCTCTGCAAATGGCAAACAGAGAAGACAGAAACCATGATGGCACCTACAGAAAAAGGGAAAGGAAGACTTGAGGGTAGCTTCAATTTTAGTACAATAACTGAGTAAAGCACTGGATATAAATGGAAGGAGAAATATCTAAATATAGGCAGAGGCAGGCTGCTTGGTGAAAAGTCTATTAATTTGCCAATTCTAATTTAAATATGGAAGGAAACAAAGGGGCCATTAGAGAACTTTAAGTCAATATGAGAAAGGTATATTAGTTACTTACATTTTGATTAAAAGATATTCTGCTAAACTGAAAGATTCCTGAGGAAAAAAGGAGATTCTTGTCTTTCTAGTTAGACAAAATCAAACTAGGGATATTCAGCTATTTAGGGTAGGTCTACTGAAAATGGGCACTTAAAAGCTGCCCCTACTGAAAATGATTTCCAACATTTCATAAATAGGAGCCTAAAATCTGTTATCTAGTAATAGCGAGACAAATTTATGCCTCAAAATAAATAGATAATGTAGAAGATAACGTTAGGGACTTGCAGTCCCTTAAACTTCCAAATATCTTTTTCTTTTTGAGATGGAGTTTCGCTCTTGTCACCCAGGTTGGAGTGCAATAGCGCAATCTCAGCTCACTGCAACCTCCGCTTCCCAGGTTTAAGCAATTCTCCTGCCTTGGCCTCCCGAGTAGCTGGCATGTGCCACCATACCCAGCTAATTTTTGTATTTTTAGTAGAGATGGGGTTTCACCATGTTGACCAGGCTGGTCTCGAACTTCTGACCTCAGGTGATCCACTTGCCTCAGCCTCCCAAAGTGCTGGGATTACAGGCGGGAGCCACTGCGCCCAGTCTATGTCTCTCTTTAATAGGAGAATCACCCCTGCCAAATACCTATTTGCCAAATTAGTAGTAAAATAAAAAAAAAATCCTAAATTTATAATAGTAAAAATGAACAATGTGATTTGGTGATTTCCAGAACAATCAAGGTCAGAAGTTATATTTAATATTTTTTAAAGCTTAACACACACAAATCTTCAACCCATTTGGAATAAACGGTCTCATGATACTTTATTAGCTGATATACCTATCAGTAATTCTGTAGATAGTTGCCAACTGAAAGTGTAGACTATTAAAACTAATAAAGTTAGCCATGATTGCTCCTCTCAATGGAAAATTTAATAAGCTAGTTGAAAAGTTAAAAGAAAGCCACTAGTCAGTTTCCATTGGGTTGGCCTTGTCACCTTAGTACCAACGAGGCCAACTTACAGTGAAGAATGGCTGATCTGATTATATTTTGATTTTATTATATTTTGGCATTAACACACTACAGACAAATATCCACTAACTTCTTTGGCTCTGAACAACAGGCTCCAAGGAGGAGAGAAAATAAATATTTTCAACCCATGAGAAACCATAGATACGCAACTTGCCTCATTTCTGATACCTTAAAAGTTTCAGGTATCTAAAAAAAGAAAACATATAAGGAGTATTTAGCTGTAACAACAAATGATGTACAGGCAACTTCTATGGTGGTTTTATTATGAAACAAAATAAACCTTTCAATATCATATTCAAATTATCAAAAATATAGCTCAAACCTTCCTACACTGATAAAAATAATATATATCATTCACATCAACATCATGACAGCTCAAAGTTAGCTATTTGAAATAAATCATCATACTTTTGAAAGCTACTCTTATTACATTTCTAAACAGAGTGCTATTTTTCCTTTTTCTAAGAGAAACTATAAAGCATACCCCAAAGTACTCACATTCTGGCTACATTTGGAAAACTATTTGAAAGATTAAACCTTCATGTTTATCTCATCTCACAATTTACATTTATGTATTAATTTAAATGGCTACAGAACTATTTAAAAATTTATTTTATAAACATGGTACTACAAATTTTAAAACTTCCTGTTCTAAAAGTAACTATTTAAAAAGATTTCTGGAACACACCATCAAAAAGATACTGTTAGAAAATTTCCCTAGAGTGACACACACAAGCAAATCAAGCCGAAGAATTAAGACTGTTTTAGCATTTCTAGGCAATGTGTATCATGTCTTAATATGACATGTACATGCACTTAGCAATACTCTTTTCTAATGAAAGAGATGGAGTTGAGTTCATGAGTGTTATCCAAAACTATGCCAGAAGACACAAATGCGTTGCCAGGCAGAGTTAAAAGAATCTAACGAGCTTTGTGTGAATTTTAAAAACATTGTTTGAACTCAACTTCTATTAATTAAACACAAAGTGATGGAATGCTAATAAATATTCAGCAAAACGATTGAACAGAGCATACACTACTTAAAATGTGTGTTAAGCAGAAAGATAAACCAAAGTATCTTTTGCCATAAAAGAACTCCAAGACTTCATTCTGTATTTTTAAAAGTTAACAGTAAAATCTATACAACATTTCTGTAAGAAAGCAAACTGTTTTAGGGGCTTACAAATCAGTAATGCAGACCTAGTGAATTCTAGCAAACAAACTTGAAGTTAAAGTTTCTTGCCAAAAATTAAACAATGATTACTTTGATACCTTGGTCTTGTTCCTCCTCCAATTTCATAATTTGAAATAACATTTTGCTTTGAATCACTATGGCTTTTACAGAAAAAAAACATAAAATAGCACAAAAATTAAAATATAGTTTATTTTATAGAATATGCATTTGCATTAAAATACACTGGGGAAGTGACTATTTCATAAGAAAAATTCAACACAGTATGAACCCTTCAAAAATATAGATATACTTAAAGTACACAGGATGCAGAAAAGTATGTTTATTTTCTATATAAAATAGAGATTGTCCTTTTGGTTTATTTTGCTGCTTTGTCCCATGCTAGATACCATGTGATTTCCCCCCTAAAATAACAAAGATCAGTTTTAATGAGAAACCAGTACAGTGCAAAGCAATTCATGCATACAGTTTTGCATGTATGCATTCCATATGTAAGTATTCATACCTATCCCAGAGGCTCTTTGATTCCTTTAACGTGTTCAAATGGAACGCTTGGTAGAAAGCAGTTGAAGGATTCCTGTGAGATCCGAGAATCAAATGGAAATGAGGTTGAGAACGTACAGTATAATCACTACTTTTCAAAAGAAGATGGAAGATTTTAGATTTCTAATACAGTGTAACTTTTAATAATAAAAAGATTTTAAAACCACATAAGTTTGCTTAAAACAACACTTTAGAAGAAATTAAAAACTGGACAAAATCCAGCAGACTTCAACAATAATTCAGGATCACAGTTATAAAATAAAGAGGTAAGGCAGATGAAACTAAATACTAAGTAGCATCCAATTTTGTGTGCGTGCATATAAATGTGACAAATTCATAGCCTAATCAACACTCTTCTATATCAAATGCCTTTACAAATATCTATCTTGTTTAGCAGTTTAACAAGGCTGTTCTTAGGTATTCATATAAACTAAGTTAAGCTATATCTTCACAATATAAAAACTTTTCTTAGGCTCTGTTAAAAGTAGCAAAGGTTTGATTAACAATGAAGAATTCTTTCCTGGGTTGGACTTGACACATTTCCACCTTCAAAATCCATTTATTTATATGTGTTTTTTCCTCGTCTAGGGCAAAAAATGGCGCTGCAATTGTTTGGCAGCTTTCTGATTCTAGCATTGGTACAATGTTACTTTAGGGGTAAAAGCCTATTTATCATAATTATCTTTCATTTCTACCATTCCCTAGGGCTTTCACCATAGACTCTTAACTGATGGGCTCTTCTGGACTATCTCCCAGTAAGTATGATTCACCTCAAATCTAGGGACTGGTTCCACGGGGATTTAAACTTTTGACAAACCTGTTCCCTCCTCCTCAGCAACTTCCATAGTCTCCCCCACCTTCAACCTGTACATCTGGAAGCCAAAAAAACTTTGCCACATAACTTTTAAAATTCTTAGCCCATGCTGTAGCAGAACAGCAGCAGTTAAGAATGTGTTTATTAGGTACCACACACTATTCTAAGTGCTTTACACTCATTAACTAAATTCTGACAACAGCCCTAAGAGGTAGGCACCATTATTACTCCCATCTCATAGAGGAGAAAACTGGGTCAGATAGAAGTAACTTGCCTTACATCACTGAGCTAGTAGGTGGCAATCTAGTTCCAGAGTTTATGCTCTTAAACCACTACACTAAACACATAGCAGTGTTAAAGTTTGACCTCTTTAAAAGTCTGTCTCTTTATCTGTTAACTGGTTACATTACTACCTAGCTTTGCAGGCTAAAGAACTGAGACTAAATGTAAAGTTCCTGGCATACAGTGAATCATCAATAGCATTATTTTAATCTACAAAATGAGGTTTAGATACAACATGGCAATTCTGGGGTCCTATTAAGAGCCTTAAAGTCTGTGCAGAATTATTAGTACAATAAAAAAAAAAGACTTCCAAGATGCCAGAGAATCACCAAAGTAACTGTTTGATTAATTAGGAGACTAATACGTGTATTTCTCATTGCTTGCCCTACTTCAACTCCTTTCTATTCTTTTAATCCTTTTTCCACTTTTCTCCTAACTAGGTCTAAGGCAATCAAAGGCACTGATTAGACCTGCTAATAACAAGAAAAGCTTAAGAGGCTTCTACCTACTGTTTATTTAACGGCTTACATCCTCTTAAGATGTATTTGTCAGGCCACTTTTTTCGCTGTACTTAGAAGTCAGTCTGCCAAATCAAATGAAAACTAACTGAACCAATTGAACATTCAATCTGGTTTTTTTTTTGGTTGTTGTTTTTGTTTTATAAAAAAACAGGCTTGCCCAGGAACATATGGGAACTAGTTTGCTATCCTCAAAGGTCTGTTTGGAGACCTCCAGTTTAAATGGAGTGACTCAAAGAGGAAGGTAGTATATACAAAAGAATAAGAAAGAGTATCTTGGAAGTTATTCTGCAAGTCTACAATTCAAAATTCATTAAAGAGTACTCACAATATATTTATAAGGATGATATTCTTTAAAAGAACTTTATTATTTATTTATTTTTTGGAGACAGAGTTTCACTCTTGTCGCTCAGGCTGGAGTGCAATGGCACAATCGCGGCTCACTGCAACCTCTGCCTCCTGGGTTCAAATGATCCTCCCGCCTCAGCCTCCCGAGTAGCGGGGATTACAGGCTCCCACCACCACGCGCAGCTAATTTTTGGTATTTTTAGTAGAGATGGGGTTTCACCACGTTGGCCAGGCTGGCCTCAAACTCCTGACCTCAGGTGATCTGCCCGCCTCGGCCTCCCAAAGTGCTGGGATTACAGGCATGAGCCACCACACCTGGCATCTTTAAAAGACCTTTAGATCCTCTGACTTTGGAAATACAAATATTTAATTTGAATCAAATTCATATTCCAGGTAAATTGGTTCCAAATGAAGTCATATGACTTGTTATAAAATTCCAGCAGTTTTACAGAATAGTGCAATATCTCTTAAGTCAAATGTAAAGGTGAAAAACGAACATATTTGTAGTTAGTAGTAAATACTGGGATGTGGAAAGAACCTGTGAAATAAAATACTGTATAAATGGACCTAAAGTTTTCAGCACATATTAGAATACACTTAATTTGCAAAAGCTAACAATTAACAATCACTCTTTCTACATACATTCAAAGTGAAGAAGCCACAGTACATGGTTTTCTATAGTACACAGTTACACAATCTATGTACTACATAAAACTTTAAACAGTCTAGATTTTAAGGGTAAAAATTTAGATAGTCTTATAAGCTATGAAATTTTGTTTCTGGGATACTATAACTGGGATGTTATCCATAAACTGAGGGGTTTGTAGCAAACAGCAACAATAATTAGTCTCCAAACACTGACTAACAGATTAAAGGAGTCAAGTCTGTGAAATCACTGATCAAGGAAGTAGAAGGGAAAAGAGCCATCTGTAAAGATTGAAAGGCTTGATCATCAGAGAGACTTCTATTTTGGAATGGCATAAAATTGAGGAGATTAAGAGCCCAAGGAAAAGGCTGTTAATGGGATCATTTCAAGGTTACAGTCCATGAAACCTGAAAGCATGAAGAGGCAACTGAAATTAAAAATTTTATTAGAAGGAAATACTGACTTTTTATGCAGCTGTGGTCACAAATTCTCTTCCACTCAAGAAATAAAATTTGAAACCAGCTTTTTAACAGTTTATTTGATATTAATATAAACTACCATTCTAAATATAGAGCCAACGAAGCAATTCTAGGAAGACTGAGATGTGGTTTACACTGTACTTCAGCCACCTAAACAAAAATGCTGTTTTCCTATTTGTAAATATTCTTTAACATCACTGAACAAAATACATTCTTTTCTCTCTGACTTTATATACTCAATAGTCCATCACATTAATTTCCAAGTATGTGAAAATACTACATCAGAAAATGACTCAAAGCATGTGGCATGTCTACCTGTTTTTGCAAGACACTATCTTTGTAGGGTAACTAAGTACAACAGGGAGAAAAAAACAAACATTCCATACCTCAAAACTAAGCTACAAAAATTGTCAAAGCTTAAAGCATAAGGTACTTGAGCACTCAACAAACACCTCTTTCTCTTAATCTATGCCAAAATTCGACTTCAGAGATCTCTAAATAGAAACCAGGGACATACAATATGAAGAACATCAACAAGCACCATCTCCAGTATTATTATCTGGGGAATTTAAATGATTAAAAAAATCCTTTAGGTAAAGGGTTACAATACAACAAATCAGTGGCTATGGTAGTTCTTCCTTCTTCCTAACTTATTGTGTGCCAAGTAATAAAACAAACTTCTAACTCTGGGAATATTCAAAAGCACTGGCTTTAGGTTAAAGGTCTGAATATGAGTCTAGGCTTTGTCACCCAATACCTAGGTGACTCAAATTTTAAGAGTCTCAGTTTCCTTAATCCATAAGAAAGGGGGAAGGGAAGAAACCACTTTCTTACAAATTGTTGGAAAGATCAAATGAAAGTCTATATACATAGGACCTGACACAAGTAAGCTTGCTTTGTGTTTAATATAAGGTTAGTTTCCAAATTATGCTACCTATAAATCAAATTTTGGTAGAGTATCTCAACATGTACCAAATGTTCTGACATTATCAAGGTAATATTGAGGGAAACAGAATACTTAAACTTAGAGCCAGGGGTACCAAAATATTTAGCACATTTCATTAGGTAAGAATTCTGATTTTTGGGACTCAGCGCTCTGAAGGTATTCCCTTAACACAGCTTTATCATAAGATTATAATTTAAAATGCAATAATCACTAAAAGGATACTGAAATCGTTTCAAGATATATATTATTTTAACAATAAAAGCTTCCAGAAATACCTTTAACAGCAACTTACTATAAAAATCGAAATTTCTTACCATGACATTTAAAGTCCTTCACTCTGGTTCTTGTCAAATTAACAATACCATTTTCCAAATGATAGATTCTCACTCTTTCACATCATTATACAAACTGCCTTTTACCTCTGCTTGGAAAACTATCCCCTTCTCTTCTTAGTGACTTAATCTGAATGACCATTTTAAGATTTAGTTCAAGAGTTAGCCTCAAAAGAATGTACAAGTAATAATGGGTTACTTCTAAGGACAAACAGGGTGGCTGGAGGACAGAGGTAGCAGAGAGGCTTTCGATTTTACTCTTTTATATATTTTGAGTTTTGAACTATATAAATACCTATGCAGAGAATAATTTTTAAATAGAAGTCAGTCTACTACCCTCCCAATCCCAATCTGATCTGATGTCTCAAATTGTTCCCATTAGCACCTTATATTACTCCATCACCACCTCCAATGTATGTCAAAGTATACATCTGATCATCATTTTCATGATGATGAAAATGCCTGAGATCTAGGAGGGCAGCATAGTCTCATATTTGTATTCCAGTGCTCACTACTCACAGAGCATCATGAAAGCTGAATGACTGATAAGCTGTTTTAAATGTTTTCTTGGGCAATCAACCTACTTAATGAGTATTTACAAACTTCATTTATTGCCACACAATAGTCAAGTGGCAGGAAAGGGGTAAAAAGAAGAAAGTTTAAGTTTGCAGTTCTCTCATGAAGCACACTTGAATGTATGGTCTCATATACATAAGGCTAGAAGGAATCTTAAAATTTGACAAAGTCTCAAAAAAGAAAAACAGACAAGTGAAATGACTTGACCAAAGAAACCAGCTAAATGATAGAAGAGCCAGGACTGGAACACAATTCCCTATACTTCTTACAACATCATGACTCGTCTAGACTAAAACATCATCTCCTTTTTTCTGACTACATCCATACCATACAATTACGCTTTCATATTAAAATGGAAGATTCTTGGTATGATTTATAACATGTAAAGGGGTGATCTGGGAGAGCAGTTTGGACACTGAAATATTAACATTTCTGTGATACACGTTTGCCACATATATTATGTTACAGACTGTTCAAATTACTTGCACACATCATTTAATTCCTTAAAACTCTCCCAGGTAGGTACAATCCCCATTTTTCATAAGAGGAAACAAGGCATCTACACCAACTAGCTCAAAGTCAAATGTAGCAGTTAGATTTTAGCCCGGGTATGTCTGACTCTACTGTCTCTGTAATGGTCATTCACATATGTTAACACATAATTAAACACGCTATTGGTTTTATTTGATCAAAACAGCTCCTCCCTCCTTTGTTTTGTCTTCAAAGACTAGGTAGACGGTATGCCAAGCAAAGATTTGTTTTGCTTTAACATATAAAACCACTTGATAAAAACTAAATACTAACTCTACTTTAGAAACTAGAGGCTTTACACTTACCTTTGGGAATCCTTTATTCAGATTAAATTATATACTTGTGTAATAAGATGAACAGCCTAAAACTAACATTTAAAACTATGCCATCATTATTTACAATAATTGACACATTAATCACAAACTCCATCTTCTACAAAGCAATATTCTTTAGACAAATTTTAGGAAAGGCTTATGGGAAAAGAAGCTTTAAGTAATTTAACATTTAGACTTTACTTATTTGTCCTGCCTACCCTAATAATAGGTATATGTCCCAGGCAAACACTAATAAAATTAACTCAGTTACCTGCAGAACTTTCACTAACATCACAAATAAATGTACTACTTAAAAGGATGGAAGCACTTTTTCTTTTTAAACAAAAATTAGCTTGGGTACAAAGGAATCAAACTAAATACTAAATACTAATTATTTAAGTCTGATTTGAGGCTTTAAATTTGAGATAAGCAATCCAGATGAAATTTAATTCACCTGATTTAAGAGCAGAAATCATGCAATACTTTCATACAGGAAACAATCCATCAATATACCTTTAATATTATTAAACCAAATCTGAAGAGTATACCTCAAAGTATACTTCCTAAAGTCATGGAATAATGTATAGGAATGGTGCAAACTGGCTACTGTTCCTACCTTTTTATGAGGGACACCCAGTTTTTGCCCTAAGCAATGCCAGATTAAGAATATAACAAATATCGAGTAATTTGATATGTTCAAGAATTGCTGTGGGAAAGACATTATACCAATGATTCAGGTATACATATTCTCTGTGGACTCAATACAATACCATCGAAAACAGTAGCCTCAAATCACAAGCCCACTGGTTTAGTATAAAGAAAAACCATACACTTAAATAATTTATTCTAATTTAGGAGTTTTGCTACACATACTCCTTAAATATGATTAATATTTCTTACCAAAAATCTGCTTTTCCAATTTAAGGAATTACTTACGGAATATCATTCAGGCTATGTTTAACCAGACAGACCTGCTTTTGTAAGGCCTCTCCTTCCTCATACTTTAAGTATTTAACGAGTAATGCAATTAAGAAATAAACAGAATCTTCAGAAAAGGAAATACACACTGGACTAAAACAATTCTTCAAAGAAAGAATTAGAACACCATTCCTCAGTATTCACAAGTGTTCCTATTTCTTTTGAGACTATATTTCATGCCACTCCACTGTACTTTCTTCCATTTTGATTATCTGCTATCATTCTACACTTCCCCTTCCCCAACTCCTGCCATTTTAGGAAAGGAAGGTCAGATTCCTTTTATACTTTCCTAACTACCATTCCTTTATTAGGAAACAGATTTATTTGGGTTTCTCTACTACTTGATTGGTGGGGCTGCTATTTGTTCATAACTGCTTCTGATCTTTTCTGGTGCAGAGAAAGATAGACTCCCATTCCTAATTAGGAAGTACCAGATTCATAGATCCAGTACCATATTTCACTATTTCCAAATTAGTGCTATCAGAATTATTTTTTTTCTTTTTACAGACAGGTCCTTGCTGTGTGGCCCAGGCTTCAGTGCAATATTATAATATAGCTCACTGTAGCCTCCAGCTCCTGGGCTCAAGCAATCCTCCTCCTACAGCCTCCCCAAGTAGCTAAGACTATAGGTGTTGGCCTCCAGACCTGGCTAATTTTTAAATGTTTTGTAGAGACAAAGCCTCGCTATGTTGCCCAGGCTGGTCTCCAACTCCTGGCATCAAGCAATCCTCTGACCTTGGTCTCTCAAAGTGCCAGGATTACAAGGCATGAGCTACCGCTCCTGGCCCAGGATTCTTAAATAACAAATGAATTGGCATTATATTTATTCTCAGGAAGTAGAGGACATATATACCCCTACCACCAGTCCTATATAAAATGACTTCTCATAAAGGTGATTTAGTTCAGGGGTTGTGATCTCCTAAAAAGAAAAAACAAGTGTTACTAAAATAGTCAGCTGGAAATCTGTATTATTCACACACATATAAGCCATCATGTTTTCTAAAAAAATTTACCAATGTTTGGCCTATATGATTTAGTGCACATAAAATTTTATACAGTATGTGTCACTGTGAATATAAAAGGCCACACTCCTACAGATATAGCTCATGGTTTAGGAATTTCGGGTAGTTTGGAAAATCGTAAGCCTTTTTGGAAATCTGTCATTTCTTTTATTTCAAGCCACGTTTATGAATAAAGTATGTTTTAGTAATCCATGTGGTATCCATCAGTAATCCCTGATGAATACATCAGTATCAGTTTTTATGCTAAACAATAATGACACATATATACGAATTTACATTTTTACTACTAACTCCTCAGTAAGAACACTCTTAAACGTGTAGATAGGCATAGGATAGTATCTAGTATGTGATTCAGACATCAACTGTAAACCTACAAGAGCAAAATTACCTTCACAATTTAACAGATAAATGTCAGCTTCCAAGAAACAGAGATTCAAGTAAGAAATTTCCATCTTTAGAGACTTCAATTCAGTGAGACTTTCATACAACAGAGGTCGAAGACTGAGACAGTTCTGCCTCCTGGTATACATTTACTTAATCCTCTCACTTAAACTTCAAGTAAAAAAAGCAGCAGAATTTGGTTTAAAATATATATAAATGTACAAACAAAATGTGTATTTATGGCACATACCAGGACACACCACTTAACATTCACAATGTATAATATTTTATCAGTGATCATTAGCAAACCACACAAATAAAACCATTAACAAGACATAGAAATATCTGCCACCAAAGGATCCTTAGAATCAGGTTTTCAACAGTCTTTTGGCCACAGATGACAGCTCACAATTGCAGCCATTCATAAGAGTTCCTGGAATGCGGCCTACAGAGTTCACATTGGTTGGCTATCTATGGAAAGTGATCTGTACTGTGTTCCTTTTCCAAAAGGGCCAGTAATATTTTGCACCTCCTCTCATTTACAGGAGACTGTTAAGTGTGTACGTAGTTTAAACAAGTTTTGTAAAGTTCACTATAAAAGTAGCTACATATTTAAGGACTGTATTTTCAACCATCACATCCACGAGTTTACACAAAATCAATCTGAAGAGTCTCAACAACTGACCATAAACCTTTCTAATGAAAATGGCCAGAAAGATAAACTTTATGGTAATTAATAATGTAGAGTCAATAGGCAATGCTAATTGAGAACTTTTTGCATATACAACCATCAGCCTTTTAAAGGTGTGATAATATTAAGATGTATTACTATAAGGCCCGGTTCTTTAATTATAAATGATCTCAAAATTAAGCCAATATAGAACTTTGCATTAGGTAATGGAACCAAAATCTCAAGATAAGAGTTTTCAATGTATCAACCTAAACCACCTCAATCTTTTTGTTAATTTCCCATTTTCCTTTCTTTTCTCAAAGAAATAGACTGTTTACTAAAGTCCTAATTTTTTTTTAAAAAAAGCATATATCTTATTTACAAATATTTCCTTAGGATCTGAAATTTGTCAAACTACTTGCAAAGTTTAAATCACAATTAGTCAAGACCTCTCACTCCAGTTGGTTTTATTTCAAATTTGAAAACATGCAGATTTTAAGGCGGCAACCCAAAATCACATTAAAATTAAAATTTTCAGTTAAGATAGTAGTCTCCTCAAAAGTACTCATCTCAGTAATTTAAACATATGCCTGGAAAACTGTTATTTAATTTCAAACACAAAATTTTAAAATACCCTGTTCTTTTTTTTTTTTTTAACCAAAGCTTTCTATTAAAAAAAAAAAACACAAAACAAAAAACCCAACTATTTCTACCTAATGGATTTATTCCTTCACCAGGTATGTTGGACCAGTGACAAAACAGTCAAATGTGTAAGATTACATCTTGGAAACTAGCATGTCAAGTTAAAAACCAATGAAAGACTGTAACAAAAATCAGAAATGAACATTGGTAAGCAATGTAGATTTTAAATGATTGGGGCAAGGGAGGGAAGTGTCATGTTTAAAATAGGACTGTACATACATCAAAACCCCTGCACTGAATTAACTGTTGCAATTGGTAAGAACACTGATACAGTAGTATCTGTAGTTCAACCATTCACAAATTTGGAAATCAGAGTTTTCAGATTACCAACTCTTAATACAGTAAGAGGAAAAAATAAATGCATTTTTGATGTCATACCCTAAAGAATACATTTCAGTTTCCATCTATCAACAGAAGTCTCTGCTTCATGCCTTATCATCGTACTAAAGTTCTGAGGAATCTAAGTATGGATGCTGTAAACTGAGAGAGGTGTGCACAGAAGGGAAAATGTAATCTGCATTCTCGGGTGGAGGGGTGTGTGTGTGTATAGAAAGCGGGGTAGCTCAGGAAACCAGTCATCATTTCTTGAAGAGATATGGGCAGTATACAGGAACAGAGGAAAGCAAAAGGTTATTTGCCAACTTATCAGGAAAAAATTGGCTTGTGGCAGCTAGAAAAGTGAAGATGCCTGTTGATTATTACCAAAGGTGAAAAAATAAACTCAATCTGTGTTACAGGTGTGTCCCTGTGTGTGACAATGGGAGCAACTATAAAAGTAGAGGGATTTTTCTGAGTGGCTTGTGGAGTCAGTTTACTTAGTAGTCCCACACACACAAAATTTCTCAATGACTAGCTAGCTGAGCTCACTTATGGACACGTGGTATTCTCTAAGCGTTCTCAAGTGAAGAAAGACTCCCCATAAGCAAGTCACCTACAAAAAAAGATGAACTTTAAATTACAAAAAGCAGAGAAGATGAATGAATTTCAGTCAGTGAGTATTTTTCAAACCAACAGAAGTATATAACAAAAATACAAGGCTAATTAGAAATGGGAGGTTAAGAAATGTGAAGGAACTCAGAAGAAACCATAGGAAGAGAAAGCTTTAACATACATGTCATTGTATTCTTCCACATACTAATTATTCTGGAAATCCATAATATTAGTTTGTATCTTTTAAAAACACCTAAAATTAGCCTCTCGCTAAACAAAAACCCCAGCAAAGAAATGTCTAACTGTGAAATTCCTGAAACTTTTTCTATAATTTTTAAATATAATTTTAAAACATTGCAACAAGTCAGCTTTTAAAATTTTGCAATATGTATGTCAAATTTACATGTGACATCTCCTCAAAACCACAAAAATCCTCACTAAACCATAACCAAACATCAGCTGTTGTGGCACTGGTGTAGCAATACACTAATTCTTATTTAGGCCATTAAAAAAAGCATCCCTAAATACAGGGAGCCAATTATTAACATTTACACTTTTATTATAAAATTACTCTTAATTTCAAGAACTATAGCTTTCACTACAGTTAAAGGATCGATCTCAACCTCCCTTTCCTATAATAAATAGACTGATGGAAAGTAAGAATATCTTTCCAGTACATTTTTTGCTTAACAACAAAAAAATAGTATCTTAGAGAAGTCCCTGGGAAGACTCGTGACCTTGTACCTCCTTTAATCAAAAGGCTGAACTAAGTATGATCTTCAAAGCCGGATTTGACATTTCACCATTATGTCTCCAGCCTTTCCAGATACACTGGAGAAGATTCCTTACATAGATTTTTTTTTTCACTAGAGGACCTTCTGGTTTTCCAGAAAGGAAAACTTGTAGTATTATTATGTCTCAGCCTCAAAACTCACACTGACAAATCTCTCTGCCTTACGTGTTCAAGTGTGATTGATATGTAAGAAAAGGACAATTCTATGGGAGCATAACACACTAGCTACCACCATTAAATGGTAAGCATTAAGCTTAAATTCACCTTTTTTTGAGTAAACAATGTTGCATCCCTACCCATTTTAGTGCTTTTAAACAACGGTGACAAGACCAATTCGCTCATTACACCCTTTGACATCAGCATCAGCAATCTAAATCAATTTTACCAAAAACTAAATTTTGTATTTAAAAATGCTAAGGGCCTCCGTTGACAACAATCTCCCAAAGTTGCATCCTAAGCTACAATGTTGGCCAAGCATTTCTATCAAATATTTAAAATAGAGATTTCCATACCTGTCTTCATCACCATCAACAGGAATAGCTATGCTGAATACAGAGGTGGCCAGACTGTTCATAGGTGTTAACTGAAGGGGGTTTGCCAGGGAATCTGCAACAGGCGGCTTCACAACAGGCTTATTTTCAGCAATGAGAGAAAGTGGTGGTTGAGGTAGGGGTTCTGATTTTCTTCTAGTATCGTCGACTTGCCCGACTAAAGGCTGGGTCTGAGTTTGAAACTGGCTTAGGTCAGACTGTGGTAGACTTGTTGGTGCGCTGTGTGTGCCTGGCGCTAAGGGCAGCCCAACATGCTGGATTATGCTGCTGCTCCTGCTGACTGGCGTATGGCTGCTCAGCTGTTGCGACTGGGCCAGAGGCGCGGGTACATTTGGCATAGTAACAGAAGTGGTAGACACACTAGGCACGCTTGGAGCGGGCACGGCTGCAGGCACGTTTGGAACTCCGGGCACCACGGCGTGAGGGCCACCAGGTACGGCTGACAGCGGACCACTGCCACCCATCTGCGGCGGAGGCACGGACTGGGGCTGCCCAGCCCCGGCAGGACCGAGGCACGGCTGCACCACGCCTCCCACAGTAGCCGGGGGCACTCCAGTCGGCTGACAAGGCGCGACCTGCCCGCCTTGCGCTGGTCCCGTCCGGGGGGCCATGGCTTCGCTGGGCTGGGAAGACGCGCCCATGAGCTGCGCGCCCACCGAGGAAGCATTCTGGCCGGTGCCCACGGGAAGGGTGGCCGCCGTGGCGGGGCTCGCTGCGGCGCCGGTGGACGAGGGCTGCGCGGGGCTTGGCGGCTGCAGGCCGGCCACGTGCTGCTGCAGGTACTCACTCTGGCCGGAGGGCTGGACGGGCAGCAAATGTCCGGGCGGTATCTGAGGCTGAGGATACGCGAACTGCTGGGGCTGCTGCGCCGCGGGGGCGCCCACTGCAGGGCCCGGCTGCGGAGGCAGGGACATAGCCGGCTGCGCCAGGGTTACATTCGTCGGCGGCAGAGTCTGTCCCCCGGGCCCCGCTCCCTGGGGCTGGCTGGGCTGCGCGGCTGCCATCATTGGCTGCGGCCCGGTCGCGGCTCCCGGGAACGGCGGCAGCGGAGCCGAGCTTTGAGCCACAGCCCCACCTACGGGTGGCGGCGGCGGCTGTGGCTGCCCAACGCTAAAACTCTGCGGCTGGGCCGGAGTGGGCTGGCTCATTTTCTCCGACGGGGGTAGCTGTGACACAGCAGTCAAGGAGCTGTCAGTTCCCGACTCGGGCCCGTGCGCCCCCTGCATGGAGGCCACTACTACCACCACCGACCCTCCGGTGGCGCCCAGGCCGCTGTCCCGCTCCGCAGTCTGGTCAAAAGTACTGCTGTGTCTAATGCAATCCCCGGATCTAGTCAGGACGCTGCTGTCTGAATCCCTCTCATAGTATTCCATACACGTCCATCGGCCGCGTCTATAGGGCTCTCCGCTCCCGTGGTCCAGCTTGATCACGCGAAAACGGGAACTACATGTGGTGGGAGGCTGAGATGGGGCTGCAGTCACTGGCCCGGCGGATGAGCCCGCGAGCTGGGGGCCGCCGGGTGCTCCGGGGGCGGGGGCCGAAGTGGCAGCCGCCGCCAGGGTACTGGCGAGCGCCCCAGACACGCTCCGGGCCGAAACGACTCCTCCTCCGTTGGCGGGAGCAGCAGCCGCCGCTGCCAGCTGCCCATCTAGGAGGAGGTTTGGGGAGACGGTCCCGGGAGTCTCCGCATCCCCAACATTGTTAAGCGTCTCTTCGGAAGAGCTGCGCTCGCAGACCTCCTCAGGGCCATAATCCGTGGCCCGAGAGACGTCGAAAATCTCGGAGGAGACGTCCTCTGTGCGTGACTCGTCCGGGTCGTCCAAGCTCTCGGTGTCCTCGGTGATGCTAGTGGCCACCTGGGCCGTGGTGACACTGGTGATCTGGAAGCAGCTCTTCTTCTTGGCCGGCATCTTGGACATGGTGAAGAAGGCTGGAGGGCAGAGAGGCACGCCGGCTCCTCTGGGTCCTGTCGGAAACCGGGGAGGGCAGAGCACGGGCCCCCAAAGACAAAGTCCGAGTCTGCGCTGGGGTCTGAGGCCCGCCGCTGTTAAGAGTCACGGGCTGATCCAGGCGCTGGCCGCCCGGTGAGACATCCTCCTCCTCGTTTCCTTCTCTGTGTCGGTCTCTTCGGCTCTGCCCCCGTCTCAGTCCCGCGGCGGCTCCTCCTTCCTTTTTAGCTCTCGCAGCCGCGGCGCCTCAATTCAATTCCCTCAGAGGCGGCGAGAGCGCGAACCCAGGGGCGGGCCGGCTGCTTCCTCTCTCGTCTCCGGGCAGCCGTGGTCAGTCCAGCTCGGCGCTCGGCGCGGTCAGCAGGCCTTGGCTGGGGGTGGGAGTGGGAGGGCGAAGAGGAGGAGGAGGAGGCGGTGGCGGCGGCGTGAGGGGCGGTGCTGCCCCGCTCGGGCTCCTCAGGCCGGTGCCGGCGTCAGCGCTGGGCTCTCTGACTGAGGGAAGGAGCGGCGAGTCCGGAGTCGGAGATGCCTAATTCAGCCGGGAGCCGCGGGCCGGAGCTGGCTGAAGGTCCGCGGGCGGGCGGTGGGGCTGTGGCGCGGGCAGGCGGCCCTCCCTCCCCGGCTCTAGCCGGAGCTCAGCCCCAGGGACATGTCGACTGCCTCAGGCGGAAACCCGCTCTGGGGGAGGGGAAAGCCGGCTCGGTCCTCCCCTTACAGGGGGAACCACCCCTGCGGGCGGGCGGCGACGGCGGTCTCGGCCTCCCCTCGCGGCTTCTCTCAGAGAGGGGCGGCGGCGGCAGACCGCTGGCACGGGACCGGAGGCGCCCCGGCTGTGTGAGGTAGCGGTGGTGGCTTCTCCGGCTCCTCCTCGGTGCGCCCAATTCCTAAACCCCGAAGAAACTGAAATTCAAACTGCTGAAGCGGCGGCTGCAGCTCCCTCCGCTGGGCCAAGATGGGGCTGAAATGGCCGCGCCAGGGATGCTGGGAGGAGCAGCAGCCCCGCTGCCGCCGCCGCTGCCGACTAAAATGCCGCCGCTGCCGCAGCCACCGCCAGCGCCGCAGCCGCCGCCGTTCCGTGACGCACCGGCGTCGTGACGTCACCGCTCCGCCCCCTCCGGTTTCCTGCAGTTTCGCGTGGAACCTGGGGTGGGGGGCAATGGGCGGGGCTAAAGGTTAAAAAAGGGAGCGGTTTCTTTATTTAAAATTTTTAAAATTTAAATTTTGTGTTGTAGGTTCTTTAAGCATTGACGAGCTAAAGACCATTTTAAATTCTAAGCCTAGGGAAGCTTACAATGGAACTAATCAGATGTTTTTATGTCGGTTTGTTCCGAGACAGTGGAAGACTGGAGGTCATGTGCTTGTGTCTAATGTTTAGCAAAATCTTAGTGAAACGAGGGCGATAGGAATGGGGGCTGGGGAAGACTTAGATGGGATAAAAAGAGGTGCGGCTGGAAGAACTAAATCACTTTAAAACTTCTGAAAATAAATGTTGACCATTGTAGTCAGAGGAGTAAAATGTTCAGAGAAATGGGGATGATTAAACAAGAACGGCAAGCCAGATTGAGTCAGAAAATTATCTTCCTGCCAGAAATTCTGTCTCCCACAACGGCATCAGGGGGTGGTTACTTGCCCAGGGTGTAGTCAGTTTTTAAAAAGCTTAAGGGTTACCAACATATTCCTAAATTTCCTGAATTTGCTGTGATTCCAGGATTCATTTAAACTCTTGAGACTGTTTTACTTTCGGCACGAAATCAGCTCATGGGCTTTATAAATGTAGAACCTACTGCATTATAGTTCTTCTTTTTGTTTATTCTAAAACTGTTAGTAGCAGCCAGCGTATTATATGATTTGGATTGGGCCATGAACAACCGTAACGAGTGATAAAGCACCCTTTCCTGTTCCAATGCAAAGAACAACTATGAAAAGAAAGTACTGGCAAATTTATCATCTTGTAGTTAGTTCCTGGCCAAAGAAAATGGTAAGGCCATTCTTTTAAGCAGTTAAAAAAAAATGGGGATGGGCTCTTAAACTTTGGCATGCTAAGGCCATTCTTTTAAGCAGTTTAAAAAAATGGGGATGGGCTCCTAAACTTTGACATACTAAAGCAGTCGTCATTTAGGTAAAATCTAAGTCTTAATGGAAATCGTGATTTCATATCTACTGCAGCGTTAGCAATCACATAATGATAACTTAAATCAGTAAATCGTTGAACTCGGTTCTCTAATCTTTGAAGAATAGAAATACTTTTTATCCCAAAAGATGTTTTGAGAATTAAATTTGCAGAGAATTTTTTAGGTCTTTAGTTGTAATTTATAGAGCTAGGTCTTTTAACTTTAGTGGAAACCATGCCCTCCAAACCCAAGTGACTGGAGTCAGAATGTGAAATAAGACGACATAAAATCCCTATTTCTTAAGGGGCTGGGCGAAAGTAATGGAACAAAATGTAACGTTATGCTATTGTGGCAGAGATAGCTAATGGAATGTTTCATTTCTAAGTCTGTAATTTCAGTAATTGTTAGAGGCAGTTTTCCATCAATAAGTTAGATCAAATGGTTAAACCCAATATGAATTTATAAAAGCTTAATTTAATTTTGGATTGATTTACCAGATGTTTAAGGTGGTTATAATGGGTAGTGTTGATGGTGGTGCTTTTGGAAAAATGAGTATTATATGCCTGCTCATCCCTTTACATTATCTTATCATATAAACTTCTTGATTACTCGTTATGATACTCTTAAATCGTACATTTAGAGGAAAAATCTTAAAGTAATCTGTAAGACCATTTCTCCTTAAAATGATATATTATGAGATGAAAGGAAAGATAAAGATAATTTAGAAGAGATCCAGAAGTGGACTAAATTTCTGGTAAGGAGGGGGCTAAAGATGTTAAAAGACATCTTAGGAAAAGCATATGATTTATAACTTTTAAAAGTGTCATTTAGATGGTTAAGGATTTGTGTTTAATAGTTCTCTTGAAAATATTGTTTTCCAAAAGTTTAAAAGCCCTAGCTACTTTTATACATTTGCCCTTAAAAAATGTACAGAATTTATTACATCAAACTGCTACAAAGAAATAAGAATTCTGATTTTTGCAAGTAAGTTGGAAATCAACGTAGAGGACAAAAAGTGGCATAGCTATATCTAAACAAAAAAGTATGTAATTCAAAAGTTGGTCCACAAAGAATTGAAAGCCTTTCAATAACTAATTTAAATGATAGAAAGCAGTATGTATATGCAAGTACATATGCTCCCTGTATAGAGAGTGGTTAGTAAGTAAGATGGTAGCCTAACTCACTGGAATAAAGAGATCCTTGGAGTCCCAAACCTCAAGACTAGGAGTCTTAATGCAGTTACCAGGCTGCATGCCTGTACCCAGAGACCATACTAGAGGCTGTGGGAATCCTCGATTACTGCTCTTAGAGCCCCCAACTTGACTGTTTCTTCTGTACCTGGTACTTTTTTCAAATATTTCAAATTGCAGTGATGCATGGGAGATACATTTAGAAAACATAATGCAGGGGAATAAAAGCAGTTAAAAACTAAGGACAGTTTCTACTGATGAAAATAAAAAACTGCTACAGCAACATCTTTTCATCATCTGTAAACATCATACCCCCAAATTTTCCTAAGTTATTATCTAACCTCATCAGTAGCAGATGGTGAATTATTTCATAGAAAATCCTGGAATGTAAACTCTAGATACTCAAGAAAACCTCTTTTTTTTCAATGAAGGTATATTATATTTAAAATAATAATGATGCATTAAACATTATGGGATAAAGAAAATACTTTCCATAGAAATTAAGCAATGGCCTAGGCAAAGAGAAGTAACCCTTTAGCATTAATACTATCAGTTAGACAGTGACATTTATTGAACATTCCCTGTGTTGTGTATTAAGAATTGGACTACCTATATCCCAGTCAACAATTTTTTCTGGAGTTTAGAAATAGTTTATGCTTATTTTCTGTGTTTTTTATTACCAAATTGTTATTAGTTTGGTGCAAAAGTAATTGTGGTTTTTGTCACTTACATGATGGCAAAAACTGCAATTACTTTTGCACCAACCTAATAGAAAAATACAAAATGGAGAATAGTTTTCAGGTTCCACAAAGCATTTGCTGGAAATAAATATCAGTTGTCTAAATAAGTAGTACTTGATTTATTACTATGATTTTCGTAGGGTTCCATTTCTGGAACAATATCATATTAATAAACCCTTTCAGTGAGACCATTGTGTGGTATTGCCCAAAAAGGAAAAAAAAATGTAATGAGAAAGGACTAAGGCTAATAAAATTCCATAAATACTATTATAAAGAAAAGTATAATTTGACTGAGATGCACAAATGCTTACTTGATAATGAGGTGTTTTTAAGGAAACTTCTATTAAATACTCTTTTTGAGTTTAATATACTATGAAACAATGTTGTCTTTTTTTTTTTTTTAATGAAGATTTCCTTGACTTCCAAAGACCTTTGATGTTCAAGCAAAATGTAGCAATTTGGTAAAAGTAAAGGGTGCATTTCGAACTGAAATAAACATAATGTCCTATTAAGACCTGTATTATATTTTATGGAATTTAACTTAGAATGTAAGATATTAGCTCTGCGGTTTTACAAGCTTGTTTAAATTCTGCAATGTAGGGCAACAGAAAATCCAAACAAAATCCATTAATGACTATATTACTTCTTTATTTTTCTTTTTAAATATTATATGTGGCCAGTCAGGATGAAGTTTTTTTTAAACTACATTTCCTAGTTGGACAGATCAAGAGTAAGCTCCAGTTTTGCTATAATCTCGTTTTGTGATTGCTGACAAGTCTATTACTCCCTCAGTTCCCCTATCACTAAAAAGAAATAACATTGTGGTAAAGAGGTGTTAAACTACCAAATCCACTGAAAAAGTATGGAAAAAGGTCACAGATGTGGCAGCTTTGGCATCTTCAGAAGAAAAGATAGCAACTCAATGTGATACTATTGGCAATACCATTTGTTAATTGAAAAAAGAAGAAGAAAGCAGTTACTAGACATCCATGATTTTATGGAGAAGCCATATTCTGTCATAGATGAGCTATTTACAGACATTCAATGGCACATTCTTTGACAAAGTGAATCATCACTGTCTAGTCTTTCTTGTATATGAATTTGAAGTATTGATTAAAGTTGTAGCATACCTGTAATTTTAAACTGTAAAACTCTAACACTCACAAAAGAACATTGAAAGACTGCAAATTTCTAGACTTGGAGGTTATAATTCCTTCTGTATGTTACTACTATCAGCTTATAAAATTTTAAAAAATGTGAGTGTAGAAACTTATATAAACTGTATTCACACATGAAGGATAGCCTAAATGCTCCGGACTGATAATCTGAAGGTCATTCTCACCTGGCTGATTGAACTACTTTTATTCATAGAAGCCAAAGTTTTGAAAGGTACAGATAGAATCTTGACTACCTTGCATTCGCAGTTACGTTTTAATTGCAAAATAACAAGCTCTTTAGTCACTGGAAACAAAACACTTTTAGCATTTAACTTTATAATACTTGAAATCCTACCTTGAAAGCATTCATACTCATTAAAAGCTCAACACATGATCCATGTTTACATAAGGATTTGGGTGTTGCTTAAAATGATCATGTAATGAGCTGCTTCTCTGCAAATTAATATTCACTCCCTTCCCTCATCCTTAATGTGGGATCTTTGAAGGAAAAGGAAGTGACCAAACTAAAGACATAGGGAAATGCAAAATCAAGGTGAAAAGTTACCCAGAGGGTTGTTTTAATTTTGGCCATCAACCCCCTAGTGAATAATGGTAACAGTATTGTTTTGAGACCCATTTTGTGGCATTTACCTATTGTTAAACTAAATTGACTAGATGTAAATATATTTTCATCTTCAGATATTTAGAATTTCTATCCTTCCCCATTGTTTCTGGATTTTGATACTAATCTTTTTTCTTTGCATATTGTATATATTTACTCAACAACTAATCTAATTTTAGATTTTTAGCTTATCCACATTTCATTTTTGTTTATTTCATTGGTATTTCATCAATACAATGGCTCTACCCTTCAAGGAAAAAAAACATCAGCCCGTCCCACAAAAACACATATATTCAAGAAAGATAAATTACATTGTGATGATTCAATCATAGTAAGTATTCACCACTGAATTTCTTTAAGAATAACTACTGTGTTCAAAATAATTTTTGTACTAATATTTCATTTGAGATATTTTATTTCTGTGGAATAAAAAGATTTATCATAGTAACATCAAGCTTGTATCTTGAACAAACAGCTCCAAATATAATAATACAAGCTCTACTTCATGCATTCAACATGTATTTAGAAACCTGGCTGGGCACAGTGGCTTACACCTGTAATCCCAGCACTTTGGGAGGCCGAGGTGGGCAGATCACTTGAGGTCAGGAGTTTGAAACCACCCTGGTCAACATGGTGAAACCCTGTCTCTACTAAAAATACAAAAATTAGCTGGGCATGTTGGCAGGCGCCTGTAATCTCAGCTACTTGGGGGACTGAGGCACGAAAATCACTTGAACCTGGGAGGCAGAGATTGCAGTGAGCCAAGATCACACCACTGCACTCCAGTCTGGGTGACAGAACAAGACTCTGTAAGAAACCTACTGTGTTGACCTCTTTGTTGGACTTGGGGAAAATAGTTGTGAACCAGAAAAGAAAAGCAAAGTCCTTGTTCAAATAGGTCTTATATTTTAGTAGGGGAAACAACCACCAAAGAAATAAGCAAAAAAATATAATTTCAAATATTCATAAGTGTTAAGAAAAAAATGAAACAATAATGCAAGGTGGGAAAGGAGACAGTGTACCTTACTCAGATGTACTGTAGGTAGGCCTGAGGAAATGTTCTTTGAGCTAAGGACAAGCTCATCAGGGGAGCATTTGATTAAGGGAGACAGATGAGGCAATGGCTTTGTGCTGGAAACCAGTATGTGGTTGGAAGGGAGCAGGGGGCATCTGAGTAGTAGGCAAGGGCTAGATCATATGGACATTGTTGGCCACGTAAAGGCACAGATATTTTATTTTAAATGCATTGAGAAGCCACAGGCAGGTTATAAGCAGAGGATTAACATGATCTGATTTACATTTACAAGGAAACCTTTTTAAAAAATCTTAACCTCTAATAGTTTATAATATATTGTGTATTATGTTTAGAGAGATTTAAAAATAACTTATATGATCAAAGACAAGTTTCTTTTTGTAGGGCTGTACTATTTGTGTGATATCAAAATGGAAGAAATATTTAACAATCTATATGGCATTTCTTACAGAGACTTAATAACTTTGTTGCAAAATGACTAAATCTTTGTAAGAGAGAAATCTTTTTCTCCATGAAACCTTAACTTTAATTTAAGGGCAGTGATTTTGATATTTAAGAGAAGCTTGAAATGCCCCACTTAAAAAAAAAACAACTCTGGACAACAGTGAAAAAGAAGTCTTTTTGTTTAAATGTAATTATTAAATAAGTGTGACAAAAATAGAGCTAATTTTAGGGATGCTCAGGGCTGAGACTGCTTTTCTTCAGTGGATAAAAATATCCATAGGCAAATCTAGGGACACTTTAAATAATTCAAGTAGTCATAAAAGGGTCTCAGAGGAGGGGACCTCTTCTGGAAGAGGTAGGTGGAAAGGCCATGCATTTTGATATTGGTGGATTGCTTTTCATTTAGAAACTACTTTGTTTTCCTTATCCAGTACAATTGAACAGTAGATGATTTCTACTCTGTTTCACGGGCTATTTCTTTATTAGCAAGGTTACACTCTTGAGCACCTGTGGGGACAACTGGCCTGGGCACTTTCTTCGTATCTGCCTTTATCTTCTCTCAACTCAGGCCTGTATGTACAAAGGTTAAATTTGTTCCTACTCAGTTAAAATCTAAAGGAAGGCCACCATAGGCCATTACTTTCTCTAGAGCACGCAAAGGTAATCTGTTTTCCTAGTTGAACATGGGAGAAGAAACACCTAGATGTTTTATACCATAGGCTCCAATGTAAATGTGAATAGGTGATATAAATTCCAAGCAAAAAGAAGAAAGTTTGCTTATCTTATCCAATACTTTTGAAATATATTACTATTTGATGGCATTTGGCATTTTATAAGATATGATAAAAACTTAAGACTAAAAAAAGAAGGCCAGATGCGGTGGCTCATGCCTGTAATCCCAGCACTTTGGGAGGCTGAGGTAGGCGGATCACCTGAGGTCAGGAGTTCGAGACCAGCCTGGCCAACATGGTGAAACCCTGTCTCTGCTAAAAATACCAAAACTTAGCTGGGCATGGTGGCGGGCACCTGTAATCTCAGGTACATGGCAGGCTGAGGCAGAAGAATCGCTTGAACTTGGGAGGCAGAGGTTGCAGTGAGACAAGATTGTGCCATTGCACTCCAGCCTGGGCAACAAGAGAGAAACTCCATCTCAATAAAAAAAAAAGGATAGCATGCCAAAGTTATTGCGTAAATTCTTTAAAAGGGGTACACATGTGCTCGTGTTGCATTTTTGTTAAATATCATCCTAAAACTTAGATTATTTTACAACTTAATTATAAAGCTTACGAATCCTGATCATATTGCTTTAAAATAGCACCTTGTTATGGGTAGAAAAATATTACCCAAACTTTATAGCCCACCTTATTAATGAACTTTGCTTCTAGTTGACTTATTTTATTTATTTATTTATTTATTTATTTTGGTGACAGAGTTTTGCTCTGTCTCCCAGGCCGGAGTGCAGTGGCGCGATCTCAGCTCACTGCAACCTCTGCCTTCTGGGTTCAAGGGATTCTCTTGCCTCAGCCTCCCGAGTAGCTGGGATTACAGGCACATGCCACCATACCTGACTAATTTTTTGTATTTTTAGTAGAGACAGGGTTTCACCATTTCGGCTAGTCTGGTCTCAAACTCCTGACCTTCTAGTTGACTTCTGTTTTCAAAAGTCAAAATCATTTTGAAGATGAACATTTGTCATTTGTTGAAAATTTTTAAAAATGTTAAATATGTTAGAATATCAAGTAAAAAAAATTAAAATTATATCATGCCTTTTAAAAATTACATGTATGCATAGTAAAAGAATTTGGGAGAAATACATTGGAACTTTAATAATGGCTATCTCTAAGGGATGAGGTAATAGGCTTTTTTTTTTGCTTTATATATTTTTTTCAAAATTTCTGCAATGATCACAAATCATTTTTATTTAAATATATTACTTTTATATATTTAAAAAATGTACCCACAGACTCCAGACTAAGCCAAAAATAACTTTGTAAGGGTGTATTAACAACAGCCAAGATTATAGTTTTAGCTGTTGTGATAGATGATAGTTCATAAATGCTATCCAAAGATAAATTGTCCCTTGGGAATAGTATATATTTGAATGCCCTCAAAGATAATATTAGAAATAATTGGTGCCTTTTCAGTTGAATCAAACTAATGCAGAGCAACTTTTAAGAGTCAATTTATGAAATACAAGAGGATTTTAGAACAGAATTACAAGGACAGAAAGGACAGAAAAATAATTAAAATATTAGAAGCAAAGTTGAAAGAGAGTGGGACGTCAGGAACTTTTGTTCTGTTACAGTCTCTGCAGCATTGTGTCTAGTTGTGTGTCCCTGAACAGGTCATAATTTCGATGGGCCTCAGTTTCTTTAACTGTAAAATAAGAGTTGACTGAACAGATGACTATTTTCAGTGCCAAGACTTTATGAATCTAAATTCCCCAAACAAATTTGGATTCTTGGTTTTACGTGCAGCAGTCAATATATAAATGGGTCCAGAAGATGTCTTTGCTTCAGCTTTGGTAACACTCAAGTGTGCTGGTTATTGCCTGATTTCCTCTTCTCTATCATTTTCCTGCTCTTCTCTGCACTCTTGCATTCCAGGAATGGGATGTTCTGGCTCTCATTACCAGGGATCCCCTTGTCTTCCCTGGGTTTAGCCAATGAGAACTGCTGGCAGGAGGTCAGAGGGTAGTAGAAAAAAGAATTTGGGTTATTTCTTTCCCCCTCCCTTTGAGCTAGCCTGAGATTCTGGTGGTGATGGCATTCCTCTACAACTGCGTACCCTGTCAGATACCCGCCCATGGCTCTAACTTTCACTGGGCTGCTTCAGATCCAGCTGTGGTGATGGCATCCCAATGTACTAGCCCCTGAATGCCTCAGCATTCCTTGTTTGGCCTCTTAACTCTGCCCACATTTCTGTAATTGTTCTTTACATTAGTTTGTACTCAAAATCTCCTTGGAACTGTGCCTTCAGTTTCCTGCTAGGACAAGGTGAATACATCCAAGTCATTTCTATTTTTCTGATTCCTACAACTTTGCTCAAATTCATTGTTTCCTGTCATACTCAGAATAAGAGTCAAGTCTTAACAATAACCTACAAGATTTGTGCTGTGCTCACCCTACTCCAGCCACAATGATCTCCTTGCTATTCTTATAGCCTACCAATGTACCCTCCTGCCTCAGGACTTTTGCACTTACTATAGTTTCTCCTTATTCCCTAAGCTGTTTGCATGGCTAATTCCCTTATCTTCAGGTCTTGGCCCAAATGTCACCTTTTCAGTGAGGACTTCCCTGACTACACTATTTAAAACAGCAAGCCTCCACCTCCCATCCCTCTTTTTGCTTGATTTTTCTCTAGCACACTTATAACCTTCTAATATACTACATTATTTACTTATTTTGTTTGTTGTCTCTCTTCCCATACTGAAGTGGATTATTCCAAGAGGGAGAGGGTTTTCATCTGTCTTGTTCATTCTTATATTCTCAGAGTGAATAATACAGCCTGGCACATACTGGATTCTAAGTAAATATTATGTAAATAAATGTTCCATTTTTACAACATGCTACAACAATTTTATTCAATATTTATGAAAGTAAAGTAATAAACATGCTGAAAAACATGGAACATTGGTAAAGTGGGAAATTCCCTGCAATGACAGATACTTTTGGAACATGTCTTTTTTTTATTGTTTTTGAGATGGAGTTTCGCTCTTGTTGCCCAGGCTGGAGTGCAATGGTGTGATCTCGGCTCACCACAACCTCCACCTCCCAGGTTCAAGCGATTCTCCTACCTCAGCCTCCCGAGCAGCTGGGATTACAGGCATGCACCACCACACCTGGCTAATTTTTGTACTTCTGGTAGAGATGGGGTTTCTCCATGTTGGTCAGGCTGGTCTCGAACTCCCGACTTCAGGTGATCTGCCCACCTCCACCTCCCAAAGTGCTGGGATCACAGGTGTGAGCCACCGCGCCTGGCCAAAACATGTCTTTTATAAAGGGGATAAAAGAGAGATACTATTTTACTTACAAGATAAAAGTTTCTTTACCTTTTTATTGATGCATTTTATTTGTTGCAAAATTTTCAGAAAATATGCAAGGTATGTATTGGATCATATGTTGAAGTCCTTGAGAAAATACCTTATTTAGTATTTAGAAAGTATAAGATTAAAATCTTGATCAAGAGTACGCATTACTTTGACACTAGCTATTCTTAATCGTATTTAATTCAAGGCACATTGACATATTTTAAATATTTGGTATAATGGCTAAAATAACATTTCCTTTGCATAGAAAAATCTAAAAAATATAGACACTGTAAGGGTAAAAACTTCTTATTTAGTTTTTTAAATGTAGGTCTATAGATATGTCACTGTAGTAACAAAGTATTAGGAAAAGCTCTATTTTGAATTCATAGAGTCTAAATGCTATTGATTAATAATGAATACTTAGATTTTTTAAATGTCTTTTATAGACTCATTGGGCTTTGTTTTCTTCATCTGTTTGGTTTGGCTGCTCTCATTTACATACTTGCTCTCATTAGGGTTTGAATTTCAGAGCTGGCCTCACTCTGCGATGAGAACAAATGTCTTGCCATGTGATACTAACTTTCCATTACATGCTGAAGCATTTGCAGTCCCAGAGGCAAAGAATTTATGGTTGGTACATGAGAGATAGAACCATCACATAAAAGAAGCCAAATTTGCAATCATATTTTTCCTTAGTGCTAATATAGTTTCGGGATAATGAGAACTCAGAATAATCAGCTAATGACCAGAAATGAATCATTATTAAAACACTGTTTTTCTGGCATAAAATAGCTAATGTTTCTAGTTGGTTGATAATTTTCTTAGCAACCATGGTATTTGGCACGTCCTAAACCACTTTTCACTAGAAGCCTTCAGACCCCACTGAAGCAGTTCATTATACTCTGAAACAGTTCTGAGAATCAGGGAGAATAATATACAAGTTTTGCTGATATTCTATAGCTGTATAGCCAGTATCCTGTAGCAAATACTTAAAATTTCCTACAAGATTTCTCAGTAATTCTCCAGCCAAGTAGGAAATTAAGTAGATGCAGCAGAAGAGATTAAAAAGTATTGGAAGTCGATCCCCAAGTTAGAGTTTGGTCAGAATTTCAAGCTTGTTTTATTGTTTTTTAAAAAGTAAATAAACAAGTTGTTTTATACTTTAATAATAGGGTCACCATTAATATAACATTTACATGGCATCATATTTCCAAGGGATTCTGTATATGTCCCAGCTTCTTGTTATTACTGACTATGCTCTGTGAGATTTTTTGGCGGCATGTATTACTTTGGTTTTGGCCAGAAAGTCAAAGGAAAAGAGTATTGAGAATAGCAGCCAATAACTATGAAAACTCATCACAGATTTATTCATATATCTGGTCATACCCTGCACACATATAGCACTGTATGGTTGTCAAACTCTTGGCATGCATGATATCATTTGATCTTTATAACCCTATATCTGTGTGACCTTGAGCAAATCACTCAGCCCATGGCTGTGACTCCTGTTTGGAAGCTGGGTTTAATAGATACCCTCTCCTAAGTCTATAGGAATGCTTCAGAATTAATAATAGAGTAGTTCAATGCATTGTGAACTTTGTAAAAGAAAGGTATTATTATAAATGCAAAATTATTTTATTCACCTAGCTTGGGACACTAAAATTTAGGGAGACTAAGTGAGTTGGCTCTAAGTGTTTAACCACATTGGTCCCAGGAAACACACAGAACCATGGATTAAAAGGTTGATGTTTTCTAGTTTAGATAAGAAGCATGAGATTTTATCATAAAGGGCAAAATACTGCTCATAAGTAGAGAATATTGTTTTCTAAAGAATATAACCAAATATTCATTCTGAACCATGAACTCACTAATTTAATTTAAATGTGTCAAACAGTATGATTTTATTAGTTATTGATCAATATTCAGGCTACATGTAACAATGGATGACAACCAGTTTTCTTGAAAAGATATCCAATTTGGAGGCAATTAATCCCAGAATTATTATGAATTACATAAACTGAGAAGATAAATTGGTAATATTTCTGATCAAAATAATATTTTCCAAATACATATATTTTCTGAGTAATATTGTATAAACAATAAAGTGGTCAACCTTGTCACTAATGTTTCATATAGCTCACATATTAGAATAAAACCTACTTAAGAACATCAGATATTTGATAAGATGTGTCAGTTTCAATTAAGCTAGGTTTTGCACCAGCCTAATAAATAAAGAACAATAATTCAGAAGCTAGGAAATGTAATTTCATTGAAAGATGGAAAGGAATAAGTATCTAGCATGAGCCAGGCAGTGTGGTAAATACATTTTAAATGTGACTTTATTTAATCTCTACAACAGCTCTGTAGGATAAACATTATTATCTCTAATTTAGAGATAAAGAAATCGAACCTTCAAGAGATTGAGGGCTTCCTCAAGAGTTTGTAAATCAGAGCCATAGTTGACCTGGATCTGAGTGATACCCAGGTATATGTTCTCTCCATTACTCCATTTTATAATTTAGGAACCACCAGATCAGATGTTCCCAAATTTGTGAAGAGGAACTACATTCTGGTTTTTTGTTTTGTTTTGAAACCTCATATTGGTGGAGGGAGGGGCCAGGAGAAAGAGGTTGAACCTGATGTGGATGAATGTGAGGATAAGGGCCCCTGATAGTGAGGGGCTACAGGCATGCGCCAGCAGGGCCGGCTAATTATTTTTTTTAAAGCTCTTGTAGAGATGCAGTTCCTCACTTTGTTGTCCCAGGTTGGTCTCAAACTCCTGGGTTCAAGCAATCCTCCTGCCTTGGCTGCCCAAAATGCTGGGATTACAGGTGTGAGGTTCTTCACAGGGGAATGAAGTGAGCAGAAAGTAGCTGCTTGCCAAGTGAAAGAAGCAATGGACCAATATAGGCTTTGAGGTGCACTTGTAAGCTGGTGTGTTGGGAACTGCCGACGTGGTTAGATGATGCTCTCTGATGGTCTTTCTGTTATATTAAGGAGTAGAGATTTTTAAATATTAGATAATTTTATGTTTCTATTGCTAAATTGGGGTTGAGGGGGATGTTGGTCTGTCATTCTATTTCACTTCAAATGAAGATGCATTTTTATCTGGAACGTATGTGGAACTGTCTTGGAATTTGACTCTGCCGGGTCAGATTATGTCCACACAGCATACAAGCAAATTCCCAGGATACCAGGTTGCTGTTTGAGGTTGGCTGCTGCTAATTCCTCTCCTAGAGAAGAGGACACTCTAGTTCTAGCCCCAGCTCTGCAACTGGCAGATCACCTCAGCTCTCTGGGCCTCTGTTCTTCCTCCTCTGAAAAATAAGGAGGCTGAACTAGACAATTCCTAGGCCTCACTTTCAGTCCTTCTGTTCTGCAGTTCCATGAGAAACAGAAAGCACAGCTTATCCTTTAAGCCCTCTAAAAGGCAAAAAAAAAAAAAAACTAAAACAATTATCTTCCATGGTAAAACTGTCTGCTATATACATTTTAATGTTCCAAAGGATTAAAGTCCATCAATCTTGTAGACTTGTTGGGAAACAAGTCGGTTGGCATTTTCATAGACTTTTTATTTCACCGTGTTTTAGCATTATTAGAAAATTTTTCTGTAGAGGAAAATTTTGCTAGGAGTTAATTCAATTTTTTTTTACATCTGATTTTGAAATTTAAAGTAAATCACTTGTTTTGAGTATCTTATGTAGACGCTTTTTAAGCCACAAATAATTTTGTCAAACTTCGCAAAAGTACACTCTGCCCTCAGAAGTTATTTTAGGTACAAATTACTTGTTATGTTAAATTGAATAGATGAAAATTTAAATGCTGTAATATTTAAGTTATTCCAACATATACACTTTGATGATGAATACATGCTAACTGGAAACATTTTACTGTAGTCTTACTTTATGCTTTTCTACTAATAATGTTCATAAATTCATGAATGGGTGGATAATCTTGGCAAGAAAATGAAAAGGCTTTTAATTGTGTAAAAATATGGATTTGTCTTCTTCTGGAGTTGTTGCTTGCTCAGCAGACACGTGTTGAGTCCTGCTAACTTGACAAGCACTGCACCACTTGCTGAGATTACAAAGATAAGTAAGATATGCTCTGTGGCTCTGGAAAATCAAAAGCTAGTAGAAGATGCCTGTAGTTCATCTGGAAAAAGAGAGCTTATAAAGTTTTTTCTACAATATGACCTCATTTGAACATATGGGGTGCAGTTATTATTTTCCTTATTTTACACAGGAAACTGAGTCTCATGGAGGTTAAGTTATAATGCTCAACTTGTTATTACTTGCCCAGTATCTGTTGTCCCTTAAACAAGGACTGGGACCATGTCTATCTTTTTCATTCTGTAGTTCCAGTACCTAGCACAGTACCTGGCACATAATAGGTGTTCCATTTGAGCACCTATTTGATGGATTAATAAATCCATCAAACATATTTGATGGATAATATCTCCAACAAATATTGGATCATAGGAAAGCATTACTAGCATTAGTCTTCTTACTCTTGAAGTAAGTACTCTTTCACTATGCCTTGCTGCCTCTGTAATTATAAACCTGTTTAGTATTAACAGGATGAATGCTTGTGGTATGGAAAAAGAGCTATATATGCTGCCTAATTTTTTAAATAAGGAAAGAGATTGCCTTTGAAAGGTAGAGGCTGAACACCCTTGGAAAAACAATAGGATAAATCCCCCAGAACTCAGACATCTTGATACTCAACCACAAAACATTCTTTTCTTTATGAAGAAATAATTTGGTCATATGTGTCAAGCTTTCTCATTATTTAGTGGTTTGGAATCATTTTAAATTGGCCATTAGAAGTAATGGCAGCAGGTTTGAGGGTCTAGAAGTATTATATATTGTGTACTTTATCAGTAATTTTTATGATATTTATGAAGCTCAGTATGGCTGATGTTAAGAGACAGGGTTATTAGCACTTCAGAACATAAGAATGGAATTTAAAATGACCTTAGAAAAATTGAGAGGTGTTGATCCTAAATAGGAACACATGTGGGGAGAAAAGACAAATGCACTGTAACTGCAGTATGCAACTGTGTCAGGGAGGAATTTAGAAGACCAAATTCAGAATCACAAAGTATTAATAATTCTTGTATTACATTCTTCAGACTATTACTGGAATACTATGGTCAGTCTCAGTCCCACCAGTTTAAGAGATTTGTAACAAATTGTATGAGATTTAGAGAATATAGAAAATAATTAAAGGTTAGAAATTTAGGAATGTGAAAACATAGAAAATAAGTTGAATTTTAGTCATGTAAGGTCTCAAAATATTTTACCTCTCATGTTTTCATTCTCAGAAGCTACTCAAGGATGTGCTCCACCAAAATGAGGATATGAAGCCAATATAAAGGAAGGCAATGAATACAAGAGACAGGCAAAGGGAGTTCCCAGGACATAAGCAAGGGACGTCCCAGGTAGCAAGTGTGCACCTGGTGTCCAGGGCCATCTGTCCAGGTAATGCATGTTATAAGGTGTAAGGGGAGATATTTTTCAGGAGGGTAAAAATAAAAGAATTCCTGATGCATCTGAATATTTTAAGAAAAAGGGCATGGTAACACATGCCTGTAATCCCAGTTAATTGAGAGGCTGAGGCAGGAAAGTGGCTTGAGCCTGGAAGTTCTAGGCTGCAGTACACTATGATCATGCTTTTGAATAGCCACTGCACTCTAGCCTGGGCATCATAGCAAGACCCCCATCTCAAAAGAAAGAAGGAGAGAAAGAAAAATAAAGAAAAATGGAAAGAGAAAGAAGGAAGGAAGGAAAGAGGAAGAAAGAGAGAAAGAAAAGAAAGAAAAAATGTTAAGCATTTGATGGAGAGTTTGGGGTTAAATTAGTGATATACACAGAGAATATTTGCTAAAACCAACAAAAACCAACTCCAGGGAAGCAAAAGTTTTGGCCAAAACAAAAAGAAGAATTATATATACTACAGAGCTTCACTATAACTAACATAAATACTAAGTATTAATCTAATCAAAATTTTGATGTAAAGATAGTAAGTAGATGAAAAGATGGGAAGGGTGGATGTGTGGGATGGGGTGGGAGAGGGTGGTGAAAGAAAGCTGTGCCCTTGTATTTCACAGTGAGAAGTCACGGAAAATGCCTACACTTGAAAAATCAAATTAGTAACATAAGCAAATATAGCATTAAAAAGTTGTGGAAGTAAACATCAAAACTACCAACCAACAAATTAATCAAACGAACAAAACAAAATTGCTGAAAACATTGAATGTGGCCGCCTTTGGAGTGGAGAGAAATATATTGAGAGGAGGTACAAGGGACCATTATTTTTTATATCAAACCTTATTTAAAGCTTATTTAAACCATGAGCTTGTATAACTTTGGTTAAGGCAAACAAAAATAAATTAAATTATTTAACTACATAAAATATATTTAAGGACCTAATAATCACCAAAAGTAAGGAAATTTGTTTTGTCTCAGGGTGATGACAACTGCTTGTTGTATTTACAAACTCAAGATTTTGGTTTAGTGGTAAGTTCTAGTAAGGATTGTTGTATGGGAGTTTCTAAACAGATGAGTCATTCCCTTTCCTGGAGCTATGGGGGGACTAGCAGTCAACACTCAATAGCCTGGCATGGTTTAGGTGCAGTTATAGAGTAAGGTTGTGTGCATTTCCCTGTCTCATTTGGGTTCCTTATAATTCTGTAGGCCTCCAGCAGTGGTGTGGTGTGAAGACAAAGCACTGGATTTGTAGACACACAGACCCCAAGTCAAATGCCAGCTCAATCATATGCTATTTATGTGACCTCAGAAAGTGACCCAACCCCTCTGAATCTTAATTTCCTCATCGTAAAATGGGGCCATGTGATATCCACCTCATGTGCTAAGCCATTAAATGAACTTACGTTTATAAAGTATCTGGCAGATGCTAAAAAAATATCAGTTCCTTCCTATCCGAAGTAGTGAATCTCCTCACGGATTCAGAGCAGTAATCATTTGAATCATATGATGATAATGTATATTCATCTCTAATGCAATCAGGTAGGGAATTAAGATACATATTTAAATATCTTCTTGTTTTAACTTTTACATGATATAAAATAATCAGTTTTCCTATCCTAGAAAGATAGGCTTTAAAGATAATTTATTTAGTCCAATTAGATAGCTATTTTGATGTCCTGTAGACACAACTTGAATGCTTATGTGTCACATATGGCCTAGTACCATGAGAAGACTTCAGGAACGCTCAAGACCTGTAGGTGATGGAATAGTCAAAACATGCCCCATCCAACCAGTCTCCCAAATTGCTACATAACCCCTTGAGACCCTGTGAATCATAGTTTATAAGCAACTATTCATAGATTTAGGCATTTTCCCCAGGGTGTTATTTATATGAGGCTGCTAATGATCAACTTTAATATGTGTATATATTTTCTTTGCTAAGTATTAACTCTAACACCTGACTCACAAAAGTGGAGGGAGGGGGGAAGGAAAAATCCACTAAGTTAGAGAGGCCAGAGAGACCCCTTGCAGAGAGAGGATGGCAAAGAAAGTCAACCTTTGAAGAAAGGCCTCCCTAAGGAACAAGGACCATGTGGTCCTCTGATCCTCTGTAATCTAAGTGCCAAGACTTGGTGCCAAGAATAAATGATCCTGGTTGATGAAGAGCAATCTGCCACTTCTAAGCTTTGATCAAAGCTCAGAAAACCATCTCTGTGCTGCTGCTTCTCACATCTGCTCACATTTTAACAGTTTAGTGCCTATAACAGGAAGTGCCTATTTTCACATTGAAATTCTTTCATTCAGTAGAAATATTTTTGTTTTAAATAATTTAAAAATATAACCAGTGAGCATCTTTAAATTTTCATAATTGGCTCACAGTAAAATAGATTTCTCACCTCTGATTTAGGTGAAATAACATTGTTTCTGCTTTGTTGTATTCTACTTTCTCTACCTCAAACAGGAACAAAAGTTCTTTTAATAATCAATTGAGCTCATCAGTTTCTTTAATTGAACACTTGCCAGATTCTGGGGATACCAAGATGACTGTGAAAGAGTATCTTCCCTGGAGGAACTCAATTTCTATTTGGGGGTGATAGTGGAGAGAGGGGAACCCAGATTTGGAAAGAGACAATGGTGATAAGAATGACAATAAAAGTATGTACAAAGGTTAAGATAACACAAAAGATAGAAAGGCCAACCCTGGAACTTTCCCAAAAGGCTTCCACAGAAGAGATAAAGTTGTGGCTTGATTTCCCAGTTCTTGTGAGAGCTTGCCAGTCAGGCAAGGCAGAGACTTTGAAGATACTCATGAAGAACAGTGAAGAAACAGAGCTTAGAACCAAACAGTATGTTTGGAGAATGGCACAAAACTCCATGTGGCTGTGTTAAGCAGTGAATGTGGGAAGGTAGTAGGAGGTGAGAACCAAGAAACAAGAGATAGAACATTCTATAGATAAATAACAGGAGTGACAGGCTCCAAGATGCATTGTCAAGAGAACATGTGATGGTGAGGATGGGCTGGAGTGAGATGAGAACCTATTTAGAAGTAGTCCAGGTAAGAGATATGGAGGTCCTGAATTATGGCAATAACATATCAAGGATGGATGATAACTAATTATAAATCATCTAAAAACGTGAAGTACCATGTAAAACCATACAAAGATATTAATTATTGATATTAATTTTCTGCATGACCTTGGAGTCTGTTGTGACAACCCACCCCTAGTTTAGTAAACACTTGCTGTGGCCAAGCCAAATGCACAATGCCATCTACTGTAGGTGTGTGCTACCGTCACACAGCCCTCTCATGACTTCCCAGGATTTACTAGGAAGGCTATTTGTGGAACAAGCTCATTTTAGCCTCTTAAATATCATAAAATAAACTGAGATTGCCCATTTTATTTTAAGTATCCTGCAGAAGACAATTAACTTTGTTTCCAGCACAAAAGATAATGCCAATATAACTTTGGTGAAACGTAAAATGGTGAAATTTAAGGATATGGCTGAAGATGCCTATGATTTTATAGGCTTTTCACTTAGATGAATGAATGGATGACTTTGCCACAGCATTTTCAGCATTCCAGGCGTGTGATAAAATGGAATCCAGTTCAAGTTTCTTTTAACCTTCATTTTTAGGAACCTGTGATTACATATATAAAATATAAATATACACGTTTGGATTTGACAGTGATTTAACATTTTGACCAAATACCTGTGCTAAATTCATCCATGAGACAGCTGAGGAAATCATTTCTGGAATAATTTTTACTGTTCTTCAGTGTTCCTCAGGCAGGAAGCCACAGGAAACAAAGTATTGTGGTGCATATTTCCCTGCAGGATTTGGTGTGTCATTCACTGTGGAGAATTTTGCTTTCCAGCTGCCTATAGTTCATATTTTTGTACTTGCTTTTCCCTCCAGGATAATTTGATGAAGTCAGTTCCTCAGAGATAGAAAATGTCTTTGTATCTTTTTAAGATCAGATTTGTTTCTTTTCCCAACTGAGAGATAAACTTGATTAAAAAGAAAACATGTAAGTAGCCGGGATTAATTATTTTGACATATGAAATAACCATGATCGCAATATGAAATAGTCATTAGATAATTTTAATAATCTAATAGGGTAAGTGCCTTTGGTTGAATGAAAATAAGGTCTGTCAAAATTTTGGATCAGTTTAAGATGTAGTAAATTAGAACCTGGAATATAGAAATGAAAACCACCCTTTTTCGAGAGAACTTCACTATTCTTTTATTAGGTCTAATTTCTACTTTAAAGTTTTTCTACCCTCCTTTTCCTCTCACTTCCCTGCGAAACATTGTCCCACTCCTAGATGAGAAAATGGCAGAATAAAATGTTTTAAAATCAGAACTAATATCCTCACGTTAAGCAACTATTTTTTTAAACACCTACACCAGTGGGTTTTCAACCCTGCCTGTAAGAATCACTGGAGGAACTTTTTAAAAATGCACAGAACTTCACGCCTATAATTCCAGCACTTTGGGAGGCCAAGGCAGGCAGATCACTTGAGGTCAGGAATTCGAGACCAGCCTGGCTAACATTGTGAAACCCCGTTTCTACTAAAAATACAAAAAAAATTAGCCGGGCATGGTGGCACGCGCCTGTATCCCAGCTACTCGGGAGGCTGAGTGAGGCAGGAGAATCACTTGAACTGGGGAGGCAGAGGTTGCAGTGAGCCAAGATCGCGCCATTGCACTCCAGCTTGGGCAACAAGATTGAAACTCCGTCTCAAAAAAAAACAAAACAAAAAAACCAAGCCACACAGATTTCACCTTCTGAATTACTAATTTGATTCATATGGGGTGGGACCTGAGTGTTCACATTTCTCAGAACCTCCCAGGCCGACTTTAATGTACAGTAGAGTTGAGACCACTGGCCTCTACTGTCCTTTGCATAGGTGTCCCTAGGCTCTTTTTCAACCTGCCAAACCTGATTTCTCTATCACCCACTTAAAGATTACACTTGGGGTAACAGTGACAATCAAGCTCTGTGGTGTCCAAAGTGAGGGGTGCAAGATGATGTATTAGAGTGTGAGAAAAATATAAGAAGTTTATTTTTTAATCACATCCTTTAATGATACGTTTTTTAAATATTTTATGATGCACATAATATATTAGTACAATAGATTGGGGGAAGGGAGACAGAACAGAAAACACCATTTTTGCTGCTATAGAGATCCCCTAATTCTCTGCTTTCAATGAGAGCAGTTTCAATGTTGGCTTTTTGATGTCTACTGATTGCTGCAGACTTCTCTAGAGCTAAGTATGGAGTTTTATAAGACGCATGTCCTCCACTGCACAGCTGTATTCTATGACCAACCACAGAACACAATCTTTTTTTTTTTTTTTTTTTTTTTTTGAGACAGAGTTTTGCTCTTGTTGCCCAGGCTGGAGTACAATGGCGCAATCTTGGCTCACAGCAACCTCTGCCTCCCAGGTTCAAGTGATTCTCCTGCCTCAGCCTCCCGAGTAGCTGGGATTACAGGCATGCGCCACCATGCCCAACTAATTTTGTATTTTTAGTAGAGGTTTCTCTATGTTGGTCAGGCTGGTTTCGAACTCCTGACCTCAGGTGATCCGCCTGCCTCGTCCCCCAAAGTGTTGGGGTTACAGGTGTGAGCCACCGTGCCCAGCCTAGAACAGTCTTTCTTGCTAGGTCTTTGTCCTTCCCAGGGTTCCTGATACAGCTTTACCTCCTGATCCCTTCTCTTAGTAAAATTTCTTCTCACCTTTCCAAATTCTTCTAAAATGCACAAGCATTTTTGGGTACAGTAACAAGAGAGGCTTTAATGTAGAAATGCCACCAAAATATCCCCTGATGGTAAGACTTTTTGAGGTATAATGACATTGTGGTCACTTTTTTTTTTTTTTTTTTCTGAGATGGAGTTTCACTCTTGTCACCCAGCCTGGAGTGCAGTGGCATGATCTCAGCTCACTGTAACCTCTGCCTCCCGGGTTCCAGCGATTCTGCTGCCTCAGCCTCCTGAGTAACTGGGATTACAGGTGTGCACAACCACACCCAGATAATTTTGTATTTTTGGTAGAAATGGGGTTTCACCATGTTGGCCAGGCTGGTCTCAAACTCCTGACCTTGTGATCGGCCCGCCTCAGCCTCCCAAAGTACTGGGATTACAGGTGTGAGCCACCGTGCCCAGCCATTACTACAATAATTAAAAAAAAAAAAAAAAAAACTAATATGAGAAGCGGGAAAATGGCTGTGGTTGAATGACATGATTGACCAGGATTAGACAATTGTTGGATCAGAGTACTGGGTACATGAAGGTCATTATTATATTCTGCTTACTTTTTTGTATGCTCAATTTTTCATAATAAAAAGTTAAAAAAATCTTTTGAATCATTTATGGTTCATTTATTTAAAAAGAACCCCTCCTGCCACCTCCCCCCAGCCCCATATAAGGGCACCCCAAACCACAACTCTTGGGCTTGAATAATGTGTGAATCTATTTCAGATTTGGGCTTCAGACTGGTGTGAATTCTGCTCCTTCTGAGGCTGATTTCTTCCTTCCTCGCCCTCACTGACCACTTTCTTTTGTCCCAATGGCTATCTCTCAACCTGCCCACAATCACTTTCTTATAGTTAGCCTCCCCTCTTCTATCTTGTGTCTTTCATCTGCCTTCGTGGTTTTCTTTTCAAGTCATTTGTTCCCTGCCTCACCCCAAATCCCCTTCAGACATCAAATACTCAAATCTAGTCAGCATTCTCAGGCCATTTTCTTCCCTCTCCACCTAGTTCTGCCAGGCAGCCTGCCTCCCACTCCTGCCTCCATTCTGGGGGATGGTGTGCCAGCAGCACCAGAGTAGGAACTTCCCACCCTTCTTTTGCGAGCTGAGCTGACCTGGCTCTGGCCTGAGGTCTCATCCTGTGTGCTCTGAGTCTTTCAGCCTCATGTCACAATCCTCCATGAGGGGATTTCAGATACTTGCAGATTGGGAGGAGGTGACCTTTCTGCTTTTTTTTGCTGGGCCCGGTGGAAACCACCCCATCCCCTACCCCCACCTTCCTTGTACTGTAAAATGGGAAGTCTCGATGCAGGTTTCAGAGTTTCTGTTGGGGGACTTTCTAGGATGCCTATAAATTTTCGAGGTTTTGCACCCCTTTTAAATATACAAGCTCTTCTGAAAGTCCCTAAGGCATTTAGCATCATAGCTATAATCTCTAATATTTGAAGGATTTCAGGGTCTTCAAATAACTTGGATATATACCATCTCACTTGTACATTTTTTCCCTGTTCTTTTGTAACACAGCACCTGATTTGCTCTTCCTGCCACCATAGCGGTTCAAAGAGTCACTCTCCTCCACTTTGTTACACGCTCCATTTCACTGTTCGAATATTTTTTTTTCCCCTAGCAACTTTCTGGTCCCCTACCCCTAGCGTAGGTAGTAGATACTGCATCACCACTTCCCTTTCCCCTACTGCTCTGTGACCTACCACGTGAACATGAGAAAAGTGTCCGTCAGTGTGAACGAGCTCGCATCACAGTGTTGGGCAGCTGCATTCATTTTGACCTATAGTGAGGCCCGGGTTGGAGAACTAAGGGGGAGGGGCTGGAGCGGGAGAGGGAAGAAGAAACAGATACTTGTTCACTTTCCCTTCTCTCTCTGCACTTCCAATTTTAGAGAGGCTGGAGGCTAATTTCCCAGTTATAACAAGGGCCTTCACTTCAGCTTGTGTTTCAAACACTAGGAGAACTAAACTTAAAACTTTCTAGCCTCACTGGCGATCGCATGACTGAGATTAAATAGGGAAAGGGAAGAAAAAGAGGAAGAGAAGAAAAGAAAAGGGAGAGAGAAGAGACAAGCAAAGAAGGAGAAGAGAAGGACAGAATGAGAAAACATTTACTCTCATTTCTTTCTTTCTTTTTTTTATTGTTATTTTTTCTGAGACAGGGTCTGGATCTGTTGTTCAGGCTGGAGTGCAGTGGCGCGATCATGGCTCATTGCAGCCCTGACCTCCCAGTCTCAAGCAATCCTCCCACCTCAGCCTCTCGAGTAGATGGGATTATAGGCACACACCACTATGCCCGGCTAATTTTTGTATTTTTTGTAAAGACCGGGTTTTCCCATGTTGCCCAGGCTGCTTTTTTTTTTTTTAATTTACTTCTTATATTAGAAGAAAGCTGGGGTATCCTGTGACTTATTAAAATGCATTTCACTGGACTTCTGATGTGGTATTTAAAATGTCCAATTGTCAGGTAAACTATTGCTGTGCTAGGATTTATAGGCAAACTGAGGCAGTTTTTCAGATACTTTCTAAAGCAGGAAGTTCCTGATATTGAAGAGGCAGTTTGTTCTTGACCATATTTATCCAAGGCTACTTCACAGCACCTCAATAATCTATTTCATATAAGATGTATTTGATATCAGGTTGACATTTTGACACAATTTTCCAGACCATTGAAGGAAATTGCTTAAAACTTTTTCTTTTGTCTAGGCAGGCAAGACCACCTATATGTTGATAAGTCTGGTTTGTTCTTTTTGTATAAATCCTGGCAGGAGCATAAAAACAGTATTTGTCTTTTATTATTACAGTGGTGATATGTTCACTTAAGGAAATCAAATATAGAAAAAGTACAAAAAAAGAAAATATGTTATACAAATATGTATAAAAAGATTTTTTAATATAAATTTTATTGTAGTATAACATACAGAAAATGCACAAATTGTAAGTGTGCAGCTTGATGAATGCCACAAAGTGAATATACCCATGTAACCAACAGACTAGGACAGCGCTCCAGAAAGAGAACATAACAGCACCCCAAAAGCCTCCCTCATATCCCCTTCCAGGCACTATGCTGAAAGTGTTATCATGATCCTGACTTTTAAAGCATAGATCTTCTCCCCTCGGCCCCTGGTTTTGGACTTTTTAATAAATGGAATCATACAGTAGTATGTAGTATTTTTTGGGGGGGTGCCACTTCCCATCTTGCTTGTGAGAGCCATTCAGTTTTTGTATATGGCTCATTTCCTTTCCTTTTCTTTTCTTTTGAGACAGAGTCTCGCTCTGTTGCCAGAGCCCAGATCATGTGATGGTATGATCTCGGCTCACTGCAACCTCTGCTTTCTGGGTTCAAATGATTCTCCTGCCTCAGCCTCCAAAGTAGCTGGGATTACAGGCACCTGTCACCACGCCTGTCTAATTTTTGTATTTTTAATAGAGATGGGGTTTCACCAGGTTGGCCAGGTTGGTCTCGAACTCTGGGCCTCAAGTGATCCACCCGCCTTGGCCTCCCAAAGTGCTGGGATTGCAGGTATGAGCCACCGTGCCCAGCCTATGGCTCATTTTTGTTGTTGTATAGTATTCCATTGTATGAATATACTACAGTTTATTTAAACATTCCATTTTTAATGGACATTTGTGTTGTTTTCTCATCTTAAGCCATTATAAATGGTGCTGCTATTAACATTTTTATAAATCTCTTCTAGTGGATATGTGCACTCCTTTCTCTCCTAGGAAAGGGAGTGTTGGGTTATGTGGCGAGCATATGTTCAGCTTTAATAGATAATGCTAAACAGTTCTCCAAAGTGGCTATACCAATTATACACTCTTGGCAGTCATGTTTAAAAGTTCTACCTGTTTCACTTTCTTGTCAACACTTCATATGCACAGTCTAAAAAGGCAAGGCCATTGAAGGTAATAGTTTACTTGATATTCTTCTTTTACCTAGACAGACAAGACATATATATTTATTCTTTTCATATAAATTCAGCAGGAGCATATCGATCATATGTGTTTTTTTGTTTGTTTGTTTGTTTGTTTTTGAGACGGAGTTTCACTCTTGTCACCCAGGCTGGAGAGCAATAGGGTGATCTCGGCTCACTGCAACCTCCACCTCCTGAGTTCAAACAATTCTCCTGCTTCAGGATCCTGAGTAGCTGGGATTACAGGTGCGTGCCACCACGCCTGACTAATATTTTGTATTTGTAGTAGAGATGGGTTTTCACCATGTTGGCCAGGCTGGTCTCGAACTCCTGACCTTAGGTGATCCACTTACCTTGGTCTCCCAAAATGATGGATTACAGGTGTGAGCCACCGCGCCCAGCCAAAATGTGTATTTTTAATTGTAATGATGATATGTTCACTTAAAGAAATGCTGGAAAATTTTGGTCACTGTGGTGGTTAGGTAGTGGCATCTCATTGTGGTTTTCATTTCATATGTTTATCAGTCACTTGGATATCCTGTTTTGTAAAATGTTTCCTCAAATTGTTTGCCTATTTTTCAACTGGGTTGTCTGTTTTTCATATTGACTTACAGGAGCCTTTTTTAATATTCTGGATGAGTCCTTTTGCCAGATTTGTAGTGGAAATACAGATTTGTAGTGGAAATATCTTCTCCCATTCTGTGGCTTGCCTTTTCACTCTTAATGGTGACTTCTCATGAAATAGAAGTTCTTAATTTTAATGTAGTCCAGTTTATCAATTTATTTTGTGATTAAAGCTTTCTGTGTCCTGTTTGAGAAATATTTGCCTATTTTAAGGTCATGGGTATTTTCTTATGTTTTATTCTAAAAGTCATATTACCTTTTACATTTAGATCTACAATACATCTAAAACTGATTTTTGTGTATAGTTTGAGGTAGAAGGTCAAATTTTGTTTTCATGTGTGTATCTAACTGATCCATTATCATTTATTGAAAAGACCACTCTCTCCCCATGCAATGTGAGTTTTAATGGGCTCATGGTATTTTATCATATAGATGTGACACTTAACAGTCAAGAGAGCATTTCAGTTGACCATTTTCTTATTTATTTTCCTGATATTTGACCCAAGTGATCTAAAAGAAAAATCTATTGAAATGAGTGCTAAAAGTACCTTATTCTGTAAAGAATAAGTATCAAAATGCTAAAAACAGCCAAGCATTTGTTAAAATATGGCAAAGTTCTTAGTTATAATTCTCAGTTGGTTGTTAGAAGCCAAATAAAAGGTAGATTTTAAAAAGTGAGTTTTGACTGGAGACTTACATAAATCAATATTTGTGGAGGGCTTAGGTTAATTCTAGTTAATGATGATGCTGGCCTTATTTTATTAGATGTACATTAAGCAGATGAATAATTAAACTGCTCTTTAATATATCTGAAGACCAGTTTGGGCAAGGTAGCAAATTATTGATAAAACTTGACTTGAGAATAAATTACACCATTGATATTTATTGTTACTAAACTACTAGCAGTCATTTACTCAGTGACTTCTTTTGAGGTAGCTTTATTTAAGATGCCCCATAATTTTAAAGGTATTAGAAAGCTGGAAACTTAGAAGAGTTAATTTGACAAAGATGGCTATAATCCAAGCTTAGCTAGGAAGTAAGTTCTGTATACAGTAATGATGTACATGTGAACTTTATAAATCTAACATTTTTGAATGGCTAGAACAATAATTTTGTATGGTTGGATTTATTATTTATTTATTTATTTTTGACACGGAGTTTTGCTCTTGTCACCCAGGCTGGAGTGCAGTGGTGGGATCTTGGCTCACTGCAACCTCTGGCTCCCTGGTTCAAGCTATTCTCCTGCCTCAGCCTCCCAAGTAGCTGGGACTACAGGCGTGAGCCACCATGCCTGACTAATTTTTGTATTTCTAGTAGAGACAGGGTTTTGTCATATTGGCCAGGCTGGTCTCAAACTCCTGCCTCAAGTGATCTGCTGGCCTCATCCTCCAAAAGTGCTGGGATTATAAGCATGAGCCACCACACCCAGCCTTGGTTGGATTTACTCTGATGAAAGAAGCATGAAGTCAATTTCCCAATGGACTTTGTATATATTATAATATAGCATGATACTGGAGGAACTTGCTATTAGTCTTATTTTTAGTTACTGGGAAAGTGTCAATGATATTAATTAGCCTTTGACATGGAGTTTTTCTCTCCATTAAGTACCTATATTATTATGAAATCTAATGTATTTAATTTTAAAAAATTAACGTTATAGAGCCTAATAGTTCTGCTATTTAAAGTGGTTGTAATTAAAATAAGCAAGATGGGTTTGTGATGAATAACCTTAATTTGTTTTGCACTGGGTTGAACAGAAATGATTCATTTTACTTAAAAAATCTGACTAATCTGCAGTGCATAAAAATGCATTCGAATTCAAATTTAACCTTTAGTAATTAGTTTTTTCATAAAACTTATATTAGTATATATTTATATATATTTATCTTTACACATATTAGCCATTTTTAGTTCTGTTGAAATTATTTTAAGATGAATAAATGTGGTGAAATTAGACTTATTGAGACTCTTGCACCTTCTACTTTCACATGTGCAAACCAAACTATTATATCTTTTCAAAAGTCCTATTACCTTATTTATTTAATGCTTCTACTGAACAAAATTACTGGAAGCTAGACATTATCACAATTAGGCTTGTGGGTTATGGAGAATGATTTAGACCAGTTTCCTAAAGTCTGTTTTACAAAATACTTGTTCACATGATTAAAACAGTATTGTATTCAAACAAATCAAGACAAAACAAAAAGCATACAGTGGTCAGATTAATTTGGGAAATAAAAGTGTACCAGGTTTTCCACATGCTGAGATATTCAGAGCCTTAAATATGCTAATGTACATTGTGAGTGCCCAGGTGGTGGTGAGGTGGGGGTTGGGAGAGTAGTATTTCCCAAACTGAGGCTTCCCAGCAACTCCAGGGCTTAGTCTAGTGTTTCTGGGCTATTCTTCATGGAATGTTGGCTTATAAAAACCTGCACCAAGCCTGGCAAGGTGGCACATTCCCATAGTCCCAGTTGCTGGGGAGACCGAGGCAGGAGGATCACTTGAGCCCAGGAGTTGGAGGCTGCAGTACACTATGATTGGGCCTATGAATAGCCACTACACTCCAGTTTGGACAACATAGCAAGACCCCATCTCTTTAAAAAAAAACCCTATTTTGCCCTAAGATCACCAGTTCAGCATAGCCTCTGGCCACCCCTCCTGTAGTAGTCCATTTTCACACTGCTGTAAAGAAATACCTAGGGCAGGTATGGTGTGGTGGCTCATGCCTATAATCCCAGCACTTTGGGAGGCTGAGGCAGGCAGATCACTTGAGTCCAGGAGTTCGAGACCCTGGTCTCGAATGAAACCCTGTCTCTACCAAAAATACAAAAATTAGCCAGGTGTGGTGGTGTGTGCCTGCAGTCCCAGCTACTTGCTACTTGGGAGGCTGAGGTGAGATAATCACTTGAGCCCAGGAGGCAGAGGTTGCAGTGGGTTGAGATAGCGCCACTGCACTCCAGTCTGGATGACAGAGTGAGACCCCATCTCAAAAAAGAAAGAAAAGAAGTACCTGAGATTGTTTATAAAGAAAAAAGGTGTAATTGGCTCATGGTTCCACAGGCTATACAGGAAGTGTGGCTGGGGAGGCCTCAGGAGACTGATAATCATGATGGAAGGCAAAGGGAAAGCAGGCAAGTCTTACATGGCTGGAGCAGGAGCAAGAGATGGGGCGGGGGAGGTGCCATACACTTTTAAACAACCAGATCTCGTGAGAACTCACTCACTATATGGTACCAAGGGAGGATGGTGCTAAACCATCCATGAGAACTCCGCCCTCATGATCTGATCGCCTCCCACCAGACCCTGCCTCCAACACTGGGGATTACAATTCAACATTATATTTGGTGGGGACACAGATCCAAACCATTATCACCTTCCAAGGCTCCAAGTCTGAACTAGACCTGAAAATGTTGGTGCTTTTCTCTGCGTTTTGTTCCTGGACTGGAAAGTTACTGTACTACTGGTTTCTATATGGAAGGAGTTTGAATCCCTTTTATATCCTTGAACTAGATCTCAACCAGCTCCTTCCTTCCCTCCGCAAATATCTGAGCTCTTACTCTGCCCTCAGGATCAAGCAGTCTTGCCCTGGTTCCAGGCATCACTGGCTCCTCCTCAATTCTCTGCCGTGATTAGACCACATGATCTTATGTTTTCCTTTTTCTCTCTTACTACTCTTTAGTACACTAGAGTAGCACTTATCACTATGCTTTTATCTGTTTGTTAATTGTCTGACTTACCGCATAAGACCATAAACTCCGAGACATCAGGGACTTCGCCTCTCTTGTTCTTTATTTCTCAGTGCTTACAACAGCGCTCAGCACACAGTAGGTTCTTTAAAAGACCCAACCTCTGTGGTCAGGGAACTTGCATTCTAGAGGGAGAGAGATACAAATGTGGAATCCATGTCTTGCCAGTTTTGCTTAAGGTAAACATACGATGCTATGGGACTTCCAAGGAGGACCTCTGCTCTTGTTTGTGTTGGGGGAGTGTCAGGGATAGGCAAAGGGTGTCAAAGAAGACTTCCTACAGGCAACCTCTGAACTAAGTTTTAAAGGCCTAGTAGGGCAATGTTTTTGGCCAAGGAAACAACAACTCATGCAAAGGGCTGAAGGTGAGTCAGATGATTCAGATAAATGCACATGTCTCAGGGAGGGCAGTTGGCAGAGTGGAGGAATTGAGGCTAGCAAGTTAGGCAGAGAGAGATTGTGACAGGCCTGGGAGGTTGTGCTAAGGGGTTGGGACTTTATTTTTGAATTTGATGTGGAACACTAAAATTGGGAAAATTGTAATCATGCTCAAATTGGTATTTTGTTTCTGGTAGCAGCAAGGAGGGGATGAGTCTACAGGTGGGGAGGGCAATTTGAAGCCTTTGAAACCAAACAGATTTACTTACTGTTTAAGAGACATGTCATGCACCTTCCCCTTTCTCTTCTTTGCTCATAGTGGTTGATTTGGTGGAAAAAATTTTTTTTTCCATCTCTACATGGTCTAATGCTACCTATTGTTTAAGCCCCAGGTTGAATAAATGAATATAAGCACTGTGAGCCAAAAAGAACCAAGTGTATAACCTTGGATCTGTTTCTGAGAGTACATGGGAGGAGAGTATCCTGATCATTCATTTGTTCTGGGCATTTGAGACTATATAGAACTTTCAATGCTTTGTTGCTTTTTACATGCTAAACTCTATGTGAAATGCTATATTTACAAGGATTATCTATTTAATTCTTACATCTACCTATTTACTAGGTATCATTATTAGCTTTGTATTATGGATTAATCAACTGAAACACAGTTTTGTAAATAAGTTGTTCAAAGTCAGACCACTGTTAGTAAAGATTAGAAATCTTGGAAGATTGGCACTAGAACCATAATAGTAACATTACCTTGTAAAAAGCATTTGACTAAAAATCAATAGAGGTGGTTTTTGGTTAAAAATGAATAGCAATCATATATTCAGCTTAACCCAGTAAGACAGTTGTTATTATCCCCATTTTAATAGATTAGAATACTATGGATTTGTGCGTTTACATTAATTGTACAAGGCCACACAGCTTGGGATTTTAACCCAGGTCTACATGATTTCAAAGTCAAAGATTTCAACCACTTGGAAATGTTCCTCCTGGCAGCTCTTGTATTAATTTATTTGAATGGCTTATGACTTTAAACTCGGAGGTATCAACTCTGCCTGGAAAATGATAGAATTGGACTAGCTGGCATCTAGGACCTCTTCTGCTCTGCAATTCATGCTCTAAGAGCATCCCAGAGCCCTTGTTAATTTCTTCCCTTGTCATTCACCTTCACTGCTTTGTGTTGGATTTACTCCCTCAAATAGTGAGAGACACAAAAATAAAAATTGTGACCTGGATAGGTAGCTTGCAACGTAAGCATGGAGCAGAGTGCAGAGTGCTGGCTCCCAGCCAACTGGAAACTAAACAAGTAAATGAGATGACAACAAACCTGAAGCCAAGCTCCATACCACCAAAGTATTGGAGGAAAGCACTGGGGAAATGACCACAGCACTTCAAGGTCACTCAGAGGTCCAGTGAGAATCATGAGGGAGTAATAAAACATATGTTAACCAACTAGTGCATGTGTCAACTGTGGTGTAGGGATAGGGCTGAGAATGGAATTCTGTGAGGAAAAACCAGGACTTAGTTGATAGTCTGTAGAGACAACACTGTGTTGGAAATAAAGGCAGAAAAAAAGCAGGTCAGTTGGGTGACACCTGATCAAGGCAGTTTGTCTAAAATGGAAAGATCACATGCCATTCGAGGACATTTCCTGGGAAATGAGTTTGCAGAAAACCATGCTTTAGTGGACAAATAGCTGGGAAAGCTTTCAGGGGAAAAGATGCAGGTCATGTTTGTGTGGCTAATTACATCATATTTATTTGAGGCTTTGAGGGATGCAATTAGTAATTTGCCTTCTTAGGGTTTTCACCTCAGGAAGACAAAAGCATAGAAGATGAGAAAGGGTCAGATTTTAAGGGAGTGTAGAAAAAAAGGCTTAGTTGGCACGTGATAAAGAAAAAAAGTAGGAAAATAGAAACCTTTGTTGTGCAATCCATGTGCAATACAACTGCAATAGATCATTAGGAAGGGAGGCCCCATTCCCAAATGCTGCAGGCCTCTCTACAATTGCTTAACTGTCTCTGTCTGAAATATTGAGGCAAAGTTATATAGAAAATGAATTGTCACAGACCCAGAAACATTCTCATAGTGGAATGTTTTCCAGTGTTGTAAATTTGATGAGATTCAGTTCTTTTTAGTAAGGTTAATTTAGTCAAATTTTCAAAACTGAGGACTGGTGATTGGAGATACCCATTTCATTAGCTTTCTGTCTAACTTTTTCCACACAGAATGAGGTTCATTTAAACAAGGCACATTTACCATATATTAAAGAGACAGAATAGTGCCCAATTAATGTAAAAAATAAAGACTGGAGACATACTGACATGCAAATAAAGGGATAGAAAAATAAAATATACACTTCTAGGGTTCCAAATGCTATGAAATGAAGTTCTAAAAATGTGACCTAACTGTGATGGTGACCTAACTCACCAAACCTCTATGTCACAGCTAAGAGTCTTTGAGGATAAAAACAGGAATAACGAAACTGCTTTAGTATGAGTGGTGATATAATGTAAATAGTTCTCCAGAGATAAATGTATTAATAAGGTAGAAACTTGAGACACTTCACAGATGTTTAAGTGTTTGGGAAAAAATAGAGAACCTTCCTTAAGCAAAGTAACACACGTAACATAGTGCCTGATATTTAGTAGATCCGCAGTAAGTCTTCCTTTTCCTCCCTTTCTCATCTCTAAAGTAGTGAACAAGGGAAAAATGAGACTAAGTCTCCTTATTCCTCCAATACTTGTATTGGACTGAAGCCAGGTTTGCATAAAGCCACTGTAGGGAAGAGCACTAACACTTGTAGAACCAGGTCTAACACTTTCAGGAATGGGGCCAGCAAATAAGCATATAATATTTATTGAGCACCTATTTCATTCCAGGCACTTTATATCAGAGATTTCATTTATGCTTAAAACAATCCAGTTTCCATTTTGAAGATGAAGAACCAGAGAATCAAAAGTTTAAACATTTGCCCAAAGTCAAATAGCTGCAAAAGTGGCAAAGTTGCTCACTGTGTCTGGCCCAAATTGTGCTGTTTCTTAAACTATGCAATTCTTAAAATCAACATATAAGCCCTGAGAGGGCAGCATGATCACCTGACTGATTTGCCTTAGGGATGATATAGAGACATTAATTGCTTTCACCCCTACATGCCTTTAAGTAAACAATGATATTATTTTTCTTCTTGCAAAGATAATACTAGTTTAATTGTAGAACACTTAAACATATGGAAAAGTAAAAAGAAAAAAATAGGTCATCTAAATCTTGTCACCCAGAGATAATCAGGGCTAACATTAGGCATCTCTCTAATGCTTTTTCTGTGCTTATATATTTGTAGATATTATACAATTTATGAAATACATACATACAAATACATACTTTCTGAAAATTGATCATAATGTACATACTTGATTTGCAAACTGATTCTTGCTCATTCAAACAGATTACATATGAAGAAAGTTTTTCTAACTTAAAATTATGAGAACTGGGTATTATAACAATATTTTGATAAACAATGCCATTTGCATTAATGAAAGTGCTACAATATTTATTAAGTTTATTGAGAGTGCCAGAGGAGGAATAAAACCAGTAAGAATGTTAAAGGCTTTTTACACCTACTAAAATAATATTCATTATGTGAAGCATAATAGCCTAATCTCGCACAGAATTGATGTCCAATGCTAATATCAGTGCTGAAAGTAAACAAAGTCCAATTGTATCTCCTGTGAAACTGGAAGTTTTGTATACCCTCAATCAGCGATAGAGAGCACCAGAGTAACTTACTTTCAGATATTAGGAGACCTCAAATTACCTATTATTTTACAAGCCTGGCTGAGAGAAATAATCAGAGAATACTAAGTGACACGCCACTTACCTACTCTTCTAGGGTACTCTTAAGTTCTATCCTTGAATCAAATAAGGTATATAGGCTATAATGTGCTTAGACATCTTGATTTCACTGACCTGAGGATCCCTGCAAGAAGCAGGTATGTGAAATTCACTCCTACGTTTACTGTAGAAATGCTATCGAGGGTAGCTCTACCACACCACTTAATGCCCCCAATATTAAACTCTTTGAATTTGTTTTAGATTTCAGTACCAGGAAAACATGTCTTGCTGAGAAACATATATGCTTCTTCCTTCATCATCATAGCAACAATTTTAATGATTGTGATTTCTAACCTCTTCTTCCCCAGCCAGGAAGCTGAGAGCCAAATTTGAAGCCAAATCAAAAAAATTATGTTAATTCTTAATATTAGCATCTTCTCATGTTACTCTTCCCTGGTATTGTTTTCTGTTTTCCTTTTATTACCCTCATTGTTACATTTGTATATAAAGGACGATTCTTCCTTATTTCTTTTCTCTCAATTTAGAAAGTGAAAGCAAGCATCTTTTTTGTTAAAGAAATGTAGCATTTTCGTTAGAAATTTCATTTCACTAGAAATGAAAATACTGTTTCACCACCTGATTATTTTGTTCATCTCAATTTGTGTAATCATATAGGATTTTTGTCTTGGCCCTTGAAATTTAGAAAGTACAGCTAGCTGCAGCACTCTTTTTAATCTTGGCTGCCCGTTAGTGAACCCTTTTGACCTAATGACTGACCTCTTTTCAGTTGAGAGAATTTTTCTTCTATTATTTCTTTGATGATGATTGCTTCCCCTTCATCTCATCTATTCACTCATGAAGATAATTATTTCTTAGAAATAAACACTTTTAAGGTGGCCAATTCACCTGATTTGCTTGTAACTTTCCCAGTTTTAGCACAAACCGGATGGTTGGTCACCCTACACTTGGCTAAGCTATTGAATCTCTGAGTATAGTGGTTTTCAAACTCTTCATCATGAGAATAGAGTTTTATATATTTTTAAATCTCCAATCCATTGTGGACTGATATTTTTGAAAATACAATAAAAATAAATACAACAAAAATGAGATAAAAAATATAAAAGACAAACCCAATTTTAAAAATTATTAGATTCAACAGAATTACAGTTACTCTGTCAAATTGCTCTGAAAATTTTAAATGAGGACTCTCAGTTTCTATTGGTTGCTTGTAAAATCTGCAGTCACCTAGTGGACAAAACTTTGAATAGTCCCACTCTAGGATTTCTCTAATCTGCTCTGATAATCCCTTGCATCTTCTCCACCCCACATTCCGTTCTCTGCAGCCTGGGCTAAATGCCTTTTTTGTGTTTACATACCCCATTACAGTAAGCTGTGTACTTCCTGAGGGGCAGTGATGAAGTCTTATTTATCTTTCTATGCCCAGCACTCAGCACACTGCCAGGCAAGAAGTTTGTTAGGCTGTTGTATTTATTCAATCTTTGTTGAGGCTAGAAGAAATTACAACCAAGTTTTAGTTATGGTTGTTTTGGGAAGGATGGGACTGTGGGGGCTTTGCTTATTTTTGTACTTTTCAGTGTTTTCTAAGTTTTTCTAACACATGTGTTAAAAATGGGAAGATTTAAGGATTATTCTAACAATCGATATTGTAGAATAAGTGACATCTACCTCATCATGGCTTGTGGTCAGTAAAAAGTCCCCTTTCACAGTGTAGTTGACTTGTAGGACAGAGCCCAGTTTGTGTGAGAAAAAGAAAACAATACTAAACAATCCTTGTCATCATTGAGGAACAGGATCCTACTCTCATCCTATTTCGATTAGGAAAGTCATCAAGAGATTAAAATTACTAATTTTGGAAGACAATCAGGAAATTTTGTACAAAATTCCTCCTAAATATAGAGGATAGAAAGTGTTTCCTTTTCACACTGGGTCCCTTTTCAAGTGGCCTGTGATATTGTGAAGTTTGATAACTACCTTGTTTGTATTACTCAGATGCTGGAATAACTGGATGGGATCATTTAAACTATGAGTGATGGGGTCCTGACTTCCCTACCCAAAGAATAGTACTATTTGAACTGGCAGTTAATCACAGCTTTTTTAAAAGTGACTTATCTCTAATGTACAATATGACTAATTTAGCAGCTAAGCAATTTCATTGTGATCTTGGTGTCCGTGGAATTCCTGTCACCTATCCAACAGTTAAGTCATATTGCATAACTGTGGGGTGACATCACCATGCTACAAGATTATTGGCTGGAGACAAGAAAAAAAAGTTTCCTGGACTGTAAGCCTTTCCGGTATCTGAACGAACGACTTGTGCTGTTACTGCAGTACAGCCAGAGAGAAAAGTAAAAAGGGATTTATAGTGGCTGGCTTTTGGTGTGTCACTGGAAATCACAGTCTGTAGCACACGAGGAGATTCTCCAATGTGCCTAATTATGAGATCTCTTCCCTTTGTGTCATATTCCACAGTATCGGTCATTAAGATGTGGGGTGAGACAGCCGAGACAATGGCATTCTCTTGTAATTAGAGCATTTTATTTTTCTAAGAACTTTATAGTCTTCCCTTTAGAAGCAATACTTTAAAAAAATGCAGTCCACCATCTGCTATACACATAGAAACTGAAGAGATGGTCAGCGGGGACCCAGCTGAAAACCTTTTATGGCTGAAAGCCCGTTTATTTCCCAGGGAACTGGTATACAGGTTAATCACCACATAATACATACATTTGATTTAATTGTATAAGATATCAAACTTTAAAACTACCCACAGAAATGCCTAAATCCTGGAGCAATAGCTGATTGAAATTTGGGAATATAATGGCTAACCTTTATTGTTTACTATTTATTGTTTACCATCACTGTTCTGGCTAAAATTTATTGTTTACTATTTATTGTTTATTATCAGGTTCGAAGTAATTTACATATATTAATTCATTAAATCCTATGAAGGCAATACTATTATTATTCCCAGGTTAAGGATGAGGGAATGGAGACTGTGAGATCACAAAACTGGAAAGGAGTAGAACCAGGATGTGAATCCAAGTGGTTCAGCACCACAGCACACAGTCTTAACTGTTGCCTTGCACTGTATATTTTGTAATAATAATAACAACAACAATTATTACTACTCCTGCTGTTGATACTACCACTGCTACTTCCATCTACTAAATGCTTTTTATCTGACAGACTCTGAATTATAACCATCATATCTCTTCATCAACTCTACGAGATAGAAACTGTGCCATTATTATCCCCACTTGATAGATTAGGAAAATGAGACACATAGAAAATCAGTCACACAGACAGTAGGTAACAAAGCAAGGATTCAACCTCTGTCTAGATCCAGACTCCATGCTTTTAACCACCATACTACACTGCTTTTCAATAGCTGCCATTTATTGAGTACCAACTAATGTGTAATCCTAACAAATATCCTGCATTGTAGGTATTATTAGTCCTAATTTACAGATGAGAGAATGGAGGTCCCAAGAAATCAGGTAACTTGCCAGTTTCTAAGCAGCAGAGCCAGAATTCTTCCAACTTCATTGAACACCATTATAACACAATACCTCTAAAAATTCGAAACAATTCTGATGCAGGATGACAGAATGTAAGTCAGGTAAAGGGCTGGTATCTCAGGAGTCACTTAGTGCAAAGAGTGATATCTTGGTCTGGGCATCCCCAAGGGTGGGGCCTGGTAAAAAGATGCTGGAAGTGTCTTACACGTCAGCAGTCACTGAGGGGTGGTGCTCTGATGGAGGGGCAGTCTTCCTTGAGTGCACCCTGTTCATCTGTGAATTCTGGATGATCCCCTGAGTGTGGGCAGATTCCTCTCTCTCCCGTCAATTCTCTTTCTCTTTTCATTCCCCTTGATATTTCCAAAACGGCACTCCTCTGCCCTCCTTCGTTTAGTAAGGAGTCTTGCACATGCTCAGTTCTCTTGCCTTGTAAGGGTTTTCTCCCCACCCCCAAGCCTCCTCTCCTTTTCTAGCACATATTCAGCCCTCTGGAATGTGGCCACCCATAAGCATGACACACATTTTCAAAGGGCTTTAGAAATGCATGTGATTAGTGAATTAAATTTTGTTAAAGGGGAAGTGTATCAATACTGCACATATGTAACCTGTTAATTTCACAGTATGGGCATCCTGCCTTCAAAAATATAATAATTTTAAAAATCGGAAATCACAATAAAAAGCAAAACAAACAAAGACTGAAAAACAGTTTGAATATTGCAAGAAAATTTACCCCAGAGTTTTTAAGTATAAAGAGCCTCTGTGGTTTATTTAAATTCTTATTCTATTAAAGGAAATCAAATGTATTCATTTATTCCTGGGGACACAGAGAATAAAAATATGTATGACACATCCAGCATGTACCTAAATACTTAAAAAGTGAAGTCAAGGCCAGGTGCAGTGGCTCATGCTTGTAATCCCAGCACTTTGGGAGGCCAAGGTGGGCAGATCACCTGAGGTCAGGAGTTCGAGACCAGCCTGACCAACATGGAGAAACCCTGTCTCTACTAAAAAAAATATGTAAAATTAGCTGGGTGTGGTGGCACATGCCTGTAATCTCAGCTACTTGGGAGACTGAGGCAGGAGAATCGCTTGAACCCGAGAGGCAGAGGTTGCAGTGAGCCGAGATCACACCATTGCACTCCAGCCTGGGCAACAAGAGGGAAACTCCGTCTCAAAAAAAAGAAAAAAAAAAAAGTCAAATGTCCTAAGAGTGAAACAAATGGTAAAATAGGGTTGTTCTAATAAGGAAACAAATCCCCTGAAGCAAATGATCAGGGAATCTTCTTGAAGGAGGAGAGACTTGGCTGGAACTAACAGAACTGGTAGAACAACAAGAGGTTGATATTAGAAGTTAAGGAAAGGACAGCCCATACAGGGAACTAGTGTGAGACAAAAAGACAAGAATAAGGGATGAGGCCATGAATCCTCCTTGAGGGTAAATAGCTATTAAGTAATATAGAATATTTTATAAAAATATGACGGGATGGTCAGTTATTTGTTTGCTTTTATAGCAGAGAATAGGAAGTAGTGGAAATGTGTCTCATCTTAAAATTAGAAAGGGGAAAAGCTTAACATATTGATGTGCTATGAGTTGGCCATTCCCTGGACCCATGCATCTCCCTTTAATGAAGATAGAAGTAGACTCAGCATTATAAGCAACTCAACAGCCCCCAAAAGGTGTGCTCCTCTAAAATTCACTCCAATAACTCTCAATGGGCAGGGAGTCTACTCCTGATTAAGACCTGGATCCTAATCAGATGACCTCCTGGGTCATCTGATCTTCTCAGTGACCTCGGGTGAATCATCCCATCTTCCCTGCTCTGAGTTTATATTGCTGAAAAATTGCAAGGTCCTTCTATTCAGAGAGTCAGTAAATAAGGTATGGGAACTTCTCTCATGTGCTGTTTGTGGTCCTAATCAGTGACTGGGGATGGATTTTTTTTTTTTTTTTTTTTTTTTTGAGACGGAGTCTCGCTCTGTCGCCCAGGCCGGACTGCGGACTGCAGTGGCGCAATCTCGGCTCACTGCAAGCTCCGCTTCCCGGGTTCACGCCATTCTCCTGCCTCAGCCTCCCGAGTAGCTGGGACTACAGGCGCCCACCACCGCGCCCGGCTAATTTTTCGTATTTTTAGTAGAGACGGGGTTTCACCTTGTTAGCCAGGATGGTCTCGATCTCCTGACCTCATGATCCACCCGCCTCGGCCTCCCAAAGTGCTGGGATTACAGGCGTGAGCCACCGCGCCCGGCCGGGATGGATTTTTATACCCAAGACTTCTGTAAGATAAATGAGTTCACTTTGGTTCTTCACTGACAAGTGCTTTGGGATGTGGTCCTGAGGAGATCACTTCATTCGCTCATTCAGATGTTGAATGAGTGCCGACTGTGGTAGTCAGCCTCCAAGATGGCCCCTGATGACTCCCTCCTTCCTGGTATGCATGCTGGGTAAGTGCCCTTGGACATTTGTCAGTGGTGTTCTGTGGGTCCAATAGCATACGGCAGAGTGATGGTATGTCACTTCTGAGATAGATGATTGGAGAAACTGTGGCTTCTGCCTTGTTCTCTCTTGGATCACTTCCTCTGGAGGAAGCCAGCTGCCATCTCATGAAGACATTCAGTGACCTATAGACAGGGCCATGTGGAACTGAGGGCCTCTGCCAACAGCCAAAGAGAATCCAATGCTTTTTGTCAACAGTTCTGTGAGTAAACCAGCTTAGAAGCAGATTCAGCAGCCTCAGCCAAGTCTTTGGATGATGCAGCCTTGGCTGGCACCTTGAATTGAGCCTTGTGAAAGACCCTGAGAACCCACTCATCAAAGCTGCTCCTAGATTCCTGACTCTCAGAAACTGTATGACACAGTTAATGTTGGTTGCTTTAAGCTGCTAATATTTGGGGTATTTTGTTAACATAGCAACAAACAACTAATAGACCTACCATTTGTCTGTTCCTGTGCCAGGTACTGGGAATGAATATAGCTTAAGAATTTGCCTTCTAGAACCTAACAGTACTCAGGGAAAAAAAAATCAAAACCAAACAAACCAAAACAAGACCCAGGTGTATAAGTACCTACTTACAACACAGTACAACAAACGCTGCGAGGGAAATCCCTACAAGTGCTGTAGGAGACAACAGATATATAATAACGCACTCTATTTGGAGAGAGAAGGGGTACAGAAAAGCTTCACAAATAGACATTAGCGATTAGTCTCTAAGAAAAATCAGGACTTTTCCAGGCAAAAAAGACAGAATAAAATATGCAAAGACCCAGAGGTGGGAGACCCATGGTGTGCCTTAGGGAATGTGTTCAATTCCATGTAGTTATGGCTAAGGATTCATATGAGGATTCCCTGCTAGGGAAGATCAATTTATCCTAAGATATGAGAAGCCATTGACAGATTTTAATGAGGAGATTGACAGAATCAGATATATGTTTTAGACAGACAGCTGGTGTTGGATCACAAGGAGGGCATGGTAGAATTAGAGACAAGGAAAGATGGAGGCCGTATAGAAAACTACGGTAGTTCTTTACAGTAGCTACCCACGTTAGAGACTAGTGAGCTTCTGATGTGATTGTATCACTCATATTTTTCACTGATCATGTATATATATTTTTTGAGACAGAGTCTCACTCTGTCATCCAGGCTGCAGTGCAGTGGTGCAATCTCACTACAACCTCCACCTCCTGGGTTCAGCAATTCTCATGCCTCAGCCTCCCAAGTAGCTGGGATTACAGGTGTGCGCCACCATGCCTGGCTAAGTTTTGCATTTTTAGTAGAGATGGGTTTTGCCATGTTGGCCAGGCTGGTCTTGAACTCTGACCTCAGGTGATCTGCCTGCCTCGGTCTCCCAAAGTGCTCGGATTACAGGCAGGAACCACTGCACTCGGCCAAGACATATTTATTATATATTATTACATATTCAGACATAATAATTTTTTTTGGTTTTCACTTTGAAATGATTTCAGATTTATGAAAAAATTTCAGGAATAATGCAAGAAATTCTTATATACTCTTTACCCAGCTTCCTCAAATGTTAACATGCTATATAACCACAGTATAATTTTTAAAATCAAGACATTGACTGGGCCCGGTGGCTCACACCTGTAATCTCAGCACGTTAGGAGGCCAAAGTGGGAGGAACACTTGAGGCCAGGAGTTAAGAGATCAGCCCAAGCAACATAGGAAGACCCCATCTCTACAAAAAATTAAAAAGTTAGTTGAGCATGGTGGTGTGTGCCTGTAGTCTCAGCTACTGGAGGAGGGGGTTGAGGTGGGAGGATCACTTGAGCCTGGGAGATCGAGTTTGCTGTGAGCCGTCATCAGGCCACTGCACTCCACCCTGGGTGACAAAGTGAGACTCTGTCTCTAAATAAATAAATAAAATCAGGACATTAAGATTGATACGCTTTTAATTAATCAACTGACTTTATACAGATGTTCCTTGTTGTCTGATTAGTGTACATTTTCTGGTCCAGGATCATACCTTGCTTTTAGTTGTCATGTCTTGTTAGTCTCCTTTAATCAATATCTCAACTCTTCTTTGTTTTTCATGACCTTCACGCTAATGAAGACTACTATCCAGTTATTTTGTAGAATGTTCATCAACCTGGGTTTAGTTTATCTAATATTCCTCATGATTAAATTTAGTTATGCATTTTTGGCATGAATACCATAGAAATGATGTTATGTGTTCTCAGTCCATTGTATTGAAAATCATATGGTATTGTTATGTCTCATTACTGGTAATGTTAATTTTGATAACTTGGTCAAAATTTTTTTGCCCAGGTTTTACACTATAAAGTTTTACACTATAAAGTTATTGTGATTCCTTTTGCAACTAATACATATTTTTTGAGAAGATACTTTGAGACTATGCACATTTCCTGTTTCTCATCAAAACTTTCACCCACTAATTTAAAAATTATTGGATTAAAATTACTTTATTAATGCTTGAATTAATAATTATTTTAGTGCTTGCCAAATGATGAAAATCAGGAGATTTTGAATTTTTTGTCTGGTGGTTTTGAAACATATTCATAAATTCTTTGGTATTCTGTCTTTTAAAAAAAATGGAGCCTAATTCCCCTTTCCTTGTGTGTGAGCTGTACAGTAGTTGGCACCTCTTTTCTAGTGAACAGTATATGGCTGAAGTGGCTTCTAAGGCCAGATCATAAGAGGCATTGTGGTTTACTTTTTGATCTTTCTCTTGGATGACTCATTTAGGGAGAAGTCAGCTGCCATGTCATGAAGACGCTCGAGTAGCCCTATGAGATTCCCATGTGAACAGAAATTGAGTCCTCCTGCCAACAATCAGCCATAATTTGCAAGACACGTACATGAGCTACCTTAGAAGAGAATCCCTGGGCCCCAGATAAGCCTTCAGGTGAATGCAGCCCTGGAAGACATCTTAACTGCAACCTCATGAGAGACCCTGAGCCAGAACCAACCAGCTAAGGCACTGCCCGATTCCTGACCTACACGCATGGGGGTGTGAGATAATGTTTATTGTGCTAAGCCACTAAGTTTTGCTATAATTTGTCATGTAGAAATAGATAATGAATACATGCTGGCAGGTAGGAAGGAAATCATCAGAGACATGTTCAGGAAGAATTAATACTAGGAAAGAAAGTGTACCCCCACCCCCACCAAAAAACCATGGATATGTTTTTTATGCATTTAAAAATGCATATTAAAATTATAATGAGATTCTACTTTTCATGAGATCAGCTAAAATTGAAATCTGATAGTACCAAGTGTCTCATACACTGCTGTCAGAACATAAATTGGTACAATCAGTTTTCAGAAAACAGTTTTACATTACCTAGTAAAGGTGAAGTTACACATACCACCAGATAGATTATCAACATCCTACCCTTATATGCACACACCAGAAATAAGTGCACATGTACATCGAAAAATATGTACATCAATGTTCATAGCAGTATTACTCATAAAAACCTGAAACCAGAAACAAGTATCCCTCAACGGTAAGAAAATTGTGGAAGATTCATTCACTAGCATACTGTACGTTAAGTGAAAATCAACAAAATATAGCTACAGGCAATAATGTGGATGAGGCTTAAAAACAATGTTGAGTGGAAAAGGTCCCACACAAAGGAATATATATAGTATGAATCTATTTATGTGAAGTTCAAAGGGAGGCAGAGTTAAGCTATTTGTTTTAGGGATGATTACTTAGGAGGTAAATACATAAAGAAAAGTAAGAAAAGTGAATACCATAAATGTCAGAATAATGGTTTCTTTAGGGAGGATTATATACAGGTTGTGATTGGAAAGGGGCTATGGGTGGGGGCTTTCGGAGGTGTTTACAATATATCATTTCTTTTTTTTGTTGTTTCCTTTAAAAATCATTCCTATTGGCCAGGCATGGTGGCTCACTCCTGTAATGCCAGCACTTTGGGAAGCCGACGTGGGTTGATCACTTGAGCCCAGGAGTTCAAGACTAGCCTGGCCAACATGGCGAAAGCCCGTCTCTACTAAAAATACAAAAATTAACTGGGCATGGTGGTACACACCTGTAATCCCAGCTACCCAGGAAGATGAGGTACAAAAATCGCTGGAACCTGGGAGGAGGATGTTGCAGTGAGCTGAGATTGAGCCACTGCCCTCCAGCCTGGGCAACAGAGACTCTGTTTCAGAAACAAAAACAAAAACAAAAGCAACAACAAAAAAAATTCCTATTGAAATTTAACTTACATGTGATAAAATTAATGTAACATTTTATATATATTATATATAAAATATATACTTATATATTATATATACTTATATATAATGCATTATATATGCTTATATATAATGTATTATATATGCTTATATATTATATAATACATCTTCTAATATATGTGTGTAATATATAATGTAACCTGTATATCAGTTTCACAGATGTTAACTTAACAAGCAAAGTTCATTGAACCATGCATTTGTATTCTATGCACTTTGTTATATATCACAGTTTAAAAGGTCCAAAGTAGAGTATAGACAGGCACAGTGGTTCATGCCTGTAATCCCAGCACTTAGGGAGGCAGAGGCAGGAGGATAGCTTGAGCTCAGGAGTTCAAGACCTGACGGGGCAACAGAGCAAGATCCTGTTCTCCACAGACAGGAAAAGAGAAAGTAGAGTATAAATACAGCATAGGATCTTGAAAATCAGACTGGATCAAAAGGTGACCATGAACTAGCAATTAAGGTTCTGTTTAAAAACAACTAACACGTGTTGGGACATAAGAATTAGGGTAGCACACAATAAACTATCTCCTGGCTTATATTTTTTAAATATCACTGGGTGGGTCAGTAGTCTGAACCTGGTTGCCAAGGCAGTTCCTAAACCTGGGGAGTATGACTGATAAGTTTTTCACCTTGACAGCAGAAAGCAGTTGGGCCCAAGAGAGGGTAGGCTTGATGCTAGCAAAATTATGAAGATGAAGCCTTAAGTACCTTATCTTGTTTGTGCTTGCCCCTTGCTCTGCTTCTCTACACCTTTGGATTCTCAGCAGCCTGCTGCTTTTCTACACCTTTGGATTCTCAGCAGCCTGTGTATTTGTGTACTTATCCCCCTTCCCTTCCTGTCATCTACCCATTTCCAAAGCCAAGGCAGGTCTAAAGTCCTGCTTTGTTGACTTCTGGTTCAATCAGGGGTGTTTCTATCATATCACACTGGCTGAAGGTATTTGTACCTTAACCTTGATCTCTGATTATGAATGAAAGGTTTTGGGTCCTATTAAAGAAATTTTCATCACCACTGACTAGTTATTTGAGGTGTATTTTGGGTGAGGTGGGCCTTGCTGCCCCTGGGGTAGCACCTTGTAAGCTCTGGTATGGTATGCCCTGGGGAGAAGGTGTCAGCTAACTTTTAAAAATCACTGCAGGTGATTCAGATATGACAACCTGTATCCTGTATGACAACCTGCCTTCTGTCCACACCCCGTCTCTCAATGAGAACCACCTTTTACAGGAAGGCCACTCATAAGCAGATATATCTATTTATTCATTCATTAAACAACTATTTCTTGAGCTCTAACTGTGTCTGGCTATGGGCTAGCACTGGTGACTCAGGGTTGAACAGAAACAGGCATAGGCCATGCATGGTTTAGTGCAAGACACACATTAATCAAGGCAAGCAGGTAAATGTAAAGTTACCAGTCAGGTAAGTGTCGTAAATCTGGGTTTACTCAACATAAAGACAGGTGAATTGAGAGTTAGCTTAATAATTATGATTTTCAAGTATAAGATGAATAAATTATGTAGAGGAGAATATTATACACTGTAAAAAAGACATAAAAAAGGAAGTTTGCTGTAGCATAAAGAATTTAAGGTAATGGCTACCATAGTCAGAGGGCCTGCTCTGTGCCAAGCATGGTGTTATTTTATTTTATTTTTTTATTTTTGAGACTGAGTCTTGCTTTGTTGCCCAAGCTGGAGTGCAATGGTACGATCTCAGCTCACCATAACTTCTGCCTCCTGGGCTCAAGCAATTCTCCTGCCTCAGCCTCCCGAGTAGCTGGTACTACAGGCATGCACCACCACGCCCGGCTAATTTTTGTATCTTTAGTAGAGACAGAGTTTCATGTGAGCCAGGCTGGTCTCGAACTCCTCACCTCAAGTGATCCACCTGCCTGGGCCTCCCAAAGTGCTGGGATTATAGGCATGAGTCACTGTACCCAGCCTGCTGTTATTTTATATATTAAAAATTTTACATAAATATATTTTACATATTTTTATATTTTTATAAAATAGTGATTATATATTATCATTTATTAAACTCATATATATTGATAAAGCCTCACAGAACCCTACAGAGATTTAAAAAAGCAATACTTAGAGATATTAGATAATCTGTTCTAGGTCACCCAACATATATATATTTAATAACAGCTTTATTGATATATAATTCACATACCATAACATTCACCCTTTTAAAATATAAAATTCAGTGGGTTTTAGCATATTCATGTACTTGTAAATTACCACTATCTAATTTTAGAACATCTTCATCACCCCCAAAGAAATCCTGTACACATTAGCTTCTACCTTTCATTCCCCCTCACCTCTGCCAGTTCCTGGTAACCACAAATCTACTTTCTTTCTGTATGGATTTGCCTATTCTGGACATTTCAGTAATGTTTTCAAGATTCATTCATGTTATATTGTATATCAGTACTTTGTTTCTCTTTGTTGCTGAGTAATATTCCATTGTATGAATAACCTCATTTTGTTCACTCTTCAGTTGATGAACATTTGAGTTGTCTCCACTTTTTGGCTATTATAAATAATGCTGCTATGAATATTTATGTACAAGTTTCCATGTAGACATATGTTTTCAGATCTCTTGGGTTTATTTCTAGGAGAAGAAATGCTAGATCATGTGGTAACTCTATGTTTAACATTTTGAGAACCGCCAAACTATTTTCCAAAGTGGCTGCATCATTTTACAACCTATCAGCAATGTATGAGGGTTCCCATTTCTCTACATTCTTGTTAACATTATTTAAGGTATCCTAGTGAGTGTGATGTGGTATCTCATTGTGGTTTTGATTTGCATTTCCTCACCAGCTAAAATTCATGAAATTCAGATTCAAGTTCAGGTCCAAAGCCAGAGTTTTAGCCACTGTGCAATACCATCTCTCTCATGCTCCTAGAAGTAAGGAAGAATACGTTGATAAGATTGTAACGCACTGGATTGAATTTTAATTATCATCTGGGTATTCACCTCTAGAAGCTTTTAAAAACAAGGGCTTTTTTGTTGTTGTTGTTTTGTTTTTTTGAGACAGTCTTGCTCTGTCACCTAGGCTGTAGTGCAGTGGCGTGATCTAGGCTCACTGCAACCTGTGCAATTCTCATGCCTCAGCCTCCCAAGTTGCTGGGATTACAGGTGTGTGCCACCACACCCAGCTAATTTTTGTATTTTTAGTAGAGATGGGGTTTCACCATGCTGGCTAGGCTGGTCTCAAACTCCTGACCTCAAGTGATCCTCCAGCCTCAGCCTCCCAAAGTGCTAGGATTACAGGTGTGAACCACTGCACCCAGCCCGGTTTTGTTTTTAATCTAGGATATAATAGCTATGGATTAAATTCAGTGATGAGCTGGTAAATGGTTGACAACCAACTTGGGGTGCCACAGTGGGGTGGGGGTAGCAGGAGGAGCTCTGATTTGTAACCACTGCTTATTACCATAATGTGAATACTCCCACCCATTACCGATTTCAAGCTACCAACTTGATGTCTGTCAGCCAGCTTGCAAAAATCCTGAAAATGTAACAATCAGCTCTTGTGAACAGTATGAGCCTGAGCCAGCTCCAACATACAAATTCTATAAATTCATTAAGGCACTTTTTGAATTACAAATGTCTTTGTACATAAGAGAAAATGAAATGATCACTAGTTACAGAAGATATAATTACATATGTAGAAAAATCTAAAGTAATTCATGTAAAATTAATATAAGCAATACACAATTTCAGCAATGGGACTAGATTAAATAGTTATACAAAAATTATCTTCTCTCGCAAAAATAATTAGTTAGCAAATGTGATGGTGAAGATTTCCCCATCATAGTAGCAATGAAACAATAACAGCAACAAAGCCTTAGAATACCTGGAAATACATTTAATAAAGAATGTACAGTTTCTAGAAGAATAAACATCAGAAATTCTTCTGAGGGGCATTAAAAAACTTTGAAAAAAAGGGAAAGATGTATGCTGAGATCTTACAGGAAGACTCAGTATTATATAATTATTATTTCTTCCTGAAATATTTTAGAAATCAAATGCAATCTCAATTACAATCCCAACAAGATATATTTAGAAAATCAATAAGATGAATAGAAAGTTCGTTCATCTAAAAGAAAAAAACAAAACAAAAAGAGGTGAGGCTAGGAAAATTTTGAAAAATAAGACAAGAGAAGGCTAATTTTTAAAACAACAAGCATGTATTTCAGAAAAACAAAATACAGTTAATTGAAAAGAAAAAGAAAAAGCAAACAGAGAGAGACAGGCCAGCTCACCTCTGGAGTGCAAGAGCATTCCTCAGCCATGTGTTCCCTTCCTCTTGTGAACCAAATGGAATGAAAGTGTGGAGGGAGGGTGTTAAGTGACTTTCTGAGCTGTGTTTTGAAATGTATTTCTCCTTAGTAACAATGTTATAAACAGTGCCGAGGTTCCAAGGCTAGCCCAGTTCTATCATAGGTTAGGTACAGGCTTCTAAGGCATATCTTATAAACTCAACTACCAAATTTAATATGGATCCCACTGTATGTGTTCTAGTCTCCAACTTTTGGAATGCATCGTTACAGTCAGTAGGGAACTACTTAGACAACTAAGTATAATGAATAAAGAGTATTTTGAGTGTGAATGTGGCATGTTATGGCAATATGTTCAATGTTTTTAATTCTCTTTCACCATAGACTTTTTTTTGATTTCTCATTTGCTTATTTGTGTAACTTATAAGATAATTACATATTTAACTTAGCATTGTGAGAAACAAAATTGATAACATTGCTTTAATCTCCTGAATGTATAATATGTTCTTATTTCTGAACAGATACATTTTTCAAGATATGGAGGAAATAAGCAGTCCAATCTCCACTGAGCTGTATATTTTTTCAGATGTTTCTTCTGGAGTGAATATTTACGGGCTAGATAGAATTTCTTGAAAATAGACATGTCACATTCTTGTTTATATGTAACATTTATTACAACTGGCAAGAAATGATAATTTAAAACTAACTTTAAAAAATGAGTTCAGGACAGGTGCGGTGGCTCTCGCCTGTAATCCCAGCACTTTGGGAGGCCGAGGTGGGCGGATCACTTGAGGTCAGGAGTTCAAGACCAGCCTGGCCAACATGGCAAAACCCCATCTCTACTAAAAGAAAATATATATATATACAAAAATTAGCTGGACTTGGTGGCACATGTCTGTAATCTCAGCTACTTGGGAGGCTGAGGCATGAGAATCACTTGAACCCAGGAGGGGGAGGTTGCAGTGAGCTGAGATCGCACCACTGATCTCCAGCCTGGGTGACAGAGCAAGACTCTGTCACACAAACACACACACACACACACACAGGAGTTCAGGGAAGTTTAGTTTCGAACTAATTTATAGCTTGAATACTTTGAGGTAATATTTAGATCAATTTATTATTCACTAATTTTGTTGAAAATTTATATCATGACTATTCTGATTCCATCTCAAGGCACGAGGTTACTCTCAGTGGATAAAAACTCAGCTACAGCTGAGGTTATTGAAATGCCATGCATATAAGCATCCTGGCTCATTTTCAATTTGCCTATGTATGTGGGTAGGGTGTGTGTGTCTGCATGCGCCCACAATCCTTAAAATTACGTGGAATATTAACAAATAATATCATGCACATCCGATGTTTGTGCAATAATATTAGAGAGAAAGAAGATTATTCTCTGAGACCCTCCAAGCATCTTGCTGATAACTAGTTTTATCCTTTGACACCACAGTTTGAGGCCGCAGCAGCCTGCTGACACTCAAACAGTGAGTTAGTGACAGGCTCTGCAGAGAACAGAGCACTTCTCTGTCCACAGAATTCCGGGCACCAGGACGAACACATATGCACTGTAGACTTTGAGTATTTTTATATGACTCAGTATAAATGTATACATTCATAGCCTCATGAGCGCATGTCTGTAAATATGGGGTCTCAATAGCTTCATGCATTTTCCTCACTAGCCAGCGAGTTCTCTGGCATACTTAATCAATCCTCTACTATTCTTGGATAGGAAGTACTAAATTGCTGAGGTTTTAACAAATACCATGTTTCACTTAGGCAGTGTAGAAATTATCCCAGTATAAGTACATTACTATTTTTATGTTTTTGATTTTTAACTTTTATTATTTTAAAAATAACATAATGTGTATTCATAATGGAAACATATAAAATGCAGATAAGTAAAAAGAAAAATATACCTGATCCCACCATGTGGAGATAATAGCAACCATAATAAATTTGATGTATACCTGATTTAGACTTTTTTCTATGCACTTATATACATGCATAAAATTTTTCACAAAAATAAATCATATAGATGTCTTAAAACCTTCAAACCCTGCTTTTAAAATTTAATATACCATAAATACCTTTCAATTTCCAACATAATATTTAATGGCTGCAAGCCAAGAATATTTTAGCTGAATAGGACTGGGAATTCTTTGCCCCAAAGATCTTACATTAAATTGAAACGTAATCATCCCAGGGCCTGGCCTCCTGAGGGTAAGTTGTACCACTGTGGCATCAAAAGGTAGCCAAGAGGCACTGTTTAAGGTAGCTGGGTGTCTAGGTGAGTGTGTGCATGTGTGTATGGTACTTCACAGTGTGGAACTGAGCTGAGAGTAGAAAGAGGTGTGAACTAAAGCCCTGGGCCAGGAACCAAAGACAAGTGTCTGGGTTTGGATAGACCCACACTGCCACTGAGAATTCTAAATTTAATCCCATCTTCCAGATAATTTTGAGGCTTACATTTTTTAAGGAAAAAAAGAGATAATATTTTTTATTTAGTAGTTTGCTTTCATAACTTTAAAACATTTTGGCACATGATAGGTGTATTATCCTTCATTTGTACTTGAGGCAGCCCCTAAAAATGTCAGGAGCAGGCCTGAATACACAGATTATATACTTCCTAAATTTCTAGAATGTATAATAATTGTTTTATATAATAATTTACCTTTCTATATGAATGAAAAGGAGTATTACATGAGTGCTCATTTATTGACTGGCTAAGGTTCAATTTAATATGATATTTATTGAAACTTCACCATACACCATATTCTACTGGGTACAGGATGAGAGGCAAAAATACATAGGCCAGACCCTTACAGGACTCCCAGTCTTCTGGGGACCTCAGACTGTGAAATAATTATCCCACAGAGTGATAAGTGCATCAGACAAGTGTGAACATGGTACAGAGCCACAGAGAGAAAAGAGTGGACAACTTCAGGGTCAGGACCCTGGGATCAATTAATTTATCTGGACAACTATAGCCTCACAGAAATCTTTAAAAAGCTGTATAAACCATTCCATCCAAGATGAGTTATTGTAAGCCTTTGAAATAGTTGAACATTTTAAATTTTTGATAAATTTGGTAGGTTGGTCACTTGACAAATTGATCATTCAGGAATTCACTTTTAGTAGATGATTTTTACCTAATCAGCCTGTTTCTTTGAGGGGCTGATCTCAAGGTACATTCATAGAAATTCCGTCCATGCTGGGATTTAAAAAATACATAGGAAGGCCAAGTGCATTGGCTCAGGCCTGTAATCCCAGCACTTTGGGAAGCCAAGGCGGGTGAATCACCTGAGGTCAGGAGTTCGAGACCAGCCTGACCAACATGGTGAAATCCAGCTCTACTAAAAATACAAAATTAGCTGGGTGTGCTGGTGCACACCTGTAATCCCAGCTACTTGGGAGGCTGAGGCAGGTGAATCACTTGAACCCAGGAGGCAGACGTTGCAGTGAGCTGAGATTGCGCCATTGCACTTCGGCCTGGGCAAGAAGAGCAAAACTCCTCAAAAACAAAACAAAACAAAAAAACACATAGGAGTTTGAATGGGAAGGCATGTGGTCAGTTAATGAGTAAAAATACTCTGTGAAGAGGGAACAGCACATGTGTCAGCTTGGAGGCACATCATGGAGTGGCACATTCTGAGAACAGTAGGTGGTTAAAATTGCTAGAGGACTGAGGTGAGGAAGCAAAAGGAGACAAAATTGGAGAGAAAGACAGGGCTACAACCTGGAGGGTTTTGTGGTGCTGGGTTCCATGGAGTTTTATCCAATAGGAAATGGAAGCCATTGAAGGATTCAAAGGCAGGAAGTGAGAACATCAGACTGCATTTTAGACAGACCGTGCTGGCAAAGGAATGAAGGATGAATTGAAGGGGAGTAGTCTGGAAGGGGGGAGTTCACTGCTGAGAAGGGAGCATCCACAAGGGTCATGATAAGGGCAAATTCTGAATTCAGAGTGTTGAGATTCAAAACTGCTTCTATGACTTAGCAAATGTGTGTGTGGGCAAAGCTGGTTTCCTCATCTGAAAAATACAATAATAATAGCTGTGAAGATTAAAAGAAACAATACATATAAAGTGCTCAAGGAAGAGCCTGCCATATAGCTCTTAATACATACTAGCTATTATTTTTAAAATGTAATATAATTATTATATTTAGGAGTTCAAAAGAAAGATATTGATGGTCAGGCAGTGGAGGTGGGTGTGGGAATAAGAAATATAAGGAGTGGATTTGACAGGTCTTTTTGGCGATTAGATTCAAGATGAGGTAGGAGGAATTTGGGAAGACAGGAGCAAGAACAAGTGGGATGGTGGAAGATAATGAATTTTGCTTTGGACATGGTGAGTTTTAGATACTTTTGGGTCATAAAGGATATCCAGTGAGCAGATTGATATGTAGGCCTGCAGCTCAGTAAAGAGAAGTGAAGGCCACATAAGCAAAATGCCAGGGTAAGAGGTTGATCAGAAATAGCTGCACTGATGTACAAATGCTATTTCATCTATTTGGCCCTTGATGCATGACGTCTGTTAGTACTCAGAAGAGAGGGCACCTTAATAGCTTTCTTAGGTGCAATCTCCACTATAAAAGCTTTGCTTATCAACCCAACTAGGTAGGGCTTCTTTACTCTTACACTCTTTGTTATGGACTGAATATTTGTGTCTCTTCCACCCCACCAAATTCATATGTTGAAGACCTAATCCCCAATGCTGTGTTATTTAGAGATGGGGCCTTTGGGAGGTAATGAGGGTTAAATGAGGTCTTGAGAATGGGCCCTTGGTCCTATGGGATCACTGCCCTTATAAGAAGAGACACTACTCTGTTAACATACACCAAGGAAAGGCCACGCGAGCACACAGTGAGAAGGCAGCTGTCTCTACAAGCCAGAAGAGAGCCCTCAGAGAAACGACTCTGTTGGATCTTGATCTGATGCTTCTAGCTTCCAGAACTGTGAAAAAACTTTCTGTTGTTTAAGCCACCCAGTCTATGATATTTTATTTTATTATGGCAGCCTGAGCTGACTAGTATATCCTTGTATAAGGGGTTCTTTGTATTTCTCCTATGGGTTGGTCTTTTGTTTCACTCTCTTTATTAGTATATGTTTCTTATCACTTCTTCCACCTTATAGGTAGCTTGAAGGCAGGTCTTTCCTTATACTTATGTTAGCATTCCCTGTGGTGCCCTGCACAAGGTTTTGCCCAAAGGAGATGTTCAATAAACATTTGATGACCTCAAGATAATGCAGTAATTTCTGTGAAGAAGGTCACAGATAACAAGCTTAGGGCAGGAGACTAGGCAGCATTCAAGACTTGGGCTCAGGTAGAAACGGCAAGATATAGGATTTCAATGTGAAATTTGGAGATTAGCAAGGACAGAGGTTCTCAACAATGATCAGTGAGAAAAGTGAAATGGCCAACATGTCTCCAAGTAAGGCATATTCTTTTTTGAGTATTTTGCACTTTGCAAGCCATTATGTAAAATTATGTTTTGGCTTGGCTGCTTCAAATTAACTTTGAAAAAAAAATTGTTTTTGAGTTACAGTTTGTCTAAAGCAAATGAGTTTAAAGGCTGAAATCGAGAATGGGTCATATCCTTAATAATTTTATGTAGTAAAAGATATTTTTAAAAGAACTACCAATCAACTGAAAAATCCAAAAATCCAACAATGGCAGCCACTGCCCCCCAAAGAAATGAAATGAAACAAAACAAGCAAAACAAAAAATATTTTGTTTATTGCACTTCAAACTCTAGTTTATTGGGAACCACTTAAAATTGACATAATGTTCTTAAGTGGAGATTCAGGGGTGATGCTGTGATTCTGTGTATTTTCTGCGGGATGCCAAGTGTGTTCTGGGGGTCATGGTAGAAAACAGAGAGGGACTTTGCCATAAATGTCTCAAGATATCCCTCTGTGAGGATAGAAGAAGTGGGGGAGATTTATTTATTTATTTTCTCTGGAGCATCCTTCATTGCCATCTTGCTAATCTCCTGAGTGCTACTGGAAACAAGGACTTTCTAGTATCACCAGCGCTGAAGCCCAACAGTACATGGGATGAAAATGGAGTAAAGTTGACTCTACCAACCTATCCACCTAAGAGAAACCAGCACGTGGATGAATGGATGTCACAGCCTGGAGCAAACTCTTAGACTTGTGTTCTCCAATAGGTGAGCCACTAGAGCCACAATTGGCTGTGAGCATTCAAAATTTGGTCAGTCCAAATTGAGATTGAGATGTGAGTGTAAAATATGCACTAGATTTCAAAAACAGTTAAAAGAATGTAAAATAACTCATTAATATTTGCTTATTAATTACATGTTGAAATAATATTTTGTATATATTAAGCTAAAATATGTTATTAAAATATATTTACTTGTTCCTTTTTTAATTTGGTAACTTGAAAATTTAAGATTACATATGTGAGTTATGTTATATTTCTGTTGGACAGAGTCTAAGGCTTAACACCACCAATGGACAGATGTATATCCTGGTCTTGACAGAACGCAGAGCTTGCAGGAATTTGTTTCTTTTTGTATGAATCATGCCAAGTGGTGTATAAATGCAGTTTTATTGTTTGTGTAATAGCCCTCTGCACATCCAGAGAGTCTTTTTATCTGAAGATCTCAAACATTAATTAATTCTCACTGAATAGCTGAGGAAGGCCACTGTGTGCACGCGTGGCCTTTCCTTGGTGTATGCGCAAGTAAAGAGAGTAGTGTCTCTTCTTATAAGGGCAGTAATCCCATAGGACCAGGGGCCCACTCTCAAGACCTCATTTAACCCTCATTACCTCCCAAAGTTCTATTTTACAGATGAGAAAACTGAGGCATTGGGGAGATTTAAATAATTTGCTTAGGGCTACCTAGAGTAGGGTGGCAGAGCTCAGAATAGAGAATATGAGTAATATGAGTCATTGTAAATAATCACACATCTACCAGCAAATAATACCTTTTTTCTCCAATCAGGTGAACTCCATCAAGGTAGGAACCATGCTTTTAATACTATTAATACTATTAATATTTCCAACTAGTAAAATACTGAATGTGCAGTGAATATTACAAAATAGTACAGTAATAGTCATTGTTATCAGATCTAATACCTTTTGGCATTAACTATTAGATAAAGTACAAAAGTGGTAAATACATGGTCTTTTTAATTGTATGCAATTTTTCAAATGCCGTCTGAGGGAAGGAATCATTATTATCTGTTAGTTTGAAAGCAGACAAGTAAATCCCACCTTTGATTAGTTCACTTGTTTTTAAAATTTCATTTCCTACTTTGAAGAGAAGACATTGCAAGCAAAAGCATGTTGCTCCAGATTTGGATTCCAGACTGGCAGAGGAAGGACGAAGCTTTGAAACTCTGGTGCTCTTAGTAACATTCTTCTGTCATCTTCCACTTGTGATATAGCTCTCCTTTTATAAGCTCGGGCATTAGAGCTTTGGTGAGTGAATTTTCTCAAAAGAGGCCATCTTTATCCAAGTTAAATAGGGGAGGGAAGGCCATAAGAAACACACATCAGGCTTCCTGGACAAAAGCTACATGGAGCAGTTTTTCCCCCAGTCTTCACATTATTTTTTTCTTGCACTGTGTAAGAAAGAAAGAGAGAATAAAATCTGCTACTACTATGATTACATTTCCTTTGATTGAGCCTGATTGTCAATGGTACTCTAAAATACTGGGCCACTAAAGTGTACAAGTTTAGGAGTAGAAATGGGGAGTTATAGAAACCATTTATTCATTTCCTCAACAATGTGTATGTATCCTGTATTATGTATTCAAAAAATATTGATCACAAATGCATGAGTGAAAGATTTCTACATCTCCCTAATTCTGCTCCTTCTAAAAATCATTTGAATAAAGTATATTTTCCAAGAGTGGTTGAAGGATGTTAATTTTTGCCAATACACAATTGTATATACAGGGGAGTATGTTCATATAATGCCCTGTTTACTTTCATTGCTGGTACAGTTAAGCCTGATCAGTTCTCAGTGTATCATCTTGTCCTTGTGACAGGAAATATGACTAGAGTGCTGAAAGGTTTTTAATTATACTCAAGGTTACCTCAAATAATGATAGTCTACTTGTGGGCACATGTCTTAGAGGAGAATCATAGTCTGTGCTTTGTGCATGAGACAGATTCCTTCATTTCCTTTGCTTTTTGCTTGAACCGGAAAAATGGTTCAGAGAAATTCATGCATACTTCCCTGCCATCCCCACCCAGCAATGGTGAGGCTGACGCATGACGTATAAGTTAGTGTGAGGAGAGTTTCAATACCTTTGGTATCTTTGATACTCCAGGCTCAGAATGGAATAGGGGTTGGGGAGGCAGGAGTGAGTAAATGACCCCCCAAGGAAAATGCTGCAGACTCCATCTTAGAAAATCCTCTGCAATGCCAGGTGTGGTGGTTCACGCCTGTAATCCCAGGACTTTGGGAGTATCACCTGAGGTCAGGGGTTCGAGACCAACCTGGCCAACATAATGAAACTCTGTCTCTACTAAAAATACAAAAATTAGCTGGGCGTGGTGGCACACACCTGTAATCCCAGCTACTCAGGAGGCTGAGACAGGAGAATCATTTGAACCCAGGAGGCGGAGGTTGCAGTGAGCTGAGTTTGTGCAATTGCACTCCAGCCTGGGTGACAGAGCGAGACTCTGTCTCAAAAAAAAAAGGAAATCCTTTGCACTGGATATTTTTATTCCTTCAATGCTACTGAATTCCACTTTGGCAGTGTGAGGGTGTGAGGGCAGGGGGAATAGGAAGGGTGAGGTAGGGGAGATGATATATGCATGTTGAGTCCTTTAAAAACTTCCCCCCAAATGGTCTCTGCAAATCTCATTGGTCACCATTTCCTGCCATTCAGTTTGCCCAGATGTATTTAGTTTCTGTTGTTGCAAAGCCATTCAGCACCCCACCACCAGAAGAGGGTAATATTGGTTCTAGCACATCTCTGTTGGCAGAGAAATCAGGAAGACTTTGAAAAACAGTGATCGTTTAACTTTGCAGTATAATGGATGGTTTTGTAGGCCTTTTTAGCTGACTTTGAAGTTGAGATCTTTTACACAATTAAATCTAGTTGTTATGGGTTCATGCCAGTCAGAAAGCACGAAGAGTTGTGTTTTTCAATACCTGGAGGAAAGAGGCAGTCATTGCATGGATTGACGCCTCAGAGCCCTATAGTCTACAAAAAGGTCTATAAAATCCAACCATCTTCATTCTTTCAGTAACTATGCTAAATCTGTAGTAGCTAACCTGCCAGGAAGTATTGTCTGAATGACAACTGAACAGACAGTGGGGATAATCATTCCAACTTAGATACGTATTTAATAAAGCTTATGCAAAATATAAAAAATTTAAAATGATACATTGAAGTCATGAGAATACAATCGCCTTTGAGCAGAGTTAATGAATTGATGCCATTTCACAGCAGGAGAAGTGGGGAAGGTAGGGGGAAAATAATAGACTAATGGAATTTCAGGGTGTTTGGAATTCAAGAAGCAAATGTTTCCACTTCTGATGAGCCCTCTAAGGACAATTCCTGGAACATGGCCTGCAGAAATTCTGTACAACCGCAGCCCTCTCACTTCTCCAGCAGCAGCAAGACACCACCGGGCAAGACCATGGTGCTTTCTGCCCAGGCTCTAATTCATGCCTGCAGAATAACAATCTGCTCTTGGTGCACCAAGCACAATGCAAGCCCTCTAAGCTGCCACTCATGCGGGGCCTGCTAACACTCCCGGCCCTTGTTTCTGATTCTTGGCATTGTTGGCGCAGGGAGTGTGGGGAGAGTCACATACTTCCATGCTGGGAAAGGCAGGGCCCCTGGTGGCCCAGCAAGTCATCAGACAGCCTGGGCAAGAGCAGCAGCCAGATGAGCTAGAGGGCAGCTTGAACCTCTTGGCAAACTTGCCAAACATTGAGGAATCTGGGGATTGTGGTTCCAAAAAGTCTGGTTTCTTTTGGAACCAGACTGAAGCATGAATTTGAGTTGGGGACAAGGGATCCCCCAACTCAAAAAAAAAAATCCACCTCATTAAAAATTCCTTTGGCATGGCATATTGCTACAGAGTCTGATTGTAGTGCCAGTGTCTTTCTAACACCCTTCAAATAACAGTGCTGACAAATTCCTAAGCAGCCGTCAAATTACATGATCTTGACCTGGTTGGATAAAAAGTGATGCTAGCACAAAGGTGATTGATTGAGGATTATGACAGTCAGACAGATGACACAGTGAATATTGGAAGTATTAATAGCAAGCTTATTCCTAATCTTTACACTGTAGGCAAAAGAAGTAACATGTCAAAAACACCACAGAATATTTTTATTATGGGAGGAGGCAAAACGTTCTTAAGCTTATAATGTAGTGGCACCTTATAGGTAAGACTTAAAGCCTCAAAGCTTTGTTTTAAAGCAACGACTGGTGTTGATTCTCAGTCAATTTAAAGGATGAAAAGGGCTGTAAAACTATTTTACGGTAGGAATAATAGCTACCACTTTTTAAGCACTATGTTACAGGGATTTTAAATATATTAGCTAATTTAAGCCTAATGGCAGCCTTGTCAGGTAGGTACCTTTGTCCCCAGTTTATATACAACTGCAAATTCTGAGACAAAGGATAGTTAGACAGTTCTGCCTGATCCCAAAGCCAGTGCTCTTCAATTCACTGCAGTAAGCCACCTCTCTGGAGCTGAAAGGAGACATGAAACTAGGGACATGAGATAAATGGATTTTTTTTCTCTAAAGAATTGCCATTTTTCTGGATCTTGGATAGAGCTTTATCTTGAGAAGTAACCACGCTTGCTCTTCACAGACAAGATACAGCAACATCTAATATGGAGAAAAACTGTGAGCATTTCCACTTCTGATTAATGAATCAAAACTGAACCAATAAAGTCTAGCCTTTGTGACAGTTCTTTGTCTCCTCCTTGGCCAAGAATTTCTGTACACACTGAGTCAGAGTGTCAGCACTCTCTTAACTTGGCGCACGCAACTTGACATGAGTCACCAGAAGGATTTGAAACTTCGGGTTGGAAAAAGCCACTGCTGTTAAGTTGGTACAGACAAAAATATTTGGGCGTCAACTCTTGTGTTCCTGGATATAGCTTGTTCGTTCATCTGTGTGTTGATTCATTCAATAAATATTCTAATGTACCCAATAAAATACAAAATACTGGGTAAAAAGTTTAATTAGTAAACAAACAAACAAACAAACAAAAAAAAACAGTGAAATCAAGTGTCTCACCTCAACCCCTAGTTTCTCTGTTGAGGGACAATCACTGCTAGCAGTTTCTTGGAGGATCCTTCTAGAGATATTCTAGGCATATTATGTGCCTTTCCCTTGGTTTACATAAGTGTTATTGCACCCCTGCAATAGCCTGGGCACTGATTTATGTAAAGTGATGATCAAGACTTGGGCCCTGTCCCTGAGGAGGAAATAGAACATAAACCAACTTCCACTTTATGATTGACAAGTTCCCTGATTGGAGGTACTTATAGGAGTGGTGGTGGTCTGAGTGAATCAGGATTGAAATATCAATGTGTCTTATCAGCTGTCACAAGTAAATTGTTGTTATTAATAGTGAAGTGCCAGCATTTGAAAATTATTTTTTAAAATAGGATAACATGTATTCCTGTGATAATTTCAACCTCACTTGCATCCTAATTTGCTTGTGAGACAGAAAAGTGTGGAGATTAAGCTGTTTCACTGAGAATTGTGCGTGACGCTGGACACACCCATGGTAGGTTCTCTTGTGAATGTGATCTGGTGCATATCCCAGGGAGCTGAACATTTTGTACAATCAGGGTACAAGAAGAGCATAATTTCTTCATTTTCTGGGGGACAATTAGAAAGTTTTCCCTAAATAGTATATGCTCCCATTTAGTGGGGTATGGTTTTCCTAGTTGCCTGGTTTCAAAATATTCATCCTTACAATGGAAGGGAAGTCAGGAAGTGATAAAACCTCCCATCTGGATTGAATACAGTTTGGGACAGTAGTTTGTGCACGGTGAGGCAGATAACACTTTGCAGATTTAGGAGACAGCTGAATCTGATGCATGTGGATGCAAGCTACTGGTAGAAGGCTTGGAGCAAATCCTTTCAATGCAGCTTGGATTTATGGGAGATTTTCAGGCGCCTGTAGGCTTTGAAGAGGCGTACAGTAGTATTTGGTTCACAAAGAGTTCACGTTTACTTCGGTTCACCTGGATTCTCACTCCCAATTGAGTTTTATTTCCAGTATGCTTGTAAACCAACTCCAGACTCGGATGCAAACTCGGCTCAATGTCTGATAGGGAGTTAAAGAGAGAAAATACAAAATGGCATAAATGAGTTTCACATGATTTCCAATCCAAGCTATGAGCTGGCTCTGGCTCGCTCAATCAGCCAGGAGCAGAAAAAGTTTTGCAAACTTCAGTGACCCTTGCAAAAAACCTGGTCTACATCCTGCCTTCAGGAGAAAACCCAGAACCGGTTAGATGTGCCCTGTTTTGGTTTCTATTACAGCTTGCCTTGCAGCCGTCCTAGGAGAGACTGTGGCCCAAGTACATTCTCCTCTTGATCTTCTAAATGTGCCCCTCTAAGGGGCAAGAAGGTTTGCTTTTATTATGGCACATAAGGCAAAAATGTGTCTTGGAATGAAGCACAGCTGAATTGCTGAGGGCAGGACTATAAAATACAATCTTTCCCAAGGATTTTCTTCCTTAGGAGCTCAAATGGCAGCCTAGCTTGACAGCAGGGGCTCTATGCTGACTTAAGTTTTTATATCATGTCAGAAAAATATAAATATAATTATCTTCCTTCGTTAAAGAACCCACAACCCAAATTTGTACAGTTAGTCAAATTTCAGTTTAAAAAATACTGAAATATGTTATTATCCTTTTAAAAGTCATCTGTACAACACTATGATATAGGGCATAAGGTTTGAGAGGGATTTTTTCTTCCTTTCTTCCTTTTTTTCCTTTCTAAGTCATATGAAGCAGAACTAGATCTGAGTGAAATCTTGCCTTTTCACGTAGTTTTTTTCCCTAGCTAAGTTAAATAAAGCACAAAAAGAGTGCATTTCCCAAGTACCTTATGAGATCCTGTCAATTTGTTTCTTCCCCTTGCTTTGAAAACCACCCCTAAAGAGATAAAATTACTTGCATCGATTCTTACAGAAAAGCAGCCAAGGTTTTATTAAAAACATTGTCCTTCGTACTCTTGCATATTTTCTTTTTCTCCCTAACATGGAAGGACATCAAATATAAAAGAAACGCAAATGTACAATACTGCCTCTTTCATCTTTGCTCAATTTCCAAAATCTTCCAACCCATCGCTTTACTTTTCTTTATTAAATTTTAAAGCCGAGCAAGTGGAATGCTGCATTTGAATTGTGAGGCTATGGGGGATGTTGGTGAGAGACTATCTGCATTGTTTCATTCAATTCTCATAAACTCTTCTCACCCTGTATTGGGATTGGCGAAATACTTTTATACCTTGGGGAAGATGTTCAAACTAATTGGTTTCCTATAGAACTCAGGATTCTGGAAGCTCATGATGCTTGATGTGACTGGATTCTTTAGTAATTAAAAAAAAAAAGATGAAAAAGTGTCATTGATACCTGGTTGAATATACAAACTTTAAAAACAAGTTCAGAGTTTTCTCTCAAATGCATACAGTGTATTACAGAGTATTTCTTGGAAGAGCAATCCTCTGAAATACACATGAAAAATAATTTGATGACTAAAAAATAATGAAAAAATGTGTGATGATCTGGATTTCTTGCTTTTTAAAATTTCCAGCTTGATAGCGTTCACTAAAACATGTCCTTTTGAAAAGCGATCTCTAAAAGCCATAGTCATGAAGCAGACTGGCAAAATAAAGGCAAAATATCTGTGATAAGTTAAATGAAAAAAAAAATTCAAAATTTTATCTTTTTTTAAAAAGACTAAAAGGAAACACATCAAAAGAATAGCCTAGAATTACTTGTCATATTTTTCTTTTTTCTATTTTCATTCTTTCTGCAATTTGGAATAATTACCTTTCTAACAACAATAATACAAAGATCAGCTATAGTCCTTATATTTTTAGTGGGTCTGATTTATCCTGGACTGCCCTGTGCTTGGAGATGCAGACCTCTGATTTTTTAAAAATATGTGCTTTAAACACAGAATAGCTTATCAGAAACTGTAATTGTGTTAGATAAAATCTCAGCCCTAAAAGAAAACAGTACTGTACGTGCCAGGATAAGCATTTTGAAACCAAATGAATAACTGAGGTTATTAGTTCAACGATGAGCACACCTGAGTTTTGAGACATATGACCCAATAGCATATGGTGAAATCCTGGATCCACAGAGAGTGTCTCATATTCACTAAACTCATCAGAATGAGCATTTAGTTCCTCTAAAGCAAGGTGCAATAAATCAGGGGAAAGCTGCAGATCCTGTCAGACCTGCTTGCATTCCTTTCCCCTCAGTGATTCCTTAGTTCAAGAGGGTTCATCCTTTGGGAATGTTTTAACACCCTTTGAAAACAGTGCCAAAGTCCAGGGCTTTGACGGCTTGATAAAACCTTATTTTAGGCCAAGTGCGGTGGCTCACGCCTGTAATCCCAACACTTTAGGAGACCGAGGCGGGCGGATCACCCGAGGTCAGGAGTTCGAGACCAGCCTGACCACCATGGTGAAACCCCGTCTCTACTAAAAATACAAAATTAGCCGGGCATGGTGGCGCATATCTGTAATCCCAGCTACTCGGGAGGCTGAGACAGGAGAATCGCTTGGACCCGGGAGTTGGAGGTTGCAGTCAGCCGAGACTGCGCCATTGTACTCCAGCCTGGGCAACAAGAGCGAAACTCTGTCTCAAAAAACAACAACAAAAAAAAACAAAAACAAAAACAACAACAACAAAAAACACACCTTATTTTATCCTGAGATGGAGAAAAATCAGCCTCTGGGAGGGGCTAAATTATCAAAGGCAATGCCATGTAGCAGCAGTAAGTTAACTAGCAGATCTTGGAGAGATGAGAGCCCCTTTGAACTTGCTGGGAAGTTTAACAGCGAGAGTGGAGATTCCTGGGAGAATATCTGTTACCAAAAGACGATAAAGAACTAGTAAGTAGCTTTCCAGCTGGATAAAAGACAGGAGATAGAATCCATCCGGCTGCAGATCCGTGTTTAATTCTTGCACTGGGGGAGGGAGTGAATGCATAGAATTTATGGGATGGCGTTGAAAATATAATAGATGCCCAAACAAGAAGTTGGGCAGATTCATTTTTCTTTTGTATTATGGACCGGAATTTAAAATGTCAGTTTGAACAGGGAATTAATTGGACTTGCTGGGATGACAAGTCATGAGCCCTTAGGGCAACTGGTGATTTACCGATGCCAAGGCCAGCTCTCTTCCTGGGGACTCTCTTTGAAGTCAGGGGATGTTGGGAACACAGGGGGTGAAGGGAGGAATGGAAATTAGGGTGAGAACGGGCTTTGTAGTGGTATCATTTCTCCAAAACAATCTAGTGCTTTTCCCTTCTTCATTCATTCAGCAAATATTTCATGACCTCTCTGTGCCTGGCACTCTGCTGGCATTTGGGATTCAAAGATGAATACAGGAGAATTCATTGCTTAAAGAGTCTGGAGGTAATTTCAAACACTGACAAATTTCCTCTTCCTATTCTTATTAAGAGGAGCAGCCTGGAAGATGCATTGCCCTGTATTTCTATAATCTTATGTCTCTAATTTAAAGACATTTCAAATTTCATATAATTTTACTCTTTTTAGTAAAGGCAATTCATTAAATACATAAGATGTTATTTGAAATGCTTTTTTTTAACCAAATAAACTCATTTATTAAAAAAGAAAATCCCCCAAGTCAGACAGAGTTTTCATTCTGATTTTGTTGTTGTTGTTTTGGTAGAGACAAGGTCGCACTATGTTGCCCTGGTTGGTCTTGAACTCCTCAGCTCAAGCAATCCTCCCACCTCGGCCTGCTGAAGTGCTGGGATTACAGGCATGAGCCACTGTGCCCAGACTAATTGTTGTTTTTTAACAATATAGTTTCTATATTGATTTCACAAGCCTCCTTTTCCATGTGTTGAAATCCATGGATTGTATTAGAAAGACATTTGACCTATTGGGGGAGATAGATTATTATTGTTTTTAAATCAATTAGACATCTAGCTAGGCTGAAAACAACCACTAAAAGGTTTTCGTTTGTTTACTTGTTTTTGCCTGGCAGCCATACCACCAAAGTACAAAGGCTTGTTTAAAAAAAAATCTGTTTTGCCTATCTAAACCTCTCTAAAAGGAAGGAAATAAAATTTTGTAACTTTCCAAGAAGTGAAAACCAATTAACATTTTAAAGTCACATTACACTCATAACCTCTAATACATTATTTTCAGAAGAGCCATTTCTGCTGAGTCAGAATATAAAATAGGATTCAAATACCTATTTCCTTAATAGATTTAAATGACTGTGACTAACAATCTCAATATTTCTTGTTTTATGGAAAAATTTTAGTTTCTCAAGGATCCCATGGGGATTGGACATGATGGTGTTTAAGGGCCTCTAACGATCCCTGCCTTGGATATGTGTAGTCCCCTCCCACACTGCATCAGGATTGGTCTGTGAATACGGCAGAAATGATGGTATGACTTTTCCTAGGCTAGATCACAAAAGACCTTGTGGCTCCTCTCTCTCTCTTTCTCATACATACATCATTCCATCCAGGGGAAGCCAGATGCTGTGTTGTGAGGACAGTCAGGCAGCCCCATGGAGAGGCCCATGTGGCAAGGCATTGAGGACTTCTGCCAATAGCCATATGAATGACCATCTTGGAAGTAGGTGCTCCAGCCCTGGATAAACCTTCAGATGACTGCAGCCCCTGCTCAGAGCTTGACTGCAACCCCATCAGAGACCCTGAGCCTGAGACACTCAGCTAAGTCACTCGGAGGTTCCTAACCTACAGAAACTGTGTGAAATAATAAATGTTTATTGTTTTAAGCCGCCAAGGTTTTGGGGTAATTTGTGATGGAGTAACAGATAACTAATACAAAGACCCTTTCAAAAGTGAGATTAATTGATTCTCTGATTCTCATACCACACTGGTAATAGCTGCCATGTGAAATATTCTTACTGGAAGCCATGGGAAGTTTTAAATCTCTCCAGATTCCTGCACATTGCTTGCATTAATTAATACATATACCTGTGTATATCCATATATACAAAGTTAATGCATTTTTTTCTAAACATTTTTTGAAATTTATTTTCAATTTTAAAGACAATATATGCTTATTAAAGAAAATGTGAGGGGAACGTTAAAAAAGATTACCCATAGTTCTAACACCCATAGTTCTAACATCTATAGTTAGCACATTTGAGTGTACTTCTCTATATTTTCTTTCAGGGTGTTTAAAAAAGTACTTGTGATCATATGCTGTATAACCATATTTTCACCAAGTCAAATCCACTTCCTTTAAAGGCAGAGCCCAATAATGTGCTTTGCTCATCCTTGTCATTCAGCTCCCTGCTCCGAGTGACAGGTTCTCAGAGAAATCAGATGCAACTATGTCCTTAGCGTGCAGATGGCTCATGAGGGTGTCATGTGTTTGGAGCCAGGCCCTGGCAGGGAGTGACCAGTGCCCGGGGTGCCAGACACATGGAAGATGATTTACATCAACAGGCAGTTCCCTCTGTGCATATTCTTTTTATTTTCAGTACTAACATCTGTGTGAAGGGCCAACCCCTGTCCCCCACTAACTTATATTTATATCCACAAATTTCTTATGGGAATCAACACTCCCTTATTCTCTGCTCTTCATAGAGGGCTGCAATGCTGGCAAAGTGTAGGCATCAGGACCCTCTCCAAGGCCCTGAGAGGGGTTCTACAAAATGTTCAGATGGTTATACGTTTTTGCAAAATTTGCAAAAATAAAAAACTTGAATCACAATTGGTTAAGACTGCTACATCTTTCCACTCTGCCCCATCCCCGAACCCAACACACATATACTTTCCTTTATGCAGGGTGGTGCTGAGTGGTCATGTGAGAGCATTTTATTGTTATGATTTTTTTTTTTTAACAGAGCCTGAAAAATTGTGTAAGTTCCAGGACTTAAAAACCTGGATATACCTCTTTGTCTCTGAATTGCAAATATATACATAATATATTTTTAATATAAATATATATCTGTGGTATTTATATATATATATTAACAGCTTTTTCAATTGCTTTGTACTGTGAACATAATTTATTATTTGCTAGCCTTATTTGTTAAGTCAGAGGAAATTTCAGAGCCATGAGGGTTACAGAATGAGAGGATTTCTAATGAGCTCAATGTGTTCTAAATGGTTTTATGTGATTCCCAGGTTTGCTTCATCAGAATCCATAGGTTCTCAAGTGGCGCTCCTCCTTGTGCTCGCAGAACCCCGCTTATTGACTCTACAGATACTTTTTGCAGAAAATGGCTGCCTCTTTGCTGTCTACTGTGACTCTTCAACTAGGAAAGAACCAAATAGATTTAACCTACTCAACTCGACACTTCTGAACAAAAAAGAATGCAGAATATATAGCACCAACCAGGTGAGTGTTCCACTCTATAAAAGACTGTGCTGCTCTCTGAATGTTTATTCATTTTACTTGTTGATCAGAGGAATTTATCCTTCTTTTAAAAAAACTTTTGAAATTTTAAAATCAAATCAGTGCCTGCTGTAGCAGCCAGGAAAATATGATCTTCAGATGTCCCTTTAAGAGGACCTGCGGCCGGGCGCGGTGGCTCATGCCTGTAATCCCAGCACTTTGGGAGGCCAAGGCAGGCGGATCATGAGATCAGGAGATCGAGACCATCCTGGCTAACACGGTGAAACCCCATCTCCACTAAAAATACAAAAATAAATAGATAAATTAGCCGGGAGTGGTGGCGGGCGCCTGTAGTCCCAGCTACTCGGGAGGCTGAGGCAGGAGAATGGAGTGAACCTGGGAGGTGGAACTTGTAGTGAGCCGAGATCGCGCCACTGCACTCCAGCCTGGGCGACAGAGCGAGACTCCGTCTCAAAAAACAACAACAAAAACAAAAAAAAACCTGCTGTGGGGCACATAGCAGAATGACAGCCCCTAGCTGCCACATCTTTGGATATACTGCGGCATTCATGCTGAGCCATAGCCCTCTGGGCTGCTCCCAGCCAATGACTGAACACTGAAGTGGTGCTAGGATGCCAGCGCAGGCCCATCCTCCCTGACACAGAACTCTGCTAGTGGGCAACTTTTGCTTAGACACTCCCTATCAGCTCGGCAAGTCTTTCTCAGAACTGCTCTGGGTTCCCAGGCTTTTCCTATCCAGCCTTTCCTTGCCCTTCTCTCTTCACAGGTGGCAGACCTGATCTCAATCCCAGCTTTCTCCCTGTCCACTCCTGCTTCCTCCTCCCTTTATCCTTCACAGGCTAAGCATTAAACATCAAGTAAGTAAACATCAGGTCCCATCTAAGCATCGGCTTCTATGAGCATCTGAACGGACATACGTACTCACTGTTAAAAATGAGCAAATCCAGAAGGGCATATACGAAGAAGCCACAGTTCCTCCCCTTATTCTCTCCTGCCCTGCATTTCCTCACATGAGGAAACACTTTAAACAGTTTCTCTTATAGCTCTTTGACAGTTAGTTCCATACTCCTAAAATAAGTTTATGCCATGCTTATTATTTATTTGATATATATTTTAGATATTTGTTATATACACATAAATATATGTAATATATTTGTTATCTTTTTCCATAATATGTTTATGCCATGTCTTTCTTTTCTTTTTTAACCATTGAAGTATAATGGACACAAAATAAACTGTTTATTTTTAATGTGAGCAGTCTGATGAATTTTGACATTTATATATGCCACAATCAAGCTATTAAAAAGGGCAAGGGGAAACTTTTCAGGGGTGAGCATATTCATCATCCCTGAAAGTTTCCTCATGCTCCTTTTAATACCCCCACCACCTCTCTCCATACTCTCTGATCTGTTTTCTGTCACTATAAGTTAGTTTTCATTTTTCAATTTTAAATAAATGGAATCTTATAGTATGTGGTATTGTTTTTCTGGCTTCTTTCGCTCAGCATAATTAATCTGAGATTCAACCATGTAGTTGCATGTACCTAATTCATTCTTTTTTGTTACTAATATATCTCATTGTATAGATACAGCATGATTTGTTTATTCATTCATCTTTTGGTGGACATTTGGGTTGTTTCCAGTATGGGGCTATCACAAATAAAGTTGCGATGAACATTTTTACACAAATGTTTGTATAGATTTACATTTTCTTTTCTCTTTCCTTTCTCAGAGATCATTGTTCTTCATCATGGGGCGTCCAAAGTCCTGAGCGCCGTTGTTTCATATATTTTATCTGGTATTTTAGTTGTTTCAGGCAGGACGGTAAATCTAATCCTTCTTACTCCATTCGACTGGAAGTGGAATTATCACATACCTCTTTAGCTAATCGTAGTCTCCCTTTGAGTGATCCAATACCACTTCATGTGTAGTGTATGAACCCCCAGTATGCCTATTTTTTCCCTCCCAGCCTTTGTGCTATGATTGTCATACATTTTGCTTTTACTTGTTATAAACTCTTCAATACATTATTACTTTCCTGTTTCTTTAGTCAACAAGTTTAGACATTATCTGCTGATTTCTATAATGTTGGCTATGGATTTAACTCACTTATCTTTCATCTTCCAAATCTGGCCTTTCTTTCCTCCACTTCCCCATAAATTGCCACTAGTTTTAGATTTTTTCTGCTATTAACCGTTACCTGTGTAACTACAAAAAATACACTCACATCCTTACTTCTAATTCCATCAACCATTTGACAATACCTCTTAATTCTTTGATTTGTGAGGTGAAAGTATGAAAGCCCTTACCCTTTCCTTCATTTCTTGATTCCTCCTAATCTCAACCAAATGCTTAATTTTAACTTATGTTTTCAAGAAAAAAGAAAACAAAAAACATGAACCTCATTCTGCAACTACCCCTAAGTCTTCCTTTTTAGGCTAACCCCGTGGGTTGATTCTAAGAGTTGAAAATTGATCAGCAGTGATTACATTATGACTATGTAAAGATTGTTCACTTCTTAGCTGCATAAGATACTATGATTTTATATCTTTTTTTCATAGCTTTGTGATTTTCTTGGAATTTCTAATTATTTCCTCCTCTCCATCCCCATCTTTTGCATTACTGTGATTTTTTTTACAACTTGATATTTCAATTTCTTAAAGATAGCACCAAATCTGTGGATTACTTCAGCTCATATACATTTTTTTTTCCAGATACCTGCCTTTTAAAACCCTTGTCCCGCCAGCTCCAAGCTGGACTTTTCTTCTCTAGATTTATTGAAAAGCTAAAATGGAAGAGACAATTAAGCCATGTCTTCCTTCCATTTTTCTCTCGTTTGGCTTGTTTCTTTAACTCCCTATTTTTCTCTTTTTTGGTTTACTCTCTTGTTTTATTGGAACACATCCTTGAATCACTTCTATAAGAAAGGTATATGGGAGGTAAACTTACTAAGTCCTTCCATGACTTAGAATAACTTTATTCTACTCTCCAATTATACTGATAATTTGATTGAATGTTGACTTTTTCATTTAAAATCATTTTTCCTCAGAACTTTGAAGGCAATGTTTCATTGTCTTCTAGAATTCAGTATTGCTGAAAAGTTAGATGACAATCTGATTTTTTGGGAAAAAAAGGCAATTTTTTTTTTGCTTTGAATGTTTTTTGGATTAAAAAATCTTTGATATTCTTAAATTTCACCATTCTGTGACTGAATATGGGTCATTTTTCATTCATTTTGTGTAGTATTCTAGTATTTTCTTCCTCCTTTTTTTCTTCAGTCTAAAGACTCAGGTCTTTCAGCTCTGATAAATTCCCTTTTAAAAATTTGTTTGTATTCTCTCATTGTGTTTGTTTTTTTTGGAGCTTCTACTCACTGGACATTAGCCTCCTGGATTTGTACATTACAATTTAGGCTTTTTTTCACATTTTTAAACTACTTGTATTTTCTACTTTCTTGGAGATTTCCTTGATTTTATCTTTTAATCAATTTATTAAAACTTTGCTTAAATCACTATACTTTTAATTTCTAAGAGGTCTTTCTTATTTTGGGTCAATCCTTTTTTATAGTATCCAGTTCTTGAATTATAATCTTAATATTTTTAAATTCTGTCAGAGAATTCTTATAGTTAAAATATTATTTTTTAGTATGTATTCTTAAAATGTGCAAGTTTGTGTATATCTTGCATGGGTAATGAGTGTGGACATGTCCATGGACATACATTCCTCAAGGGTTGGTATTTAAAAAATCTACTAAGAGATTATTTTTCCTTTTGGTAGAATGCAACTTTCTTCAGTGTAAGTTGAGTTTTCAAAATATGGAGTTCACATGTTCAGAATATGTACTTTCTCACTTAACTAGACCAACTGCTGCATTGAATTTGCTTTAGAGAAATTTGTTTTTCTTCTCTCAAAAATTCGGGAGTTCTTTTCTTTTTTATTGTATATTTATATCTCGCATGTCAGTTGATGATCTGAAGCCAAGGGACCAATACTGGGTAATGTATGACCAGAGCCAGATGAGAATACTTAGTAGCTGGGACAGAAACTCTCGCAAGTGTTTAGAAACTGATGTCCTCTCAGAGCAGTCCTGGGATGTAGATGCAGTGGGAGGGCAGGGGAGAAAGGTCATTAATCTGGTAATTGACCCTTTCAGCATCTGCTTTCCTCCAGATATACTAGTTGGGTGATCTAATTGCATGGTTGTTCAGAGTTTTAAAAGTATATGCAAATTGATAAACTATGCACCAAAATAGTAGCCATGCTTATTTCTGGGTTTCAGGATATGGGGTGTTATCTTTCCTTTAAAAAAATATATATCTGGCCAGGTGCAGTGACTCACGCCTGTAATCCCTGCACTTTGGGAGGCCAAGGTGGGCAGATCATGAGGTCAGGAGTTTGAGACCAGCCTGGCCAACATAGTGAAACCCCTTCTCTACTGAAAATACAAAAAATTAGCTGAGCGTGGTGGTGGTCGCCTGTAATCCCAGCTACTCAGGGGGCTGAGACAGGAGAATCTCTTGAACCCAGGAGGCGGAGGTTGCAGTGAGCTGAGATTGCGCCATTGCACTCAAGCCTGGACGACAGTGCGAGACCCCGCCGCAAAAACAAAAACAAAAAATATATCCTTATTTCTAAATTTCCTACAATGAACATAACTTATGTAATAAGAAAATAATTTATTTTTAAAGTGTATGTATGAAGCTTTCTTCTGAATCTCCATTTACTATGTTGAAAGTAGCAAAAAAAAAAAAAAAGTAAGTAAAAAAATAAATTTTAACTCTAGAGCTAATGACTATACCTGAGATGAAAAGACTAAACTCCTTCAATGGAGAGGGCCAAGAATGTGATAGAGAAAGGGGAAGGAGAGTGGGTAAAAATATTGGTGGGGAGGATATACAGAAGGAGGTGGGAGCAGAGAGAAGAGGCCTCAGGTATATACTCTTCTGCCCTTCTCAATGCTGACAAATGGTGGAATCATGACTTTGGATATAGTCTGGATTTGCAGATGGAATATAATTGAAATTGGACAGCTGAACTTTCAGTACTACTGTGGTGGAAACTCATGAGGTAGGTTTCTGCCCTGGTATAATAATTCAGAAATAAGTTACACATGTGGTTGGATGGTATGTGCATCACTGACTGCCCGTTTAAACAGGCAATATTCAGATCACCCATACCACCCAGGCAGCCTCTGCTTTGAAGAGGGCTTTTGAGAGAAGGCTGGCTTCTCCCTACTGAGGATCTATTCATTTGTAAAATCAACAAATGCAATGGGACCTGTACTGAGATTTTTACTCAGAGGCCAGAGTTTAAAATGCTGTCAGGATTGAACGGAATGTAAAAACCACATCACCACAGAATTGCATTAATGAATGATCTGGAAGATGGACTGAAAGTAAAATTTTGATGTACTCTCAAGAGAATGAGAGCAAAACATTGGAATACAAAACTGACTTTTGTATTCTCTCTTTGTTAAAAGGAGGATAAATGTTATCCATTAGAAAGAGTCCATTCTTTTTTGGGAATCCCTATAATTCAGGAATTTGCATCCATGGGCATTATTGAGAAATGCCAGTGTTTAGAAATCTTGTGCCTTGAACAGCTTGTTGGGCTATATTTTAGTATGTTTGAGTCACACAACGACCAACTGACCTAAGAGACTTATTTTAAAATTCTAAGCCTGGAGTATCTAAGAAGACTTTGAAACCAACCCCTAACTTTAGGGGAGGTCAAATTTAATAATCGCAAAATCAAACTACAATCTTATATTGTATAACTGACTTAATGATTACTGCTAAAAGTGAATTAACAATACCTAACAATAAATCAAAGGACAAATACTAACTGTGATATGCCTCTCAATATACGACATACCTGTCAAATTGAGTCACTTTCAAGCTTATCATGAGTGCAATGACTTGTTATGTCTTGTCATACCTTTTTAAAAATATATACTGTCAGTGTCAGGAACTGTGGCTTCTTTTGTTTTTCTGTATTCTGAGAGCAAGGGTTGCAAACCTCCCACTCTCCAGCCACTCCCCCAAAACACACGAATATACTCAAACAGCATAATTTTTATTGGCTTATTCTTAAGGGTGATATCTTAACATCTTGGTGTAACAAGAGTTTCAGAAACATAATAACACCAGCTAATGTTTTTGTGTGCTTGCAGTGTGCCAGACAGTCTTTTAAATGCTTTACTTGTATTAATTTATTTAATCCTCACAGCAACCTGATTAGATAATATGGTCATTATGGATTGAATTATGTCCCCCCCACACACAAAAAGATATGCTGGAGTCCTAACCCCTCAATACCTCAGAATATGACCTATCTGGACATAGAGCTTCTACAAGAGTAATCAAGTTAAAATGAGGTCACTAGGGTAGATCAGGCACATGTAGATGGAAGATGACCAGAAGAGACACTGAGAGAAGATGCCATCTATAAGCGAAGGAGAAAGGCCTAGAACAGATTCTTCCTTCACAGCCCCCAGAAGGAACCAACCCTGCCTACACCTTAATTCAGATTTCTAGCCTCCAGAACTGTGAGATAAACTTCTGTGAAGTCATCTAGTTTATGATACTTTGTTACAGCAGCTCTTGTAAATGAATATAATTGTACTATTATTGTTGTCCCCATTTAAAAGTTGAGGAAACTGAGGGCAGAAAGGTTAAGTAACAAGACTGAAGTTTGGCCTGGTGTGGTGGCTCACACCTGTAATCCCAGCACTTTGGGAGGCTGAGGTGGGTGGCTCACCTGTCACCTGATATCAGGAGTTTGAGACCAGCCTGGCCAACATAGTGAAACCCGATCTCTACTAAAAATAGAAAAAAATTAGCCGGGCGTGGTGGTGGGCACATGTAATCCCAGCTACTCGGGAGTCTGAGGCACGAGAATTGCTTGATCCCAGGAGGCGGAGGTTGCAGTGAGCTGAGATCACGCCACTGAACTCCAGCCTGGATGACAGAGCAAGACTCTGTCTCAAAAAACAAAACAAAGACTGAAGTTTATGGCTAGTAAATGGGATGAAAACTCAGTCTGCTTCCAAATTCTGTCTTCCTAAATGGCTAAGGTATTTGACCTCTCTAAATTCAATTATTGTAGACATTGCTCTTGGTTCCAACTCTCCCTACCAACCTCTTTCCACCCAGTGCAGGGCACAGTTATGATGAACCATTGAATAAAGTGAACCTGAAATGAAACAAAACAAAACAACAACAAAATAACATAACAACATCAACAACAAAACATCTAATACATATAGTGAGCCCTAGTATCGGGCACTTATTATGATCAGGAACTGACAATATAAAGATAATATTATTCTGGTCTCTGTTCAAGACCTCACACCTTACAAGGGGAACATGCTCCTTACTTAGGGTGAGGGAGCCCCACAGGGGTGCATAGCAGAGAGATGAGTCAGTTTCACCTAGGAAGAGGCAAAGACCTCTATGGAAAATACCCCATGTAGGAGATAACCTTGAGTTGGGCCTTGATAAGTGGAAAGAATTTGATAGATGGCTAACTAGAGAAATGTTTGTAAATAGATTCATTTTGGTGAATGTAGTTGGATATGTAGGATTAGTAGCTCTAATTTTAAGAATATATGAATGAAAAAGCAACACTGGAGCTCTAGGCAATTGCTTGGCAAGGCTACTTTTATCAAATGAGAGAAGAGCTATAGACAGTAGATAGTTTCTACTTTTCACAGTTATACTCCAATGGCCATTGGCTTAAAGTTTAATAAACCTGCATGACCTAATGGAAGAAAGACTTGGGAACCTTAATTGGATTCTCAGGGGCAGTTGAATCTGTACCAGTTGAAACTGGGATCAGTAAGGGAGGCTGATTAAAGTCTCAGGGTCAGGGTAATATTGAAGCTGGAATATAATCTGGAATATAGTTGTGTTTTGTTTGACCTTCACAGTATTGGCTAACACTGAATGAACAGCTTCCTCATAATATTAAAAATTTCTGTCTTCTCCTAAAAATATAAATCAAAAGACCTGGCAATATTGGGCCTGCGTTTCTATAGGGGCTTCCTTTGTGTATTGGTCCAGGTAGGCTATCCTATCCTGTCCTAACAAGAGACCCAAACCTGTAATAAATCATCAGAGGAATACATTGTTTTTTATTCATATGAAAATCCATGTGTCAATGTAATTTAGGTAGCTTTTCTTTGAGTGATGACCCAGGAACCTAGACTTCTAATCTGTGGCTTTGCTGTATTTGTTGCATTGCTCTCAAGATCTCCTGTGGTATCTTTTTCACTTCAGCAGGGGGAAAAGAAAGAGTGAATAACTGAGTGGGAGATTTTTCATGGACCAGGCCTGGATTGAGCACTCATTCCTACTATATACATTCCATTGGCCAGAATTCAGTCACATGGCCCTAACTAATTATAAGGAAACCTGGGAAATATAGTCTAGCAGGAAGAAAAGGAAACAGAGTTTGTTAAGCACGTAGCAACCACATATGTATTCTCCAGCTCACCATAGCTCCTACTCAGACTTCTTCACTAATTTATCTACCTAGCTTCTGTAGGCATTTGAGTTTGCAATTCCCAGTTTAGGTATTGAGAATTGTAGTAGAAATTACTCAGATTTGGAGTTAGACAGACCTGTTTGAAAATTAGTTGGCCACAGTATTGCTTAAGATAATAGGGTCTTAAGACAGACCAAAACATAGTTGCTTAAATGAGATAAAAGAAATACTCCCCCACATAGAAGTCCAAGTTGATAGTGATTCTAGAATGGAGGGCAGCTCTACCACTGAGGTCATTCAGAAATCCAAATTCCTTCTATCTTGTTGGTCTGCCACCCCTAAAGTGTGGTTCTGGTCCATGTGATTGGACCAGGTGGTTTACTTTCAACACTAGTGGGAAGAAGGAAACAGGAACTGGAGGGCATGACCTGGAAGTTAATCACATCCTTTCCTTCTGTTCACATTCCATTAACCAAAATACAGTCACCTGTCCCACAAAGCTGCAAGGAGATCTGAAAAATGTGACCATTTGCTGGGTAGGCATGTGCTAAGCTATAATTTGGAAAATTCAGTTACTAAGAGAAGAATGAGGGAAAACTATAAATAGATCACAGTCACGTACTATTTGTGTGGCCTTGAAAAATAATAAAAATAAACAGAGGTTCAGTTTTCTTATATAACAAGAGATCTGAAGGTGGGTTGTTGTTTATCAGGCTAATAATGTTTGGGAAAATATTTCACTGAATTTTCTTTTGGCTTTTCTCTCATGATTCCAAGATAGTTGTTCAAGTTTCAATCATCACATCCAAATTCAGGTAAAGAGGAAGATGAAAGATGTACCAGTTGCATCTTTCACATTTATCAGGAAAAGCAAACATCTTCGCAAACTCCCAAGGCATTCAGTGAGTGACAAATACATATTATCTCAAAAGAGTTACTTATTTATTCTTTTTTGTTTCCTTTTCAGTTAACACGTAATTTTACATATTTATGGGCCAGAAAGTGATATTTCAATCCATGTATACAATGTGTAATGATCAAATTATAGTGATTAGCATGTCTATTTTTAATCATTCTGAACCTCAGTTTTCCCATCCATTATATGGGATGCTAAGTCCTAACTCATGGAATTGTTGTGAGAGTCAATGAAATAATATTGTTGTCTAGAACACTGCCTGACATATGATAGATGCTCAGTGAAGGGAAGAACTTATTATTTCAGGCAGTGAACCTTGACAGTTCTGTATTTGAATCCACATGACCTTGATTAAGTTGCTTACCTTCTTTGAATCTGTTTCCTCATCTTGAAAGATGGGGATAATTGTATCTTCTTTTTACAGAGCTGTTGTGAAGATTAAGTGGAGTTACATATATTAAGCACCTGGCTCACAGGAGCAACTCTTTTAAAGTTTAAGCAGGAGCCATCCTGAATTTACTTGGAGTGAGTAGGAGAGAACAGGAGATGCTGGGTATATGTTGCTGAGATAGCTTTTCCCAGCACACTCACGGAAGGATGGGGTTGTGTAAACATGATGACTATAGCAAAACACCAATAGGGAGGGATGATGGGAAAGCCAAACACAGGTCAGGTCAGTAAAGGAAGCACAAGTCCAGGGGCCAGTTCACTCTTCTACCTGAAGCAGAGACAGCACCAGGTGAGTTTCAACGGGGCTCTGGTTACCTTCCCAGGTGGAAGGCCAGGCCCTTCTCAATTATACAGCAGTGGGGAGCTCTGATGGTCTGGAGATGATCAGCAAACTTTGACAGGGCTCTGTCAGTGTCATCCCAACAGCCAGTTCTTAGGGCAGCAGAGGACCCAGGACAGGTCTCTGAAGGATGCCTTCTTCATCAGGGTGGCCAAGCAGCTGTGTTGGGGCAGGAGTTCATGGCAAGCAGATATGGGTGAGGTTAGCCTCATGAATTACAAAGAGGCTGAAAATGAAGGCTTCGTTCCTGGGGGCAAATTTGGCCAACACTAGAAGGAGGGCCTTTCCCCTTCATGACTCTTGGGAGGGGTTTGCTGGGGGAAAGAGACATTGAGAGGCAAGATTAAATAGCTCAGTGTTTACCCCAATCAGTTTACTCCCTACTCTTTGTCTTTCTTTCTCGCTCCCTCCATACTTTCCTTCTTTCTTTTTCTCCCTCCTTCCTTCCCTTCCTTCCCTTCCTCTCCTCTCCTTGCCCCTCCCCTCCTCACCTCTTCTCTCCTCTTTTCTCTATTTTCCTTCTTTCTTCCTCTTTCTTTCTTTCTTCTCCTTTCTTTCCTTCCTTCCTTCTCTCTTTTTCCTTCCTTCCTTCAGCTTTATTGAGATATGATTTGTGTGCCAACAATATAATTCAGTGGTTTTTAGTATAGTTGTTTGTGCAACTATCACCAATACCCACTTCCAGAACAATTTGATCACTCCAAAAAGAAACCGTGTACCTGATAGCAGTCAAATTCCCTATTCCTCTATCCCCAGCCTCTGGCAATCATTAACTACTTTATATCTCTATGGATTTGCTTATTCTGGACATTTCATGTACTTTTGTGGCTGGCTTCTTTCACTTTGTTTGAAAACCTTTGTTTTCAAGGTTTATTCATGTTGTAACATGTATCACTCCTTCCTTCTTTTTTGGTCGATGATTTCCCCTTATATGGCTATACCACATTTTATTTATCAATTTATCAGTTGATGGACAGTTGAGCTCTTTTCATCTTTCGGCTATTATGAATAACACTGCTAGAACATTTGTGTACAAGTTTTTGTGTGGACATGTTTTCATTTCTCTTGGGTATATACCTAGGAGTAGAACTGCTGGGTCACATAGTAACTATATGTTTAACCTCTGAGGAACTGCCAGACTGTTTTCCATAGTGACTGTACCATTTTGCATTCCCACCACTGTGTATGAGAGTTCCAGTTTCTCCACATCCCCTTTTGCTGGTTTGCAAAAGGAACACCAGCTGTCTGAACCAATACTTGTTATTGTCTTTTGTATTATACCCATCCTAGTAAGTGTGAGGTGGGACCTCATCGTGGTTTTGATTTGCATTTCTCTGATGACTAATGATGGTGACACCCCCACCTTTTTTTTTTTTTTTTTTTTTTTTTTTGATACAGAGTCTCACTCTGTTGCCCAGGCTGGAGAGCAGTGGTACAATCTCAGCTCACTGCAACCTCTACCTCCCAGTTTTAAGTGATTCTTCTGCCTCAGCGTCCTGAGTAGCTGGGATTATAGGCATAAGCCACCACACCCAGCTAATTTTTGTATTTTTAGTAGAGACACGGTTTCACCATGTTGACCAGGCTGGTCTTGAACTCCTGACCTCAAGGAATCCACCGACCTCGGCCTCCCAAAGTGCTGGGGTTACAGGCGTGAGCCGCCACGCCCAGCCACCCCCACTTGTTTTAAAGAGCAAGCTGAGTGGCTCCTTCTGTGGCAAATAGCATGAAGATCATACAGCTTTTGGGGAAGGCCCAACATATCCCAGAATGGCTTCTGCAAAGACACAGAGCTTGTGCTCAGTTATTTAGAGAAGGGCTAAGAAGAATTGAGAAGAAGTGTTCTGAGGTGGCTGACAATTTGCTTCTGTTCTCCCAACTTGGATTACAGAGATTTTAGTTATCTCTCCCAGGGCTGAAGGATGGTAGTTCCAGCTGTAAGTGGAAAGTTGCTCTAAAAGCCAAGGTGGTTAATATAGTAGAATATTCAATAGTGTTAAGCAGCTTCATTTGACTTTGCTGGAAACAAGGTTTATAAACAAGGTCAGGAATTCATCAAGTGCCCTAGCAAGCCTTAGGCAGAAAAGGACTTAGCATTTAGAACTCTGGTTCCCAGCTGCTTGCTGAGTTCTCCTTTTCTATGAGCACGAACTGGTAATTAAAGACCCCAAATTGCTGAAAGTTAAGTGAGTAAAGAGTTTCGTGACCATCTCCATGGAGCTAGATGAAACTGCTCCCTTCTCCTCTTGTACCTGGACACCAAGGTTATGAAGAGGCTGCATCAAGCCCCAGGGAAAGAGAGGAAATGAGTTACTTCACATTGTGTGCCCTGGTTTTTTAAAGCACTAAATTCACCTCTGCCTTCCTTGCCCACAATTCCCACTTCTCGCCCACAACTGTATAATAAAGCAGTAGACCTGAGATCTTATGAAATCTTGCCTGAAGTGCTCTTCACAGGGAATATTCTTTGAGCTAGTTCAGGGGACTAGGAAGGAAAAAGTCCTCTCCCTCTGCTTGGACAGATTAGAGAAAGATGGGAAAGGCGGGAATGCCTCCATCGATGTCTGGTAGGGAGGAACACCACAGGAAGAAGTAATACTATGTTGATTGTGTTTGAAGTGGGAGAACCTGGTATTTTCTGAAGAGCCACCATTTCAAACAGTGTTCTCATGACCCTCTGATGGTGTTTAAAAGGAGTGAGTTGAGGGGATAGAAGCTGGTTTGCAAAAGGAATACCAGGTGTCTGAATGATCTGCCCCTTTGAAATGTCTGGAATTTTCCTCTTCAAAGAACCGCTAAGTGGAATCTGGCTTTCAGATACTCTGAAAACGTCTCCAGACTTCAACAAGTTTCCCGGATTGTGTAGAGAGCACTTATGTACTTACAGGAATAATCATCTGTAACATCTATTGTACTTGGTGTCTGTTTTGGGTAAATTCCCAGCCATGAAAAGTACAAGCCATGATCTGTGGAGAAGGGAGTTGGTTGTGTCCTTTACTTTGTTGGTCAAGGATGAGGAGTACAAGTGGAAGGGGTGTTCTTAACAGGGAAGGAAATGGACTCATGCACATGCTGCAATTCAGAACCAAGAGATTTCCTGACGTGCTCGTGTGTGACTTAGGATGAAATGTGCTTGTAGTGGAAATTAAAAAAGACAGGAGATCACGCCCGTAATCCCAGCACTTCGGGAGGCCGAGGTGGGCAGATCACGAGGTCAGGAGATCGAGACCATCCTGGCTAACACGGTGAAACCCTGTCTCTACTAAAAAAAACAAAAAAAAACAAACAAAAAAAAAAATTAGCCAGGCGTGGTGGGGGGTGTTGGTAGTCCCAACTACTCAGGAGGCTGAGGCAGGAGAATCGCTTGAACCCAGGAGGCAGAGGTTGCAGTGAGCCAAGATTGCGCCACTGCACTCCAGCCTGGGTGACAGAGTGAGAGTCTGTCTCAAAAAAAAAAAAATAAAGACAGGAGAAAGTAGTCTTCTGGAGTGTTCTTGGGTAGGTGGGAGGTGAGGTGGAGAAAAAGGAAAAATGGTATTATGAGAATATATCTTTGTTCTAATGACTGGTATTCTGATGGAGAAATGAATAGCTCAATCCCCAAACTAGTGCCAGTGCTATAAATTTTCCTAGAATCAAGAATTCATTTTCAATCTAAATTATTTTTTTTTTTCCGAAACTTGTTCCCCAAACACCAACAGTTGACTCTTCTTCGGTGGTGAATGGATAAAAGGAGAAGCAGAAGAGGCAGTGGAGAGGCAGTTTGTAATACTAGTATAGTCCAGAATCCAGAAATCAAAGACTTTTCTGGTTATCCCTCTATTATAGTTAATTCTTTTGGATTCTTAGAAGGATTAAGATAATCTATATGAAAAGGTTTCTTTATCAAACTCACCTGGTTAATCTACTTGCTGGAGAGAATCCATAGTCTCATTAAAAGTTAATAAGTTCTTAGGCTAAAAATTGGAGTGTGTGTAACATATTTGTAACATTTAGCAGAACTATGTGGGAGGTTAGAATGCTGTAACCATACTGATTCTTTAAAAATAAAATGATTTACATGCCAAGTTGATATAAAAGCATTCCTCTGAATGAATACAAAAAAACATGTAGTATTCTGTGTAAGAAGCTCTGTAACTGTTTGGTAAAGCATTTTTTTTCACTGAGGATAGAATCATTAATGTATACATTTTCCACTGAAATCCAAGCTATTTTATTTTGGAGGTGAGTTTTGAAAAATTATACAAATTTATATAGTTAGCAATGTATACTTAGAAATAATAAAAAGGAATATTAAATTGCTTGTATATGTTTATTATAACTATAATCAGTGACCATAGTTTTAAAACCAAAAGCAGGGCACATAGTTTGCCAAACAGTCTTACACAATCATTAATTTTGAATGCATTGCTTGAATGCCTACTGTGTGCCAGATACTGTATTAGTTTCTGAGCATATGACAATGAACTGGAGTCACACACGGTGATCATAGAGCAGAATATTTCTTATTGAACTACCTCAGAAAATCTAGGTTGACTGATTGCTATAGTTATAAATCATGCCTAGTTGCATATTACTACAACTTTTGGTTGAATTTAATGGGTAATTTCTTTCATGTGACAAAATGTCACTATTTGTACATAAATTTCCACACAAGGTATAAAATAGGGTACATATGCTGTGGTTTATGGGCTTTTGTTAATGCAAAGTCCCTGAAGCCTACAATTTAGAAGTGGTTTACATTCCAGAAGTTTGTTTACAAGTCACTTGTTCAATGGTAGTTTTCCAAAGCCGATCAGCAAAAAACCTATTTAACCTATAAAGCAGCTGAAACCAAGCACTTGTCTTATAATTAAAACTAACCACTAGGTTTAACAATGTTTCTAAGGTTGAGGGCATTCAAAGTTCAATTTCAGTTCTATCCACAAGCACATTTTTCCTGGAAGCAGTATGGAAATGCGAGTGGGAACATTTCCCTAATTCCAAGATAATCAAGGGAGCTACCACCTAAGCAGGGGCAGGTCCAGGCTTTGCAGTGGCCTGAAGATTAGACCACTTGGGGGGCCCTCTTTAAGAAGAATAATACAAAATTAGATATGAGACCTTGCAAAGGGCCCGTGCAAGCTAGGACATCCGAAGTTTAAGCTTCATTGGTGTCCTTGGTAAATCTGTCTCTATAGCTATGGCAGGGTCAGGCCAGGGGTAACAATGGATGGATGGGTGGGAGATTTGTGAGAGGAAGTTGAAGCTCTGTTGGGGAGCAGTTAAAGGACTAAGAGAGATAGACACTAGGCCCCTAACATAGCCAGTGTAGGGGGATGGGACATTCAATAGCTATGATTGTTCCCATGCCAGAGATGGTGTTACCCTGACCTTTAACAGTCAGAGTCAAAGGCATGTTGTTAGAGGGACAGGACCTTTGGGGTGGCAGGATGGGGCCATATGTGGGACATTAACAGGATTGGTGAAAGGATGGGTAAGACTGGCTCAAAAGCGAAAAGTAGAGGGATGGGGATGGGGACAGATTCTATAGCTGAGGTGGGATGGGGCGCAGGGTTTAGGTTAGCTCCACATTGCTGTGATTAGCGGTTAGAAGGATCAGGCCAGCATTAGAAAAGGGGATTGTCAAGGAAGAAAGGAGGTGCATTCTCACCTGCAGCAGGTGGACAAAAGAGGCCACAGGTGCAGGGGCAGTAAGAAGGGGTGGAGTCCACTCGAGTTCAGAAAAGCATGATGTAAGGGGCCATGAATAAGTCAGAAGCCATGAGTGAGACACAGCCTGTAATTATGAAGGAGGATAACACTCACCAGGCCAGAGTGTGATTCGGATGCATATGAGTTGAGAAAACCCAATCATTTCAGATGAATTAGAACAATGTGTTAGCAAACCCCACATGAACGTGTAATCTGCAGTAGTTAGGCTTAGGATAAACTCTGGTGAGCACTCTGTGGTGACAAGAGATAAGCCCATGACCTTTAAATAAAGGCCACTGGCTTGGTTGAGAATAATTGTCTTTCCTGAGGAACAAGTGAAATGAGATTTTGATTTCTTACACCAGAAGAGCTTGAGACAAAGCCAGCTGAGAAATGTAGAGTCTGCACGTGAGCACCACTCAGTCATTTTCCCCTAAAACCTCTGTGGGAGAGAGACTCTGAATATGAGCCTTCTCTAATAGCTCAGCTTGGGTGACTTCTGTGGCCCCAGGCAGCTTGGGCAACTCCTCTGGCCCCAGGAGTTTGATCAGAGAAATTTCCACAATTAATGCTGTAGGTAAGTGTTCTTGTTTTGAAAAGAATGCAGTGGCCATTATGCCTATGCATGTATCTACAAATAGTGTCCTTTTAAAAGGCATCTATAGCATTAAGCAAAGATAAAGAATGGTAGTTATGAAATATAGGGGCGGGGTGCAAAAAACTAACGTAAAGCTAGTATGTTAGGAGTTCTGCAATGTGAATCTAAGGTCAGATGTTATATGAAAAACTACTGAGCTGTTTTTCTTTCTCATGGAGAAGGGTGTTTCAAAGCAAGAAACAGAAAATGTGAAGTATATCAGTCAGGCCCTCTGGCCAGAAAAACAAGCCGTTCCAGGTTTTTCTGACAGTAAATTTGACATAAAGAATTGGTTACCTATGAAACAGAAGAGCAGAGAAGCCAAACATGAAATGCAGGGAGAATTCCAGAGATTAGCAACCTTCTCTCACTTTAAGACTGGAAGAACAATAGCAGAAAGTGGCATTATCAGAGCCCAGGGCCATTCTGTGGGGACTAGAACCATAGTAGAGACTTTCCAGTTGGAGCTGAGACCACAGAGGGGACATTACTGGTGCTTGAAATACCACAGGGAACACAGAGAGAAACATACGCTGGCTTCTTTCTTCCTTTTACCCCTCATTCTAGTGCTCATGCCTTCCATTGGCTATAGCTAGCTGGACCAGAGGTCCAAGCAACCTGGGAAATGTAGTTTCTTTCAGCCAAAGCAGAGTACTGGATTCCTAAGACAGCAAACTGCAGGTGGGCTGCATAGCACAACAAATTTAAGTTTTGTGTAATTAAGGATGTTGCCAAACTGCCTTGGAATTATTAGCCCTTTATGAGATCAACCCTGTAATAATGGTCATAATGTGTCCGGAATTGGTGGGTTCTTGGTCTCACTGACTTCAAGAATGAAGCCGTGGACCCTCACGGTGAGTGTTACAGCCCTTAAAGGCAGTGTGGACCCAAAGAGTGAGCAGTAGCAAGATTTATTGCAAAGAGCGAAAGAACAAACCTTCCACAGACTGGAAAGGGACCCAAGCGGGTTGCCACTGCTAGCTCAGGCAGCCTGCTTTTATTCTCTTATCTGGCCCCACCCACATCCTGCTGATTGGTAGAGCCCAGTGGTCTGTTTCGACAGGGCGCTGATTGGTGCGTTTACAATCCCTGAGCTAGACATAAAGGTTCTCCACATCCCCACCAGACTCAGGAACCCAGCTGGCTTCACCCAGTGGATCCAGCACCGGGGTTGCAGGTGGAGCTGCCTGCCAGTCCCGGTGCCGTGCGCCCCCCACTCCTCAGCCCTTGGGCGGTCGATGGGACTGGGCACCTTGGAGCAGGGGGTGGCGCTCATCGGGGAGGCTCGGGCCGCACAGGAGCCCATGGAGGGAGTGGGAGGCTCAGGCATGGCGGGCTGCAGGTCCCGAGCCCTGCCCCGCGGGAAGGCAGTTAAGGCCCGGTGAGAAATCGAGCGCAGCGCCGGTGGGCTGGCACTGCTGGGGGACCCAGTACACCCTCCGCAGCCGCTGGCCCGGGTGCTAAGCCCCTCATTGCCCGGGGCTGGCAGGGCCGGCCGGCTGCTCCGAGTGCGGGGCCGGCCAAGCCCACCCCCACCCGGAACTCCAGCTGGCCCGCAAGCGCCGCGCGCAGCCCGGGTTCCCGCTCGCGCCTCTCCCTCCACACCTCCTTGCAAGCTGAGGGAACCGGCTCTGGCCTTGGCCAGCCCAGAAAGGGGCTCCCACAGTGCAGCGGTGGGCTGAAGGGCTCCTCAAGTGCCGCCAAAGTGGGAGCCCAGGCAGAGGAGGCGCAGAGAGCGAGCGAGGGCTGTGAGGACTGCCAGCATGCTGTTACCTCTCAATAAGGTGACTAGAAAATATTACTGTATTATTAGTGAAATTCTTGAACTTGACCTTCACTATTTTTGATATAAAAATTTTAATAAATAGGTAATACAGGCACATGAAACAAAATTCAAAATTATGAAACATAGTTTAATGCCTACAGCTTTGTTTTGTTTTTTTGTTGCTGTTGTTTTTGTTTTTTGCTTTGTTTCATTTTTGCTTAGGATTGCTTTGACTCTTTGGGCTCTTTAGTTCCATATGAATTTTAGAATAGTTTTTTCTAATTTTATGAAGAATGATGTTAGTAGTTTGATAGGAATAGCATTGAATCTGTAAATTGCTTTGGACAGTATGGCCATTTTTACAATATTTAGATTCTTCTAATCCATGAGTGTGGAATGTTTTTCCATTTATTTGTGTCATCTCTGATTTCTTTCAGCAGCGTGTTGTAGCTCTCCTTGTAGGGTTATTTCACTTCCTTGGTTAGCTGTATTCCTAGGTGTTTTATTTTCTTTGTGGCTATTGTGAAAGGGATTGTGTTCTTGATTTCACTCTCAGCCTGGATGTTGTTGATGTATAGAAATGCTACCGATTTTTGTACATTGATTTTGTATCCTGAAACTTTGCTAAAGTCATTCATCAATTTTACGAGCCTTTAGCAGAGTCGTCAGGATTTTCTAGGAATAGAATCATATCATCAGTGAAGAGAGATAGTTTGACTTCTTCCTGTCCTATTCGGATGCCTCTTATTTCTTTCTCTTGCCTGATTTCTCTAATAATTCCGGTACTATGTTGAATAGGAGTGGTAAGAATGGGCATCCTTGTCTTGTTCCAGTTCTCAAGGGGAATGGTTCCAGCTTTTGCCTATTTGGTATAATGATGGCTGTCAGTTTTTCATAGATGGCTCTTATAAAGCCACAGTAACACAACAGCTTGGTACTGGTACAAAAACAACACACAGACCAATGGAACAGACCATAGACCAATGGAACAGAATAGAAAACTCAGAAATAAAGCCACACACCTACAACCATCTGATCTTTGACAAGGCCAAGAAAAACAAACAATGGGGAAAGGACTCCCTATTCAATAAATGGTGCTGGGATAACTGGCTAGCTATATGCAGAAGATCGAAGCTGGACCCTGACTTTTCACCATAATCCAAAAATAACTCAGAATGGATTAAAGGTTTAAATGTAAGGCCTCAAACTATAAAAATCCTGGAAAACAACCCAGGAAATACCCTTCTCAACATCAGCCTTGGCAAGGAATTTTTGGCTAAGTTTCCAAAAGTAGTTGCAACAAAAACAAAAATAGAAAAGTGAGACCTAATTAAACCAAAGAGCTTCTGCTCAGCAAAAGAAACTATCAGCAGAGCAAACAGACAACCTGCATAATGGGAGAAGATATTTGCAAAGTATACATCTGACAAAGACCTAATATCCAGAATCTATGGGGAACTTAAACCAACAGGCAATAAACAAATAACTTCATTGAAAAATGGGCAAAGGACCTGAACAGACACTTCTCAAAAGAAGTCATACATGTCACCAAGAAACATGAAAAAATGCTCAGCATCACTAATCACCAGAGAAATGCAAATCAAAACCACAGTGAAATACCATCTCAATCAGAATGGCTGTTATTAAAAAGTCAAAAAAACAACAGGTGCTGGAGAGGTTGCAGAGAAAAGGGAACGCTTATACACTGCTGGTGGGAATGTAAATTAGTCTAGCCACTGTGAAAAGCAGTCTGGAGATTTCTCAAAGAACTTAAAGCAGAGCTACATTTCAACCCAGCAATCCCATTACTGGGTATATACCCAAAAGAAAGTAAATCATTCTACCAAAAAGACACATGCACTCATGTGTTCAGTGCTACACTGTTCACAATAGCAAAGACATGGAATCAACCCAGGTGCCCATCAATGGTGGATTGGATAAAGAAAATGTGATACATATATACCATGGAATACTATGCAGCCATAAAAAAAGAATAAAGTCATGTCCTTTGCTGTAACATGGATGGAGCTGCAGGCCATAATTGTAAGCAAATAAATGCAAGAACAGAAAACTAAATACTGCATGTTCTCACTTATAAGTGAGAACACATGGACATAAGCTTTGAGCATACATGGACATAAATATGGGAACAGTAGAGACTGTGGACTACTAGAGGGCATGGTGAAGTTAAAAAACTACCTATCAAGTACTATGCTCACTACGAGGGTTACAGGATTTGTACTCCAAACCTCAGTATCATGTAATATTCTCACGTAAAAAATCTGCACATATAACCCCATATCTAAAATAGAAGTTGAAATTAAAAATTAAATTAAATTTTAAAAAGTTATGAAAGGATAATGAAAAGTCTCAGCCAGTCCTCACCCTCCCATATAGCTATATCATATCTATATATCCATATCTTAATCTATATCTATCCTTTTTTCTATATACAGAAGATATATATTTTCTCTTCCACAAGTGATAGCATACCACATGTGCTGCTCTATTGATTCATTTGGGACCTACCAATTTAACTCCAAAGATATTTCTTCTCTGTAGAAATACAATGGGTGTGCCCATTGGGTCAGACTTGTGCCTTTCTATAAATCATCAGGCTTGCAGTCATCCAGTGTTCAACCAGTCAGGCAAAGAATTCTCCAAGGCAGTAATTCAACAGAAGCTTTGTGGATTTGTCAGACTGATTCAAGGGTTTGGAATGACTCACTGGGGCTTGGGTTAAGTAATCTCTGCTTAATCATATCACTTGGAGCAAAGGTAAGTTGAAGATTTAAATCCTGGTGGCTCAGTATCTCATCTGGACACTGGCAGAGTAATTCTCAGCCCAGCAACAGTGTCAGGGTCAGAAAAACAGCCCCAAATGCCTTGTATTATTGTACAGCAAGACAATGTCTGCATGGGTTAAAAAGAGTATGTGCATATGTCTGTGTTTATGTATATATATGCACACGTACAAATACATTAATATATTCACATACATATATTTGTACATACTACACATGTATGTACACATGGGAAGAAAACAGATTTGAAAATTTCTCAAGTCTCTGGAACAGAGACATCTTTATAAGCTTCGAAATGATAGAAATAATTACAAAATGAAGAAAAAGCTCAATTGATTATAAGAACATTAATATGTTCTGCATATAAAAACACCAGAACAACAAAAATACAAAACACTGGGAAAATACTTTTGGTAAGTATGACAGGTAAAGGGATGACATCTTAATTATTTAATACACTCATGTACAGCTATATAGTGAGGTGACAGTAAGAGCCTCAGCTTTGATGTTAGACTTCCTATGATATAAACTTATCTGGGTCCCAGTTTCTCCATCTGTAAAATGGTTATTATGGTAATACTTTTTGGAGTTTTGTGAGGTTTAGATGTGATATATATGTAAAATACTTAGAACAGTGCCTAGAACTTGATAAACACTCAATGGGAGTTACCTATTATTGTTATTAGTAAAAGCAAAATTGTTAAATAAATCAAAAATGACCTGAACTGTCAACTGCAGTTGTAACACAAGGGAAATGTTCAAATTTATAATTTATTCAAGAAATATATTGTTGTACTTGGCCAGAGTAGTTAAAAAATTAATACCCAATGCTAGTGAAGATGAAGTAAAACTAATACACTTTTTGTGGCAATAAGGTTAAAACTATACTTTTGAAAAGAAAATTGGCAATGTATATTAAGAGTTATGCAATGTTTAAATTCTTGTTTAATTTGATCACTTTGCAACTTATAATTTTCCTTAAAGATATAATCCAAAGAGAGAATACCTTATAAACTATTTTTTTCTGCATTGTTTATGAGAAGAGCATAAAGTCCAAAGCAGCTAGCATACTGCTTTGGTTGATTACATTCTGGTACAATAATTGTATGTATATGCATCAATACCAGATGATAGTTATTTGCAACAAAATGGCAATTCATATACTGTAGTTATGTAGTTTATATTAAAAATATAAAATTCAAAGTTATAATGACTATATAGCAACATTCTTATTATGTAATTTTGAAATTTTATATATTTTCCCCATACTTAAACTCATATTAAAAGCTTGGGAGGCAATACATGTAAATGAAAATTGTTGTGTTTGGGTGATGCAGTTATGAGTAATCATTTTTCTTTCTTTTTTTTATCTTTAAAATTCTTTAAAATTACTTTTAAATTATAAAAGTAATTCATGCTTATTGTTTAAAAAATTGCAAAGGCATATAGAGCAGAAACTAAAAGTCCCTTATGAATCCCCTCTCCCAATTTTCTACCCTCCCATCTCTGTTCCAACTCCTCAAATCTCACACTCTTCCTCAGCAATGACCACTTAGGAATATGTCCTCCTAAATACCTCTCTATGCGTTTACACATACATACATATATCTGCACATTTACCACACGCATTTTTCTTACATTAATGGGATTTCTACTATTCTGCTATTTGCCTTTTTTGCTTCATTGGTATATTTTCTTTGGTCTTATTCCTTGTCAGTTCAAATAGAATCATATGATTATTACATTTACAATATGGGCACACAAAGATTTGTTTTTATCAACCCATTATTGATGAATTTTTGTGCAGTCTTTTTTTTGCTATTGGAAATATTGTTACAATCCTTGTACTCTTTGTTAATATGTGTATTTCTTTAGGACAGGTATTTAGAATGAAATTGCTGGGCCGAAGATTTGCCCATTCAAATTTCTAAGAGTTGCTTCCAAACCATACTGTGAGAAGATTTTATCAATTTTTATCTCCATAAATTTTTTTAAAGAAAATAGTCAAACCAGAAGTCCCATGAAACTAACTTAAGAGATAAGCAAAAGTGTCTATAGCCCATTGACTTCCATATCAGAGGTAGGTAGCTTAATTTTGGTTTTATTCTTTCAGTTATCCTTATAAATTTAACTAACTCATGATTCTACCATACCCCTCATTCATTTTTTACTTTAACTTTACTTTGACGTTCTGGTCAGTATGCTCATTTCTAGGTTTTGTCCTAGAAGTGTGTTTGAACTGGTTGGATCAACTTAGTAAATAAAGATGAGTAACTTTGTAAATAAAGCTAATTTTGACACTGTTCCTAGAGCCGCTGGGCATGGTTGTGCTGTTGTGCTCTACAAAGGGGACTCAAGGGCACTGACATCCTGTCTGTGCTCCACTCACCAAGCCCTGTACCCTGGGTGCAGGCAGGGGAGGGCAGAGTCTGCTTGGAGGAAATAGTTCCTTTCCAAATTCATGTAAAAAATGGTTTATTGAGGTCTTAGCTGCCCTGATGATTCATAATTAAAATTTTTTTAATTTAACTGATTCTTTACCTCTCAATAAAGTTTGCCATATTAAAAGGATGATGAAAAATTTACAATTAGCCTTAGAATTTAAAGGGTAAGTATAGTTCAAACATAGTTCTGTCAGAATTTGGCTATGATGAAAAAAAGTTTTGGTGAGCTAAGGAATCCAAGGAGAATACACATCATTAGGAAAAGAACTATAATTGAAAATTCAGAAGCAATCTAATAATTTCCTTATCATTGATAGATTTTGGAAAATCATAAAATGAACTCATGCATATACTGCCAAATAATGAAATAGAATAGGGCTAGGATACATCTAGTTTATAATTATTATAGTTGTTGAGTATTGTTCCACTGTTAAATATCTTTTTTTTGGAAAGCTCTAACTGAGATATATTCAAGCAGATATAATTATTGCTGTTCCATAGATGCTAAACAAGATATTTCATGTTATCTGTAATGAGGCATGAAGTAATTACAATTTCAATGGTGAGCACTTGATAAGTTGTAGATCATCTTCCAATGTAAGAAGACATCCTCACTCCACTTTATAATGTTTAAACTAGAACTCACACGGTGTGCCTGTGAAAGCAGTCAGCAGTGAACAACTTAAATAGAAAATACTGAGCATAGAGTTGATGGACTGATGTGCATGGATTGGGCAAGGATCTCATAAAAATCTTAACATGAGCTGATCCTATGGGCCTAAGTAACATCAGGAAAGGTTTAGGTTACACCCAAAGGTAGGAAGGAAGAAAGGAAAAGGACAGACTTGCCAAGGGAAGTATTGTTACCTGAAGTTTCCAAGGTAACAAAATTATCTTTTGGGGATACCTTTATAATAAGACACATGAGTTTATGAATGTAGGCTTTAAACTTTTTTTTTTTCTTTTTTTTTTTAGAGATGGGGTCTGGCTAAGTTGACCAGGCTGGTTTCAAACTTCTGGGCTCACGTGATCCTTTCACCTCGGTGTTCAGGGTAGCTGAGACTTACAGGCACACACCACCATGCTTGGCTATGGCTTTTTTTGTGTGTTGTTTTTTTTTTTATTTCTGGCGATGGCAGGAATGTAAATTTTAGGAGAGAATGAGAGACTAGCTCTTGTTAGGGATTCTAAAATTCCACTAAATAATTCCTGACTCTGACAGTTGGCAGGTATATTCTGGATGGGCTCTAATAAATTAGATCAGTATTTAACAAGGAGAATTATTTTTGCTTTGCTTTCTGTGACTTTGGATTCACTCAGAAGGAAAGTGAGGGCAGGATGAGTATGGACCACAGTTCTCATGCTCCTTCTGGCAGCTCTAAAACCATCAGAATCTAGGACCATCCCTGCCCTTGACTGCATGGGGAGTTTGGATCTACTAACATGAAGTTGCCAAGTCACAGTAATATCAAATTCAGCCTGGGCCCAGCTGTTGAGTCCCTGAAGTTCTCAGGCAAAATGAGAACTGGTAGGACTGGTAAGAACAGAGCATCAGGTGGGTGGGCAGCATAAGATGTGTGTGCTAGAAAGAGGAGAGGGGAGGATATGCATGTCAGCAACGACTATTTGCCACATTCTCTGAGGCTGGCAGCAGCTCTGGAGCAAGACATTCTGAGTTACTGGGGCAACAAAAACTGGGTTGGTAAAGCAAAGCCACAAGTAGTTCTTAAATTTCATTTAAGCCTCAGAATCAAGCCTCTTATTAAACTGCTAAACTGGGTCAGTTTACAAATAACATTGGACTGGTCTCAACCACCTCATTAATTCTCTTCTAGTTTATGTCACAGAAACTAGTCTATGCCTTCTCACCTGTCTGTAGGATGATCCCCTGGTTAACTGAATATAGTCTATGTGTTTTTCTCTAGAAGATATATGTCCTGAGGTGAAATCCCAAATCATAAGACACCCATAATTTACCATTATAAGAAAACAAAGAGCTCAATTACAATGACAATAATAATAGTTAACATTCATGGAGTGCTTATGGCTAACTACTGTGCTGAGTGTTTGTACACATTGCATAATTCAATACGGAAAACATCCACTTTGAAATATAGACTAGTAGTTATTATCCTTATTATAAAGTTGAGGAACCTGAGTGATAAAGAAGTTAAGGAGCTTGCCCATGGTCACATCGCTAGTAATGGCAGTAACCAAGATGTTTGGCTCCCATAAGGAAAACCTAACCAAACCTAAGGAAATCGTAACCCTTAATATACTCAAGGAGCAGGCTAGATCCACTTATTTATTGTAGCTTCTTTTTCTTCTCTTTATCCATGAATATAAACTATTTCTGAACATCACCCTGGAAAGATAGCTTTGAGTTGCATGCCTCCTGTGCATATGGTATACACATTAAACTGTATATACCTAGTAACAGAATAACATGAAAGACTGGACCCAGCAGCCTGCTTGGCATACTGCAGTCTTTGAGCCCCCTTGCGGGACCCCCAAAGCAGATTTAGTGCTTCTGGGAAAGAACTGTCCCCTCTCAATCACAGAGTTCAGTTGAAACACTGTGAGTATGTAATCCGTGACACATAGTGAGGGAGGAAACCAGTATTTATCTATGGGGTTCAGCCCCCAGTGATAAGGGACAATATGAATGGGACTTTTTCTTTCCTCATGGTTGGCAGAGGCCCAGTCAAGCTGCCATCAGCTCCTCCAACGGCCAGAGGCTTAAAGGAACTTCTGAGTCTAAAAAAAAAACAGCAAAGCAAAGGAAAAAAAAAAAAAGAAAAAGCTAGGTCACCCAACAGGTAGAGCAGGGCAGGTGACAGGTGACAGGCTACACGCCCTGCTGCTGGGACTGTGTTCACAGCCTGGCTCTAGCAGTCCTTTTGCTAGGGCTGTGAATTTTTCTCTGACAGCTTAATACTTTTGGGTGGGACAAAAAAGTGTTAATGTAGTGTAATTTTCAATCCATTTAAAGGGGCTTAATTCAGAATGCTCCCTCCCATTCTTTTGGCTAGGACGCCTGTGGGTCAGCATTTGAGATACAGTTAGATTTGATCCAGCTGAGCAGGGAGTACCTTGCAGCCAGCTAGTGATCTGGAAAATGTTTATGACACCTTGTCAAGTGAAAACAACAGCATATAAAACAGCAGTACACTTGAAATATGCACAGAAAAATATTAGAAGGATAGATACCGCCAAGTTAACAGTGGTTACCTCTAGATGGTGGAATATGGGGGGTTTCTCTTTCATTTTATTCTTCATTCAGATATCATTTGAGTGGTTTCCATGACTGAGGCATAACAGATTCTTACAAGTATTTTCTTTTGTGTTTTAAAACACTTATGCTATACGAACATCTGTTTCTTTTGTAATAAGAAAAGAGCTATTTTTCAAAGACTACCTCATATCTCTAACAAAAATTTTTACCTCTTTAGAAGACAACCCAGTGCACAAAAATCCTCAACTTAAAAACAAGTAAACTATGATGTGACCATTCATTTTACAAATAGATTCGCCACGTGGTTATTTTTAATAGAGTGCTCCCTTGCCCTCCATATCTGATTCAGTTTTCAATAATTTGCCTCCATAACAAGGGAAATGTAAATTCAAACTTTGTAAATTAGGATAAAATTATTTACACACCCTTTGGTTTAGCTTTTTAATCCAGGTTGGAACCAATAAATGAGAAAAGTAAACTATGGTGATGGAACGCCCTTGCCCACAAAATAGGGATATGCGTGTAGCAGAGACGGCCTCTTGCCCATTGACATCTCTATCAGGCCTGGTGAGCTGGATCTGCTGCAGGGATTCTGCTGCTCCTGCCTCTAACCTCACCCCTTCTCCCTCTCCAACAAGCCTTGCTGCTTTCTGTCATTCATAAGTGCCTTGGCTGTGATGGGGACCAGTGGATGGTGAGGCATGTGAGAAAAGGGGAATGATGCTCTGCAGCCGGGTGCATGGCCTAGTGTTAGTGCTCAAAGAACAGAATGAAAGAGGTTTCATTATTTTCAGAGTTAGCCATAGAACTTGAGTATCTATCAGAAGGAGTTTTATGTGCTCCAAGAGGCTGAGGGAGCCTTGGGTAGAGTGAGGGATGTAGTTGGTGCTGAGACCCCACACTGCTCCTGTGGGGATTGAAACTGTAAGGGGTTGAGGGACAGAAACAAGGATCCGCCTATAATCGGAAACAGTAGAGAAGGTGAGTTGGGCCAGGACTAGTGTGGCTTTTTATGCCCACTTGAATCCACTCTATTCAGTTCCTATCATGTGCCAGGCTATGCACTAGCATGGAAAATACAAGTGTTGTGACTCAATTGGCTTCCAAGGCAAGGCAAAGTAAGGGTTGCATAGGTCACAAATCCCATAATATTGGAAGAAGTTAGCCGTGGGTTGTGGGAGAAGTGTCTACAGAAAGTCTGAGCATACAGAGGAGACTTACAGGAGGAAAATATTTCCTGGAGTGGGTGGCATTCAAGAGGATCAAGGACTGTGAGAGGCAGGAAAGGGGAGGGGGATATCAGTGGATGTATTAGCTTAAAAGTGTGGAGCTGGGAGACATTACCTGCTCCTGTCTGGTTGGAGGGTAAGGTGGAGATAGGAGCCCGGCGACACCATCTGTACCTGTGCAGGGAAAGTGCCAGCTACAGAACTAACAGGGTTTGTTTTAACTATAGAAAGAGATATATATCCATGGGTATCTTTTTTTTGTTGTTTGTATTTTAAAAGTGCACAATCAGAGCAACCATCACCACTATCTAGTTCCAGAATATTTTTTATCATCCCCAAAAGAAATTTCATACTCATTAACAGTCTATCTTCTCTCCCTAGACCCTGGCAAGCACTAATCTACTTTCTGACTCTACTGATTTGCCTATTCTGGACATTTTATTATAAATGGAATCATACAATATGTGGCCTTTTGTGTCTGGCTTCTTTCACTTAGCATAATGTTTTCAAGGTTCATCCATGTTGTAGCACATATCAGAACTTCGTTCCTTTTGATGGTCAAATTATGTTTCATTGTATGGATATACCACATTTTGTTGATCTGTTCATCAGCTGATGGACATTTGAGTTGTTTCCCCCTTCTGGCTATTATGAATAATGCTGCTAAAAACATTTATTTACCCATAGGCATCTTAAATAAATACACAGGAGTACCCACTTGAGTGAATGAAGTTTCAAATATTTTCTTCTCTACCAATGAATGTGGAAGTCTTTCTAGGGCTTCACTCTGGCTTAGCTCTCAAAAACCTTTTACACTCTTTGAGGACTAGCTTGCTCTTGGCCAGCTTGCTCTTTTTGCAGTCTCTGAAGTGGATCCATTTCTGGGTTTCTGTTTGGTAGTTTCTTAATCTAAGAGCAGGCATTGCCCCCACATTCCCTGTACAAACAAGGTTCAGCTGCCACCTGCATGTGTCAGGTTGGGCAGTTATTTTACAGGGAGGATTCCAGGTCTCACATGTGCACTGCTGTGCTCAGGGCTATCTTGAAAAAGGCAGGATTTTCACCCTGCCACAATCAGAAGAGAAAAAACTCTAAACTCTGGGCAATCTTACACAATCAATGCATCAGAATGTTACCTAAATATTTATTTCAAAGAAGGAAACATTCAGATTTATTGTTTAAAAATACTCACTGTATAATATTCAAAACTGTATTTTTGTTCTTTTGGGTACATTTTTGAAATGTATGTATTTTATATGTGACCTAGAGTCCAAGACAAGTAAATTGTGGCCCGAATCCAGAGATCATTTCTTCAAACTACTTTTCTTTGTTCTAATTTTTCTTTTGATCCCCTTATTCCAAACCACAGCCTTCTTTCTTCTATTCCCCACTCAATAACTCTAGACCCTCCTCTGAAAAAGTCCCTAAATCATAGCCTCTCTTCTTTAATCTCCCTTTCCAGACCTCACCCCCTGGCCCTTCTAGTTACCTCCTCCTCCAAATCACAATTCTCCCTTTCAAAACTTTTAAAACTCATTTCCTAAACCAGCTTCTTTTCCCAAATCCACTTTCCTGAAAACTATAGTTTACTTTTTGGAACTGAAAGACACACATGTCCTACAATCAGTAATGGGGCTGGGACTGCTTCATGGAGAGAAGAGACCAGGAAGCTATGAACTTTGGAGGCTCTGGAGACATGTGGAGAGGCTGCTGGAGGCAGAAATTCAGAAATTCTAGAACCATGACTTCAGGGCCCTCTGGATAAGCCTGGGGCTGTGGGCAGCTGCCCTCATTTTGCTGAACTTTGATTTTCTCATCTGGCATATACTAAGCCTCTGGTTCACAGGAGGTCTCAATAATAATATTTGTTGACTTGATTAAGTGGTCGAATGAAGGACTAAGACAAGGTGACCTCTAAGCTGCTTTCAGCTCTATGTAAAACTCTAATATCCATGAAGTCAAGATGAAGAGGATTGGCAGAACTTTTGAAGTTTCAATTATCCAACCAATTATTTTCATTTTGTTCTTCACTTTGCTTGTGTACATGAAGTCTTTTTTTGTCGAGGAGGAAAATCAGTTGAATTTTCCTGGGAATAGATACAAGACAGTTTACTCCCCTCTTTGGACTCCAAACTCCTTGACTATATATCTGTCAGTAGGAGCTAATGAAAGTAACTTTGGTTCCATGGAAATAATTGTGAGGACTATGAAATCCAGGGATGTGAGCTGGGAGTACAGGACGTCCAACCAGGATTGTTCTAAAGTGCTCAGAATGTAGTAATGAAAGTGAAATGCCATGGCTAATAAATATTTGTTGATTGATTAAAGAACGTCAAATGCTGGATATACCTCTGATAAAAATATCTTGTAGCTCTAAGTTTATACACCAAGGACCAAACGTAAATGGGCATGGTGGTTTCAATTAACAAGTAACCATCAAAAAGTTTGAAAAAATGTTTTAACTCAAAATGGGTCACAGATCAAAATGTAGAAAGTAAAACTATACAACTTTTAGAAGAAAACATAGGAGAAAATATTCATGAACTTGGGCTAGGCAAAGAGTTCGTAGATAAAACACCAAAAGCATGATCCACAAAAGAAAAAATGGATATACTGGTCTTCATGAAAATTAAAAACTTTGCTCTGTAAAAGACACTCTAAAGAGAATGAAAAGACAAGCTACAGACTAAGACAACATTTTCAGAAATCATATATTCATAAAGAGCTTGTATCCAGGATATATAGAGAATTCTTAAAATTCAACAACAACAACAACAACAAAAAATGGCCAAGTACGGTGGCTCATGCCTGTAATCCCGGCACTTTGTGGGGCTGAGACAGGCGAATCACTTGAGGCCAGGAGCTCGAGATGAGCCTGGACAACATGGTGAAACCCTGTCTCTACTAAAAATACAAAAATTAGCTGGGCACTGTGGCCTGTAATCCCAGCTACTCGGGAGGCTGAAGCATGAGAATGAACCTGGGAGGCAGAGGTTGCAGTGAGCTGAGATCACACCGCTGCACTCCAACCTAGGTGACAAGACCCTGTCCCAAAAAAAAAAAAAAAAAAAAAAAAGGAAACAAACAACCCAATACAACTGAGCAAAATATTTAAACATATGCTTCACAAAAAAATGATATACGGACAGCAAATTAGTACATGAAACAGTACTGGAGTATATTAGTCACTAGGGAAATGTAAGTTAAAACCACAATGAGATACTACTACACGCTTATTAAAATGGCTAAAAATAAAAACAAAATTGACATTTTCAAGTGCTGACAAGGATATGGAGCAACTGGGTTTTCATACATTGGGAATGTATGGAATGCTGGTAGGAATGCAAAATGGTACAGGCACTCTGAAAAACAGTTTGGCAATTTCCTACGAAATTAAACATACACAAATCAGATGACTCAGCAGTTATACTCCTAGGTGCTTACCCTAGAGAAATGAGAATTCAAGTTCACACAAACATCTGTATCCAAATGTTTATAGCAACATTATTCATAATTGCCAACAACTGAAAACTATTAAGATGGCCTTCAATGGGTGGATGGATAAGCAAACCATGATCCATTCATACAATGGAATACTATTCAATAAGGAAGGACTCAACAGTATGTACAACAATATTGATTATTTTCAGATGTATTATGCTAAGTGAAAGAAGCCAGATTCAAAAGGTTACATAATATAAAATTAAATTTATATGACATTCTGGAGGAGATAAAACTATAGGATGGAGTTGCCAGGGGTTGGGGGTGGGTGAAGAATTTGACTCCAAAGGGGAAGCATCAGGGACATGGGGTGAGAGAATTGTTCTGTGTCTTAATTGTGGTGATGGTTACATGACTATGCATTTAAGACGTTCACAATTGTACACCCCCCCCCAAAAGTTAATTTAATATATGTAAACAAACAAAAAACTTCTCTAAATAATGGAAGGGAAAAAAATTTAGTCATCAGAGATCTACCATAGGTTAGTCATGAGGCTTTAATTTTTACTCAGAATAATCCTGTTTCTGATGCTTAACTGACTGTACAATGGGTACAAATGAACATTTTCCCGGTCCTATATTTCAATAGCAGTTAGAATGACCCTTAAAGACATTCCCAAACACAGGGCAGCTGCATCCCCTAGCTTTCCTAACCAAGCTATCTGACACTCAAGCTCCTGTAATGTCGGAAGAATTATGACTGCCCAGCCAAACAAAGCGTAGATAACACCACACCCTGCACTTTTCACCTGAGCAAATGTCACCAAGATCTCATGCACGTCATCTGCCTTGGTGAGTATGCCGGCCTGAATGCAATCCACGGGAGGCTTCCACGTCCTCCTCACCAAATCCTTGCTGACCTTGCCCCACTGATTAGATCCTACTTTGATGACAGCTGAGATGCAACCTGGGTGCTGCCCCTGGGTGGGACTCAGCTTTGACAAGCCTGATTTAGCGCTCCATTTCTTTCCCTTATAAATCCTATCTTTAACCTCAGACCATTCATTGTTTAGGAATTCAAGGTCTCCTTGGGAGTCTCATGTCCTTGCCAAGCCTTCGCCAGGCTCTCGCCACTGCCGTTCCTCTACCAGCCCAAGTCTACATTCTGAGGCTCTAGGAACACGAGAGAGAACTCCAGTGCTCACATCCCATATTGACCCTCTTTATGTTCTTCAATTACCACCTACCTGAAAAAGCCTCAAAGTCTCAGGGGAACATTCTGGAGTCCCTGCTGCTGAAGAGGGTTTTTTGAGTTTTGGTCGTCTTCCAAAGTTTACTGTATGAAGTCTTAGTGCTTCACTGGAGTTTGTCATATGTCTGGATAATAAATAAGTTTCAAAAATGTAACTAACATAAGTTCCAGTTGAATTTCCAAGGCTAGCAGAATTGTGTTCTTCTTCCTCTCCCTTTCCCTCCTCCCTGCCTCCACCAACTGCCACAGCGTATATTAAAAGCTGACGTGCCAAACTTTGCCTTCCGGCAGAAATTACCTCGGAAATAAAGCTAAGATTCCAGGGGTCCTGGCCTTGAAGAGAATCTAATCCAAGAAGACAAGCGGAACTGAGAGGCCTAGGAAGACTTAAAGTTGGAAGGAAAGAATTCACAGCTAATTTGGAGGATAAACAGAAAAGTAGTTCAGCATAATGTGAACATTTTTCCATGTGCTACAGCAAAGGAAGAGGATTTGGGATATTTAAGGAGGAGAGTTGCCCTTTCCACCTTAGCCTGCTTTTCTCAGAGTTGGCATTCAACCACCAAAACAGCCAGAAACCAGAGGGCTGTTCCCACACCCACAATTTATATAGCTTTACTCCATTCATAGCAGGTAGATATCTAACGACACTTAAGGCTTCCTACCAAATTTTTACAATTTCATTTTATTGCTCATGATTCTCTTTTGCTACTTTCATCAGCTTTGTGTCCTGGAATTTCACTTAGCCTGGCAGGCCTTCCCTCTGCCACAGCTAAAAGAGAACTCAAATAGACTTTGTCTCGGGAGTGGGACATGACCCAGTCATATGGGGTAGCATATATCCCTTCCCGCACTAATTGTTCTGCTTTTTTAAATCCTTGCTTTCAAAAGAAATGTAATCCTTATGTTTCTACCTCATTTACACTTAATTTAGGAAAGCCCTCTTTCATAAGAGCTGTGTGATGTCCAAACAGCCTTCTTGACACACACGCCCCTCTTCAAGAGCCTCTAGAAGTCTTCCAAAGTCAGAACCAATGCCTTCTGACTCTAAATTGAAAATCCAATTAAACACGCAATTTAGGTGAATACCAGAAAGTTTACCCTTGAATTTTCAGCTAGCGCCTACTCTCACAAAAGTATTTGAGAGCATCGAAATTCTAGAATCTAGAAAAAGAATCTGTAGTGTGTGCTAACAATTTACTTCTCTAGCATCAATAATTTCTGACCCTGCAGCAAGTCCCAGCACCAGGAAGTGACGCATTTGAATTCCATAGGTCACCTTAGCATCTAGTAGCAATGCCCAAGACATGGGCTCCAGAGCATACTTCCTGCATTTGAATCCTACCTTTACATCATAAGTTATTTGTAAATATCAAATGAGTCAAAGCAGGCAAAGCACTTATTGTAGTGCTGGACGTAGTCACTACTCGGTCCCATTACCTGTGATCACTAGGCTTTTGCACACTGCTCTTGGTGCTTATTGGGAACAATATAAGAATTTACTGTATCTACAGGAAGATATTTCTGCAATTTTTGTAAAACTACTTTTAAAGATACTGCTCATTTTTCCTTTTAATGTCCCGTCTAGTAAATAAGCCTTTGTTAAAGTAATGTTAGATTACTCAAGCTAGAAAAACAGAAATGTGCCCTCCTGATTAACTAACAGGCTTCCTTTAACTTTAATATCATAAACACAGATGAGTGACTAGTTTTTCATTCTTATTTTATTCTTTGCTTTGGCTGTCAAAAAGTCAGGGTTTATGTTTGGCTATAGTAGCAATCCTGAGTTTAGCAATAATAATAGCTCTCAGTTATTTACGAAAAAAGTGCTAATGTTTAAGAGCATTTTGTAATGTTATTGTCTGATTTTTGCACTCCAAAAATAAAAATTAAAAGAGGGCAATTCCTGCAAATAAATATACCTGAAATTAATACACAAGAACTTTTTGAGCCACTTGCTTTATTCCTGTCCTGCCTCTGACCTATGTTATATTCTGATATAAACGGGAGAAAAATGTACATAGTCTAATGTTACAGATTTCAACAGCTGCTAAAATCACACAGTAATTGTTCCTTCACACTGTGTAGAGTTACACCATGGTGAATTTGCTGCTCATACACAAGGAAGGAAATCAGAATCTAGGCATTGATGAGTACTCATTAAATCAGACACACACAAAATGCTTTGATGCACTCTTCTTTCTTTTGTCTTTTACTCTAGTGCCATGTAAAATATACAGCCAAGACTTTCTGGAAGTTTCTGATTCTCCATTGCTCCACGGAACTGCACATGAATATAAAGCATACGAATGACCAGATCTGTGGCTACACCCATCAACTGCTTACTATCTCAGACACCCCAGTCCAGAGGACCATGAAAGGGAGCACAAATTCAAATTACAGTTCTTAGAGGTTCCAGATGGACTTTTCATTTATGATCTAAACTGAGATCATAAATGAAAAATTGAGAGAAAAAGAAGGCACAATGAATAATTTTGCCAGGACTATAGGTGTAAATACATACTAGACAAATTAGAATGCATAATCACCATACCTAACGGGCTCAGATTATTTCAAATCTACCATTGCAATTGCTGGTAGACTGGAAAGGATGTTGAGCCAAAATATTTCTGCACCTCCCTTTCCTTACTGATGTCTTAAATTTCACCATTACAGATTCATTCCTTTGGATTAGAAATTGTCAACCAGGGATAATTTTGCCACCAGGGGATATTTGCCTAATAATATTTTTCATTGTCACAACTGGGAGGGGGGCTGTCCCTGGCATCTAATGGATAGAGAACAGGGATGCTGCTAAACATGCTACGATGCCCAGAACAGTCCCCCACAACAAAGAAATTATCGAGCCCAAAGTGCCCATAGTGCAGACTGAGGTTTAGAAACCCTGCTTTGGATTAAGCAGTCTCTTCTGTTGCTCCCATTTGAAGATACATGAAGATCAAGAGGATGATAAGACAAGACACAGTCTGGGAGAAAATATTTGCAAAAGACATATCTGAGAAAAATCTATAACAGTTATCCAAAATATACAAAGAACTCTTAAAACTCAACAATAAGAAAACAATATGAATAAAAAAATGGGTAAAAGACATGGACAGACACCTCACCGAGGAAGAGGTACAGATGGAAAATAAGCATATGAGAAAATGCTCAACATCATATGTCACTAGGGAATTGCAAATAAAAACAACAACACTATTACACACCTATCACAACAGCCAAAATCCAGAACACTGACAACACCAAATGCTGGAAAGGATGTGGAACAACAGGAACTCTCATGCATTGCTGCTGGGAATGCAAAATGATACAGCTGCTTTGGACAGTCTGGCAGTTTCTTACAGAACCAAACATTTTTACCATAGATCTAGGAATTGCACCCCTTGGTATTTACCCAAAGAAGTTAAAATTTATACAGGTTTTATTTATAATTGCCCAAACTTGGAAGCCACCAAGATGTCCTTCAGTAGGCAAACAGAAAATTTAACTGTGGTACATCCAGGCAATGAAATAGTATTCAGTACTAAAAGGAAATGAGCTATCAAGCCATGAAAAGACATGGAGGAACATTAGTGCATATTATTAAGTGAAGGAAGCCAATCTGAAAAGTCTACATATTGTACGATTCCATCTATGTCACTTGTTTGAAAAGGCAAAATGATGGAGACGGTAAAATGATCAGTGGTTGCCAGGGGTTAGGAGGAGGAAGTGATGAATAGGCAGAGCACAGAGGGTTTTTAAGGCAGTGAGATTATTCTGTATGATGCTATAGCAGTGTATACATACCATTATACACTTGTTAAAACCCATAGACTGTACAGTACCAAGAGTGAACCCTAGTGTAAATGGTAGACTTTGGGTAGTAATGATGTGCCAATGGAGGTTCATTGATTATAACAAATGTGCCACCGTGGTGCAGGATTTTGATAGTCGGGGAGGCTGTTCATGTGTGGGGGGCATATGAGAACGCTCTGTATCTTTTGCTGAATATTCCTATGAACTTAAAACTGCTTTAAAAAAAGATACATGAAGGACACACATAAGTCCCTCATACTTCATATAGAATGATTTTATCAAATGGTAAGAGAAAGTGATAAATGCAGGAGTAGCAAGTAAAAATATTACTGTCTTTAGATTATTGCATGTGCTGACTCTACTGTAGTGGACTGGGGGTGGTCAGGAGATGAGGGAGCTGACTGCAATTAGCTGATGCTTCGGGAGAAGATATAAAAATCATATATTCATTTATTAATTTCACTAGCCAAATTTTATTAAGCCCTGCTGTTGGCCAGAGCCTTAGGGATTTCCCATAAGCCTCCCATTTCCATAGTGGAAAACAACCTAAAGCTTGAACTAGTGAAGCCTAACATCCTGGCCATTCTGCTGCCCCCAGAGGCCACCATTTACCATGCAGTCACAAGACCTATGCTGGCATCATCAAAACTTTGAGTATGAACCTTAAACTGAGGCTACAGCGTCCCCAAATGTGGCATGATTGGTTTTACTCAATGATTATGCATTCCAGTTATTCATCTTGTGGGTAGATTTGAACTGCAGCAGTACCCTGCGTTTTAGTGTGTAGAATGGGTGAAGTTGAAATGAGTGGGAGAGAAGGAAGACATTTATCTAAAGAAGCATTTCCCTTAGTGTCCCATGCATGCCAATGATTGCCTTCCGTACTCTTCTGATGTCCTAACCTAAACTATAGAGTTTGTCCTGTCCCACTAGCTTCAGACCTTACAGACATACAGGGCGTATCCAGACAACAACTGGTAATACCAACCCTAGTTACACTGATGACACCAAGACCCTATGCAGATGCCTCAGAGTGAATGTTGCTACAGAAAGACAGACTAACTAAATTGATGGTGGGATTAGCATGTGCTGAACCCTAGTAAAAGCAATTTATTTTTTTGTCTCATTCCAGGCAGCCGTGGTGAGATTTTTCCCCACCCCACCCCCCAAAATAGAGAATCCTTGGTTTTCCCAAAAGTAGCATAATTTTCCTGATGTAAACGGTAGATACTGCCATAATCTCTTGTCAAAGATTTCTTCAGGAGGAATAATTTTTCTGTGAAACTTCAATTAAGGAAAGAAGTAGCTCAGTGAGTATGCAAACATATAACAGGTGTAACTCTGAAACTTCCACTGCAAGTATTATTCTATGCAAAATATTATTTTTTCTTTTTATATATGATGGGGAGGTGAGATTAAGAATTATTTTAGACCCCATTGAACCACTCCCCGTCTTTACATTTCTTCCAGTTATCCTTTCATCTTCTAAGTGCCTATATTTTGAAGTTTTCAATTCCCTTTTGTTTCTGACTTCTGTTTCTAGTTTTTTATAATCCTCCTTTCACTGCCTTTCTTTTGGTTCAATCTGATGCCTTTCTTATTTCATTCTCTTTACTACAACATTTTCTATGTGTACTTTTGCACTTATTTCCACTGCCTTTTTGCTCCCAGTTTTAGTGTCTAATCTCCTTTATCTGTTGTGTGTGTATGTTTTGCTTTTTGCCACTAATGATAATTATTTTTACTTCTGAGGATTGTTTCTTTCTTTCAAAAAAAGATTTAGAATGTGAACATTTTATCTGTTCTCATTTGTGGTATCTTTGTTTATTTCTTGAGTCTTCCAGTTTGGAACTCTCTCTCTCTGCCACAAATTCTGCCCTTCAGAAACTCTTTTACAACATGCCATAGTGTGTGGCTCCATCTAATTAAGAGAACAGGAAAAAAAAAAAAACCCAGATGATGAAAAAATTGGGCTGAGATTATCAGCCACCAATATTTTGGTTTGTTAGAGGACTTTCTCCTTTTGTTTGAGGGGGTGGAGGGGCTGTCCACTGCAAATATACCTCTCTATGCCTTGATGACATGTGCATTGGAGGAGTTTCTGGCACAGACATTTAATAGCCTTCAATGGTCTCTGAAGGAAATTAGTCAGTGTTGCCAAAAATATCAGAGAACTAAGCAGAAGAGTAGAAATATCATGGAGAGTAGGCTAAGGGATTAAGAAGCTAAGAAAGAACTGGAATGTTCAATTGGTTAAGGAAAATCTGAGTATGGATAAAAAACACAAAGCCTATGTCTGTGAATGTCCTAGAAGCTGTGTTATATCATTTCACCTGTTACTTTGATGAATTACTATTTACTGTAGTGAAGCCATGTTACACCATCCATGTGGGTCAAGCTTCCTTTTTAAAAATCTGACCTCAGGTTCCCAACACCTAGTCTCCTAAGGAAGAATAGCAGGAACTTTAACTCGTAATTAGGAATTAACAATTCGAATGTTTCTGTATGTGACTCTGCAGATACATCTTTTAAAAAACACACAGAAATTAGGCAGCTTCTAATATTTTTTAAATAGGTAGGCCACTGGCTTGGGGTGGAATTGTTCCTATGTGTATTATTTATTTGGAAGAGAATTTGCCTGAGCTAACTAGATTGCAAATCGGCATGTAATGTAAATTTATTGAGGGTTAGAGGTATGTCTTTTACAACCGTATATCCCTGGAGAACCTACTGCATAGCTCTGTACATTGTTAGCACTTAACAACTATTTGTTGAAACAATGCACAAAGGAATAAACAGCAAATTTTGGTAAAGTTGGAAGGGACCCCAAGTGATCAGCATGTGCTTCTCCATCCGGAATGAGGTAAATGGACAAGTGCACACGAAGGCTTCCTTCTTTCCTGGATTCGCTTTTAATATAGGAACAACAGGGTCAGTTCCTTGTTCTTGAGGATTCATGGGGATTGGAACTTACAAGCCAAGTTCCCAATTTACAGAGTATGTGGAAACAGTTTGACGGACAAACTCCATAAGGACAAAAGTGTATCACTTATCAATCACCTTCAGCAACCAAACTGGGCGTTCAGAACAGCCCTTGTTAAGTAACCATATAGGTGAGGCAGCACAGGAGATTCAAACAAAATCAAATACGAAGAGACTGAAATAATGCTTTCTGAGAACTGATATTCCCAAGTTGGCATACAGATCTAGTTAGACACAAAGCCATTCTCTTTCCCATAAATTCAGGGAATACTAGGCTAAACCAAAAGCCTGTCTTATTTTAGTTGATTGGACTAAAATAAAAAGGGGGCTCTCTAAAAGTAAAAGGAGACAAAACGAAAAGACTTCACAAGTGTAGTTAGAGAATTTACAGCAGGAAGCAGCAGTTTGTTTTTCCTTCCGACTTTACAGCCTGTGACTGATGACTAGTTAGTGAGTAAGCAAGTATAGAGTAAGTGTAAGGAAATGATAATCATTTCTTATCATACTGATAATCGTATCAGTTTAATAGTAAGCGAGTGTGCTTTGTGTTGGCAAGACTCTAATTCAAAGTAGTATTTCTCCAATATGGACCTTGGGATTACTTTTAGCACATTCACCACCTTGTAAGCAAGACTTTGGCCTTCTTCATGGCACAGATATTTACTGGGCAATACCTTGCAGCACACACTAGGCACTGGAGATAAAGAAATCAAGGAGGTAGCGACTGCCTTGTGGAAGGGCGGTTTCGTCATGCCAACACAACCTAAGGGAAGCTCAGAAATTCCATCCTCAATGGCTTTTTCCCCCGAAAAGCATAATACATACAGTAGTTCCCCCTTATTTGTGGTTTGTTACCTGTCGTCAATTGAGGACAAAAAAAAATCAAATGGAGAATTCCAGAAATAAACAATTTATAAATTTTAAATTGCCCATTGTTTTGTGGTGATGAAATCTCTCACCGTTCCACTCAGCCCTGCATGGGACATGAATCATCCCTTTGTCTAGGGCATCCATATCCACACTGGATATGCTACCTGCCTGTGGGTCACTTAGTAGCCATGTTGGTGATCAGATGGACTGTTATGGTATTGCAGTGCTTGTGTTCAAGTAACTCTTATGCTTCTTAATAATGACCTCAAAGTGCAAGAGTAGAGATGCTGGCATATTGTTATAATTGTTCTACATTATTATTCATTACTGTTGATTTCTTACTGTGGCTAATTTATCAATTAAACTTCATAATAGGTATTAATGTATATGAAAAACATGGTACATATAGAATTTATATCTGCAGTTTCCGGTATCCACTGAGGGTCTTGGAACATATTCCCCACAGATAACAGGAGATTACTGTATATTGGTTGATTTGAATGGATTTCCTTCCCCCACCTTGCCACCTGATTCCACCACAACCTCTTCGAATAGACCCCATAATTCAGACATGATAATGTCATGGTCTCTAACATGACAGTATTTCTTTTAAAGACTTTTAAATGAGTCTATATGTTGGCAACAGCAATTTCATGTGCATTTTTCTTGATAAATTTTGATTAGCTAATGAAGTATAGCAATACCTAATATTTATAATACCTCCTAATTCAGCCTCACATAAAAATTTAAATTAAATATTTAACATAGCATGTTGTGGTTACTTTGAAATGTTATGTGCTGAGGTAGGGCACTGATTTGTTTACTAAGCACTGACAAATATATTATGTTTTATTTACTCTCAGTATCACTTTATTGTTGCCTTCCTTCTACTTCAGTTATGTCTTAAAATAACTGTTACGTACTTTAGCAATAACACATATAGCAGAAAATTTGGAAAACAAATAAAAACTCAAAAGAAACAGGAAAATAAGTTACCCCAAATCCTGTCGCACGTGGGTGGCTTCCATTATGTTTGGCAAAGCCTTATAATGTTTTTTTCATGTATCTTATGTTGCTTGACAAAAATTGTATCACATTATATTTACAGCTTTGAGCCTGTTTTTCTCTTAACAACATATTGGGGGCTGTTTTCCCATGTCAGCAAAGATTCTGTTAAATGGCTGAATAGCATCAAAGTGTGTTATTCTTAAGCTGCTGCATGCTGCCTTGCCATGGGCCAGCGGAAATACAGCCCCAGAAGCAGTGGTTTTATCCAGACCAAGAAGCCATTCTTTGCATTCTCGGTGGAGGGTCCTCCCCTTAGGAATGTGGAGCTGATGATGCCAAGTGTGTCCTTGACCTTCTGGGCAGGATGGAGAGCTCCTCTATTTTCTCAGGCTTCTGCCTGATAAGGGTGATCAAACAGCAAGATTCAAGATTTATTACTCAGGAATCTAATTTATTTGCAGTTGTTTAGAGCTTTCACTGGTGTCCTGATCCTTTTATCCATTTGCTGCCTTGTTTTAGAAACTCATCTGTTGAAACCAGTATCAATCAACAAAACCCCAGTTTGCACCCTATTTACAATTCTGAATCAGTTTCTTTTCTGTTTTAGTGTTTCTCTTCTTATGTGATTGCTCCTATAGTGGTCAATATAATTATATCATATTTGGCTAGTTGTTTAAAAATGTAACTCCAATGGAAAATTTACCTCAAAATTTGACTTCGATGTGTACATGAATGGATGTATTTACCTATATCTATTATATTGTTATATATGTAATTTTTAATAATGCAAGCTCCAATTTTTAAAAACATTTTTCTCTTGAATGTATCAGTTATAAAATTTCTGAAGTTATTAAATCCTGTGACGTGGCATCTTGATGCTTTTTTTTTTTTTGAGATGGAGTCTTGCTCTATCACCCAGGCTAGAGTGCAGCAGTGGCATGATCTTGGGCTCACTGCAACCTCTGCCTCCTGGGTTCAAATAATTCTCCTGCCTCAGCCTCCCAAGTAGCTGGGATTACAGGTGCCCACTACCACCCCTGGCTAATTTTTGTATTTTTAGTAGAGATGGGGTTTCACCATGTTGGCCAGGCTGGTGTCGAACTCCTGACCTCAGGTGATCCACCCACCTCGGCCTCCCAAAGTGCTGGGATTACAGTCATGAGCCACCATGCCCAGCCAATGCATTTTAGATTCTAGGTTTTGGAAGTCCTAGAAAAGCTTATGATAATCAAAAACAATACATTATTTCTAAACCATGACATAAAATAGTAATAATGAACAGTTCTGACGCTCATGCCAAGTGTGCTCTAGTTGAGCACTTTTCATATTTTATTTCAATAAACTTCTTAAAACAACTCAAAAACAGTTACTATTATGGGCCCCATTACTGCAGACGAGGGAAACACAAGTGAGAATTTCTTAAAAGCCTAATTTTTCACTACCTTTTTCCTCTAAGAAGGTCAATATGAATCTCAGTGCCAATTGCTCCCCACTTAAAGTTAATAATGGCACTATTAATAGCAATATGAGTCATCATTCATTGGGTGCATATCATGAGAAGCAGGTACTTTATAAATATTATTCCTAATCCTCATGTGGTAGGTTGCATTTGTAGCTACAATAATCTCTCCTTTCCACATGCTCCTTTGCAATGTGACCTAGCCAACGTCCCATCAAGAAGAGATTTTCTCCAACCCGTCCAATCTCCACTCCCTCAATTTCTCCACCCCATCCAATAAGGGTGGGCCCTATGACTGCTTTGATCAAGGGAATACAGCAGAAGTGACATTATGCCAGTTTCAAGACTCAGGCCTTATGATTTTACCTGCTTCCACTTCCTGCCTCACAGAATATTTGATATGGGGACCTAGCTACTGTGTAAGAAATGTGAGTACTCTGGGACCACCATGTCATGAGAAACCCAAGCTATATGGAAAGGCCCAAGAATAAGGGTCAGTAAACTATAGCCCATGGGCCAAATCTGGCTCATCACATTCTTTCTAGCTAAGAATGGCAGGGAGGGGCAGCCAAAAGAATAACAACAGTCTGCGATATGTAAAAAGTATATGAAACTTAAATAAAATTTTATTGCAACTGTCACACTCATTTGCTTACTTATTGTCTGTGGCTGCTTTCATGCTACAATGGCAGAGTTGAATAGCTGTGACAGACATCATAAGACCCTTGAAGCCTAAAATATTCACTATCTGGACCTTTACAGGAAAAGTCTGCAACCCCCACCCTTAGAGGATAAGAGGGAGAGGCCAGGAAGCATCAAGGAGCTAATACATATAAGTATATAAATATGCCATACATCTCAAACCTTCCACCTCCAGCCAACTCAACTGATGCCACGTGGAACAGAGACAAATTACCCAGCTGAGTCCTTCCCAAATTCCTGATCAACAATTTAGCAAAAGCAAAATAAATGGCTGTTTTAAGGCATTAAGTTTTGAGTAGTTTGTTACATAGCAAGAAATAACTGAAACACCTTACAACCACCCTACAAAGGAAGATGTTGTTATGCAAATATTTGGGTGAGGAAATGGAAGCTCAGAAAGATTAAATAACTTACTCAAGTTCACACAGCTGGCAAATAAGGAGCTCGGATTTCAACCCAGGTCCTTTCAATTCCTTAGCTTTATTCGTGATACAGTAGCCCCATAATATTCAGCCTTTACTCTATTGCAATACATTTTATGCCCATGTCAGTCTTCATTAACTCAATAAATGTGTACTGATAATTGTCACCACAGGTAAGCACTGCACTAAGCTTTGTGGGGAAACAAGAGATGTAATTTAGATGGAATCTGAAAATTTTACTTAACTTTTTACTTAGCTAAGAAGACCAAGGGTTATTATAATGTGATGATGGATGAAATATTATAAATTCAAATTTGACACATTTACTCTGAAGGTGGTGGCCTACAGAATCCCATTCTAGGTAATAAAACTTTCAGAAAAGCTATTTGTTTGATCTTTATGTCACAGTTCTAGGACTTTTCTTTAAGGAGCAAGTTGTCAGCAGTCACTGAAGAGATGGCTTGGAAGCTCATCCTGCCTACCCGCAAAGTCAGTTACACGTTAGTGTTTTACTTTGTTTTTTAATTTCAGATTAACTGACCTCTTCCATGTTCAAACCATATGTAATTGTAATTGAATGGAAGTTAAACATCTGGAAACCGTTAGGATTGAATAGCAATGAAAGGCAGGAAGCACAAGACTATGGAAAGTGATTTTGAACAACCAGGGTAAGGAATGTAAAGAAAACTATTTAAGCATATTCCAAGTTGTCTGCCATTATGATACACTCTAAAGGTCATTACTGGAGATAGTCACTCTGAAGTGAAGGCTGTCAACTAGGAACACAGCTAGATGAAATACAGTATGGTGAAAATGGAGGTAACTATGGGTTTAAAGGTCATTTCCTTGTTTATCAAGGGCCCTAGTTAGGTGTAGGCTGCTTGAGAGCCAAAATATGTAACCTTTATAATATTTGATAGTCAGTGGTTTGTTGGGACCGGTACATACCAGCTTACAATAACTGATTACATTTTTAGGAATTTTTGTGGGCCGATTGTTGAAATTTGCCATGGTAGGAGCACTTATACCATGGAATCTGGCAAATACAGTAAGTCAGAGCTCTTTTTTAAGAGAGCCAGTTCAGCAGCACACCATTAAGACAGAGTCAATTAAAAATGATTAGCCAGTAGTCCAAAATTCTTTAGAGTGTATGATAAACTATAAGGCATTGATTACATTTATGCTCTTCAATAATTTTTAGTGACATGAGAAACAAATCTGGTAGCAAAACTATAGCTCCAGTACAGTCCCCAAAATGCTAAAACATATAGCTCTATATAGAAAATTATAAGAAAGAAAATACATCAGTGTCTTCACAGTGGTTATCTTTGGGTTGTAGATTTACAGGTAACTGTTGTTTCATGCATTATATCTTTCAAGTATTCTATAAGCATTGCTTTCTTAATTAAACAACCCACTAAAAATAACATACCTAAGTATTAACCTTTTTAAATTTTGTGTACAGGAATGACAGAGGAAGGGTTTACAGGAAGAAAGTTTGGAAGAGGAGGACTTTCTCTTCTTAACTCATGCAGTCCTGTGAGAAAAGGGTTGAGGAGAAACCATTATGATTAAATTGGAGCTAGGAGTTCAGCTAGGGTCACAGAGGGAATGAGTAGAGAAGCAAAAGACAAATGAATAGAGAGAGGCAGGAAAAGGGAATACTAAAATAGGGATCAGAAATTGTATCCCTAGCAGCTATATTAAGAAGCCATGTCATAGTCATTTCACTTTTTGAGCATCAATTTTTTCATCTCCAGGGTGTGCAGGCCACACTAGAAAACAATGCACAAATTTCATTTTAATCAAGATGTTCTAAGTGAACTTCCTCTTAAGGGCAGCCAGCTCTCAGGGTGGGTGTGCAGCAGCATAAGACTCACCTGGCAAAGGAAAATAGAGGAATGTTTGCTGGAGAGGAAGGAAGGGAATTGTGCAAGATGAGAGTAGAGGGGTGTCGTTTAGTGAGGGTGCTGGAAGAAAACTGTCCTAATTGTGAAACCTCAATGGTAGTATCAAAGGGATGTTTGGGGACAAAAATATGGTTCCACTTTTGTTTTATTTTATATGTAGATAAAGAATCCTTGCTCTCACAGGCACATTTCTAACTTCTACCAAGGAATTTCTGAATGTAGTCTGTATGATGAGATCCCTGATTGTGTGTTATAATAACAGAATCAGGAGTCTTCATTAGAAGATTACTCTGAAACTAAATAAATTTTGTTTAGTAATGTTTTAAACACATCTTTTAAGGTCCAGATTATTTTCTAGGATCACATTATAAAAAAGATCTTAAAAATATAATAGAATTTTTTTTTTTTGAGACGGGGTCTCATTTTGTCACCCAGGCTGGAGTGCAGTGGGTGATCCCTGCTCACTGTAGCTTCAACCTCTTCAACCTCAAGCGATCCTCTTGCTTCAACACTCCAAGTAGCTGGGATTACAGGCACCCACCACCAAGTCCAGCTAATTTTTGTATTTTTCACAGAGACGTGGTCTTACCATTTTACTCAGGCTGGTCTCGAACTCCTGAGCTCAAGTTGTCCACCCGCCTTGGTTTCCCAGAGTGCTAGGATTACAGGTGTGAGCCACAGCACCCAGCCTAGTAGAATTTTTATTAGTTGTTAACTCTGACACTAATGTAGTTAGAAAGAGGTAGAAACCAATGGCTCAGTATATTACTTTATCTGTGGGTTCCAATTATCTATACAAAGTTGTTGCTTATTTCTACAATAGTTTCACGACTATTATAGTTATTCTCACTCATCTTGAAGAAAAAAAAATCCCCTGATGTGATAAAGTACAATGGTTCCAACTCACATATTTAAAACGTAATAAAAGCTTAAACTTTAATTGTTTTACAAAACTTGATTTAACGCATGCCATGTGTGCCTTTTTTTCAAGGAGATCTGTATTTTTCAAACGACTTTGTAAGTCAGTGTCATGTACACATATGATGTGGGAGCTAAATGGTTATCTCCATTTTAATTGTATTTTTGAGACATTATAAGAAAAACATCAATGTTGCATTCCACTGGGTCCCTCTTCCCAAACAGACCTGGATGAGTCTAGCTTTGCCCAGGACCGTGCACTTCCGTGTTATGTGGGGCTGGGTGTTGAGGACATCGACACATCTGTAACCAAACCAGTGAACCTCAGTGGGAGCTGAGAGCCATGTCTCTGGAATGAGGGCCTCTCATTCCTTTGTTCTCGATATTTCCTGGCAACGTGTACACAAGCACATGCTATTAACAGATGGTAGAAGGCATAATTGGGATTTTTATCATAACATATCCCTCATGCTTCCACCATGCGCCAAAGAAGAAGAGATGCATGGACTAACTAGCTTCGTCACAGCAGGACTAAAACCCCCTACTGTACTTCAAACCTCCCAAGACCCGAGTCCCTCCATGACAGATTCAACCACTCAGTTAGATGTGGTTTTCAGTCAGAAGTACAGAGCCAACTTTGGCAGACACGTTCATTCAGATTCCTTTTAAGATCAGTTGTTAATATGAGAGAGACTGGAGCCTAGTTTATCTGGTAAGTTGAGGCATACATCTGTGCTGCAGAGCTGAGGCCTATGGAATTGGCAGAGAGCCCTAAACTTTGTACAGACAACTGCGCCTCATAACCCACACAGATGAAAAGGTCTCCTTTGCTTAACCCCATAGCTATGTGCTGAGCAAGACAGAAAGAAAGCAGGAACAAGTATGGCAAAGAACTTAGCCAAAGAAGCTTAAGAGGATTATTTTTGATTTTTTGCTGTTGATGTTCAAATCTAGTGTGTGCCTTCTCAGTTCAAAATTGATTACCCAGGTCTGCTTTATAAAACCATACATACATAGTGCATATTTTTAAGAGAAAATTAATTCTTCGTAATTTATAAGTCTCTAAAGAAGTACTGTTCATAATGTTCGTATAACTCTTGTGCATTTATGCAGCTTGCATCATCCAAAGAATTTGAGGGGTTTTGTTAAAAGTATCTGCTGGCTGGGAATATTTTACATTACACCCAGGATGATTAAAATCGCAGGGCTATCCTTTGGGCACATGCCTGAGCATTGTAGTCAGTGAGGTTTATATTTAGTGGTCAGTAGCATAGCTAAAGAAGTACCTCAGAGAGCTTGAAATCTAACATGGTGGTGGTTATAGCTGGTGGTTAGGAGCTGGGAATCAGATGGTTGGGTTCAAATCTGACCCTTTCTCCTACCAGCTAAGTGACTTCGATCAACACACTCAACTTCTCTAAACCTTGATTTCCTTATTTGTAAATAGGCATGAAAATATTATCATGGGGTTAATTATATCATTATAAAATATTTTAAAATATGTAAAAGAGATCATTATAAAATATATAAAATATCAGGGTTGTGAATTTTAAATGAAGTAACATGTGAAAGTACTTACCATAATACCTGTTGCATAATATGTGCTAAATAAACATTAGCTATTATTTATACAAAGTGATAAACAGGGCTACATAATTTTCTGGCCCCACAGCAAAATGAAAATGTGGGACCCTTTGTTCAGAAAGCAATGCAAAAAAAAAAAAGTGCTGTTAAAGGTACTTAAAAAAAGCTTTTTATTCTCTTTCGTGCTCTCTCTCGGCTTGTGATGGTGGTGTTGTATTTAATTACTAGACTTTAGTTTTTAGAGCAATTTCAGATTTACAAAAAAAAAAAAGAAAAGAAAAAATAAGAAAGTGGAAAGTGGAGTTCTCATATTACTCCCTCCAGGTTTCCACTATTGTTAACATCTTGCATTTAGTGTGGTACATTTGTTATACCTGACAAACCAATATAGACACATAGTTACTAACTAAAATCCATAGTTTATATTAGAGTTCACTCTTAATGTGTTTAGTTCTACATGTTTTGAAAAATGCATAATGTCATATATCTACCATTACAGTATCATACAGAATATTTTCTCTGATCAAAAATATCCTTTGATAACTGGCTAATCATATGCAGAAAAATGAAACTGGATCCCTATCTTTCACCATATACAAAAATTAACTCAAGATGAATTAAAGACTTAATTGTAAGACCTTAAACTATAAAAATCTTAGAAGAAAACTTTGGAAACACCATTCTGGACATAGCTTTGGGAAAGAATTGATGACTACATCCTCAAAAGCAATTGCAAGAAAAACAAAAATTGACAAGTGGGACCTGGTTAAACTAAAGGGCTTCTGTACAGCAAAAGAAACTATCAACAGAGTAAACAGGCAACCTGCAGAATGAGAGAAAATATTCACACACTATGCATTCAACAAAGATCTAGTACCTGGAGTCTTTAAGGAACTTAAAGAGTTGAACAAACAAAAAACAACTCCATTAAAAAATGGGCAAAAGACATGAACAAACACTTGTCAAAAGATGACATACAAGTCACTAACAAACATGAAAAAATGCTTATCATCACTAATCATCAGAGAAATGCAGATCAAAACCACAATGAGATACCATCCCATACCAGTGGGAATAACTATTATTAAAATGTCAAAAAACAACAGATGTTGGTGAGATTGTAGAGAAAGGGAAAGCTTATAAACTGTTGGTGGGAATGTAAATTAGTTCAGACACTATGGAAAGCAGTTTGGAGATTTCTCAAAGAACTTAAAACAGAACTACCATTTGATCTAGTAATCCCATTACTGGGTATATATCCAAAAGAACACAAATCATTCTACCAAAGGGACACTTAATACTTGCATGTTCACTGCAGCACTATTCACAATAGCAAAGACATAGAACCAACCTACATGCACATCAATGAAGGGTTGGATAAAGGAAATGTGGTACATATACACCATGGAATACTACACACTCATGAAATAGAACAAAATTGCCTGGCCAACGTGGTGAAACCCCATCTCAACTAAAAATACAAAAAAAAAAAAAAATTAGCTGGGCATGGTGGCAGGTGCCTGTAATCCCAGCGATTCAGGAGGCTGAGGCAGGAAAATCACTTGAACCTGGGAGGCAGAGGTTTCAGTGAGCGGAGATCGTGCCATTGCACTCCAGCCTGGGTGACAAGAGTGAGACTCTGTCTCCAAAGAAAAAAAAAAAAAAGAAAAAGAAAGAAAGGAACAAAACTGTGGTCTTTGCAGCAACATGGATGGAGCTGGAGGCCATCATCCTAAGCAAATTAATGCAGGAACAGAAAACCGAATACCACATGTTCTCACTTATAAGTGAGAGCAAAACATCGAGAACTCATGGACATAAAGGTGGCAACAATAGACACTGGGGACTATTAGAGAGTTGAGGAGGGGTTGAAAAACTAACAGTTGGGTACTATTCTGTATCTGGGTGACAGGATCATTTGTACACCCAACTTCAGCATCATGCAATATAACCAGGTAACAAACTTGCACATGTACCTCCTGAGTCTAAAATAAAAGTTGGAGCTGGGCGTGTTGGCTCACGCTTGTAATCCTGCCACTTTGGGAGGCTGAGAGGGTGGATTACTTGAGTCCAGGAATTTGAGACTAGCCTGGGTAACACTGGCAAAACCTCGTCTCAACAAAAAAGTACAAAAACCTTAGCTGGGCATGGTGGGCACACCTGTAGTCCCAGCTACCACTGAGGCTGAGTTGGGAGGATCACTTGAGCCCAGGAGGTGGAGGTTGCAGTAAGTCAAGATTGCACCACTGCACTGCAGCCTGGGTGACAGAGGGAGACCCTGACTCAAAAAAAAAAAAAAAAGTTGAAAAAAAAAGAAGATTCCTTGTGCTTTGCTTTTGCATCCTTTCCCCACTATTTCCCCCAATCCCTGGAAACCACTGATCTTTTAATTGTCTCTATAGTTTTGCCTTTTCAGGTGTCATATAGTTGGAATTACATAATATGTAGCTTTTTCAGACTAGCTTCTTTTACTTAGCAATATGAATTTAAGCTTTCTCTTCCATGATTTTTTATGGCTTGATAGCTTATTTTTATTGCCAAATTTCATTGTATGGATATGCCACAGTTTATTCATTCATCTACCAAAAGACATCTTGGTTACTTCCAATTTTTGACAACTGTGAATAAATTTGCTGTAAACATTCATGTGCAGTTCTTTTGTGTGTGGGCATAAGTTTTTAACTCATTTTGATTTTAGCCATTCTAATAGGTATGTGGTGGTATCTCATTTTTGTTTTAATCTGCAAATTTGTAACAGCATATGATGTGGAACATTTTTTCATATGCTTACTTGCCAGCTGTATATCGTCTTTGCAGAGGTGTCTGTTCAGATCTTTTGCTCTCTTTCTAATTAGATTGTTTGTTTTTTGTTGTTGAGTTTTAAGAGTTCTTTGTATATCCTGGGTAACAGTCCTTCCTCAGATATGTCCTTTGCAAATATTTTTTCTCAGTCTGTGCCTTATCTTTTCATCATCTTAATGAAATTTTTCACAGAGCAGACATGTTTTATTGTAATGAAATCCAACATCAATGTTGTCTTCTAGAAGTTTTATAGTTTTACATTTAGGTTTGTCATCCATTCTAAGTTAATTTTTGTGTAGTATAAGGTTAGATTCTATATTCATTTTTTGCATGTGGATGATTAATTGTTCCAGTATCATTTATTGAAAATATTATCCTTTCCCCAGTGAATTAACTTAGCTTTGTCAAAGATCAGTTGACAATACTGTGTAGGTCTTTTTCCAGATTCTCTATTCTGTTCCTGTGCTCTATTTGTCTATTCCTTCACCAATACCACATTGTCTTGCTTACTGCAGTTTGTAGTAACTCTTGAAGAAGTATAGTGTCAATCCTCTGACTTTATTCTTCTTCAATATTTTGTTGGTTATTCTGGGTCTTTTGCCTCCCTATGTAAACTTCAGAATCAGTTTGTTGGTCACCACAAAGTAACTTTCTGGACTACTTTATTGAAATTGCATTGAATCTGTAGATCAACTTGGGAAGAACTGATATTTTAACAACACTGAGTCTTCTTATCCATGAACATGGAATATCTCTTCATTTATTAGTGATCTACTTTGATTTCTTTCATTAGAGTTTTGTAGTTTTCTTCTTGTACCCATGAGATCTTATAGATATTTTGTTAAATTCATACATAAATATTTTATGTCTTTTATTTGCTATTTAATGTTGTTCTGAGCTTAAAAATTAAAATGTAAATTTTACCATTCATCTCATATCATGCAATTCCAGTTTTAAGTGCAAACATAAAACATTTAATTCATATGTAGAATCACCAGAATTACACAGTGGAAAATCTGTACCGAATGTATGTCCGTGAAAACAGCCCAGCTGGTAAATGAGAAGTGGTGGAGATGCAGGTAGTACAGCTGATCACAGAAGGATGTTAACTAACTAGAGAACAAAGAATACTTCAGCTGGAAAGGAAATAATGTTGATCTCTAGTTCAAGAAACAAGGTCCCAAATGAAAAGTGGCCAGGGTCACACAGGTAAAGAGTGATGAGAACCTCTCTTACCATCCAAGCAGCATTGTTGAAATTCACTATGTGATATTAGTTCAGGTTTCTTATATACTGGATTTCAGTTCTGCTGACATTCAAAATTTTATTGAGCTTGACTAGATACTTCTGGGAATATTCAGATATACACACTGTGAGTCCAAGTAGAATCCCAAAGCAGTTACAACTGTCACAGATGTAGCAATACCTTTGTCCCCAAAACTTGTTGAAGGAGAGACTGAATTAGAACTAGTCACACTGACATGTTTTTAATATTAGGCATTGATTTCTGCTGGGAAATATAAGAGGCATCTTCCTTCATGGGGGAGAAAAGTGACGGGTGTGTATGTGTTCTTGGCAGGAGTTTTTGCCATCTGAGCCAGGCTCAGATGGGGAGAACATCAGATTCAGAAGAGACCTCAGAGATAAACTCATTCAGTGGCTTTTAAACTGTGTTCTAGGGATCCACACGCATTTCATTACATTTATTTTATTATTTGAAAAACTAAGTTAAAAAAGGCTTACTACTCAAATGTGTTACAGATCAAGGCTTGATGTGGTAGAAATCACAGATCATGATAATCTTCAAATGTCTCATGAGGAAATGCCATACACAGTAACTTATGAAAGAGGTATACTACTTTTATCTGTGCTATGCATTGGGGAGCCATACAAGACTTCATTTTACGAAAGGATTCCCTTGCATAAAGTTAAGTTTGAAAACCACTGATCTATTCATCCCCCTCCAAATAAGCCTCTAAGAACTGTTGATAGATTCATAATACATGTTTAACAAATTTCAGCCATCATTATTTCCTACAGATAGAGAAATTGAGGCCTAGGTTGACTAAATGACTTGCCCAACACATCCAGATATTTAGCAGCAAAGCCAGAATTTTACCTGTGTCTTAACTCCTAGATCATTTTTCCTTTCACTCTATTGCAACCTCCAGATTCCATCCCCAACAAAACAGCTATGATATTAAGTCTTCCAGGCATAGGCTGTATTTACTGTCCCTTTGATCTATCCTTTTCTTAGTCCTGGGAGCCAAGAGGGGAAAAGAGAAAGAGAGAGAGAGAGAGAAAGAGAGAGAGAGAGAGAGAGAGAGAGATCTCACCAGAGGACTCACCAAGATGTTCTTATTTTGACATCTTTAACGTTGAAAAGGGACAAAAAAGTGACAATCCTGCTTTTAAATGTTTATCCCATTTTCCTTATAAAAACACTTATATGTGGCAGACCATGTATCCTAAATTTTGATCAGAAATGTGATCTTTCTTTCAGTGGTCCCAAAGATAACCAATTGTTTAGAGCCTAGAGGAAAGGGAAGAACCCACATCTACCATGAATGAATAAATGGTGAGTTCTGACCATCATCCTCCAACTCTTTTTTTTTTTTCCCAACTCTACAAACTGTGGCACTACACACAAATTTAAGGTATCCACAAACCCCACTTTTGAAAACTTTTGTCACTTATGCAGCCTGTTCTGAAGATACTTTCAAACCATTCCTTCTCCCTCCTTCTCCCATTCTCTATACATCGACATACCCTTGTCTATGCCTGTCTTTCTAGTCTTTGAACACCTCCAAATTCAGGCTTAGAGCAACAAATGAGTAAATGAGGAAAAAATTAAAGCCGTAAACCTCTTTACAAAGGCTTATATATATGATTAGAATATTATTGTAATATCTACATGGCAAATAATAGGAACTCAATAAATACTTGAATTAATAAATTTGTTTTACATATTTTTACTGAATATTTCTTATTTTCTGCCTACATGTTAAAGTGATTGTTGAAAAGTACACAGATTGATAAAATGAATAACTCAGTAAGCAAAGCTGCCTTTATAGGGAGGTTCGGCCCATGCCCCGCAACACTAGGCTACTTACTGGTGGATTTTAGTGATGGTGATGAGTGAGTTACCTGAATTCAGCCATCTTTAACCTACTCCCCCTTGTGGTTAGTGTGAGACATTTTAAGGTGTCTGGTGTGGCTTTCACTCCTTTAACACTATGTTCTGACCTAGAGATAAAATAATTCACGGACAAAACCAAACTCAAAACCAAAACATTTTAAGAGCGGACTAGTCTAATGTGAATGCGGAAAGACCTAGAGAGCCAGGCCCTTTTCTCTTGATCTCTTTCTTTCCTAAGCAGCTCCTTCACCTTCATCAAGACTCAGCTCAGGACAAACCCCTTCCAGAAAGTTTGTTCTGGTTTCTTGCTCTGTGAGTTTGGGGCCTCACCTTGTGACTGCCTTTATCAAAGAGCCTATCACTCTGTGTCTCTGCTCACTAGGTAGGTATCCCCAGTGGACTGTAAACAACCGGAGGTGGGGGCAGGAACTGTGTCTTGCATTTCTTTATTCCAAAATGTCTTCTTTTGCCAGCTATAGAGTAGATGTTCAGTAAATGTTTGTTGAAATAAATAAGTGGTTCTTGCCACTAAAAACTTTAGACAATTGGCATAATATCTCAGGTTGCAGTTTTCTCATTTATAATCTTAGAGATTTAGGACTTTAAGTCCCTAAAGAGTCTGTGTGTCTGGAATTACATTTATTATCAAAATATTCTGTAAGAATTGGTCCCCTTTTGACTTTCAAGTTCTTTTATTTGGGGTCTTTTGAATATCTTTTTGGCTCTATAGAATTGTATGTCATGGTATGTTAATATTGGAGGTGGGAATGGAAAATAGCCCAGCAGTTACTAGCAAAGATGGCATTGAAGAGATTTCTTCATAAGTAATTGTCTGAATGATTATTTTCCAAAGAAAATCATACATTCCATATAGACCTCAAATAAGTTTTTACTTACATTTTTTATTCCATTTGAAGACATACCAGCTTGTGGAGAGGTCTAGAAGTATTTCTCCTCTTGGCTTGGAATTCCCAACATATCAAGTTTTAATAATATTTGACTCAGGACCACAAAGCATTATTTAGCAAATATACAGTTTGTGTTGAAGACATTTGAGGAAACCAGACCACAGGAAGAAAAATACTGCATGATCTCACTTATATACGAAATCTTTTCAAACACTGAATAAATAGAAATGGAGAGTATAATGGCGATTGGGGTGGGAGGATGGGGGAAATGGGCAGATGTAGGTTAAAGGGGACAAAGTTGCAGTTATATAGGATGAATTGGTGTAGAGATCTAATGAATAACGTGAGGAAGACAGCTAAAAATATTACAAACTGGAAATTTGCTAAGAGAGATTTTTAGGTGCTTTTACCACACACACAAAAGTAAGTATGTGAGAGGATAGATATGTTAGTTTACTTGACTATAGTAATCACTTTATTGTATGTGTGTATATCAAAACATTGTGCTGTACATCTTAAATATATACAATAAAGAAAGTGTTCAAGCTGCCCAAGATCTAGAAGACATCAGAGAGGATTGTATACAAGTCTGGCAGTGAGGCCAAGTGAGAATTCGTTGTCTCATCCCATGTCTCTCTTTTGTTTTTGTGAGAATTTGGGTCCATCTGAGGCAGAGAGTGGTGTGCTCTAAGGATACTGAAAGCTGGAACTTTTGTTCTCCTAAAATAGGAAGCACTCAGAAGTGGGAATGTTTTCAGGAGACAGTCCTTTCAGAAATGAGGTAAAAATTTTTCAAATTAAAAAAAAATTTTGGAGGCCATGGAAAGAAACTGATATTTTTAATGAACCAAGTTAGGACAGGAGGACTCTTCAACTGGTCAGAAAATAGAATTTTAAGTAAAGGGAAGAAAAATAACTGTAGATATCAGGATGTTTGTTGTTAAGCAATAATTTTGGGGTGTGTATGTGTGTGGTATTGTTGTTGTTGTTGTTGTTTTTTGAGCCTTACTGCTAGTTTGTAAAGATGGACTTTTCGATTATAAAGAAAACTGCAGGCCAGGCATGGTGGCTCATGCCTGTAATCCCAGTGCTTTGGGAGGCAGAGGCGGGCGAATCACCTGAGGTCAAGAGTTCGAGACAAGCCTGACCAACATGGAGAAATCCCATCTCTACTAAAAAATACAATATTAGCCAGGCGTGGTGGCACGTGCTGTAATCCCAGCTACTTGGGAGGTTGAGGCAGGAGAATTGCTTGAACCCGGGAGGCAGAGGTTGAGGTGAGCCGAGATCGCACCATTGCACTCCAGTCTGGGCAACAAGAGCAAAACTCCATCTCAAAAAAAAAAAAAAGAAAAAGAAAACTGCAGTTTGAAATGTAAAATGACCCTATAATGAGGCCTGAATTTGCCTTTACTGCAGTCTTTTCAGGAATATAGGCACAGGTTAATCTGTGTGTACAGGATTATGTTAGCCTCTGAGAGACTCTGGGAAAGGGTTGTTCTATTAAAGTCATAAAGGCTCTTGTTTTCCTTCAAAGCGTATTTTTTTCTATGTAGAAAATCTACCAGAAAACCTTACCAAATTCCTCAGGATGGCAAAAAGAGTTATCTTAGATCTTCTATTCATGTTTGGGAATTCTAATAAACTGAATTCATGTTTATTTGTTTGTTTTGTTTTAAATTTTTGTGAGTACATCGTACATCTATATAGTTATAGTGTACATGAAATATTTTGATATAGACATACAATGCATAATAATCACATCCGGGTAAATAGGATATCCATCATCTCAAGCATTTATTCTTCTTTGTGTTTCAAACAGTCCAATTATAGTCTTTTAGTTATTTTTAAATGTACAATAAATTATTGTTGATAGTAGTCACTCTGTCATGCTATCAAATACTAAATTTTATTCCTTCTATCTAATTATATTTTTGTACCCATTAACCATCCCCACTTACCCCTCACCCCCACTGCCAAACTATCCTTTTCAGTCTCTGGTAACCATCATTCTACTATCTCCATGAGTTCAATTGTTTTTATTTTTAAATCCCACAGATAAGTGAGAACAGGCAAAAGTTTGTCTTTCTGTGCCTGGCTTATTTCACTTAACATAATGACCTCCAGTTCCATCCGTGTTGTTGCAAATGACAGGATATTATTCTTTTTTACGGCTGAATAGTACTCCATTGTGTATATGTACATTTTCTTTATCCATTCATTTGTTGATGGATGCTTAGGTTGCTTTCAAATTTTAGGTATTGTAAACAGTGCTGCAACAAACGTAGAAATGCAGACATCTTTTCAATATACTGATCTCCTTTCTTTTGGGTATATACCTAGCAGTGGGATTGCTGGATCATATCGTAGCTCTATTTTTAGTTTTTTGAGGAAACTCCAAACTGTTCTCCACGGTGATTGTACTAATTTACATTCCTACCAACAGTGTACAAGGGTTGCCTTTTCTCCACGTCCTTGCCAGCATTTGTTATTGCCTATCTTTGGATATAAGCCATTTTAACTTAGGTGAGATGATATCTCATTGTAGTTTTGATTTGCATTTCTCTGTTGATCAATGATGTTGAGCACCAATTCATATATCTGTTTGTCATTTGTATGTCTTCTTTTGAGAAATGTCTATTCAGATCTTTTGCCCATTTTAGAATAGGATTATTGGATTTTTTTCCCTATAGAGTTGTTTGAGCTCCCTATATATTCTGGGTGTTAATCCTTTGTCAGATGGGTAGCTTGCAAATATTTTCTCCCATGCTATGGGTTGTCTGTTCACTTTGTTGATTGTTTCCTTTGCTGTGCAGAAGCTTTTTAGCTTGATGCGATTCCATTTGCCCATTTTTGCTTTGGTTGCCTGTGCTCATGGGGCATTACTCAAGAAATCTTTGTCCAGTCCAATGTCCAGGAGAGTTTCTCCAATGTTCTTTTTTTTTTTCAGTAGTTTCATAGTTTTAGGTCTTATATGTAAGTCTGTAATCCATTTTAATTTGATTTATGTATATTGTGAGAGATAGGGGTCTAGTTTCTGCATCTGGATATTCAGTTTTCCCAGCACTGCTTTTTGGAGAGACTGTCCTTTCCCCAGTGTATGTTCTTGGCACCTTTGTCAAAAATGAGTTCACTGTAGGTGTATAAATTTGTTTCTGGATTCTCTGTTCTGATCCATTGGTCTATGTGTCTGTTTTTGTGCCAGTCAGTACCATGCTGTTTTGGTTTCCATAGCTCTGTAGTATTATTTAAAGTCAGGTACTATGATTGCTCCAGTTTTGTTTGTTTTGCTCAGGATAGCTTTGGCTATTCTGGGTCTTTTGTGGTTGCATATAAATGTTAGGATTATTTTTTTCTATTTCTGTGAAGAATGTCATTGCTATTTTGATAGAGGCTGCATTGAATCTGCAGAATGCTTTGGATATATGGACATTTTAATAATATTGATTCTTGCAATCTATGAACATGAAATATCTTTTCATTTTTTGTGTATTCTCTTCAACTTCTTTTATCAGTGTTTTATAGTTTTCACTGTAGAGATCTTTCACTTCTTTGGTGAAGCTAATTCTCAGTTATTTTTTGTAGTTATTGTAAATGTGGTTACTTTCTTAAATTTTTTTCAGATTGTTTGCTGTTGGCATATAGAAATGCTACTAATTTTTGTATGTCGATTTTTTTATCCTGAAACTTTACCAAACTTATCAGTTTGAATAGTTTTTGTGTGTGTGTGTGGAGTCTTTAGGTTTTTCCAAATATAAGATTATATCATCTGCAAACAAGAATAATTTGACTTCTTCCTTTCCAATTTAGATGCCCTTTATATCTTTCTCGTTTGATTGCTCCATTTAGGACTTCTGGTACTATGCTGAATAACAGTGGTGAAAGTAGGCATCCTTGTCATGTTGCAGATCCTAGAGGAAAAGTTTTCAGTTTTCCTTCATTCAATATGATACTAGCTGTGGGTCTGTCCTATTTGGCTTTTATTGGGTTGAAGTATATTCCTTTATACCAATTTTTTGAAGGTTTTATTAATCATGAAAAGATATTAAATTTTATCAAATGCTTTTTCAGTATCAATTGAAATGATCATGTAATTTTTGTCTTTCATTCTGTTGATATGATGTATCATCTTCATTAATTTGTGTAAGTTGAACCATCCTTGCATCCCTGGGATAAATTCAATTTAGTCATGATGAATGATCTTTTTAATGTGTTGTTGAATTCAGTTTGCTAGTATTTTGTTGAGGATTTTTGCATCAATGTTCATCAGGGATTTGGCCTGTGTTTTTCTTTTCTTTTTTTGATGTGTCTTTGTCTGGTTTGGTATCAGGGTAATACTGGCTCATAGAATGAATTTGGAAGTATTCTGTCTTCTATTATGCAGAGTAGTTTCAGTAGAATTGGTGTTAGTTCTTTTTTAAATGTTTTATAAGGTTATCATTTTGTTTCTGAGCTCTAACAAATAATATAAGCTTGTTTACTTTGTGACAACAAAAATTTGTTTCTCTAGGAATGCATATGCATTCCCAATTTTTATGTCTGTTCCTAGAAAAATAACTGTGTATTCATATATCAGGGCCACTGGACTTTTTTAAAAAAATAGAAAAACAGCCATAACTTTATTTTTAATTTGTGGGGCACTATTAATAAACCTAGTACATTTGTAGCACTACAGTGATGTTGAAGCAGGAAATTTCCCTGACCCCTCTGTGGGCAGGAACTGGAGTGCAGGCACTGGAACTAGTCAGCTGCTTCAGCACCGGCAGGGGCAAGCTCTACTCACTCAAACCCACAGTGCTTAACCCCTTGCTGAAGGGGGCATGCAGGTGAGGAGGTGCACGAGCTGGGGTGGGCGTTTTGGGGTGCCAGCAGAAACAAACTTTGTGCCGGTCCTGTGGCAGTGTCTTGAGGGTGCCCATGACCCCTGAAGCCCCAGAAGGAGTGTTATAGTCGGTGCTCTTTTAGCTTTGCCATCCATGGACAGCTTAAGTGTTAACAGCTCAGTAGAGGGTCAGTGTGACAGCCTTTTGCACCCACACCTGAGTTCTTTTCTGGCATCCAGGAAGAATGTTGCATACATGAATTAGAAGGATGGTCAATGTGGGGGATTTTATTGCCGATGAAGGTGGCTCTCAGCAGGAAGGGGAGCTGCAAAGGGGACGGATTAGGAGAAGGTAATCTTTCTCTGGAGTCTGGCTGGGGATGGCCAAACCCCTCTCCAAAGCTGTGCCATCAACCTGTCCCTCTGAAGTCAAGCTGCTTCTCTCCAACGGTAGTTTCTGACATCCAGCTGCATCTCCTCTTCTCCTCTCTCTGCTGGCTGATCCTGGGGTTTTTATGGGCACAGGATGGGGGCAGGGGAGGCCATGGGTGGTTTTGGAAAAGGCAACATTCAAGCGGGAAAACAGGGATGTACATTCTCACTTTGGGCCATAGTTCCAGGCTTGAAGGTGAAGCCCTCGCTGGGGACCTGCCCTCTTCTGCCCAGAATTTTCCTGTCTCCTGTCCCTATCAATGTGAAAATTGGATTTGATTTAAAATGATTAAATATTAGTTAACAGAATCAAAAGTTTTTTGTCGCTAGAAAGACTTAAAAAATAGACCCCCCATTGATCTATTTTTAGGCTATGTGGTGACAGAGTCTGGCACTTAAGGGACATTCAATAAATATTTGTTGACTCATGATTGACAAGTGTCAATTTTGAGGCTAAAATGAAAAGTCCACTTAGAGTATAAGAAGTTTATATAACTTACCTTAACCACTGTAATGATTTTAGCTGAAGTTTTCATTTTTCTTCCTGCATTTGGATTTCCTGACCTCTGAAAAGTGGAAGACAATTTTATGTTAACAAAAGTATCTCTAGGCCAGGCGTGATGGTTCATGCCTGTAATCCCAGCACTTTGATGCCAAGCCAGGAGGATCACTTGAGCCCAGGAGTTTGAGACCACCCTGGGCAATATAGCAAGACCGTCTCTCTACAAAAAATTTTTTTTTAAATTAGCTGGGTATGGTGGCATATTCTTGTAGTCCCACCTATGCAGGAGGCTAAAGTAGGAGGATCACCTGAGCCTGGAGGTCAAGTCTGCAGTGAGCTGTGATCTTTCCACTGCAGTGCAGCCTGAGTGACAGAACAAGACCCTGTCACAAAAAACAAACAAATAAAAAAAAATCTGTAAAACCTCTAAAATAATGTGATATCTGGGATTAGCTTCAAAACAACGAACAAGATGGGCTACAAGTTCATCACTGTTGAAGTTGAATGATTCATACATGGGGGTGCATTATATTATCCTCTACTTTTATATATATCTAAAACTTTTCAACACGTAAAGTTAAAAAAAGGATTTATAAGATGGAAATGTAGTTCCTGTGTCTTTCCCAAATATTTATTTCTCATTCTGGGTCCCTTACTTAAAAGAAAAATGGGGTTGGGGAAAGCATTTCCAGGCTCCAAAAATTTGATAGTATTGCTTATCTCCCTAATCGTAGGCCTCCTCTTTAGAAGCTTCTGGACAGGAATGAAAGCTTTTGGAAGCTTCCCAAGGCTTATGGTTGAACAGCCTACTTTAGTTTCCATTACCTTCTTTTCTGGGTGGAGAAAAAAGCCCTTTAGGTTCAACAATTTACAGGGATGTGGCAGGGGAGGTGGTTTTCCATTGAGAACGAGATAATGGCAGCATTCCTTGCCTGAGAAAGGAGCTGTAAGGTGCTGTTGCCTCAGGGCACACTCCGGACAACTGAAAGCAGCTGTTGCGGACTGGGCTGGCTTTTAATTAATTATTTTGGTAATTGTGTTGGCAATTTTCCCTTTTCCTTAGTCTTTGAAAAAAAAAAAAAAAAGCAAACACATCTAACTGTTTACGTAACTACTAGAAGAAACACGAGGTTCTTAGCAACTGACCTAGTGTACCTTGACCGAATTGTATCATGTTTTATGGGCATGGACTGCCATATAATTTGTGAGTCTTTTTTGATCACTTGGGTTTTGCTGGTAATATTTCAACAAAGGGGAGGAGACATTCGGGGCTGTCTTTGCTCTTGCCTGGTGAGATGTTCTCACCCTGCTCCAGTATAATTGAGCCAATATGAGTTTTAATCTTTTTCCCCCATTAAGAAATGCTCAAATTTATATATAGAATACTGAAATCCAATATATATTTAAGAAGTTATCTCTAAGCAGTATAAAAGAAACCAAATACATTTGTAACACTACAATGATGTAAAAATTTGTTTTGTTTGACTTAAAATGATTAAATATTGGTTAACAGAGTCAATACTTTTTTATTGCTAGAAAGACAAAAAAACAAACCCTGGAGATTATTCTATCTGAAAGTTCTTATTTATACAGTAGAAGTTACTGATGCCCAGAAAAGCAGTGTGACTTGTCCATTATCACAGGTCCCTTTGAGAAAACTCAAGTTGCTTTTGCTCTCTCTGTAAAGCAGTTTTACAGGGCCTGACAAGAAAATTCACTCAGCACAGCCACAGTTCAAAAGTTAGTGAGCCATAGGAGCTATGGCAGAGTAGGAAAATGAATTTGCTGTCATCTGCTGTTTTATTTTATGCAAGACACATACCATGGAACCTCCAGCTTTAGGGTTCTCAGGGAGACAATGTAATGTAATGTTTCTGTTACAGAAAAAAATAGAGAAAACTCAGCCATAAAAGATCCAGTTCAAAAATTCAGTTAACGTGCATTTGGGAAATCAAAATATCCTTCTCATATTCAAAGAAAATAATTGCTGTTAAAGTCAATTTGGGGGAAGTCTGCTTTTAATAATACTTTCTTTAGAGAATAGTCACTCAAAAAATTGAGAAAACAGATTCAGCTTCAAGTCAAATATTCTCTATGCACTCTACTGATAAGACAGAAATTGGGGGCAGGGGGAGTCTTTTAGAAAAGAATCAGTAAATGGAAAATATATTACCAAGTGAAATGCATCTAACGTTTTATTTCTCCTGAAAGAATATTTATAAGAATTAACTTTACTCTGTGTATGAAGTGTATATTATTTATAGCTATTTAAAGCTACTAAAAGAAAATTGAAAAAGGCAATTTAAAAATGTTTACATTCTCTTAACCTTTTTCATTTTGACTTATTCCAACCACTGCCACCATACATAGAAACTTTCCCTTTCTAAAGGAGACAGAGACCACTTTGTAGAACAAAAGTGGCTTTGAACACTTATCTTGTGGTCTTGGGAGAGTGGAGAAAAGAGGGGGGAAGGGGAGGAAAGTAAGGAGGGTAGAAGAAAGGACTCCTTTCTAACAAACCTTTTAAGAGCAATATTCTTAGAAATATTTAACTCCTATAAACTTTGCCTCACATATTTGCCAAGTGCTAAAATAAAACAAAACAAAACAAAAAAAACAGTAAAGGAGACAGTAATAATAGTGGGCTATAAAGGTGGAAGGAAGACAACAAAGATAACTCCAGGAAAGGAACAATGCCTGTGCACTGACCCTGGGGAAGGAAGCAGGGGCATATATGTCTGGACCCTTGAGTTGCGAAGCACTTGACCTTCAGTTCCTCTGTGGATGATGTAAAATAAAGAGCATCCCCCACTTATTTTAATTCCAGTTAACCTAAGTGCATGAAACTTGAGAACTGGGTCATCTGTTCCCCTTAGTGCTAATGAGAAATTTTGAACTGAGTAATTTCACATGTATGAGCTGGATTATCTATCAAAATGATTTCCTGAAAAAATTGGATAGTGATATACTGTGAATATTATTTATACATAATACTATTGACATACCGCAGATATTATTTTAAAGGGTCTCAGAACTTTTCTTTGCTCATGATCTACTGTAAGAAATACATTTGATATCACAACACACATATGCAAACATGTAAATCTAAATTACTGAAATGGAAGTTTCATTTAAAAAATACTTTTCCGGCTGGGTGAGGTGGCTGATGCCCGCAATCCCAGCACTTTGGGAGGCCAAGGTGGGCAGATCACCTGTCGGGAGTTCAAAACCAGCCTGACCAACATGGAGAAACGCAATCTCTACTAAAAATACAAAAATTAGCCGGGCGAGGTGGCATATGCCTGTAATCCCAGCTACTTGGGAGGCTGAGGCAGGAGAATCCCTTGAACCCAGGAGGCGGAGGTTGCAGTGAGCTGAGATCGCGCCATTGCACTCCAGCCTGGGCAACAAGAATGAAACTCCATCTCAAAAAAAAAAAAAAAAAACCCAACAAAAAAATACTTCTTCTTAGTAGGCATGATGCATTCTGATATTTTTCCATTTCACTGTATTATTATTTTTTTAAATTCTGGGTTCTAATCCATTAAATTGATTTTACCGCCTACAAAAGAATTGAGACTCAGAGTATGAGTCAAAATCACAAACATAAACAAATCAGGGTGCTGATTGTACTCGAGAATAATATGAAATTCAAGTATATTTTATTTGAAACAAACAAGTCTGGTAGAATCCAGAAGTTATCAAATTTATGTTTTATTTGTCATAATGTAAAACTTCAAATTTTTCAGAATCAGATATTTTTGCAATTAGCATGTGGCTTATGCTGGTAAAAGACGATTTGGCAGCATAGCTCTTTTAAATACTAGACATTTTGCAATGAGAAGAATAGTGATTTCTCAGTTCTGGGGGCTCTAGTATAACGTTGGAGCCTTAGATAAGAAAGAAAATCTTCTAAATAGAGAACTGCAAGAAGGAACTGACAACAATCTGGAGATAGAAAAATGTTCTTAAAAATTGCAAAATACTTACTAACACATTGCACACTTACCATTGAATTTAGCTTTCCACAGGATGATGAATGCTTCCAAGAATTTCACAGTTAAAGTATCTTAAAGTTTTGCATTCCAACGCCCTGCTCAATAAATGCAGGATTCCCTTCTGTGTTATTCCTTCAATCATTAAAAATATAATTATTAAACATCCACAATATGTCCAGAGATGCAGAAAGCAACAAAATGTAAAAAGCTGTCCTCAGGGCGCCTACAATTAGAAGAGATAAAAGATGAGCAAAAATATCCTAAAATGGATGCTTATCCCCAATAAGCAGTGAGCTCCCCTGTTTCTTTTCTCCTGCCACAGTAACTCAGTTCCTTTGATTACTGGCTACTTCTTTATTAGAGAGCTCTGGTTGTTAGAAAGTTTTTTACGTTGAATTGTTCCTTCAGTGACATCAGTCCAAATTCTATTTCTGTCCTTGGTGGCCATACAGTTAAAAAAGAAACAGATTCAGAGTAAACCCCGCTTTACCAGATTGACATCAAGAGGGGAGACACATTCCTAAGACCCCATGAAAATCTGAGCGGGACACACCCACTGGCATCCCAGTTTGAGAAATGGTAACTCCTGGACTGAATCCTAAAACAGAATCAGAACCACAGGCTATTTTAGTTGACAGAGACCCCTCAAAGATATTTAGCTAACTTCTATAATTCTTTAAATAGAAAAATGAGTTTGCAACCTAATCCACTGAAATATTTTCTAGGAGACGTGATTCTGATTTTATCAAGGTCATCAGTGGGAAAATAGGATTCACTTTTCAGAAGTTTAATGAAGTCAACTTTGCTGCAACAGATTTTTTTTTTTTTTACCCCTGAGGCTGATATATGATATGGTTTAGCCCCTAAAGTAACCTTAAACATAAGGCTCTGGGCTTTTTGATGAAGAATTTGTGTACATAATATCCCCAAGTGAGCTGAAGTTAAGAAGAACTAGTATGAACAACTAATAAATTGTAGTACAGGCTACAATTTATGTAGTACATAGCTTTTTCAAGCTATGGATTATTATTGTTATTATACTATATTCACAGTTTACAATGCATATTCACAAACCTGCTCTTTTTAAGCCTTGCAATAATCTTCGAAGTAGGTTTTTTAAACCTTTCTTTCACAAAAGTGACCTAAGAAAGAATTGCTCTTATACTCATAGCAAATGAGAACTGGAATAGCGTAAAGATTTTCTAGTTTAACTCCTTGATTTCATAGAACCCGAGGCATGTAAGGGTTAAGCAACATGGTAGATTTAGGACTAGAACTCAGGAATAAGACTCTCAGGAGATCTCTTTGCCTGAGGTTCTATACCTATTTGCCAGAATCCTGTGGGGGTAATCTGTAAGTCTCATCAGATTTCTCTAAACATTTATAAATTGGACCATGTTATACCTCGTGTTACACAAATTTGTTTCCTCACTGGGCTATAACTTGGACATCTTTCTATGTTGATACCTATGTTGTGATCTCATTGTTATTTTTGAAGGGTGAAATAATTGGTACTCAGTAAGTATGCTCCAATGCAGTGATACCTATTATTTGTGCCAGTGTCAGTCTTGACTTGTCTGTGCCTGTGCCGTATTAGTTATTAAATATTTTGAAGAATGATTCCTAGTCCTTTCTCTGTATTCCAAAATAGAGCAGCTGTATCTCTCAATTCTTGAATGTAGCCCACAAGATTTCTCAACAAACCTAGAGCTCAACAAAGGCTAGAACTATGTGATAAGCGTGCAGATCTTCACAATGCAAGGCAGACAATCTGGTGTTCTGAGAGCAAGACTGAGGTCTTTCTGTAGATGCCCAGGCCATATGTGGAAGCTGACACTTGGCAACAACAGGTAACTTTTGTTATTTTATTTTCCACAAGAATTCTGACTGTTAGAGAACCTTCCATGAGTATTCTAATCATTTCTGCTCTTTTGGGCAAATTTAAAGACATTGTAATCCTTAATGATAGTCTCTGAGAGGTAAGAAAGCAGGATTTCTTCCTCCGTACCATCTTGAGTCACAATTGCACATGCGCAAACAGTTGAGCTGAATATCCTTTGATGGAGTCACCAAAATGGCTGAAAAGGGCAATGATTTGATTGATGGCAAAATCAGATGTTTGCCATTTGGTGGTAGAATTGGATAAGGAAATATTTTGGAATCTCCTCTCAATTTTCTCATCAAGTATAGTTTTGACAGAATGCGGAATGTAAAGTGGTTTGGTGTTTTTTTACTCCTAACTTCAAGATAGAAAACTTTCACCACCCTTGTGAATTCCTAATGAATTCAGTATTATTCAGTTTCATGTGTTGCCAACATTTATGCCTTGCAGAAAAATAAGCAACTCCATAGCGTTTTAAATTAGATATTTGTGATTTTGACTCATGTGTCTGTCAAAATGACAGTTACAGTGTCACTTTGGACTGTTGGGATTTGCAGCATATTGGAAAATAGAACCTCTTCCTTTGCAGTAAATGTGAAACCATAATTGATGTGAGTTCCTTTTTTTTTTCTCCTGTCATCATCAACTAACCTCCAAAATAATAATAATAATGTAATCATGAGGCGTACTGTGGGAAAGTGTCTGGTCTGGCTGGTTGAGCAATGAATGAAGCTGATAGTGGTGATGGGTGGTGTAGCTGTTTTTTCCAGGGTGTCAAGCTTTTTAGATCTCTGACAAATGGAATTACTCTTTATTTTTCATTTACACATTGGCTCACAGCATAATACCTGGTGCCATTTAATGGAACCTATTACCCAATCTAAACAAATTTACTTTAATAATCCACTTATTTCTGTAATCATGATGTATTCATCTGATGGGCTAGAAGAAATAGAGGAAGAAACAAATACATTTTGAAAGCCTAAAAGCTCCTATTATCATACTCAATAGGGCCTAAAAGCCCTATTTTTGTTTTATCAAGGCAAACTTTAAGTTAAAATAAAACTTATACTCATCCTAAAACAGAAAACATTCTGCTCATGGTAAGACACAGAGCAGTGTAAATTACACACACGCATGATGACATCAGAAGTAGCTAACAGACGTGCTCCGACCGGAATTAATGCAGGATCAACTCTCAATGTGTTCTCATTCAAACTTCAGCATACTGCACCAGTCAATATGATTTGATTTAGGTTTTCTTATTTTAGGTACTTTTATGAAAATGACAGATATTGCTTTTATCCCCTTCCTCTCCTGTCCCTCACCCAACATGCACACAATTGAATTATGTAATTGTGTATTATTGTCAAATGACAGAGAGTCTGTTTCTGGAGGTTCTGTTATACTACCCTCAATTTTCTCCTGTACCAACAAGCCTATTGACAACATCTACATATTTGCTGTTAGATATTCCTTCTTTGATCTAAGGAACTGAATCCTGTTTAAATGAAAGCAAACACCCCTAAGAGGGGTAATGTTTAAAGATTGTATCAGTCATTAACACCATAGCATAAATTGTTGAATTCAGGTAATTAGCATTTATTACAGGGCTTTTGAGGGCCTGTGTCAGGTCCAGTGACAGTAAAGACATACCCTTGAGGAGCTTTTGACTTTTGTCATTGTTTCATTTGGTAATGTTGGACAAGTTGATTCACTTTTGGGCTCAAGTTTGTCATCTGTGAATTGAAGGGACTGGATTACAGTAATGGCTTTTTAAATATCTGGGGATTTCCAGGCTCTCCCTCTGGAAAGAAAAGGAGCTGTAACCAGTAGCTCTTGGTTCACTTATTTATACCTTACGCCTTTTTGAAACTTTTTTTTTGAAGAAAGGGATTTTCAGCTAAAATATTAAAAATTAACAGTTCTGGAAATAACCCTACTGGATGATTTTCAAGATTTTTTTAAAAATCGTTGCCTCCAGTGGCACTCAACATTCTGTAATTTGACCCTATTTTCTTTATTCACAATAGGATAACCTCCTAAGAGGACATTTTCACAGAGAAGAGAGAAGTCCAGTAGGGTACTCTCTGGGGGTTTCTTGGCATTGGTCAGACAAAGACCTCAAGTGTTTAGTGCTGTGTGTGCCAGTGTGGATGTGCAGGAGGTTGCACCCAAGCTCAGCTTGACAATTTCTCAGTTTACCAAAGGCTAGGCCTGGGGCTCACCAGAGCCCGGGCCACCAACTTTGGGAGAAAAAATTTGCCTCTGAGGAACTTAATTTCCACCAATTCTTCCACTTCAGAAATGTCATTTCTCTCTAAGAAGTGCATTTCCTGCTACTTTTCAGAAAGAAGTTTGGGGCTTCAATAATTCTACTGGCTACATTTCAGCAGGCAAAATGTAGCTTAAAAATATACATAGGAAAAAGGAACTTTCTACACAATAATCTCATCTGATATGGAGAAACTTTAAATACAAACCATATTATGCCTTTGGCTCTTTTCCTCCAGCCCCAACTTGGAATCTTTTCTGGAATTGTTCCAAAAAAACTCTCTTAACAGTGTCAAAAGAAAAGTTAGGACACTCTTTCAATAGTCCTTTAAATATTAGAAAGTGCAAAAATCACTAACTGATTTGAACTGACCAAAACAGAGAAGGGCTTGTTTGGCATGATTTTTATGATGCTCAGATAAAATCTCTTCTTGGACTGAGAGTACAAATGGAAAAGATTGAAAGCTATCTGGAATCCTTTTTATTGGGGGCCATAGGGTTTGAAGGTTGAGAAAAGCCCCACACTTCCTTAACTTCCCGCCATTAAACTCTGAACTTTAGGACCGAAATAAAAATCCACTGGGCAAATTTACAAGGGCCTCAGAGTGGTTATCCTAGTGGGGGAAAACACAAGGGGAGGGAGTTGGACTTGGGAATCCCAGCATTTTCTTGTTGGTCCTGACTGTAATAGCATGTATGGTTGGGGGTCTGAGATACAATCTCTACATTCCAGAGAAAAGAAGAATATCAGTAAAGTAGGAAGATGTCCCAGAGACTGGAGAGATGTAGGCAAGTAAAGTTAAGTAAACAGTGATAGTTAGCTTGAGGACTAAGGTAGAGGTAAAATGGAATTGTCCATGCCCAACCCTCACTGATCTTTGAAACTGCTCAGCCTGTTGAGTGACTTCTGGTCAAGAAGAAGCCTGGATTTTCGGAGTGTGGTAGGTGTAGACTTTATTACATGCCATTGTCCCTGAGACAGCTTTTTATTGAAAGAGGAGGAATTTTAAATATATCAAGTGTATTAGTCCATTTTCACGCTGATGATAAAGACATACCTAAGACTGGGTAATTAATATAGGAAAAAAGGATTAATGAACTTACAGTTCCACATGGCTGGGAAGGCCTCACAATCATGGCAGAAGGCAAGGAGAAGCAAGTCACATCTTACCTGGGAGGCAGCAGACAAGAGAGAGCTTGTGCAGGGGAACTCCTCTTTTTAAAACCATCAGATCTCATGAGACTTACTCACTATTACAAGAACAGCATGGGAAAGACCTGCCCCCATGATTCAATTACTTCTCTTCAGGTCCCTCCCACACACGTGGGAATTCAACATGAGATTTGGGTGGGGACACAGCCAAACCATATCATCAAAAGAATACAGATGTCCAGTGAGTTCTAATGATAAATATTTTCCTCCAAGTAGGAGGATCAGAACAAGTGTGAGGTACTTGACTAGAGCCATGGGTTAGGCACGAAGAAAAATTCTTGCTTCAGACACCAGACTACCCAGACGAGGACTGGCCTTTCTCTGATCTTTGTAGTCCTTCTTAGAAAGGCATCATTCATAGTGAAGGTATCTAAGTTGGCTCAGACTTGGTCCTCAGTGAGGCAGTATTTATAAAATAAGTTTATTGCTAGTTAGTAAAGATGTTCAGAGGATGTACTCTGTGTCAAATGTTGTCTGTTTGTTTTTTTGTTGTTGTTGTTAAGTCAAAGGTAGGCATTTGAGTGCCAGTTCTTTCTATCAGTTCTCTTCTTTTTTTTTTTTTTTTTTTGAGGTGGAGTTTTGCTCTTGTTGCCCAGGCTGGAGTGCAATGGCACAATCTCAGCTTGGGGCAACCTCTGTTCAAGTGATTCTTCTGCCTTGGTCTCTCAACTAGCTGGGATTACAGGCATGCACCACCACACCTGGCTAATTTTGTGTCTTTAGTAGAGATGGGGTTTCTCCATGTTGGTCAGGCTGGTCTTGAACTCCCAACCTCAGGTGATCTGCCGACCTTGGCCTCCCAAAGTGTAGGGATTACAGGCATGAGCCACCATGCCAGGCCAGTTTTCTTTCTTTATGGTTTTTCTGCATACGAAGGCATAGAGTGTGATGTTTTCTATATACTTTGAATTTCTAAAAAAAAAAAAAGGGGCTATTTTATTTTTCTAAAGAAAAAAGTCAAAACCACAGTATATTGTGTTTTTAAAATAATACAATATTTTGTGTTAAATTGATTATATTGTGTATTGCACAATACTATTTTATAATTCTGCTAACACCTAGTAATGGATCTACAACCCTGTGTTGAAAGAAGACTGTGTTCTCATGAAGAACCAAAACGATAGAATCTCATAAAATGGGCCTGTGCCTCCAAGTACATTATCAGTGACTTCGGACTTTTGTGGTATCTCTAGCCAATGAAACTACAAAGTGAGATCATTTGGAACTTAGGGGAGGCTAGATAAGAGAGAAAGCAAAACTTCAAAATACAAGACTGGTTTAATCAAGACCAGGGGACCATGAACTGTTTGGGACTCAGAAGAAAAAAAGGAGAACTTGAAAGCGACTGTAATAAATAGGCCCCAATCTGCTGTTCCAAGATTGCCTTCTACTTGATGGGAAAATTGTGTTTCCCCAAAGTAAAGACAATAAATTTGATTAAGGGATCTGCCTGGAAAAGGGAGTGAACTCTGACCTCTGGGAGAGGGTTTTGCCTCACCACATCCTATGTGTACACTGGATGAGTAGTAATATTTATTATTGAACCATGTGATGGAACGACGAACAAAGGTTGTTCCTGGTCATCCTGTGTCCATCACCGCAATTGCTCCTCTTGTGGAATGTGATATATTGCTGGCCACCCTCAGCTGTTTTTGAAGCAGCAACAAATGCTATTTTGTAAATACAGCTTAGAGCCCCTGGACATGTACTAGGACAGCTTATCAAACATATTGCATGTTCACTCTTATGCTTACTTGCAGAAGGATCTCCCAGCACTTCCTTTGCCATGGGGCTGTGCTTTAATTGGCTGTGAATGATGTCATCACACTGTTTACTTTTTTTAGTGAAGGCAAAGATCTGAGTGTGATGTGCATGTCCACATTGTGTTAGGTTTTGGAAGTTTCTGTTTGTCGTGGGTGCTTCCTCTTGGACTACCTTTGTAAGTTTAGTATTTGGGTCCTACTGTTAACAAGCTGGGTTTTTTCCTGCAAACATAGGGCAGTCTGTACAATTTGAAATGAAATTGACAGGTAAAATTCTGCCTTGACAAAATTTTAAGACAAGTAGGCTTTGTTTATCATTGAGAGTTGAATTGGCAGGTCTTTGCAGCTCATTTCCACAAAGCAGAACCTGTCTGGGAAAAAAGATATTTGACTAGGTGGTATAAGAAAAATATTAACGCGTTTCTAGAGCTTACAGAAGATTGGATTCCTCTCTGGCTTTTCTAGAGAGGCAGGAAAATGCTTAGTGTTAAGTTAAAAAATAACTGATTAAACCATAGAATTGAACATATGCAACACTGGTCAGCAGATGTCATGGAATAGACCAACAGATTTTCAGGAGGGATAAATCCTACCAAAATGTCTTCAAAGTTTTGGTTTGTTTTTTTCTAAGTATGATTTCACCCTGCTCTATGCCAGGTATATTCCAGAAATTTGGGTTGCACAATTGAAATAAGAATAATAATATTTTTACAATTAATTTTATTATAATTTGAAGGTACAATGTCCAATAAAAAGCTGAGGACTCTAGTTAAATAAAAACTAGGCTTAAGAACCCAAGAGGGCATCCTGAGGCAATGTCAGTTTTGGACACTTAAGGCTTTCATATCCTCATTAATCCATCCACATGATAAGCCTAACAAATATTTGTTGATGCTGATGAGGGCTGTTTCACATGATTTCAGCATATTCATTAGAAGCATCTACATACCAAAACATTCCTCAAAGTTGATTTTTGATTCATTGACAACTTTGGCTGATACCATGGGATTTCCAGAAGTTGCATTATTCTTTCAGAGCATTCAACGTAACTCACTCACTTGAAACTGCTTTCCTGGACAAAATGTGTTTCTAGGTCTAAGGTGAGAGAAAAATCAATCAATGAATAAAAGAACAAAATGCGTTATGCTTTTATTATAGCATACTGATTTTCTAAAAGGCTAAATTATATTATATAGCTAAATATAATTTTGGGTTCTCATTAAAATGTATATTTGTCTAGAACCTATTAAACTTCTTTAAAAGATTTGTAGGCATTATCCAAAAATTCTCTAAAATATTTAAAATTTTGAACTTAGATAAAATTGCTGTAAAATTTATTTAAAGTTAGGAAGTTCTGCAAGGGATTGTAAATTGCCAACCTGCTCTGTGCTTTGCAGAATCACAGCTTGAACAGGGCCACGAGGACCTCAGGATGATCTATGACCCATAGCATCTACTCTGTTGTCAGACACTGCCTATGATGCGGAACTTACCTTTCATGATAAGCCTTCCAACCTTATGTGGCTTTCAGAGGAAATTTATTTGGTTGGCCTTGGGCAACAGTTTAACTTTTCTGGGTCTCAGTTTTTTCACTTGTCAAGGTGTTCAGTCATTTTTGAGTTTCTACTATGGGTCAAGCAATCCCAAATCCCAGATATTTTCTTGTGGGGGCTGGAGGAGGACCAAGGCAGGGTATAAATAAGCAGAAAAATGAAATGAAATAATGTGCACAGAAGTTTTAGGCATTAGGAAAAAAAGTTTAGCTTTCCCAGGGGAAAGGCTGGGACATTAACAGTTATGAAGACACTATGGTGAGCAATTTAATAAGGTTCAAGGAATTCTGAGAACACTGAAGAGCACTGGGAACATCACTATTTGATTCTTTAGCAGCTCCTTCCCCTCCAAGCTCATGAAACTGATTTTCCTTAAAAACAGGTTAGTGGCTCTGTTCTCTGGATCAGGACTTCACTCTAGGTACTCTCATCCACTCCCTCTAGAGTCCCCTAGAATGTACATGCCCATGAAGGCAGGGACCCCATCTATTTAGTTCATCTTTCATCCATATCACCAAACCCAAATCTGACATGGAGATCCCAATAAGTATTTGCCGAATAAAAACATACTTGGACCATATCCAGAAGCTAAAGGGGAGCTACTACAGGAAGTTACATAAAATAGTGACATGCTTTTCTCTTCCCTCATTAGGCGACCTGGAAGCATACTTCTGGTAGCAATGGGGACACGGGTCAAAGGGGACTTGAGGTAAGGAGGTCTTGTAGGATGGTATTGCAATAATTCAAGTAAGGAGTGATGAGCAGGTGAAATAGGGTGATTCCGAGGATACTGGGGTTAGCCTTGATGGCTTACTGGCCACCTGTATCATTTGGATAAGGGTCTTGTTATTGACAATTGAAAATATCCTAACAGAAACAGCTGGAGCTATATATTTAGTAGTCACCAGCCAATGGGTGACTGCTAAAGCCAGGGATGTTACAGAGACTGCCTGGGAAAAGTAGGTTGAGAACGGAGTTCTGTGCACCTTACGTTTGTGATTGCATTCAATTCTGAATTCTAGCCTATGACCCAAGAGGCCCTAAAACATCAAGGTACATCTTCTGCTTAATTTCAAGGTTATTGTGTGGAATGAGTGAGATAATGTAATGTGCTTAGCACATAGTATTCAATAAAGGTTACCTGGCATGATTATAAATAATTTAATATATAATTTATATCTAATGATGAAAATACACTTCCACCTATGTGCTTATTTAATTTTTCTTTTGCTTGCTTTAATTCGCCCGTCATTTCCAAGCAGAACATTCCTCCTCCCTCCCTCTCTTTCTATCTGCCAGGGATGACTTAACCATTAGACACAGTGGGCCCAGTGCTTAGGCCCACAGAACTTTTAGGAGCACACAAAAATGTTTTTATTTCTTTCAAAATCAGAAGAAAAAGATGAACTTTCAGGTTGAAGAAAATATTTTTATACATAATATAAGTGTATTGATCTTCATTCCAATGCAGTAGTAAAATAGAAATTTAATATTTTTTTGTGGAGGAAGAAGCCCACAAAAGTCAGGATGCAGCCCTGTTGCCTTTCCCCTTTGAGCTGCTGTTTTTCTCTTTTTGTTATTCTCTCCATCTTCATCTCCTCCTTGCCTTCACCCCACTCTTTACTGTTGTAATTCCTAGTATTCTTCTACTTCTAGCATTATTTGGCCTATATCCATATGACTCCTTCATATTAAGTGAAAAAATAAAATAACATAAAAACTAGCATTTTCCTTGCATTGGTTTTCCTTTCCCATGTCAGCTCTTTAATTCCTCAGGTTATCAGCTTTCAGAATGAAGACACATAATCCCTATTAGAGTGGAAGACTTAAAATCGAGTTTGAGACCCACCTTCTGAAACTGCAGGCTCTTGGGAGCCTGATTTCCGGTGAAGAGTGTTGCTGCTTTGCATTTTTCACACTTGAACACAGTGAAGAAGATGAACATTAATTAGGATTATAGTGCCATGGAGGCTTACTGTGCTGTGAGAACTCACAAGAAATAAAATGCCATTTCTTTTTTTGGATGCAATTCTGAGTGTCATGTATGTATTAGTTCTTGGGCCCAAGCCAAGTTACTTTAGGGGTGATATACAATCTGTTATTTTTAGATCATATTGGGTAAGGGTGTAGGCTATTATTTTAGGATAGTAAGAGAAGATAGGTTTGTCTAATTTTAGATGATCAAGTTTCCTAATATGAATCTTCCTTTAAAAAGTATTTTTGAAATGTTATCATTTATAGTTCAAGCTTATGGAGAACTTAACGTTGAAAGCATTCCTTAGTTCAAGGGGATTTCATGCCTGGGTAATTTTCGAGTTTGATTGTTTTCTAGCTTACTTGCCTGACTTAGGATCCGTACTGCTTCTTAAATTTCATAAATAACGAGTTAAAGAAGAAAAGCAAACACACCAAAAACAAACCAATACTAAACTCCCTTCTCCAACAACCAGACTGTCCCAGGGAGATGTATGTAAAGTAAAAAATAAAGTGGCAGGATTCCTGTTTCGCAAATAACTTGAATTCTAATTATTTTTTAAAGACAGATTTAAAACAAAGCATTTTATGAATAATGTACAGATCATTAAGACTATAATCACTAAACTCTAGCATATAATATAAGCCTCTATTTCACCACAAAAATTCACACTGATTACCCAGGATGATTTCCAGATGTTTACTCTCTGCGTGTAATAAAATGTTGGTAAAAATTGTAACTTAGCTGCTATTAAAAAAAAAACAAAAAACCTCAACTCTCAACAGACATGTGAAATTTTCACCAAGACTTTTTCCCCATAGAGTCATCCCTCTCATGACAGAAATCTTCTTCAAAAATCTCTGGCTTACTTAAACCCACTTTTAATTTTAACCAGGGAAGAGAAAGTTGAACTATGAAATGTGATGAATTGATCACTTCACATGTATCAACTGGGTGGAAATTTCCACAGAATTCGCATAACTAGAAAATTGGTACAAGTGAATTATTGGGTCTATATTCAGATGTGAAAGGGAATAGGAAAAAGATTAAAATTGCAATAAAATTAAATCTTCAGGGAGAACCAAAATATCATGGTAAAACAGGGTATGAATATTGTCTTTTTATGTGTCAGGAATTTGAAATTTGTGAAAATATGCAATGGATCAATTTGGAGCATGAAAGTATCATGTACAGCAGCTGAAGAAGAGACAGGTGCCACATAAGGAAAAAGGGAACAGAGAGTCAGGTAGTTCAAAGACACAGGAAAGTAGTTCAAAGACGTATATTATGTAGAAGTCATTAAAATATACTAAAGAAGGAGATGGTAAAATAATCAAATACAGGATAATAAAGTGGAAGGGGAACACAGTGAGGGAAGGGGGAGGAGGTGAGATAATACGAAAAGAGAGAAGAGATGAAGAGGTAGAATGAGAGCACGCATGGGTGCAATGGTTGGTTCTGTAATGACCTGTTTCTCATGAAAAATGCATTATCCTAGAAAGGAATGATTTTTCTCCTCCCTCACACTACTTTGATTTGTGTGTTTACAACACACTAAGCCCACTGGGATGCAACTGAGGATTCAGAGCCTTTAGAATGATCAACCAGACACTGCTATTCCAAAAGACACCAAAAGCACTGTAAATAATTAAATATCAATACAAGTCAACTAACATTTATTGAATGTGCACTCTCAGAATGATGCAGGCATCAGCCTTCTGATAGACCTTAGGGTCTTGACAGAAAGCAAAAACCCAGATGAATAAAATGGTGATTTGGGAGACAGGGACTCAAAAAAGGCAAATGTAACTTAGCCCAGTAGGTCATAACTTTTTTGGGATAATAGACTTCTTTGTGAATCTGATGAAAGCCTCAGAGCTTCACCCAGGAAACTACACATTTGTGTGTAAAATAAAAATTTTGCTTACGTCATGGAGTTTATAGATTTCCTCAAGTTCAATTGTGGGCCCCCTAGTTTAAGATCCTATAGTAAGTGCTGAATTTAATAGATGCATAATTTTTAATAGGCCACTGTTTAAACTACATACAAATTCACTTCAGTTAAAACCTTAGGAATGGTTTGAATTCGTGAATTGGACTAAAGAGTGGGACCCAGATGTCATCCTCCTGTGAAACTTTAATAAACCAACTACTTTCTCAATCCTCCAGTGGAGTTAAATTTTGGGGGGTTTGTTTATAAGTTTATTTACACCTTGCCATCCTCTAGAAAAATTTTGACATATAAAAGTACATATAATACAAAAAAACAAAATAAATATTTTAGGAAAATAAACATCAACCCATGTTTAGGATTGAGGAAGTTGAACTAGCAGAACTTATAGTGTCATGGTAGACATAGGGTACAATTTTGTAACTTCCTGGTGGCTAAAGTTAAGATGAAGTAGGCTTAATTGCAAGACTAATAACAATCCATAAAATAAAAACTAATCTGGTTGTTAGATTATTGGTTAGGATACATTAGGTTGCAAGTAACAGAACACCTAACTAGGAGTGGCTTACGGGCATTGTTAGGATTTTTTTCTAACATAGCAAGAAGCCCAGAGATAATTCAGTCATATTATCAATGATGTGGGTTTTTTCTATCTGTCATCTCTGCTATCCTTAGGATGTTGGTTTCCGTCATACTTGTAACTTCATTGTCTCAAGTGAACTGCTAACTTGTGGCATCATATCCATGACCAAGGCAGGGAGAAGACTAGAGAGCTCTTCTCCATCTGTAGCTTTCATCAGGAAGCAATTGCCACCTTAAAAGCCCCCTTGTAGACTTCCTTTTATGTTTCATGGCCAGAACTGGATCATATGAACACCCTGTCTACAAGAGAGACTGCTAAATTAGTGTCTGCCATTTTGGCCTTTTTAGAGCAAGGAGGGCAAAGGAGGGTCTTGGGGATGGCATTAGGTTAGTATCTTTTACAAAGGATATGAACAGTTTTTCCTGATATTGAGCAACCTCATTCCTGGGTGTCATCAAATGAAGATACTGTGTGATACATCAGACCATACCCTAATGTCAATCTATACAGTAAATATAGCAGTGAGTTCTATCATGTATCATGGAGTTTCATGGTTCTCTCTGTAGGCTGATGGCTTAGACCAAGGCACAAATTGGGAGAAGGCAGGTCTACGGGAAATCAAAACAACGTATTCAAGTACAAAGCCTTGTTATGATCTAGTTTAATCCAACAGTAACATTTAGCTTATCTAGAGTCATGTATGAACAGCAATGCCCTTGAACCACTTTCCATAAATATTATTTCTCACAGCTGGACATTGAATAAGAATGGGACCACAGGGAGTTAAAGGCTGTAATCTCTAACACAATCTTACCTGGAGCACAAAAGCCTGCATTGTTGATAAGGACAGATACATAGGCTTTGACAACCAACCAGGGAGAGAGTAGGGTTAAGCACTCCTTATAAAAATTCAGAAGCATAACCAAGACATGTGCCTGTTAGACAAATGATCACTGGTGGTTAGACTGGTGGAGGTGAGCCCCAAGAAGAGGTAATTATTCTTTCCACTATCTTCCCTTAGAGTTTGTCTTTATCTCTATGATGGTATTTACAGCCCATATTTATGTAGTTTGCTGGCTATCAGCCTACTCATTTTGTAGCCCCTGATCATGTTATCTTTTACATAACAGACTTGGGTCTAAATTTAGAAATATTTAGAAAAAAAATCCTTTTATTGAACAGCGAATAGTAGTTGCTTAGGTAATATTTGGAGGGACAACTTTGAACAAAGAAATCAATGACAACTTATTTCATTCTATTTTCAGTACTAATTATTTGACATCAAAATATGGGCCAAAAAACGCAATTACTTTTGCACCAACCTAATATCAAGCATTACTTAAACTTTCACTGCTTGAAGACCAGAATACTTGGTGTGATGGACTAGACACTAGAGGTTAAAAGCTCAAGCTCAAGGGAAGAAACATATGTGCCTTCCCTTGAAGAAGCTATGTACTAGTTGAACTGGAGGAACATAGAAAACATATCTGAGAAAGGAAACCAGAACATTTATAAACACTGTTGTTTTAATAAAGGGTAATTCTATGTTTGGAAGAAAAAGGTACAATTTAATTATAATGCTTTTATGTCCAATTCTATGTTTAAGGTATTTGCTTGGTTACAAAGAACTAAGGTTTATGACTTCCTTTATAGTTGGAGGTGTTAATAAATGAAGAGAGTTGGTGAATGGAGTTTCCCTATGTGAAATTTTTAAATACATCTGTGAATATGTTCTTCATCATTTATACTCAAGCTACATCGTTTGCACTAATTGTTGGTTTACATTAGAAACACAGAAACACACTTTGAGAATTGTTTTTATTGCTATAGACATAAGGAGACATTTTCATCTTATTGGTGGTTTAGTAGCAAATGGAAAATTACATGACACAAATTACACTTAATTGAAAGAATAACAGGAAATGAAAGATGATTGACATGTGGCAATAACAAAAAAGCTTATTTATTCTCACAGAAAATTAAAGAATTAAGAACTGGGATGTCAGTTATCTGGGAAGTGTGAAATTCTGGACAAAGAATTTTAGATACTATTCATAGAGTGATTGGTGCTTTTTATATTTTTGCTATTAGATTATAAATTATTTGAGAGCAAAGCCTGTCCTCTGGTTTTACATTTATTCATTCAATAAGCACCATGGCACTATGTGGGGGATCAAAAATAAATAAGAAATAATTTCCTTTCCTCTGTGGACCAGGGTCTACTTTGGAAGAAATAATGTTTATACAAAAAAAAAACAACAAAAAACCGTAATTGAGGATAGACCGTTCTAAATCTCACACAGGAGATTAAAACAAGTTCCCAAGATTCTGGGAAGAAAGGAGTATCTCCAGCTGTCCTGCGTCAGGAAAGGCTTCACAGTGGATGTGACATGTGAGCTGGACATTAAGGGGCCAGCAGCACTTTACCATAGGGAGATGGAAAGAAGGACATTCTGGGGAGGAAAAACATTGTAACTAAAGTGCTGATGGCAGAAAAGAGGCTCATGTATAAAGAAGAGAAAATCATCCAGTTTTCCTGGTCCACAAGAGCTCAATAAGCAGAGAAATGAGAGATAAGGTTTAAAACATGAGTTGAGGTCATGAAAACATGGAGAGTCTGTTAGGTTTAAATTAAGGCCCTTGGACTTTGTTTGATAGATAACGAGGAGCTATTGATGGTTTTCTGAGTACCTGATAGACATTAAACATAAGTTTTTTGAGTGGATGAGGTGTCAGGTGATCCAAACCATGCTATCATTCTGTACATTCTGAAGTGCCTAACACAGTGTTAGCACATAATAACTGTACAACAATAGTTTTTAATTGGCTATAGAAAAATACATAAGCAGGAGAGCCATCAAAAAAGGTATTGAGAATGTCTGACAGCTTAGAGATAAGCCAGACATGCTCTTTTGGCACTCACTGTTCACATCTACCCCCTTCTACACACTCTTGTGTCATAGGGGCTGGAAGGCTAACAACTACATTTCTCAGGCTCCCTTGCTGCCAGGGTTTGAGGTGAAGTCCAGGAAATAAGATCCTTCCCATGAGATTTGGAAAGTGAAATGCTGGTGGAGCCCGTTTTTATTTCTATGGCAGTGGTAAGCCCTGGCAGAAATGCATTTTGTAGTGGACAGACTTCACAATCACCCTATAGTGACCAGCTTCATGAATGTGAAGCAACTGTGAAACTGGCAGCAGTTTCTTGACCTATGCGTGTTGACAATGATTTCCTGACCTCTGGTTCATAGCTTCAGGGTTATAACCTTATAACCTAGCATCAGCATGATCTGTAAGTCTAATAGGACCTCTTCACATGCATTTCTACGGCTCTTCCAACAATTTTGCAGCACCCCATTCCCTGTATTAAATTCCCTTCTACTCGAGATACCTAAACCCTTTTCTATTTCCTGCACCAAATCTTTACAGGAACAAAAGATGAGGAAACTTGCATGGCAGAAGGTGAAAGCCATTCAAAGGCAAGTCAATGTGGGACTGAAGAAAAATACTTCAAGTCCAAAGCTCTTTTATACTACAAAGGGCATCAAAGTGCCTTTCAGTCTGTGTCAATTCAGGCCTTGTCCTCCAGCCTCTCCCTTACTTACCTAAAAAAAGAAACCGTTGTTTTTTTGCCAATTTACAAATATATATATATATATATATATATATATATATATATATATATATATGTATATATATTCATTGTAGAAAACTTAGGAAATACAGAAAATTATAAAGAAGGAAATAAAAAGCATCTGTAATTTTACTAGTGGGGATAACTTCTTGAATCAGTAAAGATGAGGTTAAGCTGTAAGAGATAGAAAACTCAACATACAAGCAACTTAAATTAAGTAGACATTTCCCAGAATGAGCAACATTGCAAAACCCTGTCTCTACAACCAACAAGCAAACCCCACAAAAATTAGCCAGACATGGTAGCATGTGCCTGTAGTCCCAGCTACTGGGGAAGGCTGAGGTGGGAGGATCATCTGAGCCTGGGAGACCGAGGCTGCAGTGAGCCATGATCATGCCACTGCACTCCAGCCTGGGCAACAAAACAAGATCCTGTCTCAAAAAAAAAAATTTTTTTTAAAGTAAACATTTCATTCTTTGTTTCTCACATAAAAAAGTTCAGGAGTAAGTAGTCCAGGGATAGTGGCTCTAAGACCATCAGGAATCCAGGCCCTTTCTCTCTTACAGTTCTGCTATTCTTGACACACGCTTACACTTCATTGCCCAAGATGACTGCTCTAGCTCACTCTCTTATACTACATTCCGGCCAGGAGAAAGGGAGAAAGAAAAGTAAGAACATATGTCCCTCTCTTTAAGGAAGTCACATGTGAAATTTTGTTATGTCCCTTTGTTCCCTGTGGTCATACCTATTTGAAGAGAAAACTGAGAAATGCAATCTTTATTCTGAGCAGCTATGTACTTAGGGGAAAACTGGGGGTTCCCTCCTGAAGAAGAAGGTGCGAATGGGTATTGGAGGACAGTTAGCACTCTCAGTCACATAACTGTAACTAGCCAGTCCTCCTTCATACAGAAGCATGCAGTTTTCTCTTTCTTGGCATCTCAGGTCCCAAAGCCACCCTCATTCCAGGTATTAATGCTTCTGCTGATATCATATTTTGTCACTTTGGCCTGTTGCCCTTTCCTGAAGCATTTTGCCTGGACTACTTCTATTCACATTAGTTACTTTTATTTTTTATTTTTATTTTTAGAGATGAGGTCTTGCTCTGTTGTCCAGGCTGGAGTGCAGTGGTGTGATCCTAGCTCACGGCAGCCTTGAAATCCCAGGCTCAAGCAATTCTCTTGCTTCAGCCTCCCAAGTAGCTAGGACTGCAGATGAGCTACACCATACCTGGCTCATTTATGATTATTACTGTTTTAGAGATGGACTCTCACTATGTTGCCCAGGCTGATCTACAACTCCTGGTCTCAAATCATCCTCCTGCTTTAGCCTCCCAAAGTGCTGGGATTACAGGTGTGAGCCACCATACCCGGCCAGCATTAGTTATTTTAAAAATTCTTTCTCTTATCAGTCCACCTCAGGCCACCTGACTTTTCTCTTCTCAACTTACCTGAAAATGTAACACCCCACTGAGTCCCTCAGATCAAACTTTTTTTTTTTTTTTTGAGACAGAGATTCACTCTTGTTGCCTAGGCTGAAGTGCAATGGCGCGATCTTGGCTCACTGCAACCCCTGCCTCCCGGATTCAAGTGATTCTCCTGCCTCAGCCTCCCGAATAGCTGGGATTACAGGTGCCTGCCACCACACCTGGCTAATTGTTTGTATTTTCAGTAAAGATGGGGTTTCACCATGTTGGCTAGGCTGGTCTCAAACTCCTGGCCTCAAGTGATCCACCCACCTTGGCCTCCCAAAGAACTGGGATTACAGGTGTCAGTCACCATGACTGGCTTACAAATGGTCATTATAGAAGTTTGATCTGGCCAGGTACAGTGGCTCACACTTGTAATCCCAGCACTTTGGGAGGCCGAGACAGACAGATCACTTGAGGCCAGGAGTTCGAGACCAGCCTGGCCAACATGGTGAAACCCCATCTCTACTAAAAATACAAAAATTAGCTAGGTGTGGTGACGCCCACCTGTAGTCCCAGCTACTGGGGAGGCTGAGGCATGAGAATTGCTTAAACCCAGGAGGCAGAGGCTGCAGTGAGCCAAGATCATGCCACTGCATTCCAGCCTGGGTGACAAAGTGAGACTGTGCCTCAAAACAAACAAACAAACAAACAAACAAACAAACAAACAAACAAACAAAAAAACCATTTGTAAAGCCACCTTGACCTGTATCTGAGTCCTTTTCCAGGAAGGGCTGCAGGCTGTATTGCCTGTCCTTCTTCTGACCCACCATTCTATCTTTCCCTCTAAATGTCAAGTCGTTCTTTAAAACAACACCTCCCTGAAGCATTTCCGGATTAATTGCAGCTCTCACGCTCCTCACAGGAAGCGCCAATCAATGTCCGTTCTTCTGTGCCTTACCAGGGCTGCAAATTATTTTCTGTTCAGTACAAACTGTGTTTCTTCTGATTTTTAGCCAGTATTCTTTCTAGGTCCTTTAGAGTCTGAGTTTTCTCTAACCATATTCTTCTTTTTTCACTTTTTCCACTCTTACATTAAAAGCTGCTTAGGGACTACAACCTCTGACCCCAGAAATATATGCAAATAGACACTTAACGCAGTCTGTTGGTGAATTTCTCTCATGGCTTCTTTTAGGCTAAGCAAGACTCAACGAGCATCTTCTGGCTTCTTTCTTGGGACCTATTATGGCTCTTATCTACAACATCTTGGGCTTCCCAAAGCTTGAGGTTTTGAGAATCAACCACAGACAGTTGACTTCCAGTGCTACTCCCTAGGAGAAATTCCCTGGCTGTGAGAGCTCCTTGCTTAAATAAGGCAGGAGTACTTTCTCAAAGAAGTCAAGGATCATTTCACTATCTAATCTCTGTGAGAGCAATTGGATAAGGAAAGGAGTCTTTGGGGCCTGCAGCAGTTAACAATAATCTAGGTTATGCTGCTATAATGAACAACAGTCAAATCTCAGTGGCTTTAAACCAAAAATGTTGATTTCTTGCTTATGTTACTTCTCCCATGTGGGTTGGCAGGAGGACTTTGACATAATAGAGTCCCCATACCAGTGACCCTCATTCCAGAGAGGAAGAGTTCTGGAGCGTCTTGCATCAATAATTCAATATTCCAGCCAGGAAGAGACCCACATCACTTCTGTTCATTGGCTAGAACTAGTCACATGGTTCTGACCAAAGAGACCAGGAATTACATACAATCTACCTTGTGTTTGAGAGGAAGGGGAACTGGAAATATTTAGAGAACAGCACTAATGATGTCCACAGACCCAACTGTAATGATTAACATTCACAGGCTAGTATTTGACCCAGACTAACTTGAGGCAATTGCAGGCAGCATTTCTAAACCTCTTTGTATTTCAATCAAAAGAAATCACTTTCAACATTTTGCTCCTAATTACTCTGTATCCCTCTCAAATTGTTCCTACTTCAAGGTGAAATCAGTGAAATGTTTTGAGAGCCCTGGTGCAGAGTTTCAGGCCTGTCACAGCTTCTTTGCTAACATCTTCACCTTGGCACTTGGGTTCTCCTTGAGTGTCCTCCCCACCCCCTTCACCAGCCTCAACCTCACTCTGCCTACCTCATCACCCTGGGAGCTGCTTGCATGCATCACTGTTTTGGTGGATGGCAGCAATACACAAGGGCACCTCATTGTTGGAAAGGAACTGCCTTCCGCCTGCCAAGGACAAATGCAGACACACAAAGCAATATCAAGCAAGACTTCACATCAAAGGGAACCCTGCCTGGGCTTGCCAAGAGCAGGCTGCCTCTGTGTCTTTCTCTTCAGCCTTGTCAGTATTCTTAGGGTCCAACAGGCCTATGGTGTCCCTGCCAGGCCGCCTCATTCACCCAGCACTCCTGTTCACTCTGACACCAAAAGCTCTGGGCTCTCCCTGAATCTGGGCTCGACAACTTGAACGGAGCACAATGCCAAGTGTTTAAAAATGCTGCGTGATTAGGAAGGAAAATCTCTGAGAAATATTTACTCTGTGAATTCTATGTGAGTAGGAGAACAGAATACTTTACCTTGTTCAGTGAAGCAACACATAGAAAGTTAAGAAATCCCTGCCTAAGACCTAGGAAAGCTTACCTAAAGAGGAAGGAAGAATGCTCTATGAGCGGAGATTTGGGAACATTGGAACCAACACTGAAATTGACACTGGCTGGCCTGGGCATTCAGACGTGACTGGGGAAGTCGTGTGACAAACAGAAGATCCAGAGAAACTTTAAGTTCTGCTTTAGAACCAACAGAAGAATTCAGGTTCTGTTGCTTTAAGGAAAAGAACACGTTTGTTTTACAAAGAGGATGAGGGAAAAATGGAAAAGAGAGACTGGCAGGGACAAAAAAGGGGATTGAAACTTTATTTTAGACAACAGGTAAGCCTATCTGTCTGTTCTGGATGCTAAAGAACTCTTCTGGAAGGATACACTCATCATCAAAATACAATGGAAGTTACAAAGTTTTAAAGTCAAATATTGTGAGAACTTGAAACGGGAGATGGTCTTTTCCAATTTTTTTTTTTTTTTTTAGTTATGAAAATCTAAGGCTCAGGAATGTCAAGGGGCCTTTTCACAGTCACACAGCTGCTTAGTGACAAAGCTGTAGCTAGAACCCTGAGCTTCTGACTCTCAGACATGGGTTGTTAAATCACAGCGTGGTATAATGGTGCTACGTGTGGCACGTGATCAGAGAGCACAGGTCTGCAACTTCATCAAGTAAGGTATTTTTAACATGGTGACTTCAACACTTTGACTAAGCTCTTCCACTGTAGCCAACCCTACTGCACTGTTCCAACAGCTTCCCAGAATGGTAGTAATTAGAGCAAAGAAAAAAAATAGGACCCAGAGAAAATGTAACATTTCTTAGTAGTGGGAGGAGGTGGAAATAAATGCATTTACATAACTTTCTACTTTCAGAACACTTCATGTGACTACGGGTTATTAACCTAGGGTCCATGAAGAGAACTCAGGCATTCCAGGACAGGAAAAAAAAATTACATCTTTTACTGAACTCTCACTGAAATGCATCATTACCTTCATTATGAATGTAGGCAACAAACCACAACAGTGTTTGCAGTCTTTGGACTTTGTCACTAATAGAAATAAACATTTTCACATTGTATTAGCTGTTGCAGGTATCTTGAAATATCTTTACCTTTTTTATCACTTTGCTGTGATGGTAGTTTTTAGATCTGCTGCTAGATTTTGTTAAATAGTGCTTAATAAGCACCTATATTACTATACCACAGATTTTTATAAATGTTTTGATAATCATATTTCAATATAATTGGATTATTTTATAATTCTATGTATGTATTTATTTTAAGCTGTTAAAGGCATTATTCTAAGAAGGGATCTGTAGACCTCACCTGTCAGAGGGGTCCTTGGCATGAAAGTTAGGAACTCTGACATGTGAGGGGTCAACGAGTGTCAGGTTGCCAATGGATACCCATGTCACTAGGTCCCCTGTCCCTGCACCATCATCCTGTGGGCTCAGAATGAAGGGATGCTTGCTTGTCATTCTGGGTTGGAGAGCTGCCAATATCTCTTGCCACAGACTGTGTTTGTAATTCCAGGGTGTACCAGCCTTTGAAAACTGACATGATTATATTGCAAAACGTGACAGAAAAGAATCCATTGTTTGGCGTTATTATTAAAATTAAGACTGATATGGAGTTGGTAATATTTATATTAAGAGGGCTGTGTTCACACGTCCATGGAAGTTGACTTTTCTGCGGGAACTGGCACTTTAAAGTCCAGTCAAAAGGAAGTCAATGTTTTCAAAGATGACAAAAACTGATTTGGCATGGTCAGTACATGTTCAGACTATTATTAAGTAAGAAAAATAAAAATTTTAAATATTAAGACACCATTTCCACCTCTCAAATAGGCCAAGAGTTTTAAAGGTGGTAATTCTCAGGATCGATAGGGTGTAGTAAAATAGATATTTTCCTAAACTACTCACAAGACCAAGGCTTGACATAACTTTTCTAGATGGCAGATTGGGCTTTATGTTTTAAGTGAGTGCTTTTCACCCAGTAATTTCACTTCTAGGAATTTATTCTGCAGGCAGAATTACAAAGATATTCTTCAAAATATTATTCATAACAGTAAAAAAATTGGAAACAGCGTGAATGCCAACAACAAGAGCTTGGTCAAATTATGCTACATCTGTAGGATGAACTATTACGTAGCTAATTTAAAAAATAGCCATTCTGACAATATGTAATGATATAAGGAAATGTGTAAAAATAATGTAGACTTAAAATACAACACATAAAACTGCAAGTATAAAATAATTCTGTTTTTTAGTTTTAAAATATCCTTCGTATTTCTTTGCAATCTTACTTATGTACATATACCTATAGAATATGTGTGTGTAAAAAACTAGAAGGAAATATATCACAGTGTTAGGGTAGTGGCATTTAATTATTGGGTAGAGGCATTTTAATTATTTTTATTTACTTCTTTATGTTTTTGGAACTCCTGACATTAGGAGAAGCAGTAAGACACTGTTTTTAAGAAGATGAGCTGGTGCCACATGGGCTGATGTGTTTGCTGTGCCTTCTTGTTGCTCCAGACAAAAGTTTGTTTTGCTGGTTGCTACTGAGTGTTATTTTTCTTGTAACCTTTGCTCTCTTTCCCCACCATTGGCTTCCAGATGTCTGATTTCACCAAGTTCAGGGCACTGGACGCATGTGCATTTTCCCCTCTAACTTGAACAGGAAATTCAGAAACTGCCTTAAGCCTGCCAGCCTGATAGAGCCAGCACCAACATGAATATCAACCCAAAACCTCTTGGCCTAATGAAAAATAGCTCGATGGGGGAATGTGAAGCTTTTGTAAAAACTGGTGACTGAGTTTGAGATAGGGAAAGAATTTTAGGAGGCATCTGCCCCTCTTTCCTCTTGGTCAATGATGGCTTCTGCCTAGTTGTGCTTTCTGCATGTTGTGGGTGAAAAATGGAGATAAAAAGTAATTATTCTACAGCAACTTAACCTTTTGCTGATATTTGGTAGAAAGTGATAAACTTTCAACTTTCTGTCATTATTTAGCATGTAGTGTATAAATTAGCTGGAAAAAATTCTGTTTGAATAGATGAAGACATATTTTCTACGGATTTTACCTTGAAAGTGAGAAATACAAAGGTAATTTTCTGTTTGTGAATGTTTGTTTTAGGGTTCTATTATTTGCAGTGCCATTTAGAATTTTGGAAACATTAGAGTCTATATTCCATTCCTCCTGTCTTTCTTAAACTTGGATCAATTTTCTCCGGGTGAAGTTTAAAATAATAAAAACTGGGAAACCATTTACTCAATGCCTCCTGTTGCATAGCAATCTAAACAAACAGGCCCCTTTCCTCTGTTAAGAACTTCCAATAAGACAAATCACAAAGCTTGTGTTTAAAAAAATGATTTCCAAGTTCCCCACCCCCAACCCCATTTGAAAGCTTCCTTTAAAAAAAATAGAGGCAAAAGATTGTAGACAAGAAACTTAATTGACTTTTTAGTGAGTCACTTCTCATGCTACTACAGGGATTAGAAAACTCTTTTGTTTGCGGTGAGGCCAGAGGATCTGAACTGGACACATAAATACCAAGCCAACCAAAGCAGGACAAATAATAAGAAATAATAGTAACCATCAGGTGGTCAGTATCTTCTGTGTAGCAGACACAGTGCCATGTAAGTTATCTAATCTTATAACAAACTTCCTGTGTTGGATATCTTACATTTGCACCCCCAGGTCCTCTCTCTACTCTTTTCCATCCTGTTCTCTGCCCAGGGAGGATGACCTATTTAGACAGCAGCAAAGGGCTTGCTTACCCAAGAGTACTGGCAGGAGAGAGGAAGGAGGAGGTAAGATCAGAGTATGTTCCTGGCCCCTTCTCTGCTGGTTCCTGCAGGTTGGCTGTGTCCCTCTACCCAGAGATACAGCTCCTGCCAGGCAGCCCTTTCCATTCCACTCCCCTCCCTGGCTTCCAAGAATGGCTCCTCGATGCTTCATTCAGGTCTAGTGGTGGGAAGAGCTCCCTGCGGTTGCCAGCTCCATATCGAAGTGAACTCTTAGGCAATGTCTTCTCATGCAATTTATTGGGAAATCAATCAGAGATTGACCTTTGCTAGACAACCTCTAGTGTCTTGTAAACATTATTTAAATTTTAAATTATTTGTCTTTTCAAAATCATGGGCTGTGGCACTAAGTAGTTTTGGCCTTGACTGTAAGCTTTGTCAACATTGAACACCTGGACAAAGTATTAACCTAGCAGAGCCTCAATTTACTAAAAATTAAAGAGTAACAGTAATATCTACCTTACATGGTATTGTGAGAATTCAGTGAACATATATAAAATTTTATTACAAGATACAGCACATAAATCTAATTTTATTCCTCTTTTTTCCCTCTTTCTTTCCTCCAACTAGGGGCCAAATTTAGCTAACATTTACTGAGTGATTATTATGTGTCATGTACTAGTTTAAGCATTTTATACATATTAATTGATTTACATCAATCCTATATACTATTATCCTCTCTTTTACAGATGGAGAAATCAAGGTGCAAAGAGGTTAAGAAATTTGTCCAAGGTTTGCCAGGACATAGATGGGAGTACTAATTCACAACTAGATGGTAAACTTTTCAAGGCAAAACCAACTGTATACCAAATTTCTTTCTTTCTTTCACAGGGCCTAGCATGATGTCTTCCATATGCAGGTGTTCAATAAGTGCTGATTTTATTCCAGGAGCAGAGGCAATTAAGCTAGGGTTGCAATAGTTAGGGAGCCAGGAGATCCACATGGTCAAAGTAGCAGCTGCTTTCACGAAGCAGTAATGCGTGCCGCTCGAATTTGGATGCAAGGTCCTGGTAACTGAGGAATGGGCTGTTGCTGGAAGATAGAGCAGAGAGCAGCCAGTTATCTTGCGGAGGGGTGAGGAAGGAAAGAGAACTTGAGCTGGGAAGCCAGCAACAGTGGAAAGCTCCCCAAGTGAAGCTTGAGCTCCTCTCTCAGCAATCCTCCTGGCCTTGAGGAGACAGTAAATCTCACTCCATCCTGTGGTTATACCACTGAAGCATCTTTAAAAACACTTAGTCCCAAACAATGGGCCCTTTCCTGCTGCTTTTCTTACCTGAGCCAGCAACCTCAGAGCTTTCTGGGATTTCTGTTAAAAACACCGAGATCCCAGGACTCCTTCTCTATCAACACAACTGTCGCTCACGCCAAGCATGGGACATATGGCCGAGCATCTGGGAGGGAGAAGATGGGCCAGGAGTGCTGGCAAGCGGCACATGCTTTCATTATAATGGATGTGTCACAGTAAATCATTTTGTAAATGTCCCCTCCCCCTGTGCTGCATAGCAAAACATAAAGGAAGACGAATTACCCACAGCACCACAATGCTGGTTGAATATGCCAAAACTTGTGCCTGAGACACTTAGTGACATTTCCTTAAATATCTTTTTAATATCTTGGCCAGGTTGGGCATACCAATGGCATTACAGAGCTTGCAAATCAATACCCCAGCTGTTTTGGTTTTTTAATAAAACTGAATGTGATCTATTTTAAATGATTGCCTTCCACCCCTCTAATTTTCTACAGGGCTTTCAGAGAGCAAGACTGTGGGCAGCCCTGAAGTCAGGACTTGGCTCTGAAAGGGTAGTTGTTCCTTTTGGGGGTGGGGTAGAAATTAAACATTTGCTGGATTACTGTCATCATTTTTTCCTAGTCCTCTAGTCTCCCAAATCTAGTGATCTACATGATTTACAGGACCAACTTGTGGTGTGCTGCTGTTTTTAAAAAATGAGTTTACCAAAATGTTGCAGAAGAATCTAAAGGGCTTAGCTTCTACAAATCAAATTGATTTCTCCATTTGGGATCAGTCCAAGTGATTTATTCATAATTTTATTAGAGATCTTTTCCAAAGGAAATTCTTTGTCTCTGATTATCACCATAAAGAAAATTGAAAGAGCTTCTACCAAGAATTCAGTCATATGCATGTGACTTTTGCCCCTCGGAAAAATGGAATATGTAAAACTGTCATCAACAGCAACCATCTTGGTTACTGGGCATCCACAGTCCTCAATAACAACAAGAATTCCTCACGCAAATAGGGAGGTGGTCCTGTCACATTTGGGGTCCCAGTAAGCAGAAAAGCCCAATCAAAGTACCTATAAATCAGAGTTTTATAAAGATATTAGTTGACTGCTACTTACGTGGGTCATAAATGTGACACCACAATAAACAATCAAGTTTCTTTGAGGATGTATTTGAGGACTTTTTTATTGGCTTTGAGAAATCACAGTACTTCCATCAGGAAAGTCTCATCTGCTTGTGCAGTTTATTGCTTTTATTTTCTGTAGTTTATACAAAGTGTCTAAGCTTTTTTCCTTCCAATATTTTTCCTGGGCTACATTAGTACAAGTCCGTGTTTTCCCTGGGCCAGCAGGACCACAAACCAGATTAAAACAAAAAGGGAGCTGGAGCCTCGGCTGGGCCCCTGGAGAGGCCTCCTCCCTCTGCCTTCCCCACCCCTGACCTCTCACAAACCAGCTTTGAAGCAACTGAAATTTCTTTCTTTCTTTCTCTCTCTCTTTTTTTTTTTTTCCTGACCACAGGCAAAATCCTGTCTCCTTGGTTCTCTGAAAGTTATCCATTCCTGAATTTTACCCTTAACCACAGCGGAGGAAAGGGAATAGCTGAGGTCAGGAAATATGGAAAGAATGTTAACAATTTACCACTAAAATATACATTAAGATTATTTTCAGCAAGTGTAATCCCCACGTTGAACTTCTAAATCTAGAATTCTCCTGTCATGTGACTATATTCACATTTATGTGTGCCCCTTTCAGCCTCAATTCATCCCTTCCTGAATGAGCTCTCTGTGAAAGGTAGGACTGAGTGAAAATAGGCAAGTGAAATCTTCAAGTTTCCCTCCCTAGTTAACACTGATTACAAATGTTGAAGTGGTTAGATGAAAGTAGTTGTCTTTTACCTGAGCTAGTGCACGAATATCATCAGAGATTTTAACAGGCATAAAAACGGAAGTGAAAATAGACACACAGGTCACACTTTCAATCAAACAGCTAGTTCTGTATAGAAATCCAAAATTATAAATGTTTAGATGCTGTTAAGAGCAAAAGGAATGAACCAGGGATATCTCATCTCAGGTACTTTTAAGATAATCACAGAATGTTAGCATTAGAAAGAAACAAAGAGAGTCTTTCATTGAACTTCATTTTATATAGGACACAATTAACAATAATTACTATTGCCAGTATATATGTATTTTCCCATTTAATTATTACAACAGTCCTAGAATGGGTCACATCTATTTTGCGGAGAAGAAAAAGAAAGGTGAAGGAACCTGCCCAAGGTGAAGTGGTAGAGGTAGGATTCAAACTTGAGCACTCTGGTTCCCATTCAAACATCAAATTAGAGGCCCTCCAAGGACTTGAACTCATTTCTCTTGGAAACCAAGGAGTCTTTGCCCTACTCTGGGGCAAGTAGATGGCTGCTAACTGCCTGGCTTTATCCACCCCTTCTTTGCGCCACATCTCACCCTCATGCTGGCCTCAGGTTGGTTTGGAGTGGCTGTCATGATCCAAGATGGATCTGCCTTTCCCCAAGGGCTGGCGCCAGTGCCTCCCCAGACACGCATGCTGCGCTGCATCTGTCGCTAATGGGATTTCCAGATTTCTGCCTCTTCATGAGTCCCATTTGGCAGCCCTGCATATCTGTGAATCTAATGTCTGTGTGTAGTCGTGCTCCTCAGCTGTTCCAGTTTGGCAAATAAGTGATGATGGCTGTGGCCAGGTTAAATCTGAGGGCAGACTTACTGTGAGTTTAGTTTTCTGAGTCCATCTTTGCAGGGACTGAAGCTACCTTGACAATGTGATGTGTGATGTGATCGTGATGGCCCTGGACATGTCCTAGACTCATCTTCTTCAGTTACTAAGCACTTCATGTATTGTTTCTTTGTAGGTGAACTTTCCTTAGGGGGTGTCCCTTTTTTCCCTTTTTTTCTTAAGTGACATAGTACCTGGGAGTTCACTGTCTTGTTTAATTTTGTCTCTCCTATATATTACCTAGCTTAGGGCATTAAACTTTGGAAATCAACAAATGATTATTACATATAAGAAGGAATAGGCTGGGCATGGTGGCTCACCCCTGTAATCTCAGCACTTTCAGAAGCTGAGGTGGGTAGATCACTTGAGGTCAGGAGTTCAAGACCAGCCTGACCAACATGGCGAAACCCCGTCTCTATTCAAAAATACAGAAATTAGGTGGGTGTGGTAGTGCACGCCTGTAGTCCCAGCTACTCAGGAGGCTGAGGCAGGAGAATCACTTGAACCCAGGAGGCAGAGGTTGCAGTGAGCTGAGATCATGGCACTGTACTCCAGCCTGGGCAACAAAGCAAGACTCTGTCTCCAAAAAAAAAAAAAAGAAGAAGGACTAGATTGTAGTAAAGTCCTCTGACCCTCTGTGTAGTAGACATTTGTTATTTCATGGCTACTCACAATCCATTCTATATCCCAGTAAACCCTGCTTCCTGTTAGAGCATGATCTCCTATCATGGCATGAGCTCTTAGTAGTCAAAAAGTCCAAGTACACTACCCATTTCCCACTTCAAAAGCTGAAGGGAAAAGTTTCTGTTTCACAGGGTTGTTATGAGTATATTTGATGAGTTAATTTAGAAATAACACATAAAACATGTGGCAACTGCTAATATTAGCTCTTCTACTTGTTCTTCTTCTTCATCCTCTTCTTGTTTGCCTTCTCATTTTTGTTGTTATTAGTAGTAGTATTATCCTCTGCAGAGCCAGGACAAGGGTACTTGACCTAAACTTTGCCACTCAGATTCCTTGGAATATTCAATATTGTATGGTTGACACAAGGACAGAAGATACAGTTAGTTTTTTTTAAATTGTGAAATATCACGCAACTAAAGAAAAATGCAAAAGTGACATGAAAGATTTGCAAATAACCGAAAGCAAATGCCTATGTAGCAGCATTGTCCAGTTTATTAACCCACCAAAGCCTTCTGTATGCTATTCTCCAGTCAAAGCCGTCTTCTTCCCTCACGGATAGCTTCATGGGTTTGGGACCTGTGCACATGCTCAGAAGAGTCCCATGCTTGGTTTAATGTCTGCAGTTGCCTTCTTGAAATTTTTTATAATTTTTGAGTAAGTGGCCCTGCATTTGAAGTTTTCTCTGAGTCCCACAAATTAATATAGCTAGTTCTGCCTTCACTCTTAAGGTGACCATTATCCTGACTGTTGTGAGGATGATTTTCTTGCTTTTCTTTATAATTCTACCACCTGTATGCATCTGGAGCTCTTTCATCCTCAGGGTATGCTCTGACATACTATTCCTGCTTTAAAGTCAGTCACTTCTATGATTACTGCTTCAGAGACTGCAGATGTTCCAGTGACTGACTCCTTCAATATTCTCCCAGTACATTCTACTTTGCTTAGGTTTGCCAGTGTTGATTTCTGTTGCTTGCAACCAAAGGAATATATCTGGTATCATTGTTTTTCTAAAAGACTCTTGATAGAGAAAAAGATAGCGTGTAATAATTTGTCTTTGTTTTATTCCTTTCTGCACAAAGTCTTATGAATGTTCCATAGATGTAAGATTTCTTTTAAAACTAACATCCTGACAAACTTATATTCCAGCAGAGAAAGTTAAAACTTGAAGTTGTTAACATTGTTACCTATATTTAGAAGAATGTTACCTTCGGGACAAGCCATGAAGCCCAAAATGCCTGCCAATGGCAATTTTTTTCTTCCCAGAAAAGTTGCCAGAGGTTGCTAGTGGATCACCACTTTCTTGGAGAACTCTTCCCCATGACATGTGGTTGAGATGGGATCCCCAAATTGCTGGCTACACATGTATCCTCAGCCTCCTGGCCTCAGTGATTAGAGCAGGGATAGGTGAATAACCCAAACAAAACCAATAACGATTCTCCCAAGGAGTTTTCTGCCTTGAGCTATCAGGGAAGATAATTTCAGGTCTTTGGGTTGGGGCTCAGGGTGTCAAGGTATGGGGAAACCCTCCTACAGCAATAGAGGCAGTAGAGACTAAAACTGAACAGCACACACACACATGGTGGTAAACAGAAGCCATGATGCAGTAGAAGCTATGAGGTGTCCAGGGAGTTGGTAGTTGAGATGTTGGCACAAAAGCAGAGGCAGAGAAATGCTGGCTGCCAGACTTCTCTTGAGTCCCTGGGGTTACTGTGATGCCTTAAGGGACATTTCAGCGCTCTATGAAGCTTGGCTTGGCCACTGTTAAGATGGCTTCTTCTGCTTCCTTACTTCCCTGCACATCCTAAAATAAACTTCCTACATCTGTCTCAGCCTTGATCATCATAATTGGTGTCTATAATGAAACATATGTACAAACCTTGGAACTTGTTAACTGGACTTGAGACCTAAAATGAACCCTTCTCCATGCTTAGTCAACCGTTGTTCTTTCTAACAGTGGAGCTCATTTATGCTTAGTCCCTGCAACTCAGGGGTAAGTGAAACAGCTTAAAGCCAGAAACATCAAACGGTAATCCAATGAAGAGGACCTAGCAATAATTACCTGCCACACTGGAATGCTGACCTGGTGATTCTGGAATTCTTTTTTCTCCATCTTTACTCTCTCCATTATATTTCAGGCTTCCAGAAAGCTTCCCCTGGATTGAAGTGGGCCTCCCTGCTTGCAATATTGCTCCTCTTAATTCCATTCTCCAAAGAGCAATCAAAGCAATCATGATCAAATTAATAGTAAAGTGACTACCTATTGCTCTCAGGATGTGGCCCCAAATTCTTAGTTCACATGTGAGGTTGTTTATGATTTGGCTCTTGTTTACCTTCCCAGGCATATTCTTCCCACCTCTCCCCACCTCTATACCATCCCTTACATTCTCTGCTCTAGACTTGAACCCACTCTTTTGCCTACTTACCTTTTGCACAAGTTTTCTTCTGCCTCAAATACCTTCTTTCACTCCTTCCCCTTGCTTTCTCCTACTCTTCTTTAAGGTCTTAGTTTAAATGTCCCTTCCTCCAGAAAATTTCCCCTGAATTCCAAAGACCAGGGTTCACAAACATGCACTCCATAGAGTTCTCTTTTTTAATATAAAATTGCCCTTTAACTTGTCTGTCTTCAACTTGGCTGTAAGTTTCTTTAGGATGACTGGCACATAGTTGATGCACAAATGAACGTACAAGATTAGAGGAAACAACAGAATATTTCTACTCTTGCAGCCAGAGTCCAGGGCTGTGGTGTGGGTGAACAGACATCAGAGAATTGGACTAGTAGCTGGGGCAAAATATGAGGCCAGGAATCCCACCCACTGATTAAGAAGACCGCTAGGAACCATGAATTACTTAGGAATTACCATCTTGATTAGTTGAGTTTAAGGCAAGTCCCCAAACCCATCCATCTCCTTTTCTTGCATATTTTAACTGAAGGCAAATAACAGCTTTTCCCAAATGGTCAATACTTACATGTAAGACAACTTGCCTATTTCATAATTTCTCAAAACAAAAACAAAATCAGTCCAACTAGGATGCCTGGTGAGCTGTAGTTAGAAGCTTGGCTTGGGAATCCATTGATTGAAATTGTTTGGACTGGCAGTAGAACAAAGTACAAATGGTTAAGCAGATTCCTCAAATTCTGCTAAAACAAGAGGAAAGATAAGAAAACCAGAAATGTCGCCTCCATCCTGGCCAATGTAGAAGAGCTAATAGGTGAATGACAGCATATTTTTAATCCATAACGGAATGTTGGTTTCTTTTCTTGTTTAATGGCTTCCTTTCTTTAGGAGAACCTGATACGAGCAAGCAGAATTCTGGAAGGCAACATCTTGAGAGCCCTGAAGTGACAATGGGATTCTGGGAAAGTCAATTCCTGGAGCCCCAGTCTCTTCATCTGCAAAATAGAAATAATGATTACAATGGACACTCTCCTGCCTGCTGGGTGGCATCACAGGAGACAGTGTTTTAGAAAGTCCTCTGTATGTTCAGGGTAGCATTAACACCACCTCCCACTGCCTCCCGCCAATAAGAGCCTACAAAAGAAACACAGCCAGGTAAACTGAGTCAGTAAGCACTGGATTTGGGAGTTTGAGTATTTCCAAGCAGAAGTCATGAGGTCAAACTTTGTAATACTAATAGGAAGAAGCACAGGAATCCCATTTCTTTGATCAATTTATTAATTTTTTAGTAAATTCTCTCTCATCAATTGTGCTATAATGTTTTTGCATCCCAGACAGTTTTGTACAATATCATGTGTTTCATGCTCCTTGTTCATCAATATAATGCAGTTAGTTGGCAAAATAGTTACAGGAACTGAGGTTACCCTTTCTATTCAGCACAGAGGGGAGATATGGAAGGAACGTTCAGGAATATATTTCTACCTGGGTTTCAAGTAAAGGTGGCCATTGGCACCAGTTAGGGCTGGACTCTGGGTAATTATGGGGCATGCAGACAGCTCCATCCCTTTACCATAGCAGGCATCAGTGATCTACCACAGCACCTTTCCCCTTCTTAGACCTGGAGATGGCCTCAGAGCCCTTCCCAGCACAGTGGTAACTGGATCAGATCACAGTAAAATGCATTCGTCACGCCATGTCTAGGCACTGATCAGAAGCCATGACTCTTCATTATCAAGCTGTTAAGCAGCTATTAGGTGATGCCCTAATGCCCTACTGAGAAAATTAAACCAGTAACTTACAGGTTTATGACTTATTCTTTCATTTTTTGAGCTCTTATTGGTTGCGCTTAATTCAAACAAATAAAACAGGGTAGCAGAGTTAAACCAAATGCTTGGGTTGTAATTCCCAAGTTCTTTTCTCTTCTTCCAGCCACACAGGATATTTGATCCTTTTAATGCCTTTAACTGTTGGCTTCAAACAACTGTGAAGAAGAGAAGGAAACCTGACACTTTAGCTGGATGATGTTTATACAGATGCAGCTTCTTCCTTCACATATTTGGTTAGGAGGAGCTCAGTGAGCTGGAGGCTGAATCTCAGGAATGTTTAAATAAAGTGACATTGACACAGACCCTGAGCAACATTTGCAAACCCCATTCTAACCTCACTTAGAGCTGAGGTTCTTAATCTTTACTGGACATGGATTCCTTTGGCAGACTGGTGAGGTTTATGCATCCCGCTCAGAATACTATCTTTATATAAAACAGTAAAAGAAAATAAATTGGGTTATAAAAAGAAAATACATTGGGCTAAAAATGCATCTGGGCATACTGAAATACAGTTATTAAAATATTTTTTAAAGTCTATGATAAAGATTTTTATATGTTCTTATTTATTAAACATTATACAAAAAGATCTAATGGCAAGTTAAGTAACTTCCATAATTTTGCAATAGTGATCAGGGCAAATATTTTGAGATATCAGGGGTAACTATAATGTTATATGAAACTATCTTGATTTCTATTGGTGACTAAGCCACAGGTACCAATAAGACTACTGTAGTTTGTTACCATATTTAAACTGATAAGAACAGATACTCCACTTGATCTTAGCTAAAAGGCCGAGAAGCGATGTTACCATATTTAAAATAGAAAACTTGCTAAATTTCAGAGAGAGGTTAGTGGAAATAGTGATTCCTCCTCCAGTCCAACTAGTCTGTGAACCCTTTGGATTATGTCCAGGGACCCCAGTAATAAACCTTGGACAAATTTGAATGTAGAGACCTCTGAGCTATCAGGTGTAATATTCCCACCACTAATTCTCCACTTAGAGAATTCCTGAGGCGGCCGGGCACAGTGTAATCCCAACACTTTGGGTGGCCGAGGCGGGTGGATTGCTTGAGCTCAGGAGTTCGAGACTGGCCTGGGCAACATGGCAAAGCCCCGTCTCCACTAAAAAAAATAAAAATAAAAATACAAAAATTAGCTGGGCATGGTGGTGCCTGTAATCCCAGCTACTTGGGAGGCTGAGGCAGGAGAATCCCTTGAACGCAGGAGGTAGAGGTTGCAGTGGGCTAAGATCGTGCCACTGCACTCCAGCCTGGGAGACAGAGTGAGACTCTGTCCCCCACCCCCACCCCCCACCAAAAAAAAGGAAAAGAAAAGAAAGAATTCCTGAGGCAGAAGAAAAGGGTCTTATATGGATTGCTTTGTTTGGTGTGAGACTGCCTTGCCCTTCTCTTCAAACAGAGGATCTTCTTTACTATTAGAGCTTTTTCCTCAAGGGTCACATGGGGTTTAAACACATTCTCTGGTCTAGAAAGTGCGCACCCCTGCGGATGTGAGGAAATGGGAGCCTACCCAGGTGAAGCCACCTGACCCACATAAATAAACAGTGGGAAAGGCCATCCACATTTTCTATCCCTGGCAAGTTGAAAAGTTAAGGTGGCCCCAAACTCTTGCTAGATCTGACATGAACCAGAGGTTGAATCTGGGACATACAGTCTGGGACTCTGTTGTCTAGCGGGGTTGAACTCAGCTCCCACCGGCACCAGATAAGCTTAGAAATTTTCTGCAGGCTTCGGTAGGGGAGATGCTAAAGAGCAAAATGACCCCTAAGCCTATCTGGTGTTAGTGGGAGCTGCTTTAACAGTGTATCATCTAAATATTTGTTGGTGCTAGATGTTCTGCTTTGTTGTTGGCTCAGTACTAGATAACAAAATCACAGATGTGTGAGAGGCATGTGTGCTTGGAGGTGGAAGCTGGGTAAGAAGAGACATTTTAGGCTGGGAGCGGTGGCTCACAGCCGTAATCCCAGCACTGTGGGAGGCCGAGGCAGGCAGATCACCTGAGGTCAGGAGTTTGAGACCAGCCTGGCCAATATGGTGAAACCTCATCTCTACTAAAAATACAAAAATTAGCTGGGCGTGGCAGCGGATGCCTGTAATCCCAGCTACTTGGGAGGCTGAGGCAGGAGAATCACTTGAACCTGGGTGGAGGTTGCAGTGAGCCAAGATCAAGCCATTGCACTCCAGCCTGGCGGACAAGAGCAAAACTCCGTCTCAAAAAAAAAAAAAAAAAAAAAAGAAGAGACATTTTAGAAAATATTGCCATTGAGATAATGTGCCTCTGACATATTACAATTTAAATTCACACTGTAATTTGGCTTATATTCTCTATGAGAGCATTAAAGTTGATTCCTTATTTGAATTGCAATTTCACTTCTTTATTTACTCAGAGATGATCACAGAAGGGTTCCCTAGAATTACTTAATGCTAGAAAAATAGCTCCCAAGAGTCAATCAAATTAACCATCCCTTCCTAACAATATAGAATCCAGCATACTTTGGTTCTCTCATTTGACATTTTGCATGATGACAGTTGCAGAATTTGACTTCTGGGCATTTTGGTTTCTCCCCAATTTAGGAGAATGCCCAGAATGCAGAAACATGAGAAGAATGAACAAAACAAAGATGACTTTATAGGTCTCCTTTGAAGAGCTTTGCATTTCTTCCAATTGCTTTCTCCCAGACTAAAAAAAAAAAAAAATTACCTCAGTAATATATTCTCGGGTAAAAATATAAACAATATAGAAGCAAACTGAGCAGAAAGTGAAAGTCCTTCTTTGCCATCCTCCAATCCCACTTCCCTCCCCAGAAGTTAAGAATCTTTCCAGACCCTTTTTCTATGTGTTTATATATGTGCATGTATATAGATGCACAAAAATACATGACCGCAAGCAAGATGCATATATTTCTTTACATAAATGGGAACGTATACACTATATATATTTTCCTATGACTTGCTTTTTTATTTACTAATATTTCTTGGATATCTCTCTACATATAAAGCTATCTTATTTTTTTTTTAAAACTACATATTATTCCATAATATATATGAATGTACTGCGTTTGTTTAAGCAATGTCTATGGATAGACATTCAGGTTGCATGCAGCTTGGGTTTTCTGATTTGTTTGTTTTGTTGCTATTAGAAACAGTAATCCAAATTTATTCTACCTCCTTTAAGCTGATAAAAACCATCCCTAGATGTGGATTTTCTCTCTCTATTTCTGCAGCAATAAGAGTGCAGATGGGTAGGAAAGGGAGAGAATGCAATTCCTTTTCTTCCTTCTGACCACCTTCTTCCCACCTTCCACCTCCCACTTCCTTCCTGTCCACAATATACAAAAAGAGAGCTCCCTCTACTGGGAATGCCATTGCCTTCCTCCCGCTCACCTGGGTAACTCCTTTCTTCCTGCAAATTGCACCTCACTCCATCTCCCCAAGGTCTCCAGCTCACCACCTGGGAGGTCAAGGGCCTTCCTTCATGTTCTTTTGGCCCTCTCTGTATCCGACATCATATTAAAGTTACCCATCCAGACACCGGCCCCTGAGGGGAGAGAAGGAACTCACCGTGTATCCTCAGCACCTAGCACCCGATCAGCTGCGGCAGGAGCCCAGGGGCATACCTGGTGACCTGAAATGAAGGACCTCCAAGTGAATAGATCTTCACATAGTGTGCACTTGGTTTAGTTACCATTAAATCCATGTTGAAGCCAACAGCATTAAATGATGAATCACCTGGATAACATCGGAGCCTCGGACAAGGTGTGCAGACTAAGAACAGGATTTCAGAAATGTTAAAATAACACACATCAATGCCAGCATTCGCCGGTCCTTTCTATGGCCTTCCCCACACTCATCACATTGGTAGGGATCACTCTGATATTGGCAGCAGGCTTCTGCCAACTGAAAAAGAGCAATACCTGTTCTGCAGGTTCTATTTTTAATTTTTATTAACATTTTTACCTGTGCCCTGCTTGATCTCTCTCAGGCAGGCTGTTCTGATAAAACCAGTTTCGTTATGTCCTTTCCCTGGTGCATTTCTGCCCAGAGGGAAGGCTAAGCACACAGAAGAGCCCGGAGACAGTTCCATCTGGAGTAGCCAGCGGGTCAGACCACAGGGCTAATCCTGAAACTAGACCATCAGGTATCTTGGAGATCAGCTAGTCAGTACTGGAGAAAAGGGTGGCTTGGAAGAGATGGATCTCATTTTATGGAAAGCACAACAAACACTGGTTCCACCCTGCCACCAGCTTGCTGCTCCCTAACTCAACTTGTAGAGAAATTCTGAAGAAAACTGGCAATCAGCCAAAACTTCCCACTCCGGCTTGTACAGCTGAACTCTGATATCCACACAGCCGCCCCAACAGTGAAAGAGAAGGAAGAGGGATGAGGAAAGGAGGTAGTGGAAGGAGCGGTGTGGACTGGTTCTTCTTCCTACCCTTCATTCTACAGAGAAGCACACTGACACCCACAGAGGTGAAGGGTCTGAGCCCCTCACTGTTGAGTTGGCGGCAGCCCTCTGGGAATTCAGCCCTCCTCCGTGCCAGTCTCCATGCTGTTCCTATGCCCTGCATGTTGAATAGGTACAGTAGTTATCGACCACACTTCTGGTATAATCTATGGCTAGGTGAGGGATCTACTAGGCCTTAAATGCCTCCTCCACTTGATTTGCCAATTTCCCATATAAAATAATGGTTTTATTCATTGGTTCTTTTATAAATGCAAATACCCCTGGGAGAGGCAACATAGCCTTAAAGGATTCATTAAATCTTTTCTGCAAAGTAGATGAACCATAGTTCATGACCTGGTCTGGCTGCTCCTACAGCTGTAAACTCCCACTGACCCAGATTCTTCCTGGCAGCCCACAGGAAGATGAGTGTGCGATGACTGGCAGATTAGCTCTTTCAGGTGGAAGACTGCCAGAGAGATGTGCCAGCACTCTCCTTGGCGGCAGAGGGTGGGAGAGCTTGCCTGGGAGTGAGGTGTATCCTCAGGCTCCTAAATCACCTGTGTGTGTCCATGCCCCCTCCTTCTCTCCTTGCGGTGGATTCCTTAGGTCTTTGCCAACTCCAAAAGCAGGGGTGCCTTCAAACCCTGACAGCTGCGCTGATCTGGTGGCTCTACCTTTAATAGCTATTTTAGGTTCCTTCTAAACCTTGTCGAGTCTCCACACTTCTACTTAGTTGGAGGCACCTAGAGTGAAAAACAATGTATATACAGTAGCCCCCATTATCTGCAGGGGTATGCCTGAAACTGCAGATAGTACAGAACTTTATACAGACTATATATTTTCCTATACATACCTATGATAAAGTTTAATTTAAACACTAGGCACAGTAAGAGATTGGCAGCAATAACTATAAAATAGAACGATTATAACAATATACTCTAATAAAATTTATGTGTATGTGGTCTCTCTCTGTTTCTTAAAATATCTTATAATACTGTCCTGCAGGTAACTGAAACCACAGAAAGCAAAACTGTGGATTACGGTGGGGGAACTATCGTACCACGTATACTACAGCAGCTACAAATGCTAGGAAGATTGTTTAAAGAAGCCTGGCCCCCCTCTTCCTCTTCGAGTTCCCTTGTGAGGATGAATAAAGGAAAGTAATGCATCCAAAGCTCACTGAGCTCCTTGGGGAGAGGGGGTATGAATGCCCAGATTCCGTGGTTTTACACCGGGCATTTAATAATACCACTGACAGCTAGACTTTCTCCTCCCTAACAGAATTTGATTGCATGAATCACCCAAAGGTCTTCTTTGCAAGAGAATTTTTTAAAAGTCAATGAAAGTGGAAAACATCATAGTCTTCCAATAATGACTGACAACAGGCAAGGTTCTGCTAAAACTGGGGGAGGGGGTACAATTCCTATGGGACATGGAGAGTTATTCCTCTCTGGAAAGTCTCAGAGACCAGAGAGGTAATGGGAAACACAAAAGCGAGTTTGACTACTGAAATTTAATAAGGCCTGACATTTCTGTGCCTAATCCTCATATATATTCCATTATGGTGATTTTCAAGACAGGCCACCAGAATGAGGCTGTCTTATGCATACAAAAGGGAGGCAGAAGGCAAGGGGAAGGAGGGGCTGTACTCACTATAAAAATAAGAGCAATCACAAATAATCTCAACAAAACTTTTGGAAAAACCAGTACTGATTTCCATTTCTCAAGAAATTCTCCCTTTAAATTATTCTGCCAGGCTCCAGTGAAATCCTAAATCAAGTTTTTTATAGGCTTAAAACACAAAATCCAATGTAAAACTAAACATTTTAAAAATAGGTACATGAAATGACATTATGGAAAACCAGGAGAAAGAAAGTTTGGTAAGTCAACTCTTTCTAAAATATTTCAGCCTGCCTGGATCTCTAGACAAGGAAGGAATTCAGAACCCAGCTGCATAGCTTCTCTCTGTGGCTGGTCAGGCATTCTTCAGTGGCTCTGGTGGCAAAAAAGCTTAAAACTTGCTTCAAAAAAACAAGCAGCTCCCATCCGGGACTGTTAGAACTCTGAAAACCAGGCCTGTGTTCACACTGGCCCAATCAGTGAAAGATTACATGTCTCATATAAGGCTGCAGTACCATCTACCCTTGAATAGAATGAGTAATTTTGTGCTATTTTTGGATGGTGCAGTGCTTTAAAACAAAGTGATAAATTAAAATGGCCTCAGTAATGCAGCAAAAATGTTAAACTGTTTGAAGGCAAATGGAAAATGTGGCCTTAGTATACAAAGAAGGAGCCAGCAGATGGAAAGTTTTGGAGTCTCTCAACTGAGTTAAGAAGAATGGCAGCCAATCAGTCTGGTATTGAATTTTGGAAACTATGCTGTGCCCAGTATTGTGCCTGGGCATGAGGAATTATTAAAGAGAAATTATTATTTTTTTTTTGTTTCTAAGTCCCCAGTTAGATAATTCCTTGAGGGCAGGCACATCATTTGTTTTTCCATAATAAGACCTAGACTTGTGTAGCCAAGTTAACATCCCACCTTCTACACATCAACGGCCTATTTTGGTCACTGCTGGCATCCATCAACTCTTCCCATCCCTCTTCAACTCCAAGCCCAATTTCTCCACTTTACACTTAGCCAAATCCTACATCCCACACATCCTCCAAGGTCCAGCTTACACCTCCTTTCATCTCTTCATGATTTCAGCCTGTGCTGGTTGCTCCCTTCTCTCCTTTCCTATTGCATTCATACCACACAGGGGTTTATATGAGCAGTGGGGAGCAATGGACACCCCAGGAACAGCATGGGCAAAGGCAGATTGGGTGCACCTCAGTGATGCTGAGAAAGGAGAAGAAAGGGACAAAACGGAGGGAGCAAGGAGGAATGTGATAGATTCAGATCTCTCCACTCGTGAGCTCCATAATATTGGGCAAATGATTTTCAAGTCCTGGAGCCTCAGATTTCTCCACTCCCAAAGACTTCCCACAAAGGGTTTTCATGAGTGATCGCCTGTAACATCTGAACCATAAATAAATGAATTTGTGTTAGACTCATCTAACTTAAGTCAAAATGGCACACTGGGATGAAAAGGGTAAGACCATGAGACAGTAATGATCTTCATCACGTTTGGCCCAAAAGGGTGCATCTTAATAGCAAGATTTAATGAGTCCTTACTATGTGCTAGGCACAGTCCAAAGACGTGCTAATCCAATTACTCCTCACAACCATCCTATGAGGTTGGTAGCACTATTATCCTCATTAGTTGGGGAAGCCAGCATTCCAGCCAGTCTAACTTCAGAGCCACTAGGCTTAACCAGTACAGAATACAACACTGCTCCATCCCTCGCCCTTTGAAAGGAATCCTATGACTTGCCTTTGCATTTGCAAGTGATTTTTATTTTATTTTATTGAATAGATGATGTAGCAATGTTAAACCCAATTTTTTAAAAACAGTTTATGTATCTTTACTGTTAGTTTCTGGTCCTTACTCATTTTTGCACGTCATTTCAAAAAGGACCCTGGTTTGCCTCAACTGTATACGCAAACTTAGAAGTGACGATGGCATGAAGAGCATTACCTTAATCTGGCCCTGGCTCACCACTCAGTAATAATGACATGTAGTCATAAATTAATTTTATTAAATTATAATTATTTCTGTGAATTTTTTATGTATCCCAGTTCTGGTTTGTGATTTACTTTCCTAACATGAGAGGAAAAAAGTACATTTACTACTTATGAAGGAAAACATTTACATCAAATTATCTTTGTATCCAGGAAATACAAGGTGTCAAATGTTGGATCTGAATGATAAGAATATAGGTAATTTTCTTTTGATTACTTTTTGCTGCCCTTTTTAACATATCACAGTGGAAAGTATATAATTCACTATATGTTTTTAAAATCCCATAAAATTACAGCATTAATTAAAATAAGACCAAACTGCACCAAACTGCCCCTGAGAAGCACTTTCTGTGGCTACAGGATCACCAGGGCTTGTCCGTATACCACCCCAACTTGCAAAGACCCTTCAGTGCCTTCCTTACCATGCCTCAGGCCATAACAGAGCCAGAATGTAGGGATGCCAACATGTTGTTGGTTTGTCCAAGATTATTATCCAATGATGGTCCAAAGAACAGAATTCAGGCATCCCGATTTGCTGCTGTCTTACTTGTTAATTATATCCTAAATAAGCCTGCTTCCTGAAATTTTCTTTATAGAGATTTCATCACATGCAGTTTCCTACTTTGCATTAGATTCATGGGTTCATGGCTATAGGAACCTAAATGTGGTAACTGGGTGCAGGAGTAGCAAAAATCTGGTGTACCCTTACCTTGTTCTAGCTCCCTTACCTGTAGCAGACATTATTAGTGGATCACAGAACTCCTTTGAGCTTAGGTTTAGCTCAAATCCTTTCCAACACAGTACTCCAGGCAGCCACCACAATAGTTGGCTTCAAGGATGAATCTATTTGTTCTCCCTGGAGATGGCATGTCAGTGTCGACTTTTTTCTTTGTTAGTATCTGGCCTCAGTTCTATGCCAATCATAGCTATGACCTTGCACTTCTTTCTCACTCTGCTTCAGAGAATATATTCTGAAAATGGGTACTCAGGCCAAAAGCTACTTTCATTCCAAAACAATTTCCCTAGACACAAGGGCTGAGGGAATCACAGCTAGCCCATTTACTTTGCATGTTCAGAAAACCTCAAATGACTGGCTCAAGCTCACACAGCTGGGTTCGTGATGGAACCAAGACCAAACCCCAGGCTGGCTGACTGCTTGCCCAGAGCTCTTTTCACCACTCTGCCTATCTGACTCTGGGCTTTGTCAGACGGAACAAAGAAAATGTTCCTGGGATCTGACACTTGTAAACACTTCTCCATCATCCTTGCCACGGCAGCCTGCCAAGACAGGAATCAGGCCAAATTTAGTGGGTCCTTCAGCCCAGTGACTGCAGTTGAAACAATCCCCTGATATAGAAGAGGGGAGGCCAGAGGAAAATGCACTGTTCTACAAAGAACAAAGCTTGGGATGATTCATTTTCCTGATTCCGGTGGTGGATGATTGCTGATGCCTGTCACTCATACATGACTGTCAGCAACTTTGCAGGAATTCTCATGTAGATGCTTGTCTTGAACACATAAATCCCTAGTTACTTCTTCATAGTTCTCAGACTTTCAGAGGTCCCCGGACATACTCTTCTGGCTGTCCCTTTTGGTATTTAGCAAGATACCTTTTATATTTTTTATTTTTTGTTATTTTTTTTTTTTTGAGACGGAGTCTCGCTCTGTTGCCCAGGCTGGAGTGCAGTGGCACGATCTTGGCTCACTGCAAGCTCCACCTCCCGGGTCCATGCCATTCTCCTGCCTCAGCCTCCCGAGTAGCTGGGACTACAGGCGCCCACCACCATGCCCAGCTAATTTTTTTTTTTTTTTTTTGTATTTTTAGTAGAGACAGGGTTTTACCGTGTTGGCCAGGATGGTCTCAATCTCCTGACCTCATGATCCACCCACCTCGGCTTCCCAAAGTGCTGGGATTACAGGTGTGAGCCACTATGCCTGGCCAAGAGACCTTTAAAAAAAATGCCAAATAGTCTGGGGGACTTAGAAAACTAGCTTCTCTGGACCTCAACTTTAGCTTCCTTAAAAGTCAGCAATTGGACCAATTGGCCTCTAAAATCCTTCTGGCCCTACAATCTGATGGCAAGAAGCATTTGAGGAAACCCTCCTTTTTCTGAGAAAATCCTTTTAAATATTTGAGGCTTTTATATCTTAAATCTTGTCTGGTTACCAGTATACTAACAAGGCCAGGCTGGTCAGGTCAGGTAGGGACCTCAGTTCATCACAGCTGGCCTTCTGCCATGCTTTGGAAACTGTTCTTGGACAAATTACTAATGATTTATTTGTTACAAAATTCAGTAAACACAAAGTAAAAGAAAATTATACAAGCAGTATGAATATATTCTTATGAAAAATAAAGCAGAATTACATAGTGTATGGTATATGTATAGCCACACAAAATTATGTATACATATTACAAATATCTCATTTTTAGAGGGGTTTATTCTACATGTTTTAGTTTTATTTTTACAGAAAAGGGATCAAACAGAACATATTACTCTGCAACATGCTTTTTCCACCGAACAATATCTTGGATTCTTTACCACGTTGGCCCGCATACAGTTTCTTTTTAACTGCTGCAAAAGATCCATTGTGTGAATACACCATGTTTTGTTTACTTCTTTTTGTGAACCACTCCTCCATTGATGGATATTTAGTTTGCCTGTAAAGTTTCACTACTCTAAAAAATGCTGCAATAAGCTCATATTTTTGTCTACATATTTGACAGTTTCTCTAATATAGGTATCTAGAAGCTAAACTGTTGGGTTTAGGAAAATGCAAATTTTACCTTTTGAAAAATTTTTGTCAAATTGTCCATCAATGGCCAGGTGCGGTGGCTCACGCCTGTAATCCCAGCACTTTGGGAGGCCGAGGTGGGTGGATCACAAGGTCAGGAGATCGAGACCATCCTGGCTAACACGGTGAAACCCCGTCTCTACTAAAAAATTAGCTGGGCATGGTGGTGGGCGCCTGTAGTCCAAGCTACTCGGGAGGCTGAGGCAGGAGAATGGTGTGAACTTGGGAGGCGGAGTTTGCAGTGAGCTGAGATTGCACCACTGCACTCCAGCCTGGACGACACAGTGAGACTCCGTCTCAAAAAAAAAAAAAATTTGTCCATCAATTTGGTAGTACCAGAGGGAATACCTGTTTCTCCACATTCTTACTGATCTTTCATTGTTTTTTTATTGCTAGCTAGGTTGAGCACTTTTACACATGTGTTTTGAATTACCTATTTATGCCCTTTGCTCATTTGCTCATTTTTCAGTTAGGTTGCTTTTTGTTTTTTTTTTTTTTTTTTTTTAGTCAATTTGTAAGAGCATCAAAATTTAAAAAAAAAATCCATGTATTCACCATCTGGCTTCAATATATCTACTCATGGCCAATATATTCTCCCACCTATTTCTATCCCAGGCAAGGATTATTTTGAAGCAAATCCCTATTACATTATTTCATTTGTTAATATTTTACTAAGTAAATGTAAAAGACTAAAACTCTTAAAAATATCTACAATCTTATCATCACTTAGAAAGATAACTCTCTTAATGTAAATATTCAGTGTTCATATTTTCTCCATTAGCTCTTACATTTTTAAAAATAATTGCCTTGATATCACCAAATATTTAGCCAGTGTTTACATTTTTTCCATTGCCTCATAAATCTTTTTCAAAAAATTTGTTTGAATCAAGATCTAAGGACCATAAGTTTTATTCATTTGTTATTGATATGTAACAACAGTACATATTCATAGGCTACATGTGACATTTTGATACATGCATATAATGTGTAATGATCAAATCAGGTTATTTAGAATATTCATCATCTCAAATATTTATCACTTCTTTGTGTTGGGAACATTGCAAATCTTCTCTTCTAGTTATTTTGAAATATACAATAAATGATTGTTAACTATAGTCATCCTGCTGTGATATCAAAAACTAGTACTTATTCCTTCTAACTGTATATTTTTCACCCATTAACCAACCTCTCTTCATCCTCTGCTCCCCTAGTCTTTCAAGCCTCTGATAATCTTTCTACTCTCTACCTCCATAAGAACCACCTGATTAGCTCCTTGACTGGCTTATTTCACTTAACATAATGACTTTCAGCTCCATCTATGTTGTTTCAAGTGACAGGATTTTATTCTTTTATTTATTTATTTATTTATTTTGAGACACAGTCTTGCCCTGTCGCCCAGACTGGAGTGCAGTGGCACAATCTTGGCTCACTGCAACCTTTGCCCCCAGGGTCAAGCAATTCTCCTGCCTCGGCCTCCTGAGTAGCTGGGATTACAGGTGTGAGCCATTGCACCCAGCCAGGATTTTATTCTTTTTATGGCCGAATAGTATTCCATAACAGTATTCCTGTTATCAAAAAGCTGTTATCTTTTTGATAACAGCTATTTTAACTGAAGTGAAACGATATCCCGTTGTGGTTTTGATTTGCATTTTCCTGATGATTAGTGATGTTGAGCATTTTTTTCATATACTTGTTTGCCATTTGTATTTTTTTTTTAGAAGTATCTATTCGGATGATTCACTCATTTTTAAAATAATATATATATCTTTGCTATTAAGTTGTTTGAGCTCCTTATATATTCTGGTTATTAACCCCTTGTCAAATGAATAGTTTGCAGATATTTCCTCTCATTCTATAGGTTGTGTCTTCACTCCATTGGTTGTTTTCTTGCTCTGCAAAAGCTTTCAGCTTGATGTAATCCCATTTGTCTACTTTTGCTTTGGTTGCTTCTGCTTTGAGATCTTACCCAAGAAAATCTTTGGCCAGAACAATGTCCTGTAGAGTTTCCCCAATATTTTCTTCTAGCAGTTTCATAGTTTCAAGTCTTACATTTAACTCTTTAATCCATTTTGATTTGAATTTTGTCTGTTGAGAGATCGAGGTCTAGTTTCATTTTTTGGCATATGGATCTCCGGTTTTCCCAGCACCATTTATTGAAGCAGTTGTTCTTTCCTCAGTAAATGTTTGGTGCCTTGTTGAAAGTCAATTAGCTGTAAATATGTAAATTTATTCCTGGGTTCTCTATTCTGTTCCAGCGGTCTGTGTGTCTGTCTTCATGCCAGTACTATGCTGTTTTGGTTTTGTAGTATGTTTTAAATTCAGGTAGTGTGATGCCTTTAGCAAGGTCCATAGATTTTAATTAGTGCCTTTTAAGTCTCTGAATTTATAGATTATTTCCCTCATTTGTTGAAGAATTCTGGTTATTTTCCCTATGGAGTTTCCCACAGGCTGGACTCTCTGATGATACTCATGGTGTCATTTAACATGTTTCCATGCCCTGTGTATTTCTTGCATACTTTTAGTTAGATCTAAGGCTTGATCAGACTCAGGGCTGATGTCTTGACAAGAATACTTGAAAGATTGTGTTGTACATTTCCAACAAGGCCACATAGTTCTGGCTGGCTCTTTGTGAAGTTAGCAGCCATTCGTGATTGTGTTGTTGTGGATCCACTCAAGAAACAGAAGCCATTCGTTAATTCAAATACTGGAAGTTTCATAAAAAGAACGATTAAGATAAGTGATACGATTTAGCTGTGTCCCCACCCAAAATCTCATCTTGAATTGTAATCCCCATAATCTCCACGTGTCAAGGCAGTGACCAAGTGGAGGTAATTGGATCATGGGGGTGGTTTCCCCCATACTGTTCTTGTGATAGTGAGTGAGTTATCTTGAGATCTGATGGTTTTATAAGCGTCTGGCATCTCCCCTGCTTGCACTCACTCTGTACTGTCACCCCATGAAGAAGGTGCCTGCTTCTCTTTTGCCTTCCACTGTGATTGTAATAATCCTGAGGCCTCCCCAGCAATGCGGAACTGTGAGTCAATTAAACCTCTTTCATTTATAAATTACCCAGTCTCAGGTATGTCTTTATTAGCAGTGTGAGAATGAACTAATACCATAAGATAAGAGAGTACCTATGAAGACATAAAGAGACTCCTGAAGAGTACCCTATGTCTAGGGGAGAGTACTCAAGGAAAAGCAAAACTGGAAGGGGTGGGCTCTTCCCCAAGGCTGCGATTCCAACATTATTGGAGCAGGCAAGCATGTGGCCTACTAGATAGCAGTTAAGTTCACTGGGCTGTCCAGCCAGAGCCGGTCCACAGCCTCCAGGCCAGCAGGAAAGAAACCAATGAGTGCAGGTGCGTTAAGTCTGGGAGGTGAGGCCTCATGTGTGCAATGGGTGGAGGGTCTGGTGTGCAATGCTCATGTTGTGTGGGCCCAGGGAAACAACATCCTGGGGTGCAGGCCAGCTGATGCTGGAAAGCAGTGCCCAGGAAGAGTTGAGACTCCACTGCAGATGTTAATCCACATCCCAAGGACTGAGGTGAGGTTCACTGGGCCGAGTCTGGGGCTCTGAGGTCACTGAGGGACTGTACATTCTGGGTATATGGCTGGGGCAGAGCACCACTGGGTAACTCACACACGCACTGTTGACAGACCATGCAGCTGGAGCAACAAAAAACAAAGGTCAGTACCCTGGAACCAGGAAGAAAAGCCCCCCTTCTCCTACAGTGTCCCTCCAGCGCCCTCTACCGACAAAGCTTCACATCGATCTCACTGTAAAGGGGAAATGCTTGAAGAGTCCATTCCATTACCCCAGAGCAGTTACTGAAGGGTGGATGTGGGGCTGAGAGGCAATAAATTAATAACTGGCATAATGATCAGTGGCTAGGTTCATTATTCATTAGGGGTTGCAAAATGGTGATAATCTAATTCTATCCATCTTCCTACATTAGGTTGGAAGGCTTCTAGTGGGAGAAACTTCCCACATCCCCTCTTTGGTGAGGCCCCAAGGCAAAATGTGCACAAAAACCTGGCTCCCACCCCACTGCCACCACTTTCCCTCTTCTTACCTAGTGTAGATCCTTAGGGTCTTAGTAATTTTTAAATTCACCTTATCTTTAATTCCAGGTCTGATCTGAACTCTACTTCTGGCCTCTTGGCATCTCCTTTTCGCTCTGGTCCAATGCCTAACTTCAGGTCGAAACTATTTTCTTACCACCTCCTGAATCTTGACTCTGCCCATAAATTCCCTGAAGAGAATGTATGGGAAGTGGCACTTCTCATTTACATCTCCTGTAATCCTCGCAAACACCTTATGAGATGGGTGTTATTGTCTGGGTTTTACAGATGGGGAACCCAACTAAGGCTTAGAGAGGTGAAGCAAGGAATGAAGAGCTGGGGTTAGAGCCTGAGGCTGCTCACCTCTGAATTGTGAGAGTTGGAGGCCCAGAAGGACATGCTGCCTTCCGCAGATTCCTCTTCAGGTAACATCAAACTCACATGCCTCCTGGATTCTCACCAGTTCTCTGTTTTTTCCTGAATTTCCAGGTCATTACAAATGTTCTTCACATTGTCTCCTGCTAGCTTCACCACTGAAAACTCCCCATCTCTCTTACAGGATCACTTCCTCCAGTATCCAATCCAGGTCTTTATTTTCAGGCCTGGATTTCTTCTGAAACAGTTGCCTAATGCTATTTAACTGCATTTACTTCCCCACAACTTAATTGCATTTTATTTTCTCTTGTCTCAGATTACTGGGACAGACACCTAAATCCTCTCTAGTTCTGAAGATACTGTTTTTACCTCCTCCATCATCCACTCTCCTGCACTCTCCCTACACAGAGAAGGGAATGAGAATAGAGGTGAGAACTTCTCTTCCCAGAGGTAGGTATGCTACTGGGGGTGGGGGTGGGGGTGGGGGATGGGGTGTAAAGAAGGAAATAAACAACTGCCAGACCTGGCACTGACATTGAAACTCTCTTCATTCTCCACTTCAGAAAACCATGACCCAGCTATGAGGTCTCTATCATTCCAGCTATGTAGAGACAGCTAAAAATCATGGTGAAACCTCCGCTGTCCTTTCTTTCTTCTCCAGTTCATCCTTCCTCATTCAACAACTCACCTGCTACTTTTCCTTTTCTCTCGAGTCATCCCCTCCACCCTACAGTTATAGCTCCCAACTCCTGATCATCCTGAGCCCCTTCCCCTCCATTCCTTCCTCTTGGTCCGTAGCCCCTCTCTTCCTCTTTCCTTCCTCTTACCCAAGCTTCACTGGCAAAATCAAACAACATAACAAAAGAATGGGGAATAAGCAAACAGCTGCCTACCCTTGCTTGGAAGTCCCTGGGAAGCAGCTTCCTTCACCTCCATTGATTCTGAGTCTCTGCGCTTCGGAGTGTTTGGCCCTCGTTCAAGGCTACGGTGGCCATGGACTCATTGTGTTGAGATGAAGGTAAATCCAGGCAGTTTCTTTTTTTAGATGCAATTGTGTTTCTGGAAAAGGCTGCACATCACATAATAGGAAATCCTGAGAGGGTGAAGACTGTTTCCTGCCAGTTGAAGCATTGTTGTCTTTGGCTGTTCTGACAATAGCAGAAACCTTCGAGTAAGGTGGAGGGGCCGGGAGGGAAGAGCTGGCTGCGTTGGGGTAGATGAAGAGTGAACTGCGGAGTCGGGGAAAGTGGAGATTGCCAGGGACAGTGATATAAACTAAGTGAAAGCAAATAAGTTGTAGAACCCTGCCAAAGGATGAAACCAGCCAAGAAAAAAAAAAAAAGAAAAAAAAGAACTCTGATTACTTCGAAAAAATATCTGTCAAAATGCTCTCAGCTAGGGGAAGACATTGTCAGGTTATTATGGGCTTTTTTTTTTTTAATATAAAAAATGGTCCATGAAACAAGTAGGTATCTAATGGATCCTGCTCGGGGATGGTAATGATGACAGTCAGTGATGATGACAATGATGGGGATAGTGATAACTATATTGGAGAAAGTCACAGCTTCATTCATTTAAAATAGAAATGCTCTCTGCTGTAGAATCTTTAGACCTAAAAAAATAGAGGCTCTTTGGGGATCTATGGATAGTTCTGGAGCAGGGGCTTCTCATCTTTTAAGTGCATATGAATTTCCTGGGATCTTGTTAAAATGCAGGTTCTGATTCATACCCTGGGATGAGCCCGAGATTCTGCATTTCTGACCAACTCCCAAGTGAGTTCTGCTGGTCGTTTAACAGATCCATCCTCTTTCTACACTCGGGACTAAAGGCGCTTTTTCCTACTTCAGGTGCAATGACTTCATGTTGGGGACTTGAAATTGGCCAGTGCTATATGTGAAAATCAGGGCTTTTTTCTCCCCCTACTTTTTTTTTTTTCCTCTTTCTTTTTGGAGAGCTGGTTTACCAGCATACTTTTGGAGTGGGAGAATGACCACTGTGTGGTCCATGGACCCACGAGGCCCATTTTGAGACTGATGTGGGCCGTTTATCACAAGGTTCTGTATGTTCCACTCTAACAGGGGGCCATGGTGGTGCTTGGGTCAACTGTCATTCGTGTCCACTCAGATCCTATGTCTAATAGTCCTTGAAAGATCTAGGGGTTCTCCTTTCTCCGGTGTAGAATTACTCAGGTAAATGGCTAAAGGAGTCTCTGGGGAGGATTGGGGGAAGAGCTACCACAGATATTTGGTGTGGTTTGTTGCAGCATCCTTCCTCAAAGGGACCTGACCTCCCCTTCAATCAATGAGTCCTGGATCTTAGAGCTGACTCACATGCAGAAACTGGGTGAGGGATTGTGATTTTTATTATAGCAGCTGACACCAGCCTTCTGCCCACTTGCTCTTGATCTTTTCAGTGACATAAGTCAAGCCAGGCCCTCACTGGCTGCCCGTGATCTCACCTGCAGACACACCATGGTCTATCAGCCACCCCGAGGGGTCCCCGCAGGTCAAGGCTCAGGGTTGTCTTTCTGCTGTGCTTCTCATTACGACAATTACTTCCACCTTGCCTCTGATGGTTCAGTGCCTCCACCTGGACTTTGGTATTCCAGCGTGGTATCATTCCCATTGACTATGAAGCCCAATTCTAAGGCAGCATCTCCTGCAAAAGAACCACTGCAGAAGTTCTCAGGGACACTGATGCCTCCCTAACTAGTGGACGCCTCATTACTGTAGTAAAGGGAGAATTCTCTTTGCTTTTTACCAGGATATTAATCCTCAGTCACTAAGCTCTTCCTTATCCAGCCTTATTTTCTGTCCCTGCCAACCCTGACTCAACACTGTCAAGATCCATTCCCATTCATGTTCTCCCAGTCCCTGCCAGTATTTATTACCCAGGTCCTGTGGCTTTCCTCCCTTGCAGGGATGCTGCTTCGCTGCCTGAACCTTACTGAGACTTGACCATAATTGATCTACAGCAAAGGGGAGAGGCAGGAGCAGATCTTCAGGACAGCAAACATTGTCTGGGAAGGTACCTGACTCAGGGGAGGTCTTTGTCTAATCATCTCCTCTAGCAATTAAGAGGGGCTAACTTCTGCCAGTCCAGTGGTTCCTGGGAATCTGGGGGTTCATGTTCTCAGGAACATCACCCCAGGCTCCCCATCTTGGGTATCAGGGCCCTATATCTTTCTTATCAGGGACCTCACTTCCCATAGGAGATACACCAGGGCTGTGAATTCAACTTCCTTTGTTACTAGAACACTCTGAAAAAGAGGGCCTGAACCTGTTTTTTTTTCCTGATCTGCCTTCCAGCTGCAGGAGATGAAGGTTTTTAAAATGCTTCCCTGGAAGCCTTCTGGCATCCACACTATGTTCTAAGTTGATGGTTGGCTGATCTGAACCTGTCATTTTCTTCTTTCGCGGTTCCAATTACAGCTAAAGACAACTAACCATCTCTACAGACTTTTGCTACCATATTGCTCAAGTGCCAGAGCTATTGCATAAGCTGATGTGTCTCCTTCCAGAGGACTCCATCTTAGTTCACTGCATATGAGGATCTTACAGAACTCAACCGCAAAATGAGTATGATGAGAATCTTACAGAATCTTTCAAAACTCCACTCAACACCAGCTATGGGGTCTTGTGACCATTGGGCTGATAAATGATCCAATTCCACAATCCCATCCCGAGGGTCTGCTTCCCAGGAGCACTTCTAGCCCCAGCTGTCTGAGACTGGGTTATCATCTCCAATTAGATCACAATGCAAGGATTTGAATGCAAGTAGTTTATTTGCAAGGGGACCCAGGAAGCATTAGTAGAGACAGAGAAGGTAGGAAGCCAATAAACAGCATGTTTTCAGGCAAGTGGGGCACCCGGGCTTAGACCCACTGGGGAACTGGGCAGCCTTCCTCAGAGTCAATCACTGCCCTGAGGGATGAGGAAGTTGGTGTATTTATCCAGCTGCACCTCATCTGTCATTGCTTAAGGGCTGCTCATGGGGGCATTAATTTGCTGGAAGCCCAAAACAGCCCTCAGCAGAGAAAAATTATGTGTTCACGTAAGGAACCATTGGTATTCAGAGGTGAGTGCCAAGGAGATATGGACCTGGCATTGTCAGCCTCCACTATGATCTTGTACCATACAAGATACAAGGATAATCTTGTATCATCCTTAGAGTGAGCTAAGGATCATCTTCCCTGAACCCCCTCCCCCCTCCGAGTGGTAGTAGCTGTGAAAAAAAAAAAAACAACCAGAGCACACCCAGCCCAAATGGGGACAGCGCTTGGAAAATCTCTTAGGGAAAGAGAGACAGGGTAGAGGCCGTGCGATCTTGGTGCTGGAGCTGTTAGGCAAGCGCAATGTTCAGGAAGCAGGGTTTCAGCTGGAGAGCTAGGAGACTCTCCTGCCCAGGAGGAGTGGCCTATGGAGGGCTTAATCCGCAAACTACCTTCTGTGGATTAACACTGTGCTCTCCAGGTAACAACGCCTTATCCCAGTTAAGAAGACTCCTCACCGAGTGACTCTTTGGGTGAGAACTGCAGTCACATGCTGTAAGAGAGTCATTTTGAGGTATGTTTTTTTTTGGTAGGATCCCTCAAATTATATTGAAAATACAGCATCAGTTTGCATTTGCATGTGATTTTCAGAGCACTTTCACATGTATCAGACTAGCTGACCCTCCTAACAGCCCAGTGAAGACAGATGAGGGTGAGTATTTTTGTCTTCATTTTACAGATGAGAAAATTGGACTCAGGAAGGTGAAGTGTCCTGCTCAAAGGTCACCATACTGGGTGGCGGTGGAGGAATTCACTCTCAGAGCTTCTGATACTCTGTCATTCAGCGCTGCTTCCTAGGCCAGCATTTCTAAACGCTCTCCTTCCATTCATTATAAAAGGAGCACCTTAGTAGCAGGAGCATATCTGGTTCATTCTGGCATCGCCAGTGCTGGCGTATTCTGGATGCTTCATGTCTGTTTGTTAAGCAAATGAATTTTTAAATCCCCCCAGAGGACTTGGGAAGCCGTGAGGCAGCCGCTATCAACTCTTCTTTCTTGTTTTTCTTCCCAAGTACACTTGCACACAACACACACCAACACAGATGCACACACACACACACTACACACACACACACACTGTCTCACACATTCTCTCTCTCACACACACTCACACACATAGTCACTCTGCCCATCTCTCTGTCACACACACATTCCCCATCTCTTTCTCTCTCTCACACACACGCTCTCCCCATCTCTCTGTGTCTGTCTTACACACACTGTCCCCATCTCTTTCTCACACACACATACACACACACGCACTCTCCCCATCTGTCTCTCACACACACGCACTCTCCCCATCTCTCTCTCTCTCACACACACACACACTCCTATCTCTCTCACACACAATCTCCCATCTCTCTCGGACACACAGGCACTCTCCCCATCTCTCTCTCTCACACACATACACAGACACTCCCATCTCACACACACACACACACACACACACACACACACACACACACTTTCTCCGTCCCTCTCGCCCCCGCTCCCTGGACCCTGAAGGCTGCACTCTTGATGCTTCTTGAAAATCCTCACGCAAGGGAACACCTGAGAAACCTAAGGAACGACAGGGGTCAGAGGAGCCCTAACATGTATGAGGAGACCCGAAATGCTCCCTGGGGCCGGCTTCTGAGTTAGAGGGAGAATCTTTACTGACTGCTGGCAGCGTTGGGATTGTCCCTCTCGCTGTCCCCGGATTTGTTCTCCCCAGGCCGGGGCCCGCTGGAAGAGACTGCCGTTCAGCGGGTGTGCAGTGACCGCAGAGAGCCACAAGAGGGAGCCAGTGCCGCGGGGAGCCGCCGGCCGCCGAGACCCCGGGGCTCAACTGAACCCACAAAAGAAATCTGGGCTGAGAGCCCGAGTGCACAACCAGGAGGCTTCGGGAGCAGGACAGACAGAGAGCATGAGGAAAACCAGAAATATGGAGTAAAACAGAGGGGAGACCAAATTTTAATTAACTTTAATATTAAAAAATAAATGGGTGGAGGACTTTCCTCGTTTACACTGCTCCGATTTGGGGGGGAACAAGCATATGTTTTTTTCATAATTAAGAATGAATAAACATATATTTTAAACAAACTGGAAAAAACAAACAAGGAGCGAGCAAAGAAGTAGGAAAATCTTGACGTTTCCCTGGAGTTCTGGGAAGAGGCAGCGCATTCCCAGCCTTGCCTTTGCGGTGGGGCCCTGCCCCCATTGTTCCTTCTTTACTGTTTCTCCTAAGAATTTTGCAGGCCTGCTGAGGGTTGAGCACACTACCTTTAGCTTGAAATGGAATAGAAGTGAATTAATAGCAGGGAATGTCGATGTTTTGTGATGACTCTTGGCTGACACCATTAAGATACCATTTTTACTCCCTTATGAAGATAATCCCTTAAGTGACTGATGCCATTAATGAACCATAAGCTTCATTGTTAGAACTTCATGAGAAACAATAGTAAAACTGATTTAGTTGCCTCTTGGAAGCCTCTATTGAGAGAACTTGTTTTGTGTATCTGAGGAGGCACAGCTATAAAGCAATGAGAATGTTTTTAATTAAGCATCTTAGTTCTCATAAATCTAATTGACACTTTTCCTACAAACCACGGGGACCAACAGGACTCTTATAAGCAAACCCAAAGCATTTGGCTGAGGAAATTTGCCCCCAGAGTCCATTTAGGAAAAAAAATAATAATAATAATAAATCAATTTATGTCATGCCTCTTCGGGATTCCAAATGTTATTAGCTATATTAAAATGTGTTTTATTCATTTGAATTTAGCTGTGAGTGATGCAAAGCTCTTCTAGAAATTAATCCACCCTCAGAAGATGAAGACTCCCCACCTCCATTGGAGGCTGTGGTGCCAGGAGAAGCAGTGAGGGACAAACGGCAAATGGCCTTGGCGTTAGGGGCTGGAGCTGTCCTTTTGGTGGGAGAAGAGGTTGAACGCCCCAGCTGCCTGTTGGATGCCCTCTTAGCTACCCTGGGCCCAGGCAGCTGATGTGGTTAGAGATGCCTGGGGCAGCCTGGGGAAGTGAAACTTTTATACCTTCCCATTCCTTCCCAACATTTTGCATATCATAATTACATAGAAAAGGCCACTATTTGTGTAAAAAGCTAGAACTGAAAGATATTTGGAGGCATCTGTAGGGGAGTTGGAGAAAATTTTCATTATATTTTCCTATATAATGGTGACTATTGAATTTGTATGAAACTTCCAAAGAAAATCTTCTAACACTTTTAATGAGAAGCTTGAGTTTGCTTCCATGGACATAATTTGTATGTCACCATCACTGACTTTGTATCAGAAGGGGATATGAATTTTAAGACAAGTTTTACAACTGTAAAACTGTAACGATTTGTAACAATTCCTCAAGACCCTTAAATGATAAGTTCTTCAAAGTTTTGATAGTCACCATCACTGACTTTGTATCGGAAGGGGATACGAATTTTAAGACCAGTTTTACAACCATTCAAAAAGTTACATTTGAAATTGTAACAAAAGAGAATTCAACTTTTCTTCTTGTTTCATTGACAAAGGGAATGTTGACATTTCCTGTGATAAGGGAACGGATTTTGAATCCAATGGAATATTTTCAGGTTAAGCATTTCAAAATAAGGGACTCTAATTTGCAGAAAGAGCATGTACCATCAGAGTGCTTGCCTTGCAGCAAATAGCCAGAAGTATCCCAGGAATACAAGACAGAGATTAGGAAGCCTGGACGTTTTCTGTCCCCTCATTCTTTGTTGGTCACACCTTGGGTCCCTGGTGCCAGACTCCTCTGGCAACTGCCTAGATCCCTGATCTAGACAGGCAGTACTGTACTCTACAGCTATGAAGCTGCTCAGGTTGAGGGTTGGGGGACACCTCCTTCACTGCCTTTAACTCACCAGTATGCAACAACCAACTCCAGCATGTAATGCCCCAGGCTTTCGAATTTGGAAATCAGGGTATTGGGGGTACACTAGTAATCTATTGGAACACCCCATGTGTACTGCTGCATACAGTCTATAGCTGGGAAACTCTCTTCTAGTTTAGGCCCAAGGAGTCTTCTCCACTCACACACACTCAACTAGCTCCTCAGGGAGTAGAGCAGAAGGTGATCTGAAGCCACAGCTCCATAGGTATCAGATGCCCTCCACTGACTTTGTACCTGGGGCCACACTCTCTCGGAGCTCACTGGGGTTAGCCGCAGCTACAGAAAGTGGATGTCTTAGGCCAGGTGTGGTGGCTTATGCCTGTAACCCCAGCTCTTTGGCAGGCTGAGGCAGGGGGATCACTTGAGGTCAGGAGTTTGAGAGCAGCCTGGCCAACATGGTGAAACCCTGTCTCTTCTTCAAATACAAAAATCAGCTGGATTTAGTGGTGTGTGCCTGTAATCCCAGCTACTCGGGAGGCTGAGGCAGGAGAATCGCTTGAACCCAGTGGGTGGAAGGCTGCAGTGAGCCGAGATCATGCCACTGCACTCCAGCCTGGGCAACAGAGTGAGACTCCATCAAAAAAAAAAAAAAAAAAAAAAGGAAAAGAGAGAGAGAAAGAGAAAGAAAGAAAGGAAGGAAGGAAGGAAGAAACAGAAAGAAAGAAAGAGAAAGAAAGAAAGAAAAAAGAAAGATGTCTTAGCGTTCCTGTTTTACAGTATCTGTTGCTATTGAATTGTTGCCAACGCCCTCTTTGCTACTTACACTGGAATATCTAAGAGTCGTTCTAGTTGTGGTTGGAACAATAGTGTTACTAGAATAAATGTACTCTCAGCCAAGGTGACCACTTTGAAAGGAATGACACTCATGTGGATTTTAAAGCTCTCACATTGAAATAACCTGCATCTTTCCATCCTTATGTGTTCCTCTATATTTGCAGGTGGAGAATTCTGCAGAATTTCAGAAGCACTGGCTTAGTGTGTTGGTGAGTCAGCATGAAATTCGTTTTGTGAGTGGGCTGCTTCCATGTTCAATCAGCTGTAGCTTCATACCTCTCATTTGTTTATAAACCCCTACTGTGTAAATATTACCCCAGAATTTAGCATCTCAAAATTAGCAGATATTTACCATCTCATAGTTTCTATGGGTCAGGAATCAAGTGTGACCCAGCTGGGTGTCTCTGGCTTAAGAACTCTCAAGAGATTGCAGTCAAGCTGTGGTCAGTGGGGCTGCTGTCTCATCTGAAGACTTGATTGGGGGAGGACTGTCTTCTAGGCTCACTCCTGTGGCTGTTGGTAGGATTTAGTTCCTTGTGGGCTGTTGGACTGGGGACCTCAGGCCCTGGCTGGCTTTGGCCGGAGCCTTCCCTTAGTCTCTTCCCACAGGAGTCTTTCCATAGGGCAGCTTATCACATGGCAGCTGGCTTCCCTCAGAGTGAGCAAGTAAGAGAGAAGAAAAAGTCCCCAAGGTGAAAGCTGCTACATGTGTAACTTAATCTTTTGTGTGATATCTCATTACTTCTCTCACACTCCGTTTCTTACAAACAGGCTGGTAAGTTCAGACCATATTCAAAGGGAGGAGATTCCCCAAGGGCATGAATGTAAGAAGGCGACGGTCACTGCTAGCCATCACAGAAGCCACCTCCCCACCTCCCCAAACACCTGCACTTGTTCCCTTTCTCTGAGGCTGTATCTGGATCCTGAGCTGGTTTCCCCATCCCTCTAGGAGAGGATCATTGCTTGATTCTTGCTAGCATCTCCTTCATATTTGCTCAGTCACTCCTCCATTAAACACGTCTACATTGAGGCCTACTATGCCAGATTCCATGCTGGGCACTGGGAAATCAGCAGAAAACAGGCACCATCTGTATGCACAGAGGTTCTTTCCTTCTGCCCTCTTTCCTGGAACCCTGTGGCTACTGTAATCCTCCTAGAGGACAGCTAGTGCCTGGGTAACCCACAGGATTGCCAGGGCAGAAACACTGTGCCTCTGTCTGTGGCCTCCCTCCTGTGGCCTCTTGCTGGGCCTCCTCCCAATACTGCCTCCCTCATGGGCATGTGCTTCCCCACCAGCCTGACCACCACCCTCTCTTCAGCAGTGAAACCCTGTTTCTCCATCCTGAGAGTCTCCAGTTTAGCACATCCCACTGTCTTCTAAGTGACGGACCCGTTCCTCACGGGGTAATGACTTGTGTAGTGAACCGGAGACAGTACAGGAATCATTCTCATTATTATTATTCTACACACCTGTCCAGGCAGCTACAAAATTAGTCACATTACCACAGCGTCATCCCCATGGGGCTGCATAAATGGGAACATCAATATAAGGGTTATATCGATATAAGGGTTATGCTTGTTTTCTTTAACTTAATCTTCACGTCGAAGCTCTTTTACTAAAAGGACATCTGATTTCATTATAGAAACCTAAGCTTTTTCTCATCAACACTGGTTCTTTTCTTTAAAAGCTCCTGTTTTACTGCCATCAGAGAAAAGGCTGTTAGGTGTGACCAGGATGGTCGGGAGCCAGTCTGCTGTCTCCAGCTCCCTCACACTGCCTGGCTGTAGCCCATTTTCATTCTCTGTGATGGCAGAGACACCCCTTTCACCACAGGGTGCTGCAGGCTGGAGGATCTGGGCCAAGATTTCATTTTCAGTCTCAGCGGGGTAGCCTGTCTATAATGCCACATGGTAAATTGCACAACAGCTGTTTGGAAAAGACTGCTCAAAAGCCAGTGACTATGTTGATGTTGGAGTCCGTCCTTGAGTTTTGGTGGGATTTAAGGAAATAAGAGGTCCCTGGAAAGGCTTGTTGAGGCCTGCCCCAAGCCCCTCCCACATCCCTGAGTGTTGGCAGAGATCACACAGGCAGCTAAACTTAGCTCAACGCCACGCCACTGTCAGCCCTGCTTCCCCTCCACAAGGCAGGTGTTGCATGGATCTCACTAAACTTGCCCTCTCTCTGTCACTGCTATTCCGGTGTGTCCCTAACTGCTGAGAATTAGGGTCAGGCCTCCTGGCTCCCCCTTTTTTTGTGGTACAAATAAGTGTTTGTGTTCTCCTCTTAGCCTCCTATCTGTAGCCTGATGAATAGACAATGAAGGAAGAATGCTTATTGCTGACCACAAGCCAGAGAGGAGGGGGAGTGTGAGAGATGGCCTGGGGCTAAGTGAGATTGTGACTCATTAAAATAGAGGTCTGCAGCTCTCTCCTTAGTATGGGGGCACCAGGAAGCCTTTCTCCCCTGATCTGGCTACAGCTGCCTGCCCCTTTCTGATATTCACCCCCTCATCCTTTCCTGATTTTTTTCTCACCCAACCCTCCCATCCTCCCTCCTTTCCCCCTCCCATCTCCCACTCCCCGTGTCACTGTCATTTCACCTATAAGCTGTCTCTTCCTTGCAGGCTTTGCCTCCTCACCTGTGTAGGTTGTCTGAGAGGAAACATCCTCTCCTAGTGCAGGTCCTCTTCCCTTCCTTCTCCCACACCACATGCTCCTCCTTCCTTGAATTCCTGCCACTCTGCTGCAGCTGTGGTTGGGGATGAAGGTCAGTGGCCTCCATGCCTGTGGTGGGTAGGTTAACAGAGCTTCTGTGGATAAGAGTAATGAGCATCCACAAGCAGAATGTGGGTTTTTCTTCAATGGAAGAGGGTACCTGGATTTAGGGCAGGGGTAGGTGAGTGTTAGATGCCTTTCCGTTCCCTCCTCATCTACCACCATCTTCTGCATCCAGCCTCCTGGCTCCTACAAAAGGACTGTTGGTCTCCACCTGGATCTTTAAGACTTCCTGACAGGTGTGTGGTTGGGGATTGGAAATTACCAGTCAAGAAACCCCCAGGATTTGGAACTCCTGCATTTCAACAACAAAAAGATAAACAACCCAATCAAAAAATGAGAAAAGGACTTGAGTAGACATTTCTCCAAAGAAGATATACAAATGGCGATTAAGCACATGAAAAGATGCTCAACATCATTAGTCATTAAGAAATTGTCGGCCGGGTGCAGTGGCTCATGCTTGTAATCCCAGCATTTTGGGAGGCCAAGGTGGGTGGATCACTTGAGGTCGGGAGTTCGAGACCAGCCTGGCCAACGTGGGGAAACCCCGTCTCTACTAAGAATACAAAAAAATTAGCAGGACATGGCAGCATGCCCCTGTAATCCCACCTATTTGGGAGGCTGAGGCAGAAGAATTGCTTGGACCTGGGAGGTGGAGGTTGCAGTGAGCCAAGATCCAGCCATTCAACTCTAGCCTGAGCAACAGAGGGAGACTCCATCTCAAAAAAAAAAAACAAAAAAAAAAGGAAGAAAATGTAAATGGAAACTGCAATGAGATGGTGTTTCGTATCCATTAAGATGGCTGTTATCAGTAAGTCAAAGAAAAACATGTTGTCAAGGATGTGGAGAAATCTGAACTCTTGTAATTGCTGGTGGGAATGTAAAGTGGTACAGCCACTGTGGGAAGCCAGGAGTTCAAGACCAGCCTGGCCAACATGGCGAAACCCAATCCCTACTAAATATACAAAAAAAATTAGCGAGGCATGTGGTGTATGCCTTTAATCCCAGCTACTTGGGAAGCTGAGGCACGAGAATGGCTTGAACCTGGGAAGCAGAGGTTGCAGTGAGTTGGGATCGTGCCAGCCTGGGCGACAGAGGGAGACTGTCATTAAAAAAAAAAAAAAAAGAAAGAAAGAAAGAAAGAAAAATAATTTTTATATAACCCAGCAATTCCATGTCTAGGTATATACACCAAAGAATTGAAAATAGAAACCCAAACAGGCAGGGCACAGTGGCTCATGCCTGTAATTCCAACACTTTGGAAGGCCGAGGCAGGAGCATTTCTTGAGCCCAGGAGTTTGCGACCAGCCTGGTCAGCATAACAAGACCTCATCTCTACAAAAAAACTAAAAAACAAAAAATTAGCACAGCGTGGTGTTGTGCACCTGAAGACCTAGCTACTCGGAAGACTGAGGTAGCAGAATTGCTTAAGAGTCCAGGAGGTTGAGGCTGCAGTGAGATATGATAGGGCCACTACACTCCAGCCCCGGTGACAGAGCAAGACCCTGTCTTGCAACAAAGCAAGCAAGCAAGCAAGCAAGCAAGCAAGAAAAAGAAAAAAAAGAAAAGAAAGACAGACTCAAACAGATACTTGTGTGCCAACGTTCATTGCAGCATTATTTGCAATAGCCAAAAAGTGGAAGGAAACAACCTGTGTCCATCAACAGATAAATGGATAAACAAAATGTGATATACCATACAATGGAATATTATTCAGCCATAAAACAAATAAAGTTCTGATAGATGCTACCATATGAGTAAACTTTGAAGACATTATACTAGTGAAATAAGTTAGCCACAAAAGGACAAATATTATATGATTCTACTTATATGAAATACCTAGAACAGGCAAATTCATAGAGACAGAAAGTAGATTAGTGGTTCCCAGGGGTTGAAGAAGGTAGGAATGGATAATTACTGCTTAATGGCTACAGCATTTCTGCTTGTGTTGATGAAACATTTTTTGGAAATGGATAGTGGTAATGATTGCACAACACTGTGAATGTAATTAACACCACCGAATAGACACTTAAAATGGTTAAAATGGCCAAAATTCAAGTTGTGTATATTTGACTATCATTTTAAAAATTGAAACATAAAGAATACCAAGAAAGAAAGCTCCAAAAGGAAGACATACAGACACAGGCTCTGGAGGTAGAGGAGCTGGAGGTGGAGTTTACTGGGTCATTTGCCAAGAGGGTGGCTGTGGGCAAGTCACGACACCTTGGACGAAGCTGCAGCCCTCCTGGAGTCTTGGTTTTTTTATTCAGGATAGCGAAGTGAAGTGTGTACGAGCATGAGCTCTGGACTATCTGGGTCCAGCTCCTGCTTTGACTCTGTGACTCGGGCGAGTTACTGAGCCCACTCACTTTGTCTTCCTCACCTGCAAAGTGGGAACAATACAACTTACCCCACTGGGTTTTTGTTAGGATTGGATTATTTTGTGTAAAATTCTTAAAATAATCCCAGGCACATAGTAATTGCTAAATGAATATTAGCTGTAAAATGGAAGGGTGGGGTGAATTAATTTAGAGGCGATAAGCAATGAGGAGATTTTTTAAAATTAAAAATGCTAAAATATTAAAACCAAAAATTTCCACACACTCTAGCATTATAATAGCTTTATTCCCCTTAAATCTTTAGATTTTGCAAATTCCAGATGAGTTTATTGAAACAGATTTTCTCTTTTTCTTTTTTGGTGCTCCTGCTGTGCTGGTGCCCTAAGCATTTTTTAAGTTTGCATAAGCGGTAATCCACACTGGCTTCGGGGAAGGTAGATAAAAAATTAATTACCTACCTGAAGAGGTGGCTTTGTAGCTTAAGTAAGATTAATGTATGTGAAAAACTCCTTTGGTAGCATGCAATGTTCCTCAGTTCTGTGAGATTCAGTGCCCCCGTTGATAATAGATGTTTGTTTGCAGCTTATGGTGGGCAGGATCCTAAGATGGCCCTTAAGATTCTGACCCCACCCCAGGTACTCGCCCCGTATAATCCCCTAATCCCCTCCCCTTGAGTGTAGGCAGGAACATGAATATGACAGCCACGGTACCACTCCCATGATTAGGTTACTAATCAATTGACTGTGAGTTAATGAAAAAGGACATGATCTTGAGTGGGCCTGACCTTTGTAAGAAAGTGAAGTATTAGATGCTTTCATCTGGCTGGGACAAAACAAACTGCCATGTTGCGGGAGTGTCTACAGAAGGAGCCCCCTGGAAGGACATGCAGGCAGGCAGCTCCCAGATGTTGAGAGCAGCCCCTGATGACAGCCAGTAAGGAATCAGGACCCTCAGTCCTACAACCATAGGGAAGTAAACGTTGCCGATAACCTGAGTGAGCTTGGAAGAAGATCTTTTCCTAGTTAATCTCCAGATGAGGACACAGCCAGTGAACACCTTAACTAATTTAGCCTTGTGAGTCCTGAGCAGAGGACCCAGCTAAAGCTGTGTTGGATGCTGGACCCCAGGAACTGGAGATAATGAATTTGTGTGGTTTTTAAACCACTAAATGTGCAGTGATTTGTTCTATACAATAGAAAATGGATAACCTCTTTTCTATCTCAAGATAAAATTCAAGATTAAGTTTGCTTAATCGGTAATTCAGTTCCTGGTGTGGATTGTTCTGGAAGGTTTGCAATATATTTGAGCTCTGTGCTGGTTCCCATTCATCATGAATCACCTCTGCTCCCTTATTTCGAGACTTGTTCTTTTGTAGCTACTTATAAGGGAGCATTTCTGCTTCAATCTACTTCTACACATACTTTTAAAATACCAATGTAGTGTCTTAACTATATTATAAGAAGTAAAAGGGAAGTAGTTTCTGAAATATATATATTTTATATATATATATATATATATAAATATATATTTCAACATGTAAGTGCCCAGGCACAATCACACTAGAAGACATGAAGGAGTCAGATGTTTGTAGTTGCACACTGAACAACAGGGAAGGTCACAGGTACACAAACCGACTGTCTCAGGATCTCAAACTTGCTGTGTGATGTTTCCAAAATAGTGAACACCCCCTGGTAAAATTCTGTACAAAACAAAGTATAACCTTCTGTGCATTTACGTGCTAGCTGTATTTCCAAAAAAGTTAAAAACTTGCAAAAAAATATTTTGTGCTCAAGCTGGGTTTTGTGTACATATAAAGGCCTGTCATTCACATGAACATCTATTGTTACATTCATACATCATCCACAATGCAGGAAAATTCTTGTTTGGAACAGGAGCCCATCCACTAAAGGCCAGGAGCCCCCTTTCCTGTCATGATAAAATTCAAAGTTCTCCCCCAAATTTCCAAAATGACCACCAGCGATCGATGCTGCTGGCCAGCTGCAGTGTGACATTCAAGTGCTATTATGACGTGGTGCCTTCTTCCCTGCCTGCCCACCTTGAATGCTCTCCTAGATTTATCTTTGGGGATTGTTACATTGAGAAGAGAGATGTTGTTAAACATTTAAAATGCTTCTATTGCAGGTTTTTGGCTTGTTTGGTAAGTTGACAATATTATAATGAAATTAAAGATACAAAAACCCCTAAGTGGTGATGGCAAAGGAACAATCCACCACAGAGGGTCCCCTTGCCTCGTGCCACGGGCAGCTTCCCAGCAGAGACGTGTGTGCAGGCAAAGCTGTGAGATTGCGTGTGCACACCAGAGCTCTGGAAGCAGGAGGAAGCCCCTGACCATGGATTTTTGTAGCTGCCAGTGTTGTTAGTGTCAAGGTGAAGCTGGGGGTTTAGAAGATGTGAGGCTTTAATGATGTTGATTTCTTCTGCTGCCCCAAGGGCAAAATGGTGAGGTGCAGTGTGCTTCTCAGAAAGCGAGAGGCCGCTGCCACCCAAAATGAGGGCTCAGAAGTGAGAATGCTCCCACTTGCTGCAGGTGGGGGGATCTTGCCCACTCGACCTGAGGGGGCCTGAACAGCAGGGAAGAAAGATCCTTGGGTCCAGCCTGGGCCTCTCAAAATAGCACCAACTAGATTCTTTTGTGAGAGACTCTAGAAGGAGAATGCTCAAAAATTAACCTGCTTCCTGAGGCTCCAATTGCAGCAAAGCCTCGGGAGGGTTTTCCTCCTGGGAATCCCTGCTTCCTACAGGCCCCTGCAGGGAAGCTGAGAATAGAACAGCTCACCAGCAAATGCAGAGGCTTCCTCAGCACATAGGGCCTCAGAATCATGAATTGGTTTTTAACTATGTGTCAGAAGAAAACTGAGCAGGAAGCCTCACTGCTTCCCCAGTAGCAGCAGAATGAATTCATTCTCAAGTTGTGCTTCCCTCCAGGACAGAGAACCTCTGAGCTTCTGTTAATTTAGATTCTGGATCTGAGTGTGAGTTCCTGCCTGAGAGAATCTGGGGGATAATGCAGCTTCTGAGCTCGGTTTCTGGTGTGGATTGTTCTGGGAGGTTTACAATATATAAGAGCTCCGTGCTGGTTCCCATTCATCATGAATCACCTCTGCTCCCTTATTTCCAGACTCTTTCTTTTGTAGCTACTTACAAGAGAACACTTCTGCTTTAAGCCAGGAATGAGAAGGGCCCTATTTCATTAAATTCACTAGTCAGACACAGACAACTCTCACAGCATCGGTCTGTCCAGAAAGCAAGATGAGTAGCATGTTGAAACTTTACTGGGCAGTACTTTCATGGTCCTTTCCCCCAACACATAGGGATATCACAGTGATCTCTCTGCCCGCATTCACACCACCAAGGAAAGGGCAACTCTAAATGTGAACTAGAGTAGGACTAGGAGATTCAGCTTTAGAACAAATACAATGATCTAAAAATATTTGTTTCTATCTCCCTCCTAGAGCCACAACTTGTAGTCAGGGCCATTATGTTCCTCAATTCCAAAATACACATAAAAAATTTCAACAACTTTAAAACTGAGATTTTTTTGTACATCTCTTAATATTACGACATTGGGAAGCATCTCTTTTTTTTTCATAGCATACAAAATAATGGTGTGTCTTGTATCAACAGTAGCATGGATTCAATGAGATACTACAAACAGACAAGGTAGCCATGGAGAGGACCTTTCCTGAAATTTAAACGAGTGAGAAGTGCCCTGTGAAGAAATCTTAGGTTGCACATTTTCATAGGGTTATTAGATCTACAAATGGCAGAAATAGGAAAATGTTTCCAGAGTGCCAAAGACTACTGTCTTAATCAGCTTAGCTACTATTAAAAAAATACCATAGAAAGGGTGGCTTAAACAACGGACATTTATTTCTCACAGTTCTGGGGACTGGGAAGTCCAAGATCAAGGTACCAGCAGATTTAGTTCTTGGTGAGGGCTCCCTTCCTGACTTGCAGATGACCACCTTCTTCCTGTATCCTCACACGGCAGCAAGACAGAGGAAGCAAGTTCTTTGGTCTCTTAGTGGGCACTAAGATCAGGACACTGTCTAAAATGCTGCCCATTAGTCTCTTATAGGGGCACTAATCTCATCACGGGGGCCCCACTCTCATGCCCTCTTCTAAACCTAATTATCTCCCAAATGCCCCATCTCCAAATACCATGACACTGGGGGTTAGGGCTTCAACATATGAAATTTTGGAGGAACACAATTCCATCTACAGCAGATACCATTACCAGTGAGACGGTCCCTCACTTGAATGGCAGTTTTCCTGTCAATTCTGGTTGGACACAGTGCATGCAACGGAGTGACTCATGTCTGTGTCCATCTGCTGAGGGTCATTTTTGATATGCCACAAAACACATAACTTTGGCCCTTTTCTAGTCAATACTTTTCTGTCAGTTTTAACACGGTACCGTAAGACTGCTTATCTAATTATTTATGGCTCCAAAGCATGAAGGAAAAACTTATATCCCATGTGGAAAATAATTCCCACTGAATGAAATCAAGGTGGTATTTAAGGAAAGAAAGGAAGCTTTCATTTTGGTTCAAAGAATCCATGTTATATGTGTAGGGTGGTGGAGGAGGCCCAGGGTCATTCCTTGTGGGGGAAGGTTGTGTTCAGCATCAAGTGTGATGTGAAGCAAGAATGTGATAGAATCATGAAAATGGGCAACAAAATGAACTGCATTTTAGAAAGTGTCCTGATCTTAAAATACAATGGTTTTACTGGACTGTGGACAGAGATGAACATAAGGCAGAATTCCTAACCCTTGGTACTAATGACACTTCGCAGATAATTCTTCGTTGTGGGGGCTGTCCTGCACCTTCTAGGATCCCTGGCCTCTGTCCACTAGGAGACTTTACCCTCCCCACCATTCAAGTCATGACCATCAAGGATGTCTCCGGACATCACCTAATGTCCTCTGGGAGGCAAAATCACCGCCCCCGTCCCACACCACCCCAAGTTAAGAACCACTGATATAAAGAGTTCTATCCAATTTTTAGAATCACATTTTAAGAAGGTAACAACCACGCTACAAAAATATCCCCTGAAAAGAGCAATGATTACATTAAAGCATTTATTGAACATGTACAACATGCAAAGCATATGTTATTAAGTAGAATTTAAAAGCAAGGTCCTTGGACCTCACATGTCCATTAAATGCTCCTCATTCAACATGGGGTTCCATAATAATCTTCAGTTATTTGAAGAGCTCTTGATTGATGATGGACTAGACCAAGTGTGTAGAAGTTACAGGAGATAGACTTCATGATACAGTGCAAAAGCTTTTCTTTTAGTTGCTTTTTTTTTTTAATAAATACTATTACATTAGTGTAGTAAGTAAAAAGTCAGAGCTTCTCCCTTTTCCCCAAACTCACTCACCAGGGGCAACCACAGGTTATAGTTTGGGAGGTTTTCCAGACCCCTTCAGGCAAAATAGATTAATATTGAAATGGCAGCAAATGTCCTTCCTCCCCCCGCTTCTTAAGCGTCTACTGAACCAGCGAGCTGCTTGCTTCTCTCCTGCGTCTTCCCTTTCTCACCTCCCACTTTGTGGAGAGTCCTTCTGCCACATTGATTCCAAGACTTAATTTTTTTATTGTGAAAATTTTCTGACTTCCACAAAAGCATAGAGAATAGTTAAAAACAAAAATCACACTTCTCACTACAGGTTCAACAATTGTCAAGATTTTGCGATATATATTTCATTTATCCCTTTTATTCTCCAAAGTTTGAAAACAGATCCCAAATGTCATGTTATTTCACATCCACATACATCAGTATGTTTCTCAGAAATATATTTAAGTCTTAGACCCTTTCCCTGTAAAATCAGAGGATGGACAATGCAGGATGGAGCTAAAGAAACTGGAAGAGGAGGAGCGGGAAGGGAATGGGGAAGAGGCTGGGAAGGGGAGGAGAGAAGGGGTGGTCAACATCTGCACTGGGAGAGAATGACTCAGAGCTGCTGGGTTGGGGATGAGGGCAGGGTTTGGGGTGAGCTACTGAAAGGCTGGGGGACTCCAAGGTTCATTAAAACAGAGAGGAGAGACAACAGGATACTAGAAAGATTATTCAGAATTATATTTGATCACCCTTAAGTTCTTTCAAAAGACTCAAAGACTGAATTTTAAAACTCTAATTTAAAAATATTGGAATGTTAAAAATATTACCCCACTCTCAGTTTAAACCCTGTGAGACTTGGCTTCAATAAGGTGTATATACATTAAATGTGTTAGTTTAACTTATAAAGAAAATTAAACGGGTTCATTTATCTTATGAAGAAAATGGAACCCGCAGTTTGCACTCAGTATTGCAGACATCTTAGAAGGAGTGTTCTTCTACAGATCCCCTTACAGTGGTCCAGGCTCCACTCTAAGTGGATTATCTATTTGTTTTAAATTCACAACAATCTTATGATATAGGTACTATTATTATCCCCCTTTTACGCATGGGGAAACTATGGTTTAGGGAGGTTTCAATGTCTTGTCCAAGGTCCCTGCTTTTGGAGGCAAAGCCAGCTTCTAAACCCAAGTTCATCTCACAGTAAAGTGTGGCTCTCAACCACTCTGTCACAGGAACTGTGCCATGGGCAGGATGCCCATCTGACAGTGGCATGGAGGTTCCCATGGCTCTGTACTGCTGGAAATGCCACATTCCTTTCTTGGGGTCCCATAGGGGTTTCTGTCTTTATAAATTCCTATAAAAATGCAGGCTCTCCATGGGAGGGTAAAACTAGCAAGGTGAACTCATTGCTCATGAATGTGATGAGCTGGAAGGGAATGAAGTGATTAGAAGTAGGAACTCAGACAAACCTGGTCTCAAATCCTGCCCCTGCCCTTAAAAGCTCTGGGACCTTGGGCAAATGGCTTAGCTTCTCCAGGTCTCTTACATTATTCCCAGGGTTGGAGGCAGGCAAGGATGAGGGAAGATGGAATTGTTTATAAGTACTAAGAGGAGAACACACTCCTCTTTGAACCACAGAAAGGCAGCAGTATCAACAATAAGTTTCACCAGTGGGGCTCCTGGTGTTGGCCTTTTGTTCTCCATATATTGGAGGCTTTGAGGAGACTTCTTCAGTTTTTGTCCAGTAAAGGCTAAGTCATGGTTCCTGAGGAATGTCCCTGCTATTGATGTCACTTTTGGGGCTAAATTTTGCATCATTGTTCAACATTGTAAAACACAGCCAGGGCCCTCTGCCGTGCACATGGGGAGACCAACCGTAGAGGCGGGACTGTCAGTGCTGGACCTGGGACCAGCACTGGGCAAACTGGGATGCATTGGTCATCCTTCTTGTCAGCTCCTGGGGTGATCTTCACAAAGTTGCCTATGTCAATGGGACACAGTTTGTGTAACTATATAACAGTCCTGAAAAGGGTCATTAAAAAAAGAATCCTTCTGGTTAAGGTTGAAATTATTATAGTTTGTATGCTTGGTGATTAACTCGAAATGCCTCCACTCATGAGAAAAGGCTAGAGAAATAAATAACAAAGTTATTTAGTCTCTATTTGGAGAAAAGGTTAATCTTTTTTTGTCTCTAAGATAAATAACAAAATTACCTGATCTCCATGTGGAGAATGAGGCTATTTTCTCCCCCTCAACCTCTTTTTCCCTCAACTGTTTTATTACCTCAATATTTTCACACATAAGGAAAAAGTGAAATGGTAAAAAACCATATATCCTCCACCTAGTTTTCAACAATTGTTCACATATTGCTATATTTGCATTGCCTCTCTCCTTCCCCCTATATATGTCTTATTTGTTCACTCTCTCCTCTCCTTCTCTCCCTATGTATGCAAATGTGCCATATTCAAGTTCTTTCTTTCTATATTCTTGAAAAATTTATATATATTTTTCTTGTTGTTTTGAAAGTAAGTTGCAGACATGACACTTCACCCCTAAATGCTTAAGCACACTTCCCCTAAGAGGAATAAGGGCATTCATTCAAATGCCATAATTGCACTTAAGAAAATTAACAATTTCATAGTTATCTAACATTATTTTTCCCAGTTGTACCCAAGTCAATGCCTTTTACAGAAAAAGTCACATTGTTGTCACTCAATAATGGATTTAATTTTTGCCTGTTCCCTTTTAGTCTTTATCTTTTTGAATGCTGCTTCCCACAATATCCCCAAAACAACTTGTTGATAAAGCTTGAGTTTGTTGCTTACTATGGTAAAAGAGAATGCTACCTTGGCTAGGCACGGTGGCTCACACTTGTAATTCCAGCACTTTGGGAGGCTGAGGTGGGTGGATCGCTTGAGGCCATGAGATTGAAATCAGCCTGGCCAATATGATGTAACCCTGTCTCTACTAAAAATGTAAAAATCAGCCAGATATTGTGGCATGCACCTGTAATTCCAGGTGCTTGGGAGGCTGAGGCATGAGAATCACTTTATCCCAGGAGGCGGAGGTTGCAGTGAGCCAAGATTGAGCCACTGCACTCCAGCCTGGGCAACAGAGCGAGACTCTGTCTCAAAACAAACAAACAAAAACAAAAAAGAATGCTACCTTGACAGAGCCTGATGGTGTCTCAGAGTAGGAAGGGCAGTTGGGACATTTCTTGAGATTTTGAAGTTGAGTTTAAGGTAGGTCTTTCAATGTGAAGTGGGGGATTGGAGCAAAATTAGTTTGTAATCTGTACTTCCTGTATAAGTACACTATGCTTAGTAGCCTTAGGATGAAAAGTGTTGTTTCTCTAGATGTTGGCAATAACTCAAGAAGTTAATCTAGGCCTGGCATACCACTGGTCATGTGGATCTGCCCTCCCTCCTTGTAAAGAGAAAGAAAATGGGAGGAGGAGGAGGAGGACGAGAAGGATGAGGAGGACTAACCCATCACAAGCCTCCTAGGTCACATCCACCAGCACTGAACCAAGAAGCTGCAGATGGTACAGAAACTGCATTATCTTCCTTTGTTCTTTGAAGAGTGTTTCATATGGATAGCACATGATGCAGCCACTGCTCACAACATCCATGGGAATATTTGGTAGAATTTGTAATAAGATATGTGAAACTGTGTTCAGGATTGGCAGCAAGGAACTAACAGCCATTGGTGACATTTAGAATTGCATCTGGCTGCTACTAATAAAAACCCTAGTGACTCCAGCAAATTAGAAGTCTGTTTTTCTGCACATAACATAACACATGGAAGGTGACAGTCTTGGGTTCACAAGAAAGCTTTACCTTGTTGCCAGGGGCCTAGGTCCTTTTGTTCCTCTGCTCCATCATCCTTAGCACTGGCTTCACTCCTTATGGTTGCCATATGATCACAAGTGGCTGCTGGAACTCCAGCAATCATGCCTGCTTTCCACACAATGAGAAGGAAAGAGAAAGGGCAAAATGGCATGCCTTCTAACTTAGTCTACCCTCTTTAAGAAACTTCTTGAAAATTCCAGTGACCTCCAATTTTGTGGTCTTTTTACCTGCTCTGAATAAAACTGGGTTTCAACTAGTCAGGAAGAAGGGGAGAATAAAGATTGGAGAAACAGCAGATAGCAGTTGCCAAATCATTCAAACCAGTTTATGTCAAACAGGAAGGATACATGGGAGCCCCAGGGAAACAGGACAAGAAGTACAGTCATGCCTCATGGGAAGCAAGAACTAGAAACTAGAGGCTATTGGAAACCCAGGTGGCCACTCTGGGAAGTCTCCTTCTCAGGCTATGTTGTTTCTCTTCTGTTCTTCACTCAGCACACTCACCTCCTACTTTTCTTTTTCTCCATCTGACCCTTTCCTTCTCTTTGCACAAGGTAAAAAATGGTCACTTTGCATCCCAAATTCACATATTCTCTGCTCAAGGAAACTGGTATATATAGTAGGGCTTCTCTGAATTCAGACCCCTCAACCTTCCAATAAGGAGAATCTGATTACCTCACTTTGGTGAGGACTTAATGCTGGTCTGACTCTCTGTGGTCAAAGAGCCACTATGTACAAATCTGTCTGCTAGTTTCGTGTGGGCGTGTGCTGGGGTAAGAGGAGTAATTCTCTGAAGAGCACTCCTCAGCCAGAATGGAGGCTCTCTTCGCTTAATCGTCATAATAGAGTAAAATGAACTTCTCTTTACAAAAACATAGATAACCAGAAAGTTAAAATTTAAAAAAAAGTTCTCCTTGACAATTAGGAAATCGTTGAGGCCCTGCCAGACCGTCCGCATGCCATCCAGACCGTCCGCATGCCATCCAAACCTCCGCATCAATGAAAGGGTAGGTTAGCTCCCATATCATCCTTACGTGCTTTCTGTATCACTTTGAATCTTAAAAACAAAAACAAATAAAACAAAAAAACCTTGTTATTTATTTCTGAGCTGGGTGGGGATGCCTGGCTAACTAGAATATCCCATTCTCCTTTCTCTGGACTGCCAAATAAACAGGGGTTTACTGTCTTCCCTGGAGTCTGGAATGGTTTTTGGTCAAATAGACTCCACATTTCCATGAGTTTTAAGATGCTGAATATCAGCCAGCTTCACCCCACCAAGTGTAATTGTTGACAGCTGTGTCTTGAAAAGGGTTTCTTTTGTGCTCATCCTGCTGAGTGAGCCGAATTGCTTCATTAACATTTAGGCCATGTTACACATTCAAGTGCTTGTGAGGTATTTGGATTTCAGATGAGTTTTTTTTTTTTTTTTTAATTCTTGTTCCAAACATGACAAGTCTCCATTTTTGTAATGAGTTTTTGTATATATGGGTGCTATTGAAATTTTTGCATCTTTGTTCATTTGTCATGCAAAGACATACAGCAATGATTGTTACGCTTTGACCTAGTTATTAAGGCCTTTTATATTTGTGAAGAGCAAATTTCAAATTATGCCTTAGAGTAACTATGACTGTTGGTGCTTCCCCGCCCAAGAAGACAATGTCAGCTTCAAGGGGTACTTGGTGGGGGAAGAGGAGGTGCTCCCCTCCAAAAGAACTTCTATAGGCTTCCCTAAGCCATCCCCAGTGAACATACAAGTAAGCAAAAAACAGTGCATTTTCCATGAAAATTCGACTTCAAGATAAGCCCCCTTTCCTACCCTTCCAGCGAGATTTATGCTCTGAACCATTTCTCTGTAGGAACTCAGCAAGCAGGAGCTAAGCAGCAAGCAGCCACTGCTCAGTTTGAGGTCCCAGGACAGGAAGAATTCCTGCAGCAGACACTAATTGCTTAGGTAATAGCCATTCTTCCTTTCTAACAGAATCCCAGTTACCATGTGGGTGACGATGTGCTGTGCTAAAAGCACCTGTCTTCTCAGACTCCTTTGCAGCTAGAGGTGGCCCTTGTTACCCAAATCTTGCCAATGAAATGTAAGGGAAAGTAATTGACTGAAACCTCTAGAAAAACTTTTCAAAAGAAGTACTGTCTTGCCCTTGCCTCTTTTTACTGTCTTCAACCCTGCTGCCTGGCTACAGGCAGAGTAGTCATCCCCTGAGGATGCAGGCAGGAAGACAGAAGGAGATTGAGTCTCTGGGGGCAACGTGGGGAAGCTGTACCAATTCTAGGCTGCCCAGCTCTGGAGGTCTGTTATCTGGTTAAGCCACTAAACGGGGTTTTCTGTTATTTACAGTCAAACACATTATTAATTGAGACCTTCCATAAGGGCATAGACTTTTGTTTGTTTGTTTTTGTTTTGTTGTTGTTGGGGCCTATTCTGGTTATCTGTTAACTACATAACAAATTACTCTAAAACTTACAGCTTAAGGTAGCAACCATTTCACCATATCTCTTGGCTTGGTGGGTCAGGAATTCAGGCAATGTCAGTGGGCAATTCTTCTGCTCCCTCTGTCATTGACTGAGATCACTGGGTGGTGTTCAGCTGGTGGATGGGCTGGTCTGGAAGGTCCGAGATAGCTTTACTCACATGTCTGGTGCCTTGACAGGGAAGCCTACAAAACAGGGCTCAGTGGATTCTGTCAACTGGAGTGCTTACACGTGGCTTCTCTGGCACGATGGTCTTAGGCTGGTCAGACATTACCTGGTAGCTCAGGGTACCCAGAGAGAAAGAGTTCCAAAGGGGTAGAAGTTTCCAGTTTCTCACACCTGGGCCTGGAAATAGGTACTGCATTGCTTCTGCTGTATTGTATTGGCCAAAGCAGTTACGGGCCTATCTAGGTTCTGGGGCAAGGAAACTTAGATCTACTCCTGATGGGAGTATTGTCAAAGAATTTGTGGCCATCGTTAATCCACCACAGGGGCAATGGGTTACAAAGTTACTTTCACAAAGTTTGATCTACAGGCCTATAATAGACAGCTCTCCCTCTGAGAGTAGACCTTGTATTCAAGTCTCTATGATTCTTGCAGGTAGACAGATGGTCTACATAGTGCCAGGCAGTAGTCTAGGCACTGGGAATGGAATGACAAACGTTAACCAGGAAGGTCCTCTTGTGTTAAGTTTGAGGTTGTAGTGGAGGGAAAAATGGCCTCCCTTCACCTTTTCAGGTTCTTTGGCCAGGCTATGCATTAACATAAGACATATTAACAGGAGAAAAAAAAAAACATATTTAATTATGTGCATAAGCACAAGAGTCCCACACAATATGAGACTCAAAGAAGGGCCAGGTGATTGAAGCTTGCATACTATCCTGAGCTATGGAAAGGAATAAGGACTGGGGGCATCTGGGGGTGATGGAGACAAGTTATCGGGGGGTTGGTGAGTGGAAGAAATGTATGGTAAATAAAGATTGTCTTGTTACAAGACAAGAAGTTTCTCAGGTAAAAAAGTTGTCTTTAAAAGCAGCCTTCTTTCTGATGCAGATACTTTTACTAATGTAGGTTTCCTTTATTGATAAACATTTCTATTACAAAAGGGCAGCTTTTCAGAGCTACTCCCATGTCTGGTGTCTCTCAGGATAACTAGCTCAAAATAGATCTTAAAAGTATATTTTGGGGTGGCATATTCTGGTCTCCTCTGGTCATATTTTGGGGCAATATGTCCAGAGCCCTGATAAAATGGTTACCGGACACACAAGAGGAGATTACTATGAAAAGAAATATTTGAAAATATATGGTGACCTAAGGTGGTGGCTAGGATGGTATAAAGAACCTGGCCCACAGGAGCCTCCCATGAGGAGTCCTGGGTTTTCATCTTCAGCTTGGATCTGCATGACCATGAGAAAATCCAGTAATACCTTTGGGCTTCAGTTTCATTATCAGTAAAATGAAGGGACTGGATCTTATCATCTCTGAGGTCTCTTCCATTGTAAAGTTTTATAGGTCTGGGCAATCACCATTTATGATTATGAAAAGAGCTGGAGTTATGATTTCTTTTCTTAACTCTTAAAAATACCAGGCTTTTTCTGTAGTCAAATTCCACTGTGCTTTTCTTCCACAGACATAGTTCACTTACAGAGCAGACCTCAGGAAGAACTCTGGGTAAAGGCAATATTTTTGTGAAAGTCAAATCTTCCCAGCTAATTTGATTTCTCTGACTTTCCCTGAGAACTTGTTCTTTCTAAACTTTCCCTGCTGTTCTCTTTTTAAGATTATAATATAAAATGTTTCCATTCACATTAGAACATGACAAGCAGACTCAGTATGGCCAAATGTTCCAGGGTTCACTGGGTTCCTGAACCACGTGGGAATCTGAGGGGTATTAATAACAAAGTGAGTGAGGGAGAGTTTCAGAGAGAGTAACTTGGGGTTCAGTTAAAAAAGGGGACCCTACATAATCAACAGATGAATGCCTAAAAGTATAATATTGAACTTGGTGGTGAAGGACCTCCATGATTACTTCTTTTGAGGAATTTATTCATTTCTTTTCACCTCAAAGATTTCTAGTAAAACAATGCAATTTAATCCCACAAAAATTTGGGAATGTGAATTCATTAAACACCTCAGTGATTCAGAGCACTTTGCTGAGTTTTGAGGATTTGAGAGGGGAAAAAAAAATCTGGGTTTCTGAGGAGTGAAACTATGTATGACTTTTGCTGTGACTTCCTGCAATATTCTGGGCAAATCTATTAATTATTTTATAATTATATTATGGATAAACAATATTTGGGCATCTTAAAGAAAAAAGTATCTGTAGTACACTTTTTCTATTTTATCTTAATACAGTTTATTACTACGTGGGGTTTGTAATTTGTTTTGCAAAATAAATAAGACCTCCTTATAACTCTATCCTTGGGATGCATTCCAGGAGACAGCCTTAAAAAAGTAAGCCTGCTTCATACAGGGTCTTTTTGATATAGTAGTGACTAGTATCCTCTGGATTAATTGTCCCCAGAAAGATCCAAAATATACAAAATAACATTTTATAATAAATAGTGTTATACTGAAGATTCACCAAATAATAATGATGTAATAATATTTATCAATGACTACATGCAAACAATGTATCCAACATTGTGCTAAAAGCTTCCCCATATATAGTTTTTAATCCCCACAGTAGTACTGGAAGTTCTTATTGTCTCCATTGGAAAAGACTGAGGTTCAGGCAGGTAGTCTTTACTTTGGTGAGTGATGAGGCTGTAATTCTAATACGGTCCTGTCTGTTGCCAAAACCTAAGATTTTTCCACTTTTGTCTTTATCCAAATATTTCTTTGGGGGTAATGCAAATATTGTTAGAACACCATAGAAATTTAAAAACAATCAATTTGTATTCTGTTTTCTCGGTAACAAAAGACAAGACAATTAGGCAGCAATTACATGGTTGAAACAGGATATTTTTTCCATTAAGATTTATGTGGTAAAATAAGTACCCATTATCAAATATTTCTGGATTCAATGGAGCTATTTTTCACCTCAACAAATGCTATTCAGCGATTTACGAACACCACAGCAGAGACTAGCTATGTCTGTCTTGTGGGTAAGAAGTTAAAATGCCCTATAATTTTATTGAGTACTGCCTCTTTGGATCCTTTAATTTTTCAATGTATAGTACCCCACTCCCCACTTCTCCCCCACTTTGCCTTTTGAGTATATTATTCACTTCCAAATCTCTTCTTTGCTATCCTCAAACTTTCTTATTGCCCCAGGGGCTCCCCTCCTACTCTTTACTTGCAAACACCTCCTCTTTAAACTTGTCTGGCTGACCACCCCCGCCAAATACCTTGAAGAAAATACCACTTTCAGGAGTGGTTGCACACAATACTTCTTGTCCTAGGCCAAATTCTTGATTTTCCTCCCTCCTTTGCCAGGCAGCTGTGTAGATACTTCATTTCAATTCAGGGTCTCTGACATCAAGTTGTAAAGAATAGGTAGTCCAAAATGTAGTTTTTTAAAAAACTATTGTTCAATTTAGAAAGAATTGACATTTTTACTTTGTTGATCTTTCAATCCATGAACATAGTACATCCTTCCATTCTTAAATTTTTAATTGCTTTCACCAGCATTTTGCATTTTTAGCATACAAGTCTAGTACATATTTTATTAGATTTATATTTAAGTATTTTTTCAGTGATTATAAATGGTATTGTATTTTAAATTTTGATTTCTAGGTATTCATTGAAGTATACAGAAATACAAGTGACCCTTGCATTTTGATCTTGTATCCTGTGACTTGCCCTACTCACTTGCTAGTTCCAGGAGTTGTTTTGTATATTTCAAAACACAGAGTTTTAAAATTTAAATTGTATATGCTTTCTCTTTCATATTAATTCTTATCAATATGAATTTAAATCCAGAGAGTACACTAAATAGGGACATAATCCATGGGGCTACCAGGCATGCAACTTTCCCTTAAAAAGTGTTATTAGCAAGCAGATACAGAATCCTACATTTTTATCAGTGCACATAATACAAATTTACTCTTTCATAGTGAATATGACTTACACTTTTTGACTTTATGATAGTCCAAAAGTAATTTACATTCAGTATGCTCCTTGACTTACAATGGATTTATCTGGATGTAACCCAATTATAAATTGAGGAGCATTTGTATTTTCTAAACCTTATGTGTATTAACCAAAATGAGTGACTGAAATGAATCCTTGTCAATTGAGATTTATTGAGCCAGAGCTTAAGTGTGTGCCTGGGAAAAACACGAGACACAGAAGACCTCTATGGCTTTTGTTTCTCTGAAGAGGTTTTCAGCAGGCTTAGTGTTTATACATTTTCTTAAATGGGGAAAGGCATGTAGGAAGAGGGGGGTAGGTAGAGGAATGATTCATCTTGTCTTTGTTTTGTACCTGAGAAGATAAGCATTATCAGTGTGAAATCTAATAGGCTTTAATTTTAGGAGCTAGACTTAGATTGCAGATCTATACAATTGACATGTCCTTATTTTATGGGAGGATTACATCTTGAAAGGTTTTGAAGCCAGCAAATAACAATTTGTAAGGCAGTCTAGACCTACGGCATTTTGCCTTTCTGTGGGGGTCTGTGTAATGCTTTGACACAAGGTTGTAAAATAACAGCTATGCATTCGGAAAAAGATGGCAATGTTGCATGACTCAGTCTCCAGGCTTAACTTTCTCTTTAGCATAATGAGTTTGGGGTCTTGAGATTTTTGACTTTCCTTTATATGCATAATACCCAAAATATATATACTTAAAGCCAACTCTCCCTTGCCTGATTTGTTGTTTTTGTTCTCCCATGTGCATTAGTTATAAATACCAAAAGAACACATGAAAATCTACTTCTATATCTAATAAAAGATTAATGGTTCCTGTATCAAATAAAATTGTTGATAGTAAGCTGTGTTTTGCTCATTCAAATAAACATTACGTCAGCTGTGAGTGTCAGTAGGCAGGAAAGATAAGACCATTCAAGGGAGACCAGACCATATCTTATAACTAGATTTTCTGTAGGCATACCTCCAACTAAATGCTTTCTATATAAGAGAAAAATACCCTGAATACTTTTGTTCTGGTACATAAATTGGGTGATACTGGGTAGATCATGGAGGGGAGTATATTCAGATCTACTGGTAGACCCTGAGACCTTAAAACTCATCCAGATAAGAGTCAGTCTCATTAAACCAGGAGTGGTCTTCTTGGAATCCCACTATACTGGAGTGTGGTAATTTCCAAGTGCATCAAACTTTGTATTAGTGGTGAGGAAAAATCAACCATGTTTTTATTTAATATGCTATACCCAAGGTATATTATTTGTTTTAGGGCATTTATACCTAAGGTATATTATTTGTTTTAGGGCATTTATCCTTCTACATCAGAGAGCCTATTAGTTCAATAATGGAAAGAAAATGAAAATTCAGAAAGGAGAAGTGTTTGCCTTGGGATTTTTGTTGATTTAAAAGATGTAGGTAAAAGGCCTGGAGGTGGAGCAGTACTTTTGTTAGCTTTGAGGAGCAAGGGGCTAAAAGTTGGAGTAAATGGTCTGTCAAGACAGGGCCTGGGTGAATATTCACATTCTGATTTGGGACCGAAAAGACTATAACTTGGAACTAAGAGTGAGCCTGAAATAAATTATCACTCATAGACCTCTTGCAGGCTTCACACAATAGTTCAGTGTTGCTAGGAACTCAGATGCTTGGCAGAGCAAGCCAAAATGCTCTCTGAAAAAAATATAATATCACTTTGGCCTCAAATAATTTTAATAAACAATTTTCCAAATGCAATGTCTGGCACACAAACAAAGAAAACTGGGCATACAAGAAGGTAGAACAACATAAACCATAATCAGTAAAAATAATGGCAATAGAAAGAGACTTCCGGAAGCTCCAGATATTGGAGTTATCAGATACAAACATTAAAATAAATATACTGATTGGGCGTGGTGGCTCACATCTGTAATCCCAGCACTTTGAGAGGTCTAGGTAGGAGGATCACTTGACCCAGGAGTTTGAGATCAACCTGGGTGACATAATGAGATCCTGTCACTACTGACAACAACAACAAAATAGCCCATTGTGTTAGTGTGCACCTGTAGTCTCAGCTACTAGGGAGGCTGAGGTGAGAGGATTGCTTTAGCCTGGGAGGTCAAGGCTGCAGTGAGCTGTGATCACACCACTGCACTCCAGCCTGGGCAACACAGTGAGACCCAGTTTCAAAAAATTTAAAAAAAAAGAAATAAAATAAATATGGTTCCTATGTTCAAGAAGATGAAAAACAAGATGAAAATATGGTTAGGGAATTGAAAAGTTAAAAAATGTATAGCCAACTAAAAAAACAAATAGAAATTTTAGAATGAAAAAAATACAAAAATGGGCTGGGTACAGTGGCTCATGCCTTTAATCCCAGCACTTTGGGAGGCCAAGGTGGGAAGATCCCTTAAGGCCAGGAGTTTGAGACCAGCCTGGGAAACATAGGGAGACCCTACAAAAAAATAAAAATATAATATAATAATAAAAAGTAAATAACAAATAAAATTAAAATAATATATATTATATATAATAATAAAAAGAGACTGCAAAAAAATAAAAATAAAATATAATAAATAAAATCAAGCCAATTATTCACAACTGAAGAAAAATTAGTGCACTGGAAACAGGTAAGAAGAAAATATGCAAAATGAAGTACAGAGATACAAAAGGATGGAGCAAAGAGAAATGAATATAAGAAACATAAGACAGAGAGAAGATCTAATTTACGGATATTGTTGAATGTTTGTTTTCTCCAAATTTCATGTTCAGATGTAATCCCCAGTGTTGGAGATGGGACCTGCTGGGAGGTGATTGGATTATGGGAGCGGGGGTTCCTTCATGAATGATTTGGCACCATCCCATTGGTGATAAGTGAGTTCTCACTCTGAGTTCACAGGAGATCTGATTGTTTCAAAGTGTGTGGCACCTTCCTCCTCTCTCGCTCCTGCTCTCGTCATGTGACATGCTTGCTCCCCTTCACTTTCTGCCGTAATTGTAAGATTCCTGAGGCTTTCACCAGAGGCAGATGTTGGAGCCATGCTGGTATAGCCTGCAGAACTGTGAGCCAATTAAACCTCTTTTCTTTATAAATTACCCAGCCTCAGGTATTTCTTCATAGCAATGCAAGAATGGCTTCACACATTTACATAAGTAAGAGTTAGAAAGAGAAAAGAGAAAATAGGTAAAGTGATATTTGGAAAGATAATGAATGAGCATTATCCAAGACTAATGAAAGATATTGATTCACAGAATCAAGGATCCAAATGAATTCCAAGCAGAGTAAATACTCAGGAATACATACACAGGCACCTAGCCAAAAAAAAAAAAAAAAAAAAAAAAGCATGGCAAAAAACTTAGGTAAACTACTGAGAATACAGAATCAATCTGAATGAAGTAAAAAAAATGGATTATATGAGGGAAAAAATGGTACAAACAGTAACAGCAATAAAATCATGTATGTCTGTCAATTACAATAACTATATACATGAATACATTTTTGAGTGAAAAAACATTATTAAATTACCTTTAAAAATAATTGTACTTCCAATTTCCAGATTGGCATCTAGTAGCTTGGAAATAGTCACTTGTCCTAACAACAGCTAAAAAATTGAACAAACTGAAAAGTCAGTAACTCTTTTTATATCTGTCAGAGAAGTGAGGCCACAGGGCAAGCCACCGCCCTCAAAGTTGTAGAGACAATTAGGTAAATACAGAAAATTAAAATTTACCAGAGCAAAAACCCACAAGCAGAAACTTCCATGGAAACCAACCCCAGGTTCCTTTGACCTATGATATCATGTCTATCTATCAAGAAAAAAATTACAAGACATACTAGAGGGGGGAAAAACCCCCACAATTGGAAGAGACAGAGCAAGGATAAAAAACAGACTCAGAGGGTGTTGGAATTATCAGACCAGGAATTTAAAACAACTGTGATTAATATGCTAGGGGCTCTAATAGGAAAGCTGATAACACAGACAAACAGATGAATAATGTAAACAGAGAGATGAAATTTCTAAGAAAGTATAAGAAAAATGCTGGAGAACCAAACACTAACAGAAACAAAGAATATCTTTCATGGGGCTGGGTGTGGTGGCTCGTGCCTATAATCCCAGCACTTTTGGAGGCTGAGGTGGGTGGATTGCTTGAGCCCAGGAATTTGAGACCAGCCTGGGCAACATGATGAAACCTCATTCTCTACAAAAATATACAAAAGTTAGCTGAATGTGGTGGTACACACCTGTGGTCCAGGCTACTCGGGAGGCTGAGGTGGCAGGATCACTTGAGCTTGGGGAGGTTGAGGCTGCAGTGAGCTATTATCACACCACTGCACTCCAGCCTGGGTGACAGAGAGAGACCCTGTCTCACACACACAGCAAAGAATATCTTTGATGGGCTCATTAGTAGACTGAACACAGCTGAGGAAAGAATTTCTGAGCTTAGAAATATCTCAGAAACTTCCAAATGAAAAGCAAAGAGAAAGAAAAGGTCCAAAAAAAAAAAAAAAAAAAAAAAAACCAGAATATCCAAGAACTGTGGAAAAACAACAAAAGGTGTATCTTATGAATAACAAGAATACCAGAAGGAGAGGAAATAGAGAAAGAAAAAAACCAATATTTGAAATAATATTGACTGAGGATTTTTTCAGATTAGTGTCAGACATCAAATCACAGATCTAGGAAGCTCAGAAACCACCAAGCAAGATAAATATGAATCCCCCTCTTCCCTTCAAAACAACAAACAAACAAAAAACCCTACACCTGGGCATATCATATTCAAACTGCAGAAAATCCAAGATTAAGAAGAAATCTTGAAAGAAGCAAGAAGAAAAAAACACCTTACTTATAGAGGAGCAACAATAAGAATTACATTTGACTTCTACTCAGAAACCATGCAAGCAAGAGAGCGAAGAGAAATATTTAAAGTGTTAAGGGGAAAAACACGTCAACCTATAATTCTGTACCTTGTGAAATTATTCTTCAAAAGTGAAGGAAAAATAAAAACTTTCTCAGACAAACTAAAATTGAGGGAATTTGTTGTTAGTAGACCTATGAATGTTAAAGAAAGTTCTTCAGAGAGAAAAAAAATGATACAGGTCAGGAATGTGGATCTACATAAAGGAAGGAAGAGCATCAGAGAAGGAATGAATGAAAGTAAAATGTAAACCTTTATTTGTAAAATGTTAAATTGATCAAAATAATATTCTTGTTCAAAATAATACCAGCAACAATGTATTCTGTGTGTATATATATGCTTATATACAAGTGGAATGTATGACAGAAATGATACAAGGAACAGGAAGAAGGAATTATGAATATATTTTTATTATAATTTACTTGCATTAACTGTGAAGTAGTACAGTGTTATTAGAAAGTAGACTTTGATTAGTTGTAAATGTATATTGTAAATGTATATTGCAATCACTAAAAAGAGTTTTAAAAAAGAGATACATTTGCTAAGAAAGAAAAGAAAAGAATATATATATAATACATTTATATTATATAAAACATTCATATTTTTATAACATAATACTTATATAAATACTAAATGTAAATATTGTATACATGTATTAATTAAAACCATGAAGTGGATGCAAAGAGCAGAAGACAAAAACAAGAACAAATAATAAGGGCCACAAATAGAAAGCAGTAACAAATATGATAGATATTAACCCAATGATATTAGCAACTGCTTTGAATATCAATGGTCTAAGTGCACTAATTAAAAGAAATTTTCAGAGTGGATCCAAAAAAAAGACCTAACTATATGTTGTCTATAATAAATCTACTTTAAGTATAGAAACACAAATATATTAGAAATATATGGATGAAGAAAGATATATCACGCTAACACTAATTAAAGTGGAAGTGGCTGTATTAATTTCAGATAGAGCAGATTTCAGAGCAAGGAAAGTTATTAGGGATAAAAAGGTGTACTATATAATGATGAAAGGGTCAATTATCCCATGAGAATACATAAAAATCCTTAATGTGTATATGCCTAACAATAAAATGTCACATACTGAAGGCAAAAAAACTAATAGAACTGCAAGGGGAAATAGATGAATCCACTATTATAGTTACAGACTCTAACACTCCTCCATCGGAAATGAACAGATCCAACAGGTGGAAAATCAGTGAGGACATAGTTGAACTCAACAACATTGTCAATCAACTGGATAAAATGGACATCTATATACTGCTTAATCAAACAACAGCAGATTATACTTGCTTCTTAATCTCATATGGAATATTTACCAAGATAGACCACATTTGTGGGCCATAAAACACCCCTTAATATAGTCAAAAGAATAGAAATCATGTGATGTCTGCTTTCATACCACCATGGAATTAAATGAAAAATCAATAACAGAATGTTCGACTCCAAAGTATTTGGAGATTAAACCACACACTTCCAAATAACACATGGATCAAAGATTAAATCTCAAAAGAAATTTTAAAATATTTTGGGCTAAATGAAAATGAAAACACAACTTTAAAATGTGTGAGATGCAACAAAAGCAGTGCTGACATGGTTTGGATCTGTGTCCCCACTCAAATCTCATGTTCAATTGTTTTCCCCAATATTGGAGGAGGGGCCTGGTGGGAGGAGATTGGATCACGGGGGCAGATTTCTCATAAATGGTTTAGCATCATCCCTCTTGGTATTGTCCTTGCAATAGATAGTGAGTGAGTTCTCATTAGATCTGGTCAAAGTGTTTAGCATCTACCCCACTGCTCTCTCTCTTCCTCCTGCTCTGGCCATGTGACATGGCTGCTTCCCCTTTATCTTCCACCATGATTGTAAGTTTTCCAAGGCCTCTCCAGAGGCCAAGCAGATGCCAGCCTCCTGCTTCCTGTATAGCCTGCAGAACTGCGAGCCAGTTAAACCTCTTTTCTTTATAAATTACTCAGTCTCAGGTAATTCTTTATAGCAATGTGATCACAGCCCAATACAAGTGCTTAGGGGGAAATTTATAGCATTTAATGAGTATATTGTATTAGAAGAGAAAAATCTCTAAAATCAGTAATCTAAGCTTCCACCTTAGAAAACTAGGACAAGAAGAGCTAATTAATCCAAAGTAAGCAGAAGAAAATAAATAATAAAAATTATATCAGAAATCATTTAGATTAAAACCAGGAAGTCAATAGATGAAATCAAAGAGACCAAAGGCTTGTTATATGGAAGGACAATAAAATCAATGAGCCTCTAGTCAGGCTAAGAAAAAAAGATAAAAAATTGCTAATATCAGAAATGAAAGAGGGAACAGCACTACAGATCCCTTGTACACTAAAAGGATAATGAATACTATGAAGAATTCTATGTCCGCAAATTTGATAACCTACGTAAAATACACCAATTCCTTGAAAAACACAATCTGCCAAAACTCACACAAAAAGAAATATACAATCTGAATAAGCATATATCTATTAAAGAACTTGAATAGATAATTAAAACCTTTTAGAATAGAAAGGGACAAGTTCACATGGGCTGACTGGTGAATTCTACCAAACATTTAAGAAAGAAATTATAACAATTCTCTACAATCTCTTCTAGAAGACAGAACAGAGAAAATACTCCTAACTCATTCTATGGGGCCAGCATTACCGTAATACCAAAACCAGGCGAAGACATTACAAAAAATGAAAACTACAGATCAATATCTCTCATGAACACAGACGCAAAAATCCTCTTCAAAGTATTATCAATACAAATTCAACAATGTTCCAGGTATACAAGGCTAGTTCAACATTTAAAAATCAACTAACATACTATATCACATGAACAGGCTAAAGAAGGAGAATCACATTGTCATATCAATAGATGCAAAGAAAGCATTTGACAAAAATTAAATGCCCATTTATAATAGATACTCTCAACAAACTAGAAATAGAGGGGCACTTTCTCAATTTGATAAAGAACATCTGCAAAAAACCTACAACTAACATTATACTTAAGAAAAAATAGAAGCTTTCCTGCTACAATTAAGAACAAGCAAGGAGTCTCCTCTCACCATTGCTTCTCAACATTATACTAGAAATCTTAGCTAAGGCAATAAGACAAGAAAATAAATAAAAGGTATACAGATTGGAAAGGAAGAAATAAAATTCTGTTTACAGATCACATGATTGTGTCTATAGAAAATCTGAAAGAATCCATAAAAAACTCCTGAAACTATTAAGTGATTATAGCAAAGTTTCAGAATACAAGGGTAATACACAAAAGTTAATCACTTTCCTATATACCAAAAATGAACAAGTGGAATTTGCAAACCAGAACACAATATTATTTACCTTAGCACCTAATAAAAGGAAATACTTAGGTATAAATCTAACAAAATATTTACAAGATCTATATGAGGAAAACTATAAAACTCTGATGAAAGAAATGAAAAACTATATAAAAGGAAGATATTCTATGTTCATGGATGGGAAGACTCAATATTGTCAAGATGTCAGTACTTCCCAACTTGAATTATTGATTCAATGCAAATTAATCACAATCCCAGCAATTATTTTAAGGATATGAAAAGACCCAGAATAGCCAACACAATATTAAAGGAGAAAAACAAAATCAGAAGACTGACACTACCCAATTTGAGTTACTATAAAGCTACAGTAATCAAGACAGTATAGTAACAGTAAAAGAATGAAATAATAGATCGGTGTAATAGAATAGACAGCTCAGAAAGAGACTCACTTAAAAATAGTCAACTGATCTCTAATAATGAAGCAAAAAATTAAATGGATAAAATATAGTCTTTTTAACAAATGGAGCTGGAACAATTTGCACATCCACAGGCAAAAAAAAATCTAGACACAGACCTTTCACCCTTCATAAAAATTAACTCCAAATGGATCACAGACCTAAATGTAAACTGCAAAACTATAAGCCTCCTAGAAGATAACATAGGGAAATATCTAGATAACCTTGGGCATAGTAATGATTTTTTACATATAACACCAAAGGCACAATCCATAAAGGGATAATTGATAAGCTTGATCTCATTGAAATTAAAAATGTCTGCTCTGCAAAAGAAAGACACTGTCAAGAGATGAGAAGACAAGCCACAGACTGGAAGAGAACATTTGCTAAAGACTAATCTGAGAAAAAGTTGTTATCCAAAATACATGAATAACTCTTAAATTCAACAATAAGAAAACAAACAGCCTGAATAAAAATGGGCAAAAGACTTGAACAGACATTTCACCAAAGGTATACAGATGCCAAACTAGCATATTAGAAGATGCTCAACATCATAAGTCACAGAGAATACAAATTAAAACAATGAGATACCACCACATGCAGTTAGAATGGCCTAAATCCAAAACACTGACAACACCAAATGCTGGTGAGAATGTGGAGCAACAGGAATTTTCATTTATTGCTGGTGGTAATTCAGAATGGTACAGCCACATTGGAAGACAATTTGGCAGCTTCTTACAAAACTAAACATACTCTTACCATATGATCCAGCAATTGCATTCCTTGGTATTTACCCAAAGGAGTTGAAACCTTATGCCTACACAAAAACCTGCACACAAATGTTTATAGCAGCTTTATTCATAATTGCTAAAACTTGGAAGCAACCAAGATGTCTCTCAGTAAGTTAATGGATAAACTGTGGTACATCCAGATGATGGAATATTATTCAGCGCTAAACAGAAATGACTTAAACCATAAAAAGACATGAAGGAATCTTAAATGCATATTGTTAAGTTAAAGAAGCTGATCTGTATGATTCCAACTGTAGAACATTCTGGAAAAGGCAAAATTATGTCAACAGTAAAAGGATCAATGGTTGCCAGGGATTACAGGGGAAGGAGTGGTGAATAGGTGGAGCACAGAGGTTTTTAAGTAAGTGAAAATACTCTGTATGATACTATAACAGTGGATACATGTCATTATACAATTGTCAAAACCCTTAGAATATACAATACCAAGAGTGAACCCTAATGTATGGATTTTGGGTTGTAATGATATATCAATGTAGGCTCATCAATTATAAAAAATAGCATTCTGGTGGGGGATGTTGATAGTTGGGAAGGTTGGGGGCAGGGAGTAGGGGTATGTAGGACATCTCTGCACCTTCCACTCAATTTTGCTATGAATGTAAAATTGCTCTAAAAGTATTCTATTAAAAATATTTACAGAAGCATAAAATATAAAATACCTAGAAATAAATCTGACAAAAGATGTCCAAGACCCCTATGTGAAAATCATGAAGCATTATTGAGAGAAATTAAAGACTTATATAAATAGAAAGACATGCGATATTCATATATTGTATACTTAATATTATAAAGATGATAATTTTTCTCCTGTAGTCTACAGATTTAATGCAAACCTGTGATTCTAAATTTTATATGAAAATACAAAGGTTTAAGGATGGCCAAGATACTCTTGAAAAACAAATGAGAGGACTTGCTCTCCAGGATATGAAGATGTATTGGTTCTAGTAATTAGGACAGTTTGATATGTTTTTATTTTATTATAAATTGATAGTTTCTAATTGTATGTATTTATGGGGCACCAAGTGATGTTTTGATTTATAAATACAATGTGGAAAAAAATAAAAATAAAGCTAATTAACATATCCATCACCTCAAATACTTTAAACTTTTTGTGGTGAGAACTTTTGAAATTTACTTTTAGCAATTTAAAAATGTACTATTTTTATACTATTATAAATAGTATTAATAATAGTATTAATTATGTATACTATTATTAATTCTATTCACCATGCTGTGCAATTGATATTTTAAAAACCTTACTCCTCTCATCTAACTGAGGTTTTGTTTCCTTTGACCATCATCTCCCCATTTGCCCCACCCCCCCATCCACCATTCTACTCTCTGCTTCTATGAATTTGATTGTTTAGATTCCACAATTTTCTTCTTCTTAAAGGCTGAGTAGTAGTCTATTATTTATATATACCGCATTTTCTATATTCATTCACCTGTTGATGGACACTTAGGTTGCCTCCATAACTTGTGCTACATAATAGTGCTACAATAAATGGGAGTCTAGACATCTCTTTGACAAATCTTTTGGGTAAATACCTATAGGTGACATTGCTGGGTCATACAGTAATTCCATTTTTAGTTTTTTGAGAAACCTCCATACAGTTATCAATAATGGCTGTACTAATTTACATTCCCACTAATAGTGTACAAATGTTCCCTTTTCTCCACATCCTTGCCAACTTACCCTTTGTCTTTTTTATAATAGCCATGCTGACGGGTGTGAGATCTGAGGTTTTAATTTGTATTTCTCTAATGATTTAGTAATGTTGAACATTTTTTCATGTATCTGTTAGCTATTTGTATGTTTTCTTTTGAGAGTTATGTATATAAGTTGTTTCCCAATTTTTTAACTGTTTTTTTCTTGCTGTGGAGTTGTCCAAGTTTCTTAAATATTTTGGATATTAACCTTTTATCAGATGTATGGCTTGCAAATATTTTCTCTCAATCTGTAGGTTATTTCCTTTGCTGTGCAGAGCTTTTTAGTTTGATGCAATCCCATTTGTCTATTTTTGCTATTGCTGCCTATGCTTTTGGGGTTAAATGAAAAACTCATTGACCAGATTAATGTCATGTAGGTTTTCCCCTATGTTTTCTTCTAGGAGTTTTACAGTTTCTGGTCTTACTTTTAAGTCTTTAATCCATTTGAGGTGACTTTTTGTATATGGTGTGAGATAAGGGTCCGATTTCATTCTTCTGCATGTGGATATTCAGTTTTCTAAACACCATTTATTGAAGAGACTAGGCTTTCTCCATTGTGAATTCTTGGCACCTTTGCCAAAAATCAATTGACCGTAGATGTGAGAGATAATTTCTGGGCTCTCTATTCTGCTCCATTAGTCTATGTGTCTAGTTTTTTGCCAGTACCATGCTGTTTTAGTTATTGTAGCTTTTTAGTATGGTTTGAAATCAGATAGTGTAGTGCCTCCAGCTTTGTTCTTTTTGCTCATAATTGCCTCTGCTATTCAGGTTTTTGTGGTTCCATATGAAGTTTAGTATTTTTTTCTATTTCTATGAAAAATGACACTGGAATCTTGATAGGGATTGCATTGAATCTGTAGGTTACTTGGACAGTTTTATATTCAGGCAAGGTAGAACAATGGAACAGAGTAGATCATTCTCAAACTCACACACAAATGAACACGATTGATGACAAGGGTGGTACTGTAGAACAGTGGGAAGAGGAGTGTCTTTCCAACAAATAAACCTGGGACAATTGGAAACCCAAATAGGAAAAATAAAACTTGACCACTACCTTCTGTCTAATAAAATGTCAATTCCAGGAGACTAGGCCTAAATGCAAAATGCAAAACAATAAAGATTTGAGAGGTAATATAGGACAATGTCTTCCCTCAGGGTAGGGAAATATTTTTTAAATAAGATACAAAACAAAAATCATAAGAGTTATAAATTGAGTTTCATAAAAATTAAGAACCTCTGTTCCTAAAGAGACACCAATTAAACAAATGAAAAACAAGCCTTGACTGAAGGACTATATCTCAACATATGTAACTAATAAAGGCCTCTTAACCAGAATATATAAAGAATAAGTACAAATAACTAAGAAAAAGGCAGACCTTGGGAAATTGGCCAACAGACTTGAATAAATAATTCTCAAAAGAGGATATCTACATAGACAAGAAACATATGGGAAGTGCTTGACTTCACTAGTAACTAAGAAAATGCCAACTAAAACACCATGAAGTATCCTGACCCCACCCATCAGAATGACAAAAATGAAACTGGCTGACAATACTAACTTTTGCAGATGATAAGGAGCAAAGGGAACCCTCATAGTCTTGATGAGAGTGTAAACTGTTATATTTCCCTTGGAAAGCAGTTAGTCATTGTTTACTGAAGTTGAAGGTATGTGAACCCTATGACCCATCAATTACAAATACTTGCACAAATGTCCCCAAAGTCATAATATACAGGATCCCATTTATGGGCCTCCCCAGATTGCTCTGGACGTTGTCAAGTCCCCAGATCATGATTTTATAACAACAAAGAAGCCTGCGCTCCTGTCCTAGGAGGAAACATTTCATGTGTAGTTACTGATAAGCAAGACCTTAAGATAATTTAGTCTTCTTTCCGTTCCTGGGTTCATTCCCAGACAAAGGTGATGTCAGGCTTGTACTGTGCGCTAAATTCCCACAGCCCAGCGGCTCTGGCTTTTTCGGTAAAATTTTTAGGCGGAAGATAAGGTGCGTTTTTCATTTGGTACTCGCCCTTCAGAAAGGAGCTAACTGTTCAGGATGCCGCTGGTCTTGTTTCGTAACAACGCTAGATGGAGCTCCTTCTTTTCGTTCCTTCTTGACTCTCGCCAGCAGCGTGGGCCCCGCAGTTTCTCACAACCCTGAGCGGGTGCCCTTGCACTTCCCGCAGGACAAGGACGTCGCCGTCCACCACCCAGGAATTAATTCGCGATGTCTTTACTCTGGGGGAGGGTGCAGTGCTCCTTTCCCTCAGGACAGCTAAGAGGCTTAAGGGGTGTTCTAGTCAGCTTCATTCTTCTGCTTCTAGGCAAGCGTGAGATCAAATGATTTCGAACCTACAGTTCACTGCCTTTTCCTTAGAGACGGGAGGGAAGCGGAATCCATGAACTCCCACTTCAGCGACAACCTTGATTATAACCTTCTGAGTAGCAACTATCTCCCCCTAGCATACAAAGAAGGACTCAATACATTTTTTATTGTTTACTGAAAAAATAACATTACATCATCGTAGGGAAAAGGAAGAGAATTAGCAGGAGAAATGAGTAAATGATTGGTCTGTAATCCACATGTACTGGGGTCACTCTGCTCCTGACCAACCTACACCTCCACCCCCACAAAGCTGATAGTAAATTCCTAATGAGAATAGTCTCGGCTTCAGTGTTGCCTCTGCAAGGCAACCATTCATTCTCAAGCAGAGCCTCCATTCATCACCATATCCTCTGCTTTATTTTTCTCATGTATTTATCTGTTCAGTTATTTATTGTCTGTCACTCCATTAGATTGTGAGTTCCCATGGACTTTGTCTATCTAGTTCCAGGCATGGTCCTCATGCTCTGGAATAGTCCTAGGCACATATTGGGTGCTCAATGTTTGTGGAGTGAATGGTCCTGTGATTCCAAGCTCCATCTGGATCCATTTTGTTTATGGGTCTTCTCCTGCCTGTATATGCTGTCTGCATTCCACAGTTTGTCAACTTGTCTGTGGAACTGTAGCCCTTCCTTAGGTGCCCCTGAAAAACCTCCCATAGAAGGTGTCTTTGATGTGAAAACCTCCACTGAAAATTTGGGTAGACAGCGGGAGCTACATAGAGGTGACCAGACAGTCTAACGCTCAACATTCATGTTTCCTGGATTTAACAGTCTCGTCTCCATCCCCATCACTGAGACCATCCATAATGCCCCATCCCGTGGACCCCTCTGGCATCTCAGAGTCTTGCTGTCACCTCTCTCTTTTCATCTCTTTTCCTTTTTTCAACTCTTTTCATACTTTTATGCTGAATAACTCAATTCAACTCTTCCTAGATCCTTCTCTGAGCCCAGGTTTGCCCATCTAAAACCCATCAATGTACTAGCCAAACTACAGAGCAGTCTCCCTTAGAAAACCTAAAGTTCAGAGATAGAACAGTGTTTTCTTATAATAGCGCCCCCTTTTCTTTACAACTAAGATGTTCACCAGTTTATCTGATTCTGTTACTTTACCTTTCTGTCCCCCAAAATAGTTAGAATAAATACCCAGTGTCCTTCCTATCCTCCAACATTTTTAGCTAGAATAAAAGTGATTTAAAAGATGACAGATGGAGACCTTGAGGTAGATAAATAAACCACTAAAAGTATGGAGCCTAAGGCTAAGTGTAGAAGTGGCGAGAGACAGGGAAACTTTCTTTAACCTTGCCTTGATGATTGCCTAAGACGTAGGTGGGGTGTCTGTATTTATTAGCCTAAGATCTGTATTCATAGGTGGGAGGAGTTGAAAAGAGTCATCATTTAGATTCTTGAATTTCCTTTGCTCCCCATAAGCCTCCTCTGGCCTTTCACATGTGTTAAGTAAAACTAGCTGCTGAAACAGATACACCTATAATCTCAGAGATTTAATAAGGTTTATTTTCTATTCACATCAGAGTCCAAGACACATTGTATGGCCTTCCATGTGAACGTTCAGAGGCCCAGGCCCCTTCCACCTTGTGGTTCCTCTTCCTCTTCGTCCTCTCAGTAGCGGGCAGTTAGGGAAAGAGACTGGGAAATACATCTGCTTCTTACCCACTTGGCCATTTACAAAGCTCTTCTGCTCACATTTTATTGGGCGAACCAATTAATTGGCCCATATATGCGTAAAGGTTGATGAGGTTGGGAAATGTAGCCGCTGACTGGCTAGGAAGAACATGGGTTTTTGCAGTCAAATAGCTATGTTTGTCACACCCCTGAAAGCAAATTTTCATCTGGAGATTAGTCTCACGTCGTCGGACTTCTTACCTTTTTCTAGCATCATTTTTTATTGTTTTAAGCATGAGGCCTCTCTCCATCCCGTATAAGCCGCCCAAATGTTTCCCTTTCTCTCAGACTTGCACCCCACTTAACACCTTTCCTATCCCTGAAAAAGTTCATTTATTTGTAGGGGGGCGCATCTATACATTGACCTGTTTCTTGACTCTAGTCTTTCTGTCCTTGGCCAAGACTCTGTCTCTCTGTTTCTGACGCCTCTTCATGAATGCACTGTCGCAGTCTCAGGAGTCCTCAGGGCTCAAAAGAATCCTGATTCCCCCTGCTCAGCCAGGGGCTACATTTCCCAGCCTACCCTATCCATATACCCACTTATGGCTAGTTGGGCGATGTGACTGATTCTTACCAACGGAATGTGAGCAGAAGAGTTCTGTAAAAACCCACAGGGTTATGAAGCAGATGTGGATGGACACGGTGGCTCGCGCCTGTAATCCCAGCACTTTGGAAGGCCGAGGCGGGCGGATCATCTGAGGCCAGGAGTTTGAGACCAGCCTGGCCAACATGGCGAAACCCCGTCTCTACAAAAAATACAAAAAGTAGCCGGGCATGGTGGCGCATGCCTGTAGTCCCAGCTACTCGGGAGGCTGAGGCGGAAGAATCGCTTGAACCCAGGAGGCGGAAGAATCGCTTGAACCCAGGAGGCGGAAGAATCGCTTGAACCCAGGAGGCGGAAGAATCGCTTGAACCCAGGAGGCGGAAGAATCGCTTGAACCCAGGAGGCGGAAGAATCGCTTGAACCCAGGAGGCGGAAGAATCGCTTGAACCCAGGAGGCGGAAGAATCGCTTGAACCCAGGAGGCGGAAGAATCGCTTGAACCCAGGAGGCGGAAGAATCGCTTGAACCCAGGAGGCGGAAGAATCGCTTGAACCCGGGAGGCGGAAGAATCGCTTGAACCCGGGAGGCGGAAGAATCACTTAAACCCAGGGGGCGGAGGTTGTAGTGAGCTGAGATCGCGCCACTGCCGTCCAGCCTGGGCGACAGAGGGAGACTCGGTCTCAAAAAAAAAAAAAAAAAAAAAAAAGAAGCGGATGTACCGTCTCCTTAGTCACTTTCCCCATCTTCCAGCCACTGTGAGGAAGAAACCGCTAGGTGGAAGGGACAGGGGTCTGAATGGTCACATGGGCCATACAACCAGCCGTGGCCTGCTGCCCCACTTTTACGAGGGCGGCTTCACAGAATGGTATCGGATATAAGAAAGTTAGCCTCTGACACCATCTTATCTCCTTTCTGACTTCTGCTCTCTCATCTGGCCACTGTCCCCTGTTTTTCTAGATTAACCACTAAAAGCTTAAGGTATGAGCCTTTCAAAATTGTTTCTTTAATAAAATACTTGAAATTGGAAAAGACTTCAAAAATCATTCATGATATGGAATTATAGGCACCGTGATAGGGAGGGAGATAAAAATATTTTTGAAAAAGGTACTAGCCACAGCCTCTTAAATCTCCTACAGTGATCAATGTCTACCATTTATTGACATTACCACACACTATGGTAAGTACTACTACATGCTTTAATTGAATTTTTTCTACAAACTTAGAAGGTTGATTTAATGTTTGTCTTCTCTAACCTTTGGACATCTGAACTGAGAACTATTGCTGGGAAATCTGCCAAGCTGTCTCTCTCTCCTTTCCTTACTGGGTTTAAAACATCTGCTTATTTTCCTCAGGCATCATAGTTGCATTCTTTTCTCTCCATTCCACTGAACTAAACTGGTGTTTGAGAACATCTCTGTCTGTCTGCCGCCTATCTGCCTACCTATCTAGTTCTCTGTTCATGTTCAAAGTGATTTGAGGCAGTCTTCTTATACATATTTATAAATCCCACAGAACTTAACTGAGCCACTTTTCCATAGAATATGCTTAATAACCATATATTTGAATAATGGATGAATTCCAATTTTCTAAGTTTTACATTCTAACTACTCCTGTAGTTACTAAACCTAACTGGGTATCAGAATCAAGTAGGAGAATTTGTGGCTATATCAAGATTTCTGAGGTTGGGTTTTAGAAATCTTTATTTTTAACTACCACCCCAAGAGATTCTGAAGCAGCCAGCTTGTTTCCAGCCTGCAGACTGGCATTTGAAAACCAATGGACCACTTTGTCTTTCCTCACCCCAGAATCCTATAATATCTCTTTTTCCCTCCAGTATCCTTCCCGCCCTAGCCTTCTTCTCTCAGCAACCAAAAACCAGTAACTGAATTGGTTTATCCTGAGATTCTCACCATGAAACAAAGATATGTTCCCAAAGTCTTTAGCAAATAGCTCTGCTAGACATCAAAATGTTCCCCTACCAATCAGTTCTTATCTGCAAACAGGTGACCATTTCTACAACTCAGATAAAAACCTGAGATCTATTTCCGGGATACTTTTCACCATATTGCTTGTTTTACCCAGTGAGAGACTCTTTCAAGTCCCCACACTGAGTTTTGCCTCTTAGCTATCCTTCATATCTACTTAGTATTTGGGAATCCCTCATTCTCAGATGACCTGATTCTGCTGTTTTCTCATGCTGATCCTACCTGCAACATACTCTTCTGGGGAGCTTTTTGTAAAGAAGCTTTTAAAGTAGAACAAGCAGATTCAAGAAAACTGCCATCTGGTTTCCACGCTGCAGATGCCCACATGAGCCTTGAAAAATCTAGCTGGGGAGGAGGTGGAAGATCCTGTGGGCTGGCTGGTAAAGGAAGAAATGAGAAGGGGACCTTTTTTTCCCTTAATGTTCCTACAGTTGGACCAAATCACCATAATTTGAGACAGAGAGAGAGAGAATTATCACTATTAGGTGAAGAGTGTGGAACATCTAAAAGCTTAAGACAACAACCTTATTTTTATATTCTATAGTCTAGAGACACACATTGACCACCTTCGTAGCTCTTTAGAGATCCCCAAGAATGGAATTCTTATCTAATCATTCCCACTTTTTTTTCCTCTTGCTTTTGCTTTCTGGCCAAACTCCTGGTGTGACTAAAGGAACAAGATTTTCCAGCTATATGTATGCATGTATATACCATTTTAATTATATATATATATATATGAAATATGGGATTATTTTCTACATTTGCTAAAGACAAAGTAGAAGTCAGGCTATAAAAACTTAGTTTGATTTCTAAAATTTAGAGTTTTAGAGGTAAATGAAATCCTAGAGATTATCCAATCCAACCAGGCCTTTTGTAGGGGATAAAGTTGAAACTCAGAGAGACAAGTACATACTTGTTAGGTAGGATTCTATCCATGGTGGCCTCAGTGATAGGCCCCTCAGATCTCTCTTAAAGCAGAAAGATCATTGCTCTGCCACTGGGAGGGCAGTTGGCAGACAACTTTCAACTGTCAGCCTCGTTAGGGTTTGCCTCAGCTGCAGAGAGTAGCCTCACCCAGGATCAGGCGCTTCCTGGGGCAGCCCATATACAACAACTGATTGAGAGTATAAAGGCCCAACATTTTGACTTAATGAGGGACACCTTTATTGGCCTTTTTGTCTCCCAAGCTCCCTGTGGGGTTGGCTGAGGCTATCAGGCAGTCAGTGGGCCTGCTTTGTGGCTTGACTTCTCCCTGTGCTTTCCTCCCTAACCCCCACCCAGTGTTGATCGCAAGAGCACTACTCAATAAACTTCTTACACACTAACTTTTATCTTAGAGAGTGCTTCCCAAGGAACCCAACCTGGAATAAGAACCAAAATAAAAATTGTGTCTCCTAGCTCCTGCTAAAATGTTCGTGCTAGAAGTACGTGTGTGTGTGTGTGTGTGTGTGTGTCTGTGGGTGTGTCTGTGGGTGTATACGTGTTCATGTGTTTGGATGACTATGTGTCTGCATGCATTCTCTGTCTCCCTACTTCCTAAGAAACTTCCCATTTTGGGGGTGGGACTATAGCTCTTATTTTTCTCCATCATGCACTGCCAGGCTTTTGCCTCTCTAGCAAGATGGTGCTCATCTGGTCTAAATGAATGATTCATGTTGCTTAGCTCAGCTTGTACAAGATTAATAGCAAACTCACATCCTAGCAGTGAATGAGTGACTCATTGAGAAAGCAAAGATCACAAGAAGAGAACTGTAAGGATCCCTGTAGTCTTCTAGCTCATCTACTGATAGTGACCCCCAGAAAACCACTGGATGGTCACCCTCGTTATAGCCAGAGTACTCTATCAGACATCATAAAAAATGCTATATATTTTTATGTTTTCCCCACCTCTACCTCCTTCATGCTTTTGAAATTGCCTGTCCTCTATGAGCTAAGGCAACAGTAGGAAAGCCATCACTCCTTTGTGCCATCTCAGCTACCAGCCTCTCTCCTGGTTCCTTAGCTGCCCCTTGCCTCACCCCAAACAAGCTTGACTATGAGTCAAGGACAATTGCCCCCACACCCCACCAGCTAACCCTGGGCAATACTTCTTCCTTTTTCTTTATACCTTTCCCGTTTCACTGAGTATCTTTGACTAGCTGAATGATCTCGGATAGCTTGCTTAAGTTCTCTCACCCTCAGTGTCCTCATCTGGAAATGTGAATCATGGTACTACCTTGCAGGGTTGCTGTGAGGGCTGAACAAGATCATGGTGTGAAAGGTCAGGGCCCAAAGCTTTGGCCACAGTGGACATCCAACTCCCACAGCTCTTCCTTACTGGCAAGGAGTCTCCTGATCCAGTCTGTCTATGCTGTTAAACTTCCTTTCTCAAACACTGTCCTACCCTCTTCCATACACCTCCTCTTAGCAAAGGAAGAATAACATTCATAATGCTTTCTCCATTTTCCTAAGTTCAGAAGAAATGCCCAGGTTATATGATCAACTGGAAAATAAACATACGTGTACAGCGCATTACTTCAATAAGACCCAAACTTATCCAAAATTCTGTTGTTCTTAAGGGCATCTGTATCCATTATGCACATGTAAAATAGCTGCACATTTTAAAAATATTCTCACAAATTTGAAAGGGAATTCTAAATGTATACCACATTTTTAACCACTTTGCTGATTACTTAGGTATTTTCACCTCTCTCTGCCCTTGCTGTTTATTTCCCATGAACATTACATCGTAGGCGTATTGACACACAGACGTTTTAAAGTCTTCTCATTTTAAGCCATTCTTCCTTGAAGATTTCTCACCACTATCCCGTCTACTCCTCTTAAGAATGAAAATATCAGAGGGATAAGGGAACAAATCATATAACTAAAAAGAGAGTTACATATTTGATGAACAAATAGCGTTGTTGGGTTATAGAAAAGACAAGCTAGTGCTTTCAAATATGTGGCCATATTCTAACTCTAGAAGGCCCTGAATCTGTTTTTCAACTGAGGATAATGATGGGAAAGAAGAAACAGAAAAATACTGAGGAATGAAACTAGAGGGAAATATTTTAAAACTTGGTATGTATTTTTGGAGTAAAATTATAAAACTGAAAGTTGATAAATATGGCAAAGAAGAAAAAGAGCATATTATGAAAGATTTTCCTATGGCCTTGGTAATGCCATCTGCCTTATCAAACACATTTTAATGCCGGGACACTTTTATTTTTATTTCTAAGTTATTATCATTATATTTTATGTTGGAGAACTTATTTACCAATATCACAGTTATTTTGGATCAAATCCTATCCTCCAGGTTTCTAACAGGAATGTCAGAGAATAAAGAAATACAATGGTTTTGACAAAATCCACACAATGAGAATATAGGACATCCTTTTCCTATACTATAGAGTTTCAATACATTTGCTAAGCGGAATGAACATTTATGGAACATTAACTCTGTGCTGAGCACTGTTGTAAGAACTTACACATATTAGCTCATTTTTTTTTCACAAAACTCTTGTGAGCTGGGTACTTCACTTTACAGTTGCCTTACATTTTGCACATTATAGTTCTTCACTTGACAGTAGAAGAAACTGAGGTAGAGATGACTGTCATCTGGCAGGCAGCTATCTCTGCTTCCGGTTTTGACTCTGCCATGACTTGGGACATGAATTTGAGCCTCACAGTTCTGGACTGTCAGTTTCTCATCTGTAAGATGGAGATACTTCATTGAATCATCTCAAAGGACTCCTCTTCCTTGAAAATACCCTGATTTGGGGCTTCTATGTTTTGGTCCTAGGAAACTACATTTTGGAATTCCTAAAACATTTTTTGTTATTTTTTTAATGGAAAATGAAGACTATTGTGATTAAAACCTCAGCATTTGTCAAGGTACAGAATGGTGTTGCCTGCGGAGTTTGTCTTGGGAATGATGAATTAATTTGTTATTTATTTTGCCCTATTCTGCTATCCAACATTAGAACTTATAACTTCTGGAACACTAACTGTATGTTTTTTTCCCGTAAATTACTGGGGTACAGGTGGTGTTTGGTTACATGAGTAAGTTCTTTAGTGGTGATTTGTGAGATTTTGGTGCATCCATAACCCATGTATACACTGCACCATATTTGTAGTCTTTTATCCCTCGCCCCCCTCCCACTCTTCCCCTCAAGTCCCCAAGGTCCGTTGTATAATTCTTATGCCTTTGCATCCTAATAGCTTAGCTCCCACATATCAGTGAGAACATACGATGTTTGGTTTTCCATTCCTGAGTTACATCACTTAGAATAATAGTCTCCAATCTCATCCAAGTCAATGCAAATGCTGTTAATTCATTCCTCTTTATGGCTACATAGTATTCCATCATATATATATATATCACAGTTTCTTATTGATTGATGGGCATTTGGGTTGGTTCCACGATTTTGCAATTGTGAATTGTGCTGCTATAAACATGCGTGTCCAAGTATCTTTTTCGAATAATGACTTCTTTTCCTCTAGGTAGATAACCAATAGCAGGATTGTGGGATCAAATGGTAGTTCTGCTTTTAGTTCTTTAAGGAATCTCCGCTGTTTTCCATAGTGGCTATACTAGTTTAAATTCCCACCAGCAGTGTAGAAGTGTTCCCTGTTCACCACATCCACGCCAACATCTACTGTTTTTTGATTTTTTGATTATGGCCATTCTTGCAGGAGTAAGGCGATATTGCATTATGGTTTTGATTTGCATTTCCCTGATCATTAGTGATGCTGAGCATTTTTTCATTTGTTTGTTGGCCATTTGTATATCTTCTTTTGAGAATTGTCTATTCATGTCCTTAGCCCACTAAGGGCTAAGGGATTGTTTGTTTTTTTTTTTTTTCCTTACTGATTTGGTTGAGTTTGTTGTAGATTCTGGATATTAGTCCTTTGTCAGATGTATAGATTGTGAAGATCTTCTCCCACTGTGGGTTGTCTATTTACTCTGCTGACTATTCCTTTTGCCGTGCAAAAGCTCTTTACTTTAATTAGGTCCCAGCTATTTATCTTTGTTCTTGGGTTCTTGCTTTTGGGATCTTGGTCATGAAATCCTTGCTTAAGCCCATGTCTAGAAGGGTTTTTCCAATGTTATCTTCTAGAATTTTTATAGCTTCAGGTCTTAGGTTTAAGTCCTTAATCCAGGAAATGATGAATTTATATTTCAAGCAGGAAAGAATAAGAAATTGGGTCAATGTACTTCAAAAGAGAAAATATATGTAAAAGCTTAGAAGAGGGTAGGATGTGGAAAATATTTCAAGGATAGGTAAGTGAGGGATAAGGGAGGGGAGTTGAACATCACAACATATTTTTCCTTTGAGAAGACCATCTGCTGAAATTCTGAACATGAGAACAAAGTGGGATTTGAAGGATCTGGAATAAATGAAGTGAAAGAAATGCTGAGAAATCTTTAGACTGAGCAATTTCTAGACAAGTGAAGGGAAGTCATGTGACTTGTCCTGCTGGTCCATCCAACCAAAGTATGTGAGTTCTTAGACAGCAAACTATGCTGAGAGCTCTCTGACTGAAAGGGTGTGATTCAAGGAACACAGTAACAGAGAGCCCCACAGCAAGGGGCTTGGAAGGATGTTGAGGAGTGCAGGCATTTGGCACATAGGAACCGAAATAGGAACAAGGAGTGTGGATTATATTACACAGAATGAAACAGCATTTTAGATGAGGAAACTATAGAACATTAAAACTTCTAAGATCTTATATGTCATTTTCTTCTCCTGCTTCCTCTCACAGATGAGAACACTGAGGCCCAGTAAAGTGAAGGGACTTTACAAAGCTCAGTGTCCTTGAAACCAATGTATTGAGGATGAAAAGCAGCATGAATTTTAGGAACAGATTTAACATTCAAAAAATACTCTCTTTTGCTCCCTTGAATATAGAAATATGTTTTTCTTAAAGAATGCACTAAGTGGTAATCCTTGGACCCTTCAGAAATCATTTTGAAGGTTATACTATTAATTTATCATGTCTTCTAAACTGCCAATGTGTTTTCCTTATGTAAGGAATTATGAATCAGCTTAATTAACAAGCTTATCTGTATTGTTTGTATAGTGCCTAGTTTAGGGTAACATTAAAAACAAAAGCTATTTTAAAACACAAGAATTAAAGCAACAGAAAAGCATTTATTTTAAAAATCTACCAAACACAAAAACCCTCCTTAGAAGAAGCAGCAATGATGCAAGGGCCTGAGAAGCTAAATAAAAGGAAAAGAAAATCTACCCATGGTTATTTTTAGCAGTTGTAGTTTTAAAATTTTATGTGGCTAAAGTAAAAAGTAATCCATCAGAATGGAAATTGATTAATCACCAAAAAATAAAGAATAAAATGGTTTGTGTTTTCAGTGACTTAAAGAATGTTTTAATCTAGCTGCCAGATCTACAACCTACTATAGTTCTTCACATCTCATGTTTCAAAAATGGCCAAATCTGCAAAGAGGAAAATAGAAAAATGCTTTGAAAGCATTTTTTTATAATTAGAAACTCAGATTTCAAGTGAGTCCCCAGAGCCTATCTCCAATAGCCAGTGTAGAGTCCATGACATGGATCTAAGGGATGGATCTGGGGCATCTTTCATTTCCTCTTCTATCTTAAATCAGACTGTCACTAACATTTGGTCCTGCCTTTGCAAGAGGAGCCAGTTTCCATCCCTGCTTTTTGGCTCCTGATTCTTCATGAGGGCTCTTGAAAATACATGCTCCAGGCACTGTAAGAAGGCCAGGAATGAAGGGCTTTGGAACAGAAAAGGGGCCTTTGTGTTTGCCTTAGTTTGTTCCTGCTGCTATAACAAAATACCCAAGACTGGATAATTCATAAACAGCAGATATTTATTTCCCATGGTTTTGAAGGCTGGAAGTCCAGAATCAAGTGCCAGCAGGTTCCACGTCTGCAGAGAGTCTGGTCTCTGCTTCTAAGATGGTGTCTTGATGCCACATCCTCTGGAGGGAATGAACACTGTGTCCTCACAGGGCAGAAGGGATGGAAAGGCAAAAAGGGCTGAACACTGTGTGAAGCTTCCTTTCATAAAGACCTTAATTCCATTAACAACTGAAGAGTCCTCATGACCTAATCTCTTCCTAAATGCTCCACCTCTTAATACTATGGCTTTGGGGGATTAAGTTTCTATATGAATTTTGGAGGAGACAGAGACATTCAAACAACAGCAGCCTTCTTTCCCTTTGATTGAAGAAAGAAACTAGCAGTCCAGTGGCCTCTGGCATGCAGAGCCTGTGGGCAGCATCTGCCCCTGTGGAGAGGAGAGGAGGGAAGATGTCGTGGCTGACATTCTTCTTGACCCTTGAGGCTGCTCTTCACTGCCCTGGCATTTCTCCTAGTCAGGCCAAAAGCAAAGAGCTGACTGCAACGAGCTGAACAACCTGTCTTTGGAAGGAAGTCTCTCCTGATGGCTTTGAGGACCCAAGTGGAATGAGTATCATAGGCAAATGCTGTAAGTTGGGATTTGGGCCATTTCAGAGAATCAGATACCTCTTGCACATATCCTTTTTGAGAGTAGCCTTAAGTGCCATGTTACCCCATCTGTAGCTGCCCAGTGGCTCTTGGGGCCATTCAGACAACAGCTATTCCTACAGTCAAACTTTTTCCTGTTTGAGAAGAGGGTCCAGACATACTGAAGAGTAGTTTTGAGCTTGTCCTTTGCAGGGCTTACTGAGAGCGTCAAAATTACTTGCAAATTGGCCTGGAGAGTTTACAGCTAAGAGTTTTAGTAAAGATTTCTCTTTCAAATTCATCTCTTTGTCTGTACCATAGCTTTTTTCAGCTACCAGTGTTTCTCCTCTGGATTACTGTGACACTCTTAATTGATCTTATTGCCTCAAAGCCCTTCTCTTCTGTATCACCTGAAGAATGTTCTGGAATCACTGATCTGCCTCCTGCGCTCATAGCCTTGCACTACCTACCACTTGTTTTCTGCTGGGCATCAATGTCCTCTAGAATCTGGCTCTCTTCATCACCTCCTGTTCCTACTTCTCACCTCACCACATGGGCCAGCCTTTCCCCATTTGATTTTCTGGCACATAGTACAGACTTGTTTTCAGATGTTAGGCCTGATATCACCTCCTGTGGGACAACTGCTCTGACTCCCTCCATCTGGGTTGAGCATCCCTTTCCAGTAGACTTGGCTGTGCACACATTCATTGCCCTGACCAGAGTGTGAGCCTCTGGAGGCCAAGGGCTGTGTCTCATTCTCAAGTCCCCTGAGCCTGGTCCAGGACTTGACACTCAACCCATGTTTGGGGAATGAATGAAGGGTGTCAGGGACTCTGTCAACCAGAGAGGAAGAACTGCCTGCCACTAGTAGCTAGATCTTGCTGCTTCTTCCATTTTCCTTTCTTCACTGAGGCTGAATATGCCAAGATTCCCCAGTCCCCTTCAGCAGCCAGGAGGAGGGTGAGGAGAGGGGAGCCTTTGTTCCTCCTCCAGATGGCTGAAGCTGGGATGGAGCCCAGCAGCTGTGTTTGGGTGGAAGGCGAGAGGGCAGATGGCCTGGTGTCTGTCTGCAGACAGCCTGAGAGGCTATAGCCCTGGTGCAAGGCACTCTTTGTGGTGAACTCCACAGGGCAGTGGTGGCATAGAGCAAACGCCAGGGCAGGGCACTGTGCTAGCATTCACCAATCAACACTGGCTGGTGTGATCTTGAGACAGCAAAAAGAGAATCCTTTATGCATGAGACCCTCGTGTTTCTGGTGGTGGCTTTTAACGTTTCAATCTAAACAAAGCCTTTTCTATATGAAAACTCTCTTAATTACTATCATTTAAACATTGGTTTAACACAAGCAAGCCTCATTAGGTTTCAGTTTTGTTTTCTGCAAATTTTGGCAGCCATTGAATTATTCACCCAACCAATGCTGGTGGTGCGGGGGCAGTTGGCAGAGGAGGGGGGGTCTTCCTTCATTGCTGAAAATATTTAGAACCAGAATATGATACCGGGCCTAATAATTTGTACTAGGACAGTAGTCACATGCTTAGAACCCAAGGTGCTCACTGATGTCCTCCTATCATCAGGAAATTTTTTCTTTCTTTCTTTTTTTTTTAAAAAAAAAAAAAACCAAAAAAAAACCCAGGATCCTTGGAGGACCAGAGTGAGAGCTAGAATCAACATTGCTACCACCTTTCTGGCTGCCCCTTCTCTCTTGATCCAAAGTCAGTCATTCCAAAAGGCAAGGCACAATGTCATACCTGTGTTCTGAGGATATATGGGTGGCTCCTTAAGATGACAATTTGTAATGGACACATTTATGAAATAAACTCCAAATCCAAGATTCTTTAATCATCCATTTTGGTAACCTTTTTCTTAATTAAACACTCAAGCTACAATGTGACTTAAAATCACATTTTAGTTTCTGCACATACTAAAATCGAGCATTTGAAAGATGTGTTGTCATGGTGCTGTCACATTGCATAGGTATAAACTATCTTCTCCCCAAAATCATTTTTTTTAATTATCATACTTTAAGTTCTGGGGTACATGTGCACAACGTGCAGGTTTGTTACATAGGTATACATGGAATACTATGCACCCATAAAAAAGGATGAGTTTATGTCCTTTGCAGGGACATGGATGAAACTGGAAACCATCATTCTCAGCAAAGTAACACAAGAAGAGAAAACCAAATGCCCAAAATGATTTTTAACAACAATAAGGAATTAAAATCTACTGAGAATTCACTGGGGGCATCCTGGTGAGGAAAGTGGAATTGTCTTCTTTCCTGCCCTCTCCCCCAAAATATACATTCCCACATACCAGGGGGAGGGAACCCCCAGCATTAGAATATTTGTGATTCTTTAAGACATCTGTTAACAAAACAGTTGTGGCCAGAGAGTTCCTGGATTTCCTTCTTGTGCCTGACACCTTGGCGTCCCCTCACCAAGGGTTTCTGGCTGCCATCTAGGCTTTGCCTGAACTGACCAACATGGCAGCCACTAGCCACATGAGGTGACTAAAATAAAAATGTAAATTAAGTAAAATTAAATATATTAAATTTTCAGTGCCTCAGGCACTGAAAGTGCTGAGTCACTTTCAAGTCACATTCAAGTCACATTTCAAGTGCTCAGGAGGCGCGTGCAGCTACTGGCTACTGTATCAGACAGCACACATATAGAGCATTTTCATTATCACAGAAAGTTCTATCAGACAGCACCGCTTAAGACTAACTAGGCAATTCACTCCAGCATCAATTCAGGCTTGCTTGATTTTATGATTAAATTGACTCGTTGTTTGAATTTATTAATCAGTTTAGTTGGAATAACTGTGCACTCAGGCAGCTGTTGAGATGACAGAAGTGATTTGTTCCATAAAATGTTAATGGCAAGAGTACAAGTATGAACAATAGTAATAGCTGACATTTACTGAGCACTTATGCTTCAGGCACTGCGCTAAGGACTTAACCTGCATTATCTCATAATCTTGGCAACAACTTTATTATTATCCCAATTTAACAGGAGGGAAAAATTAATAGCACAGGTGCAAAGGGTCTTTAGCATTCATCTCTTTGACCCTCTCAGTTGACAAAGCTCAGACTCTGAAGTTGGACTGCCTGAATTTGATTGAGTGGCCTTGGGCAAGTAACTTAACCTCGTTGTGCCTCAGTTTTCTCATCTGTAAATGGAGAAAATAGTAGGCCCTGGCTGATAGATTATTGTGAAGTTTCAACATGAACAGTTCATATGAAGTACTAAGAACACAGTAAGTGTTAACTGCTTAGATTATTTATTGTAGGTGAGGAAAATCCAAGGAGATTAATGCCCAAGGTCACATAGTCAATAAAAGCCCAGTACTCTTTCCATTATACAAACTCTTCTTGCATGTAAGTCACATTGTGCCCTCCTTCCTTACCCCCACAAGCTTTCACTAGCTTGGCCCCTTTTATCTTAATCACTTAGCAGCCAACTGCTAGTATGATGAGTGACATCAGCACTTTTGCTTTGGCAAAGTCTGCGATGACTGTCCCATGGAGGCAGCCAATTTCCAGAGCTTTCTGGCTTGGTGACATGTGGAGAATAACCTAGATGATCTCCAAGGTCCCTGTCACTCCCAACGTTCTCAGATGATTTAAGCTAAGAAAGCAAAGGCAAGTTTCCCTATTAGGTAAAAGAGAACACATCTTTTGACCCAGTTGTCTGGATCTTAAGGTTTTTGTTTTCTTTTTTCTTTTTTTCTTTTTTTATTTTTAGGAGAGAAATAGTTGAAAAAAAGAAAAAAGATTAGCTCACTAGACTAGCAATATCCTGGCAGTCACTTACACAGCACTTTTTATTTATATGGAGCCTCAGTTACCTACATGTGGGTATGTTAGAGTGGTCCTGATGCCAGGCACTGCCTGAGATACTCTTTTTGGTTCACGCTTATGCTGACCCAAGGTGCTCACGTTAGAGTACTTGGTTTTCTTAAGAGGATGTCAACTCATTGAGGTTTCATGTGATTGGATCTGTCTGTTCCTACCTGAAAATTTGAGGATTGAAGAGAAAAATTCTCTTTAACCTCCGCACCAGGAATGGCTGCACAACTCTTGAGCAGCTGATTGGTTTCTATCTTATAGACACTGAATACATAATTCATAGTATTTTTCTGATCTTGTTGGCTGCTACAGCCAAATTTGCAACCTGTTTCTAGCAATATGGCATGGATTTGGTACACAAAACCTACCCCTGGTGGCTTTTTCATATTTTTTCCTATCGTCGTTTCAATTCTTCAATTATTTTCAGCACTATGCAGGATAGAGGATATAAATAATAAAGGTAATCTCTGGTCTAATTTCAGGACCTGGAAAAAGCCCCGGGCATCCCAGGCTATTCAGTTTTCTCCAAAGGGCTTAGGCCTTCTCATTTTTTAATTGCACAAAAAATATAAATTGTGGACACCACAGATGCTATTGTTCCCTGTGGTGTGATGGAGTGTTGCACAGATCATGTTGTGCTATGGGAGAGGGGTAAGAGAAAAAGGTACTGGTTATAAAAAAGAAAAAGGCAAAAAGGGGATCCAAAATATAAAAGGAAAGAATTAGAATTGAGGGGGTTAGCTTGGAGACACTGGAGATAAATTTGCCTGCATGACTGTTTTTCCATGAGCCAATCTTCAGCACTCATCAGCTCCATCTGGCACAGGTACCCAGGGAGGCCTTCTGCAGTGCAGTTTTAAAATCTACTTTAAGCTTTCTATGGCAGTAATTCTCAAACTATTTGCATATGGATCATTGTAATTCTTACCAAAATTATTTTGATTCAGTAGATCTTGGATGGGGCCTAAGATTCTGCATTTTTAACAAGGTTCCAGGTGATGGAGATGCTATGAATTCAAGATCCACACTTTGAATATCGAGAATCTACAGGTCTTATATGGCAGCAGTTGGCAATTGGGGATTTCTGGACTCACGATCTTCTGGGTCCAAGCCATCTTTTCCAGTCTTGCTAGTGAAGATCTCTGAGGTTTAAAGTCAGCATTACTTGGATTTCCATACATTGCTGATCATAATGTAAAATAGTGCAGCCACTTTGGAAAACAGCCTGCCATTTCCTCAGAATGTTAAACATAGAGTTATCATATGACCCAGCAGTTCTACTCCTACGTATATACTTAGGAGTAATGAAAGCCTATGTTTATGAATAAACCTGTATACAAATACTTATGGCTGCATTAATTCATAATAGCCCAAAAGTGGGAATAGCCCAAATGTCCACAAACTGATGAATGGATAAAACTGTGGGTTATCCATACCAGAGAATATTTTTCAGCAATAAAAAGGAATGAATTACTCACACACGCCACACCATGGATGAATCCTGAAAACGTTACGCTAAGTGAAAGAAGCCAGTCATAAACATCCAGGTGTTGTGTGATTCAATTTATATGAAATACCCAGAATAGGCAAATCTATGGAGACAGAAAGGAAATTAATTGTTGCCAGTGGCTCAAGGGAGGTGGAAAGGGGAGTGACTGCTAATGGGTACAAGGTTTTTTTGGAGATGATGAGAATGTTCTGAAATTAGATTGTAGTGATGGCTGCACACCTCTATAAATATTAAAAGCCACTGAATTGTACACTTAAAGTGGGTGAATTTTATAGGTGAATTATATCTCAAAGCTGGTAAAAGTCTTGTAGAGGTAGAGGGGTGCAGAGTATATCTTAAGAAAGCCTGCATGCACTGCCTTCTATCCAAGCAGTAGTTCTCTGCCCTATCTGGGGGTTCATGCTTCCCCTTCTCCTTGTTGGGAAACCCTACACCTCATTATATGCTCTCTCAGGTCTTGGTGATGTATCTATATTTAAAGTAATCTCACCCAGATTTTTTGAGTGTGCTAGAATATTGGGTTATTAAAAATAGGCTGTGAAACATCAGAAAAATTTCAAACTTTTAATGCTCTAATTTTAATTTCTAATTAAATGAACACTTCATCTGACGTTGCAACAGAGTGCACGCTTCGTACTGTCAGTAGTGTTGTGACAACAAGCCTGAGTTAAAAAAGTTATGGAAGCTCAGGTCAATTGACTTTTCCTGCTTTGCTTATAAGACCTCAATTCCCACTTAGAGTCCATAAATATCTGCAAAACCAAACCAGCGAGAACGTTGCTCAAACCTTGCTTTTAGAATGATAATTTACTTTCATTTAATAAATATGGGCACTTCGTCTTCTGTATCTGTTCTCAAAAAGCTGATGCTATATTATTTACTGATAAATAAAATTTGGAAATCTGCATCAGACCTAATGGATATCAATACCTTTAATTTAAAGGTGGATTTTCTGTCATAAATATACATTTTAAAATGTAAATAAAATTAATAACTTGTGCTTGCAATTTAAAGGATTTACCACAATACAAAAAAATCCTCAGCTGATGGGTTTTTTTTTTGACAATGCTAGCTTTGCATGTGAATGGAGAAGCTCATTCCTTACAGGGTGTGATTGGCAACTGGCCAATTGCCCTCTCCTTTCCCATCTTCTGCCCACCCTGTCCCAACAGTCTCCATTGACTATGACTGAAATTACACAGTTAAAGGTTTAGTTATTTCACTGGCTTAGTTATTGCTCTACTGATCTTTTTAAAAAATACAAAAACCCTTGGGAGAAGCATATTTAACACTTTTGAATCACCAATACCTTGGCTAAATAGATTCCTTATCAGATAGTTTTCACCCTGATAACTCAGAGCAGCACTCAGCAAAAAGGGAATCAGAGGCCTGGTGCATCCCCTAAGGTCATCATTACTTAGTTCAGAGGCTTAGTTTCTTTATTTACAAAAAGAGAACAATGGGCCAGGCTCAGAGGCTTATGTCTGTAATACCAGGACTTTGGGAAGCTGAAGGAGAAGGATCATTTGAGCCTAGGAGTTTGAGACCAGCCTGGGCAACATAGTAAGACCTTGTCTCTACAAAACAAATTTTTAAAAAATGAGCTGGGTGTGGTGATGTACACCTGTAGTCCTAGTTATTTAGGAGGCTGAGGCAGGAGAATCACTTGAGCTCAGAAGTTCTCTAGGCTGCAGTCATAGGCTGCAGTCAGTCATGATCATGCCATTGCACTCCAGCCTGGGTGATAGAGCAAGGCTCTGTCTCAAACAAAACAAAACAAAAAACCCAGATATAAAAATGTTTAATAAAATTTAAGCACATCAAATTTAACATTATATAAAAAGAACAGTACTTTACAACAAAGTCAGGTTTACAAGGGGCTTGCTCTCTAAAAACAGCCTTCTTCTTTCCCGATAGATTGTAAGTCTGTGTTTGTAAAGTCATGATTCTCTGTAAGAAGATGAATTGTATGGATGACTATTTTACTATTGGTTACTGCTGCATCTATCAACTTGGGGAGAAATGTATTAGAGACAAAATAAAATGGTTTTAATCTTAAAAGAAAAGAGAGAACAATGGTGGTGGTAACATCTGCCTTGCCAGCCTCCCAGGTAGAATCACAGGTGGTGAGTCAGACAACTGTGAGTTTACAAACATGCAACACAGCAGCAATCAATGAACCTTCATGATGTGCTGGACGCTGTTTAGGGACCCAAATAGACCATTTCACCACCACTGCATGCAGATCTGAAAAGTCCTATTTTCTACATGCTTCCTTTGGAAAACACAAAATGGGTTAGATTTTTTCCCAATCTCTTGTTATAAAAATTTTCAATCATATATAGAAGTTGAAAGAAACTTACAGTGAGCACAGATGTATCTACCACCTAGATTCTACAATTAACATCTTACAATATTTGTAACATAGTGAGACCCCGCCCATCTCAATTTTAAAAAAGGGAGAAAAGGGCCAGGTGCAGTGGCTCACGCCTGTAATCCCAGCACTTTGGGAGGCCAAGGCGGGTGGATCACCTGAGGTCAGGAGTTCGATACCAGCCTGACCAACATGGAGAAACCCCGTCTCTACTAAAAATATAAAATTAGCCAGGCATGGTGGCACATGCCTGTAATCCCAGCTACTCGGGAGGCTGAGGCAGGAGAATTGCTTAAACCTGGGAGGCGGAGGTTGCAGTGAGCAGAGATCATGCCATTGCACTCCGGCCTGGGCAACAAGAGTGAAACTCCGACTCAAAAAAAAAAAAAAATAAATAAATAAATAAAATAAAAATAAAAATAAAAAAATAAAAGCCCTAAGGAAAAACGAATACTACAAAAAAACTTTAAACAGCTCTCATTGCTGGTTTCAGTTGTGTGCTCTACACCTGAAGAAATGCCCAAGGAAAAAGATATGATTTTAAAACCAAATAAAGGTTTGTCTCCCTGAGGGGCCAATGGTTTCTGTATCAAAGGCAGAGAAGGCACTGGAATACTATAATCTGGAATAGAAGCTTTTTGGAAGATAATAACAAACACCTTGCAATAGTATTGAATTGCATGTTCCAAACGCAGTCATTCAAGTATCCTTTCACTGTACTTGCCTCAACATATTAATAGTTTTCTTTAAACTAATTTGTCTTTTACTTAGATACATATATTTTAAAAAGAGATCTTATATCATTCCCATGGGTAGAAAACCAGGAGTATTTGCCATAAACAGAAACTAACTTGAAAATTAGTGCCATGCAAACCAAACAATGTTGTTAACTTTTAGCTCCATCCTGGGGCTTGATAAAAGCTCTGAGCCTGGGCCTGTTCTCTGTTTAAACAAGAAAAATAGCAAGATAGGCAAGAATTAGAGAACTGTTAAAACTTTCAAGTGGAAACTCTTCTTGATTTAATTAGAAGGACTGAAAGATAATTTAAAAGAATACATTTCTTAGTATGTGATTCAGTATAATATAAAATCAACTCCTTGTACTATTTTGTGTACCATCATGGTATACAACCCAGACCGGGTTTCCATCTCAAGAAGCAAGAAAAAGAAATACAAATGAAACAAACCAAAAAACAAAAAGACTGGAAATAAAGAAAAAAGGAGAAATCAATGAAATAGAAATGGAGGTAGAAACAAAATATGAATAACACAAAAAATTGTTTTATTGGAAAGAGCAATAAAATTGATAAATTCTGACTATAAAATTAAGAAGGAAAAAAAATCACAAATTACCTATGTCAGGAACTTTAAAAGAAGTATAACTACAGATCCTAAATTTTAAAAACAAAATGCCAAAAAATTTTACAACATTGTTGAAATGAACAAATTCCTTGAGAAATGTAAATTATTTAAACTGACGCAAGAGGAAATAGGAAAAATAAGTAATCCTATATTGATTTTAAAAACCAAATCTGTAATTAAAAGCCTGCCCCACCCCAGAAAACAGAGCAAAACTGTACGTTCGGATGGCTTTGTTGATAAATTTTTCTGAATACTTAAGGGAAAATTAATATACTTTTCAAGAAGAATGAGGAAACAATTCCAAATTTGGGGGTTTTATGAGGCCAGCATAATTCTAATATCAAAAACTGCCAAGGACATTCTAAGAAAGGACTATTATAGGCCACTATGTTTTAAGAGCAAAGACATTACAATCCCAAACAAGATAACATTAATAAATTGAATCTATTGATAAAGAAACAAGATTATACATTGACCAAGTGAAGCTTTACGAAACTATAAAACTGATTATTATTCAATAATTGATCAAAGTAATTCACCAAATTAACAAAATAAAAGAGAAAAATCATAATATCACCTCAATATATGCAGAAAAAGCATTTGACAAAATTCAAGTTATGCATGATAAAATCTCTTAGTAAACTAGGATAAGATGGGAACTTCCTTAATCTGATCAAGAGTACCTATAAAATTCTTAAGGTTAACATTACATAAATGGTAAAATAGTGATCTCCTTACCCCCAAGGCCAGAAATAAGACAAGAATGCCCACTATCACCACTAGTATTAAGCATTATGTTGGAGGAAATAACCAGTTCATTAAGGCAAGAAAAAAATATATATAAAGGTTGGAAATGAAGAAGTGACACTGTTTTTAATCAGACAACATAGTGGAATATACATAGATTTATCCAGTAACCTTGCTAAATTGAATTAGATATTCAAGTGTTAAGATGTCAGTTCTTCCCAAATTGACCTACAGATTCAATGAAATTCCAATCAAATTCTAGTAGATTTTTTTGTGGAAATTCATAATATTTTCATGGAAATGCAAATGGCCTAGAATAATCAAGACAACCCTGAAGAAAAACACAAAGTTGAAGGATTTACACAACCAAATTTCAAGATTTGCTATAAAGCCACAGTGATTCATACAGTGTGGTACTGGCCTGAGGACAGGCAAATACATCAACAAAATAAACTAGAAAGCCTAGAAATATACCCACATACATACAGTTACTTGATATGCAATAACAACACAAAGGCAAAAGTAGAATCTTTTCAGTAATGGTTTTATAGCAATTGTATATCCATATGGAAAAAAGAACTTTGCCTTCTACATCAGACACAAATATTATTTTGAGATTGATAGTAAAAATTACATGTGAAGGATGAAAAAATAAAGCTTCTAGAAGAAACACAGAATAATATCTTCATGAACTTGGATTAAGCAGAGATTAAATAGGACACAAAAAGCACTAACTGTAAAACGTTAATTAATTGGACATCACTAAAATTAAGAACTTCTACTCATCAAAAGTCAGACACCATTAAAGGAGTGAAAATGCAAGCCATAGCCTGGGAGAAAATATTTGCAATGCATATATCCAACAGAAGACTTACATCCAGAATGTATAAAGAATTCCTATAAATCAATAAGAAAAAAGACACCTAAATAATAAATGAGCAAAGAAATTAGTTGGTGTGGTGGCACACAAGCACCTGTAGTTCTAGCTACTTGGGAGTCAGAGGAAGGAGGATCACTTGAGCCCAGGAGTTTTAGGCTGTAGTGAGCTATGACTGCTCTACTGCACTCCAGCCTGGGCAACAGAGTAAGATTCTGTCTCTAAAAATGAAGAAACAAGAAAAGTCAAAAGACATGAACAGACACATGGCAAAGGAGGATATTCAAATACCTAATTGTCTAATAAACATATGGAAAAGTACTCAGCATTATTACTCATAACGGAAATGGAAATTAAAACCACAATGAAATAACACTATATACTCATCAGAATGGCTAAATTTAAAGACCGATGATACGAATTATTGGTTAAGATGTCAAGAAACTGAAACTCTCATATTGATGGTGACAGTATAAATCCCTACAAGTCCTGGAAAGCTGTTTGGCATTATGTAGCAATGCTAAACACATAACTATCTTTTGACCCAGCAATCCCACTCTTAAGTGTATATCCAAGAGAAATGAAGCCTGTGTCTACTAGAAGACATGTACAAGAATGTTCATAGCAGCTTTTTTCATAATAACCAAAAATTGGGAACAATCCAAATGTCCACCAACAGAAGAATAGGTAAATAAACCCTAGCCTATTTATACAATGGAATACTACACAGTAATGAAAAATATACAGAATGACATAAGTGAATCTCACAAATATTAAGCTTAGCAAAAGAACCCAGACACAATAAAGTACATACTCCATGATGTCATTTATATGAAAGTCAAGAAGAGGAAAATGGTGTACTTCATTTCATAGCAATTAATCTCAAATGTACATAAAAGTTACATATATAGAGTACATAAAAATAAGACAATCTCTGTTCTTTTAGTAAATAGACATTATCAAAAGGATCAATTCCATTAACCCTTCTGAATGCCTGTCTTATAATCTAATGACTGTTTAGCTGGGAAGAATGGGTAGGAGGAGCATGACGTTCTTGGAAATTTATAAAAAGCAAAAAAAAAAGGCCGGGCGCGGTGGCTCACGCCTGTAATCCCAGCACTTTGGGAGGCCGAGGCGGGCGGATCACGAGGTCAGGAGATCGAGACCATCCTGGCTAACAAGGTGAAACCCCGTCTCTACTAAAAATACAAAAAATTAGCCGGGCGTGGTAGTGGGCGCCTGTAGTCCCAGCTACTCGGGAGGCTGAGGCAGGAGAATGGCGTGAACCCGGGAGGCGGAGCTTGCAGTGAGCCGAGATCGCGCCACTGCACTCCAGCCTGGGCGACAGAGCGAGACTCCGTCTCAAAAAAAAAAAAAAAAAAAAAAAAAAAAAAAAAACTCTCAGCAGTACATTTCATATCGGACCCCTGTTGTGAAATAATGTTTTAAGATAACCACTGGGTGCCCACCCTAGCCCAGGATTTTCCTGCGGCTCTTCCTCCCACTCCAGCTTGTGGGGAGTGCGGTGTACTTTGTCTCAGGGTAGGAACTACACAGCAGAGAGGGAGAGAAGCTTTTTTAGGTCTAAATGCCTAAGCCACAGCAGGGACCAGAAAGAGCACAGGACATAGGACAAAAGATTTCAAAGAACACATAATGGCTCAGAGCCAGTTTTACCCACCCTCCAAACTAGCTCTACATATTTCCTGGATTAATGGCAGAAGAGGACTGGAGGGAAGTATAAAAAGCTGGGCCCATGAAGAGGTCCCCTTATCATTCTCCCACCTCCCTCACTCTCCCCCTCTCACCCCTTCCCTGCCTTCCCTGGGGGTGGAAGGAGGAGTGACAGAATCCCAACTAGGTTTGAGGAATCCACGTGCACAGGGCATCTATTCTTGCTTTCCATGTAGAACCTGGGGGGTGGTAAGCCTCCCTGGTTGATCCTGCACTAGCAGGACACAGGGGTGACCAGTAAAGATGGTTCTATGGGGTGTCTCAGATGAGGGGCCTAAAGCAGCCTCGTAGAAGTCCCACATACTCACAAGCAGAGAGGGGAGATACATGGAAAAGTAGACCAAAAAGTAGGCTGAGAGAATAAAAAAGAGCCACACTTGGGGAGGCCCAGATGTCAGAAATGGGGATGGATAACAGCACACCTATGGACTGAAGAGGAGAGAAAATGCTGTGAATCTTAGCAGATGCCAGCCTCATAGATGATTACCAAGAGCCAGATGTCCTTTCCCAAAGCTGTGACATAAGCCTCCTGGAACTTAGCCACAAACTCAGGGAGAAAAGGGAACTCTGAATTGACTGAGATTAAGTTTTCTGCCACCAGGCAGGATGAAAGCTAAAATATGAATTCAGTTGTCAAAGAAAAACAAAGGAAAGTATTTCTTACACAACCGGGAATGTGTCCTGGGGTTTCTACACCTTATGCTTTTCTAGAGTGCAAGTGTTTGGGTTGTGAGTGCTCCAATCGTCTGCTCATCCTGCTCTCATAAGCAGCACAACAAGGCTATATGGAGACTCTGGATTTCCCTGTGCAAAATCCATTCTACTTCTAGCTATAAGGCAGTGTGAAGCAGCAGAAGAATGGGGGAGGTGGCCTCATTCACTTTTAGAATATGTGACAAAAAATTTATATACATATGCACATTCTCAGATTTCCTCTCCAAGCTCTTTCAAGTGGATTCTGTCTTTGCCCGTTCAACACTAATCATTTTAGAGCCCCACCATGAGAGAATTCGGCCTTTGCCAGAGAGGGTCTCCTGAGGTTTGTCTACAAAATAATTGAGAGGGCCAGGGAAAAGGTAGAATAAGATGAAGGAAGTATCATTATAGTCTTGGGGAAAGAGAGTTGGGGGTGGGGGGGTGGTTGCATGTATTCAAGGTGTGAATGAAATATCCAAACACTCTTGGCTGCAATTTCAATTCACAGTCAGAGTTCTTAATAGTAAGCAACAGCACACCATCCACTCTGGTGGATTTAAGCTGAACTGTGAAAAGGGTTTTGAGTAGCTCACAGAAATGGCAAGAAAGCAGAAGAACTGGGTTTGGAGCGATCTATGTCCAGAATGATCCTAAAACCTCACCCCAGGACTTCTCTGGGAAGGATTCTACCAGCACTGTTGCTTGGCCCACTGAGTCACAAGATTATCACAGGGCTCCTCTCAAGTCTACTTCTTTCCTTCACTAACTTTGGTTCCAAGTGTGGGGCAGGTGTGTCTGAGAGGCTAAGCCTAGGTCATTCACCTGAGATCTGGGAACACGTGTGATTGTTATTTTTCAGCTTCTGTGGTGGGTGGTGGTGTAAGATACAAAAGAAGGGAGAATGTCCCCAAACATCAGATGAGGTCATGGGCAAAAAAGCCAGAAAGATGGCTCTTGTCTATCACTGAGGTTAACTACCTTATAAATCTGTGGGCACTGGTTTGTTCTTTAGTATTTGTTTAATGCAGATTCCATGTTCCTTTCCCTGAGCTACTGAATCATAATCTATGAGAATGGGGTCCTGGAACTGGCATTTTAAAAACCAGCACTTCAAATGATTTTTATGTACCTCAAGCTTTTATATACACCCCCATCAGCCCGTGGGTATAGCTAACAATCACTCTAAAAATCACCATATGTTGAAAGCATTCACATCCTGGGAAATAAAGTATAACTCTCTATAGGCGGTTGTAGAGTCTATGGCTTTAGAGTGTAACAGGCATTGGGTTAGTTCCAATTTTACCCTGTATATAGTTCTGCAATTTTAGAAAAGTTGCTTTTTCTCTGATATGGCTTGAATGTATCTCCTAAAGTTCATGTGTTGGAAATTTAACCTCCAATGCAACAGTGTTGGGAAGTGGGACCTTTAAGAGGTGATTAGGTCATGAAGGCTCTATGCTCATGAATGGATTAATGTCGTTATCTAAGGAGTGGGTTTGTTAACATGAGAGTGAGTTTGTTATAAAAGTGAGTTCATTCTTGCTTTCTCTCTTTCTCTCTTGCCCTGTCTCACCCTCTTTCATTTTGCCATGGGATGATGCAGCAAGAAGGCCCTCACCAGATGCCAGTACCTTGATCTTGGACTTTTCAACTTCCAAAATTGTGAGAAATAAAGTTATTTCCTTTATAAATTACCCAGCCTGTGATATTCTACTACAGCAATACAAAACTGACTAAGACAATCTGAACCTTAGTTACATCACCTGTAAAATGAGATAACAATAATATAAACCTATATTAGTTAAGGTAGGATAGGCTATGCTGCTGAAACAAACAGCTTGAAGTCTTGATGGCTTAACATAGTGAAGGATTATCTCTTTTTAATAAATTTTTTTTAGAGTAGCTTTAGGTTCAAAGCAAAATTTAGTAGAAGGTACAGGTTTCCTAACAACTCCTGCCCTGAACATGCACAGCCTTCCCAATTATCAACATCTCACCAGAATCGTACCTTTGTTACAATTGGTAAACCTACATTAACACATCATTATCGCCCAGAGTCCATAGTTTACAATATAATTCATTTTTGCTGTAGTACATTCTATGTGTTTGGACAAATGTATAATGACATATACCCACCACTATAGTATCATACGGAGCAGTTTCACTGCCCTAAATATCCTCTGTGCTCCACATGTTTATCTCTCCCTCCTCCCTAACCACTAGCAACCACTGATCTTTTTACTGTCTCCATAGTTTTGCCTTTTCCAGAATGTCTTATAGCTGGAAATCTACAGTATATAGCCTTTTGGGATTGACTTTTTTTCACTTAATAATGTACATCTAAGTTTCCTTCATGTTTTTTCATGGCTCATATCCTTTTAGCACTGAATAATATTCCATAATTTGGATGTACCACAGTTTATGACAGTTTATCCTTTCACGTACTGAAGGACATCTTGGTTGCTTCCACGTTTTGGCAATTATGAATAAAGCTGCTGTAAATATCCATGTACAGGTTCTTGAGTGGATATAAATTTTCATTTCCTTTGGGTAGATACCAAGCAGCATGATTGCTGGATCATATGGTAAGAGTATGTTTAGTTTTGTAAGAAACTGCTAAACTGTCTTCTAATGTGGCTGTGCCATTTTGCATTCCCAGGAGCAATGAATGAGAGTTCCTGTGGCTCCACATCCTTGCCAGCATTTGGTGTTATCAATTGTCTGGACTTTGGCCATTCTAATAGGTGCATAGTTAGTGTTTACTTATTGTTTTAATTTGTATTTTTCTAATGATATATGATGTATATAGCATTTTGCCATATGCTTATTTGGCATCTGTATATCTTCTTTGGTGACATGTCTGTTAAGGTCTTTGACCCATTTTGTAATTGGGTTGTTTGAGTTCTTATGTTGAGTTTTAAGAGTTCTTTTATATTTTGGATGACAGTCTTTTATCTGTCTTTTGCAAGTATATTCTCCTAGTTTAAGGCTTATCTTCTCATTTTCTTGAATTGTCTTTCACAGAGCAGAAGTTTCAAATGTTAATAATGTCCAGCTTATCAAATTCTTTATTTCATGAATTTTGCCTTTGGTGTTGCAAAGTCATTACCATATCCAAATTCATCTAGATTTTCACCTACATTATCTTCTAGGAGTTTTTTATTTTTGCATTTTATATTTAGGTCTATAATCCATTTTCTGTTAATTTTTATAAGAGCATAAAGTCTTTGTCTAGATTTTTTGCATGTAGATGTCCAATTATTTCAACACCATTTGCTGAAAAGACTATCTTTTCTCCATTGTATTGCCTTTGCTCCTTTGTCAAAGATCAGTTGACTACATTTATGTGGGTCTATCTCTGAGTTCTCCATTTTGTTTCATTGATCTGTTTGTCTATTCTTTGCTAATACCACATTGTCTTGATCACTGTAGCTTTACAATAAGTATTAAAGACAGCATCATTTCTCTGATTGTTTTTTTCCTTCAATGTTGAATTGGCTATTTGGAATCTTTTGCTTCTTTATGTAAATTTTAGAATTAGTTTGTCAATATCCACAAAATAACTTGCTGGGATTTTTATTTCAATTGTGCTGAATCTATAGATCAAGTTGGAAAGAACTGACATCAACATTTTTACAATATTCAGTTTTCCTATCCATGAACATGAAATATTTCTACATTTACTTATTTCCCCCTTGATTTCTTTCATCAGAGCTTTGCAGTTTTTCTCATATAAGTTTTTCACATATTTTATTAGATTTATAACTAAGTATTTCATTTTGGGGGGTGCTAACATAAATGGTAGTATGTTTTAGCTTCAAATTCCACTTGTTCATTGTTAGTATATAGAAAAACTATTGACGTTTGTCTATTAACATTGTATTCAGCAAAACTGCTATACTCATTTTTTAGTTCCAGGAGACTTTTTTGTTGATCCTCTAAATTTTCTAGATAGCGAATTACATAATCTGTAAACAAAGACTGTTTTATTTCTTTCTTCCTAGTCTTCATACCTTTTATTTTCTTCTCTTATCTTATTGTATTAGCTAGGACTTCAAGTATAATGTTGAAAAGGAGAGGTAAAAGGGTATATTCTTACCTTGTTCCTGATCTTGGCAGGAATCTTTGTTTCCCAACATTAAATATGATGTTTACTGTGGGTTTTTGTAGATATTCTATATTAAGTTGAGGAAGTTCTCTTCTATTTCTAGATTACTGAGAGTTTTTATAAGTGAGTGCTGGATTTTGTCAAATGCTTTACCTGCATCAATTGGTATGCTTGTGTGATTTTTCTTCTTTAGTTGTTGATGTGGTAGATTACATTAATTGATTTTCAAATGTTGAACCAGGCTTGCACACTTGGAATAAATACTTCTTGGTTGTGGCGTATAATTCTTGTTATTGGATTCTATTTGCTAATATATTATTGAGGATTTTTGTATCTATGTTCATGAGAAATACTGTTCTGTAGTTTTGTTTTTCTGTAATGTCTTTGTCTGGTTTTGGTATTAGGATAATGCTGGCCTCATAGAATAAGGTGGGAAGTAGTCCCTCTGCTTCTATTTTCTGGAAAATATTGTAGAATTGGTATAATTTATTCCATAAATTTTTGGTAGAATTTACCAGTGAACCCATATGGACCTGTTTCTTTCTGTTTTGGAAGGTTAATAATAACAATAATAATTATCATTATTATTATTTGAGACAGAGTCTTTCTCTTTTGCTCAGGCTGGAGTACAGTGGTGCCATCTCGGCTCACTGCAACCTCTGCCTCCCGGGTTCAAGCGATTCTCATGCCTCAGCCTCCCAAGTAGCTGGAATTACAGGCATGTGCCACCACTCGCTGCTAATTTTTGTATTTTTAGAACAGACAGTGTTTCACCATGTTGCCCAGGTTGGTCTCCAACTCCTGGCCTCAGGTGATCTGCCTGCCTCGGCCTCCCAAAGTGCTGGTATCACAGGTGTGAGCCACTGCACCTGGCCTGGAAGGTTATTAATTATTGATTCAAATTTTAAATATATATGTATACATATATATAGACACACATATATTGTATATGTATGTATAGATACATGTATACATATAAACATCTATACACACACACACACACACACACATATATATATGTCTATTCAGATTGTCTGTTCCTTCTTGTGTGTGTATTTTGGCCACTTGAGTCTATCAATGAGTTGGTACATTTAATCTAGGTTATCAAATTTATAGGCATAGAGTTGTTCTCATAGTACTTCTTTATTGTCCTTTTAACGTCCATGGGAACTATAATAATATTCCCTCTTTCATTTTTTGTATTAGTAATTTGTATTATCTCTCTTTTTTTATTTGCTAATATGGCTAGAGACGTCTCAATTTTGTTCATCTTCTCAAAAAACAAGCTTTCAGTTTTGTTGATTTTCTCACTTGATTTCTTCTTTTCCATTTAATTGATTTCTGCTCTAATTTTTATTATTTCTTTTCTGCTTACTTTGGATTTCTATTGCTCTTCTTTTTCTAGTTCCCTAAAGTGGAAGTTTAGATTATTTATTTTAGTTCTTTCTTCTTTTCCAATATATGCCTTCAATGCTATAAATTTTCCTCTAAGCACTGATTTTGTTGCGTCCCACAAATCTTGATGAGTCGTGTTTTCATTTTCATTTACTTCAAAGTATTTTAAAATTTCTCTTGTGATTTCTTCCTTGACCCAGGTGTTATTTAGAAGTATGTTGTTTAATCTCTAAGTATTTCAGTATTTTCTAGCTATCTTTCTGTTATAGATTTCTAGTTTAATTCTATTGTGTTATGAGAAGACATTGTACAATTTATATTCTTTCATTTTTATTAAAGCATGTTTTATGCCCCAAAATGTGGTCTCTCTTAGAAAATATTCCATGTGAGCTTGAGAAGTTTGTGTACTGCGTTGTTGTTGGATGATGTAGTCTACAGAGGCCCTTATATCCATTTGATTGATACTGTTGTTGAGTTGGACTAGTCCTTGCTGATTTTCTGCCTGTTGGATCTGTCCATTTCCTTTACAGATTGTTCATTATTAGTGTATTGAAATGCAATTGAGTTTTGTTTGTTACTTTGCTGAACTCAGTTATTAGTTCTAACAGTGTTTTTAAGAAATCTTTAGGGCTTTCTACATATAAGATTATATCATCTGTGTCAGAGATAATTTTACTTCTTCCTTTCCAGTTTGGATGCCTTTTATTTTTTTTTTCTTGCCTAATTGCTCTTGCTGAATTTCCAGTATGCTGTTGAATAGAATGATAAAAGTGGGTATACTTCCCTTATTCCTGATCTTAGAGGAGAAGCTTTAAGTCTTTCATCATTGAGTATGATGTGCCTTGTGAATTTTTCACATATGACTTTCATATGTTGAGGTAATTTTTCCTCCTATTCCTACATTGTGGAATGTTTTTATCATGAAAGGGTGTTGAATTTTGTCAAGTGCTTTTTCTGCATCAATTGAAATGATCACGTGACCTTTTCTTCATTTTGTTAATGTGGTATACTACATTCTGCTGGAAGTCACATCAGCCAAGGGGGAAGGGACTCGCAACAATGCTTGGAAATGCAACAACAATGGCTTCTTCTTCATCTGCATCTCTGAGATCAGAAGGGTACCAATCCAGGATATTTGAGAACAGAATCCTTTTCACCCAACCTGGCTTCTGCAAGTTGTTTGCAGGCTGTTCCAGGAACATGTGCACAGCTACTTGTCCCAGAGCTGAGGGATGGGGGATGGGTAACTGCTACTGTGCTAACAGCAGAAATTGATTGAAATTAACCAGCATTTACCATCCAAGCCTTCCCCTGAAAATTTTAAGTCTTCAATAGACTCCTGAGTTCCAAAACCATTACATTAGCCAGATTCTGCTAGTGCCATTGGTGTTTAGGTGAGAAGACACATTCCTGGTGCTTTCTACAGTGCCATCCTGCCATAATCCTCCTGCACGGTTCTATTAGCTTTTTCTCACATATTTCAATTCCCTGTTGTTAGGCACATACTCACTGAGGATTGCCCTGTCTTGGAGACTCGACCCTTTTATCAGTACGTAATTCCTCTCTTTATCCCTGATAACTTTCCTTGATCTGTAGTCTATTCTGTCTGAAATTAATATATAGCTATTCTTGCTTTCTTTTAATTAATGTTAATATGTTATATCTTTCTTCAACTCTTTATTTTTTCTTAATTGTTCTAACAGCTTGTTCAAAATAATAACACAAACAATGTATTCATATATACTTGCTTATGTATAAGTGAAATGAACAACAACATGATAAAAGGAATGTAAGACAGGAATTACAAATATTTTGTTACTATAAGGTACTTGCACTACAGAAGTATAGTGTAATTTAAAAGTAGACTTGGATTTGTTATAAATGTCTACTGCAAACTCTAGGACAACCATAAATAAAAGTAAAAAAAAAGAACTACAAATGATATGCTGATAAAGGAGATAAAATGCTCATTAAAACCATAAAAGGCAGAAAAAGTGTGAAAGACAAAAATAAAAAGAAAAATCAAGGGCAACAAATAGAAAACATCACAAATATGTTAGATGTTGATGCAATTATACCAATAATGACTGTGAATATCAATCTTGTAAATGCACTGCCTTAGACAGTTTGGGGTGCTATAAAACATTCTTACGTGGGGTAGCTTACAAACAACAGAAATATATTTCTCACAGTTCAGGAGGCTGTAAGTCTGAGATGAGTGCCCGCATACTTGGGTCCAAGTGTGGGCCCCCTTCAAGGGTGCAGACTGCCAACTTTTTGTTGTATCCTCACATGACAGAAAGAGAGAGGGAGCACAAAGTGGGTGAAGATAGGTGGTTTTCCTGGGCAGCTCTCTGAACATTTGAGCTCCTTTAATTGGGCCACGAGTTGGAGTTATTTGCTTTCAGTGTGATGAAGAAGAGAAGGAGAGAGAGCAAAAAGCACTGTAGGCTATTGTAAGGCCAGGCTGGAAGGGGGTGCATAACTCATGTCTACATTTCATCTGTCGGAAGTCTTTTATATGACCAATCTGACTGCAAAGGAGTCTGGAAATGCCATGAAACACATGGATTTGGGAGAACACTGATGGTTTTTGCCACACCATCTCATAGGACTGGTGTGAGAACTAAATGAGCAACATGTATAAAGCACCCACAAATATTTTATTCTTTTATTTAGATTTTCTTGGTTTTTGTTTTTGTATTTTTTGTATGTTTTTAAGGGGGAGGATGCCAGATGACAGAGTATTTATGGTTTTATTTAACACAAATAAAATGTGTACATGAGCTGTCTATTAATTTTTCTTGCTGTGCAGCCTGGCATTGGGACTAGTGACTCTGCTGGGCTGTCGGGTTACTCTCTCCACAGTGGCTTTAACCGTTCTTGGAGAAGCATGTTGAGCAATCTCAGCACAGTAAGATTTGTTGCACATCAGCAGCACTTCCAGCTCTTTGACATCGTGGAACAGGAATTTTTGGAAGCCACTGGGGAGCATGTGTTTTGCTTCTTTTTGCTCCCACAACCAATGTTGGGGATCAAGGTCTCGCCTTTGATTTTTCTCCCCACCCTGTTGTCAATGCCTCTGGGTTGCTGCTATATGCGTACATCTAATTTTGATATGTCAGTCTGACTGGTGAAGGATAAACTTCTTGGTCCATCTTAGATGATCTTGGGCTTCACGAGGGGTCTAAGGGTAGCCATGGTGTCAAGAAGGAGATGGCTTTCCCTCTGTAGGCAACACGCAGGAAGAGAGGGGAAGATTTTTTTTTTTAACTTTTGATATAAAATTAATAGATCTTCACTATAGAAAAATTAAATAGTATACATAAGCAAAAGAATACAACAAAAGTCCCCAATAATCTCAACCTCTAAAGATAATAGCTATTAAAACATGAATCTTTTTTCTTTTAAAAAATAAGATTTTATTGTGCATACAGTATTAGAAGCTTTCTTTTTAAAATCATCATTTACTGTGGTATAATTCCTTTGTGTTATTATATTCTTTTATAGATCATCCTTTTCAATAACTGCGAAGTAGTGAGTCTTACAGATGTACTATAACAGTCAAACACTTTACCAAATGTTGGGCATCCTTACTATTTTAATTAACACTGTGATGAACATTTTGTGCTAAATCCTTGCACATCCTCAGCTCTTCCTTTATTAATGTGGGTTTTTTCCACTTCATTTAGCTCTCTGTGTTTGAGCTGGGCATACACAGCAGAGAATGACTGGCTGGTCATGCTGGTCACTTAATCAACCATGCAGAATGGAACTGGTGGAACAGGTTGGGTTTATTGCTGTAAAAACCAGCCAACCATAGCTTTGACTTTTAAAATTATTCCCATTCCCTAGAGATTATGCCCCAGCTCAAACCTTCTCTGGCATACATATTGCAAGAACTGCCTCATGCATTATCTCATATTCTTAAGAGAATACACTGTCATCTTTGCCTGAGTCAAGAGGAGGCCCTGGCAGCACGGGCTATGTTACTATTTATAAAGCATGTTTTATACATGCTAGAGGATGCCAAATGTATTAAGTCAATGAGAGTCATTTGCACAATGCATGTGGGATCAGGATATAAAATGATTTGAAGTCCTTTTTTGGTACAGAGAATATTTTAATGTTATATAAAATCTACAGATCAGCTTGCAAACAGAATTTTTTTAAAATCTGGCAAAACTGTTTTTATAAGGACCATTTCTGTTCTCTTAGAACTTTTTCTAATACTCACCTTTAACTAAATAGGGTTCAGACAGTGGTTAGTAAAACCCTTAAATGATTGTGCCACCAACCACTATTTTAAAAACACCTCAGCTCCTTGGTTACCTACATTGCCTACACAGGATGAAGTCCCAACCCTTTAGCACTTGCAGTTTCTGTATCCTTTCAAGTCTGGTCCCAAACCTCCCTTTGCAACTTTGTCTCTGCCTGTCAATCCTTTCTTAGTGATCCACTATGGATTATAACACTTTATATCATGATTGGTTTAAAATATATCTTTCCCTCTCTATAACATCTTTTTTTATTAACCATAATATCCTGTCCCTCTCCTCTGCCTACGTCTAAGAACCTAATACCTGAAATACAGTAGGTAATCAATACATGTTTGTTACTAATAATAGCTAAAAAGTTAAGAATGGCTAGCATTACTATGTTCTAAGACCTTTGCTTATGTTTTCTCATTTAATCATCACAACTTTGTGAGAGTGATACCATTATTATCCCCATTTTATAGACGAGGAAACTAAGGCACAGAGGTTAATCAACTTGGCCAAGATTCTAACAACAGATGACAGAACTGAGATTGAATCTAGGCAGTACTAAATCTCCAAAATCCTGGTTCTTAACCTACACTAAGTGAAATTCATTGCAAAATGAAAAGTATTCACCATGTCATTGGGACAGAGACCACATGTAGGGGAGCAGTATAGTTTTTTTGATAGATGCACAGCTCTGCAGATGGACTACTTTGGTTTAAATTTTGTTTTTAACATGAGCAGCTTTGTGAGTTCGGAAAATTTAAATTTTACTTAAATTTTCTCAGCCTTGTTTCCCCATTCATTAAGTGTGAAGAATAGCAGCCCCAATCTGATAAGATCATAGTGAACATTAAATAATACAATCTTTATGAAGCCTGCAGGATAATGCCTAGCATATCATAAGAGCTCAATCAATACTGTATACATGTAGATATTATTACCAGCTCAAAGACCTGGATTTATTGCTAATTGCTGTCTTGGAGTGAATATTCCAAATGCTTTGGCAAATAGGTCATTCGTTCCCCAGTCACCTGCTTCATGCGCAAATCTGTGCATATATGTACACTGGTCACACGCACAGGTGACATGAACATGGAATTACAAGACTCCTAATTCGACTAGATGGCCTTCCAAAGTGCATTCTGCACCAGTCATATTTGTTAGGGCTTTCCAGGGAATCAATAAACAGTGCTTCAGTGTCACAACACGACAGCACTTGGAGACCTTCTGGTTCCAACATTCCATGAATCAAAGATTAAGGCCTCTCCTAGCCCTTAGGCAGTCATGAGAATTTAGAAATAGAGAAAAGATTGGAGCTCCATCCAGAACCTGGAAAAACACCGTCCCTTCAACTGATCTACTATGACACCAGCACCCAGCATCCAGCCCACAAGCCTGGCTAAGCTTGACTTTCCGGAGACTAAACTCTCATTGCGTTCTTCTCCTATTAGGAGGGAGCCGGATGGGATTTGACCATGACCTCATATGTACTCTTGTTATATTTCTAGTGGGTCCAGGCAGCTGTGCCCTGAAAATACAGCTCTGACTAGAGGAAATACGATCTCTTTTCTTTCATCACCAAAGCTCCAAGCTAAAGCTAAAGGTAAACTAAACTTCTGAAAAGGAAAAGGAGAAATCATCCAGCCCAATTCAGAAGAATGCTGGGAGAGAGGAAAGGCAGAGTAAACAGTGTTTAAAGACGAAGCAGCAATAGACCATGGCAATGATCACAGTGGGTAAATGCAGAGCCTCCAGCCTGCACAGATGGGGAGCTCACCTCCTTCACCCCCAACTGCAGGCAGGACAATTGCTAAACAGCCTTAAATTCAGGCTGATATTAGTCAGGCTTTACTGATGAGAAAGGGCTTGGAGCACATCTTAAGCTGCCTGGGGTCGTGAGTCAGCTGTACTTTCAGAGGAAGTGGTCACTGGGAGGGGAAAATAGAATCATAGATGTTAGTGTTGGGAGGAATTTACTCAGTTCTGCCCCTCATTTTGCCTGGGGAGGAACCAAGGGTCAGAGTGAGTCCACTTGCCCAACGTCACAAAGTGAATTTGGGGCAGAGCGTGACTGTTCTGTCCCTTTCCTACTCTGTCCCTTTCCTCCTGACACTTTACTCCTCCTGCAGCTGGCTCACGTGCGGCCCTTCCATCCTACCCTCTAGTCAAGCCTCTAACATAACGCAGGCTGCATATTGGAGCTGTGCCACCCCAGTGTGCTGCACAGTGGAAAGGAGAATGCGTGACGGCATTACATAGGAAATGTCATGGCGTCTGTTTTTCCTCCCACTTGTGGAAATTAACTTCATTTTGGATCCCATATATGAGGTTAATTTTCCACCCAAAGGACAGACTACAAAGCTCCCAGATTAAAGAAAGAACTGAGAGCTACATCACTCAGGGAGCTTTTCCTAAGCAAGCAGAAGGAGGTGCCAAATATGTTTCCAAACACTGGACACAGTCATTCTTTTGCTACATGCGGCTAATGCTTATCAACATTTTCTTAGCAAGAAAAGAAAGAGAATCAATGTCAGAATGCTTCTAGTAACTTTTATCGAGTACTTATTGTTTGCCAGGTAGTTTTATTTCATCCTCAACAACACCATTTTTTTTTTTTTTGAGACAGAGTCTCGTTCTGTCGCCCAGGCTGGAGTGCAGTGGCACGATCTCAGCTCACTGCAAGCTCTGCCTCCCAGTTCAAGCCATTCTCTTGCTTCAGCCTCCCAAGTAGCTGGGACTACATGCACCCGCCACCACGCCCAGCTAATTTTTTGTATTTTTAGTAGAGACGGGGTTTCACCGTGCCATTTTTTTTAAAAAAAGGAAATAGAAGCACATAGAGGTTAAGTAACTTTCCTAAAGCCTTGCAATTAGTAGTCTGACTCCAGGACTTGATTCTTCATCATGCTTTCCACTCTCTTGTAAGACTGCATATAATTCTTGCTTTAAAGCATGGGTTTAGTCATTCTCTTCAAATTTCTATTCGCTTCATGAAGTCTTAAGTAAAGAACCCCTCTTGTTATTATTATTGATCAATATCTGAACCAAATCTAACAGCTGAGATGCTGGTGTTCTGTTGATTTGCAGTTCTCACAAAATGTTCCTTTAACAAGATTTCTTTCTGTTTAAATGTGCTACAGGCTATGTAACCAATGTTAAAATGTTGGTATATTTCCTTCCTGCCATTTTCCTTTTTTTTTTAACGTGATAAAAACCACAGCCACATTCAATTTCTTGACTGCTCATTTACCATTTTTTAATGAATAAATAAATAACATTTCATTGAGTAGCTCTTTCATTATAAGCTTATGATGATACATAAGTAGGGCACATAAAACCCTATGATGAGATGTTTGGGCTGTTTCAAAATTCCTTATGTCATCAACAATGGTAATACATTATTCTTTATTTACTAGATATATTTTATTCCAGGTTAACAGAGATTTTATTCTCTGAAGGAGGCTCAAAGCAGGGTTTGTGTGTTTATGAGTTCAGGTGGGAAGAGTTTAAGGAATGCATCTGGGTCATGAGCCAACCTAGAAGTCTCAGTAAGTTCAGTGAGCAACATGAAAGGCCTGCGTACGTCAGTAGCAGCAACAGAAGCAGTTGCCACACCAACCAAGAGAATATGTGCAAGAGATTTCAGAAAGCCAGAAACATCACTAGGTCTCAATGTCCCAAGTGAAGAGAAAACTCTCATATTACAGGAACACTGACTACCAATCCACACGGAAGCAGTTTTTCTGAAAGTGACATAACAATTGTGTTTTCCAGATTACTCAGGGCATTCTTAGCTCTTTGTGATCAATAAAATTGACAGCATGCATGCACATCCACACAATCCAGAAGTGATCGCTTTCTGCTCATTCATGTAACAGAGGTGGGAGACCTTGGGATGATGAGGCAGAAAGGCCCGAGTTAGGATCTCAGCTTTACCCCTTCCGGCAATATGACTGTTAGTTAACATGACTATTTCTCAGTTTTCTCACATGTAAAATGGGAATCCCATTTAAGAGAATGAGTAAATAAATGAATTTTAAAAAAATGAAAACAACAAAACATTACATAAATTTTAGCTCTTAGATATTGTTAGGGCATGTAGAAATGCTGACTATTTTATAATCCTTATCCATCTTGGAGGCTTAGGGTGGAAGTGGTTATATAAGTGTTTTATACTCATTTAATAGGGTAGTTTGAGATTTTTAAGTGGGAGATATTGATAAATGTTTTATTTCTCCTGCTGTAGGAGTCTCTTTTGAGACTCCTATCTCCCTGCCCCTGCCCCCCAAGACGGCCCCAGTGGTATTCAAAGTCTGAGCAGTGGTGTCTCCAGGGGCCTGAGCAGCTTTTCTATTGCTAGGCACCAGGAAGGCCCCCTGCCTTCCTATTGGGTGATATGGGAGCCCATTTTGCCCAATTACTTATCTACAGGGCCTCTGTAGACATTTGAGCTTGTGCTCTTCCATTCTGGGCAGTCACGACTGAAGTTTGACATTCTCATTTCATTGTTCATCCACACAGTAAATTCAGTTACCAAATTTTTTGGTTCCATTTTTTCAGTTGAGTGTCTCCTTTCTATTCTTACTGCTGCTGCTAAATTCTGTCCACATTACCTCTTGCTTTACCTGTTGCCATCACGGATTTGGCCTTCCTGCTTCAAGTTTTCCTTCTTTTAGTCCCTCCTACAGATCACTGAAAGATGGATTATATTCGTAAAATAATGTCACATTTTTGCCTCTAAACAATGTATTGTCTCCAAATTCCTAGATGAATTAAATACAAACTATTCCAACATGATAGCTAAGGCCCTTTATACAACGTCCATGTAGCAGAAACCAATAATTGGTTCTCTCCCCTCTCCTTAATAATAGATACGCTTTCCTTTGCTGAATGTTAGCCAGACACTTGGCTGCTCTGAACAAGGACCGCATTTCCCAGCCTCTGTTTTAGTTAGGTATAATCACGTGACTTAATTCTGCCAATGAGATGTGAGTAGAAGTGACATGTGCAACTTCTGGGAAGTGCCTTATGGAGAAGATTCCTGTCTTTTGCTCTCCCTTCTTCTTCCTGATGCCTGGAATGCAGAAGTGGTGGCTGCATGAGCCTTAGACTAGAAAGTGGAAGCCACATGCTGAGGATGACAGATCAACGGCATAGCAGAAGCCTATTCCCTGGCCCCGGGTGTCACTGAACCAAACTGGGGTCCACTTGCCTGGAACAGTAAGACCAAACATCCACAGTGAGGTTTGCAGCAAGAGAAAGGAGGGTTTTTATTTGCAGAGCATCAAGCAAGGAGAATCGGGCAGCTCATGAACCCAAATATACTTTAACTCTTGTGGTTAATAAATCTTCGCAATTCTGTTTTGCAAATGAGGAAACTAAAGCCCAGAATAAACAGTGTTATTTCAGGATATTGTGCCTCATTACTAGATATTATCTAAAGATTTTCATCATAACCAGTTTCCTGCATCCACGAGGGTCTTACTTCCCCTATAATCATTCAATATTTCTCAAAATATGGTCTGTAAAAGACTATAGACTTAAGATATGGATTCTGGGGCCCTATATTCTGTGTCTATGAATTAGAATCTCTGGGGATGGGGTTCTGAAATCTACATTACAAATAAGCTTCTCCAATGATTTTATACACACCGAAGTCTGAAAACCTCAACTATACCGTAATTAACAAACGTTAAGCCAGAAGACCTCAGCTCTTGGCTGGGCACCAGAAGCTCCCATGGAAGTTGAATTGCCCTATTATTGGGCCCCAAATTCTGAGGCAGCAGCTTTGGGGACTACTTCATTCCACTCTCAACTAGGACTCAATCATTCAGAGGTTTGAAATTATTGGAACTTTAGTGGACTACACATTTGGATGAAAAATTCATATTTTAAATGATCACCCAGGGCACTGAATAGTATGTTCCACCAGGCCATCCTGCTGTGGAAGAAAGAAAGTTGGAATACTACATTTAGGGAAGATTTTTCACAGGATTATGTTTATTTCCCAAAAAACTACCAGAAAAACCTGTTGATCAAGCAAAGCTAAGCTTTTTATCCTATTGCGGAAAGAGAAAACACCACCTTGACAAAGCCTTGGTTTTATCTCAAAAGGGGAAACTCAGGAGAGGATATTTATAGTATTTTAGTGCCTGGGATGGATGGCTTTTATGGCAAGCCTTGCAAGGCAGGAAACTAGGATTGGGCAGTTTATAACACAATATCTTTGGGTTGTTGGGCACAGTGAGGAGAGGGTATAGAAGTGAGTACTAATGAACAAGATGTTACTCTTGGTAAGTCAGCCATTTAATTGGTTCTCAGCCTCTGGGAACAAGAATTTCCTGGAGCAAGTAAGTAAGTTATTTGGTTTGGTCCCAGGATTGTTGAACACAGAAGAAAAGTATGTTTGTTTCCATTCTAATTAAAATAAAAAATATTTGTGGTGAAGCCTCAATTATCCCTAAAAGTCTATTTTCTGGAAGTTTACTTTCTGCAAGCACTATGGTAGAAATAACATTTGTATTTTATTTAACAGTTTACAGAAAGAAAACACACACTTCGTGTTTTTTGATACAACCTGTGAGGTAGTTAAGCCAGGTGATTTAAAATGCCCAGTTTACAGGTGAAGAAATTAAAACTCAGAGAAATTATGTAATTTGCCTGAAAAGTAAAGTGCTTTATATAGGAATTGTAACCTGGTATTCAGACTCCAATATTCATACCCTTAAACAGTACCACGAATAGGTTTGATTATGTCACAATGTCTTTAGTTGCTATTGTTGTTGGTTTTTTTTTTTTTTTAATGTTGCAGAATCTGGGGAGAGTTCTTTAAGTTTGATTAATGTAATTTGGTTATAGGAATGCCGAAAGGAATTCATTATAACTTGGCCACAACTACAAACTTCCAGAATCATGGACCCTACAGAAGAAACTATAACTGGCCAAGAGTAGAGCAATAATTAGCTAAGTATAAATCAACCAAGAAATAACAAATAAACGATGACTTCCTGAGTGCAAAAGGCACTGTGTAGCACTTTAGTCCTGGTTGCTGCTAGCTTGCTAATGCAGACAACCTAGAAGCAAGTACTGTGAATTCCAAATTATAAACGCCTACAAATTGAAATGTGTTTTTTGAGTATGTGAAGGCCCCCAAGGCTGACCAGCAAGTTATAAAGTTTTTCAAGTAGAAACTTACTGGTGGGGCTTAATGAGCCATGTATGTCACTTCCATTAATGAAATGAAATATGCCACATTTCCAAATCTCCCTTTAAATTGCAAATCCATCTAAATGGGTCGTTTCAGATAAACGCCACAATTTCCCTCTGGATTGGAAAGCACAGTCTATGATGATCTGGGAAAAAAGCCCACAAAGTCAAATAAGGGAATATATCAGAGATATAGTAGATGTAACATACATAATGAACTCTCTCTTGGAAACTGAATGTCTAAACAGATTAAGTAAATATCCACTGCCGCTTGAAGGGAGAAAGAAATCAATTGTCCCATGTGCTTTTCTCAAGCAGGGCTCATACTCTAAATCAGAGTCTCTCAACTCTCATTGTATTTTATAATCACCAGGAAAGCTTTGAAGATTCCTGATATTCAGGCCTTACCCCAGACCAAGTGGGTTTTAAAACCCCCCAGGTGATTCCAGTGTGCTGCCAGAATTGAGAACCAGTGGCCTAAATCAGTGGTCCTCAAAGTGCAGTCCCCAGACCAGCAGCATTGCCATAACCTAGAAACTTGTTAGAAATGCAAATTCTCTGACCCGACACCAGCCCCTCTGAATCAGAAATTCTGGGGCTGGGACCTAGCAATCTGCGTTTTAACAAGCCCTCTAGGTGATGCTGGCATATGCTGAAGCACTTTTGAGAAGTACTTCTCTAAATAAAAGGGCAGTGTTCCTCCACCTGCAGCTTAAGGGAACATAAGCCTGACCTGCCCCAAACACTGCTTGGGACATGTGGCTTTTGTCTGAAGACGGATGCCACTATTGACGCAACACCCAGGCCTCTGGCTTTAAAGTAAACTGTGAAGTGCCATGTTAACTATAAAGTGTGGAGCTTAAAGGTGGAAGGGAACAACAGAAATCCCTGGCCCCAATTCCAGGGCTGATCTTATGAGGCAGGCTGGTCCCAAATAGTGCATCTACTGGGACCACGGTCAACATTTGGGGTTTGCCTCCCAGCACACCCTTTCTTCTGACTTTAGGGCCAGATTTTTGTTGATGAATCCATCCTCTCCCACTTTTAGTCCCCTCGGTGGGTCCCATGAGCGAAGCTGTAAGGTACATGGATGTGCTTTGGTCAAGGAATAGGCCAAGGCGAATATCCGGGCCTGCATGACTCAGCAACTTTGGCAAGCAGGCGCACACCTCCGCTTGTTATATAACCTCTTTGTGTAAGCTCATACTTTGCTTTAAGTCACAAAGGTAAAATTTCCCTGCTAACGCTGTACAGGGACTCTTGGGGCTCAGCTAGGTTCAATATGGCTTAACATGGTGGGCATGCTGGCGCCCAGAGAAAGGGAGAGAGAGAGCCAAAGCTGTCTGTCTTGCAGACGGACAGAAGGAAGCCACACAGCTCAGTGCGCTGGTGCCCCAAAACAGAAAGAGTTAAGCTGCTGACCCTGAAGGCAAGGGAGAGCTGGCCATGCAGCTGCAGGCGTGGAGGCTGTAGGAGCCGCAGTGCCAGAGCAAACAGCTGAAATAAAGGTGGACAATGTGAATAAGCTGCTAAGAGAGCTGCTGCTGAATAAAACCATATTCACCTGCCTATGCCCCCACCGAGTGTTCTTTCTGCTCATCCACCCACTCCCCTTGGACTTCAGCATGGGCTGGACCCAGACCCCAGGACCTGACAGAGACCAGTCGGCAAAAGGCTGTGAGGACTGTAGCCCCGCCTTTTTCTCTACTCCATCTCCTGCCATCCTCCTAGGCAACACCAGAATCACACTGGATGGCCATCTGATTCATTGGCCATGAACATTCTGAGTTTCTTCATTCCCGATAACCTTCCCCTATACTCCATCTCACCCATTCCTGCCCACAGATCTTTAAATTCATGAATTCAAGTATCCTTTCTTTGGTCCTCAGCCTTCTCTCTTTACAGTGTTTTTGCTTGGATACTCCTGTTTCAACTCTTTTTTGACCTCACAAGCCCCTCTCATCTATTGTCCCTCACCTTCTTCTTCTATTGCTCCTCTTAATAAATGAATGCCCCCAGTCAATGGTAGGGAATAAAGAATGCATATGTTTTAGATCTTAAAGCACGCTTCCTGTAATTGCTACTTAAAATTCATCATTCTCTGCAAATCCCTGCCACCCTGCTATGATGGATAAAGTGTCCTTTCTGCCATCAAAGGCAAAGGTCCCCATATGTGCTCTGGTCCCTCTTTCCAAACCTCTTCTAAGAAACTTTATGCTGCTTGTTATCTACCCTTATTTTCTCTTACCTTTTCAATCTCATTCTAGCAGCTGGGTCCTTCTCATCATCTGTTAAACACGTTCTGACTATTCTGATCTTAAACTGGATTTTTCCCTGTATCTCCTCCATCACTATTCTCTTCTCACCCTTCTGGCTCAATCTCCCCATGAGATGTGTCTATATTTCCTTTCTCAACTGGTTCATCATTTGTTCCTTAGGACTTTCTGATCTCATTTCTGTCTCTACCACGCTAATGTGTCCAATAAGCTCTGTGTGGTTTAATTTAGTAGACAGTCTTCGGTCCTCATTGTCATTGACTTATTAGAAGAATTTGACACACTAACCATGTCCTTCCTCCACTTCCTTCCTTAATATCCCCAACTGTTAACCCCAACTAGAAGATAAACTTCATGAAAACAAAGGCCTTGTCTGACTTGTACCTGCTGCATCTGCATCCTAGAACAGTTCTGGCACTGTTCAATGAACAAATGAATCAATCAACTACGTAAATATTCATTTCATCTTAGTACATGAGGGAAAGTACAACGTGAAAAGAAGGATAATAGAGGAATCTAAATTCATGTTAGGAAGTGGCTTATGGGTCAGGAAGGCTTCTCCTGGTTTCCATGAGCTACGCTCTCTGACTTTTCTTTCTACCTGTCTGTCTTCTCATTTCCAATCTCCTTTGCCAGATGCTTTCCCCTTCTCTCTCCCTAATGTTTCATCATTCCTCAAGAATTGTTTCCAGACCCTCTTCTCACACTACATTTCCTCTCTAGGTAACTTTAGCACTGTCACTGATGCCTTTACAACCCTTCCCAGTTAGATGTCCCCAGTCTAGTCCTTCCTTCTGAGCTCCAGATCCATATAGCCAATATACCCCTGCCTGCCCAATGTCTAACAACCACCTCAAACGCAACATATCCAAAATTAAGACACGAACCAGTGCTTCCCAATCCTCTATATTTGCTTCTTTTTCATGCTGTCTGTCTTAGCAAGTGACACCACATTACGCCTAGTTACTCATACCTGAAACTCATAAACATGAAGGAAAGTAAATATGGAAAAGAACACAGTAGAGGGATCTAACCTTATATTATTTTTACTATCTTGGAATCAAGTATAATGATTTTAGACATTTCTGTAACTGGGGTACTATCTTTCTTGGACTCATTCTTTTTTCCCTACATACTAGATATAGGTAATCTCAGTTATAGTTCACATATACAATTTTCTTTTCCAAATGTTTGTTTTAGCTAGAGTTATTAATTGCCTCTTTTTTTGACTCACTGGCTAGGTCTTCTCATACCTCTACTAGCTCTATAAAACACTTCTGAATATAATATTTTTATTTTATTATAAATCAACAATTTATAATTGTATACATTATGGGGTACAAAGTAATGTTATAATTTATGAATATGATGTGGAATAATTGTCAAGCTAATCAACATATCCATTACCTCACTTATTATTTTCCTGTTGAGAACATTTGAAATTTACTCTTAGCAATTTTGAAATGTATAATACACTATTATTAACTATATTCACCATGATGTGCAACAGGTCACAAAATAAAACCTCATTCCTTCTGTCTTAGATTTTGTATCCTTTGACCATGATCCCTTTATTCCTCCCACTCTCTAGCCTCTGTAACCACCATGCTACCCTTTGCTTCTATGAGTTTGACTGTTTCTGTCTTAGATTCCACACATAACTGAGCTCTTTCTGTGCCTGGCTTATTTCACTCAGGATAATGTTGTCCAGTTCATCCATGTTGTCACAAATGAGAGAATTCCCTTCTTTTTAAAGGCTAAATAATGTTCCATTGTACATATAAACCATATTTTCTTTATTCATTTATCTGTTGATGGACACAGATTGATTCCATAACTTGGCAATTATGAATAGTGCTGTAATGAACATGAGAATACAGACATCTCTTTGACAAACTGATTTCAAATATTTTGGGTAAATATCATTTCATGCATTAAGTGGAATTGCTGGATCACATGGTAATTCTATATTTAGTTTTTTGAGGACCCTCCATAAAGTTTTCCATAATGGCTGTACTAATTTACATTAACAGTGTAGAAGGGTTCTCTTTTCTTCACATGAACTCATTGCTTTAATTATATTTTATTTTAAATGTTGAGGTTGAGAAATTTGCTGCCATTCTGATTTCTAACACTTATGTGACATGCCTTTTCTCTGAAAGATTTTGAACGCCTTGATTTAGCTTTGGAGATCTTAAATTTTATGATGGTGTGCCTTGATACATATCTTTTTTCGTGCATTTCTGAGACCCTTTCAATCTGGAAACTTAGGTCTTTCAGTTCTGAAAATACTTCCTATATAATTAGTAAGAATTTTATATATTAATATAATTTTCTCTTTACCATTTTTAAATTCTATCTTTCCGCATCTAAAGTCTTGGGGCTTTTTTGCATCATCTCTTTTTCCTCTAAGTTTTGGCTTTCTGTTTAATTTTGATCTCTCTCTTCTATACCAGAGACTTTTCTTAAAGGCTGATCATCCTTGGATATCATAATTCAGCTTAAGCCATCATGTGTGTTTGGGTGGAACTTGTTGGTGGGTGGGTTTTAGTGTAGGGCAACTGTGTGGCCATCTTGCTTTCTCACAGAGACCTTCATTTGTCAGTTTCTGGGTAATTTCTCTGTGGCAGTTCAGTTTCTCCAGAAAGGATCCTCCGATCTCCTGCCTGGATATGGTCTACAAGTTTCCTTTGACTTCTGGAGCTGGTGATTGGGAGTTTCTGTGGTTGTACTTTTCAGTTAGCCGACGCAATTTTCTTCTACTTCTGTGCCTTGGTTCCTAAATACAGTACGCTTCTAGTTCAATCTCTCCAGGGACTCTAACTTTTGTCTACTGTGAGTTTACCAGAGGGATAGTCTAGTTGAGATAGTAGGGGGAGGTCCAACTACTGCTTATACAGATCTTCAATTGCAATGTTTGCAACCCTGTGCTCTACTTCTGCCTTTAGTGATAATGTATGCCTCCCATTCTGGAGCTTCTTCAGGGTCTCATGTGGTCACCCAGCTTGCTCTTCCTTGGTCTGTCTCTCTACAGGTGCTTAGGTTTCACTTGCATCCACTCTGCTAAGCCTCTTCCCACCTCTTCATCTTCTTTCTATCTTTATACTTGATGGTTCAAAATCACCAAGGACTTCTGGTTTTATTTAAAATGGAGGTTCGCATTCCTTTGTTTTGTTCTATTCTAGTAATTTAGGGGGTAGTTTTTGAAAGAAGAAAGGCAGAAAGGGCTTTGCTTTACTCAGCAATCTTGAAACCAGAAGTCCTCCCTTCTCCATTTTTGACTTCAGCAACTGGGGTAGTTGTATCTGGCATTTGTCAAAATGGAGAAAGCTAAGAATAAAACAGGTTTGGAAAGAACCACCAAATTTTTTTTGGTCATGTTGATTTTAAGATGCCTTTTAGATATTTTAATTGGAGATGTTGGGAGTAGACAGTTGGATATAATGAATTTGGAGTTCCAGAAAGAAGGGGCATAGATTCTATTTAGAGTCACAGGATCAAATGTGATTACCCAGACAATCTGTACAGATAGTGGCAGGAAGAAATTGCAGGCTCAGCATATAAACATCAAGCAAAGAAGGAGATATCAGCAAAGGAGACTGAGAAGGAGCTGTTGGGGAGAGAGGCAGAAAATCAGGTGAGTGCAGTATCTTGGAGGCCTAGAAAGAAAAGTGTTTGAAGGAGTTCAACTATATACTGTAAGAGTGAAATAGGATATAAACAGAGAGGTGGCCATTGCATCTGCCAACACAGAGGTTATTGGTGACCTTGACCAAGCAGCCTCATAGAGTGATGGTGTCCAGAGAAGCTTGAAAGGAATGGCCTGAGGAGAGAATATGAGTGAAGATGTGAGACTGCAACTGTAGATGACATGCTCACCAACTCTCCTGCTATGTATGCCTTGTTCATCATTAAATCTTTAGCAACTAGTAACCACACATAAAATATATGCGGATCCACTGAAAGAATGAATCTGGTCCAAGTGTTCCTACAGTGCTGGGATCTTTTCTAATGCATGCACTTCCATTGTCTCCCACCCTGTCTTTATCCTCAGAGAAATTAATTTTAATAATATGAAATTAATTTTAACAGGTGAAATTAATTTTAACAATATACTTAATTCACTATATTCAAAGCATTATCATTTCAACATGAAATCAATTCTAAAAAATCTTGGAGTTATCTGACATTGTGTGTGTGTGTTAAGTCTTTGAAATACAGCATATGCTATACTCTTCCAGTGCATGCCAATTGGAACCAGCTACATTTCAAGTGCTTAATATGGTCAGTGGCTACTGTATTGGCCATATTAAGTCATTCCTTTCAAAGGGAAGCAAAAGCTGTGACTATAATCTGTGAGCTTCAAAAGGTCACAAATTGGTTTACCCAAACCATTCAAATGCAAAGCAAGTTTGTTTGGCAACAGGAATTGCACCACTCAGCTGAGAACATTCTGTAGCCTGCTGGACATAGGACTTTGGGGCCAGTGAATGGAAACAGGCTTTCTGCCTGAAGGACCAACTCCCATTAGCTATGAAGTCTTGGGCATTTTCCTTTCCCAACGCATCTAGTATTTTTCCTCACTTTACTCTCTGGAATTTACATGGAATTCCATTGATGGTGTGATGATGTGTAAAACAGAATGAACTCCATGTGCTCTGTGGCATGGATAGGCCTGAACCCAGTTACAACTAATTTCTACATTAATTGAACATGAATTCAAATAACATACTCCTTTGCCTTACAATACATTAGGTTTCTAGAGATTATGAATGCATTATCAAGATGACCTAATTCATTGTTGCTCTGTAGACTGGTTGTTTTGGTTGGTAAATACCCAGTTTTATCTGTGTTTGCTTCATTCACTGAGCTAGAGCTTGTTTCTCCTAAGAGAGACCTGATTAGGGGCAGGCAGGTGGGCAGGCTTCCACTACGGACCAGCTGGCTTCCCAGGTCTAAGACCCTCTTACATTCTGTGAGGCACTGTCTTTCATGCTGTTCACAAGTTGGTCCAAGAGGCATTCTTGAAGATTAAAATTCACACAGAAACAGCATGTTTGGCTTTCAGAGGATCAGCCATGTTATTTTCATGTCTGCTTGAAGGATGGCATCTCAAAATTTTCCGAGCTGGGCCAACTCTGCAAACAAATGACCTGCATGTTGTCAAATCACCAGCTCAGGCCAAGGCAGATACTCACTGCGCCTGGCCCACCCAACTCCCAGCAGTCCTCTCCAGCAAGCTTGTCACACTTAAGAAAGGTGGTATTTTAGCAATCTGTTTATAAAACTGCCAAAGGAACATTTATCATGAGGTGCAAACAAAATAGGCACAGGAGAGAAATGTTTTGCACCACGTTTCCCAGAATTCTGAAACATGTATCCTAAACACTCTGAGACACCTCTGGTTAACCTGTGCAGTAAGTATCAGAAGCAAGTATCAGAAGAGTACATGGACCAGGTGTGGTGGCTCACTCCTGTAATCCCAACAGTTTGGGAGACAAAAGTGGAAGGATTGCTTGAAGCCAGGAGTTCAAGGCCAGCCTGGGCAACAAAGCAAAATCCCCATTTCTAAAAAAATTAGCTGGGCATGGTGGCATGTGCCTGTAGTCCCAACTACTCGGGAGGCTGAGGCAGGAGGATATGCTTGAGCCCAGGAGTTTGAGGCTGCAGTGAGCTGTGATTGCACCACTGCACTTCAGCCCAGGCAACAGATCAAGACTCTGTGCATTAGTCAGTTCTCACACTGCTAATAAAGACATACCTGAGACTGGGTAATTTATAAAGAAAAAGAGGTTTAATGGACTCACAGTTCCACATGGCTGACGAGGACTCACAATCACGGTAGAAGGCAAAGGAGGAGAAAGGCATGTCTTACATGGCTGCAGGCAAGAGAGAACTTGTGTAGGGCAACTCCCCTTTATAAAACCATCAGATTTCATGACACTTATTCATTGTCACAAGAACAGCATGGGAGCCCCCTCCCCACCATGATTCAATTACCTCCCACAGGGTCCCTCCTGTGACATATGGGAATTATGGCAGCTGCAATTCAAGATGAGATTTGGGTGGGGACACAGCCAAACAATATCACAAAACGAAATAAAAAACCCATATGTCCTGTAATGTACACACATTCTGAAGTGAAAACAAGCTGGGAAGTCCAGTATGGCTAAGAGTGTCAGAATCCTCCACAACTGTGTTCAAGAGATTATTAAAATACAGTGAGGGGACATTTTTCTTATTACAGCAGAGGTGACATGAGTTCAAGAGGTCCAGGAATTGCTGAGTTAAAATACCCTTGACTGACTGTATTAACCCCTGGCATTATATTAAAATTTGACAAGCCACCCATGATTGGAAAGCAAATAGACAACTTGCTTCAACCCAATGGTGATAAATCAGTCACTCACCAGGAGCAGTAGCCACTGACACACAGACATGAGTATTATGCAGTTTTCTTTAGTGATTTACCCAGCTGGCTGGCTGCCTACTTGTTTGAACGTCTTTGGGGAAATACCAGAATTAGAAGTTAATGTACTGAAGAAGCTACCATCAGAACGTTATTCACTAACTGAGAAAACCTGAAAATAATCAGAAAGATCTGGCTGCAGGCATTGATGCCAGACAAATACAGAGCCTGCTTCTCACTTCCCTGGAGGTCACAGGCCAGGCCATCCATGACACATTTGGGAAATCAGAGAAATAAACTCTGATGGACCAAACAGTCTTGTGTTGTACCACTCAAACCCAGAAAGGTGTAGAGCTAAAAGATGCTCTGAACACCTCAGGATGCCCCCAACACTAACTTCAGTCAAATGTATATGACAGGGTTGTCCAATCTTTTGGCTTTCCTGGGCCACATTGGAAGAAGTAGAATTGTCTTGGACCACACATAAAATACACTAACGATAGCTGATGAGCTACAAAAAATAATAAAATCACAAAAAACCCTTATAATGCTTTAAGAAAGTTTATAAATTTGTGTTGGGCTGCATTCAAAAGATCTCATAATGTTTTAAGAAAGTTGATAAATTTGTGTTGGGCCACATTCAAAGCCATCCTGGGCCCCATGTGGCCTGTGGGCCGCAGGTTGGACAAGCTTGGTCTATGGACAAGGCACAGACCTGATCTGTCCTAGATCTAGTGCTGGACTAGATGCCATTCCATCTCTCTTTTTCCCTCTTTGTCTTCTCCCCCTTCCCTCCCCTCTCTCTCCCCCTTCCCTCTTCCTGCACAGTAGATTGAAATAGAAAAGTAAGAGCTGGGTCAGAGGTAGGTGTTAGATGATTTTCATGGTGTCCTGCAAATGAATAGAGCAACGTCTTGGCCCCTATCAATTAAAAGGCATTTTGAGGAGCCACTTTCTGGCCAGAGTAGGAGGTGGGTAAGGGACTGAAAGTAAGTCTCATACTGACATATTTGTTTAGGTGACTTCCTCTTTCCTAGGTTACGGGCATCTTGAAGGCAGGAGCCACGTCTTAAGATAGGCTTTTAAAACAACATGTATTTTTATTGTCTGATTGTGAAATAAATACATACTCATCGTAGAAAAAACTGAAACACATTTTTTAAAATCTCATCTTACACCTAGCTTTTAGAATAGTGTCTGGAACATAACAGGCACTCAATAAAATTGTGTTGGAGAGGGAGGAAGAAGGGAAAGTGACATCAATCTCCTCATTAAAATGCACATAATTCAGCAGTGGCCACGTGGGGGGCAGTGAGTCAGGAGGTGCTAAAGCTGCACTGTGTAGCTCAGGAGCACAGGTTGCCTGCAGCTCCGGCTGCTGCCTCTAATCTCAGAAGTTTATCAGGGGTAGATGTGAATTTATCAGATAACAAGGACCTGGGATTACTTAGCCTGGAAAAGAGAAGCCTTAGAATCAATTTAAAAATTAGCATGGTAATAGTATTTCCATTATACAAAGTCATATATGTTCCTGAGAGACAAATGGAAAAATGTGAATGAATCCCCTAGAGTTCCAGTCCTGTTGATATTTTGGCAGATTCTCTCCAAGCACGTTTTCTAGATGTTACTCTTTTGTCATTGTTCTTTCCCGTCGCTGGGATCATGCTCAATCCATGAGGGGTCATGGCCCATCTGTGGTCATGAAACCTATGTGGTGGGTCTAACTAGCATGGAAAAAGACAAATTGGAAGAGCATCTAAAATGCTAAAATGTACTGTCCCCAGGGTAGGCAAGCATTGTCTCATGCAACCTTTGTTTCAGTAATAAAATATGTATGGGTGTCCTGGGTCAAGATGCAAAAACAACCATTTACCCTGGGTGTGGTGTGGTCAAAAGGTTTGAGAAACAGTGTACAATATTTCTTTCTGCTTGTTCCCCCAATTTAATTTAAAAAATGCTTATATACTATTGCATTTTAATGACAATATCATTGTTAGTAGTCTAATATGTCATTAAGTGGATGTACTATAACTTATCTAACACCCTCTTGCTGGGCATTTATTTCATTTCACAATTATAAATATTATGGAAATAAATCTTTTTGCAAAGTTTTTTTCCACTTATAAAACTAGATTCCAAAAAGTGAAATGATTATATCGAAAGATATCATTTTCTGTTTAACAGAGATGAAATTTAATAGGCTACATAACTGGGAAATGCAGTTTGTAAATTTCTTTCCTTTCTGTAACTGAATTTAACTAGCTCCTACTTCCCTGTTTCTCCTCATTAGCACAAAGCTTAATCTCATCAGTTCAAGATAAATTAGTCCCTCTGGTTTAAAATTCTGTTTGTTCTTGGTAATTACTCCATCAATTTAGGAATCTTGCTCCTCCCTGTAGCTTTCCCAGGTGAAGCCCTCAGATGGGTACAAATCTGGTCCAAAGTTACCTGCTGGCCTTGCTAACCCCCCCTGAGTTGTACCCAGTTCCACCAGTTCTTGGGCATCACTCCATTCCTGTTTCATCCATTTCTGCCAGTCATGGGCAATCCAGTCTACACAGTCTGCCTTCTCCTGGCCCAGCCTAAAGGCTTCTCTAGCCTGCTGACCTTAGCTGCACTGCGGTCCCCCTCCTGGGAGCACAGCTCTCAGCTGTTTCCCTTGACCCAACCAGGGAGTGTAGGATGCTGTGAAGCTAGCCACAGGTTCATCTGCTTCAGTATCTCCACAGCTATCGCTACTCTGACATTCAGGTGCACGGACTTTCCACAATGCTTGCTCCCCTCCAGGCTTCTCCTGGGAAGCTAGGGAATGGTGTCTTCTGCTGTAGGATCCTTGTAAATTTATCTGAAGGATTTTCATTCCCTCAGGTTGTGCCAGCCATGGAGGTGTATAGCTTGCCTCTCCCTTTAAGAAAGTGACTTGCTATTCAGATGCAAGAATGTCATTAGCTGACAGGCCCCAGCTGTGTGTCTCTTCAGGTTCTCCCTCAGCTTTTGAGCTGAGGCCACACTCTTCCCAGGCAGGGCCCAGCCAACAATTGAGCACAGCGGGGATCCTCAGGTGTTGCTATTTCTGCCCAACACAGAACTCCTCTAAGAGGCTTTCTTGGCTCCAGAGTTCCCAGGAGTGCGCAGAGACAGTCAGATTTGGATTGCAGTTGTAGGCTCTCTCTGCTCAACCTTCCCCTCTTATCTATCACAGGTGCCCTCCCCTGACACTTATCTCACCCCATAAACTTCTTGCACTCCTAACTCCAACCCAAGGGCTCAAGTGACACAAAGCCCCTTTTCCCCAGAGCAGTGGGCCCTATGCCCCTTCCCAGAAACTATCCACATTTAAACCTCGGTTACTTCCCTCCAATTCTCCCTTTGCTGTCATTAGTCAAGGATATGTTTCCCTTTGGTGAGAAACTGGATTTGACCTCATCTCCCCTTTATATGCCGTAAATCCCTGCTTCCGTCACTGCCAGGCACTCACCTCACTGAGCATCTCTGCATGCTGGGCAAGTGCTGGGGACTTTCCCTCATATTCAGAGCCTTTGGAACCACCATCTCCATTCTACAGATGTAGAACATTAGATTCAAAGTCCCTGAGGTCCTATGTAGATCGTTCCTGAAGAGCAAGTACAAAGTGAAGCACAGAGAACCCAGCTAGCGGGAAGGAGCTCTGATTTTGTCTTTATTTATTTATTTTGCTTGCATTCACCTAACCATTAGCTGGCTAGTGGTATGTAACTTACATGACTATTAACTGTAATATTAAGAAAAAATGAATTTCTAAAGCTTCATAGAGTCAGGAGAGCTCCTGATTGAACATTTCTTCAGGGCAGCCCAGAAAGTACTGAATATAAAAGATCTCAGGGAATTGTTAATCATCATAATAACTTTGATAAAATATCTGAAAAGATGTGGTTTACATGGGACACAAAGAAGTTTAATCCGTGTTTGAGTTAATGAATGAATTTATATATATAGAATATAGGATATAGAAAATTTAATAACAAAGAAAAGAAGCCCAAAGGTTTTCATCTGGCCCAGTGTCTATGACTTCTACAACTACAAGATGAGGATGTTCGCGATGGACTGAGATATACTAGTATTAAGTAAACCCCAAGGAATTCTCGGAAACTGGTTCTTTTGTGCAGATGACCTATCATTTGTAGAGGAAACTGAAGGGAAACAAAGCAGACAGTCTCGGGCTGGGAGCACACAGCTGGTATTCATGGGTTGAAGCAGGTCTCTCTGAGGCCAAGCTCTGCACACAACAGCTGTTTATGGTCTAAGCAGCACTCAGCTGGTGACATGCATCCTAGAACAGTGCCTCTCAAAATTTAATGTGCATACAAATTAAAGGGGCATCTTGTTAATAAGCAGATTCTGATTCTGTAGGTCTAGGTCAGGGGCCTGAGACTCTACATTTCAATAAGCTCCAAGGTGACGCCATGGACACTAGTTCATTGGCCATAGTTTGAGTTCCAAAGGATATGAAATATGCTCAGACAGCTTCGTGCTTAATTCCAGAGGCACAGACACTGTTTGAATAATTTATTCCCCCCATCCCCAGCCCTCACTTTCAAAGATGCCTTTGGAGTTTCTTGTTAAGGAAAGTTACCAAGAAGCAAACATAAGTCCCTCATAGCCTACTGCAGCATTGTTTCTGTGAAGCCATCACCTCTCCCAGCCTAAGATAAATATTTCCTAAGTAGGAGAGGTATGCCCACAAAATGATTTCATTTGATAGAAAGACACGGCATTAAATGACCTTGAATCAATAAGGATATTACTTCCTTTCCAGTTCTCTTTCCATCCTCCTAAGTATGTCAAAGAGAAAGTCTCTGTTAGGTGCTATTATGTCTTTGAATGCTTGCTGCTCTCCCTGTATTGGGATGTGATTGGTTGCTAACAACAGAAAACCCAACTAAAAATGCCCTAAATAAATGAAACAGCCTAGAGGGTGGAGGGGGTGCTCAGGCTGGTCATCTCAACTGGCTCTGGAGCCTTCAAAATATTGGCCTCACTCTTGGGCTAGAAGTAACTTTTCCAATTGGCTGTGGCAGCTCCAGGCCTTGCACTCATACTCAACATTGGCCCCAGTTAACATCCAGAGGAAAAGACGCATTCTATTCTCAAAAGACAAAAAAACCTTCTTTTCCCAAAAGGTTCCAGAAAACTTCCTCTTTGTGTTTCATCAGCACGAATCAATTCACATGGCCTTTCCTGGACAGTTTCAATGACCAACAGTAGCCTGAAGCCTTAGGCTTGGGCCCTTGGCAAGGGGAATGAGTGTTGGGTGGTTAAAAACAAGAATCTCTCCATTGTCTTGTCAACAAAAAGAGAGTAGGCCTCTTGTTGGATGCCTTTGGGCAAGAAACAGTGGACAATTCAAGTGGATTTTAATAATGGGAGGGGCGTTTGGGTTTTTTGTTGTTTTTTCAGTTGCTTTCTCTTGATGGCAAATGATATTAATTTCCTATTCACAATTGTAAAAAGAAATTTTATTTTTTATTACTTGTATTTCAGTTTTACAATATAAGTTAATTTAGAAAAAAATGTTAAAGAATAGAACACAATACATAAATGTGGCAAAAATTATGAAGGTCATAGGAAAATGAGAAGTTTGAGAAACATCACTACACTGTTACTTCCTGGCTAACAGATATTTGGAACTCCTAAATAAAGAAGGTTAGTTGTTTAAGAGACATCACCTGCTACTCAGTTGCTGTGGGTTGTAGTCTGGTGGGTTCTCATCCTAGACTGCATTAGAACCACATGGGAGTTTTAACAAAGCAAATGTCTGGGTTCCACCCTCCAAAGACTATAGATGGTTTCCCGTGGGGTCTGTGTGTTAGCATTTTTTAAAAGCTTCACAGGCTATTCTAATGTATAGCCAACGTGAGAACCACTGTTGAGACCTCTGAGAAATCATTCTGAAATGGAAATGAACAGGAATTTAGTTTGGTCCCATTGCTGGGCTGTGTCTCCATCTTGTAACTGAGTAGTTTAGCTTCGAAACACATTTTTCAAACTTTTTTTCCCCTTTTTCTCTTTTCTCCCTAGTCTCAAGATGTATCCTTGAAGTAAATTGCAGAAACGTCTTTTTTCCTTCTTAGTCTTAAAATATAGCCTTAAAGTGTACTTCAACACTTCACATCTCTCCCTCTCCCACCATACACTCTTACACCATGCACATTTATCTAACTACATGCTTGTTAATGAAGTTTCAGGGGTAATCTTGTGACAAACCAGGCATGGAGAGCTAGCTGTGAAATTCCAGAGATGATCTCAAGGTAATTAGTCTACAGCCCAGCCACTGCTGAGATGACACCAGCACACGCTCCAGGTGGACCATGACTCAAGACGGCCACCAGAACAAGGCATACCGACCTTACACTCAGCACCATGCCCGCATGCCTCCCTCTCCAAGTTCCTCTTTTAAGCCCCTCTCCCCAGCCTAAAGTTTGAAATGTTTCTTGTAAGGAATGAGCCTGGCCATTTCCCCAACCGCTGGCTTTTGGAATAAAGTCACTTTCCTTTTACTGCATCTCGTCCTCGTTCATTTGGCTTTACAAGCAGTGATCAGCCCAGCTTGCGTTTGGCTACAATCTCAAAAATTATAACTTGTCTTATGTATCTACTACTATCAGTCCAGTTAAGAAGAATACAAAGATGTGCACTGCTGTTCAGAGACCAAAGGGGCAAAGGCATTATTTTAGTAAATATAATACCTTTTGAAAATACTGTTTTCCAAGTAGTGTTCTTATAATAAATTTACAAGGACAGTTAAAAATGCAAGATGTTAATGTTAGATTATGATATCTCTTATGCGGGCTTTGGAAAAAAAGTGCACTAAAGCTTAGAATATTTAAAAGCTATTTTTAAAAGTTAATGTACATTTTCTTATATTCTTGTTGATATAAAAATAATAACCTGGGGCGTACAGCTTCAAACTTCAGATATTCATCTGTTCCAGATTTAGCTAAGTGTTTGAAGATAAGTACAGTCACTGAGATCTAGAGTTATTATGGTTTCAACATATAATCACCATCAAATTCATGTGAAAGGTCTTATATTTGTACATGGGTGATTTTATGTTGCTTATGGCATTTATAAAATAAGGTACCTCGCTCTTCACTATTCAATAGTACGATCAATGCAACAATACCACAGTACTACTGGGGTTGCTAATCTACTTCCATATTTCCTCCACGTGAAATTTTACTGGTAGCTTTGGTCTTCTTTCTGTGTCATGGGAGTGTTGACATTTTTAATCCAACTACCTTGTAGCATAAATGAATGTTAACAAAGGTACTTTGAGTTTCTATGTAAGAGCGAAGGGTGAAATGCCAAGAAAGGCTCACAACATGGAAGTAATCCCGGCAAGGATAGAATGAAAATTCTGCAATTCTGAAAGGTGCCTAATTTGCTAAGCAGGTTCCTAAAATGGCTCTGATGCTGGACAAAGAATGAACAATTTGTTGTAGATGAATAGAAGAGAATATGTGACCATCATTTGCCGTATTTTCCCATCCTGCTCACATTTTTAATTCAATGAATGCTTATCAAGCACCACCATGTGCCAAGCCCAGACACTGAGGTAATGAATGTAAGCACAGAGATCTCCATTGGAAGCCCAAGTCAGGCCAGAAGACAAGACTTTGTCTCTAACTAGACAGCTCTTAAGGGAATGAGGTTGACATCCAGTTCAAGGAGGACTAAATGTGCCATAAATCGATGTGGTTCTCTAACAGGGAAGTCCTACTGGGGATCATAACAAGCAAGTAAATCTTATTTTGGAAGGATAAAGGTCCTTTAGAGGGTGTCAGAGTAATTTTTCTCCTGGAGTGAATTCATGCATCTGGACTACCTCTGCTCCAGCCCCCAAGACCTTGACTCACATTTTTTCTCCTCCCCTTGCCCTACTGACCACCACCACTCCTCACACCATCCCCTGGTACAACCTTTGCCTACCCTCACTAAACCACCATCTGCTCCTGACTGCTTGTCCTATCTGGACCCTATTGCAGGAGCCCACATCCTTGGTATGATCCTCAAAATTTATATCATTATTACAAGCCATTAACATAGAAACTTTAATATTCCAGAATCATGTCTGAATTTTACTTTTATATTCCATACTGAAAAAAAAAGCTTCACCTAGAAATTTTGCTTAAAGAATTAAAGTGTAAACAGAAAGATAATTCATAATTTAAGTAATTCGTATTCCTTAATGCAACTGTAATAATTTTATGTAAGATCCTATGCCATGATGCCCAAACACTTGGATTTTGAGCTAACAAATAATATGACTATACAGTATCAACAATATTTATACCACAGAGGGAGAAGGATGTATTGTATAACCTTATTTCAAATGATAAAGCAAGCATCTGAGCCTGGCATCATTTCAAGTGTGAGAACAAGCACTGGTGCTTGCTAACTAGTCAAGTTGTGTATATGTTTCAATAGACTGCTACTTTTATTCCAGGCTTGCTTTTTGACCAGTGACCATTTAAATGTATGTCTTAATTTGATTTTTTTTCTTTGCTACTTACCAAGGACAATACTCTTGAAATCCAATACAGAAAGAGTGAGGCCTGACATGTTCCCCTTTTAATTTCTCAGTATTGATGATTTTATGGTTAGACCTGCGTGCAGAGAAAATAAAGGGAGAAAGTCATGCAAAACAAATTATTACCTGTCAAACTCTTTTTTTTTTTAAATTTAACATTAGAGATTATAGCCCCAACAAATGGATTTTTTCCCTCCCTATTTAAAAGCACTCTCTTCTGATTGATATTTAATGCTTACAGTGACCACACGGGACATGTATTGTTTGCAGCCATGTAAACTGCCTTCATTTAAAGGGTTCAATATAAAAGCCCAGAAGGACAATTCATTTATTTAGTTGCCTTTGGTCAAAACTGAAACAGTTCCTGGGCACTTTAAAGGAATATTGATCATTCAACCCACTATGCTATTTGCAGAAAGGCAGATGAAACCACTTTGTGCCTTTCATAAAAATCCTTTCAATTATAGTTGAAAGAGCTTTATTTACACCTGCCAATGCTGCCTTTTATGTCTCTGCTTTACTTTCTGCAGAGATAATCTTTGTTCCATCATGTCTTTTAAAAAGTGTAGGTCACAGTGAATAATGATAGAACTCATGAGGAAATGTGGGACTCCATGGGGGACAGTTTCAGTTCCTTCTTGAGATTGTCATTAGGGCTGTTCCAAAATACTCCATACACATGGTAGGATTGCACCTCTCTGCCTACAGGAGGTTAGGAGTGGTCACAGGACTCGCTCTGACAGAGAGGTGTACATGGAAGTGATGTGTGTCACTTCCAGGCAGGTTTAAAAGCCAGTGTGTACATGGCCATATTCTCTTTTCCCACTGCCGTGACAACCTGCCATGGTCTAGAGAGCAGCTTCTTCAGCCTGAGTCCCAGAGAGAAGACATAAAGCAGTGGAGCAAAGCTCCTGCTGGCCCTTGATGGACAATGGCACAATTATACACCTTTGCTGTTTCAAATCATCGAGATTTAGGGGCCAAGTCCCAAGGAGAAACCGTCTTGTAAGTGCCGATTAGAAGGGAAATTTGTTTAGAGGTCACAATAACCAAATGAGAGCATTGTCTTTTATATAAATTGAATAAATAAGTTAAAATTCTGTATTTATGTAATGATTGACCCAGTCCCTTCTCCCTCCCAGCATTATTTTTATTTTTAAATAGGAGAAATCATGTGACCTTTTGGGACACAAACTGCCGTTATCACTTTCATTTTGAGATGTATTTCTTTAACAGCAATTTTATTACTAAAGAACATGTGCCCCCAGCAAAAGAAATGACCATCAGAGTGAACAGGCAACCTACAAAATGGGAGAAAATTTTTGCAATCTACCCATCTGACAATGGGCTATTATCCAGAATCTACAAAGAACTTAAACAAATTTATAAGAAAAAAACAAACAACCCCATCAAAAAGTGGGCAAAGGATATGAATAAGACACTTCTCAAAAGAAGACATTTATGCAGCCAACAGACACATGAAAAAATGCTCATCATCACTGGCCATCAGAGAAATGCAAATCAAAACCACAGTGAGATACCACTGTGGTTAGAATGGCGATCATTAAAAAGTCAGGAAACAACACGTGCTGGAGAGGATGTGGAGAAATAGGAATGCTTTTACACTGTTGGTGGGAGTGTAAACTAGTTCAACCATTGTGGAAAACAGGTGGCAATTCCTCAAGGATCTAGAACTAGAAATACCATTTGACCCAGCCATCCCATTACTGGGTATATACCCAAAGGATTATAAATCATGTTACTATAAAGACACAGGTACATGTATGTTTATTGTGGCACTATTCACAATAGCAAAGACTTGAAACCAGCCCAAATGTCCAACAGTGATAGACTGGACTAAGAAAATGTGGCACATATACACCATGGAATACTATGCAAGCCATAAAAAAGGATAAGTTCATGTACTTTGCAGGGACATGGATGAAGCTGGAAACCATCATTCTGAGCAAACTATCACAAGGACAGAAAACCAAACACTGCATGTTCTCACTCATAGGTGGAATTGAACAATGAGAACACTTGGACACAGGGTGGGGAACATCACACACTGGGGCCTGTCATGGGGTGGGGAGAGGGGGAGGGATAGCATTAGGAGAAATACCTAATGTAAATGATGAGTTAACGGGTACAGCAAACCAACATGGCATATGTATACCTAGCTAACAAACCTGCACGTTGTGCACATGTACCCTAGAACTTAAAGTATAATTAAAAAAAAAAAAGAACATGTGGCCCTGAGCAAGCCACTTAATTTCTCTAGGCCTCAGTTCCCCTGCGTATGGAGAAGGAAGGAAATGGAGTAGACGCACCAGACTCCCTCCCTGTGGTCTCCTGCAATATATTAGCTCATTTAGGCTTTTAAAACAATATACCATAAAGCAGGTGTCTTATAAACAACAGAAATTTATTTCTCATAGCTCTGGACGCTGGGGAGTGTAAAGTCAAGGCACAGGCAGTTTCAGTGTCTGATGAAAGCAGCTTCCTCACAGGCAGCTATCTTCTCCCTGTAACCTCTCATGGCTGAAGAGGCGAGGATCACTCCAGACTCTTTCATAAGGGCACTAATCCCATCCATGAGTGCCCCACCTTTGTGACCTAATCACCTCCCAAAGAGCCTACCTCCTAATACCATCACCTTGGGAGTTAGGATTTCCAAACAGGAATTTTGGAGGAACATAAACACTCAGTTAAGCAGTAGCAGTCTGCGTTTAATACATAGTTCACAGAAATTAATAGAAAATTAAATGAAACCTAAAACTCAAATCTTTTAGCTCTTCTTCTAGTTCCTGAAAAGTGTTATTAAAGCGTATAGCAATTTTGTTATGAGACCGTATCTTCCTATGACAGAGAAGCCTAATGTGAAAAAAGGAGAATTTTTGAAGAAATGAAAGAGTTTAGGAAAATTTTGGTTTTGTTGTTTTGTTGTTGTTGTTGTTTTGTTTTGTGTGTGTGTGTGTGTGTGTGTGTGTGTGTGTGTGTTTTGAGATGGAATCTCTCTCTGTTGCCCAGACTGGAGTGCAGTGTCACAATCTAGGCTCACTGCAACCTCCGCCTCCCGGGTTCAAGCAATTCTCCTGCCTCAGCCTCCCAAGTTGCTGGGATTACAGGCGCCCACCACCATGCCGGGCTAATTTTTTGTAGTTTTTTAGTAGAGACGGGGTTTTGCCATGTTGGCCAGGCTGGTCTCGAACCCCTGACCTCAGGTGATTCACCCACATTGGCCTCCCAAAGTGTTGGTATTACAGGCATGAGCCACTGTGCCCAGCCTTGTTTTGTTTTTTAAATGAACTTTTGATTGAAGTATACCCTACATATGAAAAAATGCACAAATCAAAAGTGAACAGCTTGGTGAATTTTCTCAAAGTGAAAATTCACATTGTAACCAGCACCCAGAGCAAGAAGCAACATGATCAGTACCCAGAAACCCTCCTCACACCACCCCTTGACACAAAGGCTGTCACCATGCTGACTTTCTCTAGGCTGACTTCTAATGGCAGAGATTAGTTTTGCTACTTTTTAACTTCATTGTTGAGTACCAGATGCACTTTTGCATCTTCCTTCTTTAGTTAACAGTGGATTTATCCAGGGTTTGCATGACATCACAGTTTGGTCCTTGTCATTGCCATATAATATTCTGCTGTGTGACTTTACTAAAATTTAGTCGTTCTACCGTGATGAACACTGGGATGTTTTCAGGTTCGGGCTACTATTAATAGTGGACATTTTAAGTCTTTTGGTTAATATTTTTTGCCCTACATTTTCAGATTGAGGGTTCAGGAGGTAGATCTCTTTAAACCTAAGTAAGAGGACCTAGGTCTGTGGCAAAGCTTGCATGTTGGAGTATCTCTCTAGTGTTGAAGGAGAGAAAGCAGTTCTAAAGTCCCAGGTAGGGAAAGGAGAGAGGAGAAAAGGAGAAAGGGAGGGAGGAAAAGAAGGAAAAGAAGAAGAAGCAGAAGCTCTATGGAGCCAGAGGATTCAGTACTGGTAAATTGTACTCCTAGCTAGGAGATGCCATTGTCCTTTTAGTTTAATCCTTTGAACCCACAAGCTATACCATGTGGAATTCCCTAGGAAGCATTTTTCTGGAGCATCATTGTTATGTCAACGTAGCAAGTCAGTAAAGATGGTAGATGCTTAGAAGAAAAATATTTTTTTTAGACTTGCTATTGAAAATTGTCATAATTGGGCTGGGTGCGGTGGTTCACACCTGTAGTCCCAGCACTTTGGGAGGCCGAGGCGGGCGGATAACTTGAGGCTAGGAGTTCGAGACCAACCTGGGCAACATGGTGAAATCCCGTCTCTACTAAAAATCCAAAAATTAGCCAGGTATGGTAGCATGTGCCTGTAATAACAGCTGCTCGAGAGGCTGAGGCATGAGAATTGCTTGAACCTGGGAGTTGGAGGTTGCAGTGAGTGGAGATCACGCCACTGCACTCCAGCCTGGATAACAGAGAGAGACTCCATCAATAGAAAGAAGAAAGGAAGGAAGGAAGGAAGGAAGGAAGGAAGGAAGGAAGGAAGGAAGGAAGGAAGGAAGGAAGGAAGAAAGAAAGAAAGAAAGGAAAGGAAAGAAAGATGGAAGGAAGGAAGGAAAGAAAGGAAGGAAGAAAATTGAAGTAATCTTGAGCACAAATACAGTATGTCAATCACTAAATGAAAATTGCATTAAAATTCATAATGGAGAGGGAGGGTGAGCAATTGCCAATTCACCTGCTCCCATTTTTGATAGATCTTGAAATATCCCCCATCCCCAACTTTGAGTGTGTAATCCTACTTAAAAAATAGCAACTGATCATTAAACATGACTTTGCCCTTTTCTTCATAAAACCATGAAATGAGGATAGAATAAATCAGAGATTGCATGCCCAAAAGCTTGTCAGTTCAAATAGTAATACTTGTTTTTATTACTGAATATGGGGCTTTTTTTTTCTATGTCTCCTAGAATGCCAAAGCCTTCTGTCATACAACCCATACCACGTCACCCTGAATATCCAATATCCAGTCCCTCTCTTAGGTTGTGTTTCCTCTTTATGCATGCTTTGGTGAGTTAACCCACTAGTTATTGGCCAGAAGAAAGCAGTTGTTTAGATAATGTAACTTGTTGACCAAAACAAAAACAAACAAACAAACAAAAAGCCAAACTCTAAAATATTTAAAGAGGCTTATTCTGAACCGAATCTGAGTGACCATGACCCAGGGTGGGCATAGTCCCAGGAGGTCTTGAGACCATGTTTCCAAGGTGGTTGGGTTACAGCTTGGTTTTATACATTTTAGGGAGACTGAAGTTACAGGTGAAGACATAAATCAATAAATCAATACCTATAAGGTATACACTGGTTCAGCCTGGAAAAGTGGGACATCTCAAAGGTGGAGAGGGAAGGTGGTACTTACAGGTCATTGGTGGATTCAAAGATTTTCTGATTGGCAATTAGTTGAAAGAGTTCAGCTTTGCCTAAATGGTTGAAGTCAGCAGAAAGAAATGCTTAAGTTAAGATAAGAGGGAAAGGGGGTTGTGGAAGCCAATGTTCTTGCTATGTAGATGAAGCCTTTGAACAGCAGGCTTCAGAGAGAGTAGACGGTAAACGTCTCTTTTCAAACCTTAAAAGTATCAGACTCTCAGGCAAATCTCTCCTGGATCAGGAAAAGACCTAGAAAGGGAAGGAGATTCTCTACAGAATGCAAATTTCTCTCTCAAGAGACAGCTTTGAGGACCGTTTCAAAATATGTGAATGAAATATATTTTGGGGTAAAATACTTTTGATTTCCTTCAGGGTCTGCTATGTGCCATGTGATGCTATACCTGAGTCAGGTGGGAATTTGGTTTTGTATTGCCACAGAGAGTCTGTGTTGTCAGTCTTATGATCTCCATTTTAATGTTAATGCCAGTCAGTTTTGCCTAAACTCTAAAGGGAGGGGGTTATAACATACCACCCTTCCCCTCATGGCCTGAACTAGCTTTTCAGGTTTCTTTGGGACTCCCTTGGCCAAGAAGGAGGTCCATTCAGTCTGTTGGGAGCCTTAGATTTTTATTTTTGGTTATGTCTGCCTATTAATGTTGATCAAAAAAGCCTAACTCTGTAAAATATTTAAAGAAATTTATTCTGAGCCAAATATGAATGACCATGGCCCAGGGCACCATCCCAAAATATGTGCCCTGGGCCATGGTCACTCATATTTGGCTCAGAATAAATCTCTTTAAATATTTTAAAGTTTGACTTTTTTTTCATCAACAAACTTACTGAGTACTTTATATACATTCTCTCTAATCCTTCGCACAATTTTGGGTGTTATTATCTCTGTTTTGCAAATCAGAAAACTGAGGATCAGTGAGGTTAAGACCTGTATTTATAAGACTCAAAGTCAATATTTAGATATGTCCTTGTCTTTCATCTTTCCACCTGGAATATGTCTGTGCTGAAACTTATATTCTCAACCCAAAGTTATAGAGATGTATTAAATGGTGCCTGGTATCCTTAGAGTACTCATTCTTATTGGGAGGCTATTTTGCCCCTCAGGGGACATTTTGCAATGTCTGAAGACAACTGGAGTGAGGAAGTTACTATTAGCATCTACTGGATAGAGGTCAGGAATGATGTCAAATACCTTCCAACACACTGGCAGCCCGATACAGCAAACAGCAAAGCTTGAGAAACCTGCCTTGCAGAGTAGTTGCCCATCATAATAGTGTTTATTAAGCCTATGAGAGTGTTGAACTATATTTGAAGGTGGCAATGAGGAATAGTTGAAAATATATCAGGAATCAGAAGTTCTATGTTCTAGTTCCAGATCCAGGACTAACAAAACCTCAATTTCCCTGTGAGTAAATTGGTGACAATAGTATCTGTTTTATCTATTTATTAATTCATCAAATTTTTATGTATTACCTTCTATGCATGAGGCAGTACTCTAGATATGGAATGTGCAACAAGGAAGAAAATAGGCATCATCCTTGCCTTCAAGCAGCTTAGTGGAAAACAAAAATAAATAGAACTATGGGGTACTGTGGAGCACTCTGGTAACCTAGCAAAGAGAAACCTAATTTAGTATTGTATAGTCAGAGAAGTAACCTCTTAGCTGACAATCAGAAAAAAGAATTTAGGCAAGCAAAGGAGAAGGAGAAAAAGTAGAGGCTAGGACAGTGTTTGCAAAAGCACAGGTGAGAAAGAGCATGGAACAATCCAGGAACTGAAAAAATATGCAGTATGACCAGACAGTAGAATGTGAAGGGAGGAAAGAGATGTGCCCGGGGAGGAAAGCAAAGGTCACCTCTTGGGGAGTTTTGAGGGTCAGCCTAAGGAGGATGGAGGCAAAGGGAAAAAAATGAAAGGTTTTAAAAGCAGGGGACTGGCATGGCGAGATTTGAATTTTAGAAAACCATTTAGGCTGCAAGGTGGAGAATGGATTCTAGAGACTGTGAGACCAGTTGGAAGTTTGTTACTGCTGTCTCAGCAAGAGGTCATGGTGGCCCACAACTCAGGTAGAGGCAATGGGATAGATAGAAGCGATTGCATATAAAAGAAGTTCAATTAATTCTTAATGCTGAGGTGTTGACAGTGTTGACAAGATATCCCTGTCTTAGAGCAGCAGAGTTTCCAGAACAAGGGATGACTGCCACTGCTGTGTCTGAAAGCTGGAAGTATCTCCAGTCCGCTCACCAGTTTGGATTCTGTGCAGGCCTGTGTCTTTGCCTCATTACAGTGAAGTTTTGTGGTGTCTGAATAGCAGGACCTAGGTCACATGTCCACACTCAAGCTGCAGGGAATGTTGGTAAAGTGAGTCTCTGGCATCTCCTTGAGAAGAATGCCCTAAACTTGGAAAGAATGCTGCAAGAAGAAAGGCAAATATGCCCCTACAGTAGCCATGGAGAGTGATTTGCTAGAACCTATTTAGAAAGCAAACCTGAAAATACCTTACAAATTAAAAATATTCTTTCTCCTAAAAACCCCACTTCTTGGAATCTATTCCCTAGAAGTAAAATTATCCATACTTAAGAACATATGTGCATTGAGATATTATGATAGCATTGTTCTTCGGGCAAAAATTTGGTAACAAAGTGAATGTCTTTCAATGAAAAAGAGTTGAGTAAGTTGTGCTGCATTTATGCCACTAAATATGCACTCAACCTAAAAAAAACTGAGTTGGAGTTAAACCCAGTTGGGACTGGGACTCTGAAAATCTGAGAGGGACATGCTGAGCCACTTCAATATACATCTCCTTATATGTAGCATAGATCTTGATGTGTACCACCTCTCTGGGAATGAGGTGAGAGGGGTCTTCTTAGTACCACTGGCTCATCCCTCCTCCTCATTCAACACTCCCATCCAGATTCAAACTGCTGCAAGTCTAGCTCATAACTGCTGTTTCACTTTGGAACACACTCTACCCAAATAGGCTGGCCCACCGATAATCTCAAATTTACCAAGCTTCAGTTTACTCAGTTTCCCATGGAAGTGTGGCTCCTGGTCTTGAATCTATTCTCCACGACCATTGGGCCCAGTGGGCTCTGTGACTCAGCCCCATCCTGCAGGAAGCAAAGTAGCAGAGAAGCACCCGAAATAAATTCCTGGATCTGAGCTAAAATGCCTCTTCCTAGAATTCCTGAGTAAAAGCTTAATTGTATAATAACAGCTTGGTGGTCTGTCTCAATCTGTTCAGGCTACTGTAACAAAATACCATAGAGTGGGTAGTTCATACAACAGATATTTATTTCTCACAGTTCTGGTGGCTGGAAGTCTAAGATCAAGGTGCAGACAGATTCAGTTTCTGGTGAGGGCCCTCTTCCCTGTTTGCCGATGGTTGTCCTCACATGGTGGGGGTAGGGAGTGTGCTCTGGTTTCCTCTCCTTTTTATAAGGGCACTAATCCTATCATGGAGAATCTGCCTTTGTGGTCTCATCTAAACCTATCTACCAAAGGCTACGTCTTCAAATACTATCACATTGAGGGATGGGGTTTCAACATATGAATTTGGAGGACACAAATATTTATGTCTCTGAGGCATTACAGTATGGTCATTAAGAAGACAGGCTCTGGAGCCAGACTAAATCCTGGTTCTGCCACTCACCAGCCATGTGACCTTGGGCCAATTACTTAGCCTTTGTGTGCTCCAGTCTCCTCATATATAAAATGGGATAGGAACAGTACTATCTCATAAGGTTGTTATGAGGCTACGTTAGTTAACACATAATACATCTATAGAGTATGTCTCAGACATACAAAGAGCTCAATAAATGTTATCATCATCATTCCCTTCTGGATCCAGGTATGCCTCAAATTAATCTCTTCCCAAAATACTCAACCTGCAGGTAACCCAGCAGCTTTCTTTCTCTCCCAGCCTTTGGTAGAAATTCCGAGTTTAAAAACTAAACAAAGCTGTATTTATTACACAAACAATATTACAGTAATGGGGATTTATAAAGGACATGGCTGAAATTCCTGGGGGTGGGAGAACGAGGGAGGGATTTTAGAAGTTCACTACAGCCACCCCAGTTTGGAGGGTGCTCTACCCCAGTAGCGTTCTGTACTTGCAATGTTGCTATTTTCCATTTTCTAAAGCTTTATTTAACCATTGTAATTTGTGGCTTTCTCCAAGACTAAGTATAGAGCAAAACATAATAATGCAAACTGGCTCATGCTGAGCTGAAATGAGTAGTGTTCTCTCACCAAATCCTCTTGTGAGCTTTAATAACTTCTTTAATTTCTCTGTTATTTTCCAATATTGTATACCTATTCCAGAAGTACTCATTTTGTCTTTCCTAAACCAACTTTCCTCTGCTGGGAAAATGACCAAATTATTCCACTCCTGTCCTCCTGCCACACCTCTAGTTTTTGGTTTTTCAGCTCCCATTCTGGGGTTTACAACCAATTTAGCAGTTGTTGATCATGGCGAGAGTGTATAATTGAGTCAGTACTGGAGATGAAATGACTCATCAGAACAGTTCATGAGAGGGAAATGATTTTCAGGACAAGGGGAGAGAGAATGAGTGAGATTATACATACACATTGTACTTGCTTGTGGGTAATAGAGTGGACTCCAATGTAGAGTAAACTCGGGTCATTTTCTTTGATCTTCTGACACACTATTCCTTTTTAAAAAAATTAAAGATTAGCCTCTAACAGAAGGCAAGGAAGTTTCTTGTCTAGATTGAGTTGTGGAGACTGTATTTAGAATATAAGCTCTTAGAAATAGCAAAATACTAACGCAGAGTATGTCATGGGAACTCAGAAAATGTGAATTAAAATCTAGAGACAGAAAGAAAGAACCATGCTTAAAAAAGATAGTGGGTTGGTCAGTGATTTCTTACGGCTGCTCTCACAGATTACATGCAGTAGCCGTGTCCTTTTCTGTATTTAGATTTTCCTACCAAAAGGGGACTATGTGGACATTTCAGAGTCCCAGTATAAGAAGGGTGAGTAACTTGAGCTGAAGTTTAGGATGAAAGGAGCAGGAGAAATCTGGCTCCTTGCTGGGATGCACGGGGCTCTGGAGTACCTTCCAGGAGAGTCTGAGATGCCCCCCTACCCACATTCCTTCCAGACCTAATTGCTTACATTTCCTTGAGCACTCTGTGTGCTTCAGCTCCTCTGTGCCTGAAGCATCTCTCCTTTGCACTCACTGCACCCACCCAAACCCAATTCAAATAATGCCAAGTCTTCTCCAGCTAGAATTAATCCCCTCCTCCTCTGCATTCTCTTGGCCTGTCTTATCCTGCTCAGTTCTAATGATGCTCCTGAAAGCAGGCCCTGAGTAAAGGATTTGGGTATGAGAATTTATTCAGGAGGAGATCCCAGGAAACACTGTGAGGGAGTAGGAAGTGAGACCAAGAATGGAGAAAAAGCCAAAAAAAGAGTGCTTTAATGAGCAGATTACTGCTATGAGCAAAGAGGGCTCAGCACCATTGGGAATGCTCTGAGTCTGAGTGGAACATGCTCAGTGTCCTACTGAAGAGCAAGGAACTGCCACCTTCATCGGTGGTGAGTTGTTCTGGAGACTAAGTCTCTGGCACTTACAATCCACCTATAAGGCACTGAGCTGCTCTAAAGCTAAAGAATGCCTTCAGGTCAAAAAATGCTAGAAGTTATAGCCTCTAGGGGACTTCCCACCTGTGAAGGGAAGGGGGTGGTCAAGGGGATAGGAACTTGACAAGGACATCCTGCTATAATGATTGCCTTTGAAGGCAGAGAACAAACTTTACTCATCTTTATATATCCAAAGTATCCAACCTGCAGCCTTATCCCAAGTAGGTGCTTAATAACTTAGTGAGGTTGGTTCACACTTAACACATCTGATGAAGCAATGATACATTCAACATGTGTATATCGAAACGCCTATTATGTGCCAGAGAGTTATCAAACAAGCCTTGTCTCTGTCCTTCAGAAGCTGACAGTCTCACAGGAAAGACAGGCAATCAGCAAATAATTACAATGCAGGGGGACAGGTATATTGACTGATATGTCAATGTATGTTTCACCCCTTGATACTACCACTATGGTACAAAACCTATCATTTAATTTTCAGCAGATTAGATTTTTATTTTCAGGGAAAGGGGAGTTTATTTCTCCTATAGAGGATAGGGACAGGGTATGATATTGATGACATTGTTTTTGGTATGATTTCTGGGTTAATGAACATGGATTTGAAATAGCCTACTATTGACTGGAAGCCTTACTGATAACATAAACAGTTGATTAACATGTATTTTGTATGTGGTATATATTATATACTGTATTCTTACAAATAAGCTAGAGAAAATAAAATGTTACTAAGAATACCATAAGATAGAGAAAACACATTTAATATACATTTACAGTACATTATTGTACTGTATTTATTAATACCATAAGTTTATGTTATCTGTTTATAAGATGAATTATCTGTCTGAAGCAGTGGGCAAACACAGCGGCAGACCTCAATCTTATATCAAGCAATTCAACTGTTTTGTAATGTCATGACCTCTCTGTGCTTCTTGGGGATACTTCCAGTATCACTAGTGGCACTTTGTATGGGTCCCATGGTATTATTCAAGATTTACGGTATGCACTCAACAAAATGAAAAATATGTGAGAACCACAAAAGATCACTTTTTTACTGTGATACACAATTTACTGGAGAGGTAAACTGCTCACGTAGAGATGATTAGCATCACATGATGTTTTAAGTGGACACACGCAGCACTTGTGCTCACCATGACAGCAACAGGGAATGGCATTGAAATTATTACAGTAGTATAGGATGTGCTACAATTAATTGTATGTAGTTATAATTTAATACTGTATCTTTTCATTTGCTTACATTTCTCTTGACTAAAAATGACACCGTGTACAGTCTATGTAAGTTTTGATAAATTTTAATTTTTTATAATATATGTATATTTTATAGTAATACATGACAAAATATACTAGTATCTACATATATTTTATGCATTCATACCATGCCTAACTTTTTCTTAATTTTAAAAATATTTCTAGGCTACATAATTCATCTGCAAGTTTCTTCAAATTGTTGCAAACCTCCAAAAAATTGTCCAATATATTTATTGGAAAAAATTTGTGTATAAGTGGACCCGTGCAGTTCAAACCCATATTGTTCAGGGATCAGCTGCCCCTTACCTACAGAGAAGCAAAAATAAGAATTATATCCAACGTTTCCTCAGAAACCCGGCACGCAAGAGTAAAATAAATTGTTGAGTGTTGAGAGAAAAAACTGCCAAACTAGAATTCTTTACCCTGAAAAATTATCATCTTTTAAAAGTGAAAGAGAAATAAAGCCTCTCTCAGAGAAACAAAAACTAAGGGAATCTGTTGTCAGCAGACATGTCTTGCAAGAAATGTTAAAAATAAGTTCTTCGGAGAGAAGGAAAATAATATAAGTCAGAAACTTGGACCTACGTGAAGAAAAGAAGAACTTCAGAGAAGAATTAAGTGAAAGGAAAACAAACATTTTATTTTCTTATTCTTTTTTTCTTCTTCTTCCTTTTTTTTTTTTTTTTTTTTTTTTTTGAGATGGAGTCTCGCTCTGTCGCCAGGCTGGAGTGCCCTGGTGCGATCTCGGCTCACTGCAACCTCCGCCTCCTGGATTCAAGCGATTCTCCCGCCTCAGCCTCTTGAGTAGCTGAGACTACAGGCGTTCGCCACCATGCTCAGCTAATCTGTTTTTGTATTTTTAGTAGAGACAGGGTTTCACCATGTTGGCCAGGATGGTCTCCATCTTTTGACCTCGTGTTCCGCCTGCCTCGGCCTCCCAAATGCTGGGATTACAGGCGTGAGCCAACTTGTCCAGCCTATTTTTCTTATTCTTAATTGATCTAACAGTCAGTTCAAAATAATAACAGCAACAATGTGTTCAACTATATGCCAATATATAAGTAAAATGACAGCAGTGGGTCGGGCGCGGTGGCTCACGCCTGTAATCCCAGCACTTTGGGAAGCCGAGGCGGGCGGATCACGAGGTCAGGAGATCGAGACCATCCTGGCTAACATGGTGAAACCCCATTTCTACTAAAAATACAAAAAATTAGCCGGGTGTGGTGGTGGGCACCTGTACTCCCAGCTACTCGGGAAGCTGAGGCAGGAGAATGGCATGAACCCGGGAGGCTGAGCTTGCAGTGAGCTGAGATTGCACCACTGCACTCCAGCCTGGGCTACAGAGCAAGATTCCATCTCAAAAAAAAAAAAAAAAAAAAAAGACAGCCGTGATACAAGATGCGGGAGGGAGGAATTACAAGTATTTTGTTATTATAAGAGATTAAAATTCAAAAATTAGCCAGGCATGGTGATGCATGCCTGCAGTCCCAGGTACTTGGGAGGCTGAGGCAGGAGGATTGATTGAGCCTGGGAGGTTGGTGGAGGTTATAGTGAGCCATGGTTGCACCACTGAACTCCAGCCTGGGTGACAGAACGAGACCCTTTCTCAAAAACAAACAAAAATAGTTATTCACACTATCCATGAATTGGTACAATGTTATCTGATAAAAGTATAATGTATATGCTAAGAAGGGGCAAATAGAATTATATAAAATGCTCAATTAAAGCCATAAGAGGTAGAAAAGAGAGGAAGATAAAAATAGAAACAAAGAACAAGAGAAATTAATAGAAAATGGTAATAAATATGGTAGATATAATCACTTTAAATGTCAATGGTCTACCTACACTAATTAAAAGACAAAGATCCTCAGAGTGGATAGAAAAAAGGACCCAACTTCATGTTGCCTATAAGAAACCCACTTAAAATATAAAGAAACATGTAGATTAGAAGTAAATAGAGAAAGATAAACCAGGCTAACACTAATCAAAAGAAGGAGGAGTTGCTATATTAACTTCAGAAGGAGCAGGCTTCAGAGCAACGAAAGATATTAGGGATAAAAAGGGGCACTGCATAATGATAAAAGGATCAATACATCACAAAGACATAACGATCTTTAATGTGTATGTGTCTAACAACCAAATGTCAAATACCTGAGGCAAAAACTGGTAGAAATGCAAGAGAAATAGATGAGTCTGCTATTGTAGTTGGAAACCTTAACACCTATCTATCAGAAGTGGACAAATCCAGCAGGCAGAAAATTAGTAAGGGTATAGTTGAACTCAACATCACCATCAATCAACGGGATATAATTGACATCTATAGACTACAGTCATGCGTCACGTAACAATGGGAATATGTTCTGAGAAACGCATCGTCAGGCAATTTCATCATTGTGCAAACATCATAGAGTATACTTATGCAAACATAGATGGTACAGCCTACTATGCCCCTATGTTATAATGGTGTAGCCTATTGCTCCTGGGCTACAAATCCATAGAGCATATTACTGTACAGAACACTGTAGGCAACTGTAAGACAATGATAAGTATTTGTGTGTCTAAACATACCTAAACATAGAAAAGTAATGTGTTATGCTATGATATTACAACATCACTAAGTGATAGGAATTTTTCAGCTCCATTATAATCTGATGGGACCACTGTCATACATGTGGTCCTTTGTTGACTGAAACGTCATTATGAGGGGAATGACAGTACTTCTGTGGAACATAAAACACACCCTAACAAATTTAAAAAATGAGAAATCATACAACTTCTACTCTCAGATCACAATGGAATTAAACTAAAATGAATAACAGAAAGATGTCTGAAATCCAATGTACTTGGAGATTAAACAACATACTTCCAAATAATATATGGGTCAAAGAAGAAATCTTAAGAGAAATTTTAAAACATTTTGAACTAAATGAAAATTAAAATAAAACATCAAAATGTGTAATATGCAGCAAAAGCAGTGCTTAAAAGAAAATTTATTGAATTGGACACATATATTAGAAAATAAGAAATATATAATAAAGGACTGTTATATGAAATATACGAAGAACTCTTCAAACTCAACAATAGAAAAATAACAACCTTATTAAAAAGTGGATAAAAACCTGAACAGACCCCTAATCAAAGAAGATAGATATATATGTAAATAGTCTGTTCCATATATATATGGAAAGTGAACATATATAAAGATGTTCATCATATTTCATAAGAGAGTTACAAATTAAAACAAGTATTAGAATGGCCAAAATACAAAACACTGACAACTCCAAATGCTGGTAAGGATGTGGAACAACAGGACAACATTTATTGCTGGTAGGAATGCAAATATTGGAAGACAGTTTGGCAGTTTCTTACAAAACTACACATATTCTTACCTAAAGATCCAACAATCACACTCCTCAGTGTTTATCCAACGGAATTGGCAACTCCACACAAAAACCAGCACATGGATGTTTATAGCAGCTTTGTTCGTAATTGCCAAAAATTGGAAATAACCAAAATGTTTTTAGTAGGTGAATGGATATAAACTGTGGTATATCCTTATCAAGAAATATTATTCAGAGCTAAATAAGTTATCAAGTTATCAAGCCATGAAACATTGAGGCAACTTGAATGCACGCTACTAAGTGAAAGAAACCAATCTGAAAAGGCTACATACTATATAATTCCAACTATATGACATTCCTGAAAAGGCAAAACTATGGGGACAGTTAAAAGATCAGTGGTTGCCGGGGTTGAGGAGGGAGGGCAATGGAAGATTTTTAGGGCAATGAAATGATTCTGAATGATACTACAGCAGTAGACACTGATAAACATCATCATACATTTAACAAAACCCATAGAAACATAACACCAAGAGTGAATCCTAACGTAAACTATGAGCTTTGGGTGCTAATGATGCATCAGTGTAGGTTCATTGATTGTAATGAATGTACCACTGTGGTAGGGGATGTTATTAGTACAGGAGGTTGTGGGACAGGGGGATATGGCAACTCTCTGTACTTTCTGCTCAATTTTTCTATGAACCTAAAACTGGTTTAAAAATAAATTGTATTAATTTTAAAAAAGTCTTTGACTGAATTGTTAGAAACACAAACCTGTATTTTGCCAAATTAAAAATAATTCTTTTTTTGTACCATGGTACAACGAATTAACTTTTGGGTGACATAATTTGACATGAGAATTCATGGTGCCTTTTTACATTTATATTTAAACTAAATATAATTCAATAAAGTACTTATTATGGATTCTACTGCCACTCACTTTGACAAGTACTATTGAGAAATATTAATCTTAAAATACATAGTTCAGAGATGCTAGATCATCTTTATTCATGAAATTATGTTCCCAGAAACAGTCTAGATTTCATTTACACAATTTGTGCTGCCCTGCATTTCATTTCCACATTTGTATTCTCTGCCTCCCCTCCTAAGCATCCCAAGGGCTCACATAATGGTATATGATTTGCAATATACATAGAGAATGTTCCTAAATTGCTTTGGATTTGAAGCTCAGAGTACATATTGGTGGGTAATTGTTAAACTTTTTACTATATTATTCCAAATACCAGTAATAATTGTTTTCCCAGTCTTATCTATCAACAAAAGAAATTTTATCCACAGAGAGATTAGGGAACTGCATGATCATCGTCTGCCAGACTCTGTATGAAGAGAGTAGTGAATTTGGGGGCCATTTCTTGCCTAACTTCTTTTTAGATTCAGAGGACATTTCACTGACACTGCTGCCTTCTCCTGCAGCTTACCCTGAACACACACATATTTCTCAGGAAGTGGGATCAAGACTTTTTATTTTGTTTTTGTCTTTCTTCTCCCTACTTTGTCTTTATTGAGCATGTATCATGGGTGTAATAAAAACATTTTTTAAAGGGGTAGGATGTTTGCTTGTTTGAAAAGCTTCTAGATGAGAGCTCTAACACAGGAATTCTTAACTGCTTTTTCTCTACTCTCCCCTTAAGCAGCCCGGGGAAGCCTATGACAGCTTCCCAGTAGTAGCACATCCACTCTAGAAGGAGAAATGCCTGCTGATTTGAACAGAATGTCAGCCTGGGTCACACCATGAACTGAGTTGGGGCAGCAAATGGATAGACAGATGCACAAACAAAGGAAAGGAAAGGGCTAAAAGTTCATTATGAACCTCATGAAGCGAATGAGAAGCTTCAGGTGCCGTGCCTGCTGCCTTAGTACAACACACGCCCTTTCAGGTGACCAAGCCCATCTTTTTCATCATGTGAGCATTTCAATCAGGACGTTTTAAACATTAAACTTCCCCACTTTCCATAAGGCTGGCTTAATTTGCAGACCCTGACAGATGACATTTCTCACAGTGTGTCCCTCCCTGTTGGGGGTGGCACAGGACTCCAGGCCTAGCATCATCAAAGCCCTGCCAGAGGCTTATGGCTTAAGCACATCAGAATGACCTGGGCCTGCCATTTGGTGGGGCCCCAGGGCATTTGGGGGCAAGACAGGAATTCACAATGAGAAAGTTACTTGTGGCCTCAGTTGGAGATCCTTTCAATTAAAGCTTTTAACATTTTTCACAAGCAACCCCCAGGGATTCATTCTCATCACCAGCTTTGATGGATGGCAGGCTCACACAGCAGATGACTCACCCAGCTCACTGCAAACACTATCAAAACCCATCCACTCTTCCTTCTCCAAAAAGCCCTGTAGGCTCCTGACAGGGCCAGATCAAGAAGCTCTAAGAAAAGTTAACTTTACTTAAATAAATGCTGCTTTCAGCAAACATTGCTCATAGTTTGAATTTTTTGTCTTTGAGTCATTAAAAAATGAAGAAAACAATGTCCTGTGGTCTTTTAATAGATGGTGCGTTCTCTTCACAGACTGGGCAGCAATGTGGTATCAGGAAGCAAAACAGGCCTGATTAAAATTCCAGTCCTGCTACTGACTGTGTGACTTTAGGCAAGTTGCTTAATTTCTCTACACTCCTATTCCTTCATCTCTGCAATGGGGCTAAATAACACCTACCTCACAGTGTTCATTCTGATTCAAAGGAGGGACCTCGTCTGTACCTAAGGTATTGTTTCTTTTATTCATGGGTCTAAGTATGAAGAACAGTATGTATGCATGATGCATGTGTCTATCCGTCTATACCCACACATATGTATACACACACATATCAGCTAACATCTAAGACCTGAATAATTACATATAAATATTTCAGATTTCCAGTTTCTCTTGGAAATAAATCAGAAGATCTGGCAACATGAGGTTGAGTTTGATTGGCAGCTGTCCCTCAAGTCGTGGCAGGTACACATGGTCCCACCACTTCACTTAGTTTGTGAACAGCCTGTCCCCTTTGGTTATTTGACTGTGCTATTTTCTGTCTGCATCCGCCTCTATACCACAGGTCTTAATGGCAAGAACTCTTCAGAAAAGCAGAAGCAAACTCCAGTCAAATAGATTGGGGGTGGGTAGGCTGGGAGTTACTTTCAATGAGGGGCCTCCTTTGTCTTTCACCGTGTTGAAGAGTTAAACTCGGAAGAGAGGAATTCAGAAAGGATGAGTCAATTTTTTTAATTAAGAATTTTTTTTTGGCACAGCCCTGGTCAAGAAGGCTCTTTGCCTTTCTCCACAGTTGCCCGGCTGAGCAGACGGTTTTGTTGGAAGTGGGAATAAAGCTATGGGTCCCAAACATATTTCAGCAATGACAGTGCTTCTCCATGTGGGCACTATCCATCCCTAGGGAGTATATTAACTTGTCAGAGTTTTTTTGGTGGTCACAGTGCTTGGAAGGACACCACTTGCATTTGGTGGGTAGGACTAAGATGGTAGAGTCCCTGCAAAATAAAGGATTTGCTGCATGCCCCACAACTTTTGGACATCCTGCCAGATATTTGTATGTTTATAATTATCATATTAATAATTATCTGAAAAACGTACTTATAATTATCTTAACTAAAATCCAACCCCATTATGCATACAAAGTGTTTTCAAACAGTCTTAAAAAGCACTGAATTTTCTAGGAGTTCAGGCATGGTGTAAAGTGAGGAAAGAGTATACTTTCTTTGTTCAGAAATTTACTAAGAGCTGGTTCCAAGTTCAGAAACTAGCTGAAGCCATCACTGTTTAAGGTATTCTGGCTGACAATCCAGCCAACTGAGTCAGTCTGCCTGTATAGATGCCTCATTCAGCATGTTTTTACCTATAGTTGCAAATGTCTGACAGTTTCATTAGGGATAATATAGAGTGTGCTGCAATGGAGAACTGTGCACCATCTACCTACACCCCTCCAGGTTATCTGGTTCTAATTACATGGAGACTATGCTACAACTTGGTAAAATATAGATAACTGAGAACAATGCAAAATAATTTTTGTCTGTAGACATGCAAATTCTGACCTATTTGGTAAATGTTCAATTGACCTCTCTACCCCACTATTAAAGAAGTTAGTTTTGCCTTCATTTGTACATTCATTTCAATATTCCTGATCTATAAATGTGTCCATTATGTGGTTAGTCTCTTAAACAGGTTATAACATTTGCCTGGTTCCTCATTTTGAGTTAATTAAAATATACAACATATGCTCATTTTTATATCTGGGTGAGAGTCATGATTTTATCTTTTTTTAAAAAATTATCTTTAAACAGTAGTCTTGTCTCGGCATTTGCAAATTGAGATACATATCTTATTAAAAATGACTCTCTATTTTGTTCTCCTGTTATAACAGGATGTTATATTTATTTTTAAATGTGTCATATATAAATTTCATTCCAGTATACTAAAAGGGGTGTTCAAATATTTGTTATAAAAGGGAGCGTGGGACCTGACAGGGTTTAGAATCACAGATTCCATCAGAAATTCTCTGAACAAACCCACATATGTAACTGATCAGCTGGGTCATTATTCTTCCCAGTCAGACAGAAATATCCAGAGCTCCAAGTGATTTACAGCAACCACTGGGCTGTGAATTGTTTTGGGAACTTCTCACCTTTCCCAAGTCCAGCTTCATTTAGATAGGACAATTACAAAATAGCTATTTATGAGTACCACTGACCTGCACTTCTTTCCCCATCATCGAATGCCAAGGCTATACCATACACACAGCATTGTCAACTGGCCACCTTCGGTAATGTCAGAAAAGATTAAATGAAGACATTTTATCTTACTTCCCCTTCTCTGATTCATATTTTTTTATCCCAAGATGAGAATACTCCAGAGTGTTCATTTTCCACATCACATACAGGGAAGCCTGGTCCTGACTTGCAGCCCTATAGTAAGTCTTAGGACAACTATTCTAATACATTCATATGTTGCCACATTTTAGAATCCAAAAGGAATAGGATTTCAGGCTGAAATTTCTTTAACTCAGAAAGAAACAATAAACCAGCTCACCCATCTTGATACCACTTCACCCCTAGCTGCTGGCTGGGAATGGCCTCAGCTGACAAGGATGAATGAAAGAGAAAATAGATCCACTCACGGTTGTGTACTACGAAAATATCCTTATTTCAAGATATCACTATACTTTTTTACTTAATAAACGCACTTACCCCCAGAAAAGTACAGAACACTTGGCAAATAAAAATAAATTTCAGAAAATTTATAAGCCTGGCTTATATATTGCTTTATTTAGAGGATAATTCTCACATTTTTTCCTTCCACCTACCAAAAGGAACATGCATAATAAATGAAACTAAGCTTGGCAGGAAATCCATCAATAAGGTTAATTTAAAGTGTAGGCAGAATAGCAAATCTCCATATGGCTATCAAGGGGTTTGTTCTTGTTTCAAAACCAATTGACTTCCAAACAATGTAATATGCCTTTCTGAAGAAACCAGATAGAAGGAAATCCCAGCCACCTAAACATCCACATCCCCATCATGATAATACAGCTCCTGGGAATTCATTTTTAGGGTCACTTAAAATATAAGAGCAAGGCTGTTTGGCTTCAAACTCTGGCTTCCTCACAAGCTTTATGATGTGGGTTAGATACAAAAGCTCCATAAGTCTCAGTTCCCTCACCTGTAAAATAAGGAGAATATACAATGCTGTGTAACATTACATATTATACACATGGTTCAGATGACTGCATTAGATAATTCATAAAAATGTTTAACAATGTGCCTGGTATTATTGTAATTGTGAAATATTTAAGACTTGATTTTTTTCCATGATGTAAATTGGTGATAGGGTGAGTGCCATAACAGGGAGAGTATCATTTTAGAGATTAATGATTTTAAAATAACAGCTCCTTCAAAGGGAGGATCAGGAGATAAGGCCTGGGCAAATGGTAGGCACTTTTGTTTTAGAGCATGAATGAACTTGGTTCTCACTAAGCCTTTACTCTTTTCTTGGCCTAAGTCCTCTACCAAAAACCATACTAGGGGATGGCCCTGAACCACAATGAAAACAAGACAACTTTCCGGTTGATTCCATTGGGAGTTAAGTATGCACATACAACACAAAAAATGGGAATCTTGGGAAATGAAGGTTTTAAATGTCTGCAGCAGTGAGGTGTTAATATTTGTTTTTTGGTAACTGGCGATACTATATGTTGCCATGGAGTTTCAGTCATTACAGGGCAAATGGTGTCTGAAGATGTTAGTTGAGTCTAGGGATATCTTTTCAATAAATGAAATTCAATCAAGACACATAGAATTTGTGCTTTTTCAGAGTGGACAAAAGGCAAGTTGCAGACCTCTGGGTATAGTATGATACCATTTTTTTGTTATTTTGTTAAAAAAAAGAGGACAAAAATAATATCACAACTGTGTGTGTGTGTGTGTGTGTGTGTGTGTGTGTGGTATATGTCTAAGCATAGAAATTAAGTCTAGATGGAGACCCATCAAATTTTAAATGTGGTTTTACCCACAGGAAGATGGTGAAGATGAAACAGACATCAAACAGGAGGCAATTCCTTCTTTAAATTATGTTGCTTTATAAACAGTTAAGCAGCATGTACTACTTCTACAAAAGGAAGGAAGGAAAAGAATAAGGAAGGGAGGAATGGATTACTTAAGTTCTCCTTTTTTCCCCTTTTGTTTCCTCTCTAAGATCTCTTTCAGCTCTAAAAGTTTGAGTCTATGTGTAAAGAAAAAAAAAATTATAAGAATACAAATGACTATCAAGGGTATATTCACAAAGGCAACTTTAACAGTATGTTCGTTGCCAGTACAAATTTATTCCATTTAAGTCTGCTGTTTGAACTGACCCTAGAACAAAAATTGTCTTCCAAAACACTAAAAAACAAACAAACAAAAAAGATTGGGAATGGTGGCTCACACTTGTAATCTCAGCATTTTCAGAAACCAAGGCAGGAGGATTGCTTGAGCCCAGGACTTCAAGACCAGCCTGCACAAAGTAGTGAGACCTCATCTCTACCAAAAAAAAAAAAAAAAAAAAAAAATTAGCTGGGTGTGGTGATGTAGTCCCAGCTACTCAGGAGGCTGAGGGGAAAAGATTGCTTGAGTCCAGGAGGTCCAAGCTGCAGTGAGCCTAGATCATGCCACTCCAGCCTGAGTTACAGAGTGAGACCGTATCTCAAAACAAACAAACAAAAGAAGAAAATTATACTCAGCATAGTTTTGCTTCAGCATCTTTGAGTTTATTGATTGGAATGTGGCAATCTCTAAAAGATATAGCAGATCATATTAAACAAGTCAGAATCCATCTGCCCAAATGCCCCCACCCTTCCCATCTCAACCAGGTAAAGCCCTACTCAACACTATTGATTAAATTCCTAGCTGTAGAGTTCAAAAGTCATGTTTTTATTCTAACTTTGCTGCTTAGCTGATTACCTCAGGCAAGCTAATTAACTTCTCAAAGCTTCAGTTTCCTAATCCATAAAACGAAGAGAATTAAAGCCTGAGCAATCAGACAAGAAAAAGAAATAAAAGGCAAATGAGAAAGGAAGAAGTAAAATGATCTCTGTTTGCAGATGACATAATGTTATCTGTACAATGTCCTAAAGATACCATATACACCAAATAAATAAATAAATAAATAAAGCCTTATTGAAACTAGTACACTAATTCAGCAAAAGTTGCAGGATACAAAATCAACATACAGAAATCAGCTGCATTTCTATACATTAACAATAAACCAAAAAAATTAAGAAAACAATTTCATTTCTAGTAACATTAAAAAGAACAAAATACTTAGAAATAAACATAAATAAGGAGGTGAAAGACTTGTGCACTGAAAACTATAAATCAGTACTGAAATAAATTAAGGAAGATACAAATAAATGAAAAGATATCCTATGTTCATGGATTGGAGGACTTAATATTGTTAAGATGTCATACTACCCAAAGTTATCTATAGATTCAATAGAATCCCTATCAAAATCCCAATGGCATTTTTTGCAGAAATAGAAAAATTTGCCCTAAAATTTATATGGAATCTCAAGGGAACCTCAATAACCAAAACAATTTTGAAAAATAACAAAGTTGGAGAACTTCCACTTCCTGATTTCAAAACATTACAAAGCTTCAGTAATCAAAACAATGTGGCACTGGCATAACACAAATGGACCAATAGAATAGAATAGTAGCTCAGAAACAAACTCTCATGTATATGGCCAAGTAATTTTCAACAAGGATGCCAAGACCCCTCAATGAGGAAGAAAAAAAATCTCTTCAACAAATGGTGTGGGAAAAACTGGATATCTGCATGCGAAAAATAAAGTTGGGCCCTTACCTTATACCACGTACAGAAAATTAACTCAAAATGGATTAAAAACATAAATGTAAGACCTAAAATTGTAAAATTACCAGAAGAAAACAGGGGAAAATATTCATGACATTGAACTTGGCAATGATTTCTTGGATATGAAAAATGATTTCTTGGATACAACAGAAGTATAGGCAACAAAAGCAAAAATTAGGCAAATAGAACTATGTCAAACTTAAAAATTTCTGTGCATCAAAGGACACAATCACTGTAGATTCTGTAGGTAACCTACAGAATGGTAGAAAATATTAGCAAATCATATATCTGATGAGGGATTAATATATAGAATTTATAAAGAACTTCTATAACTCAACAACAAAATAATCAAATAACTCTCAGAAAATGGGCAAAAGACCTGAATAGATGGTTTTCTAAATATGATATGATATTCAAATGGCTAATATATGAAAAGATGCTCAGCATCACTGATTATCAGAAAAATGCAAATCAAAACCACAATGAGATATCACTTTACACTCATTTGCATGGCTGGTGTCAAAAAGCAGAAAATAACAAGTGTTGGTGAGGCTGTGGAGAAATTGGATTGCTTGGGCACTGTTGGTGGGAATGTGAAATGTACAATCACTATGGAAAACAGTATGGAGGTTGTCAACAATTTAAAAATAGAACTACCATATGATCCAGCAACCTCATTACTGGATATATACCCAAAATAATTGACAGCAGTATCTTGAAGAGGTATTTGCACACCATGTTCATAGCAGCATTATTCACAAAGGCCAAAAAGTGAAAGTAACCCATGTATTCCATTCATCGATGTATAAATGGATTAACAAAATGTGGTATATACAAACAATGGAATATTATTCAGCCTTAAAAAGAAAGGAAATCCTTTTGCACGCTACAACATGGACGAACCTTGAAGACACTATGCTAAGTGAAATAAGCCAGTCACTCACACACAAAAATACAGTAGGACTCCACTGATCTCTGGTATCTAAAGTAGCCAAATTCATAGAAACACAGTAAAATGGTAGTTACCAGGGGCTGAGGGGAGATGAGAAGGGGAGTTGTTGTTTAATGGGTATAGAGTGTCAAATTTGAAAGATGAAAAAGTTCTGGACATCCATTTCACAACAATGTGAATATACTTAACACTATTATGCCGTGCAATTAAAAATGCTTAAGACAGTAAATCTTATACAACATCCTTTTAACACAATAACAAAAAAAGAAGAAAGTTAAATGAGGTGCATGTGAAGGAATTAGGAGGGTGCTTGGCATGTAACAAATATACATTAAATACTAGCTAGTAGCTATTAATGGGATTATCAGATGCTACCCCTCCAAGACAATTCCTTCCCTTCCATCCTCTCCTCAGCCTTTCCCCACAGACACAATATGTTATTTTCCAATCTGTACTTATATTCTGTCCTGTTTTATAGCTTTACACTTTTGTACTGTCAAAGTCAGGAAGAGTGGATTATTCACCATTGTGTTCTTTCCTGGGTCCTACCTGTTGACATGCATATAATAGGTCCTCACTTTTTTAGAAGTTACATTTTTTTCTCTTTTCATTACAAGTACTGTACATCATTAATATAGCAAATGTGGACAATAGTAAAATAGAAAATGGGAAAAAAATCATCCTAAATCCTACCACTTAAAAGCAATTAGAGTTAATATTTTATTTTTTTCAGCAAATACTTCTTGAATTAAACAGTTAAAATAAGATGCTAACTTGCCTTAAAAGGAAGGTAGGATGTGGATATAAGTTTGGAAATTATCTTCCTTGGAGGTATTTCAGGGTAGGCTGAGGCACCTGGTAGCCAAGAGCTTGATGGGGAAGTTGAAATAAAGGAGATCATGTAACTATGATAATATGAATACAGCTCCTTTACTCAGTATATAATGCATGTAAGTCAGAGATTATTTACCTAATTAATGAGGGAACCAGCAGGATGATAAAGCTGGTTCAAAAGAGGATACACAAGATGAATACATACTTAGTAAGAGACAAGATGTTGACACCACCAAGTTCCTAAAGTAGATATGAAACAAAGCAAAAACAAAAGCAATATAACCGTAACCTCTATGGTTATCTGTTCTACTCAACAAAAACTATTTGCATCCTCTAGTAGACCAAATCATGTGCAACTTAGTTAGTTAATATCTAACTTTAGGGGAACTGGATGCAAATCAATAGCCAATTGTGCCGGACAAAGTTCCTGCCCTACAATGTCACATGACCTTGGGTAGGCCTATTGGACAGCTCTCTGCTATGACATTGAAAGGCACACAGTCATTCATCCTCTTGCCTTATTTCTGAAGTTTTGATAATTTTTCTTTACTGGGAGCGTCAAGTCATTGAATAATTATTACTAACAAATATCAAACATTTATCATGGACCAGGATTGTGCTAAATGCTTTCCATGCAATATCTCACTGAATTCTCACCACAACCCTGGAAGTAGTACTATCATTATCTGCTTTTACAGACTCTTCAATAGAAGTCTCAGAAAGGTCATTTCCCCAAGGTTATATGGGTAAGAAAGTAGCAACCCAGCCTCAGGCTTAGCTCTGTCTGCCCAGCCCTAATTATTAATACAACAGGAGTCTCCACAGTGGGATGCAGGCACTGCAGAGATAACATGAGAGGAGGCATTAGGGTGTAGAGAAAAAAGAGTGGAACTTCCATTGAGGGTGACTTTAACTCCTATTCTTTATAGTTCCCATTACATAATTTTTAAGATGTATATATTAATATATGAGGGTGTCTTAGTTCAGTCCTGCTACTATAACAAAATTCCACAGACTGGGTAATTTATAAACAGTGTAAATGTATTACTTACAGTTATGGAGGCTGGGAAGTTCAAAATCCAAATGCCAGCAGGTTCAGTGTCTGGTGAGGGCCCAGTCTTTACTTCGAAGATGGTGCCTTAAATGCTGTCTCTTCCAGAGAAGACGAACACTGTGTCCTCTCATAGTGGAAGGGCACAAGAGCACAAAGGGCCTAGCTATTTTCCTTTAATGCTTTTATAAGGTGCTAATGCCATTGGTGAGGGAGGAGCCTTCATAGACTAATCACCTCCTAAAGGCCCTACCTCTTAATACTGTTGCATTGGGGATTAAATTTCCACGTAAATTTTGGAGCGGACGTAAACATTCAAGCCACAGCACAGAGATACATGGACAAACATACATGTGAGAATCAAAAAGTTTTGGCACCTTCTGTTGTAAAGCCTTTAGTTCACTGAGGCTGTGGTTTACTCACATTTTCACATCTGCTACTTGGCATTTCTGACTCACTTCTCTAACCTTACTCATCTTGTTTTCTTAAAACATTTAAGATTTTGATATCCAGCTGTGTGGATTGAGAGCCTCACACCTCTTCCTTGCAGTGCGAAGGGGATAGAGCATTTTCATTTCTAGAGAGATTAGGAGATGCTGGGTGGTAGCATTGTTATCTTCCTGTGCCCTGGCTGGGAAGTCTTGGGGAAGGCAAATCCACTTTCCCATTCCTTTTTGTCCCTGGCTCTGGGCTTTGTGAGGGTGGAGGGAAGAGAGGTTTACCATGAAACAGAGACTGGTTTACACAACATGATTCTCAAATTTTCACACAGTGCTTTCAGAAATCACATTGGTGGGTGGCTAAAGTGATCTGAAGATGAAAGAAGGGAAACAGCCCAGGTCCTAGCCTTGGAAAAAACAAAGAGCAATGCAGGCTTGATGCAGAGTCCGCAGGAATTAAAGAGATTTGTTTCTGAAGCAAAGTGCCAGGATTCTCCCCAGTGCCAAACGGAGGAAATGCTTGGTATTTCTGGAGCAAAGCACTCCAAGTGTGCTGTAACATCAGTATTATTGGGCATTTTTTGAAATTACTAGTTACACTTGGTTGAATAAATGCTCCTAAATGCAATTAATGTATTATATGTTAACTTCATGGATAAACTAAGAAAAAATAGTCATTATCTTGTCTCTCTAAGAGATACTACAAAGCAATATGCACATACTGAGAGGCTTTGTGTTGTTGCCACAGTTGTAGGAGACAAACAAGGAGAGACCAGAGTTCCCTGGCCCAGCTGGGGATGTCCCTTCAGCTCCCCAACACCCACACACAGACTGCTTCATGCACAGCCCTTCCCCCAACTTGGAAGCCCCCGTTGAGAAGCTGTGTTTGGGTAAGTTGGGAAGTGCAGCTTCCTGCCTGGTCCCAAATGCACCCCCAAAAGCAGATGACCTTCATGGACCTCCCCAAAGGTGGATGATGGCACAAAAGTAGAGTCTGATCCCAGGAAAAAGGACGAAGCCTCCAGAAATAGTGTGGCTTTGACTCTCAGCCTCCCACTGCAGCTCTCCTCAAACCAATCCTCATCGCTTTTTTAGAAGAATGAGATAAGCTCACCAGATGATTTCCTCTGGGCTTCCCTCTTCAGGATTATGAGGAGACTCCAGAATGGATTGTGAGTACTGGGTCTCAGTTCCCCTCTGCAGAGAAGATTTGCCATTTGCTTGACAATTCGTTGTGCCAGGTACTGTACTTAGAAGGCTTCACTCCTTTGTATAGCCACTAGCAGTGGATGTACTACCTCCTTGTGAGGTCCCTTGGCAACAGCATAGCATAATTGGGGTATTGTTAGCTATGCAGAACCTCACCTGACCCAAACCCTGCTGAAACAGACTACATTTGAATTAGATTCTTCAGGTGATTTGGAAAGGCATTAGCTGGGAACTACTGATTTGAACTGTTTGAGAAGTTAAACTTTATTTAATGGATCTGAGATCAAATTCCAGCTCCACCACTTGCTATGTGACTTCAGCAGAACCACCCAGCTAAACCACTCTTGAATTTTTTTTTTTTTTTTTTTGAGATGGAGTCTCACTCTGTCGCCCAGGCTGGAGTGCAGTGGCGTGATCTTGGCTCACTGCAACCTCTGCCTCCTGGGTTCAGGCGATTATCCTGCCTCAGCCTCCTGAGTAGCTCAGAATACAGACACCCACCACCATGCCCAGCTAATTTTTGCATTTTTAGTAGAGACGGGGTTTCACCATGTTGGCCAGGATGGCCTCGATCTCCTGATCTTGTGATCCACCCGCCTCAGCTTCCCAAAGTGCTGGAATTACAGGCATGAGCAACCGTGCCTGGCCTGAATTCTTGACTTGCAGAAACTATGTGAAATAATAAATATTTATTGCTGTTTTAAGTTACTGCAGTATGGGATTATTGATTATGGCACAATAGGTAATTAATATGCCTGCTATAGTAGCCAAATATATATACAGTCTTTCCCAATAAAAATTTTCATATCTAAGATCAATCAAAAGAAATAAAAAGAAGGAAATAAAATTCTTTTTCACTGGCACTTAATAAAGTATTCCAATATTACAGAAAAGCATAAAGCACACAGGTCCAAGATAAGAAATGTTAGCAGAGGGGACATATCCTTCCCATGTCCCCTTAGTTTTCCATCGAAGGGGTTGATTAACCACTTCATTTGGGGAGGGTTCCCTTAGCATTTTCTTCCAGGAGCATCTTTATGTCCCTTCACACTCTCATCCCTGGGGGAGCCAACTTAACTGAATGCTGCATTTGGGAGAAGGGCCTGAAAATACTCAGCTCTGTCTGGTCCTCTCAGCTACAGAGGGAGGCTGACTCTGCAACTTCACACATAAGCTTATGGAAATGGCCCTTGCAGGGAAGGCCTGAAGTGGTCCAGTATGTCCAAAGAATCTGTACAGGGTCTTAAACTGAGTGGAGTGTTAGGACCCACGTGTTCACATGCTTAAGCCATGTCCTCTGAGCCAGCTTTCATCAGTAGCAACATGGCACTTTGATTTTTTGATTTGGGGTTTTAAATTTAAGTCTTTAATCCATCCTGAGTTAATTTTTGTATCTGGTGTAAGGAAGGGGACCAATTTCAATTATCTGCATATGTGTATCAGGTCTCTTTAAACTGTTTTCTCAATTAATCCTAATTCATTCCCATGAGGTACATCATTGTCCCCATTATGTAAAGTAAGAAACTGAGATCCATAAGTGCACATTCATTATTTCAACAAATATTTATTACATGCCAATAATATACCAGGAACTGCTCCAGACAATACATGAAAGTGATGCCTCTAGGGGAATGAGCTTGCGGGAGTCACAAAGTTGTAAGAAAGAAAGGAGCCTGGACTCAACTTCCGACTGACTCACCCTGCACTTTCCTGAGCAGCTGACTGTCACACAGCTGGGTGGTTCAGGCCAGTACAGACCAGGCACCAGGTGAAAGGTTTCATGTTTCATCTTTCATTCAACCCTCAGCCTTCAGGGGATGCTAGTCACATTGCATCATTCTACCTGAATATGTCCCCAGAGTTGAGCAAGCTCTGCCTTTTCTGTCACTGCCATTTTACAGATGGGGAAACCAAGGCACATAGACGGTCCTAGGATCACAAACCAGAAGGTGCCTGCAAAGCTTCAGGCTGTTTTGTAATCTTTGTGAGGACAAGATGTCCATTTCTGTGTAGGCCATTGCTGTATATGCTGTAGGTGTTTGAGCCACAGTAAACGATGGCTAAGCAGTGCCTGGCAGGGCCCTCCTGAGGGAGTCAGTGACCTTAGGATCCAGGGCGGGTGGCGAGTCTCATAGTTGTGGGTTCCAAGCAGATGCCAACCCTAAGCATGTGGTGATTGTGCATCTTCATGATTATATTTAGCTTGTATTGCATCACACACCCAACCAAACCTATTAAAACACAGTGTCTGCATCTAAAGAACTAACAATGTGAAAAGACAGGGAGAAAATGATATGTACCACGAGGAAGGGAGTGAGTCTTTCCTTTCCATGCTGTTTCCAGGTTTGCACTGAGAACTGATATCAGATACAGAATCAATACTTAATGCGTTTTGTTTTTATTACCCAGTAGCTTCAGTGGAAAGACATGGCCTGATAATGTGGACCTCTGTCCACTGATTGCTTGGGTACATCAACACTTGAATGGCCAGCAGGCTTGATCAGGCGGGACCCCAGCCTCATTCACAAAGTTTAGAACTCTGGATCTGGATATGCATCAGAAGGACCCAGAGAGCTTGTTAAAGCATGAATTGCTGAGCCTCATCCACCAAGTTTCTAATTCTTTGCCTTTCTAACAAGATCCCACGTTATGCTGATGCTGTTCATTCAGAGACCATGCTTTCAGAACCCTTGGTATCCAACAAGGTAGTTCTGTGGATGCTAGAATGGGCCCATATCCAAGAAATATGACTGTTGAGTGATAAAAAGCAAGAGTGGGTGGGGCGGGGGTGGGGGATAGTCGGGGAAGAGTTTCCTACTATTTGTATAGAAAATGGGTTGGCATAGACATTGTAGCTTGTACATGCATTGACTATTTCTGGATGGTTACAAAGAAAATGCTAATATAGTTCTCTCTCAGTATATGTAAGGGATTGTTTCGAGGACCCCACATGTATACTCAAATCCACACACTCTTCAAGTCCCACAATTGGACCTGCAGAACCCTACTATACCAAAAGCCAGCCTTGTACACACTCAGATTTCTAATCCCACAAATGCTGTGTTTTTGATGCGCTTAGTTTGGGTGAAAAAAATCCACATATAAGTGGATCCACAAAGTTCAAACCATGTTGTTCAAGAGTCTACTGGAATTGTTGCCTCAGGGGACTGAGGGATAGGGTAGTGCTATGTTGGTTGTTCTGTGGGTCTGCCCCAACCCAACACCACCCAAGATCACATTCCTGCCCTCCTCTCTGCCCTGTCCAGAGTGTCCTCCAAAGCCTCCATCACGCTTTTTCCTTGGTGGTTGACTTCCTCTTGGGTTTGACCAATGGGATTCACCAGCAAAAGATCTGAGAGTGAGAAAGACGAGCTATTCCTTCCACGCTCCCTCCCCACTTTGGTGCCGTGTCTCACAATAGTTGTGTCTGTCCACAGCTAGGTCCTCCAAGGCTCCGACTCTCACTGGGCTCCACTAACGCTCTTTCCTTCCTCAGGCTGTTGTCAGTCTCTGGGGCCTCCACATCTCTTGTTTTTTTCCCCTTAACCCTACACCTCTGTAAGCAGTCCCTTCAGTAAAGCCTCTAAATTTGAAGCTTCTGGAGGTAAATTTGGTTTTCTGCTAGGATCCTGGGCGATAGAGGTGGGAAACATTATTTGCTGTCTATCCTTTTGCATCATTTAAACATTTTGAAACCAGGTGTGGTGGCTCACATCTGTAACCCCAGCACTTTAGGAGGCCGAGATGGGAGGATTGCTTGAGGCAAAGAGTCAAGACCAGCCTGGGCAACATAAAAAGACCCTAACACTAAAAACAAAACAACAAAACAAAAAATCCTGGGATGGTAGCACACACCTGCAGTCCTGGCTACTCCAGAGGCTGAGTCAGGAGGATTGTTTGAGGCCAGGAGTTCGAAGCTGCATGAGCTATGATCATGCCACTACACTCCAGCCTGGGTGACAGAGCAAGATCCTGTCTCTAAAAAAATACAATAAATATTTTGCCATGTGCTTGTAATACCTGTTTGAAAAATATAAATAATAAAAACTAAATAGTGGAAATGCAGATTCAATCTCGAATAATCTAGAACAGTAAGTTTCAAAGAGAATCACTGGAGAATTGGTTTTCTTCAGCACTTAATGTGCCTTCATCTTGTTTGGCTTCAGTCTGATGCCAATCATGAGTTGTTATTTATCTTCTCATGTTTCGGCCTGTCAGTACAGCTAAACTGAAAACTCCTGGAAGACAAGAACCATAGCTGATGCCTCTTTGCAGTGCACATAGTGTCTAGGTAGCCAGGGCATAATATGGTGGAAAGAAATTTTTTAGTATCACACAGACTGAATTCAAATTGCATCTATACCACTTGCTTGCTTTGATTCTACCAGACTCCTGTCTCTCCTGGGTACCTTAGGGGACTCATAATATCACATAAAATGTTTATACTGTTTGGGCATGGCCTCTTGAATGCCATAAACATTAAAACTTTAACGTTATTTCATGACCCTGAGAAGTAAGCCATTAAACTCAGTTGTTTTCATACCGGTATCTGTGCAACATCCGCCCTTACCCCATGCCTGAGCTGTACCCAATCTCTGACTGGAGTAGGAGAAGAACAGAAGCCAAACATTGGAAAAGGCTTGTAGCTAAGGCATGAAACTTAGACGACACAAAAATTGTAAATAATGATTTTGAAAGCTTAACATCTATTTAGCAAGAGTAATGATTTAAAGTGGGAAGCTGCCAGATGGTGTGCACTGTTAATAATGCCCATCTGTGAGCCCTATCATGAATTATAAAATTGATTTGGAGAAGAACATCTCCTGCTGTTTACCCCAGGTGCCATAAATGTCTCTTTATAGCTCAAAGGGTCAGGAATGCGTGAGGCAGGCTGAGGTGCACGTTGCTTAATGGTATATGATATTTTTACATAATAATAGAAAACAAGAAGAAAAGAATGCTATTTTTTTTGAGGTTATAAGATATTTGTGGCATCCAGGAGGCCATGTCAGAACTTTCTGCTTCACACGCAAGCCTGCCTCCAGGAGCATGGAAGAGCCTGACAGTAGGCAGGACTTCCATCTCCAGTGTTGGGTCTGAATAACTCCTGACCTGCCCCAGGTCTGGTGGCCCCAGCTTATCTGAGTCTCTTGATCCTCACCTGGGATCCTGACGAGGGCTTCAGGTTCTCTCGCATTAGAGGCCAGTTTGCTGCTGCTTCTCCACTTTGCCCCTGCAAATGCTCCAGCCCACTGGTGTCACAACTGCAGATAATGAGTTTTCCGACCTTCCCCCTTGGGACCAGGTCAGCTTGATGACCCTCACCTGGATTTGCTGACAGAAAAGGGAACTAGACACTGAGCAAGTTACTTAAGCCTTGAAGGCCCAGTTTCTTCATCTGTAATGACACATCACAGAGGAGTTCCAGTAAAGATTGATGTAAAGTGCTCAGTGGAGGCTGGTAATGAGAATAGAGTAAACCAAACCTAAACCACAGCCCCAGGACAGTCCACTAGCTCTTCCCCACCGCCCCAGCACACTCTTTCCTTTGCTTTCTGTCTCACCTGCAGTGAATGCCCCCTTCCTACTCCCCACAAAGCCCTAAGTCAACACTTTCCCTGTGAAGCCTCTAAACCATCCTCACCCACCATGGTCTTTCCTCCCCAGCATCCCTGTAGGTATAATGTCCGCATGATTAGATATTGCCTTATGCTGCTCTCAGCTATTCTTCTGTGCTTATCTTGCCTCTGATATAGATTACAAAGTCCTGTGAGAGCCATGCCCTCTATGTCTTTGCATATTCTCCCATGATGTGTCTTATATAGAGCTGGGGAGACAGAGGGAGCTTAATTATTCCTATTCCTGCATAATGTATCTTGTCCTGTATCAGCAATTCTTAACCCTCACAGTGCATCAGAATCACCTGGGGAACTTTGCAATATGCTAATTCTCAGGCCCCCTCCCAGGGATCCAGTTTCCGTTGAACTGGAACAGAGCCCACCTATGGGTGCTTGCTTAGAAGTTCCCCAAATGATTCTAATGTGATATGCAGCTAAGAGCAAGCACCACTGCACCATTTTAGCCAGGATGACTTTGTCCTCGGCGGTACTTAATTCCCATGCCACGTCAATTTGTCTTCTGGCTGCACTTTCTCCATTTAAAAATCTCAAATTATATCTTACAAGTTAAGTTACAATCCTTAGCTGCTTTCTGATATAATATACAAGGAGTCATCGTTAGGCAAGTGAATACTTTCTGCCATTACTCATTGGGCAGAGAATCAAGCTGTAAAAAACCCAGCCAAGTAATCCCCTTCAATATGAGACTCTCATTAATCAGTGATCCCTTCTGCAAGCACCTGTGTGAAGCCAGCAGTCACTATTTGTGACTTCCTTCCCCCAAATATATCAGACAGAAGAGCCAGCAAACAATGACCAAAGCTGTGCTTATGTATTGGGGTGACCTGTAAGTTATAATAAGAGAAAAGGAAAAGGGGCAAAAAACAAAGATGATGAATTAATGAGGTTGCTATGACAAAATGAGTTAATGGCAAATATGTAAAAGGAATTCATGAGGCTTTGATGGTGTTTGCAAGTTTCATTTCTCTTGAATGTCTGAATGAATTCAATATCTTCTGAAAAACTTTTAAAAACGTTATACTTTGACGACTTTCTGCTAACGACAGGAAAAGCAACCTTGAGGAATATTATTCTTATTTGCCTCTTTTTGGTTTTCTACAGTTTTAATTACTAGGTGAAGTGAAACCATGAGGTGAAAGGAAAATAATCCAACAACCCACAGAACTCTTCAGCAGCCAAGGTGCTTTTAAGTGCAAATTTTTATAAGATTGTTAAAGAAAAGAAGGAAATTGTGAGGAAGTGTACACTATACTAACAAATTTGTCTTCAAATTATAATATCTTTCAAGGTTTTCCAACAGGCACCAATGAGTTTTTAAATATTCCGTCAGATTCATTTTCTCCACAATCACTTTAAAAAGAGCTCTGTTTACCTGCTCAGAATGAAGAGCGCTATTATACTTTTTTTATAAACCATGGAGCTGCTTTACTGAGGATCTACCACTTCAACTTTTTCTCTACAGTGTAGAGTTAAACTGGATTCTAGAATTCAACAATTTACTTCTGCATCTACCCACTTATTCATGACCAAAATTTTTATTATTCATGAATCTTTGGTATTGAACAGGTTACTTTTTTATTTGGAAATCATTGCTTGACATTTTTAAAAATAAAATTTGCCATTTTTTCTTCTTGATAATTCAACAGAGAGGCTCACCGGGTGATACGTGCAGTATATATACTTTTACACATTTTAATTCCTCCCTCTAAAATATGAACAGAGGCCAAGGATCACCAACAATAGAAAAATCCTCCAATATACAAGAAAGTGACACCAAAACAAATATGCAGACTATGGGAATGTATATGAATGAGATAACGAAGTGAGAAGAAGAAAATATTGGAACAATTATAATTTATTTTCTATGGGAGAAAAGAGAAGTTGTTTGTATTCACTAACCAAATCAAGCCTAGGAAAAAAGATACATTCCAATAATAAGGAAAAGCTCATAGAAATTTAAACTATGATAGCCAAAATAAAAATCTCAGTGATTATTATCACTAAAAATGAGATGAAAATGTCAAGGGTAGAATGATAAAGTTAAGAAAATCTACTATAAGTAGAACAAAAAGAAGCCAAGAAATGAAATAAAAGAGAGAAAGAAAATTAATAACCCAGGAGGTCCAATGGTCACCTGTAATCCAGAAAGGGAAAATGAGGGATGTGTGGGGCTGAGATGGAGGAAATTGTAGACATTTTTCAGAACTTGAGGATGTGAGTTTCACATGGAAAGGGATGGATCCTGGAAAGTCCATCACAGTGGGAAAAAGAACAAAGACCCAAACTAAGGCTGATCATTTAAAAATTCTAGAACACCAGGGACAAGAAAAGATCATAAAGCTTTTGGTGATTATTTCAAAATGGGCTTCAGCTTTCTCAGCAGCAACACTAGACAGTAGAAGACAATGGGGGCCCAGCACAATGGTGGCTCATGCCTGTAATCCCAGCACTTTGGGAGGCTGAGGTGGGCGGATCACTTGAAGTCAGGAGTTCAAGACCAGCCTAGCCAACATGGTGAAACCCCATCTCTACTAAAAATATAAAAATTAGCTGGGCATGATGCCACACACCTGTAGTCCCAGCTACTTGGGAGGCTGAGGCAGGAGAATTGCTTGAACCTGGGAGGTGGAGGTTGCAGTGAGCCGAGATCATGCCACTGCACCCCAGCCTGGACAACAGAGTGAGACTCTGTCTCAAAAACAAAAACAAAAGAGAAGATAATGGATAAATACCATAAAAATTCTAAGAGTACTCAAAAATTTAAGTCTTATCCATTCTTTCTTAGGAAAGCATCAAAGTATACAGATACCAGCAAAAATAGAAGATAAACTAAGAAATACAAAGTCATTGAATAGAAGAAACAAGGGATTCTTCATAAAGGAATGGTAATAGAAGTCCCAGAAAGTTGCTCCCTATCCTTGCGAACACTTGATATTTTCAGTTTTTTGTTTTTTGTTCTGTTTTTATCCTTGCCATCCAGTTGGTGTGTACTGGTATCTCATTATGGTTTTTATTTGCATTTTGCTGATAACTAATGGTGTTGGGCACATTTTCATTTGTTTATTGACCACTTGGACATCTTGTTTATGCCTGTTCAAGCCTTTTGCCCATCTTTTAAAAGTTACTGTCCCCTTTTTCTTATTGATTTGTAAGAATTCTTGTATATCTTCTGGATTTGAGTCCTCTGTCAGGCTTGCCCCATACTCTGTTAAAGGTATATGCTTTTTTCAAAGTGTGAATTATTAGTCTTTTCCTTTGTGGTTAGCACTTTTTAATATTGGTTAATATTGGAGTTTTCATTTCCAAACTGAGAATATTCTGAACATGGTTTTTGTAACATTTTAAAAATTTACCAATGTATCACAAAGCATTTGACATCATAATATTTCTGAAAGAACACTTTTTATTTTTTATTTTTATTTTTTTATTATTATTATACTTTAAGTTTTAGGATACATGTGCACAATGTGCAGGTTAGTTACATATGTATACATGTGCCATGCTGATGTGCTACACCCATTAACTCGTCATTTAGCATTAGGTATATCTCCTAATGCTATCCCTCCCCCCTCCCCTCACCCCACAACAGTCCCCAGAGTGTGATGTTCCCCTTCCTGTATCCATGTGTTCTCATTGTTCAATTCCCAACTGTGAGTGAGAACATGTGGTGTTTGGTTTTTTTGTCCTTGCGATAGTTTACTGAGAATGATGTTTTCCAATTTCATCCATGTCCCTACAAAGGACATGAACTCATCATTTTTTATGGCTGCATAGTATTCCGTGGTGTATATGTGCCACGTTTTCTTAATCCAGTCTATCGTTGTTGGACATTTGGGTTGGTTCCAAGTCTTTGCTATTGTGAATAGTGCCGCAATAAACATACGTGTGCACGTGTCTTTATAGCAGCATGATTTATAGTCCTTTGGGTATATACCCAGTAATGGGATGGCTGGGTCAAATGGTATTTCTAGTTCTAGATCCCTGAGGAATCGCCACACTGACTTCCACAATGGTTGAGCTAGTTTACAGTCCCACCAACAGTGTAAAAGTGTTCCTATTTCTCCACATCCTCTCCAGCACGTGTTGTTTCCTGACTTTTTAATGATTGCCATTCTAACTGGTGTGAGATGGTATCTTATTATGGTTTTGATTTGCATTTCTCTGATGGCCAGTGATGATGAGCATTTTTTCATTGTCTTTTGGCTGCATAAATGTCTTCTTTTGAGAAGTGTCTTATTCATATCCTTTGCCCGCTTTTTGATGGGGTTGTTTGTTTTTTTCTTGTAAATTTGTTTGAGTTCATTGTAGATTCTGGATATTAGCCCTTTGTCAGCTGAGTAGGTTGTGAAAATTTTCTCCCATTTTGTAGGTTGCCTGTTCACTCTGATGGTAGTTTCTTTTGCCGTGCAGAAGCTCTTTAGTTTAATTAGATCTGCAACTTCAGCAAAGTCTTAGGATACAAAATCAATGTACAAAAATCACAAGCATTCTTACACACCAATAACAGACAAACAGAGAGCCAAATCATGAGTGAACTCCCATTCACAATTGCTTCAAAGAGAACAAAATACTTAGGAATCCAACTTACAAGGGACGTGAAGGACCTCTTCAAGGAGAACTACAAACCACTGCTCAACGAAATAAAAGAGGATACAAACAAATGGAAGAACATTCCATGCTCATGGGTAGGAAGAATCAATATCGTGAAAATGGCCATACTGCCCAAGGTAATTTATAGATTCAATGCCATCCCCATCAAGCTACCAATGACTTTCTTCACAGAATTGGAAAAAACTACTTTAAAGTTCATATGGAACCAAAAAAGAGCCCGCATCGCCAAGTCAATCCTAAGCCAAAAGAACAAAGCTGGAGGCATCACGCTACCTGACTTCAAACTATACTACAAGGCTACAGTAACCAAAAAAGCATGGTACTGGTACCAAAACAGACATATAGATCAATGGAACAGAACAGAGTCCTCAGAAATAACGCCACATATTTACAACTATCTGATCTTTTACAAACCTGAGAAAAACAAGCAATGGGGAAAGGATTCCCTATTGAATAAATGGTGCTGGGAAAACTGGCTAGCCATATGTAGAAAGCTGAAACTAGATCCCTTCCTTACACCTTATACAAAAATTAATTCAAGATGGATTAAAGACTTAAACGTTAGACCTAAAACCATAAAAACCCTAGAAGAAAACCTAGGCGTTACCTTTCAGGACATAGGCATGGGCAAGGAGTTCATGTCTAAAACACAAAAAGCAATGGCAACAGAAGCCACAATTGACAAATGGGATCTCATTAAACTAAAGAACACTTTTTAAAATAGCTACATATTATTTCCATTGTATGGATGTATTATTCCTTAAATAACACTTACTGTTGTACATTCAGATTGTTTTAGAGTATTACTTAAATAAAATTATAAAATTAATAAGTGTGCTATAAATTAAAAACCTAAGATTTTTAAATGCAAGTTTGACTATTTCCAAACTTCATTACCCGGTGAGTATATATTGAGTACCTAATGTTTCCTCCGCATTGTGCTGGATATTCTGGAGGATATAAGAGAACACTTAAGGTGGGCCCTGTCCTTAAGGAGGTGACAATATATTTGGGGGTCCCAAATGTCACCTGTTTAGCAATGCCTTAAAGAATAATTGATAGCTCAACTAACTGTTAATAGCTATATTTGAAATAGGAAGAAAGTTAGGGGAAAGCAAGATGGGGGTGTACTAAAATAGTTGGCTTCAAGGAAGAAATGGGTCTTGAAGGGTCTTTATATGTTGGAGTTGAGTACTTCGCAGAGTGGGGACTGCATGATCAAAGGTGTGGAATCAGAAGGAGTAAGCAGGGCATATCCGAAGGGCAGAAAGGAGTTGCTCTAGGTTGAAAGTCAGGGTAGATGTGGACAAATTGAAGGAAATAAGAATGGATAAGTAAGATGAAACCACATTAATGAGGGCTTTGACATGATGAATTTGGATCCAATCCCATAGGCAATAGGCTCACTACAGCTGGGGGTGAGGTGGCAGGGAGCCAGGCCATTGAACGGCAGTTTCCATAACAGCCTTCAGGTGAGTGGGAGGGTAGGGAGAGTGGAGAGTAACAAGACAAATTAAAATTGATAGGAATTGTCCAAAGGGCAGGTGATGTTATCTTCAAGAATTACAGATAATAGAATTTTTTAATGAAACAGAAAACTAGATATTTACTCCATAGTCTCTTGTTTGGGTCTAAATAATATCTTGGGTTTTTTAAGTGGCATTTCAAAAACAAAGTATCTTGACAATCATTACTGAGAGCCACTAACAACTGTTATGTCTCTAAAAAAAAACCTTTCTATACACAGGAATAGTTGTGATTCTGTCACTGTTTGGCAGTAAAAGGCAAAGAGAATTCATTGTACAGTGGTTTGGGCTTTTACTTACATGGAGAAGCATTAGAACATAGTGGTCTGGGTTCAAATTCCAGCTATGCCATGTTAGAGAAGTAATGTAATCTCCCTGAACCTCAGTTTCCTCTCCTGCAAAATGGGTATAACAATAATTAGAAAAATGCTTGGCACATAATAAATGTTAACTATGATTATCCTGGTCTCTGAGGTAGATGTTATCATTTTTATAGATTAATTGATCAAAATATTGGCTACATAGAGATAACGTATATTGGAAAAATACTGTCATTTATTATAGTGGTAAACAAGGGGTTAAAGGTTGTTGTAAGAAATAAGTAATGAACAATGGAAACTTTCATCAAAACCACTAAGGACAAAGTACCATTCCTTGGCTCTGCATCTATTATAACCATAGTATTATTAATAGTAATAAAGTGCTTGGTTTCTATAGAGCCTAAGACTTGGAAACAAAGCCAAGCGACATATGTATATATTTATTTAATTGTGGGAGACCCAGCAACATTTGGCGGCAGGCGCAGTGTTCCATTCAGTGGGATGAAATGCGTGCTTCACGCCAGCTTCTTTAGAGGGACTGTTATTCATCACAGCTGTAATGTTCCCTTCAGAGAGCTCCCACCAGAATGGAAAAGGCGCACTGGCAATTTATATACAAAAGCCAACCCACGTTTGGCTTTGAGAATTCACTGGGAAAACTGGATGCAGTCTGTTAGTTATTCACGGACATGCTCTGATTTCTGATGGAAGTGCTGTGGTTTCATTTTGTTATCATCACAGTAAAATTAGAAAGCAGCAAAGAAAAATTAAAGGACTAGCATGTAGACATCTTCTAGCTGACAAATTGTTATATGGTAAGTTTTCAGAGTTCAGTGGTCATGTAAAAATAGTCATAATTGGCACAGCCCTGTGTTTGGAGTGTGCACCCTGGCATTTGCCTCTACTGTCCAGCCCTGCCCCCACATCCCCTTGATGAAGTTACATAGTTATCCTCTTCCCTAGGAACACTGAACAAGCCTGCAGAGACACACCCTGCCTCTCAAAACAGTGCCATTTATGTGAAATATATTGGGACATCTCTTAACATCTAATGAATATAAATTGCTTTACAGTTGAATCTTGATTCAGAAGGACTAATATCTACAGTTAACCTTGCAGCTAGAATAGTTCCCTACCCCTTATTGGAATAGGTGTCTAACTCCAAGATTTCTTTCCAAATAATACATTATCTCACATCTACAGAGGTGTGATCTAGTATTGTAAAAGCACGTTCACATCTACCATTACATCTGATCTTCACAAGAAATGTGAGAGGGAGACAAGGCAGGTACCACAATACCCATTTTACAGATGAGAAAACTGAAGTCCAGGAAGATTCACTAATTTGCACCAAATCTCACAACTAGGAGGGGCAGTAGTGGGGCTCAAATCCAGTGACCAGTAAAGGGTTCTGTCCAACACTTTATACCACTTCCCTGAAATGGTTTTCATTTTGCAAGAGAAATAAGGCTTCATCTGCAACGATGAGTTAAATCTCAATTTGTTTAAATGACAAAGAATAAAAATAAGTAGTTTCTTTTAGTCCCAGCCAGAAAAGCAAGCATGATACTGGATTGTTTAAGTATGATATATATGAGAATGTGATGCTGTCATTTTGTTGGTTGCTTTTTTTCCCCCACGGAATCAGTTCTGTACTCATTTTAGTTCAACCAGCATTGAACAGAGCAACCACTATATAGCAACCAATATGTCCTGGCTCTTGTCCCAACAGTCCTTTGCGGAGACAGACAAGTAAACAGATAACACCTCACAGTGTTCTGAGTCCTGTGATCTAGAAGTATGCACCGGCTGCTAGGAGAGCCCAGGGGAGGCAGTGTCAATTAAGAAAGGCTCTTTTTTTTTTTTTTTTTTTTTTTGAGACGGAGTCTCGCTCTGTCACCCAGGCTGGAGTGCAGTGGCGTGGTCTCAGCTCACTGCCAACTCCGCCTCCTGGGTTCATGCCATTCTCCTGCCTCAGCCTCCTGAGTAGCTGGGACTACAGGCACCCGCCACCACACCCGGCAAATTTTTTGTATTTTTAGTAGAGACGGGGTTTCACCGTGTTAGCCAGGATGGTTTCGATCTCCTGACCTCGTGATCTGCCTGCCTTGGCCTCCCAAAGTGCTGGGATTACAGGCGTGAGCCACTGTGCCCGGCCAAGAAAGGCTTTCTGCAGGGGGAGACATCTAAGATTAGTTGTGAAGGATGAGTAGGAGTTCTTCAAACAAAGAAGGGTGGAAGGAAATTCCAGGCATGTTCAGAGATGTGGAGATTGGAGACAGCAAGAATAAACACAGTTTCTGCCAAGGGGCACAGTTTCTGGAAAGTAGGGGGGAGGGCCATTTTAAAGGGGAATGGCATGTAATCATAATCATCACTAATGCTCACATAGTGCTTGCCACGCACCAGGCTATATTCTAAGCACTTTACATATACAAATGCATTTTTTTTTTTTTTTTTTTTTTTTTGAGACGGAGTCTCACTCTTTCGCCCAAGCTGGACTGCAGTGGCGCTATCCCGGCTCACTGCAAGCTCCGCCTCTTGGGTTCATGCCATTCTCCTGCCTCAGCCTCCCGAGTAGCTGGGATTACAGGCGCCCACCACCACGCCCGGCTAATGGTCTCGATCTCCTGACCTCGTGATCCGCCCGCCTCGGCCTCCCAAAGTGCTGGGATTACAGGCGTGTACAAATGCATTTAATCCTCACAGCCACCCTGAAAGGTAGGTGAAATTATCACCCCCAATTGCAACAAAGAACAGAGGCACAAAAATGCAAAGCAACTCGGTCAGTATTTCATGGCTTATACTTTCAACACTGTGCTATTAGACTATCTTTCAAAAGTGTGTGTGTGTGCATGTGTGTGAAAGAGAGAACATGAAAAACTCCAAAGACAGAAACAAAGAGACCAAAGTTTGGGGAAACATATAAATTTTGGAAAAAATTAAACCAATGGAGGGGCTTTATTCTAGAGAAGAGGGCTGAGAAGGCAGCATGAAGAAAATGAGCCTCAGTAATATTAAGGAGCCTGTACGTTAACTCAAGTAAGAATTTTCTGCCAATTAGAAGTAAGCTAAGTCAGACACGCGTCACCCAAGGGAGCTGCCAACTCTACTTGCTGCAGGTTGTGCTCCTTGGAAATGTTTTGAATTGGTCTGAATCCTGCCAGCTGACTTGAGCAGGATGTGAAGAAGACACATAAGTTTGTTGGAATGTGTAAACTCTTTGAGTGCACATGTTCGATAAATATTAATTGATGGCAAACCAAATTTAGTGCTATAACTAAGATTAGTAACATTAATTGAGAACACTTCTCATTTTATACATAGTTGTTATGTTTCATGGCCAACAGGTAAAAATTCTATAAGGAAAATTTTGCATTTTCTATCTTCTCTTTTTTAAGGACTTTGGTATAGATAAGCTATCACTGGTTATTAAGAAGTTCCATGTTCAATTTGCAATCCACTTCTGGCAAGGTAAAAAGAACTTTGTGATATTAGTTTAATTACTAATCTTTTCCCCATTTCATCTTGTTTTTTCAACACTTATTTCCTCCCCATATTCACTATTTAAAAATAAATTATTGCAGTATATGTATCGTTGAAAATGACAAATTTTTCTGAAACAAGATAGGGTATAATTAAATACACATGTAAACCAGATGTTACTTGGAGACTACTTGCAGATTAGGTAAAAATTAGTTTATCCCCAACCTCAGGACCTCAAGGTATCTCCATGATTTCTGCACTCCTGTGGGCCATGTCAGTTCAGCCCTATTTATTCATTTTTTTAGCTCATTCTTTCAACAAGTACTTACTGACCTCCTACTACATCCCAGGCATTATTATAGGCAATAACAACAACACAATGGTGCAAAACACAGGCAAGTTCCTGTTGTGGCAGAATTTAAATTCCAGTGGGTGAGAGGCAAACAAACGAAAGGGAGGAATTCAATGCAAGAAAAGAGATTTTCAGATAGTGAAAAGTTTGATGAAGAAAGTGAAACAGGGTCCTGTGAGCTCCTGAGATGTAGTGAATTTCCCCTTGGGGGTTAGGGAAGTCTTCCCTTGAAGGTGGCTGCTGGCTGAGGCCTGGATGGCCAGCTTGGCAGCCTGTAAATCTGGAGGAGGGGTTCCTGGCAAAGGGAACCACCAGGGCCAAAGCTTTGAGGCCAGGCTGAGCTGCGCACATTTCAAAGACAAGGGAGGCCTGAGTGGCTGAGATTAGTTGCACTCAGGAGAGAAAGGGTGGCTATGGGGGATGAGCAGCCGGAAGGGGCCAGATCACACAGGGCTTTGTAACCAGAAGAAGGAGGTGGACGTTTCTTCTAAGTGGGAGTCCTAAGGGATCTGATTGCTGATTTTTAAGAGGTCAGTGTTTCTGTTTTGTGGAGAGAAGATTGAACAGAAGCAGAAATGAAAGCAGAACACCCATTAAGAGATTCTTGCGTTGAGAGCGAGGCTGCTTGAACTACAAGGTACTGGACATTCAGGCAGAAGTAGACAGAGGCAGTTTCTGTTGTAGAGATACTGAGAGAGGCAAACCTTCCTCCTCAGTCTCCCACCTACTCCCTTTGATGGCTTCTGCAAGAAACTCAATTGAACCAACTGGGTTTTTTGGAATTTTACAAAAGATTTGCAGGGCCCTGAGGAGGGGTTCACTTTGGGGAATATGTGGGTATCTTGGATACCGCCCCCTTTGTCTCACTCTGCCCTTTTTAAGGGTCCCTGGTGCCTATCCATGGCCTTCCCCTCTATCCAAATCCTCTAACATATGTAATCCTGCCCCCACAACCAGCTTCCTCCAAGGGAGCAGCCCCTGTGCACCAATATCAGTTTCAGATCATTGCAAGCATATTAACTCACACAGAAATCCACCCACATTCCACATTAAATATTATTTACATGAGTTGACTTGTGGCTGACTAGATGATATGGTATTACAGTTTGCAGACATTTAATTAGACATTTATCTTTATTTTATGATTTACTTTTCTGTTGTTGTAATCTATATATATATATTTTCAGATCTCAAACATTTTGTGGGCCATTACAAAGCTCATGTCCCCTATGTCTGTGGGGCCTAATGATTCAAACAGCCGTGACCAGGCCTGCCTGTGTGGCCCAGCCTGGCTGGCATTCAAGTGAATAACATCATCTCCATCTCACTGCACAGAAGTATGAACTGCGGTGTCAGCAGGTTTCCATGACACCACCGGTGATGTAGAGCACACATCTCTCCCACACTCTGCTGGTTACCAGGCCCTGGCAGTACAGACCAGGCCTCCTGGGTTGCCTTCCTCCTTCCGGCTCACAGGTTCCTCTTCACTCCCATGCTCTGCTCCCCAGACCTCTGGCCCAGAAGGAGTGACCCAGAGCCTGAGGCAGGAGAAATTTTGAGGCGGAGACTGGAGCTGAGGATGAGGCCCAGGCCCGGCTAGAGAGAAAACACTGAGAAGGGACTGAGGCCCCCACATGCTGGAATCTTGTGAAAAGAGGTGAAGGCAAAGCTGGGGATGAGAGAGAGAAGACGGAGCAGGAGATTAGCAAGGAAATAAGGTGGGGAAACAGCTGGGAAGACAGACATGCATCTGGAAGATTCCAGAAAAGGCCATTTCATCCAGCCCTGCTCCAGCAGTTTGTATTTCAGCAGCCTCACGGGACACCTGGCCTTTCCTTTCTGACATCGTTCTCCATCCATCCAGCACCTCTTGGAGATCACAAGGGGCTCTCCACATGAGACTTTTGAAACTAAGAAATAGATTTGGGTGTTGCACGTGTTTGCTCTGGAGCCACATTGCTTGGGCTCAAATCCCAGATCCATGGCTTCATCACCTATGAACCTTGGGCACATTTCCCCACATGCCTGTGCCTCAGTTTCCTCAGCTGTGAAATGGAGTGATAATAGTTCCTACTTTTACTGAGTCATTGTGACGTTTTCTGTGAAAGGCCTAACATATGAAAAGCACTCCATAAATGTTTAGCTATTATTATTTCAAGGAATTGTAAAAACAGGATCACAAAATTGTGGAATATCATTAATGTTTACATTTAACAAATTATACCCTTTAATTCAGAAAATGCAATGGCATATAACTGTGGTATTTACAGGTAATATAGAAGTTAAGGTTTTTTCTATATAATTAACTTATAGCACCCTAGAGGTAGGATGGTTCAGTCATGGGACGTGAGTTTAGAGCTGAATGAGAAGTATCTGTGTTATGACTGTATTTATAACCTCATTTGGAAGCAACGTTAAAAGCCTAAATTTGAGATCCTTTGTAAATGTTTGTCTCCAAGCCAAATGCTTTTTCCTGGTCCCCTTCCTGACTCATGCTCCCACCCCCGTTCATATCTTAAAATGATTAGGGCAGAAAAGGGTGGGGGAGTTGGAATAGACTCTACTTCCTGCCTCTCTGATTTTACAATTAGATTAACAGGGCATAAGGCCTTTACCTCTACAACTGGATGATTTATAGTTTTATATATATTACACACACACACACACACACACACACACACACACAGAGAAAGAGAGAGAGACAGAGAGAGATATTCAGCCTAATATGTCAGTATAGATCCTTTTGCAATTCATGAGCATGATGATGTGGTATCACACTTACGTGTGAGATGTGCCTCCCTCAAACCTTCTTCCTACAGGTTGGCACTTTGCCCACCTGACATGAAAAAAGAAGTCAATGTAGAAGGAGAGGTAATACAAGGCTAAAACTCACTTGTCCTGTAAACAACTGAAGACAAGCCAGTCTTTGAGATGAAAGCCTGCAGGTGCTAGCCAAAAGAGAAGGGTGGGGAGGACAGGTAAACTTTCCCTACCTTACAATTTGGTTTTTACTCACATATGCCCAATAGAAGCTGTGTGTAATGCAAGCAATAAAATGAATGACTTTCTACCAAATGGCACTCTTCATGGCTGCAAACGTGACCCTAAACTACAGCAGTCTATAATGTGGCAGACTCAAGAGGGACACAAAGTTAACACTGCCCCATGCTTTCCCCTGGAAACACCAATGCCATGCATGAAGGGCTTTGTGGCTGCTAACCCAGGGAACATTGCTTGCAGAACTTTAGAAACAGGAGCCTTGCCAGCTCTCAGGGAAGCTAAGATGAAAAGTCTACCTAGAGTACAGCAGACTGGTTGACCTTTCAAAGGCCCTTTTATCCTCGAGAGTCTGTGGTTTTGATGTAGTGTTGAGTACTTTTTAACTTTCTCTCGAGAAGTGTCAGTAAGTAGATGAAAAATAAAGTCTGGTTCTGCACAAATGCACTAATTCCCCCATGCATTTTCAAAGATTTTTAAAAATAGAGAAATTTTATAGTCACATAATAAGTAATAATAATCCAAACATGATGAGAAATTTAAATTTGTCTGCTTTGCAGATCTAAGAGTTCAAAATTGCTATGAAGGCATATTTTGGGGGGATACTATTTTATATACATGGGAGACAAGTCATTGTTGCTCTGCAAATAGTAGGAAGACAGCACTTTTTTTGAGTGAGTTTTTAAGAAAGTTTTTCGTGTCTTCATGTTAATTATTTTGGAGGAAATAGAGTCACTGGATAACGATGATAACTTAAAAATAGCTAACCTTTATTAAATGCAGTCTATCTCAGTTATCTATTGCTATATAACAGGCCACAAAATTTAGTTGCTTAAGACAATATTTTATTATTTCTTAGGGTTTTATGGATTGACTGGGCTCAGCTGGGAGGTTCTTCTGCTCCACATGGTGTCTGCTGAGACTGGAATGTCCAAGATAGCTGTCTGGTGCCTCAGTTGGCCTGGATAAAAGAGCTTGGGTTTTGTTGGGCATTTCTATCTTTCTCTCTCCAGGTGGTCTCTCCAATAGGACAACGTAATCTCTCTATGTGGTGGCTCAGGACTCTAAGAGCAAGTGTGCAAGGAGGATAAACCCCTATTTGCAAGCACTTATTAAGACTCTGCTTCCATACCATTTGCTAGAATCTCAATGGCCAAAGCAAGCTGCTCAGCCAAGTCCAGAGTCAATGGGAGAGGGAACTACATAAGGACTTAAATACTGGAAGGCATGGCTCATTCGGGGTCACGTCACCAGTGTAACAGGCAACCACACAAATTATACACCACATCTTGGATTGGGTACTTTACATCCATTTATCTTCTTTAAAAATGAAAACAATCCTATGAAGTGGATGCTATTTACAATTTTCATTCTAAGTAGACACAGAGAGATTAGGTTACTTGAACAGAGTCACAACAGTAAAAAGTGGCAGAGCTGGGATTAAACCCAAGCCATCTAATCCCAGAGCCTGAACTCACAAATCTGAAGACACAAGCACAAGAATAGGAAATTATTAACTTCTAGAAGTAAATGATATTCCAGAAATACTTAGGTAATAATTAGTTTGTGAATTTACACATTCAATAATAATTATAATATTTTTGTCCTGCTTTTTTGAAGAGAGGGCTAAAAGCATTGTGAATCACAGAGGCAAAAGCAGTACCTTGACTGGGGTGACAATTGTACTTCTCCTTATTCATTGAGTCACTCGATGTCTTAATTTCCTCAACTGTAAAATGAGAATAGTAATAATATCTAACTTGCAAGTCTGTGATAAGGTTAAGTTAGATAATACAGTGAGCATAAAGTACCTAAAATATTCTTGATGCATAGAAGGTGCTCACAGCCATGCGTGAGGGCACCCGGTAGACGGAGCTGAGCGTGGTATGACAAATATTCTTGATGCATAGAAGGTGCTCACAGCCATGCGTGAGGGCACCCGGTAGACGGAGCTGAGCGTGGTATGACATGTGGGAAGCAGGTCTCAGGGGATTCACGATCTCCTCCATTAGCTCCGTGGAGGATGATTAGGGTGCTGAGCTTAAACTACAGGATAGGCTATTACCCCTGCCCATGGGTGGGAATCATGGGTCAGAACAGGGTGGGAGAAATTACTGGTTTGCCATACCTCACTCTAGGAGCACTGGAAAAATAGACGCCATGGTTCCTGGAAGACTTATAACTGCTGTCACCACAGAACTAGTCTAAGTAACCCATCCCAACTCGACTAAGCTGTGTTATCTACAAATTTAATCCGGCTCTAAAAATGTTTCAGGACACTTCCCAAATTTGGCATGTACTAACTCAGTAAGGATCAATTATCTAGTTCTCATCACCTTCCAGCAGAAAAACTGTTTTGATGTTAGTGAAGATGTGGGAAAAAGGGAGGAAAGAAAAAGCAATTCGTCATGGATAACTTTCCAAACCTTAGTTTCCATTGTCTGGTTACGCCAGCTGCTGTCTGCTGGTTTTGAGGCAATTTACAGCTGGAAGAAACAGGACTCCACATTTCTTCATTTGGGGTCTGAGTGACAGCTTTTTCCATGATATTGTAGTCACAGTTCTAAACATGAATTATGGCAGCTTTAAATTACAGCCACAATATTATGGGTAAAAGGATAAATCCCTCACTGCCTTCTCTTATCTCCAAAGCAGTCGGGAGTGGGGAGGAGGCCACTTACCCCAAAGCAATAAAATGAGGGTGGGAGATGGGCCTGTGTCAGAAAAGGCAGCTGGAAGCATGCTTTGCTGAAATGCTCTCAGATGCAAATGTGTTATTATACAAATCTCTCTTCCCCAGTTGCAGAAGGACAAAGTGAAAGAGGATGATTGAGGAGAAACCCTCGATCTTCAGGGCAAGCCCTTTTAAGATCTGCTCATTCCACTTATGTCCCTGGTAGCATATTGCCCAAACACTGCTCTCCAAGGACTCAAGGAAACTTTTCCCAAAGCTTTGTTTTTGGGGTTTTTAAAGGTAGTTTTCCATAATTCATTAAATGTGTTTCTTTCTCACGATCTCACATGCTTGAGCAATTCCTGAGGGCAGCACCTCAATACTGTGATACAGTTTCTGTTTCATTAGCTGTGTAAACTTACATAAGTTTCTTCACCTCTTTAATCTCAGTTTCCTCAACTGTAAAATGGACATAATGACCCCTATGTCACAGTGTTATTGCAGGAGTGAAATGAAGTAATTTGCACCCTCTTTCCTTTCACCTTTCTCCCGGACTCTATCAATTCTGCATCCCACATGTCTCTGGGATGGATTCGCTTTTCTCCATTGTGCTGCTGACACATCCTCTTTCACCTGAACCCTGGCAGGACCCTCCATCCCCCTGCCACAGATGCCAGAGGGATTTTTCAGAATGCACACTGACCCTCCTCCACCCAAAGTTCTTTGCTCACCCTCATTGGCCGTAGACTACGGTCCAAACTGGAGCAGAACACCCATGGCTCAGTGATCCCACCCTGAGGATCCCCCCACCACCTCACTCTCCACACACAGTTTCTACTTCACGACAGCGTTTGCTTTTCCACCAAACTCTCTGTTTCTCTTTGTCCCTGTCTTTCTCAAGTCTATTGCATTTTTACACAAGTCACTTTCTCTGCACAGGGGGCTCTAGCTCCTTTTTTCCACCAAGAACATTCCCATGCACTCTTCAATACTCATCACAGGAATCATCTTGTCCATGAAGTTTCCTTCTCCATAGCCCAGGAGGAGGTGGGCTCCCCTTTCTTTGCACAACACCTTCTACCTCCATGCGGGCACTTTGCATTTCATTGTGTTACAGTCTACCCCACCTTGCTGTCAGCTGCAACAACTGTTTTTGTAGCCTCAGGGTACTGCACAGGTCTGCAGAGAAGAATGACTCAAAATGTGTTGGCCTAAATGACCTAATAAATGCCTCTAGGGTCACACACTCTCTTTTAAATGATGACTTTCCTATCTCCCTCCTTCCTGTCTCAAGAAGTCAAACTCACTTTCAGGAGCAATGACAAACTGCATGGATCTAGCTCAGCTCAAAGCAGACAGGACAGGGAGGAGCCATTATTTTCAGCACAAGCGAAATATTAGGGGGACTCAAAATGATAAGAAATACAGCGCTTAATTCTCATAACATTTATTTTATCAATGACACTCCATCTATTTCAAGAAAGTGTCTGGGGGTAGTTCATAAATATTAAAGCATCTTTAAAACATGACAAATTAAAGAAATAAAACCCAGAACAAAAATATTTTAAAGGGAGCAGAGAATGAGATGCCTCAGTCTCCTGGAGTACTGTAAGAGTGGGGCTGGGGAGGAGGAAGGAAAGTGCCCTTGACTGCTCTGGTAGATTCTTTAGACATGAGAGCATCCACAAGTGGTATGGCCTTTGAGAGGGGGATAAAAGCTACTTATGAGATGGCAGAATTGAGAATCCAAAAGATTGTTACAACTGTGTGGTCACACGTGCAGTGGACAAAGCTGAGATTTTTGGTTTAAGTTTTTGTATGGAAATTGTATTTTAGGCACATCTTTGCCCTTGGAAGACTTTTAGCGGCCTAGGTATATTTCTGAACAAACACATTCCCTCATATTCTTTTCCTGGTTTAAAAATTTGTCTCTTAATTATAATTGAAAATACAATAAAAAGGGAATCCAAGCAGTACTTCCTTCCTTTGATTAGACAATTCCTAGGACTTCTAGTCCTGGGAAGAGACGAGGCACTTGGAGGCTCGGGAGCCAGCTCTGTGAGCGGCTTTGATGCAGCAGCATGGCACAGCAAGGACACCTCTCAGGTCACGCACGCTCTTTCCCACTTGTGCCTCTGCAATGGTGTTATCAGGGCTTCAATCTTAGCATTTCAAGGAAAAAAGAAAATTATTTGAATGGGCAGCTTTACAGTTTATACAGAAAAGAAATTGGAAGCTGAAGGACGACATTGAAAAATACCACAAGAACAATAGACTACTCTGTAATAAAAAGAAACAAAATACTCATGTATGCAAAAGCACAAATGAACCTCAAAAGCATCAGGCTAAGTGAAAGAAACCAGGCACGAGAGATTACACACTGCATGACTCCGTTTATATGATATTCTGGGAAAGGTAAAGCTATAGAGACAGAAATCAGATCAGGGATGGGGATGAGGTGAGGGGATTTGCTAGAAAGGGGTGCAAAGGAATTTAGCGGGTGATGGAGCTGTTCTGTGTCTTGATTGTGGAGTTATTACAAGACGGTTATTACAGTTTTGTTGTATTGAATTTTACTGTATGAAAATCATACCGCAATAAACCTCACTCACATACGCACATTCAGGACAGTCCTGCTGGAGATGATTGGAATCAGGGTCTGTGGAGGTGTCTGGGAGATGGCCACTTGGATTTTGCCTGTGTTATCCATTAAAGCTCCATGGCAGATTTTGTCTGGAAAAAGAGTTCTGCTGCTAAAAACACCTGGAAACCACAGGATAAGATGAATGCCAGTGAGAGGCAGCCGAGGTGTCTTAAGAGAGCAATGCCTGTCTTCATTTTTGTTGTTGTTTTTACATGTATCTTACTAGGAGACAGAAACCAGAAGAGGAATAAAAAAAGACTATGTGTAATTACTTGCCCTCGGTAACCCCACAAGTGTTTTCTTTCCTTACAATTTAGTCTTAATAAGGACTCTGCACTCTCTAAATTTAAGACCAATGGTATGGAAGGCATCTATTTTTGCCAACTTGGAAGAGTCACCTAAATGATGCCCCTTAGGGTAAAGAGGTGCAAGTCAGCGACGCCTTTGTTAACCCCAGATAAGCCCCTGATGGGCTTTACTGGCCCCCAAACAGCAATGATTGTACAGCAATAAGGGGACTTTGGAAAGTTTTGCAAGCTGGGAAACTTGCTGAATAAATCATCTCTGAAGCTGCAGTTTGGCTCCAGGAACCAGACAGCTCTCCTGAATTCAGGACTGTGTAATGCTTCCATCTGAATGCCCTTCAGTAAGGCCAGCCTCACCTTTTCACCACCGCCCCCCTGCTCATTATTGGTTTTCACCTGAATTCCTCACAGGTTCCTGACTGAGCCCTGAAGGCGTTAAAGTTTATGAAAACAGTTAGAGTTTGCTGACAAATATTTGGACTAAGGGTATTGATTGGAAGATGTGAAATTCTTTCTTTCCAGCCTCTGTAATTTGTGTCAAATGTTCAGATCGCTGTGTGCTCCATTGTCCTCAGAAGTCCAGGCGTGCCATGTCACTCATCCGCACCTGGACCCTCTCCCCATGATAAGAGCTTCTCTCTGTTGCTAGCTCCTGGATGCTTCACCACCCTTTATTAGTTTCCTAATCCTGCCCACATTTAAGAAAATAATCCTCTCATTGCATTGTCTTCAGTTAAACCCTTTGATTGTTTCATCTAATTTCTGTTAGGATAGTAACCATCACAACTCCCTGCCCAAATCCTACAATAAGTTCTCAGTGTCCTAATGATCAAATCTAAACTCTTTTATGCCCTTCCTTCCTGACCTCAGCTCCTGCCACTCTCCCCTTGTCCAGTAGGTTCCATTCTGTTCCAGTTGTTTCCTGTTGGGGGCTGTTTGCATCAGTGTTCCCCCCTCTAGATTGTTCTCTACATGCTGGTGTGGCTGTCTCATTCTCACTGTCATCGTGCCAGGTCAGATGTCACCTCTTCAGAAAGGCCTTTCCTGGCTACTTGAAGAAAAGTAGCTCTCCTCCCTAGACCCTCTCCAGCCATTCCATTACCCTGGTGTACTTTCTTTTTTTAAAGCTTTTGTCACTATCTGAAATTACATAGATTGTATTTGCAAACACATTTGTTGTCTTTCTTTGTTCCACACTAACCTAAGCTCCAAGGAGGCCAAGGCTTTATCTTATTTACCACTGTATGGTCAGAGTTACTGCAAAAAAGAGATTATGGCACACTCAAACTGAGTCAAAGGAGTTTAGTAAAGGAATCATTTAGAAAGATGAGGGCAACAGGGGATAGGGCAATACTCTGGGGCTAGTAACACCAGGGTCATCAGAGTGTTTGCCTGAACTCTGAGAGGACTGTCTGGTGGGCAACAGCTGCTAGTAACAAACCCACAGCAAACTGGCAGGGAGGCAGGTTCACTGGTCACTCTCCTCCTTCTCATTGTCCAACCTCTTGTCACAGGTCCCCATTATCCAATAGGAAGTTGGAGGGCAAAAGACTCAATGCAGCCCATACCAGTCGGCTTCCTGGGACACAGCACAGGGTAAATGGCCGAGCGCCTCTCAAGAAGCGTAGCATCATCTTCACTAGGCTCAAGATGAAGCTCAGCACCAGGCCCACCATAGTTTCCAGCCTCAGGGGCACCATTCACCCAGATTTGTGCAAAACGGTGGCTGTGCCTGGCAGTAGGATATCAGAGAAGGAGGCATGGAATGAATCCATGAGTTTTCATGGGTTTGGCCCTGGTTTCTAGCTACTGGTTGGGGGGACATTCCCTCCCTCTGTAACACAGGGCAATCAGGACAAATGAAGGTTCACTCCCTAGTGGGCTTCCTGAAAGAGTTCCCAAGACCTCAGCCATTGCCCTGTAAGATGGAGAGAGAAAATTCCTGTAACTGCTAGGCTTGTACATTTTCGGCTAAGGACATTTCTGAAGTTGAAGAACAATCTCTATTTATGTTCAGCATGGAAACTGGAGCTTGTTTTGCATTGTGTTTGGAGGCAGAGAGGAATCAGGTAGCAGGCTGGCAACTCTTCTGATTTTTTCATGGGCTACAGAGCTCTCCAGGCTTTGTGGGGGTAGGAACAAAATAATCCATCTACAGGATTAGTGGCTGAATGGGGAAGAAGCCAAGTCATTACACACTATGCCATCAACTTTTAGCAAGGTGTAGAGTTACCATGGTGACATGTATGGGGTAGGTATATCTAAGTGGATTATTAATCAGAAATCCCCCTTCAGTGCCTACTAGGTATGGGAATGGTGAGAATTCAAAGCAATGTGAAGACAGATGTATTCCCTTTAATATTAAGCAATGAGAGGAGCTATAGATGCATGATTGAGAAGCAATTACAAGGGGACATGTTAGATTACTAAGAGTGAAGTGGGAGCTACTTGTCAAAAGAGTTTGAACATAAGGCTGGAGAATAATATGATGTGATGAAAATTGCTGCCAGAACAATCTTCCTCACTTCCTCAGTGTAGGGCAGGTTGAAAGAGGAGGTGGCCTGGGATGGCTGTGAAAATGAAGAAGCTGGAACAGATGGGACAGACTGCCAGAATGTACAGCCCAGTCATCCCGAGTATGCCTGATGGCTAGGCTATGTCATCCCATAAATACAACTGAGCTGTAAACAGCTGTGAGCTCTCTGTGGCTGTGTTTACCTAGTAAATTTAATTTCCCAACACATTTTTCTACTTGATCCATCCTATACTATTTGGATGAAATAATGTCATTGCTTTCAATTACTTTGCATTACTTTTGTTACAAAAGGAAAATGACTCCCTAGCACGTGTTAATTTCTGGTAGGAATTCCGGTTCCTTGTACAGAAAGCTGCTGCATACTTGTTGACTGATGACACACTGATCAATAAAAAAAAGATAATAAAACCAGTGAGTACATGTCCTCTGGGGGCCTTTTAACTTCAAGCCTATAATGCAGAAACTTGTTCTTTCTTACCATAAACCACCCTGAGGCACCAGCTGACAATAGATTAAGAAGTTTACGTTCTATGTGAAATTTGCATTTGAAAGGAGGATTTTTATTCAACATTTATGGAGCCTTAACCAAGTGCCAAGCTCTGTGTTAGGTATCAAGGATACAAAGATGGCTAAGATGTGGCAGAACCCCCTCAAGTAGCTCACAGCCTAGGTGGAGGGGGGCAGATAGAGCAATGCTTGACAGCGAGAATTACAGGGTATAGGAGGCCCTAACAGGAGAAGCTGCTGATCTAGACTGGGGTTAGGGTTGGTCGGGGAAAGGGTTGTGGGCGTCTCCCACTTTCCTCTCCAGGCCCACGCTCCATGCTGCTTTGTGCCCTGGGGGCTGATTGCAGGGACTGCCTCAATGGGCTCCTGTGCCTGCTGCTTCTAGTTGGATTTGGCCAATGGGGAGCTACAGCAAAGATGAACCAGAGGAAGGAAAAGAAGGCTGAAGTGTTCATTCTCTGGAATTCCTTCTTTCAGGATCATTGTAGACTGGCTGTATCCCCTACTGAAGGACACAGCTCTGGTCAAGCAGCCCTCTCCTCCGACTCTTTCTCTGTGTCCTAGTAACCTTCTCTCCCCTGGTGCTTTCCAGCCTCTCAGATGGTCACAGGACTACTAGCCATCAGGTTCAGTGCCATCGTTTGTTTCCTTAAGCCCTGCTGTCACCTTTATAACTAGTCCCTTTAACAGTGCTCGTCAGTTACCCAGTGATAATGTGCCATGCCTTTCCTCTGGAATCCTGACAGTCAGAGAAGCTTTCCAGGGAGAAGTGATGCTCAAACTGAGTATGGAATAACAAGCGATTATTTGGGTAGAAAAGTGGAAAGGGTTCAGTCAGAAGCAACAAGAAGCCAGCAGAGGGAAGAGATCATAGGGTGTTCCAGCAGCCGAGGCATGATCCTTGAACCCTCCTTCTCCTTTACCCCCAACATCCACCTGGACACCAAGTCCTGTCCATGCTACTTCCTCACCATCTTCCAACCTGCCCACTCCTTTCCACCTCTGCCGCCCTCTGGATTTCTTGCCTCTCTTACTACACCAGCTTTGCAGTCATTCTCACACCCCTGCTGAAACCCCTTCACTGTTTCCTCATAAGCTTCAGGGTAAAGGTGGACTCCACAGCATGGTCCCCATAGCCCTGCCCACTGGCCTCAGGCCCAGCCTTCTGCACTTGCTGCCACAACTCTGCCTCATCAATCCACCTCCCCCCACTTGTTCTCTAGACTCACTCTCCTCATCCCATAGAACAAACGTCAGGGGACTGCCTCCCATGAGAAGCCTTTGGGATCACTCACCTGCCGTCAGTGACCAGCCCCTTCTCCCTTCAGGTGAGGTGTGGCCACAGTTGTGTTCCCGTGGTGCCTGGCGCTTTTCTCTATTTCAGTCCTGCCCACAGGATGCTCGATCATCCCTCTGCTCTTCTGTTTCCACTCCAGACTGTGGACTTCTAAAGATCAGGGACTGGATCTTATTCTTCTTTAAATCCTGATATGCTCACAGAGCAGGGCACATCATAGGTGCCCAGTTGATGTTTGTTGACTAAGGAATGAAGTGCAGTTAACTCACAAGGGGACACAGTGGACAAAGAGGAGAAAAGAGAAGGAATATGAGGTGAGGATGGAGGCAAGCAGTACCTGGATGAGAACGGACCTGATAAACTGGGCTGAGGATTACGGGTGTTATCCTCTCAGGATAACTGGGAGCCATGGAGCGTCTTAGGTACGAGTAAAGACCAGACCAGATGTGAACTGATGCAGCTCTCTAGCAGCATCAGTAAGTCAGAAAGCAATGGAAAAACCAAGATGGCAATGGGGGAGCAAAAGGAATGCCAGCCTCTGCCAAGGCAGGGCAGAGTAAGCAAAGAAAAAGAGATTGCAGATGGGAAATCCTCTGAGTCCAAGAGAATATGTAGCTATGGCATGTGGAAGACATTCACAATATCTTGTTGAATATAATATATAAAAGAGTATACATAACATACTTTCCCTCTTAAAAAATTAAAAAGGCCAGGAGGGATGTACATCAAAATATGACCAGTAATTTTGGGATATCAGAGATACAGGTAATTTAAGCCTAGAACCTGGGGGAAAAAAAAAAAAGGAAAGGAATACAGGTAATTTTCACTTCTCTATATATTTTTCCTAGTCCGTTGCTTCCTTTCTTTTGTTCTTTCTTTCTTTCTTCCTTCCTTCCCCCTCCTCCTCCTCCTCTTCCTCCTCCTCCTCCTCCTTCTTCTTTTTCTCTTACTTTTCTCCCTCTTCTTCCTCTTATTCCTTGTTTTTTGGACTATGAACCTCTATTCTTTTCTAACAATAAATACATCTTTTTCAGATACAAGAGGCAGCGAGAGATGGATAAAATTCTGGTCAGGAATTTGTCCATCTGTAAGAAATACACCTTCTCACTACAGGTTGAACATCCCTAATCTGAAAATTCAAAACGTGAAATGCTCCAAAACCCAAAACTTTTTGGAAACTGACATGACACCACAAGTGGAAAATTCACACTTGACCTCACATGACGAGTTGCAGTCAAACACAGTCACAACTTTGCACAATTTTTCAGTCACAAAATTATTAAAAATATTGTATAAAATTACCTTCATGCTATGTGCATAAGTTGTGTATAAAATAGAAATAAATTTTATTTTTAGGTTTGGGTCCTATCCCCAAGATATCTCATTATGTATATGCAAGTATTCCCAAATCCAAAAAAATTTGAAATCTGAAACACTTCTGGTTCCAAGCATTTTGAATAAGGGCTACTCAACCTGTACTTATAAAACTTCAGCCCACAGTATACAAGAAGTCTGAAAATTTGACAAGTAGCACAAGAGTTAAGAGCACAAGCTTTGAAATCAGACCAAGGATGGCACTGCACAAGGGCAGGTGCTTTGTTTTGCTCACTTCCCCAGTGTCCAGGACAGTGCCTGGCACATAGCAGATGCTCAAGAAAATTTGTGCAATGAATGAAATCCCAGTTCCACCAAATACTAACTGTATGACTGTGAGCACATTGGGTCATCTCTCTATACCTTAATTACCTTTACTATAAAATGTGGAATAATAATAGCAATTAACACAGAGATTGGTGTGATAATTACATGAGATAATACACATAAGAAGACTGCTTGGACTGTAGTAAGCTCTCAATCAATAATGCAAACATAAAAAGCCCTGGCCAATTCTAAATGAAGAATTTCCTCCTAGAATTGCATCTCTTTGCCCTTAGCTTTCGAAGTACAGATGGGTACTTTACCCATCAGGCACAATGCCTAGGGCCCATGAAAAGGTTTTATTTCTTTTAAAATCAGAAGCAAAAGGAATATAATAAAAATGAGTATGTAATAATAAACCTAGCCTGGATTATATTCATTGTTATACCAATGTGGTTATAAAACATAATATAATTTGTTTTGTTTTGATGAAAGAGAGGCCCCATGAAAAGTTACAATGTGTTTTTCTTTCCATCATTCTATTCTTGTTATTCCAATGGATAATTTGATTTAAAACTTCATACATTAAGCTGCTACTGTAGATCAGACACTACCCTATAAAGAACAAAATTTAGAAAGAGTGGGAGGGGCTCTCTGCATTTGGGGTGCTCATCAGGCACAGTATTAGGTAACGGAGAGGCAAAGAAGGAGGGTGATAAAGAGATGGAATAATCCAGAGAGGACTATTGTTTCCTCAAAAAGCCAATGATGTGGGTGACTAGGAAGTTCCCAACACATGATCCCAGCATGATGAACTCTGTGTATCAGGAGGAAGGTGACACAGCACTGTGGCATCATATCATTTTTCCAAGTAAGGAGCGTAAAGCTAAAAAATATTTTTTAATGACAAGACATGGAGCAGTAGAATCATGGTTTTCCTTCTTGGCATTTGTAATATATCATATCAGAATTCATCTTGATTTTGCTGAATACCCAATAAATAAGCTCTGAAAGAAAAATAGTAGTAATGTGTAAAATGTGAATACATCAGTAGGTTTTTACTACATGAGTACCCTGATAAAATTTCAGCCATTTGGGCAAAGAGGAAAATAGAAGGAAATTATCAGAATTTTACAATAAACGTTCTGTCAACTTAGGGATGGAGTGCCATCAAAATCTAGCTGAGTTTATCTTTGGGTAATGGAATTGTGAGTTATTTTTATTTTATTTATTTTATTTTTGCTTCTCACTCTATTTTTTTTTTTACAATGAACACCTGCAAATTTTGTCTCTAAAGGTCAATATCGTTTTTTGAACTCAGGTATAAAAAAATAATGTCACATATTGAGGAACTGAAAACTGGACATAAGCTAAGTTTCACCAATACAAGACTGATTAAATACATTATAGTGTAGCCTTAAACAGATATTAAAAATTATTATTTAGTCAGGATTTATTGATGTAAATCACATTCACAATATAGTGTTGAATATAATGTACTAAAGAGTATATATGGCATAATTTTTTTAAAAAAAAATTTAAAATATCTTTTTAAGGCCAAGAAAGACACACATTAAAATATCCGTAGCAATTATTTCAAGGTGTTGGAAATAGAGGTAATTTTTACTTTTTCTTGATATCTTTCTTTCTAGTCTTCTTTACAAACAAAATTTTAAAAAACTACGTGTATGTATTTTTTCTAACTAAGAAACATTTCCCCTGAACAACATTTCTCTAACTGAAATCCATGTGATTTTGAAAGAAGGAACAACAACAAAAATGCCATTGCCACAAATTCAACATCTCCAAGATGTACTGTCTTTCCCATCCAACCTGCTTCTCCTTCCTGCTTGACTTATTGGGACCATCCTTGAACTCACAAACCCAGGCATTTGTTACCCAAACCAAGTTGCAGTGAGTTGCAATGACTAAAAAGACCACATGGCAAAAGTGAGGTTATACTTAGGATGGGCTGAGGGGCCATGCATTCCAGGCAGGAAGAAGAAAATGAACAAGGGCTGGCATTTAAGAATATGCACATCGTCATTGAAAAACTGTGAGGAAACACGAGTGGATGAGTGGGGAGTTTGTGAGGCGTATAGTAGGAAGTAAGATAAAGTGGGCCAGATTAGAGGGTCTTAAATACCAGGCTGAGGGGTCTTCAGTTTATCCAGGAAATGATGGGGCTGTTGAGCTTTTGAGCAATAAAATGACTAAAGGTAATTGGAATCTTTGAAAGACTCATCTGAAGGCAGAAAGCAAAAAGATCAGTTTTACTGCTGCTGTTCATATCTGGGATGAGAAGAGCCTGGATTAAAATAATTAAAATAGCAGCAGTGGCAGAGGAAAAAGAGACAAATGAAAGACTCCCCAAGGAAATAAAATATTTACAATTTGGATTCAAGATGTCCATCTACCAGGAGTACACCTACAGGCTTGTCCCAACTCTGGGAAGAGACCCTCCCTGACCTCTCAGACATACAGCTGACACTCTACCATCCAACAGGGAAAACAACTGTGAAGCTGGCCATCAAGCCATCAGGCAGGTCTCACTGGGATAGTTGCCCATGGCCACAAGCATATTTGTCCAGGCACAGTTCAGAACATCCCAGTGAGCGGGTATTACTGGTGTGTTCTCCTCCTACCCAATTTAAAGATGAGGAAAATCATGACCAGGAACATTGAAATGACTTGTTAAAAGTCTCACAGCTATTAAGTGGCAAAGCTAGAACCAGGGAGGAAAATAAACTATTGAGCACCCATGGTGGATTAGGCAATGGGCTAGGCATTCATATACTTTACTGGGATTAATCCTCACGGTAACCCTAGGTGCTGTTATTATTCCCATTTTATAGATGAAGAAACTGAGGCTTACAGAAATTAAGAATCCCTCCCAAAGTAGGCAAAGAGATTTAGGGTTGGAATTCATGTCTGTCTGATTCCGAAGCCCTATGCTGTAGTCCACTGCTATACAACAAATCACACAAGGACAGAGGAAAAATTTAAAGACCACCAAGGGCAATGATCCAGCCCCAGTCCAAATTACTGGAGTAAATGAGCCGAGAAATTTCAATTCACTCGTCAGTATGTATAAGGATAGAGTCTGTTTTCCTGCTAATCAGCCTTGCAGTTTGGCCCAGACCTGTCTCCTAGCAGCTTTCTCTCCTCCAAGCCACATACAGGCCTGTGAACAAATACTCAGTGGTGCTTGGAGTCACAGAAGGGCTCGACTTTTTTGATCGCGACAGAGAGGAACTCAGTGTTAGCAAACTGAAAGCAGAAATCCCAACTGCCAGAGAGATCCTTACACTTTGTACAATGCCTGTTTCCTAAAAAACCAAGCAGTCCTAACTAATCGTCTGTTGTGACTCATCAGCAGAATGTTCTTTGGACAGACAGAGCTCAGAAGCTTCCAACAAAAAGTAAGATCGGCCCTTTGGAACAGCTTTTTCTCCCTTAGGGGTTGAAACTTCTGAACAGAATGCTTTAGTTAGGGTCAAGTTTCACTGGGACCTTAAATATAATTTCTTCTCTGTGGAGAGATCAGTGGATGAAGAAAAACCAGAGGCCTGGAAGATGCCGTGGGGGTTCCACTCATCCTTTTCCTGGTTTCACTCCTTTGCTACCTTGCAGGGGAGGGACAAAAACCTAAAAACAGAGTTTATTAGGACTCTATTGTTTAGGTTTACACTGAAGTAAAACATTTGTTTCATATCTCACCTACATTTACCTAGTTTCCTGGAAATTCCTTTCATGATCCCACAGTCTAGCTACCCAAAAAATTAAAAACTAACCTCAGGTAAAATTTATATGAATGAAACGAATCTGGGTAGTGAAAGGTATTCTGTCCCAGCCTGTGGGGGTTTTGTATTCCTGATACACCCAGCCATGTATACACTATCCAAATTTGTCCACGCTTTTCCCATGAACCTCACAAGCAATGATCTGTAACCTCCACAGATAAATACCATTTTTTCACATCATACCTCTGATTTGGCACTCATATCCACACAGACACATGGAGAGACCAGAGAACATTGAAAAAAAAAATGTGTGCCTTTAAGAGAATGTTGTTGCTGCTTAGTATTGCTGTGCATATTCCTCTCTCTCTCCAGCTGGTTTTTCAAGTCCCTGAGGGTAGGAACCATGCCCTGTGCATCTTAGAGCCCCCACAGAGAGTCTAGTTTGTTGTGGTAGGTATTCAATGAATAGGTTAGAAGATACAGGCCGGCTCAGAGAGTAGGTCAGGGAGACAGCCAGGAGGAAGGAACGCCAAACACAAAGGAACATCTAAAACTTGAGAACAGACCACTTCTGCAGTGCCCATGATAATGCTGAGTTGGATCTGATTTTGCCACTGAGTTCCAGTGGTACAGGCATAAAGCCCAAAGTGGTGTCAGGTGGCTGCCATAGGGAGATGAGGCAGCAGCTGGTTGGCAACTTCTGAACTGGCCGGAGTGAAAGGGGAGATGATTCAAAGGGAATCTCACTTGTCGCTCCAAGACCTGATATGCCTTGGAAACAATTGGTGAAGCTTCAACAATTACCAGAAGTCCTCAGCCCTTTGGTTGTGGGTGGCACTGATCTATGACACAGCCTCCAAGTCCTGGCAGGCTTTGAGAGGGCAGAAAGGACACTGCTGGTGCAGAGATTTCTATATTTAAGATGGTTGTCTCAGCCTCTGATTTGGAAACAGTTTGTCGTAGCTAAAGCATGAGTGCTTCTCTATGGGGTTGTTTCTTTGCAGTTGACACCCTACATTGAAAAAGCCATTTTTTGTTCTTTGTTTCAAGAGGTAGCCCATCTGGATATTTTACATGTTTGCAGTAATAATTATAAAACAGAAGGACTGTTTAATTTATAGTTAAGCAAAGAAGCTGGGGTCACTGATCTTGGCTTCGAAATAGAGATTATTTCGAAGAGCACATGCTTGTTGCGAAAACATGCAGCATCTTATATGATGGTTAGTGGTAAGAGAAGATCCAGAATTTCTATAATGGAGGGGTTTAAGGTACTCATATGTTTGGAAATAGAGAAGGAGGCTGGAAGCTGCATTTACATGGTAACTTTCACAATATTGGGAAAACCTCGATTTTCTATACCAAGAGTGGAGTGAGGACTAAAGTCCCCCGAACTACAATCATCATCCTTCCTACCCCTGAGGTGTCACTGCTTTTAGCTTAATGCTGTATTTCATCATGATTCTCAATCTTTCCCATTCCTTCCAAGGAAAGCCTTGTTTAGTTTTGGCATTTTACTCTGAAATGTTCATTTCAACCTATGATTTATGTAGCAATATGGGTTATTGTTGACTCCTCTCTTTTGAACCTACCCTCTGTGGGTTCTCCCATAGTCACAGCCTAAAACCAGGACCCCATCGTCTCTCTCCCAGACTGTTCTAAAGACCTCCTGCCCTCCTTCTCATTTATCCTGTTGCTTGATGGACTTTCTTAATGCATATTTGAGTGTCACTCCCCTTCTTTAACAGTTCTCTGCAGTATCCAATCTGACTTCCTTAGCATGACATCTCTAGGCTTTTATGACCTGACCCTTGCCTACCATTCTTATAAAAATGAAAATAGTTCTTTCTGTTGTTGCAGAGGTTAATAATTTAATGAAGGCCTTTGTAACTGGTCTCCATGATTAGGGATTACTGAACCCTCTGCAGCACTTTGTAGCTGCCTCCCAGTGACTTCTGCCTCCAGGGAGCAATCTCTGGTCAAGAAATAATGACCACCACTGGAATCTGTTAAAAAATGAACTCTCTTAGGCTTTTCCCAAGGACAGTCGTATAAGGGAGGGTGAGTTCAAATCAGGGCAGGTTACATATGGCACTCCTTTCCCAGGTAAATATCTTTACCTTGGCAGCAGACAAAGGTTTACGAATATTTTTTAGCATTCTGAAAGCTTTGAACAACTGAAATAGAAACAGCCAATCTAATTAACAGCACTATTCAGAAGCTGTTGACTCAAGGCCAAGCCTATTAAATGACAAGAGAAAGTACTCATTGTGGGCCCAATTGAGCCCAGAACTGCTGAGCTGTTGATTCATGCTAAAAAAATTACTGGTGTACTTTACTTTGTACTTTGCCACTGAGGCCCGCTAGGGGACGTTTACTCTTTGGGCTTTGAGATCTATATTAATTTATTATTAAAGATGAGTGGGGTTGGTGGCAGGCAAACTCTGACGCTGATGGAGAGACCCTAGTTGCCCTTAGAACCAGCCAAACTGGAAGAAGCCAGCCTTGGAGAAAGGCTCAAGAAGATGAGATTTGCCTCCTGGGCCCCAGCCTCCCCTTTTGGGACCCTCCATGGCACCTCATCGGAGTGACATAGAGACAGGGTTAACACTATAAAGTCATCAGGCCTGGGTTCAAATCCCTTAAGATACATGGCCTAGAGTAGGGGTTGTCAAACTAAGGCCTGAGAGCCAAATCCAGCCTGCCACCTGATTTTATAAAGAAAAGTTTTATTGGAACACAGCCGTGCTTACTCACTGAGGTATCGTCTATGACTGCTTTTGCGCTCCAGCGGTAGAGTCAAGTAGCCACAAGAGAGACCACACAGCTGTCAAAGATTAAAACATTTTTCACCCGACATTTTACAGAGTTTGTAGCTCCCTGACTTAGAGCTAGTGACTTAATTTCAATTTCTTTATCCATAGAATCCTGATAATAATATTCCAAAAGATTTTATGATAATTCTAATAGATGTAAAACAGAAATAAATAAGTACACTTGGAAAACTCTAAGTTAAACAAGGTTATGTGCTTTTACTACAGGCTCTCTCGGTTTTTTGTTTGTTTGTTTGTTTGTTTGTTTTTGAGACAGGGTCTTGCTCTGTCACACAGGCTGAAGTGCAGTCACAAGATCATAGCCTTGACCTTGACCTCTAGGCTCAAGCAATCCTCCTGCCTCCCACTGAGTAGCTGGGACTGCAGGTATGTACCACTAAGCCCAGCTAACTTTTTTTATTTTTATTTTTTATGGAGACAGGATCTTGCTATGTTGCCCAGGCTGGTTTCAAATTCCTGGTACTGGTTTGTGACACATATTCAAGTAGTCCTCCCACTTTGGTCTCCCAAAGTGCTGGGATTACAGAGGGGTGAGCCACCACATCCGGACCCTCTCAGAGTCTTTAAGAAGCCAGTCAGGGAACCTGGTATGCACTTCCCAAATTAATGTAAACTTGGAACCCTACTGTCATGAAGAATGTACAAGAGTTGTCTTCATACATACATGCATGTGCTTCAGGGATACACAAAGACTTCTAAGAGATACAGATAGAGTAAAATGAACCAGTTTCCAGATCTTAATTCCACATGGATTTGTTTCATAAAACTGACCCACCGAAGAATCAGCCTGCCTTCCCAATACTGTGGTCTTCTCCCGCTTATAAGAGAGAGTCTGGCTCCACCCTTATCCCAAGTCTTACCATGGGGACCTGCACAGAGATCTGATTACTCTGGATTTCCCACTTCTTCAATGATAAATCGTGAAGTCCCTAGGGCCCACTGTCTTACACAGATTTTTGTTAAGCCTGAAGCTTTGCATTAATGACGTGTTTGGGGCCTGCTGATATGCTCTGAATTCAGAAACACATATTCTTTAGCCTATAACTGGGAAGTTTTCTGAGACTACCAAATTTTTTAAGATACATTAAGGAAAACCCTTGGGTAAAAATTCTACATCGTTTATTTTAGATTTGGTCCTCTTATTCAACAAGCTAGTTAAAACATTTTATCAAGTCATATTATGAAATATTTATGTCAATTGTGATCTACCCCCACCTGATTCCAAGTTATCAAATATTTGATCTTTGCCACTCCTATGATTAAAAAAGGAATCTTTAGACTTGTAATGAAAAATCTCAGATGTTAACTTAAAAATGTGTAAAAGGGTATGTGACTCCTCAAAATTCTTTTGTGAGGTAAGTGAGCAAAAAAGTGTGGAGACTTGTCTCTTGCAAGACTAGTTTTATCAGCACTCTCTTTGGGAAACACTAAATTAGACACGTATATGAAGAGTCCGTGAAGAAGCCCGACCCAACACACAGCAGCTGCTTAACAACTGTCTGTTCTCTCCTCCTGGTCTCTTCCCCAGCCAGTCTGATCAATACGTTCATGCTCTTTCTCCTCTCTCCAAAATGCCAACATTGCTCCCAGCAGAGGGTTGATAAAATAATTTATACTAAGAGATTATTTAATTTAGGGTGCTTGCTCATAGATCACCCAGCACCAGCATGTTCACATTAGAGAGAATACAAGCTAATGGAAGAGGCAAGACAGTACTGGGGAGTTTCTCTGCTCTTGAGGTCAGGCCGCTGAAAGGGACCGCCTATTTGTACAGCTTTTTTTTTTTTTTTTGCAGGTGATTTTTCACTGGGATGAGTATGTGCTTTTTGGGCCCCAAACAGAATGCTTCATAAGAGCAGCTTCAAGCCTGGGTTCCCTCTCTGTGGACTGTGAGGCTGAGGCTGACAGTGACTTCCAGGCCCCAGGAGCACACTCCCTTTGAAAGGTCCCATGGGGGCCGTCTACCAGGAACACTTCTGCGCCTTCTCCCAGCACCACCCACGCTCTGCCAGCTTGTGGTATTTGGGGCTGTCTTACTTTCTCAGAAGTTAGAGAATAATCTGGAAGGGCCAATTTTGCAAGTTTTCTCTAACCTCAGAGATGAGATCAGTGAAACGATTAGCAGAGCACAAGAAATTCTGACACATCTACCCTTTTAGGAAAGCCCTGAACAAAAATCAACCCAAGGTGACAACATTCTCACCATTTACCTTCTGAACATCTTTACTGGCCTTGCACTGCCCTGTGTTCAGTTTGTGGCAGGGGCTGCTGCTTCCAAAAAGAAGCCCCCAATCCAGGAGGACTGCGCTCAGGTAACATTCCAAACCACCATCCCCAGAAAAGCCAGGAGGAGTTATTTTCTAAAAGCCTGATTCCTGAACTCAGAGGCTTTTGTATCCCATTATTACTCCTCCTTTAGGCTTTGTTCCCTTCATCCTAAGACTCTGTGTTGAAAAAACAGCAGGTAAAACTCTGTGTTGAAGAAACAGAAAGAGAAAATACCATTAAAATTGGCTGAAGTAATAGTAATAATAATAATAATACGTATTGGTTCCAGTATCTGAAACACAGGGGTAATTGGTACATTAAGTCGGGTTTGATCCAGCAGCTCAGATAACTCACTAAAGTCCTCCCTCCTCCTTGCCACAACAAAGGATCCATCCTCAGCTCCACGTGATGTGGGGCTGCAGCCCACCCTGCCCCATGCCCTCCACCCCGTGACTACAGCCACTGTGCACCTCACACATTCACACTCCACTGCCCAGAGGAAAAGAGGCTTATCAAACGGAAAAGGAAAAATTTCTTTCCTAGAAGCCCTAGCCAGCATGTTGTTTCTCATCATCTCAGATTGGCTTATGCACCCATAAACCAATCACTAGATTAAGTCAACAGGGCTCACTCCTGTTATGAGGATAGAATAAACCCCACCCAAACCATGTGCAGACCCATTCCTTCCCCACCTTGAGACCAACTCCATGCTGAATAGAATACGCCTGGTCACAAGCATTATACTGACTGAACTTCTGAATTCTTGACTTTTTCCTTGCCATGACCCTTAAGATGGAGCCCCATCTTTGTGTCTCCCGACAGATGCCTTGCCTTCTAAACATCTGCTTCTTGTAGACCCAGTATGGGTCATTGATCTCAGACTACTGCCTTGATTGCCAGTGCATTGGGGTTGGAATTTAGGTTTAAGGTGAATAGTATCTAGTTCTCTCCTTTTATTTTTCCCATGGGCTTTTCCCCTGTAACAAAGCCCCAGCATTGGCAATCTTGAGTGCAGGAGTGGTTGGGTGGGTAATGGGTCCACAGCCTCAGTTACTCTGACAACTTGGCATAAACGCAAACCAACCCAGTCTGTTCTGAACCAACCCCCTTTGATCCCTTCCAGTTAGTTAGCTGCCTGCTTCTAGCTCCAGCCCTATGATGAAGCGAAACATTGATGAGAAACATTATCTCCACTATTATATTAAGGGCTTCTTCAATCAAGCTAGCTGTTCGCTTTTCTCTTTAGGCAGCCCAATCAGAGGTTAGCTCTAACCAGGGTAGAGTGGGAATCAGCCCAAAGTATGGCAAAGATCTGATTTACTGTTCAAGCTCCTCTGGAATCAAGGCAGAAAGTTACAGTAGCCTTAAAAGATCTGATTTATTGTTCAAGCTCCTCTGGAGGCTTATGTAGACTCCCTTTCTTTCCTGTAGGCATCTGGATTTAGGAACCTCTGCTTTTTTCCCTATCCCCCACGCCTGTGTGTACATGGCACGCCCTAGCCTGGACACCACTTCACCGTGACTTCCGTCGTTTGCCACATCAGAGCTCAGTGTGCCATGCTCCCAGTTAAGGCTTCCTCTGACCTTGGTAATGGCTCAGCCAGCCCTAGGAACAGCTTGCTTTGTTTGTGCTGCTTCTTTGAGCCACATGACTGATTTGTCATTCAAGGTGCAGGTGCTCTGCTTACCAGCCTTAAAATCTGCCAATCCTTCCCAGCCCTGATCACTGGAAATCTACGTTAAAACAGCTGAGTCCTTTCCCATCTGAGCTCCATGACTGTCCCTTGACTTTGAAAGACACCTGCTCTCTCCTGGCACCCCAGGATTCTGGCAGCTGAAATTCCCTAAACCAGCCCCCTGTCTTTTCCAATCCTACACACTCCTCTTAGGTGAACCCCCAGCCTCAGTGAGCATATCCTGCTTTCCTCCCAGGCCTTTTCTGTTTTCCCTCATAAAAGCCACAACATCTCATTAAAACCTCATGGTCTACTTTCTTCTCCCATATTGCTATCCTGAAGCTGCCAGGTAGCCTGCTAAAGAAAAACATTTCACCCCTTCCACTTTACATCTAATGTCCAAGTAGTAGTCTTTCCTTTTGCCATTAACATATTTTCAAATCCAGTTTTATTTTTTTCACATGCAACCCACTGCTTAGGGATGCCCCAGCAGTCTACAAAGTGCAAGCTCCAGTCATGAAAGTGGGCTCTTGTGATAGAACTCCAGGGGATAGGCTAGCAGGAAGGGTGGCAGGAACGCATTTGAAAGGACTGAGGCATTGGGACAGGAGGCAGAAGACAATGTCCATGGAGGACATTAGGCCTGTGCCTAATGCCTGTGACCAGGGCCAGGATTAGAATCATCCGACTAGACCAGTGACCCCACTCCTGAACCTTCTCTGTCTGGTGCTCTCTGGGTAGACTAGAAATATCCTCAGACTTGTAGTGAACAGCTGTTTGACCTTCTTCTGGTGTCCCACCTCCCTTCTCCCATAATAGTGAAGATGTAAGAATCAAGGCAGAAAGTTACAGTAGCCTTGAAAATAGCCTGCCACAAAAGGCTGCCAGCCCCAAATGACACGAAACCATTTTCCAACATGGTTGTCAGTCAGCATTTACATAGCACTCCACATTTACAGACTGGGGAGCCGAGGGCAGTTAGTCATTCATATCAGCACAGAGAACAAGATGAGGGCTATGGGTCCTGTTTACAATTCTTCTTAAGATCCTGATTCACTGCCTGAATGAAGAAACCCCAACCCCATCTCCTTCAGGTGGAGGCCTCCTGCACAAGGGCAGGCTGAACCCCAAACTTGACATTGGCCCCTCCTGAGCTCTCAGCCCACAGCCAACAGCTTTCTTTTCACAGAACACTCTAGGTCCCCTCTCCTGTCATGAGCCCTAGCAGAGACAACCAATAAATCAAACCCTAAACAGGTGAGGATGCCAAGCTCTCTTGAACATTCACAGATCAATGCAATTATGAGCATCTTTGTACTTCCAACTGACTGCTTCATTATTAATGTGAAATTAAACCCATTCTGAGCGCTTACAATCTGATAAGTGTTCTATAATTGTTTTTACTGATATTGCCCTGATACTGAACACCTGGGAACAGATATAATAAACACAGGAGGTTGCAAATCTTAGCCATGATTACTTTCAAGCTGGAAAAGTACGGATCTGGATGTGGCTTTGCCAGATGCTTGAGCCACTCAAATTCTCTCAGCCTCAACTTTTGCATCAGTAAAACAGGGGTAATTATGCCTTCCACCTAGGGTTGTTGTGAAGACAATGAGGTAAGATTTGTAAAAGGCCTAACATAACATTTGAAAATATAGCACATCCTCAATAAATAGTAGTTAGTATTAATGTGCTACATTACGATGGAAGTACAGGATAATCAGAAGATACAGATAAACAGAGCAACTCTTAAAAGCTCTCTTTTTCTTCCTTTATACATTTAACAGTATTCACGGAGCACCTACACTGTACCAGACATCATTCTAGAAGCAGAAAATACAGCAGAGAACAAGACAGGTAAAGCCCCAGCTATCCTGAAGGTTACCTGTGAATGGCATGAAAATAATAGAGAAATAATAGTTAATAAAGATGATAATTTCAGATATCCATAAATGTTGAGAAGAAAATTAAACAGAGTGATATGATAGACAGTGATTGCTGGATTTTAGAAAGAACCTCTATAAAGGATCATAATTGAGGTAATACTTGCCAGGAGAAGCCGTAGGAGTAGAGAGGGGGCCAGGTAGAGGAAACAAGTGCCCAAGCCTGAGGTGGGACCAAGCCTGGCTGGTCAGGAGAACTGAATGAGGACAAGGGTGTCTGGGGCGGTGAGAGAGAGATGGGACGAGATGAAGTTGAAGGTCTAGGCAGGGGATCTGAATTCCTATCCCAGCTCTGCTACTAGCAAGCTGTTGGGCTTTAAATAAAGATTTTAAACTCTTGAAATCTCTCAGTTTTGCCATCTGAAAAATGAGGGGAAGGGGTTACCCTTGATCATTGTTAAGGTCCTTTCAACTCTGACTGTAATATAGACCAAAAGCACTATTACTCTTCCTATGGTGACAATACTGCAGTCAAATATGACTCTCTTACAGATTGTCTAGTCTTGTTTGCAAGTGTCTATATTGATCTTTAGGCAAGAGTTACCTGTAAAATTAATCAGGCACCATGATGTAAAATCCTTTATTCTGCTTATGTCGAAGTATCTTTTGGATTAGTAATGGCCAAAACATCAGCTGGCCATAGACAGTTTTTGGTTCCTGGTGGCAAAATACTAGCAGCTCACATATGGTCCCAGGAACCTAGTTTTTAAAGTTTATTTTAATCGTTCTGTATTGTGTCTTGACCTTTTTTCAAGCAACTAAAGAGCATGTATCAAGTCATACAACTGAGTCTGGGAAAACTTTAAGAAACTTTCTATTTTGTTTGATAGCAGCAACTTGCATAGTAGGTTATTCTGAACAGTTAAAACGTGTTAAAACTCTGTTTGTAAATCATTATCATCTTTTTTTAGTCCTCAAAATAGTGATTTTATTAAATTAGTTGCTTTATAAAACATTGCAGATGTCATAATTGTTAACATAACAATTTACCAAACTGCAGTTAACTGGTGCAATGTGCTGAGCACGTTTTATAAAGGAAAGGAAATGCCAAAATCCTGGTAAAGTTGTTCCATTGTGGCCTAAAAGAACAAAGATTTGTTTCTCAGACACTTAAATCAGGCAGATAAAAACAAGTAAAGAGTTTCCCTCCCCAATCTGAAGCACTTCATCAGTAGAAATAGCCTGATAAATTACTAGACAGCCTGCACTCAAGAGATTCCACAACATGTAATGCAATAATGGAGAGGTTTACCTCCTTTAGCTTCAAAGTTGGAGGGTTTTGGCCATTTTAATTTTATATCAAACTAGTGCTATAGTTTGATATAAAAACTATAGAGTGAAGATATCAGCCACAGTATCTTCACTCTGAGATAAGCAGTCTTCTTCACAATGTATTTTTAATATCCTTACGTTCAATTTTAAGACAAAGCAATTTTAATACTAGGTGCACATCACATGCCCTTGCTGCAAGCTGGTTTTCTTGACAAGTTATGAAGTAGTTCAAGGAGGTATGGTTAAGACTGTATTACTGAATGGTGCTGGTAAATACTACACAATTTTTTTTGTCATGTTGCAACCTTTTATTTCCAATTCAGTGACTGCTGCTATGAAATCAGACAGCAACAATGACAACATTATTAGGTTCGTTTTGAACTATGATTTAGTAGCCACTGAGGTTCCCAATTTTAACCCCTTGGCAGCAAGATCCAAGTTCCCTCATTTGCACATTAGCACCTAAGTGTTGAGGGGTTAAATAACCAGCACAAAAGATACTACTGCACTTCTAATTGTAGCATTTGGCAGAACTGAAAGGAAAGGAAGTTGTACTACATGTTCAAGGGATTGTGGGCAACACAAAGATGACACCAGGACGGGAGGCTGAGGCAGAGAATTGCTTGAACCCGGGAGGCGGAGGTTGCAGTGAGCCGAGATCACGCCACTGCACTCCAGCCTGGGAGACAGAGCGAGACTCCGTCTCAAAAAAAAAAAAAAAAAAAGACACCAGGAAAAGATAAAATGTCACATGAAGTCTTCATAGTCTTGTACATATACCTCCATCATAACCACCATAATCTGCCAGATCATCTTTCATGGTGGCTTTTATCCCTCTCCAGGAACCACACCTTTCTTCTTCTTTTTGGTTTTTCTTGCTTCTGTTTTTACGGCAAAGTACAGTCAGTGAATTGGTAATCTTTTTCAAGTTATCAATTTCCAATGAAATACACACATCTCGAACTAAGATTTCCAAAAAAAAAAAGACATCATATAGTGACTTTTCATTTTGTGTAATTTTATCTTTTAGTAACTTTCCAAACTCTGTAAAATCATCTCTTGAAGATGGGTTCATAGCATCTATTCCATAAACTGTACTATTAACACCAAAAGTTTCCTTTGCTAATTCGAGGTCTGACTCTTCCTGTAATTTATTTAGCCCCAGTTTATCTGCTAATTGTTCTTCTGGTGTTAGCACTTTAGGTTCTTCAGGTTCTTTTAACCTCTTTTTAATTTCTTCTTGCTTTTCTTCTGTTGCCGTTCTTTCTCTTTTATCTTCTCTGCTGTTTTTTTCTTTTCTGAACTTTTTACCTCCGGTTTTACTTCTGCTTCTTCTTTTTTTAAGTCTTGATCGTCATCCCAGTTATCGTTGACGCCCTCGTCTTAGTCCTCGCCTTCCCAGCGCTCCCCGCCAGCAGTGCCGCCGCCCCACACCTTCTGCACTGGGTCTTCCACGGAGAATGCATCCGCGTCTCAAGAGTCGGAGTCCCCCGCCGCCGCCGCCGCCATCTTGAGGAGGGTGTGAGCGTGTATTGAGGGGGAGAGCTAGCGAAGAGTTAGCGCGGCGAAGGTGAGTCACTGGGTTTGCTCAATCTTTATCATCTTAAATGTTCAAGCAACTCTGACTGTAGTGCACGCCTTTTCTCTAGGGATTTAATATGCAGTAGTTGACCACCAGAGCAAATGTACATTTAGGAAAATGACAATTATCCACCGTGGTCAACAGTGACGTAGATAATTTAAAGTCACCCAGTGTGAGAACTGAGTGAAATTCTAAGCCATCAGGTCAAGAAGGTAGGTGCTTATTCTGAAATGGCTCTAGTATAACAGATTTGCACCCAAACTATTCTGGTCAAATGAGTAACTAACTCTCCTGCTTTGTTTTTTAAGTACTTATAACTTCTTGGGTAGACCATTCCAGAACTTAAAAAACAACTTTCCAGTTCTTTCTTATTTCTAACCTAAGTCCTTTACATTGCTTTCTAGGTTATTTCCTCTAATTCTGTCATATATGGAGAAGGGTAAACTGGTGGTTACCCTCAGCGCATTACACTTTTTGATATGGTTTGGCTCTGTACTCCCACCCAAATCTCATGTTGAGTTGTAATCCCCAGCGTTGGAGGTGGGGTGTGATGGGAGGTGATTGGATTATGGGGATGGTTTCCAATGGTTTACCACCATTCCCTTAGTGCTGTCTCATGATAGAGTTTTCAGGAGATCTGGTTGTTTAAAAGTGTGTAGCGCCTCCCACTTCACTTTCTCCCTCTTTCTCCGGCTATGCTTGTGTCTGCTTCCCCTTCAGCTTCCGCCGTGATTGTAAGTTTCCTGAGGCCTAACAGCCATGCTTCTTTTACAACCTGTGGAATTGTGAGTCAATTAAACCTCTTACCTTTATAAACTACCTAGTCTCAGGTAGTTCTTCAAAGCAATGAGAGAACGGACTACTACACTTTTAAAATAAATAACAATGACAAGCAACACACATAGTGTTTACTAATCTAGGTTCTTTACAGATTACCATTTAATTCTCACAACAATTCCATCAGATAGATAACTGTTTTAATACCACTTTACAGGTGGGATAACTGAGGCACAGAAGCTAAACACCAGCTAGTGAAAGACACAGCTGGGATCTGAGCCCATGCCCCTGTCTCCAGGATCTTTGCTTCAGTCACTGCACCATTTTGCCCCTCCCATAAGCAAATTCTCCATCTGGGTTGCTATTCACTAATCCCTCTCTTTTTCTGTTTGTTTGTTTAAGTGATTCATGAAGAGACACCAAAAACCTTTCTCTTTTTTCTTTCATTATTTTATAAATAAATGTACTTCTTTTCCTTCTTCCTGAAAATAAAAACCTACGACCAATGCTTTATCTGAAAAAGAGTCTTTGACAGGTTATTGCAGAAAGGGTCTTTCATTTATTCATGCTGCCCTCATTAATAGAGAAAAAGTCTTGCTGGGCCAAATTAAGTCAACGTGTTCCCCATTCACCATCTAATTATTTTAAAAAGCACAATCCAGCACCAGAATTAAAGCAGGAATTCTACCCATCTTTTGTGAGAGCACAAGAGGCCACGAGATGAACCGCATAGCTAAGACTGGTGACGAGGACTGGAGAACCCAGGAGATAATGTTATTCAAGTTTATGTGGAGGCTTTCGTGGCACTCTGGTTTTTCTGCATCAGGAAAACTGCTGTAGGCAGAGAGATGGCAGCTCCATATCTATCTACCTACCTATGTATCTACGTGTCCATCTATGCACATATATGTACCACACACACCCACACAATTTCTTTTCATTTTCCTTATCTTAACCACTAAAATACTAAGTTTTTTGTGTACCCTTTCAAGTCCCCATCACAGATAGCAAAGAAAAGCCTACCCTTCTTATTGTCCACTTCCCAAGCAAATTCCCTAAAACAAACCAGAAACATAAAATAGAGGATGCACATAACTAAAAGATATAAAATATATACCACATAGGTATAAATAAAAAATTATAGGTATAGGTAAAATTATATATAAGGTATAAATAAAAATTATATATATGGACATTGTGTATATGTATATGTGTGTGTATAGGGTATTTCACACCACAAACTTAGTGGTATAAAATATATCACTTTATTTAGTCTCATGAGAACAAACTTTAACACATCTTATGAGGAAACAATCTCAGTCAAGGAGGGTTTCTCCTCCCTTCTAAGTTGCCGGAGAAGAGCTGTGTGCCCAGGCAGTGGGTGGAAGGGGGTGTCTGGTCTGGGTCATGATCTGTCCAAGTTGGTGAAGACTGAGGCATCCTTATTGCTGTCTGGTCTTTGATTGTTCACACACAGAGGCAGCAAGGCTCCAAGGGTTCAATGCTCTCAGAGCTGCAGCCCAGGGCACAAGCAGCTCCATGAGGTTGCCTGGGGCCCTGAACCCTGCTGCTCCAGAATGCACATGAAGATTCCAGGGGACTCTGGTTCTGGCTGCCACCCCTTTGAGGTTGGGTAGAGGGACAAGAGAGTAGATGCTCACCACGCTCAGATCCTCTCCTTTTACTTGGTATTTTTCTTACCCTGCTCCTTACCTCCTTCCCAGGGTTTTAGCCTAGGGGAGGGAGCAGCAATGTGGGACCGTTTCTCAGGTCACGCCAGAGTTTAGCTAACCTCCCTTTGCCTCCCCTCTAATTGTCTTCCTTTCCCTATGCCACTAACCTGTGAACCTTTGGAGGAATTAAGGGTCAAAGGGAAGGCTGTCTCCTTCTCATTAGGTCTTCTTTATGCCCTGAGCCCCTCAGCACCTATGCTTTTAAAAGGCATAGCCTTTTTTTCTGCTATAATAACTTGAAGCAAAGAGGTTGCATGCCTAAGTGATAGAGTGGGGCAAAGGAAAATGGAGTGCAGAGAGACAACAGTCTTTTCCTCCAATCACATGTACCCACCTGGCAGTATATAATATATGCCAACTGTGTGTATCTTAACATGATATATACATATATGTATTTAATACACAAGAATCATATTTACACATATAGGTATTACTCATGTGGTTTGGGGCTATGGATTGTGGCTTTTTTGGGGAGAAAAATTTATGGATGAATACTTCTATCCAATTCTTAAATATTTAAGTCATATGTTCTTAATTGTGGATCATAACAGAAAAAAATGGAGAACCAGAATATAAAAGATAATTATCTTATAGATAGATTGTAAGATGGATTATAATTATAATATATCAGATTATAGATAGATTTCTCATCACCATTTGCACGGAGAGAAAAGGGAGCAAGAATTTCTGACTCAGGAACTCTGTAACAATCAACTTACTGTAACCCCAGCCATGTCATTTAGCCTCATTAACAATCTCATTTTCATTATTAATGAGGATGAAAAATGTGCTCAAAATACAAGTATAAGATCACAGATTTCAAATAATAAAGCTGATTCAGCTGAAGATCGAAAATACCGGCTTATTCATAAGACGTTTTAGAGCACTATGCAGACAATAAAGAATTCTTAATCCTTGTACCAAATGCCATGATTCACGTTGTTTTCCTTTAGTATGAAATTACTTTCAATGTAAACTCTGACACACTGGGGAAAAAAATAGGTTCCTTAAGACCTTTCCATACAAAATGTAGGTAAAATAACTTGAAAAAGAAGTAAAACAATCTTAAGTTATATTGGTTACATCTTTAACTTATTGCTACTAGTTTAAGGCAAGAACTTAATCTTTATATCTAAACATGCAAAAGGAAATACCCCTTTGCTCCATGGTGAGGAGACAGGACAAAGCAGTTTTTTATTACCTGTGGTTGAGGAAATAGCTGTTTAAGAAAAAGATACTTCCATTCTTTTGGCTAGCCTGAATCTTGAGAGGACAATCCCTCTCTTCCAGTTGTTGGGCAGGCTGTTTTTGTTTCTTGATGGATAAACATATTTCCACTATTAACCCTAGGTGATAAGATTCAGAGTAAACAGTGTCTCAGGGATTACTTAGGAGGGACAATAGGCAGAGGCAGAATCTTGGGGGAAAGCCCTCAGGTATAAGGTTGTCAAATTTAGCAAGTAAAAATACAGAAAAACCGGTTAAATGTAAATTTCAGATAAAGAATATAAGTTCCCTATATTGCATGGGACCACCTTACCAAGGTGGAATTATGTGAACATAAGAAATGGCCACTGGGTGAGTGCCCAGCAGGAATATGGGCTCACCAACCAAGAGAGTAAACAAGTGTCCTCTGGGCATTCCAGCCTCAGAAGGTAACTTAGAATTCTACCAAATTCTACCAACAGTAGAAGCAATCTTCAGGGAGTACTAAAAATGTGTGTGGCAAACCGAAGCAGTGGTATTAGCACGAGCCTACCTTGGAATTAGCCTGAGCTGCTTGGTGCAACATTCAAGTGAGACCAAAGTAGGGCAGAAGAAGGAACAGGGGCCTGTGTACCCAGGGAGTGTCTGTCATGCCAATCTGTGCCTTGTCTCCAAGTTATCTTAGGACACAAATCTGCGCTCAGGAAGCTCATCTGTTTCTGTGCTTCTGTTTTTTCCCTTTTTTGGTCTTCTTGTGCTTTCCTCTCATTTCTCATTCAAATTTCTTTTTGAATATTCTAGCTTTTGTCTCTAAATAATTAACATCTAGGCCTTTAGTCTTGATCACCCTCACCAACCCATCCTCTTTGTGCCAACCAGAGGGCCTCTCTCCTTCTGTCTTTTAAAATCAGATTTATTGAGATATAATTTATATATAATAAAGCTCACCAATTTTATATGTATGATCTAGGAGTTTTGACAAATGTGTACAGTGATTTTTCTCAATGTTTTGAGTTTTCAGCATACAGATCTTTCATGTATTTTGTTATATAACTTATAAGTGTCATGATTTTTTAATGCTAATGTAAATAATATTTTCATTTTAATTTCTAATTATGTATTCATAGCATATAGAAATGGAATTGATTTTTTCATTTTGACATGTATCTTGCACAGGTGCTAATTCACTTTTTAGTTTGAGTCACTTTTTTTATAGGTGCATTGGCATTTTTTATGTAGACAATCATGACATCTATGAATAGAGACAGTTTTATTTCTTTCTTTCCAATGTGTATGCATGTAATTTCTTTTTCTTGCCTGATTGCACTAGCTAGGGTCTGTAGTACAACATTGAATAGAGGTGGTGAGAGCAGACAGCCTTGCCTTATACCTTATCTTAGAAGGAAAGTATTCAGTCTTCTGCCATTAAGAATGATGGTAGCTGTAGGTATGTAGGTAGTTGTAGTAAATGCTCCAAGTGCACTTGATAAGAATGCATATTCTGCTGTTGGGTGGAACATTCTGTAAATATCAATTAGGTCAAAAGAACTAAGATGGCCTTTATTGAGTTGATGACTTTCCCTTCTATTTCTAGTTTGCTGACAGTTTGTATTATGAGCCTCTGTTGATTTTTGTCAAATGTTTTTGCTGCATTTGTTGAAATGATCTTATGCTTTTTTTCCCCTCATCTGTTGATATGGTAAATTATATTGATTTTTAAACATTGAACCAGCCTTGCATTTCTTTTATAATTGGTCTTTTTATACCACTGGATTTCATTTGCTAGCATTTTGTTGAAGATGTTTGCGTGTAGGAAAATTGGTCTGTAGGAATATTGATCTGTAGTTTTCCTTTCTTGTAATGTCTTTAACCGGTTTTGGTATCACGATAATACTCATATTAAAAAATGAGTTGGGGAGTATCTTCTCCTCTTTTATTTTCTGGAATACACTACATAGAATTAGTCTTCTTTCTTTAGTGTTGGATAGAATTCAGCAGAATAGACAATTAGGGCTGGAGTATTCTTTGTTAGGTGGTTTGTAATCATGAACTCAATTTCTTTAATTGTTAACACTATTCAAATTATCTATTTCACATTGGACAAGCTGTGGTAGTTTGTGCTTTTCAAGGTATTGGTCTATTTCATTTAAGTTGTCAAACTTATGTGTGTAGAGTTTTTCATAGTATTCCCTTATCCTTTTGGTGTCTGCAGGGTATGTAGTGATATCTCCTGTTACATCCTTGATATTTGTGATTTGTTTCTTCTTTCTTTTTTCTTTTCATAGTATTCCCTTATTATCCTTTTGGTGTCTGCAGGGTACATAGTGATATCTCCTGTTACATCCTTGATATTTGTGATTTGTTTCTTCTTTCTTTTTTCTTTTTCAGGCTTGCTGGAGGATTGTCAAATTTTATTGATTTTTTTAAAAGAACTAGTTTTTGTTTCATTGATTTTCTCTATTGCTTTTCCATTTTAAATTTCATTGATTTCTGCTCTTTTCATATAGTGTCTTCTTTCTGCTTGCTTTGGATTTGATTTACTCTTTTTTTCTAGTTTCTTAAGCTGAAAGTTTAGAGGCATTTCTTCTTTCCTAATATTAGTCTTTGATTCTATAAATTTCTCTCTAAGCATTATTTTAGCTGATGCTGTGTTTTTATTTCATTAAACTAACCATATTTTCTAATTTATCTTGTGAATTTCTATTTGACTCGTGAGTTATTTAGCACTATGTTATTTAATTTCCAAATATTGGGAGATTTTCAGATATCTTTCTACTACTGAGTTCTAGTTTAATTGAGTTATGGACAAAGAACATATATTGTATGATTTCAATACTTTTACATTTTTAAAGGCTTGTTTTGTGGCCCAGAATATTATCTATATTAGTGAATGTTCCATGTACATGTGACAAGAATGTGTATTTTGCTGTTGAGTGGAATGTGCTATAAATATCAATTAAGTCAAGTTTGTTGATTATGTTATTCAAGCCTTCTATATGCTTTCTTTTTAAATTTTTTATTTTTTTATTTTTATTAAATATAATTTAATATCATACAATCCACTCATTTAATGTGTACAATCCAGTGGATTATTAGTATATTCACATTGCATAACTCATCACCATTATCTAATTCCAGAACATTTTTATAATTCCAAAAAGAAATTTCATATTTTTTAGCAGTCACTCCCCATTTGCTCCAATTGTGACTGCTAAACAATATGAAATTTCTTTCTGGAGTTATAAAAATAGATTAGAAATAGAAATATCTAATCTACTTTCTATTTCTATGGCTTTGCCAATTCTGGACATTTCATACTAATGAAATCATGCTATGTGTGTCCTTTTGTGTCTGGCTTCTTTGGCTTAGCATAATATTTTCAAGGTTCATCTATTTTGTGGCAATTGTCAGAACTTCATTCCTTTTTACAACCTAATAATACTTCATATGTATATATAGTCAATCATCGTCATTCAAAGATTCCATATTTGTGAATTCGCCTACTTGCTAAAATTTATTTGTAATCCCAAAAATAAACATTCATAGTGTTTTCACAGTCATCTGTGGATATGAACAGAACAACAAAAAATTGGATTTACCCAATGTGCATATTCCCAGTTGAGGTCAAACAAAGTGATACCCAGCTGTCTTGTTTTAGCTGTCATACTATAAACAAGTGTCCTTTTTGTGGTCTGTTTATTGCCATGTTGTCCTGGTCCACCTAGTGTTGCTATAAAGGAATACCTGAGGCTGGGTAACTTATAAAGAAAAGAGATTTATTTGGATCATGTTTCTCAGGCTGTACAGGAAGCATTGCACCAGCATCTGCTTCCAGTGAGGGCTTCAGGCTGCTTCCACTCATGGCAGAAGGCCGAAGGGAGCCAGCATGTGCAGAGATCACATGGTGAGAGAGGAAGCAAGAGAGGGAAAAGGTGCTAGGTTCTTTTTAACAACCAGCTCTTGCAGGAACCAATAGAGCAAGAACTCACTCATTACCACAAAGATGGTACCAAGCCATTCATGAGGGATCCATCCCCATAATCCAAATACCTCCCATGAGGCCCCATCTGCAATATTGGGGATCCTATTTCAACATGAAGTTTGAAGGAGTCAAATATCCAAGCCATAGCACTTATTTTTTTTTTGCTTTTTTTTTTTTTTTTTTTTTGCTTTTTGTTGGTGAATTTGCTATTTAAATGCTCCCCACCAAGTGTAGTGCTGAAGTGCTATCTTGTGTTGGTCAGCACAAGAAGTCCGTGATATGCCTTACAGCAAAAATACATGTTTTAAATAAGCTTTATTGAGGCATGAATTATAGTGCTGTTGGCTGTGAGTTAGATGTTAATGAATCAACAATATATATTAAATAAGGTGTCTTTAAAACAGAAACAAAGGCAAAGAAAAATTATTTATTGATTGGTTGACAAAAATATTGTGACCAGAGGCTCACAGGAGCATAACTGTATATTTTGCCTAGGTGCAATGGTTCAGTATTCACTGAGTCAATGCTTATGGTGGCTTTATTTACAATACTGCATTTTGTTTACCCATTCATCGGCTGATGGACATTTGGCTTGATTCCACTTTTGGTCTATTAGCAATAGTGCTGCTATGAATATTCATATATAGGCTTTTGTGTCTCTATATTGTTCTGTCAACTACTGAGAGAGGAATGTTGATGATTCCAAATGTTATTGTGGATCTGTGTATATCTGATTTCAGTCTTACCATTTTTGCGTTATATGTTTTGAAGCTCTGTGTTAAGTACATACACATTTGTGATTCTTATGTCTTCTCGGCGAATTGACACCTTTATTACTAAGTCCTTTACTCCTAGTAATATTCTTTGTCTTAACTGCATGCCAGATATTGCAAAATTTACATTATTAATTGCTGGATTTTGTTATATTCCTTTGAATAGTGTTGGATTTTTTGATACACAGATAAGTTACATGGAATGATTTTGACCCTTTTGAGGCTTGCTTTCCAACTCTGTTAGAGTGAGTTCAGAGGGGTCTTTAGGGCTAATTTAGCCCTACTACTAAAATAATACCCTTCTGAGGAATCTATTCAATTTCCTGTGTATTACAAGGTCTTTTAACTCTGGATGGTGAAATACAAGCTATTTTCAAGTCTAGGAATTCTTCTGCCCCACCATTTTAGTGGCTTTTTTTGCTGCTTCTCATGCATATACAGATCTGTACTCAGCCAAAAACTTGAGGATATTCCTCTACATCTCTCTAGGGCACTCTTGTTGGTTCTCTCTCTCTCTCTCTCTGTCTCTCTCTCTCTCTCTCTCCCTTTCTCTCTCTGTCTCTGGTACTATGCTGCCTTGGCTCCCCAAACTCTGATCTCTGTCTCCTCACTTTGGCATGATGGTTGGGCCAAGTCGGGTTCCTCTTCCTTGTGCTGCAGCTTAGAAAGAGCCTGCAGGCAGAAACCTGGGGACATTACAGAGCTCACCTCAATTGTTTCCCTTCTATCATATATCACAATCCTGCACCACATCTTATTTAATATGTGAAGGCCATTGTTTCATATATTTTGTTTGGTTTTCTAGCTGTATAGGCATGAGGGTAAATCTGGTCCTGGTTCCTCCATCTTGACTGAAAGAGAATTCCTGAGAGCCCAGAGTGCTCTTTTTATGACAAGTCTAATCCAGTTGCCTCCCCTAAACTTTGTAATGACTTTCTTGGGCATCAGTTTCAAAAGAGTAAATAAATGAAGGAGAAAGGGATGTGTGTATGTATCTCTAAAGATGGAAGAAATTAAAATGTGGCCTTTAGGGAACCAGGAATAGTGATGGAGTCTGGACAATGAAAGGTGCAAACACATGAAGGGGAGGTCCACGAGTGGATTATGAAGGCAGAATGGAGCAAACACTGGTCCAGAATCCAGGGTCCTTGAGTCCCTCTGCTGGAATCCACAAATATAGCTAAAATAGTATCCCACTCTAGCCATTCCAGCTACTCAGCTTCATGTCCTGTTTGCCCATACATCCTTCATCCCATAGAGTCTTGCCAAGAATACAGACCATGTAAATAATGTTGACCACACCGCTAGTTTTTGGGGGGAGGGGGGAGTTATCTGAAGGAACTAGAGAACTAAAATGGAAACATCTTTTGCCTTCAAGATTGAAAATGAGAAGATGGAAAGACAGACTATACATGATTAAAAAGGACTCAATCAATGGTTTAAAAAAAATGTTTAATAAGACAGTGAAGTTTCAGCTGTCTGAGAACAAAATGGGTTCAGGAGGGAAGCCCCAAGGAGGGAAGCCATCTTCTGCTTCTGGGTGAGTCTTGGGGCTGAAAGAGTCATGTAAGCCATAATCAGAAAGAGAAATGGGCTCCCGGGTCTAGGTGTTTCTTGCTGCAACTGTTTACTTGCCAAGAAAGCACAGCTGTGGGTCTAATCTTCTCAATTTCTACCTTGGGTTCTGGGAGACACCTGAGCTGCCTTGAGTAACTGAAAGCATACTGGCTGAGACAAGAAAGACGTCAACAATTGTTGAGGGAAAATATGTGAGGTGTTATGTCAGAGCCTTAAAGACCTCATCTCGTAATGTTAACAGCAACCCACATTTCACAGATGAGAAAATTGAGGCTCAGAAAGGTTACATGCATGGTTTCAAGTTGGGGCTCTGTGCCAGCCCACCAGGCCATAAAGTGAAAGAGATTATGAGGTTTTGTGGTGAGAGCAGCTCAAGCCAAGTTCGAATCCTGACTATAAGTAAACATATAAAGATGGGTGACATATACTTGCGTATGTCATAATAAATTATAAATAGAATGATTTTCTTTAGAGAGTTTAACATACTGTCAAAGTACAATTTTCAGAAAGTTAAAGACATAACTCCTGTACAAATTTAGAATGAACACATGTCAAATATGTTATTTAATTCATTAAGGAGGGAATTTGTAAGATGGTAACTCTGGTGCAAAGAATATTGGAGGAACTGGGTGTTCCTTGGCAACAAAAAATAAAGAGAGAATGAGATTACTAGATTAGATACAAAACTTGTTAATGTCTTACAGGGCAATAAAACTATCATCTTTTAGGTTACCTTTTCTCTCAGACAGAAATCATTTGCATCTCCACCAGACAAAAATGTCTGCAAGTTAGCATGTAATTTCACAAAGTCTGAGACCTGTAAACATTAATTAAAAAGGAATCAAACAAAGATACATTTCCCTAGATAATTAAATACTCATTGATGGGTTTCTTGAACAACTCCTTGACTGATATTAAAAGGTCGTGGTTTCTCTCTTGGCCTTATTTCCAAATTTTGGTTGATTTTTTCTTATCAATACACTAGGAAATCTATCATAATAGTGTTAAGTCCTTTGACAGAAAGTGATTCCAGGTTTTATGGGGCCTGGAGTTCTTACAATATTACAGTCTCTTTTAAAAAAAAAGAATACAAAAACATTTACTTTTGCAAATCTTATAAAAATATATAAACATGAGAACACATCAATTTATATCCCCCAAGGGCATTGGAAGGAGTCATGCACAAAAAGGTCCCTGTTTTTTTTTTTAATGTCAAATATTCTGTAACCAAGTATCTTCAACTCTGAGTTAGCGTATAACTGTAATCGTTCATTTTCATGCTGCTGATAAAGACATACCCAAGACTGGGTAATTTATAAAGAAAAAGAGGTTTAATGGGCTTACAGTTCCACATGGCTGTGTCACCGGTGGAGGGTGTCCAGGTTCTTGGCATCTTGAACAAAGAATTGGACAAAACGCACCAGCAAAACAAGGAAGGAATGAAGGGATTTACTGAAAATGAAAGTACACTCCCCAGTGTGGGAGTGGCCGGAGCATAGGGGCTCAAGTGCCTGGATACAGAATCTTCTCAGGTCCAAATACCCTCTGCAGGTTTCCCATTGGCCACTTGGTGGTCACCTCATGTAAATGAAGTGGCGGCCTGCAATCAGAGGCTGCAGCGAAGTTACAAAGGTTACACTCCTGTGCAAACATCTGATAGGCTGCAAAAAACAACCAATCAGAGGTTAAGGTGAAGTTACAAAGTTGCACTTTTACACAAACGAAGACTCTGCCTGCAATCGTCTGACTGGTTGTAGACATTCAATTTCCAATTTGCCTTGCAGAAAATGTGGGGGTTTGTAAAGGGAGTAGTCTCTGGTCCTTTTGTTACTTAGGCTTGGGAAGTTAGGGTTTTCCTTTCAATTTAGTTCTCGGAAGTCAGTGTGAAATGGCCTTAGGTTCCCTGCCTCCATACCTTGTTCTCCTGCCTCAGCTGGGGAGGCCTCATAATCATGATGGAAGATGAAAGGCACATCTTATATTGAGACAGACGAGAGAATGAGAGCCAAGCAAAAAGAGTTTCCCCTTATAAAACCATCAGATCTCATGAGACTTATTCACTACCATGAGAACAGTATGGGGAAAACCAGCCCCATGATTCAATTGTCTCCCACTACTGGGTCCCTCCCACAACACATGGGAATTGTGGAAGCTACAATTCAAGATGAGATTTGGGTGGGGACACAGCCAAACCATATCAATAACCAAGCTACACCCCTATAATTTTTTGTATTATCTAATATTCTATATTATTTTAAGATCATTCTGCTCACTGTTCCACAGGTGATTTGGTTGAATGAATTCCCTACAGCTTTACAAATTGTCTTTAAAATCGTATACCAGAAAATATGTACCAGCATTAAATTTTCACTAGTTAAGAAGATATTAAAGGCTAATGTGAACAAACTGATTAATTTGTGTTCAGTCTATATTTGACGAACTCAAATTTGTTAACAAATGTGTGTTCTTGACAGATTCTATTTTATCCCCATTCACTGAAGAGGCTCTGCCTTCACCACCTCAGTTATTTCCCAGCCCCCAACCTTCAAAGCAAGTTCTGCCTGGTATTTACCAGACTAGTTTTCCTCTTTTCTTTTCTTTTTTATTTTCTTCTTTCTTATTTTCTTCTTTCTTTTCTTTTCTTTTCTTTCTCTTTCTTTCTTTCTTTCTTTCTTTCTTTCTTTCTTTCTTTCTTTCTTTCTTTCTTTCTTTCTCTCTCTCTCTCTCTCCCCTCCCTCCCTTCCTCCCTCCCTGCCTCCTTCCTTTCTTTCTTCTTTTCTTTCTTTCTTTTCTTTCTTCTTTCTTTCTCTCTCTCTCCCCTCCCTCCCTCCCTCCTTTCTTTCTTTCTCTTTCTTTCTTTCTTTCTTTCTTTCTTTCTTTCTTTCTTTCTTTCTTTCTTTCTTTCTTTCCCTTCCTTCCTTCCTTCCTTCCCTTCCTTCCTTCCTTCCTTCCTTCCTTCCTTCCTTTCTCTCTCTCTCTCTCTCTCTCTTTCTTTCTTCTCTTTCTTCTTTTTCTTGACACAGGGTCCCACTATGTTGCCCACACTGACCTTGAGCTCCTGGGTTCACTCGTGGACTCAAGCAATCCTCCCCCCTCAGCCTCTCAAGTAGCTGGGACAACAGCATATACACCTGGCTCTGCCTTTTTTTGATGCTGACTTCGGATGGGGGAAAATTAACAGAGGAAAGAAAGGAAATGCAAGGAGACTACTAGAGTGGAGAATATGTATAGAGCATTTACTATGTGCTGGGCACTGTTCTAAGAGCTCTGCATGTATTAACCTACTGGAGGCAGGCACTGCTACTATTCTTATATTATGAAGGAGGAAACGAAATGAATAAATAGCTTGCTCAGGTAAAGCCAAAACCCACGTTTCCATCTCAGAGCAAAATCACATTCAAAGAAACACAAACAGTTTGCATTTTTCTGTGTCGGGCCTTTGAAAAATGTAGTGTAAACACAGTGTTTGTATCTACTCTTATTTAAAATCCTTTGACTTTTTTTATTCTCTAATTCCCTTGCATTGGGTTTCACATGACAAAAACCCAACTGAAACTTTCTCAAGCCGAAAGGGGCTCTATTGAGGCTCGTGTAACTAGGGTGTTCTCCCTTCAGGCATGACTCGATCTGGGGCCTTTAGTGACGCCATCAGAACTCTTGAGTGTGTTTGTCTCCCCACCCCTTGGCTCTGCTTTTCTCTGTGTGATGGCTTGGTTCTACAGGCAGTTTCTCTCATACTACTGGGAAAATTGCTTCCAACAACTCCAGGCTTACCCAATCCCTACAACTAGAAATCCCAGAGTGAAATAGACATCTCCTCTCTCCCAGTGTCCATAGAGCATGCCATAGGGAAGGCCAGTGTTCCAGATGATGGAGACTGCCGGTTGGTCAGACTGGACCACAGAGATCCCCTCTGTGAAGGTCATGGAAGAAGGTCATGGGGGAACTTAGTTTTTCCAGGACCACACGCAGCGTGAGAAGCATAGTGCCCAAAAAGAAAAAAGAGCATGCTGTTACCTGACGAAGGGGAAAGAATACCAATCAGGTGAAATCAGTGGACATCCATGACACTATGAAACACCGCTCTCCCTCCTTCTGCTGACCCAGAGCTCCACCTTCTTCATGCCATTTAGAAACTATGCTCTCATACTCCAACATCTCTGCATGAATCTACCCAGAGCTCTCAACAGATTATATTTCTGCTTTGTCACTCCCCTCTCACAGCCTCTTTCTGATTTAGGCTTACATGTCAATCATTTACATTTTAATGTGATTTTTTTCACTAATGCACTGTGTCTCCCAATGATATTTGAACTTGAAGCTTTAGTGAGCAATTAAAGCATTTATCCCTAGCTTAAATTAATTTTAGCATAGGCAAACAGGGAGGCTGCAGCTTCCCTGCAACACGTGAAAGTCCAGCAGATGGGCAGTTTTCCATATGCAAGCTGTTGTCACACAGAGTTCACTGACCACACACCGGTTCATCGAGGCAGAAGAACAGAATCTGCCTGCAGCCTGTACACAGAGAATTCCTTCCATAAACAGTCATAGTTTCTTTTAGGCCTGGGACACATGGACAGTCGCTTCTTCTTAAGGAGATTTACTAGGGGCTCAAAATGATCTTCCCTTCTCTGGTTACCCAAACCGAATAGTTGACCCAACCATATTTCATCTGATATCACCATATCTGAATAGCCCTCTTATTCTTGCACAATTCTATTTTTCTTTATACTTCCTCAGTCTCAGCAAAAATACATTATAACCCCTCTCTCTTAGTCATTTTTGACCACTTACTGCCTTTTCTTTTATCTGCTACATAACTCTTTTGAATGAGAGCTGTCTACAGCAATAAAGGAAGGAAGAATTATATTGGCTGGATGATGGAGTGGCATCCCAGATGCTACAAACAGTGGGAATAAATGGAAGGTGACATTTCGTCCCAGCGCTAGGTGGAGGAGGCTATTATTAAATCAACTAACAGCTCACGCGTAGAGCAGCAGCCATGAGATCTCCACTGCTGGGCCAGCCTTTGGTTTTTAAATAGATTCTGCCCACAGGTGGCCCAGTGTTTTCTCTAAATTGTTTCTTGTCAACAAATGAGCTTACCCCTATCCCCTGGGGACGGCCACAAAGCATTGCAAGGTCTACCACTACCCTGCAAGCAAAAGAAAGTCGTGGCATTTCTAGAGGAGAAAAGTGCCTTATGTATTCCTACATTTCTTCCACATTCTTCTGGTTGAGTTGGCATTGATCCATGTAACAAACTTCTTCCCTGAGGAAAAGACTTTGCCAATATAAGAATGCTAAATAATACACACATCACCAGAGTTTATTTTCTTCATTCTGTTGGTGACATTGGTCCCTATGGACCAGTAATCAATAGGAGCTTGCTATTTCTGTGCTGTAAAATACTTTGCCCTAAAATGTTGCTTTCCCTTCCTGTGTTCCTTAGGGCAATGTTTCTTTGTCAACCAAGTACCGTTATAGCTGGGGTCTCAAGGATAGCTGGGGCTGTCTTACCAGTAAAATTCAGGCGTGTCCAGGTACCTCTGGAACACTGTGGACCAATAAAAGGAGCCCATTGGGATGTTCATTTGCATGAGTGTCCAAGAAATTTATGGGAGAAAACTCCTAAAAGAAGAAAGGATTCCTGTGTGTGCACAAATGTGAGTGAAGGGGTGATTTTGGTATGATGAGGAGTGCAGGGCTCACACTGCCTGTGGATCCCCCTTCTTGCTGCCCCCACCCTTAGCTTTCCCCTGTACCTTCTTCCCGCAGTTCTCTACCTAGAGTGGGGGAGAGAGGTTGAGATACAAAAACAAAGAAGAGGTGTTTCACTAACACCTCTGTGAGGCTGTAAAAGCAGAAAGATGCCATCCCCTATGGCCCATGTTACAGAGCACAACACAAATAGAAAATAGTATTTTATCCCCATTTTATAGGGGGCAACCTGTCAGCTCAACATTGCCATCCAGAGCAGCAGAGCACCAAAGCCACCCAGCACAACCCAGTGCTATCTGAGTGGGGAAGGTGGGAGATCACAGGAGGCATGTACAAAGCTGTGGAGACAGGTTATGCTCAGGCTTCACCAAGGCTGCCATCTCCCTGCATTCTTTGGGAATAACTTGGTTGAGGGGCAAGGGTAGCAGGAAAGATGTGTAGCTAGAGTTGCTGAAATTGTGCCTAGATGCTGAGTAATAAAAAATCACTTTATTACTACTTCTGTGACCTGTTTCCCCCAGGTTTGATGTGTGGAGATCAAATTCACAGTTATGATAAAAATTCATTTATTCAATTGTCGGTGGGGTTTTTTTTTTCCAAAATATAATTTTGACTCTAAGTCACTCCATTTTCTAGTTTTTAAATGAGCTGACATTTGGAATTAGTCTGATTTTTTACTGGTCCCATAATATATACCGTTTTAAAGAGGCTCATAAAAGCATGGAAACTCAAGGAAGGCCCAGAGATTATAATATTGATTTCGAATTACAAATACACTTTCAATGGGACAAAGAGCAGGCCAAATCCTTCACCAAGCTTCTACTGGGTGTCCCTATTTTAAGACTGCAATTTGGATGACTGCAATTATTTGCATTTTTATTACTAATTGCTCCTGCCATTGGTGCAGCCAGCCACTTTTGGGTGCAATTACCCCCTCATGGGAGCAATTACATATAAAAACAATTCTGCACGTGCAGCTCATTGTGACAAAACAAAAGGAGGCTGAGGAGAACAATTAGGCTCATCAAGTCCTATCTCCAACTTCATCGTGTGCCAGCTATAAGGTAGAACAGCAGGGACAGGAAAGTAGCACCTACCCTGGGATTTGCAGGCTGGAGCAGTCCTTCCACTGTCTATGAACATTTTTTTTTTTGAGACAGAGTTTTGTTCTTGTTGCCCAGGCTAGAGTGCAATGGCATGATCTCAGCTCACTGCAACCTCCGCCTCCTGGGTTCAAGCGATTCTCCTGCCTCAGCCTCCCGAGTAGCTGGGATTACAGGCACCTGCCACCACGCCGGGCTAATTTTTGTATTTTTAGTAGAGACGGGGTTTCACCACATTGGCCAAGCAGGTCTCAAACTCCTGACGTCAGTTGATCTGCCCTCCTCCGCCTCCCAAAGTGCTGGGATTACAGGCGTGAGCCACTGCGCCCAGCCCTACGAACATATTTTTAGAGGATTAGATTGTGGATTTATTTAATTAGAAAAAAGCAACTCATCTTGCTAAAGTGGATTCCAAACACCAAATCAAGCCATATAGCCCTCTAATTAAGTACCCAGACTTCCAGAAAACGCCAGATTTTTATGAAATTCTGTTTTTTCACAAAGAGCACTGACACATCCATCCCACTGAATTACAGCGTATACACCAGTCTCCCTCCCCTTGTCTCTGCTAGACACACTAACTTAACTGCTCCAGCCCTAAGATTGGGAATGATGGTGTAATGAGCTGACACATGAGGTCTGAGCACCAGGAGGAGCAGCCCCAATTGCAAAATGCAGCAGGCATTCTACACAAACCATCTTAGGGTTTCCAGGCAGCCCACAGACCAAATTGTCATATTACATCTCATCACCCGATTCAAATTTTAATTAGAAATGGGAAATGGGAGTGCATCCAAGGCCACCATCAGCCTGTAAACGATTACCTCATTGTGCCTCAATTTCCTCCTCTGTAAAATGGGGATAAGAATAGCCCTTGCCTCATAGGGTTTTGACAGTGATTAAAAGAGCCAATTCATGGAAACACTTAGAACAGTGCCTAGCACTCCAAAAATGTTAACTATTTTTATCATTACCTGTGCAATTTTGTTGCAATTATTTATTTCTAGATCTGTCTCCTCTTTGAGTTGTTAGGAAAAATTACACAAAACTGGAGATAATCATAGTTTTTCTCATCATGTTCAAGCATCATTTAACACAGACCTAAAGGGAAAGTAACTTTGACTTACTATTTTTTGTTAACTAGAGGCTAGATTCTGGAAAGTTAGATATTTGTAGAAGATTGATAAATTACAAATGATTTTTATCCAGGAAAGAGGCAAACCATTTTCTTCCAATCAAAAAGAATAAACCCAAAGGTTTAGGGTCCTAAAGAAAGGACATTAACCTGTTTTGTACCTAACTTTGACACTGTATTCCAGCATTTTCTTTTTTCCTATTGACTACATTTATCAGTTTCCTCCTATTCTCCTTTGCTCCAGCTTTGCCATTTTGCTGGTCCCCTCATTAGTGAATTAAATAAATCTTTGACACACACTCACTATACATTTTTCTGAGATCCATGTTTTTACTTTTTGTAAAAAAAAGTATTTGCCAGAAGCCATGCACTCCGTGCAGGTGGAACTCTCTCACAGTCATCTTTGTGTGCTGGTTCAGTGTTTCTCACATTTTAATGTGCATCCAAATCAACTGAGTGTTACCACCAGCGAATCCATATGGGTCTGCAGCAACCTCAATTCTTCCCTCCTAAGAAGAAAGAATTTGAGGAGGCGTAAGGCAAAAGGAGAGACTGAGGCAAGTTTTAGAGCAGGAATCAAAGTTATTAATAATTTAAAAAGCTTTAGGGCAGGAATGAAAGGAAGAGGGCCAAACAGGCGACTTGAGAGATCAAATGCATGCTTTGACCTCTGACTTCCAGGGTCTTGCATTACTTCCCTGATTCTTCCCGTGGGGTGGGCTGTCCACATAGGCAGTGGCCTGCTAGCGTTTGGGAGGGGAACATGAGTGGTGTGTTTAGTGGAGTTGTACGCATGCTCTCTTGAGGCGTTCTCCCCTTACCAGTCGAATGTCCCTAGAAGGTCATATACCATTTAAACTCTACCATTTTGCTTCTTAATGCTCATGCTTGAGCTCACTTGCCCAACTCCTGAGGTCTTATTGGGAAGCTGCTGATTACCAGTTTCAGGCATTTTCTATCTTATCGGGAGACTGCCTTTCCCTGGCACTAGCTGCACCTGACCAATTATTATTTTGGAAAGACAGTTAACAACCGCCTGACCATCACCTGATGGTTGCCTGACATTCCTGGTTGGGGGTTGGGGAGTCCTCTCCTGCCCTGAGCATGCCTGACTAGCCACCTACTGTAACATGACGATTCACTCATTCTGGGGAGAGGCCTAAAATACGAAATTTCTGCAGATGCTGCTGGCTTTAGTCCTGAGCCCAAAGCCTGGACTTGGAAAATGCAGGTGCTTAGAAATGTATGTAAACATCCACCTGTGAGGACAAATGACATGTCTTACTCCTTATTGCTACCTCCTCCAATAAGTGTCTTTTATTTCCACAATGTATATGCAGTAATGCAGAGGACCTGATTTGGGTGGGGACACAATAGGGCTTGCTTATCATAATGACGTAGTTAAATGAGAGCTTATTAAGAGGGTGAGGGAAGATGGGAGGTAGTTCAATAATGGGAAAACACAGTCAGTTAGGATGTAAAAACTATGCCACTTACAGTGGTTATGGTCCCCCCTGTTGATGCCCCCATTGCAGGACTCTCAGCAGGACTAACACCAGCAGCATTGCCCAACCTCATTCCTCAACGGCTGCGTGGATCCCCTCTCAGGCAATCTCAGGCTTAAGAGAAGTGAATCATAGTTGGCCTTAAAAACACAATGGGGACTTCTAACCTAGGCAGAAGACTTAGTTTCTAGCTTCTGTTGGCTCAGGGCATCCTACCTCCATGTGCCTTCATGTATATAAAATTAACAGGCAGTTAACTCTACTGCTAGAAAAATAATCATATAGCCCTTGTGTGAATTTAGGCAGAATTATAATTGTCTACCCCAGTGGTTCTCAAACCTGAGGTCACATTAGAATTGGGAGCTTGTATGAAAACATTCATATGCCTGGGTCTCACTTCTAGAGAGTCTGCTATAGTTAGCTTGGGCAACACATGAACAATATTCCTCTATGCCTAAAGAGGAGATGGCATTAGCTCATCAGCTGCGCTGTCATTGTGGTAAGTGAGAAGTTGTTAGGCATTGACTTCTTCTATCATTCTCCAACACATTAAGGCAAAGGTGTCTCTAGTCATCTTAGAAGCACTGCAAATTTTTCAAATAAAGTAGTTTTAATTTAATTTTCTGTACTTTATAATGTGAATACATTAGAACTGCTTTTCAGGGGGAAGTGCTAGATGCTGCGAAAGGTCTGGTATAAGTGGCATGAATCCTGACCATGAGGTGCTACTTCCCCAAGCACCCGGAAATAGGAAGAATAATGTTTTACTTGAGGCTGAAACTAATACAGTCCACACATAATGGATAAAATTAAGCAACCAAATGATTGTAAATATGTGATTATAAAGTTTTCTTTGGCTTTTAAATAGAATACTTTTATTATTGAAATAATATCTTTCTAAAAATAAATTACTTTGGAAAGAGTTATATGAGGTAAGAATGTAAAGTTTCCATTTCTACACCCTCTCGTAACTCCCCATCGCCCCCTGCTCCCAGCTGCTCCTTCCTCAAAGAGAGTTTTCATTGAGTTTAGCTCATTTCCTTCTAGAGCTCCTCTGCGCGTGTACAAATGCATGCTCGTGTGTATGTGTGTGTATAGCTTTTTCTTCTTTTTGCATCCTGTTTCCAAGTCTTCCCCACCATTCTCACTTAAATCTACTCTAGTGAGGTTTTCCTTTATCCCAGTTAACTTTATCACAGGCAACTTCAGCAAAGCTCCCACAGTGGTAAATCCTATGGCAAATCTCTTGTTGTCACAGTGGCTCACTCCTGACACCACACACATCTGGTTTTCCTCCCACCTCCAACTACTCCTTCTCAGTCTCCTCTGCAGTTTTTTTCTTTAATCCTCTCTCTGATCTCTAAATTTAGACACCTTCCCCCCAACCCCCAGTCCTCCAAGCCCTTTCCTGCTCTATGTGCACTTACTCCCTTAGTGATCTCTGCAAGTCTCTTGGCTTTAAACACCATCTGTACGCTGATGACACCCAAATTTATATTTCCAGTGTGAATAACTCTCGTAAACTTCATGTTTTGGTTTAGTTTTTGTTATTACATGAATATTTATTTGTATGCATATATCTTTTTTTCCTTCCCAACTTTTACTTTAGGTTCAGGGATACATGTGCAGGTTTGTTACATGGGTAAATTACATGTTGTGGGGATTTGATACACAAAGAATTTTGTCACCCAGGTAATGAGTACAGCACTTGATAGGTAGTTTTTCAATCCTCACTCTCCTCCCACCCTTCACCCGCAAGCGGCTCCAGAATCTTTTGTTGTCTCCTTTGTGTACATGTGTAGTTAACATTTAACTCCCACTTATAAATGAGAACATGCAGTATTTGATTTTTGGATTCCTGCATTAATATTCTTAGGATAATGGCCTTCAGCTCCATCCATGTTGCTACAAAGAACATGATCTCATTCTTTATTATGGCTGCATAGTATTCCAGGGTGTATATGTACCACATTTTCTTTATCTAGCCCACTGTCAATGGGCATCTAGGTTGATTCCATGTCTTTTTTTGGTGGGGGGAAGGAGTTGTTTTATTAATTTATTTTTTATTTTTTGCTTTACATTTTAAAAATTTTTTTATTTCAATAGGTTTTGGGGGAGCAGGTGGTGTTTGGTTACATGAATAAGCTCTTCAGTGGTAATTTCTGGGATTTTGGTGCACCCATCACCCAAGCAGTGTATGCTGTACTCAGTGTGTAGTCTTTTATCCCTTGCCACCCCCCACCCTTTCCCTGAGCCTCCAAAGTCCAATGTATTATTCTTATACCTTTACATCGTCATAGCTTAGCTCCCACATATGAGTGAGAACATAACATTGTTTGGTTTTTCATTCCTGAGTTACTTCACTTAAAATAATAGTCTCCAATTCCACCCAGGTTGCTGTGAATGCCATTATTTCATTCCTTTTTATGGCTGAGTAGTATTCCATGGTGTGTGTGTGTATATATATATATGTGTGTGTGTGTGTGTGTGTGTATATATATATAGATATATATAGATACATGTGATATATATCACTGTGCAAGTATCTTTTCCGCATAATGACTTATTTTCCTCTGGGTAGGTACCTAGTAATAGGATTGCTGGATCAAACACTAGATCTACTTTTAGTTCTTTAAGGAATCTCCACACTGTTTTCCATAGTGGTTGTACTAGTTTATATTCCCACCAGCAGTGTAGAAGTGTTCTGTTTTCACCATATCCATGCCAACATCTATTTTTTTTTATTTTTTCATTATGGCCATTCTTGCAGGAGTGAGGTGGTATGGAATTGTGGTTTTGATTTGCATTTCCCTGATAATTAGTGATGTTGAGCATTTTTCCATATGCTTGTGGGCCGTTTGTACATCTTATTTTGAGAATTGTCTGTTCATGTCCTTAGCCCACTTTTTGATGGGATTGTTTGTTTTTTCTTGCTGATTTGTTTGAATTCTTTGTAGATTCTGGATATTAGTTCTTTGTTGGATGTATAGATTGTGAAGATTTTCTCCCACTCTGTGGGTTGTCTGTTAACTCTGCTGATTATTTCTGTGTAGAAGCTTTTTAGTTTAATTAAATCCCATCTATTTATTTTTGTTTTTGTTGCATTTACTTTTGAGTTCTTAGTCATGAAGTCTTTGCCTAAGCCAATGTCTAGAAGGGTTTTTCCAATGTTATCTTCTAGAATCTTTATGGTTTCAGGTCTTAGATTTAAGTCTTTGATCCATCTCAAGTTGATTTTTTTTATAAGGTGAGAGATGAGGATCCAGTTTCATTCTTCTGCATGTGGCTTGCCAATTATCCCAGCACCATTTGTTGAACAGGGTGTCCTTTCCCCACTTTATGTTTTTGTTTGCTTTGTCAAAGATTAGTTGGCTGTATTAGAGTTTATTTCTCGGTTCTCTATTCTGTTCCATTGGTCTATGTGCCTATTTTTATACCAATACCATGCTGTTTTGGTGACTATGGCCTTATAGTATAGTTTGAAGTTAGGTAATGTGATGCCTCCAGATTTGTTCTTTTTTCTTAGTCCTGCTTTTGCTATGTGGGCTCTTTTTTGGTTCCATATGAATTTTAAGACTTTTTTTTTCTAGTTCTGAGAAGAATGATCATGGTATATTGATGGGAATTGCATTGAATTTGTGCATTGCTTTTGGCAGTATCGTCATTTTCACAGTATTGATTCTACCCATCCATGAACATGGGATGTGTTTCTATTTGCTTGTATCATCTATGATTTCTTTCAGCAGTGTTTTGTAGTTTTCCTTGTAGAGGTCCTTCATGTCCTTGGTTAGGTATATCCCTAAGTATTTTGTTTTTTTGCAGCTATTGTGAAAGGTGCTGAGTTCTTGATTTGATTCTCATCTTGGTCACTGTTGGTGTATAGTAGAGCTACTGACTTATGTACATTAAATTTGTATCCTGAAACTTTGCTGAACTCATTTACCAGTTCTAGAAACTTTTTTTTGGATGAGTCTTTAGAGTTTTTTAGGTATACAATCATATCATCAGCAAACAGCAATTCTCTTTACTGATGTGGATGCCTTTTATTTCTTTCTCTTGTCTGATTTCTCTGGCTAGGACTTCCAGTACTATGTTGAACAGAAGTGGTGAAAGTGGGCATCCTTGTCTTGTTCTAGTTCTCAGGGGGAATGCTTTCAACTTTTCCCCATTTGGTATAATATTGACTGTGGGTTTGTGATAGATGGATTTTACTATGTTAAGGTATGTCCCTTGATGTCAATTTTGCTGAGGTTTTTAATCATAATGGGTACTGGATTTTGTCAAATGTTTTTTCTGCATATATTGAGATGATCAAGTGATTTTTGTTTTTAATTCTGTTTAAGTGGTGTATCACATTTATTGACTTACACATGTTAAACCATCCCTGCATCCCTAGTATAAAACCCTTTTGATCATGGTGGATTATCTTTTTGATATGCTGTTGGATTTGGTTCACTAGCATTTTGTTGAGGATTTTTGCATCTATGTTCATCTGGGATATTGGTCTGTAGTTTTCTTTTTTGTTACGTCCTTCCTTCATTTTAATATTAGGGTGATACTGGCTTCATAGAATGATTTAGGGAGGAGTCTCTTTTCTCCGTCTTTTGTAATAGTGTCAATAGGTTTGGTACCAATTCTTTGAATATCTGATAGAATTCAGCTTTGAATCTCTCTGGTCCTGGACATTTTTTGTTGGCAGTTTTTTATTACCCTTTCAATCTTGCTGCTTGTTATTGGTCTGTTCAGACATTCTATATTTTCCTGGTTTAATCAAGGGGATTGTATATTTCCAGGAATTTATCTATCCCCTCTAGGTTTTCTAGTTTATGGGCATAAAGGTGTTCATGATAGCCTTGAATAATCTTTTGTATTTCTGTGCTGTCAGTACTAATATCTCCCATTTCGTTTCTAATTGAGCTTATTTGGATTGTCTCTCTTCTTTTCTTGGTTAATCTCACTAATGGTCTATCAATTTTATTTATCTTTTCAAAGAACCAGCTTTTTGTTTCATTTATCTTTTGTATTTTTTCCCAATTTTATTTAGTTCTCCTCTGATCTTAGTTCTTTCTTTCCTTCTGCTGGATTTGGGTTTGAATTATTCTTGTTTCTCCAGTTCCATGAGGTCTGACCTTAGATTATTTATTTGTGCTCTTTCAGTCTTTTTGGTGTGGGCATTTAATGAACTTTCCTCTTAGCAATGCTTTTGCTGTATCCCAGAGGTTTTGATAGGTTATGTCACTATTATCATTCAGTTCAAAGAATTTTTTAATTTCCATCCTGATTTCATTGTTGACCCAACGTTCAGGAGCAAGTTATTTAATTTCCACATATTTGCATGGTTTTGAGAGTTCCTTTTGAAGTTGTTTTCCAATTTTATTCCACTGTGGTCTGAGAGAGTACTTGATATAATTTCAGTTTTCTTAAATTTACTGAGACTTGTGTGTTGGCCTATCATATGATCTCTCTTGGAGAATGATCCATGTGCTGATGAATAGAATGTATATTCTAGGGCCAGGCACAGTGGCTCACACCTATAATCCCAGCACTTTGGAAGGCCAAGGCAGGTGGATCACCTGAGTTCAGGAGTTCAAGACCAGCCTGGCCAACATGTCGAAAACCCATCTCCACTTGATCTTAGCCAAAAGGCCAAGAAGCGATTGGAACCCCATCTCTACTAAAAATACAAAAAAATAAAAGATAAAAATTAGCCGGGTGTGGTGGCAGGCACCTGTAATCCCAGCTACTTGGGAGGCTGAGGCAGGAGAATTGCTTGAACCCAAGAGGTGGAGGTTGCAGCAGTGAGCCGGAGCCAAGATCATGCCATTGCACTCCAACCTGGTGACAGAAGGAGACTCTGTCTCAAAAAAAAAAAAAAAAGCATATTCTTCAGTTGCTTGGTAGACTGTTCTGTAAATATCTGTTAAGTCCATTTGTCGTAGGGTACATTTAGATTTAGGTTCACTGTTTCTTTGTTGACTTTCTGTCTTGATGACCTGTCTAGTGCTGTCAGTGGAGTATAGTCCCCCATTATTATTGTGTTACCATCTATCTCATTTATTAGGTCATAGTAATTGCTTTATAAATTTGGGAGCTCCAGTGTTAAGTGCATATATATTTAGAATTGTGATATTCTCCTGTTGGGCTAGTCCTTTTATCATTATATAATGTCCCACTTTGTCTTTTTAAACTGTTGTTGCTTTAAAGTTTGTTTTGTCTGATATAAGAATAGCTATTCCTGCTTGCTTTTGGTGTCCATTTGCATGGAATATCTTTTTCCACCCCTTTACCTTAAGTTTATATGAGTCCTTACGTGTGTTTATATGAGTCCTTAAGGGTTAGGTGAGTCTCCTGAAGACACAGAAACTTGGCTGGTGAATTCTTATTCATTCTACTGTTCTGTATCTTTTAAGTGGAGCATTTAGGACATTTACATTGAATGTTAGTGCTGAGATGTGAGTTACTATTCTATTCATTGTGCATTTGTTGCCTGAATACCTTGGCTTTTTTCATTGTGTTATTGTTATATAGGTCCTGTGAGATTTATGCTCCAAGGAGGTTCTGTTTTGGTGTATTTCAAGGATTTGCTTCAAGATTTAGAGCTCCTTTTAGCAGTTCTTGTAGTGCTGTCTTGGTAGTGGCAGATTCTCTCGGCATTTGTTTGTTTGGAAAAGACTGTATCTTTCCTTCATTTATGAAGCTCAGTTTTGCTGGATACAAAATTCTTGGCTGATAATTGTTTTGTTTAAGGAGGCTAAAAAATAGGTCCCCAATCCCTTCTAGCTCATAGGGTTTCTGCTGAGAAATCTGCTGCTAATCTGTTAAGTTTTCCTTTGCAGGTTACCTGATGCTTTTGCCTCACAACTCTTAAGATTCTTTCCTTTGTCTTGACTTTAGGTAACCTGATGATTATGTGCCTAGAGGGTGTTCTTTTTGTGATGAATTTCCCAGGTGTTCTTTGAGCTTCTTGTATTTGGATGTCTAGATCTCTAGCAAAGCCAGGGAAATTTTCATCGATTATTAGCGCAAATATGTTTTCCAGACTTTTAGATTTCTCTTCTTCCTCTGGAACACCAATTACTCACCAATTATTTGGAAGGTTTAACATAGTCCCAAACTTCTTGGAGGCTTTGTTTATTTTAAAAAATTCCTTTCTCTTTGTCTTTGATGGATTGTGTTAATTCAAAAGCCTTGTCTCCAAGCTCTGGAGTTGTTTCTTCTGCTTGTTCGATTGTATTGCGGAGACTTTCCAGTGCACTTTGCATTTCTCTAAATGTGTCCTTGATTTGCATAAGTTGCGATTGTTTTTTATTTATGCTATCTGTTTCACTGAAGAATTTTCCTTTCATATCCTGTATCATGTTTTTCATTTCTTTAAGTTGGATTTTATCTTTCTCTGGTGCCTCCTGTATTAGCTTAATTCTGAATTCTTTTTTTGGCAGTTCAGAGATTCTGTCTTGGTTTGGATCCATTGCTGGTGAGCTGGTATGATCTTTTGGGCGTGTTAAAGAACTGTGTTTTGTCATACTACCAGAAGTGTGTTTCTGGTTCCTTCTCATTTGGGTAGACTATGTCAGAGGGAAGACCTGGGATTCAAGGGCTGCTCTTCAGATTCTTTTGTCCCATGGGGTGCTCCCTTGATGTGGTGTTCTCCCCCTTCCCCTAGGAATGTGGCTTCCTGAGAGCTGAACTGTAATGGTTGTTTTTGCTTTTCTGGGTCTTACCACCCAGCAGAGCTACCAGGCTCTGGGCTGGTACTGAGGAGTGTCTGCAAAGAGTCCTGTGATGTGATCCGTTTTCAGGCCTTGCAGGCATGGATACCAGCACCTGCTCCAGTGGAGGTAGCAGGAGACTGAAGTGGACTCTGTGAGGATCTTTGGTTGTGTTTTTGTTTAGTGCACTGGTTTTGTGTTGGTTAAGCTCCAGGCAGGAAGTGCCACTTTCAAGAGTTTATCAGCTGCGGCCCTGTAAGGAGGATGCAAATTTACCCTAGGGAGACCTGGTTAAGTATTCAGGTTTCTCAGGCAGTGGGCAGGGCCATAGAGCTCCCAAGAGATTATGACCTTTATCTTCCGCTACCAGGGCAGGTAGAGAAAGACCATCTAGTGGGGACAGGGATAGTGTGTCTGAGCTGAGCCTCTCCTTGGGCGGAGTTTGCTGCAGCTGCTGTGGGGAATGGGTGTGTGGCTCCCAGTCCAAGGGAGCTATATTCCCTGGAGGATTATGGCTGCTTCTGCTGAGTCATACAGGTTGCCAGGGAAGTGGGGGAAAGCTGGCAGTCACAGGCCTCACTTCACTCCCACTCAGCCCACAGTCCTAAAGGCTGGTCTCACTCCCACCGAGGCCCTGCAACAGCACCAAGTCTATTTCTAGGCAGCCCATGACCAGGGCTGAGAACTTGCCCCAGACCATGAGCCTCCCGGCTGAGAAAACAAGTTAACTCACAGTTTTTCAGCATCTCAGGGAGCCTGCAGCAGTGATCCAGTTCCTTCAAACTGTCTGTGGATTCTCTCGGCTTTCCTGGTATGTGCCTGAGAAAGCAAGTTGACTCAGTTTTTCAGCATCTCAGGGAGCCTGAAGCAGTGATCCAGTTGCTTCAAACGTCTGTGGATTCCCTCGGCTTTCCTGGTATGTTCCTGTGCTACAAGAATTGTAGCAAAAAAGCTCATGATGTGAGTCTCCACATGCTGCTCTCTCCATATGAGCAGGAGCTGCAAGCTAGTCCTGCCTCCTATTCGCCATCTTAATCCTGGTTTGGGCTGATTCCATGTCTTTGCTATTGTGAATAGTGCTGTGATGAACATACATGTGCATGTGTCTTTATGGTAGAACAATTTATATTCCGTTGGGTACATACCCAATAACGGGATTGCTGGGTCAAGTGGTAGTTCTGTTTTAAGTTCTTTGAGAAATCTCCAGATTGCTTTCCACAGTGGCTGAACTAATTTACACTCCCACCAGCAGTGTCTAAGTGTTCCCTTTTCTCTGCAACTTTGCCAGCATGTCATTTTTTGACTTTTTATTAATTGCCATTATGACTGGTGTGAGATGGTGTCTCATTGTGGCTTTGATTTGTATTTCTCTAATGATTAGTGATGTTGAGAATTTTTTCACATGCTTGCCCATGTGTATGTGTTCTTTTGAGAGTATCTGTTCATGTCCTTTGCCCATTTTTTAATGGGGTTATTTATTTTTTGCTTATTGATTTGCTTAAGTTCCTTACAGATTCTGGATATTAGACCTTTGTCAGATGCATAGTTTGCAAATATTTTCTCCCATTCTGTAGGTTGTCTGTTTACTCTGTTGATAGTTTCTTTTGCTGTGCAGATGCTCTTGGTTTAATTAGGTCCCACTTATCAATTTTTTTGTTGGTTGCAATTGCTTCTGGAGTCTTTATCATGAACTCTTTCCAGGGCCTGTGTCCAGAATGGTATTTCCTAGGTTTTCTTCTAGGTTTTTTGTAGTTTTAGGTTTTACATTTAAGTCATATGTCTTTGTGTAAGTATTTATGAGTTGTAATTTTTTTTTTTTTTTTGAGACAGAGTCTCGCTCTGTGGCCCAGGCTGGAGTGCAGTGGCACGATCTCGGCTCACTGCAAGCTCCATCTCCCAGGTTCATGCCCTTCTCCTGCCTCAGCCTCCCGAGTAGCTGGGACTACAGGTGCCCGCCACCATGCCTGGCTAATTTTTTGTATTTTTAGTGGAGATGGGGTTTCACCATATTAGCCAGGGTGGTCTCCATCTCCTGACCTCGTGATCCACCCACCTTGCCTCCCAAAGTACTGGGATTACAGGTGTGAGCCACCGCCAGCCTATGAGTTGCAATTTTTTAAGTGGAATTAACGAATGAGAACGTGGCCAGGCATGGTGGCTCACGCCTGTAATCCCAGCACTTTGGGAGGCCAAAGCAGATGAATCACTTGAGGTCAGGGGTTTGAGACCAGCCTGGTCAACATGGTGAAGCCTCATCTCTACTAAAAATACAAAAATTAGCCGGTTATGGTGGTGCATGTTTGTAATTCCAGCTACTCAGAAGGCTGAGGCACAAGAATCGCTCGAACCTGGGAGACAGACGTTGCAGTGAGCCGAGATCACGCCATTCTACTCCAGCCCGGATGACAGTGAGACCCCATCTAAAAAATAAAAAAAAGAATGAGAATGTTTTAGAATACCCAGGACTGCAATCAAGGTCACCTAAGTTTAATTTCTGGGAAGCAGATTTGAAATTGATTGAATTTAGTGAATAAAAACTGAATCAATTTTATCATGAGATGGTGAGAATGAAGCATAGAAAAAGAAAACCCAGTGAGCAAAAAGTATACATTGTTGTCCAGCATGCTCAGTCAGTGCGAAAATATTTATTGAATATCTATGATAGAGCAGGCACATGCAAAGGAGTGAGACACTGACTCAGACAAACAGGAATTCAGCCCTAGAAAGATTCTCTCTCTGAGGAGGTACTGCTAATCTATTGCCCCTGTCTGTGGCCTTGATCAGATTTCATCTTCACTGAGCAACTTCAGGTTTATGCCCTGATCCTGCATGTTATACATGAATCTTTCAGGCATTTCAAAGAATGTCTCCCAATAAAACAACCACTTTCAGAATCATAATAGCAACATCAGTGTTTACTTTGCACCTGACAGCCACTAAACACTTTACAATCTAATTTAGTCTTTGCAGTTATTCTCTGAGGTACGTAGTATCTCCGTTTTCTAGATGAGGAAACTGAGGCTTAGCAAGATTAGGTCAGTTGTCCAAGATCACATTGCTCCACATAGTGGCAGAGTGAAGATAAGGACATAGTTCTGAGTCCAAAGCCCGTGGTCATAATCCCTGAGCTATCCTGAGTCTAGGATTCTGGTTTAGACAATTGGTCCTTCATTAATCAGTTGAAACAAATCAGTGCTTTGCTGTCCATCAACTTTGAGTGACCTGATAAAGCTTAATTTTTGCCTGACAGCAGGCCTTGACCCAAGATTACATAAATTCATGGCACCATAGTGAAAGGCTTAGCTTGGGAGCCAGTGCACATCCCAGAAGGACATCTATCTTACTTTTGCCCTTCTAATCCCAAAAAAGGTAAACAGCAACAAGGACCACAGTGTTTATGTAACAGGAAAAATGGCCCGTGTGTGAAAGACATAGTATTCTTCCTGAGAGGTTTTCTTCCATGTCACTGCTACTTGCAAGTATCTTACAAGGCTATTGATTAAGAGTTTTATTCATTAACAGCAGTGAGGTTACCCTAACTAATACAGTTTCACTGTGAAGATATTTTCTATTCAGACTTAAAAGACTAATTTTGCCAAGGAGTTTGCAAAGCCCAGAAGAGTAGCTTTGAAGACATTGAAAGTGAGGTTCAAAGGACAGCTCATATTTTGTTGTGGCTTTATTCAAAACATTTATGGCAATGATGAGTTTATTCGGATGATATGAGAGGGAATAATATTCTATTAATGATTTTTTGAAGGCATCTATACAATTTCATCTAAAAAATCTCTTGTGAAATTCACAGTCTTTAAAATAAAATGAATAGGCTTATCATTTGGGTTCTGATGCCTGTGTTCTCATCGGCTGAATGGTGTGTTCTCATCTGCCAAATGAGGGGTAGAGATGAATGAGCCGGGAAGTACCTTCCAGCATCAACATTCTAGGCTGGCTCAACATGGGAAATTTAACTTAAAGTAGGAGTAATCGCTTATTACAAACAGTTCAAGACTTAGGGACAAATGAAGCTTCTCGCTCGTCTTAACTCTGAGCTTGGAGCAGAAGTCATGAAGTGTCTGTGTAAGAATGTGAGCATATTTACAGACACCAGCTGATATAAAGGATTCTAGCTACATTTTAACTAGGCTATCATTTTTTTAAAAATCACATACATTGTATGACTCTACCTTAAATAAAATGATTAATTGAAGTATTTCTTTTTTTGTGCAAAGTAGAGTACTGCTAGATCCTCGAAAGGTTTCTAAGAGAAAACACATCAAGGCGCAGTGGCTCACGCCTGTAATCCCAGCACTTTGGGAGACCAGGGCGGGCGGATCACGAGGTCAAGAAATCGAGAAAACATATCAGCTCAGCTAGGCCAATTTGACTTCCTCTTCCTTCCGTCATTTTCTTCACCCCTTTGTTCTCTGTCCTTTGAACTCCTCCTCATTAGAGCCCCTGGCTCTCTAATTTCACAGTCCCACCATTTGACATTGAATTCACCTTTCCTTTTGACAGGACCTGCTGCTTTATCTTTTCCCTTTTCTAACTTTGCAAAGATAAAATCTTATTTCTCAATGAAAACTGAGACTCAGATACAAGGTATACCCAAGAATTGACTTAATTGTCAAAGAAAATTAGTGATGAGTCAGATAACTGAGCTAACCCAAATCCAATTTTAAATCTGGTATAATAATGGTCCTTTTTCAAACTCAGAGCATAACCAAATCACTACTTTTTGAAGGCTTCATGAAACTCAATCAAGCATACAGCAGGGTATGTGAATGGCAATCTTTACAAGAATCATTAGTACCAGCCTGCCTTTCACCGGCTTGAACCTAACCAAGCTGGAACAACCTCAGGTATAACTAGAAACTGAAATCTAAACAGCAAATTTTAAGCTTCTGCTCCGTTGAGGGTTAAAGTAGCAACTGCAATTAATTTTATCAATTAGGCTGAGTAGTCTCTAAAAACAGATTTGAGAATTTGATTTTACTCTTCAGATAATTTGGGTTCTTATTTATTCCATAAGCTAAAGTTAGACTCTAAATCTAATATTCTCTCTCTCTCTTTTCCCCCAGCTCTGTCTCCTCACCTCCTTTACCTTGGTCCTCCCACCTCCTTTTTATCTCTCCCTCCCCTGTCCTCCCTCTTCTCTCTCCTTTGCCTTTGGTTGCTGGTGGGGGAATGTCCTCCAAGGCTCAGGCTTTTTACCATTTCTCCTTTGAGGGGTCCAGTCCATTCTTGTGAATCCACCTCTCTTATCTCTGTCTGTGATTTCTATTTTTGGTCTCTAGTTCTATTCTTTCATCTAAATTCCAGGTCTGCATGACACATTTGCATGAATGTTGTAGCTTGTCTCCAAGAATGCTGCCTCAATTTCTTCTCCTGTTAGTGAATTCTATCCCTTCACCCCCTTGAATCTGGGCTGATGTGTGACTGTTTTAACCAACAGAAATAGTGATGCTGTGACACTTCTAAGGCTAGGATTTAAGAAGCCTTGCAGAGTCCACCAGGGTCCCTTGGAACACAAATTGTGGGAGAAGCAATCCCTGAAGAAAGCCAGCCATTATGGAAGAAATCCAACGACCCTGAGACCACTATGCTGTAAGGAAGACCAAGCCAGCAAAGAAGAAGAAACCATGTCCGGGTGCGGTGGCTCACGCCTGTAATCCCAGCACTTTGGGAGGCCGAGGTGGGCGGATCACTAGGTCAAGAGAAAGAGACCATCCTGGCCAACATGGTGAAACCCCATCTCTACTAAAAATACAAAAATTAGCTGGGCGTGGTGGCACGTGCCTGTAGTCCCAGCTACTCGGGAGGCTGAGGCAGGAGAACCGCTTTGAACCTGGGGGGCGGAGGTTGTAGTGAGCCAAGATTGCACCACTGCACTCCAGCCTGGCAACAGAGTGAAAAAAAAAAAAAAAAAAAAAAAAAGAAGAAGAAACCATATGGAGACAGAGATGCCCCACCAGTACCCAAATGTCTCAGACATCACAGGCATCAGACACATTAGTAAAGAAGCTGTAAGCCAACCCCAGTTATTTGACTGGAATCATATGAGGAACCCTAAGTAAGAACTACATCTCTGAGCTCATCAAGGCCACAGAATGGTGAGAGGTAATCATAAATGGTTGTTTTAAGCCACAAAGTTCAGGAGTAGATGGTTATATGGAATAAATAACTACCAGAGGTGTCTAACTTTCATTCAATCACTGACTCTTTCATTCAGCAATTGTTTATTGAACACTTTATGTGCAGCAACTTGCAAGGCACTAGGAACAAGAATGAATAAGACAGGCCCAACCCCTACTACTTTTATGGGGTTGACGGTCTTTTGGAAAGGCATTGAAAAATTGGTTGATTGATCATTTCAACTTCTAATACCTGTTCCCCTGTGCTCACTCTAAGCTGGTGACTTTTCTCATTTTTCATTGAGACTTTAGAAATAATCAGAAAGGAACTCCTTCATCAACCTAGAATGTAGACTCCTAACCTACCAGCATCTATGTAAAATTCTCCACCTTTTCTTTTCTCTGGATGAAGTGTCTCCAGAGATTCCCCGTCCACTTGAGCTCTGGATCCCATCCCCTTAACAATGACTTCTCTATCACTTTCATCAGAAAGCAAACATGCTCCAGATGATCTCAACCAGGATCCCAGCTTGAATACCATCTTTGGGCTGATGGTCCTGGAACCCATGTCTCCAGCCTTGATCTATCTGCAGAACCACAGACTTTTATATATTCAGCCTTCTACTTGGCCCCTCAGCTTAGATATCTGATCTATCTCAAACTTAGCATGACCCAAATAGAACGCCAGATGTTTCACCTGCAACCTACCCCCTCTCACATTCTTCCCTACCCCCATAAATGGCCTCTTCACCAATTCTATTTCTAAAATAGATAAGTTATCCTTATTTTCTTTCTCCCCATTCCCCCCACATCCAACCCAGTAGGCAGTCCTATTGACTCTACCTTCAAAACATATCCTGAATCCACCCACTCCTCTTCAGCTTCAGCATTTCTATCCTGGTCCAAGCCACCATCCTCTCACTGAATTGCTGAAATTTCAAGCCTCCTAACTTGCCTGCCCCATTTCACTCTGACCCACACAATCTGAGCCTCCTCTTCGTATGGGTGGCTGACTGGAAACATCCAAAGGGCACTGAAAAGGATGTTAACATTCTACTAGGTTTTAGAACAGGCCTAAAGTGAGATACACTGCATGACTCATAGCAAATTACTCTAAAATCCCTCTCTAGCCATCCATGCCTGTTTCCAGGGCAGCCACTCAGAAATCTCTCCTGGCTCCTTTCCCCACCCTTTCTTTGCTAACTCTCCCGCTAAACTCCTCCAGCGTTGGCTATTTCCCTCTCCCCTCCCCACTTCTGCTCAGCTCTTCACTAAGGAGACCCAATTAGCTTTCTAGGTCTCCTTCAATTCATTTTTTATTCCAAGCAGCAACACAAAGCCAGGCTGTAAGACCTCCTTAGAAAGAAAGGGGGAGGTTGCAAACATTTGTTATATTATTCTGTTTCTTTTTCACCCAGTCACAAATTCTCTCTAGGGAAAACTTTTCTGTTCTCTGAAATGAGGACATCATACTCTCTGGGTCACCTTCCAGACACCCCAGCATACTTCCCCCAATCCTTTTCTCCTATTGGATTCAGCCAGGTTCTGCTCTGACATAGGCCTTGTGGGGGTGGGGTAGAGGGCACTACTGAGGTTGCTGGTGAGGACCAAGTCCTCTAGACTTTCTCCTAGAAAAGTGACTTTCACACTTTTCTTTTGCGACTCACTGTAAGAAATACATTTCACATCTCACCCAAGTGCACATATGTGTACACACACACATCTGAAGCAAAAGGTTAATATTACTTAACCTTCACTCTGATATTTTCTATTCTCTGTATGTCATTTCAAAATGGTACTAATCATCTTTTAGTGATACATACCAAAATATTTACTGATGAAATGATATGAGGTCTGGAGCTTGCTTCAAAATCTGTGAGACGACTGGTGAAACAAGATTGGTCATGAGTTGATCATATCAAACTGGGTGATAGGCACGTGGGAGTTTGTTATACTATTCCAATATTTTATATATTTGATATCTTTAATAATAATAAATTTAAAACAAAAGAAAATTATTGGTCATGCCCCACTAAATTGATTTCAGAACCCACTAATAGGCCAAGAACTAGTTTGTAAAGTACCTTCTAGAAAAATCTAGGAGTTGGGAAGTTTAAAATTAGATGGCAGGGAAACAAATCTACAGTTAAATTTAATCTAATGCTCTCTTTCTACCCCACCCCCTAATGAAGTCTATTTCTTCTTCCAGGGTTAGGAGGTAGGATATTTACTGAGTTTTCTGCCACCCTCAGAGTATGGTTTCATATCAGATGTCATTATTTGCCAAAACTGAAACAAAGAGGTGATCTCCACCCACCAAGATTCAAGCCAGTTTCTCATGAACTGCAGTTTCCTAGACATCAGGGGATTTGTCCCTGGGGGCCACAGGGCCAGCCACCTGGGAGATTCTATCTGTGAGCAACCCAGTCATGTTGGAAGCAAACTAAGGGATATTGTCTGTGACCAAAGTCCTGGAAAGGATCTGGTAGGATCCTGGGCTGGGCAAGAAAGGCTGCTCAGTCTCTCCTCTACAGCCAAGCTGTTCACCACTTCTGGCTCATCAGCTGCTCCCTGTTGCTTTCCTGGTGTTCTCTGATGACCTCCATGATCACCCCATGCTCTTCTTATTTTTTAATTAGTTTCATGGAAGTAAGAGCTCAGGCAGCCCTTTAGTTTGTGGCCAAATATAAGGTTGTTTGGTATCTCTTGGTCACAAGGTTTTCCTGAACAAGCCTCAACTCTGCTTCTCCAGAGCTCTCCATTGTGCTGAGTGGATGCCTCAGCCGCCTCTTGTGTCTGAAAGCACACATGAACCATTTCTCTATTCCCTTTGCTAGGTAGCTATGAACTCTACCTAGAAATCCCACTTTGGTTAAAAAAAAAAGTCTTTCCATAGCTAAAGCAACTCTGTCACAAAAACAAAGGCCCCGCGAATTTTGAGTTCACAATGCTGACTTGGCAAACCCAATCTTTTCCCCACCTGAGGCCTGTCACCTTCATAACTCAAGGTTCCCTTCTCCCATCTGGCCCACAGTTTCGGTAGTTTCTGCAAGCAAATAATTCCTACTTGTGGTTTCTAAACCCTTATCAATTGAAACACCACAGCGGCCCAGTTCCCAGTGGATCCCAACACTATTATCGTCCATATGGATAAAAATGAATATGGTTCAGGGAGGAAAAACACAATGAAAAGATGGTAAAGACAGTCAAGGCAGTTCTGTCTGGTGTCTGTTTTAAGTGGGGAAAAAAAAGGAGGTAATCATTGCATTCCATCTAGACATGACAGTGAGATTTACTGGAAGTATTTCCAGTTGTGTTCATCTGCCAACCCTCCAGGAATGCTTGATAAAGTTTATATTTGATGTCAAGTTGCCAGCCACCTGGGATATGATCTCCATAGTTGAGGTTATGTTTATGAAAAAAGGCAAGCTCCCAGTTGAGGAAGGATGGGCATCACCTATTGCCTGTAACAGAGAATGTGATCCCATATACTATTTAGACCAGAAGGCTATAAAGCTCATTCTGAGGCTGACTCCACCATCCCAGCTTTCCTGAAAGGTATCTACCGGGTAGTGATAGACCTGTCTCGTGAGGACTCTGGTTATGGGGCTTCTGACATTGTACCTGCAACACCCATTGACCTGTCAGATCTTCTGAGTGGGGACTGGCATAAAACCGCATCAACATCTTTCCTGGAAACCATCAGCAAGAAAACCCAAGCCCGAGTCCTCTGACTCCTAAACAGAAACATGGAGAAGGAGGCCCCTAAATGCACTATTGAATTCTAAGATTACATAAACAACACTGCAGAAAGATACTGCTAACTTATAAAAGTATGGACCTCCTGGAAGAAATTAAAAGCAATCCCAATTTCCATAAAATGTACTATTAAAAGGTTGCTAACATCCTTCTTAATAACCTGCATACATAAATAGCTGATTCCAGTGGTAACCTTCCTTACCAAATTGGAAAATGTGTCAGTCTACCATGGCGGGATGACAGTGAACTTTATTTTATTTACTGTAATTCTCTCCTGGAACCTATTTCTCATCCTGCCTTTGGGTTGCTATCAACAGCTCTCTTGGAGACTCCCTGGTTGCGAAGCCCTCATGAAGCCTCAGTTCCTCCAATTGGCTGAGAAAACTGACCCATTCACAGTGACTCTGAGGAGTAAGACTCTGAACCCTGGTTAAAAAAAAAAAATCATACCCACTCAAAAAGATGCTTCTATAAGCCATGACATGGTGATGCTGCTGCTTCTAAAATGCACACTAGTCCAGCTTTTCTGGGGTCTCTAGCCACCAGAGATGGGGACAAGGTCTGGTCTAGGACTAGGCCACAGTACAGTCCCTTGGTATCAGGAAGCCCCGCTGTCAGAGTCTTTCATCACTACAGCAGACAATGGTGTTACCAGACGGTGTTGCTGGATGACCACACAGTGTCAGAGGAACAGCAGTCTGAGTGGTGAGACTCAGGAACCCACTGGCACTCCTTACACTCCTTACACTACCTACCCCATGATGTGTGCCCCTGACTTCCTTTTCTTTTCTGAAATGGATTCACATTTCCTGAAAAAAACTTATCTTTATGGAGGCTCAAATAAAAATTTTTTAATAAAAAACAAACAAACTGTATTTAGCCTATAAGCTGACGAGGGAGTGGATAGTCTCAATCTAAAGCTGTCTCAAAGTCCCCGTGCAAGTGTGACTCGATATCCATTCACCCAACTCTGGGTCAGACATTCTTAACAAAGATTGGTTCTGCAGTTTTAGAGTGGGTTCCATCACTTCCTGATGATTCCAAGGTGCTGCTCCATGAGGAGATCTGCTGAGACTGCATGCACATCATTTGCTTTGCACATCAGTTTGCTGGCAGACCCTCTTGCTGAAGGTGCCCATGAAGTTCAGTTCTGTGGGGACATTTAACTATATTTACAAATAAATATGTATGTTTATCTGGAACTGAGATACTGGTGAGTTGCTGCTACTTCAGGGCCAAGGTCCAGGACACCTTCTCTCAATTTTGCCTTGTAGGCAACACACAGGAACTAAAACCAAAGAGAAAGGCTGGGAAAGGATAAGAGATTGTAACTTATGTTTTCTTGATTTCCTTTGCAGCTCGTGGCAGAGAGTTGAGACTTAAGTAAGAGGCAGGGTTACTTTATGAATTTATTTCTTTCTTTTATTTATTTATTTTTTTTTGAGATGGAGTCTCACTCTATCATCCAGGCTGGAGTGCAGTGGCGCGATCTTGGCTCACTGCAACCTCCACCTCCCGGGTTCTAGTGATTCTCCTGCATCAGCCTCCCGAGTAGCTGGGACTATAGGCGTGTGCCACCATGCCCGGCTAATTTTTGTATTTTTTACTAGAGACAGGGTTTCACCATATTGGCCAGGCTGGTCTGGAACTCCTGACCTCGTGATCTGCGCGCCTTGGCCTCCCAAAGTGCTGGGATTACAGGCGTGAGCTACCACGCCCGGCCTTCTTCTTCTTCTTCTTTTTTTAAAGTATTGTTAAAAACTTTTAACTTTTATTTTAGGTTCAGAGGTATATGTGTAGGTTTGTTATGTAGGTGAACTCATGTCACAGGGGTTTGTTGCACAGATTATTTAATCCCCCAGGTACTAAGCCTAGTACCCAATAGTTTTTTCTCTGATCCTCTCCCTCCTCCCACCCTCCACCCTCAAGTAGGCCCCAGTGTGTGTTATTCCCCTCTGTGTCCTTGTGTTCTCATCATTTAGCTCCCACTTACAAGTGAGAACATGTGGTATTTGTTTTTCTGTTTCTGTGTTAGTTAGCTAAAGATAATAGCTTCCAGCCCCATCCATGTTCCTGCAAAAGACATGATCTCATTCTTTTTTATGGCTGCATGATATTTCATGGTGTATATGTACATTTTCTTTATCCAATCTGTCATTGATGGACATGTAGATTGATTCTTTGTCTTTGCTATTTCTAATAGCACTGCAGTGAACATATGCGTGCGTGTCTATGACACAATGATTTATACTCCTTTGGGTATATGTAATGGGATTGTTGAAGTGTATGGTAATTCTGCTTTTAGCTCTTTGAGGAATTGTTACACTGCTTTCCACAATGGTTGAACTAATTTACACTCCCACCAGCAGTGTATAAGCATTCCCTTTTCTCCACAACCTTGCCAGCATCTGTTATTTTTTGACTTTTTAATAATAGCCATTCTGACTGGTGTGAGATGGTACCTCATTGTGGTTTCTCTAATTGCACTTCTCTAATGATAGTGCTATTAAGCTTTTTTTCATATGCTTCTTGGCCACTGTATTAATCAGGGTTCTCTAGAGGGACAGAACTAGTAGGATAGATAGATAAATATAAAGGGGAGTTTATTAAGGAGTATTAAATTCACACGATCACAAGGTCCCACAATAGGCCACCTGCAAGCTGAGGAGCAAGGAAGCCAGTCCAAGTCTCAAAGCTGAAGAACTTGAAGTCTGATGTTCAAGGGAAGGAAGCATCCAGCATGGGAGAAAGATGTAGGCTGGGAGGCTAAGCCAGTCTGGCCTTTTCACGTTTTTCTGCCTGCTTTATATTCTAGCTGAACTGGCCGCTGACTAGATGGTGCCTACGAAGATTAAGGGTGAATCTGCCTTTCCCAGCCCACTGACTCCATTGTTAATCTCCTTGGCAACATGCTTACAGACACGGCCAGGATCAATACTTTGCATCCTTCAATCCAATCAAGTTTACACTCAGTATTAACCATCCCAGCCACATATGTATCTTCTTTTGAAGAGTGTCTGTTCGTGTCCCTTGCTCACTTTTTAATGAGGCTGTTTGTTTTTTTCTTGTCAATTTGTTTAAATTCCTTATAGATGCTGGGTATTATTAGACCCTTTGTCAGATGCATAGTTTGCAAATATTTTCTCCCATTCTGTAGGTTGTCTATGTATTCTAATGATAGTTTCTTTTGCTCTGCGGAAGCTCTTAAGTTCAGTTAAAGCCCATTTGTCAATTTTTGCTTTTGTTGCAATTGCTTTCGGCATCTTCATTATGAAATATTTTCCAGTTCCTATATCTTGAATGGTATTGCCTAGCTTGTCTTCCACAGTTTTTATAGTTTTGGGTTTTACATTTAAGTCTTTAATCCATCTTGAGTTGATTTTTGTATATGGTATAAGGAAGGAGTCCAGTTTCAGTCTTCTACATATGGCTAGCCAGTTATCCCAGCATCATTTATTGAATAAGGAATCCTTTCCCCATTGCTTGCTTTTGTCAAATTTGTCAAAGATCAGGTGGTTGTAGGTGTGAGACCTTATTTCTGGATTTTCTATTCTGTTCCATTAGTCTATGTGTTTTTTCTTGTATTAGTACCATTGTGTTTTGGTTACTGTAGCCCTGTAGTATATTTTGAAGTTGGGTAGTGTGATGCCTCCAGCTTTGTTCTTTTTGCTTAGAATTGCCTTGGCTATTCGAGCTCTTTCTTTGGTTCCATATGAATTTAAAAATTTTTTTTTCTAGTTCTGTGAAGAATGTCATTGGTAGTTTGATAGAAATAGCATTGAATCTGTAAATTGCTTTGGGCTGTGTGGCCATTTTAATGATATTGATTCTTTTTATCCATGAGCATGGACTGTTTCTCCATTTGTTTGTGTCATCTCTGATTTCTTTGGCAAGTGTTTTGTAAATCTCATTTTAGAGAACTTTCACTTCTCTGGTTAGCTGTATTCCTAGGTATTTTATTCTTTTTGTGGCAATTGTGAAAGGGATTGTGTTCCTGATTTGGCTCTCAGCTTGGCTGTCGTTTGGTGTATAGGAATGCTAGTGATTTTTGTACATTGATTTTGTATCCTGAAACTTTGCCGAAGTTGTTTATCAGCTGAAGGAGCTTTTTGAGTTGAGATTGTGTGGTTTTTCTCCATATAGAATTATTTCACCTGCAAACAAGGATAGTTTGACTACTTTTCTTCGTATTTGGATGCCCTTTATTTCTTTCTCTTGCTCGATTGCTCTGACCAGGACTATATTTAGTACTGTGTTTAAGCAGGAGTGGTGGGAGAGGACTTCCTTGTCTTGTGCCAGTTTTCAGGGGGAATGCTTCCAGCTTTTGCCCATTGAGTATGATGTTGGCTGTGGGTCTGTCATAGATGGCTCTTTATTATTTTGAGGTATGTTCCTTCAATACATATTATGAATTTCAAGGGCCCTTAGCACTTTTACTTCCCTGGGCTTCTTCCTTCATTAAAAATATTTGAAATTATATTTTGTCACTGCATTGCTGTAAAGACAAATAATATTAGTATGAAAACATTTTCTTCAACCTAAAAGTTATTTTTTCTTCTAATTTTAAAAGAAATTAAAACATTTTCACAGACCTCTGAAAATAGTGTGGATCTTAGTTGTTGTACCTACTGTGCCTGTTAAGATATGCCCATTAAGTATCTGTTGATGGATGGGTGGATGGATGAATGTTATAAAAAAGTTAACTTTAGGGGTAAGAACATGACATAGAAGAGAGATGGAGGTATGAGGAAATCATTTACTGTGCTTCCTTCTATCTGTTCACACTGCCCTGAGCTCCCTGTTCTCAGCCATGATGTCTGGATCTCCAATTCACTTTGAAGGATGGGAGCATTGATGTGAAGCATTGATGTGAAGCTTCATTTCCCACATATAAGTCACCACAACACTAATACAAGATTATAGTTTTCAAATTTAAAATAAAATTAATTTAAGCACACTGACAGAAATATCAAGAATGAATTTTGTCTTCAACTACAAACATCACTGCAGATGTCATTAGAAAGACTATTCTAAAAGATGTTTAGAAAACTACCTTCAGAATCTTGGGCCTTATTATCATAATATTTTTCAGGTGTTGATTAATTGAGTATCTAGTCTTATGATCCACTGAGTCACAAATAGAAAGACATAAGATTGGCAATGGCTTCTACAATATTTCATATTTGTTATTTTCAGAACATATCAACAAGAGAAAATTTATTATAGTATTTTTTGTTGATGTGGCCCTAATTTGCTTTTCCCTGCTGTTCTACAGGTCTACAATGGTGAGAATCTAAGATGGAATCCTGAAAATCCTATGCTTTTCAAAATACATTTTGAGTTCCCTTTAACCTAACACACAGATGCCAAGTGGCACATTTAGCAGTAGACTGGGTGTGTCCTCAAGCAAGGATGGAGTGGCACACTAGAGAGTTTGAAAATGGCTCTTAATATTGTCAGAACTAAGTTAACTGAGTTATTATCTTAGAGCAGCAGTAGGCAAACTACAACCTGTGAGCCAAATCTGGCCCACCACCTATTTTTGATTAGACCAGGAGATAAAATGGTTTCTACATTTTTTCAATGGTTGGGAAAAAAGCCTAAAGAAAAATAATATTTAGTAACATGAAAATTATATAAAATTCAAATTCCACTGGAAGAATAATATTTAGTGACATAAAAAATTATGTGAAATTCAGATTCCAGCATACATAAATAAAGTTTAATTTGGAACATAACTATGTCAATTTATTTATGGATTATGGCAGCTTTCATGCCAAAGAACAAAGTTGAGTATTTGCAACAGAGATAATATGGCCCACTAAGCCTGAAATATTTACTACCTGGCTCTTTACAGAAAACACTTGACCCCTGTCTTGGAGCACAGAAATTCCTGAAGAAGATCTGAAGCACCAAGTTTCTTTTAGTAATCCCACTATGGGAACTTTTTTTTTTTTTTTTTCAGATGGAGTCTTGCTCTTGTCACCCAGGCTGGAGTACAATGGCACAATCTCAGCTCACTGCAACCTCCACCTCCTGGGCTCAAGCATTTCTCCTGCCTCAGCCTCCTGAGTAGCTGGGAATAGTGGTATTCCCAGCTAATTTTTTGTATTTTTAGTAGAGACGAGGTTTCACCATTTTGGCCAGCCTAGTCTCAAACTCCTGACCTCAGGTGATCCTCCCGCCTCAGCCTCCCAAAGTGCTGGGATTACAGGCATGAGCCATCGCACCCAGCCCCATTACAGGAACTCTTATCCATGAATAATGCATAAATCATATTGCTAGTTCACCTGTGTTGATCTTTTACTATGTGCTGGGCCCCATGTTAGATGTTTCCATTCATTATCTCATTTAATCTTCACAACCTAGTGAGGTAGATAATGTCAACATCTCTATTTTATAGGTTAGAAAAATGAAGTTCCAGGGAGATTACCTAACTTGCCCAAAGTCACTCTCAGCAAATGGCCTACCTGGGATTCAAACCCAAGACCATCTAATGTCAAAGTTTATGCCCTGAGCTATGTTATCACAATGACTCAAGCCTTTCTTGGCATTAAGGATGTTTGTCACTAGTACTTCCCCTCTGAGAAAAGACTGCATGAAACTTACTATCTTAGTCTGTTTGGGCTGCTATGCCATGGACTGGGTGACTGTAACAACAGAAATTTCTCAAAAATTGTGCAGGCAGAATTTTGGGAGATACAAAATCCAGGCATTGGCAGACCCAGTGTTTGGTGAGGGGCTGTGTCCTGGTGGAGAAAGAGGGAGCAAGCTCTCCCCTGTCTTTTATAAGGGCACCAACCCCATCATGAGAGCTCCATCTTCATGACCTAGTTATCTCTCAAAGGCCCCATCTCCAAATACCGTCACACTGAGGATCTAAGCTTCAACATATAAATTTTACAGGAATACAAATATTCAGTACATTGCACTTACTAACTACTGTGCAAAGTAATTCTTCCTTTTATTTGTCTTAAATTTGCAACTTTCAAGCTTCCCATGAGACTGACTCCTGGTGAGTTTGTGTTTATCTAGTCACAGCTTTCTCTGCTGTATGTATTTTAATCTTATCCCCCTCTAGGCCTTTTTTCAGGGGAAATGGAGGGTCTGTGCTTTCTGTATATGGAAGTCCCCCCTGCTCTTCTTCAAGCCTGCTATGATTTGATTTCTTTGAATGCAATGACCAGAATAATACATGATATTTCTAGGTTCAATAAACTGGCAGGATAGTGGTTATTTTCATTTCCCATGTCTTCTTAATGATTCATAGCATTTCACTGTTGTTTTAGTTCATCTTCTTGGGGCTACAGAAACAAAATAGGTAAATGTTTTCAGCTTACAATTTCCCAATCATATTCCTGGAGCATAACTTTGCTCAGAGCCAAGCATCTTATTATATTGCTCACATTAGTTTTCTCTGAATAGTTTAAATATCATTTTTCTGCAGAATTAAAGGTTTTTGGTTCTTATTCTAGAGAGAAAGGCACAGTACAAATAGCGTGAGTGTGTGTCCCTGCACTGGGAAAGGCTGACCAGTGAGGCAGGAAAAACCTATATTTCTTTAAAAGAAGCAGAACTTCCACATTTTCCCAAGAGTAACAGATATGATCTAATCTCTGACAGACTCTGTTCCTATGACTCATGACTCTAGATACATCTTGTAACAATCAAGCTTTATCTTAACATGGATGAGAGTATCTATCACCTGAGCAATGCGGATAAAGCAGATCTTTTTAAAGGCTTCTGTGTCTTCCAAAGAAGTAGAAACAATATTTTGATTCGATATATCTTATGCCTGTCTTCTTAAATATATTTTTGCAAAACATATATGTCTGACAGGTTTGTAGGTAAATTTGCATGTAAGCTTCAGTGTAATTGCCAGTTGGTGGTGGGGGGTTGACCCTGACACAGCTCCTAACAGTACATGTCTAGGCTCTCTAAGGTAATCAGTCTCACGGGCTGTATAATTTGAGATGATGCCATTCATCAACCTGGCTGAGAAAGACTGTAATTCCTGCCTGGCAATTCATCTCCACAATGAAAGATTCTATTGATGAGACTCTTTCTGGACATTCATGCAACTTTTTCAAAGTCTTCAGTGTTTTTCATGACCTCTCCCCTCTATGATATTCATGCTTATTCTGTCTAGTCAGCTAGTTCCTTTTGTACTAACTTCTCCAGTCTCTTTTTAGAAAACCTAATAAAAATTTCACCCACTCTCACTATTTAACACATTTCCCATTCTATATGTGTTTTTTTAATATAAAATTAAGTTTAGAAGCCAAGAAAAATACTTTTGTGATAAGGGAAACCAAGTGTGTGGTATCCCTGTTGATTGTACTGGGCACCTTTCCTCAACCAAGGTGAACATCACACTGTCCTGAGTTCTCCCAGGTTCCCAACACCTCACGGCAGAAAGAAGAGTGGACCCCTTCTGCCTCCAAGGAATAAGTATAAATTGTGAAGAATGAATAATTAATTAGGATATTGCTTTAGAACTTATTTTTATAACTATTATAGTAAATGAATATAATCCATGTGTGAAGATAAACAAAATACAAACAGAATACATTTTATTTGCTTAACAGGAATCTATACTATAGAGTAGAATCATGTCTTACCCAGAACATAGACTCTAAAATCAATCTGTAATAAGAAGGTTACGTATAATCCAATCTTCTCTTAAAAATAATCAAACACAGTATTCATGGCTTTGGACTTACAACTTTTTGCTGTGTGTGCAGGATGGACAGAATATAATAAAGAATACACATGCCAAATATGTTTACAGTGTTTTATTTCCATGAAGGTAGTTGAACTGGACTCACAATATGCACATATTATGTGATATTATGTGACTCTACTATATCTCATCTCTTCTGAATAGTAGTAGTAATGATGATGATGATCATGATGACAATGATTATGCTAAAATTGTGCAGTATGGTTACTGGTAGACACTAAAGCCACTGAGATCATCACAGTACCGCTCAGATCTCCTTCCATGTTGTAGGGTCAACCTTAGCCAAGGACAAAATGGTGCCAGCTAAGTTCAAAGGTAAACTCATTTAGCATATTTCAAATGTCTTAATATAATAGCCAACCCAAACTTTTGGAACCTGTGTTCTACTTATTATCTTGCTTTCCATATAAGCAAGTAATTTGCTTATATGGAAATCACTTAGTAATTTCCATGTCTCATTAATAGTCTGAGACTGGACTCAGCACAGACCTGAAGAAACAGCTTTCTTTGGCATTTCTTCCTGTAACCTCTCCCTGTCATCAGACACTTCCATTGACAAGGAATGTACCCCAGGGTGGGTCTCATTTGCAGACTTTAGGCTTTACTCTATAGCTCAACCTCTCATGTATTTTGTGAGTGGAGATTCCCCACCCACCCTACCCTATGATTGACTATGAGATTGACTTATAGTCAGTCTCCATGAGACAGAGATTAACTAGAATTACTAATTCATCTTCCTTATTACTCTTCATTAGATAAGACATAAAGAGAAAAATAGTAATTAGGTATTAATGTTCGTAATTCACATATAGAAGTCAGCTGGATTACATTATCTAGAATGCACAAACTCCGGGCTTGCTGAAAGGCTAGAGAATGTGACAATGTCACACATTCTTCAGGTGGTCATAATTCCACAAAAAGGGGCTTGCTTACTGGGCTTTTTAGAACTGGTACAATTTTATCAATAACATTTCACATATTGACAAACAATTTATTTAAACTTGGTGTAGATATTGTGTCACAGCATCAGCCAGTGTTCTCAGAGGAGGATCCAAAGCATTTCTGGACAATCAAAGCTCAGGGACAATGGATCAAGGTGTCTGCAAGACCAGGTTTGACCTAAAGCCCATGGAGCTCACTGGGAGCCCAAGTGAAAAGAGCACTGCCATTTCCAGGCTCTAAATGGGTCCTACAGGACAGAGCCTGAAATTGAACTAATGCTTAGTTAAAACAAGAGCAACCAGCCATATTTGAGGCTTGCATCAAGGTAAAGGGGCCGTAAAACTGGCAGAGCTTGAAAAAGACAAAGCTTTTAGCCCATGTCAAAAATAATTATGTAATGTGAATCTCTAATCTTGTAATTATCTATACTAAATAAAATACTCTAGAACTAGAATTATTTCTAATTTATTTCTAATTATTTCTGTGTCTAGAAATAACAGTCTGTGGTCATGAGCTTTCTATGCATGCCAAATGTGCAGTGAGGTGTTTGTGAGAGGAGAGATAGGACAAAAGGTTGTAAATCTCAGGTTTGTATCTTTTAGAAAAGACCTTCTGGGCCCTTTTCAGAATTGTGGAATGTTAGCCATCACCTAGAGAGACTGCCCTAGATAGGGCACTTTTAATACATTAGGGACCCGAGAAACCAGGAAAAATCTTACTTTAGGAGAGTAGGTTGCAGGTAGCCCTTGAAACAAAGAATTTCTACAGTCAATTTTGGACTCTCCCTGTTTTATTAAAATGCAGTATACATGTGAACTCTTGCCTATTTAAAAAAATTCTGAACCACAGAATATCACAATAAAAAGCCAGAAAGAAGAAGGTAAAATGAAACCCTGCATTTTGTCATGTAGTTATTCTGGTTTCTACAACAACTGGAGAAGAAACAAATTAAAAATTACCAATGCTTCTTAAACATTTTCAAAATTCTTATGAAAAATTTTTCTCTAGTTTTACATCCTTACTGATTCCCCAAACTGACCTCATTATTGATAATGTAGTGGAACACAAACAGCGAAATATAGTCATGAATATGAAACATTTGTACTTAAAAATCTAGTCTGAACCATCATAGTTTTATACACTATGTTCATCAAAATATAATATCACATGTCATAATCTGTCAGATTTTGGAAAGAAAAATATTTTTATCAAATAGCGTTAATCCTTCTTTTTCCTAGTTGAAATCTTATTTTTGAAGCAATTAATACTTTATATAACTCACATAATTTGTCAGTTGTTCAGTAGGCCGCCAGGAGGGCAAACCCAAAATTCAGACCATAGTGTGGTCTATCATTATCAAAATTAGTTATTTTCTCTAGGAAACAGCCTAGTCAAAAATTAACTTGCCACTTTATTTTTAATTGATACGTAATACCTGTACACATTTATGGGGTACATGTGATATTTTGTTACGTGCACAGAATGTGTAATGATCAAGTCAGGGTATTTAGGGTACCTATCACCTCAAGTATTTATCATTTTTATGTGTTGGGAATATTTCAAGTCCTTTCCTCTAGCTGTTTTGAAAGATACAATATATTGTTGTTAACTATAATCACCCTACTCTGTTATCAAACATTAGAACTTATTTCTTCTATCTAACTGCATGTTTTTACTCACTGACCAAACTCTATTCATTCTTCCAACCCCCAACACCCTTCCCAGCTTCTCGTAACTATCATTCAACTCTCAATCTCCATGAGATCAACTTCTGTAGCTCTCATAGATGAGTGAGAACATGTGATTATGTGATATTTGTTTTTCTGTGCCAAGCTTAATTTCACTTAACATAGTAACCTCCAGTTCTATCCATGTTGCTGCAAATAACATGTGTTTATTATTTTTATGGCCAAATAGCATTCCATTGTGTAAATATAGCACACTTTCTTTATCCATCCACCTGTTGAGAGACACTTAGGTTGATTCCATATATTCCATATATTGACTATTGTGAATAGTTCTGTAAACATGACGGTACAGGTATCTTTCTGATACACTGATTTCTTTTCCTTTGGATAAATACCCAGTAGTGGGATTGCTGGATCATATTATAGTTCTGTTTTTAGTTTTTCTGATAAATCTCCATACTGTTTTTCATAGTGGTTGTACTAGTTTTTATTCCTATCAACAGTGCATAAGAATTCCCTTTTCTCCATATCCTCACCAGCATCTGTTATTTTCTGTCTTTTTAATAACAGCCTATTTAACTGGGGTAAGATGATATCTCATTGCGATTTTAATTTGCATTTCCTTGATGATTAGGAATATTGAGTATTTTTTCATATACCTGTTGACCTTTTCTGTGTCTTATTTTTAAAAATATCTATTCATGTCTTTTGCCCACTTTTTAATGGGATTGTTTGGTTTATTGTTGAGTTGTTTGAGTTCCTTGTATATTCTGGATATTAGTCTCTGACTGAATGAATAGTTTGCAAATATTTTCTCCCATTCAAGAGATTTTCTCTTTATTGATTGTTTCTTTTGCTGTGCAGAAACTTTTTAGTTTAATCAAGTTCCACTTGTCTGTTTTTGTTTTTGTTTTTGATACTTGTGCTTTTGGGGTCTTAGGCATAAAATATTTCCCTAGACCAATGTCCTGAAGTGATTCCCCTATATTTTCTGCTAGTAGCTTTATAGTTTTGGGTCTTACACTTGCGTCTTTAACATATTTTGAGTTGATTTTTGTGTATGGTGAGAAATAGGGGAACATTCTTTTGCATATGGATATCCAGTTTTCCCAGCACCATTCACTTTTTAAAAAAGACATATTTATTCAGCATCATGTTCAGACAGACTATTACATCTGGCAATCAACAGCATGAGTGGAAAAAATCTACATTAAACCCCTTTTGTTGGGATGCTTTACACTTTCCACAGAACAGAAACATTAAGCTGTTATACAATTAGTCACAACTACATTCCTCAAGTTTTTTTCTAATACAGATGAGTATTGTCTAAAACATGTCCCTTTTTTTGTGTGTGTGGTAGCTAGGCCCTGCCACCACTGTGCTTGGCCCAGTTCACAAATCCTCTTGTAACCTATAGCTTCCTTATCACTTCTCTAGCTTTCCTCTACTGCTAAGCTTTGTTTCCTGGCAGTAACTAAAATCTTCTGCTACTGCTGTAGCTATTGCTGCTACTGGAACCACCACAGCTGCCTTGGTTTTATGGTTTGGCAAAGTATTGGCCTCCACCACCATAGGAACCAGAACTTCTGCCTCCAAAGTTTTCTCCCTTCATGGATTCAAAATTTGAAGACTGACAGTTGTAATTGCCAAAATCATTGTAGCTTCTGCCACCTCCAAAATTGCTTCCACTGCTAGCATTAATGCTGCCTCTGCCTCCTCCATTGTTATAGCAGTCATAGGTGCCAATCCTGCCATAGCCACTGCCCTGGTTTCCATAACCCTGTTCACCACTTCTGTAGCCTCTGCTTCCTCCTCCAGAGTAACCAGGGCTTCCTCCTCCCTAAGCACCAACATTACAGAATTCATTATAACTATGCCCACTGCCACCATATCCACCACCACCACAGCTGCCTCTAAAGCCTACACAACCATTAAAGTTTCCTCCATGACCAAAATTGTCATTTCCACCAAAACCACCTTCACAGCTACTACCAAAGTTTCCAAAACCACTGTGACCTCTTTGGCTTCGTGAAGCCATCTCTTGCTTTTAAAAGTGCTTTCCTTACTTCCCATTATATCCATTCACAGTATGGTGTTTCTGAATGACAGTCTTATCCACAGAGTCACGGTTGTCAAAGGTTACAAAAGCAAAGCCCTTTTTCTTGCCACTGCCTCAGACAGCCATGATTTCAATCATTTAAATTTTCCCATTCTGTTCAAAATAATCTCTTAGGTGATGCTCTTCAATGTCTCCTTTAATAGCACCAACAAATATCTTTCTCACAGTTAAGTGGGCACCTAGTCTTTGGGAATCTTCGCTTGAGACAACTCCCTTTGTTTCCACAACTCTTCCATCTACTTTGTGTGGCCTTGATTCATGGCTGCATTCCCCTCCTCTAAATTGGCATAGGTGACAAGCCCAAAGCTCCTGGAGCGCTAGGTGTTTGGATCTCTCGTTACCACACATTCTGTGAGTGTTTCCCATTGCTCACAATGGCTCCTCAGACTCCCGTTGGTTGTTTCACCAAGCCTTTGATGAAGACCTTCCACAGCTGTTTGGTCTCTTTAGGAGACCCTGACTTAGAGTGGCAGATGGCAGATGGCAGAATTAGACAGATGGCAGTGGGAAGATACTTAATGATACTTTTTCCACAGACAGAAAAGAGTAAGCTAACAAACGTATATCTCATTTATTATTTGTTTGTTTTTATACATTTAAGAAATACAAGTGCAATATTGTTACATGGATATATTGTGAAGTGGTGAAGTCAGGGCTTTTAGTGTATCCGTCACCCAAATAATGTATATTGTACCTGTTAAGTAATTTCTCATCATCTACCCTCTCACACTCTTCCACCCTTCCCAGGTTCCATTGTCTCTCAGTCCACGTATATACATTATTTAGCTTCCATTTGTAAGTGAGAACATGCAGTATTTGTCTTTCTGTGTCTGACTTACTTCACTTAAGACAATGGCCTCCAGTTCTATCCATGTTGCTACAAAAGACATGATTTCTTTTTTATGGCTGTATAGTATTCCATTGTGTATATATACCACATTTTCTTTATCCATTCATCCATTGATGGACACTTAAGTGATTCCACATCTATGCTATAGTGATTGTAATTTTGTGCTGTGATAAACATGCAAGTGTAGGTATCTTTTTGATATAATGATTTATTTTCTTTTGGGTAGATACCCAGTAGTGGAATTGCTGGATCAAATGGCACTTCTATTTTTAGTTCTTTGATACATTTCCATACAGTTTTCCAAAGAGGTTGTACTAATTTACATTCCCACCAACAGTGACTGGCATTCCCTTTTCTCTATATCCTTGTCATCTGTTATTTTTTGTCTTTTTAATAATAGCCATTCTGACTGGTACAAGATGATAGCTCATCATGGTTTTAATTTCCCTGATGATTAGTGATGTTGAGCGTTTTGTATATGCCTCTTGGCCATTTGTATGTCTTATTTTGAAAAATATCTATTAATATCCTTTGCCCACTATTTAATGAGATTATTTGGGGTTTTTCTTGTTATTGATGAGTTGTTTGAGTTCTTTGTAAATTCTGAATATCAGTCTCCTGTTGCATGCATAGTTTCCAAATATTTTCTCTTTTTCTGAAGGTTGTCTGATCACTCTGTTATTTTTTCTCTGCAGAAGCTTTTTAGTTTAGTTAAGTTCCATTTGTCTATTTGTTGTTTTCGTTGCTTATGCTTTTGAAGTCTTACTCATAAAATCTTTCCTAAACCAATGTCCTGAAGTGTTTCCCCTATATTATCTGTTAGTAGTTTTATAGTTGCAGGTCTTATATTTTAAGTGTTTAATCCATTTCAAGTTTATTTTTCATCTATGGTGAGAGATAGGGGTCCAGTTTCATTATTTGCATATAGATATCCAAGCACTATGATTGAAGAAGATGTTCCTTCTCCAATGTCTGTTCTTGGCATCTTTGTTGAAAATCAGTTGGCTGTAAATACATAAATTAATTTCTAGATTTCCTATTATGTTCCATTGGTCTATGTGTCACCAATACCATGTTATTTTTGTTACTATAGCCTTATAATGATGCCTCCAGATTTGTTCTTTTTGCTTAGGATTGCTTTGGTTTTCTGGGTTCTTTTTTGGTTCCATATGAATTTTAGGATTGTTTTTTCTATTTCTAAAAATAGCATTGGTATTTTCATAAGAATTGCATGGAACCTGTAGATTGCTTTGGGCAGCATGGCCATTTTAATGATATTAATTCTTCCAATTCATGAGCATATGATGTCTGTCCATTTGTTTGTGTCCTCTTTAATTTATTTCATCGTAGTTCACTAGTTTCCATTATAGAGGTCTTTCACTTCCTTAGTTAAATTTATTCCCACATATTTCATTATTTTATAGCTATTATAAATGGGATCACTTTTTTATTTCTTTTTCAGCTGGCTCGATATTGTTGTATATTAATGCTACTAATTTTTGTATATCGATTTTGTATCCTGCAGTATTACCAAATTTATTCATCAGATCTAAGAGTTTTTTGGTGGAGGCTTTAGGCTTTTCTAGATATAAGATCATGTCATCCGAAAAGAGGAGCAGTTTGACTTCCACTTTTCCAAGTTGGATGCCTTTTATTTCTTTTTCATGCCTGATTGTTCTGTCTAGGACTTCCAGTACTATGTTCAATAGGAGTGGTGAAAGTGGTCACCCTTGTCTTGTTCCAGATCTAAAGGCCTTCAATTTTCCATTTAGTATGGTGTTACCTGTCATATTTGGCCTTTATTATTTTGAGGTATGTTCCTTCTATACCCAATTTGAGGAGGTTTTTCTTTTTTTATCATGAAGAGATGTTAAATTTTATCAAATGCTTTTTCTGCTTTTATTGAGATGATCACATAGTTTTTGTCCTTTATTCTGTTGATGTGTGTATGTTGAACTGTACTTGTATCCATGAGATAAATACCACTTGATCATGGTGTACTGCTGGATTTTTGGGGGTCATATTTGTTGAGGAATTTTGCATTTAAATTCATCAAGGATATTGGTCTGTAATTTTCTTTTTTATTGCAAACTTGTCTGGTTTTGATATCAGGGCAATGCCAGCTTCATAGAATAAGCTATGGAGAAGTCCTTCCTCTTCAATTTTTGGAATTGTTTGAGGTGTTAGTTCTTCCTTGTAATTATGGCAAAATTTGGCAGTGAAGATATCCAGTCCTGGACTTTCCTTTGTGGGGAGACTTTTGATACTGAATCAATCTCATTACTTGTAATTGGTCTGTTCAGTTTCTCTCTTTATGATTCAGTCTTGATAGGTCATATGTGTCCATGAATTCATCTATTTCCTCACAGTTACCTAGTTTGTTAGTGTATGGTTGTTCATAGCAATCTCTGATTATCTTATGCATTTCTGTGACAACAGTCGTAATGTCTCCTTTTTCATTTCTGATTCTATTTGTGTCTTTTTTTTTTCTTAGTCTAACTAGTGGTTTGTTGATTTTGTTTATCCTTTCAAAAAACAGACTTTTCAGTGTGTTGATCCTTTGTATGGTTTTGTAGTCTATTTCATTTAGTTCTGCTCTGATCTTTATTATTTCTTTCCTTATTTTCTTGCTCTTCTAATTTCTTAAGGTGAATTATTAGAACTTACTGGGGATCCTTCGACTTTTTTGATGTCAGATTTATTGTTATAAAATTCATTCTTATCACTGCTTTGGTTTTATCCCATAGGTTTTGGCATATTGTGCTTTGATTCTCATTTGTTTCAATTTTTTTGAACTTCTTCCTAATTTCTTCCTTGACCCAGTGGTCATTTAGGAGCATGTTTTTAAATTTCCATATAATTGTACAGTTTCCAAAGTTCCTCTTCTTACTGATTTCTAGTTTTATTCCATTGTGGTCTGAGAAGATACTTGATATGATTACAATTTTTAAAAATCTGTTGAGACTTGTTTTGTGTCCTAATATATGGCTTATCCTGGAGAATATTCCATGTGTTGATGAGAAGAATGTGTATTCTGTAGCTGTTGGATGAAGTGTTCTCTGTCTGTTTGGTCCATCTGGTCTAATGTGCAGCTTAAACTCAATGTTTCTTTGTTAATTTTCTGTCTAGATGATCTGTCTAATACTGAGAATGGGATGTTGAAGTCCCCAACTATTATTGTGTTGGAGTTTATCTCTCCCTTTAGATCTAATATTTGCTATCTGTCTGGGTGTTCTGGTACTGGGTGCATATATGTTTAGTATAATTATATCCTCTTGCTGAGTTGATCTCCTCATCATTATATAATGACCTTCTTTGTCTCTTTTTACTGTTTTTCACTTTAAAGTCTGTTTTGTCTGAGATAACTATAGCTATTCCTGCTTATTTTTGGTTTCTGTTTGCATGGGATATCTTTTTCTATCCCTTTATTTTCAGTCTATATGTGTCTTTACAGGAGAGATGAGTTTCTTGGTGGCATGTAGTTGAGTCATGTTTTTTAATTCATTCAGCCACTCTATATCTTTTAAATGGACAGTTTAATTCATTTACATTCAAACTTTTTATTGCTATGTGAGGGCTATTCCTGTCATTTTATTAATTGATTTCTGGTTGTTGTGTATATCCTTTGTTCTTTTCGCTCTCTCTTACTATTTATCATTGTGGTTTAGTGGTTTTGTGTAGTAAGAACATTTGAATTCTTTTTCTTACTTATTTATGTGTTTGCTCTCCAGTGCATTTTATACTTTTGTATGTTTTAATGAGGATAGATATCATCTTTTGCTTCCACATGTGGGATTTCCGTACGCATTTCTTTTTCTTTCTTTTTAAATTTTCTTTCTGTTTTTGTTTTTTAAGAGATAAGTGTCTTGCTATGTTGCCCAGGCTGGCCTTGAACTCCTGGGCACAAGTGATCCTCCTGGCTCAGCCTCCCTGGTAGTTATGACTATTGGTATGCACCACCACATCTGGTCAAGTATTTCTTGTAGGACCAGTCTAATGGTGAAGACTTCCTTTAGCTTTTGCTTCTATAGGAAAGACTTTATTTCTCCTTCACTTATGAAGGATAACTTTGCTGGGTATAATATCTTTGGCCGACAATTTTTTTTTCCTTTCAGCATTTTGAATATATAATCTCATTCTCTCCTGAGCTATAAAGTTTCTGCTAAGAAATCTGCCATTGGTCTGATGAGGCTTCCCTCATAAGTAACTATATACTTTTCTCCTGCTATTTTTACAATTCTCTCTTCATCCTTGACTTTTGACAGTTTGACTGTAATGTGCTGTGGAGAAGACCTTTTTGAATTTTATCTGTTTGGAAATCTCTGAGCTTTCTGTGTCTAGGTATTTCTTGCTAGATTTGGGAAGTTTTCAGCTAAATTTTCAGCTAAATTTCATTAAGTAGGTTTACTATCCCTTTTATTTTCTCTTCACCTTGTGGGACATCAAAAATCCAAATAATTTGGTTGCCTTATGGTGTTCCATATGTCACATAGGCTTTGTTCATTCTTTTTTCTTTATTTTTGTCTGACTAGGTGATTTTAAAAGACCCTTTTTTGGCTGGGCACGGTGGCTCACGCCTGTAATCCCAGCACTTTGGGAGGCCAGGGTGGTTGTATCACCTGAGGTTAGGAGTTCGAGACCAGCCTGACCAATATGATGAAACCCTGTCTCTACTAAAAATACAAAAATTAGCTGGGTGTGGTGGCATGTGCCTGTAATCCCAGCTACTTGGGAGGCTGAGACAGGAGAATGACTTGAACCCGGGAGTTAGAGGTTGCAGTGAGCCGAGATCACACCATTGCACTTCAGCCTAGGCAACAAGAGGAAAACTCCATCTCAAAAACAAACAAACAAACAAAAAACCTTTTTCAAGTTCTGAAATAATTTCTTCTGTTTGGTCTAGTCTATTGTTAAAGCTGTCATATGTATTTTGTATTTTATTCAATAAATTCTTGCATTACTAAATTTATATTTGGTTCTTTTTATGATATCTATGTCTTTAGTAAATTTCTCATTTATGTCCTGAATTTTCTGATTTCTTTGTATTGTTTTTCTGAGTTCTCTTATGTCTCACTGAGCTTTTTAAATATTATTTTGAACCATTTTGAATTATTTTTCTGAGATTTCATAAATTTCTTTTTCATTGGAATCTGTTGGTGGAGAATTATTGTGTTCCTCTGGAGGTGTCATATTTCCTTGCCTTTTCATGTTTCCTGTGTTCTCATGTTGATATCTGTGCATCTGGTATAATGGTCACTTCTTCCAATTCTTTGAATTTGCTTTCATAGCGGAGGACTTTTTCCTGATGATGTCCCTGTGGCATTGGTTGGTAGGGTACTTTGACTTTGAATTAGGGTGTATGCAATAGTGTAGTCTCTTTTTGATTTCTTTGCCTATAAACAGTGTCAAGAGTGTCTGTAGTTCCCTCAGTGGCTTAGGGTGTAATCATTAACGGAGGGAGTGGTGAAGTTTTGTTGGAGACAGGGACATCAGGTGGGCCAGCCATTGGGTCCCAATGGTGGCGGCAGCATGCCAAGCATGCCTGTCCTTCACTCCCAGGGAAGTATATACTGGCATTGTTTTTAGCAGGTACAGGTGAGCCAATTCTTGGGCCTCCAGGCTGCTTACTTGGGAGCCAGTAGTGGCAGTGGTGGGTCAGGCAGGTGGGTGGGTCCTTGGGCCTCTAGGCAGTGGGTGTAGTGTGGCCAATGACAGTAGCAGTAGTGCGACAATTCTCTGGTTCCCAAGTGATGTTGACGGTGGCTGTGATAGGCTGGGTGAGCCAGTCCCCAGGCCTGAAGGTGATACACATGGGTGAGTGCCAGCTATGATACTAGCAGCAGGTTGGGTGGTCTGTTCTCTGGCCTCCAAGAGGAGTCCTCACATGCCAATGGTGGTAGACGGGGAAGGGAGATCCCCAGGTTCCTGAATGGCGTGCCTGGGCACTGGTGGATACGAGCTGGGCCATGTAGACCTGTCCTCAGGCCCCTTAGAGGTGCATGCAGGTGCTAGCTGTGGTAGGCAGGGGTGAGATGATCACCAGGCCTCTGGCTGAAATGCTCAAGTAGGGGGAAGCTGCAGCTATGCTGCAACTCTGCTCCTGTGAAGAGCAGGGTTGCTTTCAGTGGCTGCAGTCTTAAATGTATGGCAGGGGGGCATACAAACTTGGGCCCTTGGTGGCAGATTTAAGGAGGATAGCCTGTCCTCAGGGTGCTTTCAAAGCAGCCATGCTACTGGGAGTGGCAGGGTTGCTCCCAATAGTTTGCACTTCAGCCCTGGTGGCAGCAACTAGCAGCAGCACCTGGCTGCATGCAAGGTATGTCAGTGGGGCTCTATGGATATGGAGATGAAAGGGCTACTGAGCCCCAGGGCAGGATGCAGGCTGGTGGGAGCTGGACTCTCAAAGTGGCACTTTGCTGTAGCTGCTTAGGACTCCAGGCATCTGTGGGACCCCTCTCTGAAGCAATCCTGTTATGCAGTCTCCAGGCAGATCCCTATGTTAGTCTCAGGGCCCTCATGAGTTGAGGGGCTCTCCCATGGCTAGGATTGGGAGAGTCTGCAGTGAGAATGTAGATCACTGGGAGTCACTTACTCTTTCCCCACATTGAGGAGCCTCTGCAGACTCCCAACTGATCCTGTCATCCCTGAGCTGACTACCTCACTCCCCTCTCCTTTGTCTTAGGTGTCTACTGTCATTTCTTTGTTGAATTCCAGTGTTCTTAGGTGATCTGTTAGAAATGTGATTATTGGCCGGGCGCGGTGGCTCACGCCTGTAATCCCAGCACTTTGGGAGGCCGAGGCGGGCGGATCACGAGGTCAGGAGATTGAGACCATCCTGGCTAACATGGTGAAACCCCGTCTCTACTAAAAATACAAAAAATTAGCCAAGTGTGGTGGCGGGTGCCTGTAGTCCCAGCTACTCGGGAGGCTGAGGCAGGAGAATGACGTGAACCCGGGAGGCGGAGCTTGCAGTGAGCCGAGATAGTGCCACTGCACTCCAGCCTCAGCGACAGAGCGACCCACTCCTTCCTCTGTTTAGGAAGATGATTAAGTGCCAAACTATGTAGGTTCAATCAAACCATCTCCTAACTAAATAACTTTAGGCAAGTACTCACCTTCTCCATGCCTTAACTTTCTTATCTGTAAGATGAGTAACACCAACCTTATATGATTTATGTGGATTAATTGAGTGAATATTTGTAAAGCACTCAAAATAATGCCTGTATGTAGAAAGCATTATATAAGTGTTTGCTAAATAAAATAAATACTTCATTGATTTATTTTAACATTTAATTAAGATGACTTAAATAAATCACCATTATGTCTGACAAATAGTAAGTAGTCAGCAGGAGTTGCCATTACCATTACAGGAGGTGATGTGGTGATCATTGCTAAACATTTCCTTACTAGTAGACTTTCAATCCTACACTGGGGAGAAGTCTGTTTGCTCATTAATAATGAGAGTTCATAAACCTTATGCAGTTTTTGTCCTTATAGGCCATATTATCAAGTAAAACAGTGATGGTAAGGGAAAATTTGTTCAAGAAGAGATCCCGCAGGAGTTTAAAAAAAAAAAAAAGAGGGGTGGTAATATAAAGTTGTAACTGTCAGGACTGTTCAAAGCTGATGAAAATGTTAGCGAAGAACCAAGGCTTTACCTTTAGAGTGGGCATAATTAATACGGAAGAAATCAAGCTTTCAGAGCCTTTGCCAGAGACTGGCAGCAACAGCATTCCCTGGGAGCTTGTTAGAAATGCAGAATATTGGGCCCTCCCAGAGTCAGAATTAGCAAGATCCCCCAGGTGGTTCTTATGCAAATTAAAATTTGAGAGGCATTGTTGTATAATATTTTTACTTTCCATGTTTTTTTCCTGTAGTTTATTTTGAATATGCCATATCAATAATACTAACATTTTGGCCATATTAGGTCTTTTTTAAAGTGATACATGTTTCTTTGAAGGTGTGACTAAAATTTGGCTACATGCAATGGTTTTAGTATATCCCAGGGACAATTTTTTCTAATCAAAAGTCACCTCTGGTTTTATAATGCAAATAAGCATGAAAGGAGGCACCATGCATGTTTTATAGCAAATGTCACTGGCATTTCTCAGGTTTATTACATGAGGGATGCATGTTTTTAAAAAAAATCATCTCCGAATCACAAGAGTTCAGAATTTTATCACTTTTCACTGTTCACTCTTGCTTATCCTGAAGGTGACAAATGAAAACAGGTCTCTGATTCATGCTTCTTCTGCTATAATGAAGCCACAACTCACTGACTTTTAAAATAGAATGTTTCAAGACCAAATATTTTATTTGGATGTATCTGAGGGGCTAAAATATTTCTATTGAAACTCTCTGTGAGAAAACATTCTAGATATGAAACATCTGTTTTTGGTCATTCCAGTTAAAGACTAATATTTGCGCAGGGCAGAGAGGCCCATGGTAATATTGTGTTGTTCTAAGTACAGTATTCCCATGATTCAATATTCCTGAAGGATTGGGTCAAAGTATTCACCCAATTAACATGGCTCAAACATTCCCAACATATTTGTGAATATGTACATCTGCAAATATATTAAACACACTTTCCCACTTCCTCTTTTTCTTTCTTTTTGGGGATAGAGGGTGGGGAGAGTGTGGGTGGGGGTTGGACACAGCTATGGAAAAACCCTGAAGCTCAAGATCAGGGGTAAAGTGCCTAGAAAGAGTCAAGGGAGACAGGAATGTCAGATTTAGTATTCCTTAGTAGGAGTCATTACAACCAGAGGCTCTTTCAGACGACCCTCTGGGTCAGAGTGAAGATGATCAAGACACCTGCCATTTACTATGGTGTGGCTGTGGGGGCCATTCGTCCCCACCTTTTGCAGAGCAAGAGGTCAGAAAGTTCCATCCTCTAGTCTAACTTTCTTTGTGTAGGGTACTGGAGCTGAAGGCCTTGTGATCAAACCTTTAGGTTTTCAACCTTGGCTGCACAGTTGGAATCACTTGGGGAGCTTTAAAAGTTACTGATGCCCAGGTTTCACCCCCAGACATTCTGATTGAATTGTTCTTGAGTACAACCTGGGCATTGAGATTATGATGACCAATGTGCAGACAGGGGCCTCTGTACCACAACCCTTGGGGCTCCTCTCTCGCTTCCTCAGAATACACCCTCCTCTCTGATTTCTGCTCCTCATATCATTCAATTCCTTTTCTATACCCCCAGAGTTTCCATCGCAGATCCTTTCCAAGGCTGGGTTCTTCTGCCCACCGTGTTTGAGCCCTCAGTCTCTTGGTTCTTGGAAATCATTATGAGCTGAATTGTGCTCCCCAAAATTCACACGTATGTTGAAATCCTAACACCCATCCAGTACCTTAAAGATGTGACTATAGAGCCAGGGCCTGTAAAGAGGTAATTAAGGTAAAATGAGCTCATATGGGTGGGCCCTAATCCAATATAACAGGTGTCCTTACAAGAGGAGGACATTAGGAGACAGATAGGCACAGAGGAAAAACCATGTATTACTACAGAGAGAAGATGGCCATCTACAAGCCAAGGAGAAAAACCTCAGAAGAAAGTAATCTTGTCGACACCTTGATGTCAGACTTCTAGCTGCTATAATTGTGAGCAAGTAAATTTCTGTTGTTTAAATCCCCCAGTCTGTGGTACTTGATATAGCAGTCCAAGCACACTAAGACAGAAATCTTCCCAGCACACAGGGTGCATTTTGAGTCACGGTCCTTCTCTCTGCAGAGACTGAGTTTGCTGGCATGTAGATTAGCCTTTAATATCTGAGAGAGTTTTTGCATAGAGAGGAACACTCACAATTATATGAACCTTAATGTCAGTGGAGTGAGCATTTAGGTATTGATACAAAATTTGATTAAATTCCTTTAAACAGCAATTGCAAATTTAGTATGTCTGATTCTTTTGAACATTTCAACACCCTAAAATACAAAATACACAAAATGCATTTTGTAGATAAAACAACAAAACTTATTACAACATTTAACCTTAAGCTATTCCAAACATCAAGTACCATGTGGTGAATTTATTTCTTCCTTAAAGTTGTTTTATACCTTTCTAGGATTAGAGATAAACTTATTTTGATTTCTTCCTAATGTTTCAGTACTATTAGTTGGATACCTTCTGGGTAGTAATTTTTACTCAACCCCAAATTCCCTGGGGTCCTGGATTTTTTTTCTTTTTTTTTTTTTAGATGGATTCTCACTCTCTCGCCCAGGCTGGAGTGCAGTGGCATGATCTTGGCTCACTGCAACCTCCACCTCCCAGGTTCAAGTGATTCTTCTGCCTCAGCCTCCTGAGTAGCTGGGATTACAGGCACCCACCACTACATCCAGCTAATTTTTTGTATTTTTAGTAGAGACGGGGTTTCACCATGTTGGCCAGGCTGGTCTCAAACTCCTGACCTCGTGATTCTCCCACCTCAGCCTCCCAAAGTGCTGGGATTACACAAAATTCAGTTTTTTCTTCTAAAGTGACTTAAACCTAAGACAATAGCCTCTCTTTCTTATTATTAAACTTTGTTGTTAGGTTGCTTAAACTTTTTAAAGTCAACTCCTTTCTCTAGATTTTAGTTTGCCCCCAGAACTTGGTGTTTGTTTTCTGAAATAATGTATTTTAAAGTCTCACTTGGTCAAGATGATATAATACATTACCCTATATTGGGGTAGATTGATCTGTCATATTAGGGTTTTAAACAACATATATGTTCTTATTGGTACTTTATTGCTTTTGCTGGAACCACCAGAGTTTCATTACCTCAGTCTGTGTGCTTAGCAAACCTCTGTAGGACATTTAGGAAATTTATCGTTTTGGAATACATGAATGGACCTCTTTTTTATTTGGTGATGCAACTGACCCCTGGTGCTAATTAACAATCCAATTATTCTATACTTTTTGTTAACTCATTAGTTAGAAGCTCATAACCCTTCATAAACACCACTTGTTTCAATTTAAACTTATTCTATTTTTATGCTTATATCACCACATAATGACTAGAGCCTATCTTCTGCTTGAGCTTGAGTGACATGACAAGCAAAATATCTTCTAATTAGTTAACCTTGGAAGATGCCATTTTCAAAGCTTCCTACCCAATCCATGGCTTCTTCACATCCTTACTTCACCTAGGGGAGCAGGGAGAAGGGCAGTTTTGGCCACACACACAAATGGGATCTTTTGTGTTGAGCTGATGAATAGAGATAGGATGGCATGTCTTCTTTTTTGGCTGATTTTGAACCTCTTTGGAGAGGCTAAAAGCAGACACAGTCAAGTGGGACTTTGTGAGATTTACCCAAGCTGAGCTGCTTTGGAGGCATATGCAACAAAGAATGGCCCAGAGTTAAAAGGAAGGTTCTCCTTGTATTTTTGGAGACAGAGTCTTGCTCTATCCCCCAGGCTGGAGTACAGTGGCATAATCTCAGCTCACTGCCACCTCTGCCTCCCAGGTTCAAGCGATTCTCATGCCTCAGCCTCCCAAGTAGCTGGGATTACAGGCGTCTGCCACCACACCTAGGTAATTTTTTATTTTTAGTAGAGATGGGGCTTCACCATGTTGGCCAATCTAGTCTTGAACTCCTGACCTCAGGTGATCCTTGGCCTCCCAAAGTGCTGGGATTACAGGTGTGAGGCACCTCACCCAGCCCCCCTTGTTTATTATAATGATGATGATGATGATGACAGCTTTTTATTGTCTATTGTACCAGAGCCTGTGGTCCTACTTTGTATATTTTATATATATATTATATAGTCCTCAAAATAGTCTTTATTTAGTCCTCAAAATAGTCTTTTGAGCTAGGTATTACTTATTGGGCTATTATAAATAATGCTGTTTTTCAGCCTCTTTTAAAGGTTTTTTGGTGCAAAAAATGTGAACACGTTTTTGTTGCATGTATACCTATGGTTGGAATGAATAGGTCCTAGGGTATGGGTACGATCAGCTTTGGGAGATTTGATATATATCACATCATAGGAGCTCAAGACTAGCCTGGGCAACATGGTGAAACCCTGTCTCTACTAAATATACAAAAAAAAAAAAAATTAGCCAGGCGTGGTGGTGAGTACCTGTAGTCCCAGCTACTCAGGAGGCTGAGGCATGAGACTTGCTTGAACCTAGGAGGCAGAAGTTGCAGTGAGCTGAGATCACGCCACTGGATTCCAGTCTGGGCAACAGAACAAGACTGTGTCTCAAAACAAACAAACAAACAAACAAACAAACGAATAAACCCCAAAGATACATATTTATCACATATCAGCATGCACATTATATCAACATGACTTATTATTGTTGATGCTAACTTTGACCCACTTAGGGTCATGCTTGCCACTCTTCTCTTGCTATTTTTCCCTTTTCATATTCTGTTCATTAGCACCAAGTCACTAAGTCCAGCCTACACTCAAGGGAAAAGGAGTTAAACTCTACCTCTGGAGGAGAGTATATGAAAGACTTTATAGGCTTATGTTAAATGACCACAGTAATTAATAAATATTTAGAAGGAAATACTTTGAGTTTATGCAAATATCTCACTCATCCTAAAAGTTTCACTCACTAATTTTAGCATTCATCAGTGGATCTTGCTCATAGTAGCTATTACTGTGGTGTTCTAATGGTGATTTTCTATTTCTCTCATTCCTTCTATATTTAGTACTTACAATTCTTCTGTAAGGAAGATTTGTCCCTTCTTACCCATTTATGTATGTATGTATGTATGTCAGTATGGAGTCATGAATATCACGAAGATTCTATTTTGGGGCTTTAATCCAATACTACCATTACTTAATTTGTTGCTCAGATTGTTCCAACTTTGGCCATTGGTAGCACTTTCAGTTGGTTCTTGTGTGTCTTCAATATACACCATCCTTTTTTTTTTTCTTTCTTTCTTTTTTTTTTGAGATGGAAGCTTGCTTTGTTTCCCAGGCTGAAGTGCAATGGCGCGATCTTGGCTCACTGCAACCTCCGCCTCCCAGGTTCAAGCGATTCTCTTGCCTCAGCCTCCCAAGTAGCTGGGACTACAGGTGTGTGCCACCACACCTGGCTAATTTTTTGTATTTTTGGTAGAGATGGGGGTTTCACCGTGTTAGCCAGGATGGTCTTGATCTCCTGACATCGTGATCCCCCCGCCTCGGCCTCCCAAAGTGCTGGGATTACAGGTGTGAGCCACTGTGCCTGGCCTTTTTTTTGTTTGTTTTATAGAGCACTTTCTTCTTAATCAGCTTTGTTGAGGTATAATTTATATACCATAAAATTTATTGACGTGTATGCACATATTCAACTTTCATACTCATCACATCAGGAGGTACATGATATCAATATGAATTTTAGTATATTTACAGAGTTGTAAAACTAATAGGACAAGCTAATTGTAGAATACTTCCACCATCCCGAAAGGAAGCCTCATCTTCATTTGCAGTCATTTTCCCATTCTCAGTCTCAGCCATAGGCATTCACTAATCTAATTTCCATCTCTATAGAGTTTTTTTCTGGACACTTCCTTTCTGGCACTGTAAGATGCTCCAGGCTCATATTGTATTTACTCTGCTCTAGATCTAGAAACAACTATTTCTTTAAGGAGCACTGGTTCTGTTTGTTGGAAAAAGGTATTTAGATTTGGGAGGCCGAAGCGGGTGTATCGCCTGAAGTCACAAGTTTGAGACCCTGGCCAACATGGTGAAACCCCATCTCTACTAAAAATACAAAAGTTAGCAGGGCATGGTGGTGCGTGGCTGTAATCCCAGCTACTCGGGAGGCTGAGGCAGAATTGCTTGAACCTGGGAGGCAGAGGTTGCAGTGACCCAAGATCATGCCACTGCACTACAGCCTGGGTGACAGAGTGAGACTCCATCTCAAACAAACAAACAAACAAAAAAAAGGTATTTAGAAATAAAGATCTAAGTAGTATGTCTACTTGTTACTACTTGAGTGTCATTGCTTCAGCTTCTGTTAGTGAACAGAAGTAGGAGATATATGTATGTATACTAACCCATGTATCTACAATACCTGTATTTATGCTCATATATCTGTATACATATTAATATAAACTCATGCTGATAAATGTGACTCTAATCCAGCACCACAGGGGTCATTCTAACCTTTCACTCTTGCCCATTTGTAACTTCTTTCTCATGTCAGTGAGAAACCTGGCTCTCATTATTTACAATATATTTTCTTATTCAATTTTTATTTTTTATTTTTTGTTATTTAGTTTTTATTTCATGATCATAAATGTAACTGTGTAATCCAGCTAGACATGGAAGGGAATAAGGAAAATATGGAACCTAAAGAATAGCAGAGATAGCACAAAGATTATAGGATACTGTGAGCAAATGGGTTGGAGGGGTGCTCTCCTGAGCTACAGAAGCAATTCTCTTGTGGTTAACATAAAACATGATTCAAATTTATTAGCGTTTTCCACAGTCAGCAATGATCTTCTTGCTGGTCTTGCCATTCCTGGACCCAAAGCATTCCATGGCTTCCACCTTATTAGTGCCTGCTTTTACCTTGCCGAAGACCACATGCTTGCCTACCAACCACTCAGTCTTTGCAGTGCAGATGAAAAAATGGGAACCATTTGTGTTGAGTACAGCATTTGCCATGGACAAGATGCCAGAACCTGTATACTTCAGGATGACGCTCTCATCATCAAATTTCTCCGCATAGATGGACTTTCCACCAGTGCCATTATGGCATGTGAAATCACCACCCAGACACATAAATCCTGGAATAATACTGTGAAAGCAAGAACTCTTAATAACCAAATTCTTTCTCTCCAGTGCTCAGAGCATGAAAATTTTCTGCTGTCTTTGTATTAATAGCTTTGTCTGCAAATGGATCTAAGGAAATGTGGCCCAAGGACTCACCACTGACAGTGATGTCAAAGAGCATGGTGGGGTCGACTATGGCTGGTGTCAGGGGCTCTGGGCAGTGACAGTGTTTGCAAAGCACTTATTCATTTTATATACATGTGTATTAGGTTGATTGGTGATCCTCAAAAATATATGCCTATGTCTTAACCACTGGAAGCTGTGAATGTAACCTTACTTAGAAAAGGGGTCTTCACAGACATAATCAAGGATCTTAAGATTCATTTACATTAGATTATCCCAGTGGGCCCTAAATCCAATGACAAGTATCCTTATAAGAGACACGCAGAGAAGAGAAACATAGAGGCAAGACGAGAAGACCAGGTAAAGACAGAGGCAGAGACTGTAGTGAAGCAGCCACAAGTCAACGAACACCTGAAGTCACCAGGAGCTGGAAGACACAAAGAAGGATTCTCCCCTAGAGACTTCAGAGATACCGCAGCTCTGACACCTTGATTTTGGACTTCCGGTTTTCAGAACTGTGAAAGATTAAATTTCTCCTGCTTTATGCCACCAAGTCTGTGGTAATTTGTTACAGCAGCCTTAGAAAACACAACATGTAAAAGAGTTTCAGAATTGCTAACCAAGCTCCTGTGAGAAACAGATTTACCAACCAGAGTGTAGTGTTTGTGTAGTTTTGTCTGCCTTGTAGTATCAAGTCAAAATATTGCATTTCAAAGCTTCTTAGGTCAGCTTTATCAGTTAGTGCTCTTTTGTGGTGGGGAGTGGTCTGGCTTCTTTCATTAAACATGATTCACTGTTGTTGGATGTATCAGATGTGTTATTTTTTATTGTTGAATAATATTCCATTATATGAATACATCACAATTTTCTAATCCATACCTCTGCTGATGGACATTTAGTTTTTTACCAGTTTGGGGTTATTACAAATAAAGCTGCTAAAACCATTTTTGTCCAAGTGTTTGTGTAAACATGTGATTTAAAGTTCCATGATAGGGTGTGGGATGGCCGCGGAGCCGGGCGGAGCTGGCTTGCGGCTACCGGGGCCGGCTCTCTGGCCGGAGACATGGCCCGGGGGCCCGGCCCGCTAGGCAGGCCTCGCCCCGATACGGTCGCCATGCCCAAGAGAGGAAAGCGACTCAAGTTCCGGGCCCACGACGCCTGCTCCGGCCGAGTGACCGTGGCGGATTACGCCGACTCGGATCTGGCGGTCGTGAGGTCTGGACGAGTCAAGAAAGCCGTAGCCAACGCTGTTCGGCAGGAAGTAAAATCTCTTTGTGGCTTGGAAGCCTCTCAGGTTCCTGCAGAGGAAGCTCTTTCTGGGGCTGGTGAGCCCTATGACATCATCGACAGCAGTGATGAGATGGATGCCCAGGAGGAAAACATCCATGAGAGAACTGTCTCCAGAAAAAAGAAAAGCAAGAGACACAAAGAAGAACTGGACGGGGCTGGAGGAGAAGAGTATCCCATGGATATTTGGCTATTGCTGGCCTCCTATATCCGTCCTGAGGACATTGTGAATTTTTCCCTGATTTGTAAGAATGCCTGGACTGTCACTTGCACTGCTGCCTTTTGGACCAGGTTGTACCGAAGGCACTACACGCTGGATGCTTCCCTGCCTTTGCGTCTGCGACCAGAGTCAATGGAGAAGCTGCACTGTCTCCGGGCTTGTGTGATCCGATCTCTGTACCATATGTATGAGCCATTTGCTGCTCGAATCTCCAAGAATCCAGCCATTCCAGAAAGCACCCCCAGCACATTAAAGAATTCCAAATGCTTACTTTTCTGGTGCAGAAAGATTGTTGGGAACAGACAGGAACCAATGTGGGAATTCAACTTCAAGTTCAAAAAACAGTCCCCTAGGTTAAAGAGCAAGTGTACAGGAGGATTGCAGCCTCCCGTTCAGTACGAAGATGTTCATACCAATCCAGACCAGGACTGCTGCCTACTGCAGGTCACCACCCTCAATTTCATCTTTATTCCGATTGTCATGGGAATGATATTTACTCTGTTTACTATCAATGTGAGCACGGACATGCGGCATCATCGAGTGAGACTGGTGTTCCAAGATTCCCCTGTCCATGGTGGTCGGAAACTGCGCAGTGAACAGGGTGTGCAAGTCATCCTGGACCCAGTGCACAGCGTTCGGCTCTTTGACTGGTGGCATCCTCAGTACCCATTCTCCCTGAGAGCGTAGTTACTGCTTCCCATCCCTTGGGGGCAGCCTCGAGTGTAGTCCATTAGTAATCAGATTCCAGTTTGGACAGGGTGGCTGGATTGTATATCTCGTTAGTAATGTACATGCTCTTCAGGTTCTAGGGCTCCTGTTAGGGGAGGGAGAAATGTTGAATCAAGAGGGAAAACAACTACTATGATTTATAAACATATTTTAATGTAAAAATTTGCATTCAAAAGGAGTGGCCCTGTTTTCTGTGTTAAAACCCCATTTGGTGCTATTGAGTTTGTTCTTTATTCTTTTATCCCAGTGAAAATTGTTGATCTTGCTGTAGGGAAAAATTAAACTCTTTGAATCTCCAAACAAGGAAGTTTCAGCATTCCCTTATGGATCAGAGGAACCTTAGAGGCCTGAAATTGTTGCTTCCAGTTTAGCTGCCCCTCAAATTCAAGTGAATATTTTCCCTTCTCCCTTTACCCTTCTCCAGAAATAAAGCAGGTGACAGGGTTTTCAGAATCTTAAAAAAAAAAAAAAAAAAGTTCCATGATAAATACTTAAGAGTACAATAGCTCAGTCATATGGTGGGTTTGTGTTTAAAATTTTAAGAAACTGCCAAGTTGTTTTCCAAAAGGCTGTACCATATTTTACATTCCCATTATCAGTGTATGAGTTTGTAGTATAAAGAAAGAAATTAAAAACTTTTTGATAAGGTCCAATTTATCATTTTTTTCTTTTGTGATTCATGCTTTTCTGTGTCCTAATTAAGAATTCTTTGCCTAATTCAAGGTCACAAAGACTTCTTCATTTTCTTCTAGAAATATTATAATTTTAGCTCTTAAATTTAGGTTAGGATCCCCTTTCATTTTTTGCAGAGAGTGAGATGTAAGGGTAGAGGTTCATTTTTTTGCACAGATGTCCAGTTATTCCAGCACTATTTTTTGAAAAAATTATCTTCTCCCATTACCTTGACATCTATTTGAAAAAGTGATTGACCATACATAGATCTATTTCTGGAGTCTCTATTCTGGCCTACTGACCTGTATGTTTATCCTTGTGCCAATATTACATATACTGTAGACTTGATAGCCAATAGTGAATGTCCTCCAATTCTGTTGTTCTTCAAGAAACATTTTCTTGGTTATTCTTGGTCCTTTGCATTTATGTATGAATTTTATTAACAGTTTGCCAATTTTTTCTCTCTCTGTCTCTCTCACTCACTATCTCTCATACAGACACACACACATGCACACACACATAACTGTTGGGATTTCAAAATTTCTCATTTTAATTATCACAAAAATACAGAAAATTGCACCAGTTATAGGTATATAGCTTGATGAATTTCCACAGAGTTAACACATCCATATAAATAGCCCTGAGATCAAGAAACAGTACTATAACACTACTCCAGGGCACCCTTCAAATAATCTACCCAAAGGATACACTTTATCTGGCATTTTTTAACTGTATGTTTGTGAGTTTCATTCATATGTTGAAAATAGTTACCATTATGTTTATTCTCACTGCTGTATAATATTCCATTGCATGAATATAACATTTATTATCCATCCTATTTTTGATAGGCATTTGGGTGTTTCCAGTTTGGAGTTACTATGAATTGTGCTGTGAACATTCTTGCAGTCTTTTAGGGAAGACATGGAAGCATTTTTACTTGGATATATATCTAGGAGTGGAACTGTGAAGTCTTAGGTTTGTGTATGTTCAGTTATAGTAGACACTGCAAGCATCATCCAAAATTATTGTACTATTTTACGCTTCTAATAGCAGTCAGTGTATGTGTTGTTCTGATTGGTAACACATGGTATTTTCTCTCTTTTTCATTTTTGCCATTCTAATAGGCAAATAGTGATATTGCATTGTGGTTAAACTTCAATTGTGGTAAAATACACATAACAAAACTTACTATCTTACCAATTTTAAAGTGTACAGATCAGTAGAATAAATTCTATTCACATTATTGTGCTACCATTACCATCGTCCACATATAGAACTCTTTTCATCTTCTTAAACTGAAACTCTGTACCCATTAAACAATAATTCATTTCCTCCTCCCTCCAGGCCTGGTACTCCATTCTATTTACTATCTCTATGATTTTAACTGATCTAAGTATCTCATATAAGTGGAATCATACAATATTTGTCATTTAGCGACTGACTTATTTCACTAAGCATAATGTCCTCAAGATTTATCCGTGTCTTAGCATGTGTCAGAATTTTCTTCCTTTTTAAGGCTAAATAACATTCCATTGTATGTATATACCACCACTTGTTTATCCATCTGTCATGGACACTTGGGTTACTTCTACCTTTTGGCTATTGGAAATAATGCTGCTATGAACATGGGTGTGCCACATCTGTTTGAGTTATTACTTTCACTTCTTTTGTTTTTATACCCAGAAATGAAACTTCTGGATCATATGGCAATCATATTTTTAATTTTTTGAGGAACCACCTTACTATTTTCTATATTGGTTGTACCATTTTACGTTCCCACCAAGAGTGCACAGGGATTCCAGTTTCTCCACATCCTTACCAACACTTAGTATTTTCTGTTTTTTTTTTATTATAATAGCCATCCTAATGGGTATAAGATGGTGCAAAAGATAATTTTCTTTTTCCTGGTGAATAATGCAGTTGAACATCTTCTCCTGTGGTTATTGGCCTGTAATCTCTTTTGCAGATTTTCCATTCAAGCCTTTGCCCACTTTTCTTACAAATTGTCACCCTTTTTCTGTTGTCCTATAGTTTACTTACATATTTTGAACGAGTACTATATTAGTCTGTTCTCACACTGCTATAAAGAACTACCTGACACTCAGTAGTTCATAAAGAAAAGAGGTTTAATTGACTCACAGTTCCACAGTCTCTGTACAGGAGGCATGGCTGGGGAGGCCTCAGGAAATTTACAATCATGGCAGAAGGTGAAGGAGAAGCAGGCACAATCTTCACATGGTGGAGCGGGAGGGAGAGAGTGAGCGAAGAGGGAAGTGGTACATGCTTTCAAACGACCAGATCTCATGAGAACTCTATCACAAGAAAAGCAAGGCAGGGAGTCCACCCCATGATTCAGTCATCTTCCACAAGGCCCTGCCCCTGACATGTGAGGATTACAATTCAACATGAGATTTGGGTGGGGACACAGAGCCAAACCATATGAAGTACTTTGTCAGATGTATGTGTTGCAAATATCTTCTCTCATTCTGTGGGCTGCTTTTTCTAGTGGAAGGGGGAATCAGTGGCTTATGCTGTCTCTATGATTTTGAAAACCAAACTTCAGTTCTACCCATTCCTTAAGGTCTAACAGTACTTGGGTCTTTTCTATGAAACATTGTTTTATTAGTTTCTTATAACTCCAGCCTCCATTAATTTTCACCATCTCTGCCCTTCTAGAGTGTTTACCACCTGATTTTGTGATCTAATGGTAATATAATTAGTTCATATCCTTGTTTGCCTCTCACATACTCTACAGCCAGACCACATTGCTCACGTGCTTTGCATGCATTACTTTCCTGCCTGACTTTAAATCAGAGGGCAAGGGCCTTTTTAACAAATGTTATCCTTAATACATACCAACAAGTACAGCGGTAGCAAGAGCTGCAACACTTGTTACCTGTAACAAGAGCTACAATACTTGTTATATGTAACAAGAGCAAGAGCTCAATACTTGTTATATGACTTGAAAAATGTAAATATTACCAGGAATATCTACTATCCACTAAAAGAACTGATAGCAAATAAATTGTTCCAATTAAATATTTTGTTCAAGAGGTCTTGAAAACAAGCCATGTAAGTCATCAAGTGAGTCTAACCTCTACAACATAAAGGCATCGTATTGAAAGTGTTTCACTTTAACCTCCCTGGATTCTATTTGGAATTTCAGTTATTAACAGTCCTGCATACCACCTTCATCATCTACTTCATCTAGTTACTCACTTACTTCTAAAAATACTTACTTTTGACCTCAGGTTGGTAAAATTAGCCTACTCTCATGTTTGTTTATGCTTTTGTTCTGCTGCTGGTCTCTTTGGTCAATGTCCATCTATTCATATTATGAGTTTGGATCAGCCTGAAATGGTAAAGTGGGATAAGGTGTCAACATGATCTTTGACAGTCTTATTATGTGCATAATTAGCTACCTAATATAAATTTCTCAATAAGAATGCGGGTGCTGTAGCTGGTGGTGGTGAAGTTTACATTCTTTGAAAATCAAATGATTTAGACATCTATATATTTGACATTCACTTTTAAAATGCTTGTAAATGGAACACAGCCATTGCTCAATTTACACTTTCCTTTTAGTTCTCTGTCAGTATGTTTGTGAACCCAGAAAGAATTTTTCCCAGAAGTGATATCTGAGTTTCATTGGGTAAAAATAAAAGATTTTAAAAGCCTCATTTAATACTTTTTTGGGGGAAACAGCTACTTAATTAAATTTTATTATTTGTCCTCTGGGACTGAGATGAAGAAAAATTAGACATGTAATCTCTTTGGGGGGTGTTTTGATGGATTGCCTGCATTTCTCTCATATCAGATAACAAGATGGCCAATGTTTTTGTAGGCTTTGTGCCTTTACCCTTGGAATTCTACAAAAAACATCTCTCAAGTTCACATATAACTTGGAATGAAATGCTCTACATGTGCTTCCAGAATTCTCTTTTCTGCATCAAATCAGAAAAAATGAGTCATAACTCATAAGGAATTTTCTGTCAGCTAATGTGATATTTAGGGAGGTACACGAAATCGTTGAAGCCTCTAGGGCACTATTTAATGTATTATTGCCAAAAAAAAAAAAACAAACAGTAGAGCAATTTTCTATGATATGGCTAATTCAGTCATTATTACAATAGGGATGCAATAGATGTAAAGCATTTCCTCAAGAGCTTAACTCATTATGGAAAAGCAAAACTGGATAAACTAGAATGCTTAGAGACCTGAAGTGGGATAGCAAAATGGATATTCTGGTTAGAGCAGGGTCTGGTTGCACTTAACACAGGCTGATTACAGTACTTTAACCAAGTAAGGAGTTTATTTACCCAATCTAACAAGAGTCTGGGGGTAGGAAATGAATGGATAGTGAAGGTCCTTGAGAGAACAGGCCCCTTTCCCCTCCTGCTCCACAATGCTCAGCACTTACGAATGACTGCCCCACTTTGACACTGAATCACAATCTGGACAAGAGAAAAGACAGGTTAAAAGTAGAAAGCTTATGCCAGCTGAGCAGTCCTTTACAGAAAGATATAGGTATCAAGGAAAAAATAGCTTTCCATGAAGTAGCTTTTGATCTAGTTTATTGGCCAATGGACTAGATGACCACCCTAGCTGGAAGGGCATTTATGGAGGTATTTTAAATTATTTACTATTATCTCAAGCAAATTCAAGATTCTGTTAGCAAGGAAGAAGAGTACATACTGGATAGGCAAACCAGCAATGTCTATCACATTTGATTAACTGAATTAAGTGCCACACTTCATATTTTAAATCTTGCCATCAGACATTTAAAAGAATGTATTTCATCCATTTCCACACAATTCAAAGTTCACCACCACACAGATCATAAAGAAGTTTTTTTTTGGTTATTTTTTCTCAACTTACCTGATATTTCAATAAGAAATGATAACTTATGATACAGCCACTTGATGGACTACTGCACAGTCATTAACAATGAAAAATATGTAGCAAAAGATTTGCACAAGCACTTCACAAAAAAGTATCTAAATGACTAACAACAAGAAAAAGATGCTCACCTTTGTCATTGGAAATATGCAAATTAAAGCCATAATTAAATACCATAATACAACTAGCAAAATGTTTAAAATTAAAAAGACACACAATATCAACTGTTGGTGCATATGTGGAGAAACTGAAATCCTCATACAGAAATTATTAGAGAAATCTTCAAAATACCCTTTTCCTGCCAAATAAAGGGAAACAAATCTTGAGCAGAAAGCAGAGCTGAAGTCTGTATGTAACCAGGAAAAATGGGGCTAGTCTGAGTGCAGATGCAAATGGCAACTATGTGAGGAGCTGAATCAGATACTCCTGCCTTTAGGGGGCACCAGAGAAAGGGTTAAAGTGCCCCCAGGTTGCTTAGCACCCTGGACATATAGTAGAAGCAGATACAAACTGTTTTTGAAGAAAAGTCTCCACACTTTAGGCCATTAAATTTCCTACATATTAAGATCAATGAAATATCATTCACAATCTTTAAGATCACCAAGCATACAAGGAGGCAAGCCACTATGGGTGAGGTAGATGAAAAACAACATACAACTTGTTTATATATTGGAATGGTTTCATTGGGCAAAAACAAAAGATTTTAAAAGCCTCGTTTAATACTGACTACTGAGATACAGATACAGAGTACAAAATAAGTAGGTAAGAAACATTTAAAGAAATGAAGTATGGAACCACAAAGATCGGGAAGGAATACAAGAGTATCAGGAATAACTGGGAAGATACGCATAACAATAAAATGGAACTTCTAAAATGAAAAATAGACTTTTAGAAATTAAAAAAGTCTCAATGTATGGGTTTATCAACAGATGAAACATAGTTGAACAGTGATATGGAATACACATCTGAGGAAATTACCCAGAATAGAGCACAGAGAGTAGTAAGATGAAAAAGATGAAAGAAGTTAAGAGATACGGAGAACAGAAGAGGAAACAGAAACATATGTATTCTGAACTCTAAGACAGTAAAGAGAACTGAGAAAAAGGAATTAATTGAAGAGATAGTAATTGAGAATTTTACAGAAGTGATGATAAATATAAATCTATTTTCCTAAGTAGAATAAAAGAAACCCAAATGTAGACACATCATAGTGAAACTGTAGAAGAGCAAACACAAAAAGGTTCCAAAGTAGCCAGAGGAAAAGAGACAAATCATCCATATGATACAACAGCAGTGACAAAAACCAAAATGAAATGGAATAACATCTTCAAAGTGTCCATTTTGCATTGTAGATCCAACCCATTGTCAGAGGATGAAAGTGATATAAATACATTTTCAGATAAACATAGTTTCTCACCAACAGACTGCTATTAAAGGAACTTCTAAAAGATGTACTTTAGAAAGAAAAATGATCATAGAATGATCTGAGATATGAAAAGGAATAGTAAGTAAATAAAATACAAACATGTAAGTACATATATATACACACATACATAAACATCTGTGTAAGAGTCTGGAGAGAGGTGTCCAGACTTAAAACATTCTAAGGTTTTTGGATTGTCTAGGGGTAGTGTTTAAGATATTTAACTTAAAACTTTATTGTATTAAATATGCAAGGCAAAAATTTAAGGGTAACACTAAGAAAAATTGGTAGCATAAATTTGAAAAAAAAAAAAGAATAAAACACACATGCCCGACATTTTTTTTAAAGGCAAGGAAGAAAAAAGCATAGAAAAAAAAAGAGACTAATAAAATTAGTTCAAACAAGTCCAAATGTATGTCAATAATTACAATGAATGTAAATGGAATAAACTTGCCAATTAAAGGTTATACTGCCATATTGGATAAAAAAACAAAATCCAGCTGCGTGAAGTTTATGAGACACAAAATAAAAAGGACAGAGAAAGGTTGAAAGAGAGGTGGGGAGCGAAAAGATATATAAGGTAAACACCAATAAAAAGAGAGCTGGGATGTTACCTTAATATTTGACAAAAATTTTAAGACAAAAAGCAGTATTGGTGATCAAGAGGGCAACTACTAAATAATAAAGAATAAATTCATCAGAAAGGAAAAATATAACAATTTAAATTTCCATTTTCCTAATAGCCTCAAAATATAAAAAGCAAAAATTCATAGAATTTCAGGGTAAAATGGCCAAATGCAGAATTATAAGTTCTCCTTGTTCTTTACTGTAAAAATCATACATAGTGAATACATTCAAAAGATATTTGTATTAGCTTGTGGGATTAAGGATTTTTCTCCATTTTCTAAACTTTATTGCTGTGATATTGATTTTATAATTCATATACTTTTTTCAGAAATGAACTATGCGGTGAAATTTTTAAATAACTGATGGTTAATTATGGTTTTACTAAATTTGGGGGTAATTACTGTGTATAGTTTTAGATCCTGCTCCCAATGATTATCAGGTTGTGTACATTTTAAAGATAATTTCTTGTTTGTGTTTTGCTAAAATTTCAAATGATTTTTACATGGACTCAAGTGGTTCAGACACCACTTGACTTACACATTAAAGAACGTGGCTTACTACACAGTTTCTGCTTTACTCAATAAGAATAAAATAATTCTGGAAAGAATGCATAATAATGCACTCCAAACTTAAATATGCTACTGATTGTTAATGGCTACATTATTCTGGCTATTTGTATCAACAACACAGCCACAACTTTTCTAAACTTCTGCCCAGATATTACAATTATCCTAGGGATTACTTACTCTCAGAAAAGTAGAGGAAGATACAAATTGGCAATTCTTTTTCTCACACTGATACTCCTTTGGACTTAAGTGAACCAATATTGTTATTACTAAAGCTCAGTATTCCACCTCTATTTATACTTTCTGAAACGTATAAGCAACACTTAGATGAAATAGGAAGGGATCACTGTACACAAATGGAAAATAAAGCAGCATGCAAGGAAGCTGGTTCTAAAGAAAACAAGCACAGGTGGCCGGGCATGGTGGCTCATGCCTGTAATCCCAGCACTTTGGGAGGCCGAGGCAGGCGAATAACGAGGTCAGGAGTTTGAGACCAGCCTGGCCAACATGGTGAAACCCCGTCTCTACAAAAAATACAAAAAATTAGCTGGGCGTAGTGGCGGGTGTCTGTAATCCCAGCTACTTTTGGGAGGCTGAGGCAGGAGAATCGCTTGAACCCAGGAAGCGGAGGTTGCAGTGAGCCGAGATCATGCCACTGCACTCCAGCCCTGGTGACGGAGTCTCATCTCAATAAACAAACAAACAAAAAAGCACAGGTTACTTTATTACAGTACTGAAAACCAAGACAGCACATGGACTCTCTTTGAATATATAACCTAAAAATTGAAACTGTAAAATTTAATCTATTATACAGAATTTTTTTCATAGTTGTTTAAATTTTACTGTTTGCAATTCTAGAAAAATAACATCATGTTGGAAAAGTAAGCAGTAATTTAAAATGAATTATATTTTGAAAAATATAGAAGAATGACAAGAATTCTAAATTTTTGTGAATATTTTACCCAAGAAATGTGTTTTAGAATCTTTTGAGATTTGAATTAGAAAATATTGTTGGTCAAATTCTTTCACTGTTTAAAGCCAACAATAAAAGAATAGGAAAAGAATGTAGTTATTTCCAACTCTGTGCTATAACAATAAGATAGTAACGTCTAGAAATTATATCTTAAAACCTTCAGAGTAAATTAATAAAAATTCAACATACTTCAAGTTATCACTGTATTTTTTCTATAATTACCTTTTCGTTTACTGTTTCAATTTATTGAATTATACATACAATGAAGAGCACAATAAATGTACATACAGCTTGATGAATTCTCACATAGTGAGCCTGTGTTACAAGTAATCTATTATTAACTTTTAAGATGATACAGTGCTATGATCGAAGGACTAAAATGATCAACATCACCATAAAAGGCAGAGTCATAAACAAGAACAATTAAGTGTAATTAAATCAGGTGGGAGGCACACTTACAAAAATGAAACAATTTTTGGTTCACATTTTACACCACACAGGTATTCTGTATCTTTAGAACATGAGAAAATACATATTCTCAGTCTGATAGGTCTCTGACTTGGGGGTTTCTTTTACTGTACTTTTTTTCTCTCTAGTAGCTGAACATTTTAAAGCAATCAGCAGAAAAAATATAAAACTTCAGAACCAATTAGACTTTTAAAAGCAACGTTCTTGCCCTTTCCAGAGATACATTCCTTAATCCTCCTACAAATCATGACCTCACACGATAACTTTAAGGGTGAACATCAACTTATCTACATTTTGGTGCTTTCTTTCCCTTAAGTGGCAGATGGTTTCTATTAACCTAAAATTGAAGTCATTGTTGGGGGACCCCTAATTCCATGTCTAGTCCTAGTGCCCAGAGGCTACCAAAGACGATACGAATAGCTTCTCAGGCACTCTACCCACCGTTTACCTTGTTAATACAAATCTTTCCCAGACCTGGGTCCCGAAATTATTTTACCCTGCAGAGCAGAAATGTTACGGTGTTCATTCAGTGAACTCTTCCCTAGTTTTTAATCTTTGTATTTTCTGCGTATACTTCAAGCCACCAGTAACTTTCCCAGTTACCAAGAAACAGTGTAACACAGGTCGCTATTTGTTTTGTTCGGAATTTACGAGCAATTTAACCACACGTGATTAGCAACATTAAGGGGGCTCCTCCAGGCAAAGAATCCACAGAATGAGAGGCCCTTGGTACCCAAATGAAGCAACAATGAAAGATCGGCGAAGCTCAGCAAGGTTCCTGAGCGCCACGGACGCCTGCTCTGATTTCAGGTTGCCGGCGCGCGCCCGCGGGTCTGCCTTTATGGACGAGGCGCAAGAGGGATCCAGGAAAGACGGTGCCCTTAGAGACTCGGAGATTAGCGTGGGCAACCCTGCCACCAGCTGCCCCTGCCACCAGCCGCCCCCACAACAAAAAGGAGGAAACGCTCCGCATCCCGTCACCAGGACAACTCTGTAACCCGACACCGAGGCTCAAGATTCCGCATCCCGGGCAGCGAACACAGGAGAAAAGCACATCGCGGCCCGGCCGCGGGGCTCCAAGGCGTCCGTGCCGCCGCTGTTCCTGGGGTGCCGAGAGCGACGCGGGGTCCACCCTCTCCGCCGGCCCGAGGTCCGAAGCTCGGCCCGCCACCGCTCCCGGCCGGCGCCTCCCGCACGTGGCGGCCGTGATTGTCCCGGGGCGGTATCCCTCCGCGCCCCCGCCTCAGTCTCCCCCCGCCCTTCCCGGGACCCTCCGTGCCCGGGCGCCGCGGAAGGATCGCACGCACGCGCGCGCGCACGCCCAGCCGTGTCCGCGGAAAACGGAGGGCGCTGCGGTAAGGAGCAGCCGCCACAGGCACAGCCGCTTCGCAGCCTCCCGCCGCTGGTTTGTCAGCCCCGCGGCTGCGGGCGGCCGGGCGGCCGAGCGCGCTCTGAGGTTCGTCCCTCATCGCTGAACCCGCGTCCTCCCGCCGCAGCTCCTCGGGGAGGGGGGCGGTCGGTGCCTGCGCAGAGCCGCCTCCTCCCCGCCCCCGCCCCGCCTCCCCCCGCGCCGCCGCCGCCCGCTACCGCCGCCGCCGCCGCTGCGCCTGCTGCTCCTCGCCGTCCGCGCTGCAGTGCGAAGGGCTCGAAGATGGCCGGTTGGCAGAGCTACGTGGATAACCTGATGTGCGATGGCTGCTGCCAGGAGGCCGCCATTGTCGGCTACTGCGACGCCAAATACGTCTGGGCAGCCACGGCCGGGGGCGTCTTTCAGAGCATTACGGTGAGGACCAGTGGCGGCCGGTACCCTGGTCCCTGCACCGGAGCGGGGTGGCCGGCCGCGGGGGCACCGCAGCGCGGGGCTGGAACACTGAGGGCCGAGCCCGCAGGTGTGCTAGGCAGCGGGCGCCGAGGATGCGGCTGCCGGGCGGGCGGGGAGGCCGAGGCCCGGGGACGCCCCCTCACCCGGGGCTGCGCTGACAGGCTGGGGGCGGCGGCCGGACTCCTTGCTGGCCCTGGCCGGGCGCCCCCGGCGTTCCCAGCGTCGGTCCAGGTGCCCGGGTTGGGGGAGGGGGCACGCACCGGCCAGGGCAAGGGGAGGGGTTCCTTTTTTCCTCCTAGTGCGGTTCCCCTAGGTTCTCTTGAAGCCCTGAGGTTTGCTATGCACGTTCTGGGGTGGAAGCGGGGGTCGGGGATCCGGGCTGGGGCGCGCGGGCCCCGGGTGGAGGTCCCTAGGCTCTCTGGCCGGCTCTTGCTCCGCGGACAGCGCGCCTCCCGCGCCTCCGGCTGTGGGAGGCGGCGGCCCCGGCCCGGCCCCCGGGATTCTCGAAGCGACTTTGCGTAGGTTTACCGATGTCCAGGCCTCTGGGGCTTGCGAGAGATGTACGCCGACCGCGTAGGTGGATTCGTGAATCTCGACTTCAGCTCTAGCTCTATAGGTTGTTTTTTTTTTTTTTTTAAATTCTCCAAGATGGCGAACTGCCATTGATTTCTCTTCTCATATGGAGATTCATCGATATACGGTTATCCCCAGTTATGCAACATAGCTCAAAAAAGGGGTGCTTTTCGGGGGCTTTCAATTATCTGCGAAGACCAGGAGCACACTTCACTTCTCTAAGTCCCTCCCTCTTTAGTGGTGGCAGTAAAGGAACTAATGCAGTTTTATGCTTCACATTGCCTGATTTTCTTGAGACTTGATGGTTTTGAGTTGGTTGCAATATGTTTGGAGAATATTTGCCACAAAACCTCCAGCTTATTGTTTTGCCTGTTTCTGCCCAAGGCTGTTTCTAAAATTATGATAATTGTACTAAATACGAGACCATTCTCTTTATTTCTTAGCACCACGCTCCCTTTCCATTAAGCACCAAAATTCAGGTCCCCTATTAAGGGTGCTAATTATTCTTTTACCACTTAACATGGTTTAAAGTCTAACTTTAGAACTCAGTCCTTGATAGTAGTACTTTAAGGTCTCGTATACCCGCAGTGGACTACAATTCTTGTAGGGAATTGGCATCTGGTCATCAACTTTTTTCCTGCAGTCCTCTTGTCTTTGTGTGTGAGTTCCCGCTGTCTGACTAGGAAGATTGCGGGAGTGTGCTTGGAAATGGCTGGGGCCTGCTATGACTCTGCAGTTCTGATGGGGGCGACGCCTTCCTTCTTATTCATGGAATGTTAGAATGCACGTTTTCTCCTTTCCGGTTCTGGTGGCTACCTCAGTTTCTTTCCCAATCTCCCTCCATTTTTTCTGTTTTACTATTGCCTACCGCAGTGCTGTAGACAGAATCCACTTTGCGTTTGCCCAGAAAGAAAACTGATTACTGAGATGGGAGGGGAAGGGAAGTTGGAAAGAAACGGGAGTCGTGGCTAGAAAAATAGGAGGGAAATATGAATTTGGAAAAGCACTGATGTCCAGGGGTTGAAGTCCATCTCATCACGTATATTTCTAGTTACTCTAAGCAGAGAAGTGAACACATCAAAGAACAGGCTTTATTTTGGGAGACTTTGAAGCAACTTTAAATTTGATGAAACATGATTTACTGTAATGGGACTGAATATGATAGACCAGCTTTGTTCAGAGTTGATAGCTGAATTTTTACCATTACGTGAACACTTTCAGGCACCAGCTGACTTAATACAGTTTATAAATAACTCTTTAAGTTTGCACTTTGTCTAGTGTCAACTGTCAACTCTTTACAGTTTCTTTGTATAGACTGGTCTTGGTTAAGAGACGACATCATTAACTGAAGTCAAATCAACTCATGTAAAATATGTGATTATATAGGATTAAATAATTATTTAGAAAAGACTGAATCTTGGTTTTACATTAGTGAAATGTGGCTATCTGGCAGTGGTAGCATAAGCCTAGCTACAGCCCTTCCTGTTACATCAAGCCCTAAAAGGAGTTAACTACAACTTAATGTGTGTGTGTTTTTTTTTTTTCTTTTTGGTGGGGGGCAGCCAATAGAAATAGATATGATTGTAGGAAAAGACCGGGAAGGTTTCTTTACCAACGGTTTGACTCTTGGCGCGAAGAAATGCTCAGTGATCAGAGATAGTCTATACGTCGATGGTGACTGCACAATGGACATCCGGACAAAGAGTCAAGGTGGGGAGCCAACATACAATGTGGCTGTCGGCAGAGCTGGTAGAGGTGAGTAAGGCATTCTTTTGGTTAAAGTTGCATGCCACATTACAACTTATTAAGCAGTTTCTTTTAACATTTTGAATAAAAGTTAGTCCATAATGGCTATTAAGGTGGTTTTTGTGAACTGCCCAGCACTATGGAGAAGCACTGCTTTAGTTTTACCTACTCTACAGCATCTATGACCTGGCCTCTTAGATCCTGATTTTGTTTCTACGATAGAATATTCGTATGAACTCACTTTCAGCTTTATTAAACTTAAAAGTCTCTTAAACTGCTTGACATGTCAAATCATAATCCTGTGGTGTTTCAGATTGTTAAATTGTTCGAATCACTTGGTTATTTTAGTCCCTTTTGGTGTGTGTTTGACCTTTGGATCTCTTTTCTTTTTTTTCTTGCTTGTATTCTAACCATTTCACTACTCAGCATAAAGAAGGAAAAATTAACATCCGTTCATTTTTCAGTTAGGAACTTTGCTGGGGAAAAGATAATTAGATGAGGATTTTGGAGTAAGTTGTCCATTCACTGAAATATTTTCAAAGATTGTGTCTGAGACTTAGATTTGAAAAGTAGGAAATTACATTTAGTTTGTATACTTGGTCCAGAAATTCAGGTGTCTCCAGACTGTTGTCAGCATTATAGAAACTCTTAATTGCACTAAAGAAGTCTCCCTACTTTTTCAAAATAAACTTTTGAAATTGAGTTTTATTATGACATCTAATTGATTTACAAATACATTTTAATGTGTTAACGCATACGAATATTTTGTAAATAGAGAGTGCTTCTGTAGCCTCACATAGCTGACTTGGCACATCTAATTTTAATAACAGCTCTACCATGTGAGGGGAGTTGAAGCTGCTGTGAGTTATAATTAATGCTATGGCTCTACCAGCTCCCTGTGATTATCCTAAAAGTTACTCGTATTCTGGTGTGAGTTGATGTTTATAAGGATTTATAAGAAAATTAGATGACTTTGAAATAGTGACAAATCTCTTTAAACCTTAGCTGCACTATACGCTGAAAAGAAGCGTCAAACACAAGACAAAAAACCAGAATATTTTATACGATACAGCACTACTGACATCTAGTGGTAGTGAATATAAAATTTGACATATACATATATTTTGGGTTATACACCTTTGAATTGCATCATAGAAGAGCAATTAGAAATCGTAAACCTATTTTTTTAGACGCAATTAAAAACAAGGCTACTACGGTGAAGTTATCAGTAAGCAAACACCTTAAATAATTTAATTTGGCCTTTTCTGAATGATACTGAGTATGCTACTTAAAATTTGATCTTCATTTTCCTCTGGAAATAATAGATACATTTAGCCTCACTGGTAAAACTTAATAGTTTAAACTTATCAAGCATGTTAAAATTTGGGGAGAGTTTGTAAGTAAGTAACTCCCCAGGTTTATTAAGTTTATATTTTGGGGGCAAGTAATAACATGTACTTGACATCAGCCAGAATTTTTTTGCCCTAAAATAGAAGACAAATGGTCACTTTTTTTTTTTTCTGTAGCTAGTGTAAAGATAGTTGTATAGAACTTTTGCTTGCATTGATTGGCTTCCAAGATGCAGTCAAGTTTACTATTTTCTGTTTAGTATATTACTAGTTTGAAAGTTCTTTTTGGAAACCTACTTGACTTCAGTGCTTGGCAGTTCATGGAAAACTAACTTAATGTTAACTTATTAATCCGGGTTCTGTCTGCTAAAACTTATGTGACTTTCTTGATTAACACTTCTTTTGAAACACTTTTCTTCTTTCTCTTTCAGTCTTGGTCTTTGTAATGGGAAAAGAAGGGGTCCATGGAGGCGGATTGAATAAGAAGGCATACTCAATGGCAAAATACTTGAGAGACTCTGGGTTCTAGCTGCTAGGCAGACTGTTAAGTATTAGGGGAAAATTGCTCTTAAACTTTCCTAGCTATAAGCTTAAGTCTTAATTCTGGAAATTTTATTAGCAATGCAGGGTGATGGGGTATGAACCTGTGTCTCCTTTGTATCCCTCTGTTGGTGGGGAAAGGTGTCTTTCTTTCTGCCCTCCCCCCCCAAAATAATTCTGTTCACTTTTGTTTTGTTTCCTTGTGTACTCCAGCATTGGTTATAGTCATGGGAAAGGAAGGTGTCCACGGAGGCACACTTAACAAGAAAGCATATGAACTCGCTTTATACCTGAGGAGGTCTGATGTGTAAGCAGCCTCTCCCCATCTACCTAGCAACTGTCTTCATCAACAACCCTAATTATGGTCACAATGCTACCAAACTGTAGATGGTAGCTAATTTTTCTTTACCTATTTTCTAATGTCATGATTCCTGTTTGCCCAATGGATCATTTGTATGTTAACCACTGTATGTAACCAACCCTTATCTGGCAACATAATTGCAGCACAATAATGATTTGCATGATACCTTGAAATTGGGGGGAGGGGGCATGCCAAGTTGGGCATCACTTTGTCTTAGCAATTAATGGGATATTGATTACTAAAATAAGTTAATATTAAGCAAGGTGCCGGTTGTACAATCTCTGATCAGTGTCTTTTCAGCACTTTGAGCATTTACTTGGCTCATTTAGTCTTCCTTTTGTAGCGCATGGTTGGGAGGAAAAAGTGCATGCATCATTCCTTCACTCTTCTCTTTTTCCCGCCCCCCCTCCCTTCGCACATAGGCATTTGGTTTGCTTCCATCTTTTTTTATGCAGTGCCTGTTTTTTTTTAACCAATTAAAATCCCTTTTGTTGATGAGCTATTGAGAGCTGCAGTAGTTTGCTTTTAGTATTGTTGTTGCACTTGAGCAGAGACAAACCTTTATTCATAGTGTCTACAGGACATATGAAGAGTGCAATGGCAAAACAAGAGCAAAAAGCACTTCCTCCCATGACCTTACAGTAACCATACTGATTGAATCCCCAGGGACATTCCATCATTGCAATAGCTCAGATTTTTCTTCCTTTTTCTTTGCACACCAGCTCTACTCTTTAGTAAAATTGTAAAAGGCTGCCATTATGGACATTAGGTATCCCAACATAACCATCTGGAGTGTGTCCAGTTTGTTCTTCATAGGACCAATTTTTATTTGCAGCTTGAGTTTTTATATGAAGTTGCATTATTGTGGACTTGGCTGTCTTGTGATGAATTTTTTTCATATGTATTCTGTGCCATACTATTGTTAAAATGAACTGTTGCTATTGTGAGATGGATTTTAACTGACCTATTAAGGGTTTCTTTCGAATGGCACTACTTTAGGGACATTCTAGTATTTGCTTCTATTGTTTGGGCCTTGTGGATAATGTACAGATTTAAAAACAAATCTTGTTGCTGATTTGTCCATTTCTTTCCCTGCACTTTGTTACATCTGGGATACAGTCTAACTCATCTGATTTAATATGCATTTAAAAAAATGCCATAACTATTAAACACCTTGTTTACAGACAGATGAAATAAATTTATTCCAACCAAATACTCTAGGCTCCTGTTGTTTATATACATTGTTTATATAAACTGTTAAAAGTTGATTTTTGACAAAGTGGGAATACACAGAATAGGCCAAAGTCTGCTGCAAGCATAAAACTTCAGCAATATTAGGTGATGGCCTACTTCAAGTAATATTACAGATAAAATTAGTGCCTGGGAATTTCTTTTTAATGGACTCTGATCTGTTACACATAGCTTTTAGTCATTTCAGGCTCATCTTCAGGAGTATGTGAGAAGCAACTGACTTATCTGCTAGAAAATAAGTATTTTCCTCTTCTTGCTGGTTTCTAGATGTGAAATCTAATAGTAAAGGGAGTACCAAGAAGGGTTTCTGCACTATTGTGGATTTTTCTGTATTGAAATGTCATATGACTTTAGATTTGGAAGCTGTGTTGGCAGGCTGAAGTCAGCCAGCTGGGGCCCTCCCACATAAGAGCAGAAGACATTCCTTAGGCAGCATATAAGATAATTGGGATGCTTTTGCATTTTTTGGCTTTGTAGTGACATGTTGACCATGGCTGTGTAATAGGTTTAAATCCAGAGGCCATAAAATCCCTGATATATATTGAAGTTTGATAAATATGTAAATTTAGGGCTATTTACATAAATCATTATTACCAACAACTGTCAAGCGGACGCTTAGAGCCAGGGGTGCTCAAAAGTTAGTAGGTCTCAGTAAAACTGGGGAGCTGGTTATAAGGCAGACTATGGACTCTGGGGTTCCACTCTGGAGATGGAGAGTCCATAAGCCCAGGAATCCCTTTTCAGAAACAATCACTGAGTCAGTCTGATTCATTTTAAGTGGTGTATATGCTACCTTTTGAGAAAAAATGGGTTAGGGAATAGGAATTAACCTGTCTTAAAATATACTATGCATAATGAAAGTTTTTTTTTCTTTGACTAGTTGTCAGGCACTGGTTGTGAATATGGTTGTACATACACAGGGATGTACAAATATGGGAGATAAAGGATTTGGGGCTATTTTGGTAGTTGGACATAACCTAGAAATTGTAAAACTATAATAAAAACCTGGTATCAGTTTCTTGACCTGTTAAGGCCAAAAGACGGGGCAAATGAAAATTTGGTGGTTGAGTTGTGATGATTTGAGATTTTACAATAATACACATTCACACTTTACATGTAAAGAACTATTAGGGTAACCAATTATAGAAGGCAGTGACCAAAATTCTGAAACTCTTAATTAATCTGTAAGTAGGTGAAGGGGCAGTGTGTATGTGTGTGTTCAGAGAGGAGGTTGTGGGTAGAGAAGGTGGTAAAGGGTGAGTGTATCACTAAAATAGTATATAATGAAACTATTCATTGGCTTTCTACCCACAATTTCATTAGAAAAATACTTAGGGAAATACATACATGCGTACTTTGCTTTGTACTTAGTTCTAGGAATTTAGCATATGGAAATGAAGCTATACAAATTTGTATACCAGAATGTCCATCATGCTGCATTACTTATGACATCCAAACTTGGAAAATATCTACAAAGTTCAGCTTTTTAAGGGGTATGGTTTGAATAAATGATTTTAAGTCCATAGGACAAAATAGTCATTGAAGAATGACATAAGAATGTTTACCAATGAATGTTAATAATATAAGGATATAAACATGTCACATGACAGTGCACATACATACAGTATTAATATACATGTATTTTACATATGTATTTCTGAAGGCAATATATTAAGATAAATTTATCTCTGGAGTGAAAGTTTCCAGGTGACTATATTTTGATTTCTAGTGTTAATATTACTTTTGTAATCAAGAAAGTTTTAAATGTTTTTTAAATAGAAATTGGATTTTAATTGCACCTACTGTCCTGTTTGAAAAGCTATACCATGAAATTATAGAACATTTCAAGTGAACATTCACAGAACCTAGTAACAGCCCTAGCCAGTGCTGCTAAATAAGACACTTCGTAGATTTTTTTTTACAGTTAGTTAGTAATTATTTGGAATTTCAAAAAAAAATTTTTTTTTCCATAAAACTCCTAACATAAAGGGACCAGGTCCTTATTCTAAACTTTGGATTAAAGACTGAGGGAATATAACATCTAATACATACTTAACCATTACCGTGACTTTTTACTTTTTTCCCTTTTCCTATTTTAAAATATTGTTTTAGGTTTGTTTTTATTTAATAATAATTATTTTGAAGGCTATTACTTATTGCGCATTGATGTGCCAGATACTGAGCTCAATGTTTTCTCCTCACACCCTCTTAGGTTAAATGAAAATTATGCAAATGACCAAGCAGGTTTAAAAAGGTTAGGGCCATACAATTATGTCAAATTCCAAACTCTGCTTAACTACCGTGGTAACCTTTGATGTCCTGTTTCTCAGGCCTGTGGTTCTTTAATTTTTTATAAAAAAGGGGAAGAGGGATGAGGTATCAGATAGCTGATGTTGAATTCAACCGTTTATTTTCCAAAGTAGAAATACCTATTTATTTTTTTCCTGATTATGAACATTATTTTTTAAAAGGCAATTTGGAAAGTGAAATTTTCCCTCGATATACCATAATTTACAACAGGGTACCAAAATGTACACTGTTTATTTTTGGAATAATTTTGGCAGCAGTCTAAACTTTTTGGGATATTACCTAACTGCATGTGAATGGTCAGTTACCTTGTATAAAGTCCTAAGGTGATGTGATTTCTCTGACCTCAATCATTATCACTTTATAGGATATATATAAATAAGGCTAATATGGTAAGTAATACTACAGTAGAACAGACATTTACTGGATCTTAAAGTGGAAAACATGTTTATTAACATTCAAACTCCCCTCATACAAGGCCATATAAAAATCCTTAGCATTTTGATTATACATTAGTCTACACTTTCTACATAGTTACAATGATGTATAATTTAGCTTTTCATAATACAGTGTTTCAATACATCATTAGTTCTGTTAAACATAAGTCACTTACTTTCAAATCCAATACTTGAACAGTTTCCTCTGTACATAGTTTAGCAGGGCTAATTAGCATAAGATGCTATTTATTAAGAGGTATATGATCTGAGTATTAACAGTTGCTGAAGTTTGGTATTTTTATGCAGCATTTTCTTTTTGCTTTGATAACACTACAGAACCCTTAAGGACACTGAAAATTAGTAAGTAAAGTTCAGAAACATTAGCTGCTCAATCAAATCTCTACATAACACTATAGTAATTAAAACGTTAAAAAAAAGTGTTGAAATCTGCACTAGTATAGACCGCTCCTGTCAGGATAAGACTGCTTTGGAACAGAAAGGGAAAAAACAGCTTTGAGTTTCTTTGTGCTGATAGGAGGAAAGGCTGAATTACCTTGTTGCCTCTCCCTAATGATTGGCAGGTCAGGTAAATGCCAGAACATATTCCAACTCAACAACTCTAGGTAACTTTATGGAGGTGGAAGCTGGGTTAGTTCATGCTAGGTGGCTGTAGCACTGACCTCATGTATAAAACGCAAAACACTTAAATACTGTGATCTAGGTCTTAATTGCAAGCTATACTGAGGATTTTTTTTTTTTTATGTTTTGGCTATACTTTCATTCCAAAAGAAGAGCTGAATTGATGCTTGAGTTACAGCACCAGTCTATTATTAGTGAATGAAGTATATTCTTGGCAGATAAATACCAGATCAAAAGTCCTGTTTCAGTAATTTGATTAAACTGTAGAATACTAAAAAATAAGTTATTTCTACAGAAATCTTTGAAGGGAGCAAAAAATCAAATTACAGTATATACCTAATCATTTTAAAGGGAAATAAACCAATCATCTTCTGAAAGTCAAACAGTATTTGCTATGTTGTAATCCCGTTCACCATTAGGCTGCAACTGGACCACGACATCATGTTCATTAATTTCATTTTCTGCATCACTACTGTCAGTATCTTCATTGTCGTCTTCCTCATAGTCTGAAGATTCTGTCATGTTCTGATGTGAGCGGGATTCCGATAAAGCCCCAAATGACTGGGCACTGACAGAAGCTAAAGGTCTCAGTAAAGGGGTATGTTCTGTCACTTCATTTTCTTCTTGACTACTGTCTGTGTCAGAGTCTGAATCGCCTTGAGAAGGAACAACTTTTTGCTTGCACACTGGACAGGTTTTTTTGGTTTTAGTTAGCCAAGGGTCTACACACTTGCAGTGATAAGCTGTTGAAGCAAAATATACATCTTTAGTTAGTATGCTGCGGTTGATACTTTTATATTTAATCTCTTGCCATATTTATTCAGTGTTCTGTATGTATCATGTAGGGACGGGAAGAAAGTTTATTTTTTATTTTTATTTTTATTTTTTTTTGAGATGGAGTCTTGCTCTGTCACCCAGGCTGGAGTGCAGTGGCACAATCTCAGCTCACTGTAACCTCTGCCTCCTGGGTTCACGCCATTGTCCTGCCTCAGCCTCCCTAGTAGCTGGGGACTACAGGCGCCCGCCACCACACCCAGCTAATTTTTTGTATTTTTAGTAGAGACGGGGTTTCACTGTGTAAGCCAGGATGGTCTCGATCTCCTGACCTCATGATCTGCCTGCCTCGGCCTCCCAAAGTGCTGGGATTACAGGCGTGAGCCACCATGCCCGGCCTGAAAGTTTATAAATTTTTATAAATACACCTCCATCCTTGAATGAGACCACTAATTAGTACAGGGCCTGGCTTCTGGTGTGCTAATAACTATTTTCCATCTCTTCCCCTGGAATATGGAACCTAAATATAAATTACTATATGTAAATTCAAAGCAGTACGTAATTACTCATACCATGGGAACAGGGAAGGATTCTGAGTTTGTCTCCATCTTCATACTCATCCAAACAAATGGCACATACATCATACTCATCTCCTGAAAACAGAAAATATGTAGAGAACTATTTTTTCACCTTTCAAACTTTTCAAGTTAGTCCTCAGTTACTGCCTTTTGATGTATTTATCTTTGAATGATGCCTTTTGCATCGGACTCAAGGATCTGCTTATCTAAGTCCTAGGACCTGAAGTTTCAATTTAAGTAATTAACATTTTACCTAAACTAGTTAAAAATTGATGACAAATTTGTTTACCTTGATTATCTTTGCAAAATATTTTAGTAAGACTCATAATTACATCAGTGTTCTACCTAACCAAATGCTAGTTTTGAAATATTTAATGCCAGATAAAATTTCACTACTAAAATGTTCAAACTGAGTCATTTTTTAAATAAAAATGGAAACATGAGAATATACTCAAATGTTTAACTATATTAGCAAATAAAAACAGAATTGAAATGAGTCACACTGGACTTCAAATCTCTAGCATTTACCAAATTCTGTGGTGCTTGGCAAGTTGCTTAGCCTTTGCCATCCAGTTCTTTATCAGTAAAAAGATTAACTTACCTTGCAGGTTATAAGGATGAAATGAGCAAAGGGCCAGGCACATAGGTATTCAATAAAGGGTATACTATTAATATTGCCACTTTAATTGTCTTACTGTGGAATTTATCAGTTTTATAATCATAGAAATTTATTAATTCATAGCTCTTTTTGGAGTTCCAGTGTTTTTTAAGTTTTTAAAGGAACTAGCAGTTTTTGTTTGTTTGTTTGTTTGTTTGTTTTTGGAGACGGAGTCTCGCACTTTTGGCCCAGGCTGGAGTGCAGTGGCATGATCTTGGTTCACAGGAACTAGCAGTTTTTTTAAATACAGCAGCTTTTTCAATTAATAGTGGCTTAGACACCACTGTGAATGCTTGAAAGCACTTTTGTGAGTTTTTTTCCACTACATGAATATGTTAGATAAAAACTTATAAAACTTTTAGGGACAAAAGACAGTTAAATTCATTGCCTATCCCACACGGGGTAACAACCTTGGAAGACATATCAGAAATAAAGCAATTATCTGGATGGATAGTCTGGATGAACATGACACATAAAAAAGGTGCTGATAGTTCTTCTGAAACAATCCCTTTAATGTCCTAGTCATTTAAAACACACATTCAGGAGAAGCCCGAAATAGAAAGCTTTAATGAAAATTACTAAGTTTTGTCCATTACCTTGAATTTGGTTACTATAGTATCTAAATTACATTCTGTAACAAATGCATATGTACATGTGTTAGAATCTTGTGTGTGGAATTTGGTGAGACTTATTAGACTCAACTATTAGAAGACTAAAGGACCTCTGATATATCTGCAATTATTGTTTTTAATTATAATTACATAGATCTATTTACATGGACTTTGAGGACAGATAGTTATGCAATTCAATCATGACTGATTTCTCATACAAATCAACCTTTGAGTCACATCACCTTTTGAAAACGCCTACTAAAAACAAAACAGTTAATGTAGCTGAACAGGAACTGACTGTGGCTCAAAGCTGTGCCAAGGCTCTAAGGCTCATTTTATTGAGGTAGGGAGATCAGCCTGTATTATCCATGTGAGCTCAATGTGATCACAAGGGTTTTGAAAAGTGGAAGAAGGAAGCAGGAAAATTCAGAGTCGGGGCGATGTGGCTACAGATGAATGGTCAGGGAGATGCAACTACTGGCTTTGAAGATAGGGGGAAGAAGGGTCACAAGTCAAGGAATTGAGTGCCCTCCAGAAGCCAGAAAAGGTAAGGAAATGGATTCTTCCCTGGAACCTCCAGAAAGGAACACAGTCCTGCTGACACCTTGGTTTTGGCCCTGTGAGACCTGTGTCAAACTTCTAACCTATAGATAATATATTTTTGTTGTTTTAGGGCATTAAGCTTTTGTTGATTTGTTATCAAATAAATAGGAAACTAATACAGGTATATTTGGGTTATCTTTAAATGTATAGACTTGATGATTTGGAATCACTGAGCTTTCTTATCAATCCTTTGAATTGTTCCAAGTAGTAGATTTATATTAATATCCCATATTTTATTGCCGTAGCACTTAGTTTGAAGATGACAGGTCAAGATTCCAAGGTACAGTTTGTGATCATGGACCAAACTGGAGCTTAGTGCTCTGTAGCAAATTAACCTTTATGGCCTTGGACTTGTGATGAAATGGTAAAGCACATATTAGAATGCCTGAGGTTCCCATCCTGGTCCTTTTATTAGCTATGTAACTTTATGTAAAACACTTATCTTTATGTTTGTTTTCTCAAAGGCAAAACACAAACATTAACATAATTATGTATTAGGGTTGTTGTGAAGATTAAAAGAGATAATGCAAGTAGAGTAATTTACATGGTGTTTCGCACATACAATACCTCTTAACCAATTTTTACCTAGTAAAACTAGCCGATAGGCATACTTACTTATCACATGGTAGAAGACTGGCTAGGAGGCTATTCTCTAACCAACCTTATGCTTTTGTCCCAACAGATGATCAGCTGCATGCTTACAAAAGGCTAGTGGCAGTGGTCATTGAACCTGTTTGTTTTACTTAGGGTAATTATGTAATTTAGTTAAATATTCAGCAGTCCATAAACTGTGAGTGTAAAAGACTTCTGGTTTTATTTGAAAGCTAGGTTGAATGCATTAGAAATACTTTAAAAAAAAAGCTAGTTGCTCCCCTCAACCCATCCCCAGTCAAAAAGTGGTTAAATTGGGTATGGGTAAAAAAACTAAAAGACTGGACAAATGTAGAAAGCAAGGATGAAAGCAGAATCCAGTTTTTCCCCCACTAAAATACTTGAAACTAAAAATGGTAGAAAATGCTTCATGTACCATGGCAATTTGGAAATCCAGCCAGTGGATTCATACTCAAAAGGCTGTGGTCCAACATCAATTGTTGAGTGGATTTACAATTACATTTAAAATAGAAATTAAAGGCATTTATCTATTTTTATGATTTATAAGATTTTAAACATTACCTACTGGCTCTGGTAGTATTATAAAAGGGCTATAACAAGTGCTTTATAAGTGTTAGTTTTGTTACTATTAGCACCATGAGTTGGGTTCTAAACTGGGGATGATTTTGCTCCCAAAGGACATTTGGTGATATCTGGAAACAGTTTTGGTTTTCATAACTGAGAGTTGCGGCTGGCATCTTGTGGACCAGAGATGGTGCTAAACATCCCATAATGTACTGAACAGCCCCCTAAACCAAAGTACCCCATCTAAATGTCAGTAGTGCTGAGGGTGAGAAACCCTCATAGAAACCCCTGCAGGCTAACAAAACTTTGCTAATTCACTAGTGGATAAGATGTCAGAAGTTGTGGAAGAAATCAGATTCATGTCTGTTATATGAAACAATAAGACACACTTTTGTCTGGAATGTTTTTGGAACTGCTGTAGAATAAAGTTTCAGAAAAATTTCATGAAGGTACTTTTAAAGTAAATCTCATCAATCTGGGAATGTTAAAACATGTAGCTGGACAGAACTTAGATTGTCTCCTCTTTAAACTTGTTCATCCATGATTTTTCCCCATTTCAAGCCCAAAACTTTGGCTCATCAGATACAGAAAAGTATTGGCCCTTCATAACAAGACTCACACAAAGACCTAGGTAGCCAAGGCAGTGGCATGAACTAAATATCAGGCCTAGGCCTATCTTTGATGCTTCTTTTGCTTAGAGCCTTCATACCATCTGTCACCAGATCCTGGAACCTTTTATCTGCAAAACATGTCCTGAATCTTTCCCCTTCTCTCCATCACCTTGATTACTCTGGTCTAATCTTCTAGATTATGCTAAGAGCCTCCTCTCTGGTCTCCCATCTAGTCCTGCCCCATGTAGTTTTTAGCACCTAGAGTGATCTTTTAAAAATGAAATATCACATCATGCCATTCTAATTTAAATGGCTTCCCTGAGAATAAAATTTGACCTCCTTATGATGGCCTTCATATAGCTATATATGATTTGATCCCTCTACCCCCACATCCTGTCTCATCTCATACCAATCCACCCTTCATTCATGCTTCATCCTTGTGGCCTTCTTTCAGTCTTTGAATAAATATGATAGTAAGTTAGATGGGGACCTGAATTTGGCCAGGCTGTAACAAAAACATTTGGACATAAAATTAAATTTAGAAAGAGGAATTACCATTTTTAAACAAGGCTTGAAACTGAGCTAGTTAAAATAGTCACAGTGCAGACAAATTGATGTAGAAGTTAATTGTTCAGTTCTATACCAAACTAGTTCGGGTATCAAGTAAACCAAGAATAGGTTTCCTCAAAGTAAAAGATAAAAGAGATTGAAGATTCAGGGTTAAATACATATAGATTTCACTAGTGATACTGACTTTACATATGCATTATAAATAATCTGCCTAGGGATGATGCATCATTAGAGTCATGAGTTGCCACTTACTCGCTGCTTCTGCCAGTGAAGAAAACAATAGCAGCTTTTTTTTCTTAGTACTGAATTCTTTTTAATTGCCCTGTA